>NC_000003.12:3760000-5010000 GCF_000001405.40 Homo sapiens
AACTTGCAAATATATAAACCGGTGGGAAAACCTAAGATTAAAACTATTTCACTGGTATAACAAATAGAGTAGAGTTTTATAAGGAACCTCTTCAAATGATCAGTGGCTCAGTTTTGAATCATTTTGGGATGAGCAATTCTACATAGATCAGAAATCAGCTGGCTGTTAATCCAGATCTTATGTTGGTTAATATGAGAAAGTATTGGGTGTTTGTTTGTTTCTTGAATCAGTGAAAACCTTTATAATCCTGGGATGGCATCAACATAAATTCTAGTATAATTTTCAGGTTAAATTAAAACAAATATTTTTATAACCCTATAAAGCTATTTAAAAACATATGTAGGAATAATAAAGAAATAAATCAGAGCATAGATTATTTTGAATAGTATAATTATAGGAATAAGTTTAGTAAACATTACAATTATAGTTATTTTGTCTACTTTAAGGTATTTATAGTGTTCAAACGTTTCAGCCACATTAAAATTCTAATTTTAATTTGTATATTCTAGGAGAATTTAATGAATTGCATTTGTAGTAACTTTTAAATGTTCCATTTGATATTTCAAATTTTGTTTATTAGATCTGTATATTTTCATGTAATAAATTGAGCATCTTATAAAGTATACATAAACATTTTTATTCCTCTCTATTAAATAAACCCCCAGGAAATTAAGGCATCGTAGCAGAAGCAATCCCAGAGGGGGTAAATAATATACCCTAGGTCATACTGTTAGTGAGTGGCAGATCTAGGACTCATGCCCAGATCCATGAACTTAAAACCTGTGTTTCTATCTTCTGCACCCCAACTCTTTGCAGACATTTTTTGAAGTAGCTTTTTCACATTCCTTAGGACACTATTTTCTTTTTTCACTTAGCAGTATGTGATTTAGGATTGTACAGACATAGCTGTCTGTACAGGTTCCCATAGGCTGCATTGAGGCATTAGAACTGTTGGTTTGGACCATATAATTTTTTTATGAAAAATGAATTAACTAACTGATAACATTTTTAAATTGGAGGATTGCCCATAGAAAGGTAGATGTCTAGCTTCTCTTGAAAAACTGGAAGATTTGGTAATATTGGGCCCTCATTGGCAAAAATCAACAGAACTGAGTGGGGGCTGCCCCTGGAATAGGGCACTTGTCTCCAGTTTGCCACTGTCCCCATCCAGCCAGGTTCACTAGTTTATGTCTGGCCCCTATGTGCATGAAACATGCTGTTTCTACTGAAAACTGATGTACTGAAACCAATTGCTCGAATATCCTCAAGTTACTGCATGCTTGTAGAAACCATCGCCAAATGGGGAATTTAGATGGTACAAGGCACAATGAAGAGACAGAACCTATTTCAAGCCCTCGAGAACCATGTTTCTTCAGTTCTAAGCTGCTGTTAAAAGAAAAACTTCAGCCAAATCAAATTTAAAGGAGTTCAGTTGAGCAAAGAACGATTTATCAATTGGGCAGCCTCCGGAGCCAGAGTAGGTTCAGACTCCAGTGCATCCATGTGGTGGAAGATGATTTATGGACAGAAAAGGGAAAGTGATATACAGAAAATGGAAGCAAGGCACAGAAATAGCCATATTGGTTACAGCTCTGCATTTCCCTTATTTAAACACAGTTTGAACTCTTGGTCACCTTTGATTGGCCAAAATTCAGTGATTGGTACAACAGTAGACTACAGTTTCTTTACAATTCCATTTAGGTTATAGCTCACAATATAAAGACAAACCTTTAGGCTGAACTTAAGCTATGCAAGGAGGCAGCTTAAGGGTAAACTTGATTAAAAATGTGCAGACTCTAGAATGGTCATGTAATCAAGCAATAAGACAGTTCTCCAGACCTAGAATCACATGTGATAATCTGCCATTTCTACTCCTAACTTTCACATCTAAAATACTCTAAATACAATTAGACATCAAGCAAAGTAGAAAGAGCCAGGATAGGACACAAAAAAAGAGCAGCCAGATAAGTCAGGAGAGTTCCTTCCTTCCCTCTCTTTCCTCCTTCCTTCCTTCCTTCCTTCTTTCCTTCTTTTCCTTCCTTCCTTCATTCATTCATTTACGAAGGTCCTGGCGACACAAGGTCTCCTCATACCTCTTTGTTGAATGCGTCCGTCCACTCACCAAATGGGTTTGAGCATCCACTCTGTTTCAGGCACTGTGGACAGTGCACCAAATAGATAGGGTGCCTTTCATCCCCTATCAGCCCCTAGGTGGATAATCATACCAATAATGTCTTAAAACTGTGATAAAGAAAAAAGTACAAGATGCCATGAAAGTGTATACCAGAGGCTGCTTACCTTAACTTAGGGACTCAAAGCAGTTTTCCCTGGGGATGTAACATTAATTAATTAGGACCCACAGGGCACTGACCATCCCTTTCCAAATCCTGGTCTGCATCACTGTCTGTTCACTTGCCAACTGAACTAATAACGAAAGTTAACATAAACTGAGGACTTAGTATGTGCTCAGCTTTGTAGTAAGTGCTTTACACAAATCAATTATTTAAACTTCATACTAAATCTGTGTTAAACCTGGTGTTATTATTTTTCCAATTTCGTAGATGAGGAAGTAAGTGGAGGCATAGCAGGATTAAGTACTTGCCCAAAGCTGGAAAACTAAAGTCAAAAATCAAATCCAGATCTGCCTTCCTTGACATGTCATGCCCTTAACACTTGACTTTCTTGTAAAAGAGCCATTCCTTTTCTAAAGACATCAATCTAACTGTTAAATAGCTGCATAATAAACACATACACACACACACACACACACACACACACACGAACAGCTTTTCCCAAAAGAATAAATGTCAATATATCTTAACCCACTTTTCTCGTAACGAGTTGATCCAGCAATAACAAGAATATTCCTCGGGTAATGCCTTTTTATTAAGAACAAATATGAGTTACGAGACACGATACAGTATCCAATCTCAGAAAGCAATTTTCGAAGATTGAGTATCTCCACTTTATGCTGCAAAATAACGAACACATGGACACCCCAGAATGCTTATCCAACATAGCTTGCCACGTTAGCATTTAAAATAGGCAAACATGTGCTGGGAGATATAAAGAAATGTAACTATACAGATGATTTCTTCCCTGTTTAGCTCAACATTGATCATTTGCTGTTAAGTAAACACTTTAACTTAAAAGTAGTCAATGAGAATTTGGATCTTTCTGAAGGAGTCACACATCAAAAGCTTACAATGGGGAGGTGAGAAAAGGCAGTGGAATGTCTAGTCCTGCTGAAAGGCTGAGAAAAATCCTTTCAGAATAAGTCATCTACTCCCAGCTACTCAGGAGGCTGAAGCAGGAGAATGGCATGGACCCAAGAGGCAGAGCTTGCAGTGAGCTGAGATCACGCCACTGCACTCCAGCCTGGGCGACAGAGCGAGACTCCGTCTCAAAAAAACAAAAAACAAAAAAAAAAAAGAATAAGTCATCTACATAAGCAGGGAAGATCACTTGATATGCACTGGCTTTATGAAATATGGGAATTGCCCCCCTTTCTGCAAGTAAAATAAGAGGAAATATTTCCCCCCTTATCCAAGTGCAAGAAAGATCATTTCCATTAACATTAGGAATATAAAAAGATTTTCTTCCTAGCTTGCTCTCCAGCAACAAGATCTCATGGACTTTCTTAACCATTTGACACTTAACACCGTTGTAAATAGTGCTTCCTGTGAAGGTTTGTAATGCAGCCTGACTCCCAATCCTTAAACATCCTGCTGTGCAGAGGGAATAGCCAAAGCCAGAAAACCCTAGAACTATTTTTCCTCTCTCCTTCAAAGCCACCAAAACCTGGTAGAAGCATGAGTTTCTTCTCCTCTACCTTTTGGACTTGGGAAATCTGGACCTATTGACATGAGATAACATGTACACATTCTGCCTAAATGTAATGAATGTTTCAAAGGTTTCACAGAAAGCTCAAGCAATGCAACAGAATGGATCTTTTATGGGGTTTTTTTTTTTTTTTTTTTGCATTTTGAGAGGGTAGGTGAGGAAAACATGTTTTTCAAGCTCTGTGATGTTGCTTGATAAATCACAGCAATATTTCTGAAGCGTATTTAATTACAAATTGGCTTGAGTTTTCAAAAGGACAGGGCTTACAGATAGATATGTCCTGAATATGAAACATTACTATACTAATGATGCATTAAATTATTTTATAAAACAAAAACCCGAGAGTACATAAAAATGTATCCACAGCTCATCATATACGCTATGTGAAAGAGAGAGGCTCTTGGCTAAATTTCAAATGCCTATGAGCACAAGAAAATGGAACCGTCTAACTAAGCCTTATGTTTTCATTCCCTCATCCCACAAATATTTAGCAAGGGTTTACTATGGACGACACTATTCTAGGTACTGAGGATACAACAGTGAGTGAAATAAAGTCTTCTTCTCCAGGGACAGAGGTTCTATTTGGGGAAACATGATAAAAAACAAAACAATGTGCAATAAAATGTTAAGGAGGGATTTGGTCTCTGCAGATGAGTTTTGCAACAAAAGAGGGCAGGATGGAAGGTGGCTAGGAAGGGTGATCGAAGGAAGGTCTTATGAAATGGTTTGCCAATGTCATACCTCCTATCAAGAGGTGGTGAAATCCAGAAAATGTCTTGAGTTAGATGGCCAGGAGATATGGACCCTCACTATACCCTTCTCACCAAGGGCTCGTTTTTGTTAGGGACACTTATATTCAAGATCTTAGGCAAGCCCAGAAAACTAAGAAGACTTGAGATATTAAATAATTGGAAAGAGATCTCTCAACACTGTTTGCTCGAAGGCCAGGTCTTTTGCTTTATTGGGAAGCAGGAAAGAACAAGGACATTGGAAGCAGAAAGACCTAAGTTCAAATTCTAGTTCAACGTCTTGTCTGTGTGACCTCTGGTAAGCTGCTTTATCACCTTTCTCACTCCAACTCAGTATCTTCATCCATCAACTAGAAATCTATAACTGCCTCAGGAATTTCCGTGAAGATTAAGTCTGATCATGCATGCAAAATTAACTCAACGCTTGGCACATGGTGAACACTCAATAAGTGGGATATGGCATTATTGTAGGAGATAACAAATAACACAATGCTAATACCTTTAAAACAAAGCCAACAAGACTTTTTACTTTCTCAAGATGCCCTTTCTCTTTTCCAGGTGAAACGATCTTATTATTGTAAATTGCTCTCTTTAGGCTAAATGGAACCTGTCATGTTATAGATTGGTCCACTAAATATTTTCATTTTAAAAATAATAGAAGTAATTTGCAGCTATTCAGATAAGCTGAAGGAAAAAAAATCTACTGAAAACTAATGCAAGTCATTCAGTGACTGGGTACAAATGATTTATAATTTCAGGGGCCAGGTTTTCCCGGGTTTGGACTCACATGAAGACCGGTCATGGAGAGAGAGGAGACTTGGGTACTGAGTGGGTGTGTTTATGTGCATTTGATTGATTGTATTCTAAATATAAATATTAAAATAAACTTGAACTTTGATTACTTCACGGATTATTATTACACAGAACTCTCTGCTAAAGCCGGCAGAGAGACTTAAGTGCTGACTTGAAATATATTTCTAGGTATATTTATATACTACTCAGAAACAAAAAGGAAATAAATATTTTTAAAGCTTTGCAAGAAAACAACATGCAGCAAAGAGATTAGCCATTTGGTGACCAAAGGCTCAGCCAGGGGAAAGCGTATGTCAGGAATGTAGACAGTATGCGACGGACAGACATGGTGCTATTTGGAATAGGAGTTCCCAAGAAGGATCTCTTACATTTGATCCATGAAGCAACAGGTGTTCTTGGAAATAGGATCCTAGGTTTGGCTCAGACCACAACCTCTGTCAAAATGAGAACAAAGGATTGGAAAAATCACCACCACACTGACAATTCCCATTAACCTCTGGCATGGAACGACACACTCTTATCTGCCCACAACTGCTGCCCAGTCTGCAGCCTGAAGCTTGTCTCCATTTACAGGCTGTGGAATTACCCTAGCCTCTGAAAATTCACCAAGAGCAAATACTGCTGCAACCTGCACTTCTTTGGTGACTAAGACCCCCCTAAGGCTCAGAGGGAAGGCTTGCAGATATATGTTTATCTTGATGAGCACATATCACATTGCCTGGGCTTTTCAATCCAGGCCAGTAATTGTCCCTCTTTGTTTGGAAAATGCACAGGGATCGAATATCCATCAGTCTAAGGCAGTATATAGGGGAAAGAGGAGGAAGGAGCAGGGCAGAAGTTGTTGCCACACACCCATGGCCATGCTACTTTCTCAGCTAAAAATGTGGGGGTGTGTAGTATAGCAGTGACATCCTGGAAGAGGCTTCTAAAGAAGGAAAGGCTAATACAGGACACTGCCCAACCCCTAACCCAGGACACACATCCCAAATTGGTGCAGACTTTTTCTTGGCTGTCCATAAATAGCCAATCTCAATGCAGCCATCCAGGCAGTCATTTCCAACTCATCAGACCTGGTATATAAGAAGAAATCTGCTTCATGTATTTCTGCATAAGGACATAGTATAATCTTTCCCCTGTAGGAGATGAAAACCTAAAACAACCTCAAGCTTAGGGATTTTAACACCATTCATTCCTGGCTAGATTTTGACCCACATGGCACCATTCTAGAAACCACATAGTCCATAAAGGAAAATGTTATTGCAAAGTAGCAAATGTGAAGGCTTGAAATGTCAAGTGGATTTAAAGAAAAACTGTACTTCTAAATGGTAACAGGTGGCCTTTACTTTTCACACTCATTTTAAGAGAGAAGATCACAGAGCAGAACACGCTCTTCCTGTCAAGGTGAAGATGGATAATCAGGCAGGAGGTGAAAATTAAGTCCAACATAAGGATGTTACAAGTCAAAACATTTGAAAAGGTTATAAAAATTTGTTTTCCATGATACTCAGTGGTTTTGAATCCTTTTGTGGAAGGATAGTATGTGGAATTTGTTGTGTCTTTTCAACTATGATCTGTCCTTCAAGTAGAAAAAAATGGGTTTTGCAGAGAAGGCCAAGTTGTATTTCAAGAGGGAAAAAAAAAAGACAGTAGAGAATGATTGACAAATAAATACTTTGGTGACAAATACTTGCATGTGTCTTCTCTACAGTGTCATCCAACTCTATAAACAAAGTTGAGTCTATCCACATTTAATCAATTCACAGGTGACTTCCTACCTGGAAGAGAACTAAGCCTGGCAGCCAGCAAGAGGCTCACTGTGAAACCAAGGTCTTTTAGTTTTGTACACAAACCATTGTGTCGTAGCTCCTTATTGGCTGTGTTTTCAATTCTTCAAATCTAGCCGGTTTGCATAAGCAAACAATATTTCCACTCCACCATTTGATGAACTAATGTCTTGTGCTACCAAAATAGAGAACTTTAAGATGGAAAACCTCTATGGAGGCCTCTAAGCCATCTTCCTGCCAAAGTGGCATTGTTGCATGGCATGTGTTTTCTAGTACTTTACTTAATCCCATTTTAAATATACCAAGCAAAGAGCCTTTCACTGCATAAGCACTCTTCACCATCCAAGAGCTTTCCTTCCTTATACTAAACGTACACTGAACTAAGTTCAAACCATTATTTCTTTTTACTGTTCCCCTCCAGCACCCTATTTTGTCCCCAGTAACAATTGTTATGGAGAGAGAGGAAAAAAAAGAGTGGACAGAGAATTGATTGTCAGAAGCCTTCAAAAAGAAAACAAAGAGTTGAAGAACTAGCTTTTAATTCTGCTACAGAATGAAGAATGCACGAAGCACTTTATGAGTTAGTTGATTCCCTGCAGTAGCAGATGAATTTTCTACTCAGTACCCCTAGTTTTTTAAATGCCTTTTATGCTTTCTTCATTCCCACATGTTATGTCTCACCCTACTACATCCTTTGGGTGTTGATTTCCACAGCTGAGTTAATGCAAGATGAAAGAGTTGCAGAAATTCTGAAAGAGGAAGATCTATTACACCCATTTAATGGGAATAATGTGTTTTTTTTTTTCTGCCAGAAACTCCTAGAGGAATACATTCATCTTTAGCTAATCCTTTTAATCATTTTAAAACAGATTTCCTATTATTTTATTGTATAATGAAATCCTTTACACAGTTGATCTACTAAAATGAATTCACAAGTTAGGCAAAACGATGTTTAGATTTTGACATTCCAATGATAATAAACAAATTAATCTTAAATGATAAAATCACTGATTAGAGTCATATGATACAATGATTTCTAAGGTCCAGAGAGGTCACTCAAAATTCTAAGATCTTTTTTAAAAATTGCATAACAATTTTCAATTCAAAAAGTAAGGAGATGTGATGGGACTGACTGTCAGAGAGGCCAGTCATTCCTCCTATACATAAAGGAGGATATATAATGGTCCCATGTATCATAATTTATGCCTGGAGAAACCCCCAGAATTTTTCACATTTCTCCTTTTCATTTCATACTATTTCATAAGTATGTTTCATCAGTTTTCATAAAGTCCTGTTTTCTTTTAACGACATGTGAATGCATTTGTGGGAGCATACAAAAACTCTAAGAATAATAATAAATGAGATTTAGTAGGCATTTACTTTAATCCAACAACTAGTGTAAGCTCTGTAGGTAATAACACATTTCACCCTAACAAAATAGTGATGGGTTTTATATTAAGGCCATTTTAAAAATGAAGAAACTGAGGTAAAAAAGTTAAGTTACTTCTCTAACTTTATTCAGTTAAAACCAGTGTGTCCAGAACCTATATGCCCAACCATCATATTTCATTGCATCCCTCAAAAGAGCACCCTAAGCTGATGCCATCTACTACTCCACAGTTTTTTCTCTCAACCTTGATTGAACATTAAGAAACAAAAACTTAGTAGCAATTATCTGAGTTGTTTGCCTTCAAAAGTTGCTAAAAAGAAATACTCAGAAATTTTCTGAGGCCAGAGGACCACTTCAAAACAGCTATACTTGTTGAATGTTGTTTCACTCCAACTAAAATTATATATTGTCTCAAAATGGTGTGCTCGGAAATAATTGGCACCATCTTGCCCATTTCTGAGATCAGGTCAAGGCAGTATTCTAAAGAGTGGTCGGCAGCCATCTTATACTAACATTCATCCTGGAGAGGATTAAAACATCAACAAGATGTAATTGCTTTATTGACGCACCCCTCATTCCACGGAACCCTCACCACCACACTGAGGTGTAGAGAAGCACTTCCCTAGATGAAATGGAAGACACAGAGTTTGAACCAAGGTCTGTATGACTCCAAAAATTTCTCTTTTGACTCTGCTATACTCACAGACAGCATGAAGAGAACTTCTAAGCTTCTGGAGCAAGGGAAGAGCTTAGATACAGTTTATCTTCATTTTGCAAGAATTAAAAACAATCTCCGATATCAACCCTTTTCCATCTCTATTCTCTCTTTTGGTTATACTTCTTCCAGATAATCCATTCCCAAAAATATGACACCCATAAATCCCTCTCTTCTCTGAATTCCTACAGAATATACATGCCACCACAATTTTCTCAGTCATTACAGGAAACTTGTATGTTTACTGAATAGTTCCATGCATGTTCCCTCCCTATAAACATTTCAAAGGGTTTCTCTTATATTCTGAATAGATTGCTTATGATTATGAGATTTTAGAACAAGAAGGAACTCGTGGACAGCATCTGGTAGAAACCAATTATTTTTACCAAGGAATAAAACTAGTGTTAAGAGAGGTTAAACAGCCCATCTCAGGTCACACAGCTAGTTAAGAAGCAAATTAACACCAGTATTTAGAGGTTTTTACTCCTGATCCAGAGCTCTTAACCCCATATCCAATTTTTCAGCTGAAGAGAAGCCTCACAGGAGATTATACAGAAATATCTGGCTGCTTCCATGTGTTCATATTCACATGCTCAAAAAAATTATACGCAGGACTAGGGGGTCTGAAAATAAAAAGACCATTAGTAATATTTAAGAATTTCAGTATATAGGAGATTTGACAAGGACTGGAGTCAGAAATGTGGGATAACAAACTTTAGCCAAGAATAGACGGCAGAAACCCCAGGACAGTATACATGATATTAAACCCATGCAAACCACAAGAACCAATGATCAAAAAATGATATATGGATATTTAGAAACAAATTTCTTCTCCACTGGATGCCAGTGTGAATTTACTGAGAATAAGTTGCCCTAAGCTAACCTCATTTCTTTCTTTATAATTTTATTACTGGTAATAATTAAAGCTACCATTTATAGGAGAATCTATTAGTAATGCCATGTGTGTATGTAATTGCTTTATTAGCGTACCCCTCATTCCACAGAACCCTCACCACCACACTGAGGTGTAGAGAAGCCCTTCCCTAGATGAAGTGGAAGACACAGAGTTTGAACTCTGCTCTGACTCCAAAAATTTCTCTTTTGGCTCTGCTATATTCACCGAGAGCCTGAAGAGAACTTCTAAGCTTTTAGAGCAAAGGAAGGGCTTAGACACAGTTTATCTTAATTTTATAAAACATATGACAATCTTCTATAATCACGTATTGTTATGGATATTAGCATTTATTTAAAAAATCATTCCTAATGAATGTTACTTAATAGATTAATATTGAATTGGAGAGAAGTCTCTCGGATAGTGACACAAAGTTCTGTTTAGGGATCACTGCTCTTAAACATTTGATCAATACATCAGATTAAAATGCAGAACACATGTCTGCAAAACAAACAAACAAACAAACAAAAAAATCTTTAGAACAGACAACTCTAAGAAAGACAGCAGTATAATGGCCAAGAAAATAAAGTTTCAAAAACATCTCCACAGACAGCTATACTGGGCCAAAACTAATCAGAAGAAATTTAACAATTATGAAAGTAAGCTCCTACCTTTAAGCTTCAAAAAAAATCAGCTAAACAAATGCAAGATTAGAGAAATTCAACTTGAGAGCCATTTCTCTCTTTTTTTTTTTTTTAAATAGTAACTTTTATTTCATCATTGTCCAAGCTCGCCTTCCAGACAGAGAGTATGTGGGATGCCAAACCAGCAGATGAGGCTCGATGGGGATGTGGATACAGCTAGCTGATGAGCTGCTGATCTACCCTGAAAGGAAAATTTGGGTTCAAGTCATGCAGAGCCCTACTGGGGTATCACATGAAAGGGGCTGGGTAGACCAGAGAGAAATAGATCAAGGCAGTGGCACATCATAGGAACAACAGCCCTTGAGGCAGTGCTGGTAAATTTGGAGCCATGAGAAGGAGGCAGAAGTCCTGAGTTACTAGACTGGCCATGAGGTTTTTCCAGGCCACGAGCAGCCATAAGCAATAGCAAACAGATGAGTGTGGCCCTGTTCCAATAAAACCTCATTTATGGACACTGAAATTTGAATGTCATGTAATTTTCATGTGTCGCAAAATATTACTCTTCTTTCAATTTTTTCCCAATCATTTAAAAATGTAAAAAGCATTCTTAGCCTGCAAATGGTACAGATACAGGCAGAAAGCCTCTGTTCGCCAATTCCAGTGGTAGACAATAGTTGAATGAATGAATGAATGAATGTCCTTTATTCAATGTTTTAGAGAACAGAGATAACACCAAAAGCAATGGAAGATGAATTTCACAAGAAGAGAAAATAATTATATGATCATTCAGCTATTTTAGAATAATTCTGGGGAACATGTTAAAGTATAAAAGAAAAAAAAAACACTAAAAATAGTCATAACTGTGCAGTAGTAACCTGAGCCAAAAACTGATTCAAGGAAATGTGGAATTGCTTCCAACAAAAAGAGAGGAAGCTCATCATTTCATAGCTTAAGACATTCCTTGAAGCTGAGGCCAGGAGAGACACATTAGCATTGAATGTATGCAAAAAACAGGACATAGCAGCATTTCCATGACAGGACTGGGTTTCCAATTAGCAGTATTTCAGACTGAAACACAAAACTTTTTTCCCCCCAGAAGAAAGGCTTTTTAGAAATACATACAAATTCGCCACTGCATTCCAGCCTCGGCGACAGAGCGAGACTCCGTCTCAAAATAAATAAATAAATAAATTATTTTCTAGGACACTTTGGATTACTATAAGGTTAATTTTTAGTATTTACTCCAACTTATTTGACTATTTCAATTTCATTCTGCTTGCACTGAGAAATTGAATCAAACGTAGCAGCACAAATGGTAGCAGCCCCCTTGTTGGAGGAGAAATATGAGAACAAAGCTAATGGGTTTCCTTATTAGATGTGTGCTTTCCTTGGAAAACTATGCTCCTGAGTTTAGTACCAGGAAATAAATAACTCAGAGTTGAAGATTTTCCCATGAATCATGTACTGCAATTAAACACTTGAACGCTCTATCCATCAAATATTGCCTGTGTGTCAAATATTATGTTCATGAATATGGTGTGTAGTCCACTAATTTCTAAATGGACAATGTTAATATCAATTCTAGAGCAAGAGTGATAGGCTGGTTGTGTATTACACAGCAGAGCTTGCCATCATCCTCTTTACATGAAAAAATAATGAATCTCATGTCATTTGCAGGTTCTTAAAAGCAAAGCATCATGTGGTCACGTGACAATATGAAGCCACAACTCATAAATAGTAAATGCAAGCAGAATTTTCTTATCTTATAACTGAAAGCTCTTTGATCCTCCTGGGACCCAAACTTCTTTACAAAAAGTTTGGAAGTTCAGGGGAAAAAAAAACCTCTGAATAGGGTGGTTTTTTTTCTCTCTCTTTCCCCTGGAAGTCAGCCAGTCATTCTATAGCTATAATCATGTCTAGGATAGAAAAATCCATCACCTGTGGAAAACCTCAAGGTGCTCATTTTCATGAGTAATACAAATATTTCTTTTTTTCTAGAGTAACTCTAAGAAAGCTACTTTTGTAGAGTAGCTAAACATGCTCATTAAGTTTAGCATAGTAGTTGTGTTCATTTCCTAGGGCTGCCATAACAAAATACCACAAACTAGGTGGCTTGAAGCAATTTAAAACGTATTCTCTCACAGTCCTTGAGGCAAGAACTCCAAAACCGAGGTGTTAACAGGGCCATGCTCCCCGTGAGATTCTGGGTAAAATCCTTCCTTGCCTCTCCCGAGCATCTGCTGGTGACAGCAGTCCCCGGGGTTCCTTGGCTGGCAGCCAGGTCATGCCAATCTGCCTGTGTTGTCACATGGCGTTCTCCCTGCATCTCTCTCTCCTCTTCTTATAAGGCACCAGTCACATCAAATTAGGAGCCACCTTACCCCAGAATGACCTCATCTTAACTAATGACATGTGCAACAATGCTATTTCCCAAAAGGTCGCATTCTGAGGTTTTGGGAGTTAGGATTTCAACACATGTTTTAGGGGCACACAATTCAACCATACTAGCTCTTCAGGAAATTTGACTCAAAAGATTTCAGGCCCGAAAGAGTTTTCATGTCTCCTGGCTAATACGGCGAAACCCCATCTCTACTAAAAATACAAGAAATTAGCTGGGCGTAGTGGCAGGCACTGTAGTCCCAGCTACTCGGGAGGCTGAGGCAGGAGAATGGCATTAACCCGGGAAGTGGAGCTTGCAGTGAGCCGAGATCGCGCCACTGCACTCCAGCCTGGGCAACAGGGCGAGACTCCATCTCAAAAAAAAAAAAAAAGAGTTTTCCTGTCAATGAAAATCACAGGCACACCCTGTTTTTTGTGCTTCTCCTTATTGTAGTTTTCAGATACTGCAAATTTTCTTTTTAACAAATTGAACATCTGTGGCAACCCTGCATAGAACAAGTCTATAGGTGCCATTTTTCTTTAGTTTATTTCATAAATATTTTTTATTTCAATAGCTTTAGAGGTACAGGTGGTCTTTGGTTACATGGATGAATGGTATAATGGTGAAGTCTAAGATTTTAGTGCACCCATCACCCGAGTAGTGTACATTGTACCCAATGTTTAGTTATTTATCCTTCACCCCTCCCCACTTCTTCTTCCCCAATATAGGTGTCATTTATCTAACAGCACATGCTCACTTCATGTCTCTATGTCACATTTTGGTAATTTTCACAATATTGCAAAGTCTTTCATTATTATTTAACCTATTACAGTGATCTGTGATCAGTGATCTTTGATACAACTTTTGTAATGGTTTTGGGACATCATTAACCATGTCCATATAAGATGGTGAACTTAATCAATAAACATGTGTATTCTGACTGCTCCACCAACCACCCATTCACCTGTCTCTCTTCCTCTCCTTGGGCCTCCATATTTTCTGCAATACAACAATATTGAAATTAGGCTGACTAAAAACCTATGATGCCCTCTAAGTGTTCAAGTGAAAGGAAGAGTCACACATCTCCAACTTTAAATCAAAACTAATAATGATTAAGCTTAGTGAGGAAGATATGTCAAAAGCTGAAATGGGCCAAAAGTTAAGCTTCTTGTGCCAAAAGCCAAGTTATAAATGCAAGGGAAAAGTTCTTGAAGGAAATTAAAAATGCTTTTTCAGTGAATACACAAATGATAAGACACCAAAACAGGCTTATTGCTAATATCAAGAGTTTTACTGGTCTGGATAGAAGACCACATTGGCGGCCAGGTACTGTGGCTCATGCCTATGATCCCAGTAATTTGGGAGGCTGAGGCAGGTGGATCACCTGAGGTCAGGAGTTCGAGACCAGCCTGGCTAACATGGTGAAACCCTGTCTTTACTAAAAATACAAAAAATTAGCCAGTCATGGTGGCAGGTGCCTGTAATTCCAGCTACTAGGGAGGCTGAGGCAGGAGAATCACTTGAACCCAGGAGGCGGAGGTTGCAGTGAGCCAAGATCGCACCATTGCACTCCAGCTTGGGTAACAAGAGCAAAAAAGAGAAAGAGAGAGAGAGAGAGAGAGACAGAAAGAAAAAAGAAAGAGAAAGAAAGAAAGAAAGAAAGAAAGAAAGAAAGAAGAAAGAAAGGAAGGAAGGAAGGAAGGAAGAAAGAAAGAAAGAAAGAAAGAAAGAAAGAAAGAAAGAAAGGGAAAGGAAAGGAAAGAGAAAAGAAAACAAAAGAAAAGAGAAAAGAAAACAAAAGAAAACCATGCTGGCCACAACATTCCCTTAAGCCAAACCCTAAGTTAGAGCAAGGCTCTAACTCTTCAATTTTATGAAGGCTGAGAGAGGTGAGAAAACTGCAGAAGAAATGGTTAGAGCTAGCAGAGGTTGGTTCATAAGGTTTAAGCAATGAAGCCATCTCCATAACATAAAAGTGCAAGGTGAAGCAGCAGGTGCTGACGGAGAAGCTGCAGCAAGTTATCCAGAAGATCTAGCTAAGACTGAAGAAGGTGGCTACACTAAACAATAGATTTTCAGTGTAGATCAAAGAGCCTTATGCTGGAAGAAGATGCCATCTAAGACTTTCATAGTTAGAGAGAAGTCAATGTCTGGCTTCAAAGCTACAAAAGACAGGCTGACTCACTTATTAGAGGCTAAAATGCAGCTGGTGACTTTAAGTGGAAGCCAATGCTCATTGACCATTCTGAAAATACTAGAGCCCTTAAGAATTATGCTAAACCTAATCTGCTTGTGCTCTCAAAATGGAACAACAGTGCCTGGATGACAGCACATCTCTTTAAAGCATAGTTTACTAAATATTTTAAGCCCATTGTTGAGACCTACTGCTCAGAAAAAAAAGATTCCTTTCAAAATACTACTGCTCATTGATAACGTCAGTGGTCACCCAAGAGCTGTGACAGACATGCACAAGATGAATGTCGTTTTCATGCCTGCCAACACAGCATTCATTCTGCAGCTCATGGATCAAGGAGTAATTTCAACTTTCAAGTCCTAATATTTAAGAAATATGTTCCATAAGGCTGTAGATTGTGATTCCTCTGATGGATTGGGGCAAAGTAAATTGAAAACTGTCTGGAAAGGATTTGCCATTTTACATGCCACTAAGAACATTTGTGATTCATGAGAGGAGGTCAAAATAAAAGACTAACAGGGGTTTGGAAGAAGTTTATTCCAACCCTCATGGATGACTTTGAGGAGTTCAAGACGTCAATAGAGGAAGTAACTGCTGATGTGGCAGAGATAGCAAGAGAACTACAATTAGAAGTGGAGCCTGAAGATGTGACTGAATTACTACAACCTCATAAAACTGAAACAGGTGACATGTTGCTTCTTATGGAGGAGCCAAGAAAGTATTTTCTTGAGATGGAATCTACTCCTGGTGATCCTAATGAAGGTGCTGTGCACATTGCTGAAATCACAACAAAGAATTCAGAATACTGCATAAACTTCGTTGATAAAGCAATGGTGTTGTGCCAAACCCCTATTAACCTCAATAGGCAAGTCACCTGTTCAAGAAGCTGAAGATGACAGCCAGAGCCAGCAAATGAGATGTTGGGTTTATTAGGGGATTACTTACAAGGGAGGTTCAGTAGCAGAGAGCTGGACAGGGGAGCCGCCTTACATACAGAAATGGTACAGTGGTGGTGGGCTGGACAGGAAGGCCACAAAAGTTTGCAAACAGTATGCAGTTTACACTGCATTTTCACTTAATACCCTCCCCTTAATGACCTCCACCTGGCAACCTCTATTTAATGGAAAACTCAGGGTCTCAATCCCCTGTATGGCCCATGTTCCATGGGATGGGACAAGGACTCAGATGTTCCTCACAGGCAAGGAATGAATCTCCAGGTTGGCCACTCCCAGATTCCCTAGCTCAGAACACATTCAGGTGCATCTACCACACACGGTCATCCTCGGGGTGTGTTTCAGTTAATGCTATCAGGTGCATTTACCACACAAACAGCAGAGTTGAAGAGGATTGACTCCAGTTTTGAAAGAAATTCTACTCTGAGTTCAATGCTATCAAACAGCATCACGTGATACAGAGGAATATTTCATGAAAGGAAGAGTTCATCAATGCAGCAAACTTCATTGTTGTCTTATTTTAAGAAACTGCCTCAGCCATCATAAACCTTTAGCAACCATCATCTTGACCAGTTAGTGGCCATCAACATTGAGGCCAGACCCTCCACCAGCAAAAAGATGAAGACTCGAGAAGGGCTCAGATGATTGTTAGCATATTTTAGCAATAAAGTATTTTTAAATTAAGGTACGTACATTTTAGACATAATGTTATTGCACACTTAATAGACTACAGTGTAGCATAAACACAATTTTTATATGCACTGGGAAACCAAAAAATGTGTGTGACTTGCTTTATTGTAACATTCTCTTTATTGTAGTCATCTGAAACCAGACCCTCAATATCTCTGAGGCGTATGACTATACTAAACAGAGGCCGATAATAAATTAACAAATATTTGTGGTGAACTCCTTCCATGCAATAGAAAGCATAGGTACCTCTTCCTGGACATCTTTTCCATCCCAGCCACTGTACAACATGTCCTTCACACAACACTGCTAATCCTTTTACCGTTCTGCAAGGAAGATGTATTATATCATCTCCATCTTACAGATGAGAAAAATGAGGATCCAAGAGGTGCAATGATTTGCCCAATGCCACACAGAGAGCAAGAGAAGCAAGCAAGCAAGGTTCAAATCTAGGTTTGTCTGGTAGGCAAAGCAGTGAGTAAATGTATAGGACCATGTAATTAAATCACAATAAAATAAATTATTCTTATTAATTGACAGTAGAGTGGTATCATTTAGAAATGTTGTAAATGTTCAGAGAAATAAGTAAGTGTGTGGGCTGGATGTCTTTATGATATTTTATTTTGAGCCCTTTTATAGATAAGGATGACATGAAGAACCACCAATTATTGAGCTCTTACCGTTTGCTTGGTTTTGCAGTAGATACTTGAGATAGAAGATTGAATGAGATATAATCTCTGCCTTCAAGAAGCTTATAGCCTATGAAAGGGGAAAGACAAGTAAATGGACGGTTAAAATTTGGTATAATAAGATTATAGGTAACATTTGTGGGACATTTATTCTCTTCCCAGCTCTATTCTAAGTGTTTAACATGCATCTGTGCCTTGGTCCTCACATCAGACCTAAGAGGAGGTGCTATTTTAATCTTCATTTTACAGACGAAAAAAAAATGTGCAGAGCAAGTTTATCTTGCCCAGAGCCACATTGCCAGGAAGTGGCAGAGTAACTCCACACTCTCAGCTGTTAAATGTATTATCATCCCAATAATATATGGAAGAACCCCAGTTAGCACAGACGTTGCAGCAGCACAAAGGTAAGGCACATCACCAAGACCACAGAGTAGCCAGGAGTGCCTCACAACGGGAGAAATACCTGAGCAGAAACCTAGAAAAGAGTGTGTTCACAGCAAATTCAATGACTTAAGGGAAAATGAGGATAATAATCTTATTTGTCTCTTGAGATTGCTATATATATTAAGTGGGATAAATTAGGTAAAACCCTTAGCTCAATGACTGACCATTAGTAAGCACTCAGTACATATGAGCTCCCATCCCCATCATCAACACCATCCCTAGGCTGACTAAGAGCCCTGCTGGTGGAGGGAGTGGTGAGAGATTCAAGTATGTGATGACAGGGGAGGTAAGATTTACAGGTGGACTGAATTGAGTAGAAGGCATAGGATCAAGTGGGATGGAAGCAGGTGAATTTAATCTGGATTTCTCAAAGCAGAGTGGTTAAAAAAAAACAATTGGGAAGATTTTTTTAATTGCAGTTTTTGGGGTTCCATAGCAAACAAATAAATGAAAAAACTCTGAGAAGTGCAATACAAGAATATGCATGTTGAAAACAGGCCAGGTATGAGATTAGGGAACTGCTGAAGTGTATGACCTTTAAGGTTCTTTCTAAGCATGACATTCTGTGACTCCAACCTGACCTGACATTTGATCGGTATCCAGAAGTTGGGAAAGAAGCATATAAGTGGAAAAGAGAGAGGCAAGCCCATCAGAGCGCATCAGAGGCAGGGTCAATGACATTCTGACATAGTCACTGTGGCATGGGATCATTTTGATGCTGCCTAAAACAGAAGGCATCACATGTTATCTAAAAATTACACACCAAAAAATCTGTCATATTCACCCCAATGCTAAGCTTCAACCCATGCCTGCTACTCAACTCAGTCCACCTATGTATCTTATCTCCCCTCCCACCACATACATGAATCTTTCACCACTCTCGACTCTCATGCTCTCCCTGAACTTCCTGTGGCTCCTGAGTCATGCCTGTGGCAACGGTGCAAGGGAGACTTAGGGATGGAGTGTGTCCCAGTTTCTCTGTTACACACAATCCTTAGGAATTACACATAGTATTTTTATGTCTGACAGAGCAAAAATAAAATATCAGTATTCCCAGCCTTACCTTCCTTTGTCCTGTTGTGCAAATTCTGTCTTTGATAGCTTGTTGCTTCCTGGGGTTGAGGAGGTGGAGAATCCAGGCAAGGCTTGAGAGAGGCAATATTTAAAAATGAATAAATAAAAAGGCCTTAATTTTAAGGTCAGCTCCTGGTCTGAGAGATACTGGGTTTGAGAGAACTAAAGAAATATTATTTTAATAAAGGTGGATAGGATTTTCAGATTTTTATCTGCCTTGACATTATTCAAGAGATTCCAATAAAGATCTGAATTGTGTAAATTACTTTTGATTGATAGCTTATATTTTTTTGAAGGCAACACTGAACAAGTACTAGAATATGTCGAGCACCAGCTTTTATTTCGGTTACATGCATTTTGACATAGCCAGTTTGATGAGATCAGATCTAAATGACTTGCCTAAAAGTCCCATGAGCCCAGGCTCATGGAATGGGTTCTTTTTTCAAATCGCAAGCTAGATCTTCATAACCTACACAGCTCCAACTGGTGTATTTCCACAAGGAAGAGGGTAATTTCTACTTAGTTATAGCAGTTAATTTGCCTAAAGACACAGGTGTCAACTGTATTTCCATTTAATTTCAAATTTAATGGAAACCTGGGTCTTGTGCCATCTCAAGTGTTCATCACCTCCCCAGTTTAAGGGCATTTGCTAAAAATGTCTGGCCTCAGTTTAACTATGTTCTCCGTAGAAGTTAATATAAATATATTAAAGTGACTGCTCTGAGGTATAAACAGGTGTCATGGATATTTCATAGCTGGCAATGAAGTTACTATGAGAATAAGCCAGAACTGGGTTCAAATCCTGGCTCTATAAGTTGTTAACTGCGAGATTGTAAGCATTTCTTATTTGCCCTAAGCTTCAGCTCTTGCAAAGTGAAGCCAGATAACAATATCTACCTCATGAGATTGTTGGGATGAAGAATGATTTGATTTTTATAAAGTCCTTAGTGCACAGAAACCATGCAAACAAAGAGTCTGAAAAACAAGCTTTGCATAAACATACAGAAAGAACGTACAAAAACTTCAACTCCCCAGTGGAAAAAAATTATAAATGTTGAAAACGTGATAGATGTGTCAAAAGTACATCAATCACCGTAAATTTGTGAAACATAAATTTTTATGTGACATATAATTTATTTTTCTGTTTATTATGTAAAAAATGTTAAAAATAACAAATTTTTCATGAAGAAAATAAAAAGATCAAAAATTCAACAGCTAATGGTGCTTCACCTGTTCCTCTTGTGGCCAAGTGTAAAATGCGTTCCTCAATCTCCCAGCCCCTCCCAAAGCATATTAATCATGTTTTATCTATGCCAATGTGGGACAGGCTAATCCAGGTGAATCTGGACAAAATATGTTAATTTCAGTTTCTATGTGTTTCTATGTAGGTCACAGATTCTGCTTGAATTCTAGCTTCCCCAGCCTAGGAAAGGAAAATCTGAGCAAATTTACCAGTCACATCTTCAGTTCTTTACAACTAGTGAGTAATCACCTCACATTGTTAATGTCAACCATTATGCCACTCATTTTACCTAAAAAAAATGCAACTGTTCCCAACACAAATGATATGGGTTGGCTGTGTCCCCATACAAAATCTCATCTTGAATTGTAATATCCATAATCCGCACGTTTCAAGGGCAGGACCATGTCAAGGTCACTGGATCATGGGGGCGGTTTCCCCTATGCTGTTCTCATGATAGTGAGTGAGTCTCACAAGATCTGATGGTCTTATAACCACCTGACACTTCCCCTGCTTTCACTCACTTCGTCCTGCTGCCCTGTGAAGATGCCTGCTTCTCCTTTGCCTTTGTCATGATTGTAAGCTTCCTGAGGCCTCCCCAGTCGTAGAGAACTGTGAGTCAATTAAACTTCTTCCCTTTGTAAATTACTCAGTCTCAGGTATTTCCTCATAGCAGTGTGGGAACGGACTAATATAGTAACAAAGAAATGATAAATGTTTGAGATGATGGATATGCTAATTACCCTATTCTGATCACTTTAAGTACCAAAACATTACTACATACCCCATGAATATGTACAATTATTAGGTTGGTGCAAAGGTAGTTAAGGTTTTTGTTTACCTTTGTTTTTTTTTTTTTTGATATGGGGTCTTGCTCTGTTGCCCAGGCTGGAGTGCAGTGGTGCAGCTCACTACAAGCTCCACCTCCCAGGTTCACGCCATTCTCCTGCCTCAGCCTCCCGAGTAGCTGGGACTACAGGTGCCCACCACCACACCCGGCTAATTTTTTGTATTTTTAGTAGAGATGGGGTTTCACCGTGTTAGCCAGGATGGTCTCGGTCTCCTGACCTTGTGATCTGCCCGCCTCTGCCTCCCAAAGTGCTGGGATTACAAGCGTGCTGAGCCACCGTGCCCAGCCTTGTCTACCTTTAATGGCAAAAACTGCAATTACTTTTGCACCAACCTAATATTATTTGTCAATTAAAAAACAAAATAAACAATTTTAAAAATGCAACTGAAATATATATCCTCTACCTTTTTCTATTCCACCCTACAGAATAGAGTAGTAACCATGACCAGATATGTTATTTCATAGATAATGTACATAGTTAATAACCAGTGAGAAAATGGCCCATTGCTTATCTTGTTAATGAGGCTAGTCCACCTACATGGTTTAGTTGAGACATTTCCATCTTTTAGCATGATATAGGCAGCAGGTGAAGATATGAAATTTGTGGTCCAAAGGAATAGAAATTCCAGCTGGGTAATTCCAGGAGTTACTCAAGAGCCACAACCCAGTGAGAGAGCACGTGCATCTCTTTGGCCAGGACACAGAGCAGGCAAGCTCTTTTGTGGTGGAGATGATGCTCTGGACATAAGTTCAAAGCATCAGCAGAGAATCTGGCCTGAGTCCACTATGAATCCACCCTGGGGAACCTTCAGATAAATCGCTTTAGTCACTCTCAAGTCAGCAAGTAGAATCCAGGGGTTTTTATTCCCCTTACTTTTTTCCAGTGGAAGTGCAAAATACTCCCATGTCATGTGCAGCAGTATACGCTAAAACTTTCCACTGTGAGTGGAGAACCAACTCCTCTCACTCCCCACCAAAATTATTTTAATTGCATGGGTGTCACTCATTTGTCTTTATCTGTCTGTTACATTAACTAAACAGAGTCATTATTATTAATAAGTCCAGGCAATCTCTACTGTATTAGTCAGGGTTCTCTAAAGGGACAGAAGTAATAGGGTATATGTACATACGAAGGGGAGTTTATTAGGAGAATTGACTCACATAATCACGAGGTAAAGTCTCACGATAGGCCGTCTTCAAGTTGAAGAGCAAGGAAGCCAGTGGTGGATCAGTCTGAGTCCCAAAACCTCAAAAGTAGGGAAGCTGACAATGCAGCCTTCAGTCTGTGGCCAAAGGCCCGAGCGCTCCTGCCAAAACACTGGTGTAAGTTCAAGAGTCCAAAGGCTGAGGAACTTGGAGTCTGATGTTCCAGGGCAGGAAGCATCCAGCATGGGAGAAAGATGAAGGGAAGAGAGACAAGAAGGCAAGAAAGATGAAGGCAAGAGATGAAGGCAAAGAGTCAGCAAGTCTGCTCTTTCATCTTCTCCTGCCTGCTTTATTCTAGCTGTGCGGGCAGCTGATTAGGTGGCGCCCACCCAGATTGAGGGTGGGTCAGCGTCTCCAAGTCCACTGACTCAAATGTTAATCTTCTTTGGCAACACCCTCACAGACACACCCAGGAACAATACTTTACATCCTTCAATTCAAGCAAGTTGACATTCAATATTAACTATCGCATACACCAGTTGGTTATTTACATGAAATCTCAACTTAAAGGACTCCTCTAACTACTGACAAATATGCCTCGATTGGGTGAACACTACTTATTAGAAGAATTTACAAATGAGAAGCCCATGAGCAGGATGTAGCCCAAAGACATTTGAGTTATTCTACAGAGCTTTTAAAAATTTGACTTAGCTGCTATCTTGACGTTTTTAAATGGACTATTTCACCCAAATTTTGGATTCCCAGTTTTTCTTGGCAAAGCCAGACCCACAGTCTCAGAAGATGGCAATCAAATAGGACTGAATAGCAGCTGCCCACTTCAGACAGGGCACATCCTCTCCAATTTGGCACAGTCCCTACCATGCCACTTTACTCACTTATCTGCCAGCCCCCTGCAGACATCTGGGTTTGTGACTGCTGGAGTAAAGAATCTAGCAATTCCATGAGCCAAACTAGAAAAGCAGCAGTCCCCTCAAAGAACTCTCATTTAATACAATTTACATCTGTCTTGCTGTGCTGCTATTATTTTTGTATCTCTCACAGCACCGTGCCTTTCATAGAATAGGCGCCATATATTTTAGTCGAATAAATGAGTAAATTAAAGACCGCCGCTCATGTTCAGCAAAACCTCTCCTCCCTTGTTTTCAGCACTTCTTTTAATGAAGCCCAAGGTCATATTCGCTCTTTTGGCAATATTCAGCTGAAGCCCACCTCCCTTCTGCCACCCTGAAAATAAAACGCTGCAAATCACCTCTTTCAATCTATGGGCACACACCCAGGAACATCTTTCAAGCAGCAGAAGGGAATGTTTCCAGTTAAGTGATTTTAGCAGATTTCTCCAGCCTGGTTTAGGGGATGATCCCAACGACCCAGGGCTAAACCATCTCAGAATCTGCAATGCCTTTCGCCATCAGAGCATCTGGCTCTGCTGATTCAATCATCCGGAGGAGAGACATAATGTGAAGACCAGCACAGCCATCATACAACAACATACGCCAAGGATGCTGAATGAACATTTGGCATAAAGTCAATCACAGAAACTGCTTGGTGTGGAAGAGATGGAGGGAGGGAGGAAAAGGAGAGAAAGGAAATTAATATGGGAAGAGTCAAGCTCACTGCTAATGGGTGACATTTTCTCCCCTAGGAACTTTTAAATAAAGCCCTTAAGAGTTTCCCAAATGAGCAGACCGACTAACCCATTATGTTAACAGAAAATTAGAAATTACAAAGACGTTTATCTCCATTTGGCTAATGTGGGGTTGCATGCGCTGCTTGTTGCTGCTTATAAACTCCAGGCCCCACAGTTAGCTTTGACATTTCAACCATGTTTTCTCAGGCTCATGGGCACAGAAGGATTTCTGCCTACTTAGCATGGCAAGGTATACATCTGTCCTGTCTCTACCACCTTTCACTGCCCTTGCATTTGCACATGGCAAGGAAATCACATGGATAAAGGGATTAAAATGCAATAATTTAGGTAAGATAAAGGCTTCAAGAGGATCTGTTCTGAGCTGGCTCCTCTTATATATATATAACATTAACATTCATGGTGGTAGGCTTGCAGTATAAAATGCAGATCAAAAACTAAATATTTGCTGCATATTTTATTCTAAAGGCATTACGAACCAATCTCAGCAATTTGTATTCCCAAAATTTGACTACACTAATTTCTAGAAGCTTTCAGGAGATAGCCAAGACGTGAAAAGGTAACGCTTACACTTGGGGAGTTTACAACAATTTTGTTAGTAACTTGGAACACACTCAATGGAAACATTTAAATAGCATTACCAGGGCAATACATGAAGCATAAACGAAGAAAGGCTAATTCAGACAAGCGTGTGTATGAAACTTCTTATCTCTAAGCCAATGTGACATGTTTTCTTATTCAAAAGAAAATTAAAATGTAAATGCACTTCCTCTCTGTGCTAGGCACTTGTGCACATATTATCTTATGTAACCTGTTCGAACTCCCAGGAGGTGGGTATTTCTGCTTGTATAGATGAGAGAGCTGAATTTCAGAGAGGTAATCAATTTGCCAAGAGTCATCACAATAGCAAGAGCTAGAGCCAGGGTCTGAGCTGCTCTCTTATATCTCACTCCAGACTTCTCTGTACTACATCACCACCACATCCCAGTTCAAAGCTTTTCATTTTGAATGCAGGGAATTAAATTCCTCAAAGGTAGAGAGGCTGTCCAAGAGGGGATGTAAAACACGTTAACATGACCAATCTATCCCAATTTAGCAGAACCTCCCTGGCTTTAGCA
Organism: Homo sapiens; assembly: GCF_000001405.40. Taxonomy (NCBI): domain Eukaryota; kingdom Metazoa; phylum Chordata; class Mammalia; order Primates; family Hominidae; genus Homo; species Homo sapiens. Next base: position 3,785,272 of record NC_000003.12, read on the forward strand.
TGAAAATGCCACATCCTGGGAAAGCACTCAATCCTGGTTTTAAAAAGAACTGTTTTATGACTGAGACAATCCCTCAGTCCCAGGCAAACTGGGATGGTTACTCATGCTATCTGTGGTTTCCCAACATATATGGGGCAGAGTCAACCCTAATGTCTCTTCTTTAACATAATTAATTCCTCATGTCCCCACCTTAGCCCCCATATGATCCTCTCAGGCCTTGTTGTTTTACATGTAGCTGATGTTTGTCGATGTCTACTGAGTCAAATATAGATGAAATCCGTCTATAATTGATACGGTTTTGCTGTGTCCCCACTCAAATCTCAATTTGAATTGGAACTCCCACAATTCCCACACGTTGTGAGAGGAACCCAGTGCGAGGTGATTGAATTCTGGGGGCGGGTCTTTCCTGTGCTGTTCTCGTGATAGTGAACGAGTCTCACGAGATCTGATGGTTTTAAAAACGAGAGTTTCCCTGCACAAGCTCTCTTTTCGCCTGCCACCATCCATGTCAGATGTGACTTGCTCCTCTTTGCCTTCCATGATGATTGTGAGGCCTCCCCAGCCACATGGAACTGTGAGTCCCATTGAACCTCTTTCTTTTGTAAATTGCCCAGTCTTGGATATGTCTTTGTCAGCAGCATGAAAACAGACTAATACAATAATAAACATCAAGGGCAAACTTTAAAAGTTAAGGGAGACTCAGAAGTAGACTCTGTCCCTATGTCTTGGTGATGATGGAGGACTTGTGGGTTGATGGCACATTTATGAATATCACATCTCTTGCTTTTCCCCTCCCCAGCAGCAGCCTCCCCAAATCACTGTTCAGCTGCTAACACCATTTAGGCCCCATGTGGACTCCCAAAGGTCCAAAGGCTAGGGTAGATGCTCCAGCGACTGCACTAGACAAAACATCTATTGTCTCAAGCAATGTGCTAATAATTTAACATACATTGTCCTATTTAATCCTTGCAACATGATGCAGTTACTAGTATTATTCCCATCTAATGGATAAGTTAACTAATGCTTCCAAAAGTCAAGGGAATAAATCCAGAGCCCAAGCTCTTGGGCAAAATGACATGGTGTATCCCAAGTTATCATACAGTGATGGACATATTATGCCTAATAAGATGGCACCTCATCGATATCTGATGTCTTTGGGGTACCTTGATAACAGTTATTTTCTGATAATTGAGAGACTTTAGAGAGCCAAAGATTACATAAACAGACCTCTGTATAATTTAAGGTAGCTTAAGTTTGCCCCCTCCTTCTTTTGACTTCTGGAGCTTTGTGCTAGGGGCTTATAAATTTGAACTTGTACCAAACACTGTAGGCAATGTAAATATAGACAAAGCCATACTCCTTGGGTATAATATTCTTAACTACTGATAATTACAGAGAATTTATTGGAATTAGCCAAGACCTACAGGAAAGTACTTGTTTAAACACCTCTACTTTAGTTTAACCTTGGAAAACAGAATCAAGGAATTTTAGCAGTAGAGAGAATCTTGAAAATAATCTAGTTTGGTCATTATCTGACTTTGATCTGCAGAGCTTTGGGGCCCTGTTCAGTGCCTGACCAGCCAACAAGGCACCATCATCCCCAAGTAACAGGGACAAGAGAAAGTTGAATAGGGGCTCCTGCCCTGGCCATCTTCAATGAGTGCCGATGGCAGGAACAGTGAATTGGCCCAACCAGCACCCAGTCCTGGCTTCTAGCTGGCTTCCTGTTCTGCACTGGGCCTAGGTTTGGTCAAGCAGCACAGAGGCACAGTGAGCTACATAAAAAGACTGCTATGGCTAGGGGCTTAGATCTTCTGGCAAGGACAATGTCAGTATGATTTGGGAGAAGTGTGCAGACTTTCTGACCAGACCAGACCATAGTGGGATAGGTATCGAATGATGGGCAAGAATGACAACATTGATTCCAGCAGAAGAGGCACGTGGGATGTCAGGGGGTTTTCTCTGGGGGCTTATTCCCGGCTGGGCAACATCCATGTTCTCCAGCCCTTCCAGAGACCCTGTAGGCAAACTGGCACCTTTTAGTAAATATCTTCCTGCCCAATTAGCTAGAGTAGATTTGGTTGTTGTGACCAAGAACCTGGATAAATTTGCTGTTATGTCTTGAAATGGTTTTTCTCTTTCTCTTTTCCTTTTTTTTTTTTTTTTATATTTTTTGAGATGGGGGTCTCATTCTCTTGCCCAAGCTGGAGTACAGTGGCACGATCTCAGCTCACTACAATCTCTGCCTCTCAGATTAAAGTGATTCTCCTGCCTCAGCCACCCGAGTAGCTGGGAATACAGGCACATACCACCATGCTCAGCTACTTTTTGTATTTTTAAGTAGAGACAAGGTTCCACCATGTTGGCCAGGCCAGTCTTGAACTCCTGACCTCAAGTTATCCAACTGCCTTGGTTTCCCAAAGTGCTGAGATTACAGGCATGAGCCACCAGGACTGGCCTGATATGGTGTTTTCTTATGATTTAATTTAACCTAAAAGTTCTGGGGGGAAAGAAAGTATGAATATCACAGATACTTTCAGTGGTCTCATTCTACACATAAAGAACATAGAGGGTCAGAGATGGAAAGTGATGAGTGGTAAGATTGAATCTAGAATCCAGTTCTCACCAGAGGCTCACCAGGAAACATTCCAGAAAGTGACCTGGCAAACCACATCCCATATAACTGTCCTGCCATTAAGAATCAACCACGTGGTTGGCCGGGCCTGGTGGCTCACGCCTGTAATCCCAGCACTTTGGGAGGCCGAGGCAGGCAGATCACGAGGTCAGGAGATCGAGACCATCCTGGCTAACACGGTGAAACCCCGTCTCTTCTGAAAATACGAAAAAAAAAAAAGTAGCCTGGCGTGGTGGTGGGTGCCTGTAGTCCCAGCTACTCAGGAGGCTGAGGCAGAAGAATGGCGTGAACTCGGGAGGCGGAGCTTGCAGTGAGCTGAGATCGCGCCACTGCACTCCAGCCTGGGCGACAGAGAGAGATTCTGTCTCAAAAAAAAGAAAGAAAGAAAAAAAAAGAATCAACCACGTGGTCCATGGCTGGCCCTCTGCGCGCCCCTGTCAGAAAGCTCCAGTGTCATAAACAGAAAATTCATCACCTTTTACATATCAAACATTTTTAAATCCCCTACTGTTCACTTTCCAACATTACTTTGTGAATGTGACTGTTATTCTAATAAAATGTGAGCAGTAGTCCTCATGTTCCTCATTTTAGAAAGAAATAATATATCTGGGGACAGCTCCTTGGACACTACTTCAATCCATTTTGTTTTTTGAATTTAGAATCTTTTCCCCCAGTAGACATAGTATCAGTGTTGATATGTTCAAAACAGTGCAGGCCTTTCAGATTCTAGTATTATGGCATAGATAAAATCCGGGACTATAGATCACATCAGAGTTGAGAGCATGAGCTCTGGTATCAGATTGGTGATCCAGGGCACATGATCTAACTTCATTAAGGTCTCAGTGGCCTCTTCTGAAAAAAATGAGACTAATAAATAACATCTAACTGTCTCACGGGATTATTCTAAGAATTACATAGAATTCAAGCAGAAATTGCACCATGCCTAGCACACAGTTCATACTTAATTAGCCATTATTATTACTATTATTATTGAAACTAAAACTTACCTGTGATGGAAAAAATTCCACAGCAAATTGCTTCCTGCTTTCCAGCTCCAGATTCCTTCAGGAAGAACTGAAGCCTGAGAGGCAGAGGACTCTGGAACGTCTGGAGGGCATTTAGTCGTTTGTCCCATAGTCTGCTGGCAGTTCTGTTTTCTTCTCAGGCACTGAAGTGAAAGGGAGCAGGTGCAGTTGGCTGGTATAATTCTACACTAGACATCATCCACATGGCGCAGGCTGCCACAGTCTGTGGGAACCCCATTCTGGAAGTCTACCACTCACAGAGCCTTCCACTATCCCAGTATCATGATAAAATGGTCTACACATTCCGCCATTTGCAAAGTACTTCCCTGAACAGTTTGATTTGATCTGGAAACTGAGGAGGAAGGCCAGATGGATGCTTTTACTATGACTTCTCAGGGAGCATGTGAAAGCTGACAGACTGTCAATGGCACATTGAGAGGTACGTGGCTGGTAAGTGACACACTCAAATCTTCTGATTTTGGTTCAGAGCTCTCTCTCTCCAAATATACATATATATATATATATATATTTGCTTGTCTGTATATATATATATATATATATGCTTGTCTGGATATATATATGCATGTGTGTGTATATATATATATATATATAGAGAGAGAGAGAGGTACATGGCTGGCAAGTGACACACTCAAATCTTCTGACTTTGGTTCAGAGCTCTCTCTCTCCAAATATATATATATATATATACACACACACACACACACACACACACATATATACACACATATGTATACATATATACACACATATGTATACATATATACACAGATATAGGTATACATATACACATATACGTATACATATATACATATATGTATACACATATACGTATACATATATACATATATGTATACACATATACGTATACATATATACATATATGTATACACATATACGTATACATATATACATATATGTATACACATATACGTATACATATATACATATATGTATACACATATACGTATACATATATACATATATGTATACACATATACGTATACATATATACATATATGTATACACATATACGTATACATATATACATATATGTATACACATATACGTATACATATATACATATATGTATACACATATACGTATACATATATACATATATGTATACACATATACATATATACATATATGTATACACATATACGTATACATATATACATATATGTATACACATATACATATATACACATATGTATACACATATACATATATACACATATGTATACACATATACATATATACACATATGTATACACATATACATATATACACATATGTATACACATATACATATATACACATATGTATACACATATACATCTATGTATACACATATGTATACACATATACATCTATGTATACACATATGTATACACATATGTATACACATATATACACATATATACATACACGTATACACATATATACACATATATACATACACGTATACACATATATACACATATATACATATATGTATACGTATACGTATACATATATGTATACGTATACATATATACACATATGTATACGTATACATATATACACATATATACATATATACACATATATACGTATATACATATATACATATATACATACGTATATACATATACATATATACATATATACATACGTATATACATATACATATATACATATACATACATATACGTATATGTGTGTATATATACATACATATATGTATGTGTGTATATATATACACACATACATACATAGAGAGAGAGAGAGACAGCACAATTAAGATATTTGGATAGTCAATTCTGAACCAACTTATACAGCAGTGTGTACGTGTTCTCTTTTCTACACATCCTTGCCAAAATTTATCTTTCATCTTTTGATAATAACTACTGTAACAGGTGTGAAGTGATAGCTCATTGTGGTTTGGATTTGCATTTCTCTGATAATTTGTGATTTTGAGCATTTTTTAAAAATATACATATACCTGTTGGCCACTTGTACACATTATTTTGAGAAATGTCTATTCAGATATTTTGCTCATTTTGTAATCAGGTGATTTTCTTACTATTGAACTGTTTGAGTTATTTATATATTTTGGATATTAACCCATTATCAGATGTATGGTGTGCATGAGACATATATGTCCTTCCATTCTGTAGGCTCTTTATTCACTCTGTTGATTGTTTCCTTGACTGTGCAAAAGTTTTTTAGTTTGATGTAATCCTATTCATATACTTTTGCTTTTGTTATCCGTGATCTGGGGTTCATATATAGCAAAGTCACAGACTCTTAAGAGTATATCCCATGAACTTCAGGGAGGCCTGAGGATCCTAATTAAAGTTACACTAATATAAGAGAAAAATCAAGAAAACTAGATTTTAGCCTAGCTCTCCTATTAACCAGCAGTGGGACCTTGGATAAGGATTTAAATCCAGTCAGATTTCCCAGATGCTCTGAAGTACATGGAAGTGTTGGCCTTCTTGAGACTTCAGTTTGTTCATCTATAAAATGAAAAGGTTGAGCCAGATCATCTATAAGGCTCTTTATAGCTCCAAAACCCTCTGGTCCTTACTGAGTTGAATTACAATATGACCTTGCTTCTAGTAACTAGATAAGTCACCATTCATACATCACAAATGCATCTGCAGCCTTCTTTCTCCAAAGCTACAAAACTCAAAAACTCAGTCTCCTTTCCAAAAGATAGCTTGGATGTGATGCAAAGTTTGAGCAAAGGGATACAGACTCAAGAGTACAATGTGACCTGAATTCAAGAAAATATGGATTTCAACAGATGATTGGTCCAGTAGGCGAATACTTAGTTATCCATAAAAATGCAATAAGGGCAATGTTTTGCTCAAAAGTGACTGTTAACATACTCAGAGATAACAAGTATGAGAGTTCTCTACCATAAAAATAAAATGAAGTGCAGGCAAAATGGAGACAAACTTGACAGAAGAAGGTACTAAATGAAATGTAGAGGAAATTCTGTGGGCTTCAGTGTTTCCGCAAAATGTGTATAAGCCAATTGTGTCTACTCTATCTGCCAATCTTTCTTTTATAGCCTCATAGGCCCCTAGGACTAAAAGTAAGTGTGGATGTTAAATTTATGATAATAGGGGCATTGAATTCCAGTGCAATAGTCTCTAAGCGCTTTCTTATGGGGAACAATTCTGAACTCCCTTAAAGTTTTATGGTTACTGAAAGAAGAAAGATGTTACTGAAAGAATAAGAAGTACAAGCTGCCGGTGGGGCAGCTGACAGTCTTCCTCTCCCTGCTTGAAGTCTCTGGGAACTTCAAGAAGGCACTGTGTTGATGACAATTAGGTTAGCAATCAACCAAGAATAGTTTTAAACTGAACAGAGAACTGGAAAGCACCGCTCTAGTAGCTGTTCTATAGACATTTTGTTTGCTATAATGATGCCCTCCTACTGGCAGGATGTCCCTGAACTAGTCATTTTCTCTCTTACCTTACCAGACTTGTTATGAGGACTAAGTAAGATAATAGCCAACAGTAGGAGAGATGACTGTGTTTCTAATGTATGTTGCTATATTGCTAATACAGATTGCAATGTGTTGCACAATTTCTCTGTCTACTTTCTAGGCACATATCTAGCCTACATTCCTCTGCTTCCCTTGCTATTAGACATAGCTATGTAACTGGGTTCTCACCAATAATAGCATGAGCCATTTCTTAGGCTGGCCCATAGGATGTTCCCGTGTGATCCTTTATTATCTTTCTTTCTCTACACTCTGTGTGAATGAAAAAAATGTCTATAGCCATAGAGGAGGAAGAAGCAAAAAATGGAAGTCACCTGGGCCTGGAATGACTGGGTAGAGGCTACCTGGCCAGAAGCATACTCTGTTACTTGAGTATGAAATAAACTTGCCTTATTTAAGCCACTGATGGTCTTTGGTTTACTTGTTTTCAGTGACCATTATATTAACTAATACATTAATATTAGTGAGTGCTTGCTATATGGTAGGCACATACACACTTCTTTTTTTCCTGGTGATAGAATATACCAACATAAAATTTACCATCTTAACCATTTTAAGTGTACAGTTCAGTGTTACTAAGCACTTTCCTAACGTTATGCAACCATCACTACCAGCCGTCTCCATAACTCTTTTCATCTTATAAAACTGAAACTCTACACCTATTAAAAACTCCACATTCCCTGCTCTCTGCATGCCCTGGTAACCACTGTTCTACTTTCTGTATGATTTTGACAACTTTAAGTATCTCATATAAGTGCAATAATACAGTATTTGTCTTTTTGTAACTGACTTACTCCATTTAATACAACGTCCTCATTTCATATTCATGTTGTAGGGTATGTCAGAATTTATTTCCTTTTTAAAGTTGAATAATAGTCCATTGTATGTTGATACGGTGTGGCTGTGTTCCCACCCAAATCTCATCTTGAATTGTAGGTCCCATAATTCCCATACGTTCTGGGAGGGACCTGGTGGGAGATAATTGAATCATGGGGGCAGTTCCCCCATACTGTTCTCGTGGTAGTGAGTAAGTCTCACGAGATCTGATGGTTTTATAAGGGGAAGCCCCTTTCACTTGGCTCTCAATTCTCTCTTGTCTGCTGCCACGTAAGATGTGCCTTTCACTTTCCGCCATGATTATGAGGTCTCCCCAGCCACGTGGAACTGTGAGTCCATTAAACCTCTTTTCCTTTATAAATTACCCAGTCTCAGGTATGTCTTTATCGGCAGCATGAAAACAGACTAATACATATGTATATACCACATTTCGTTTATATAGTCATCCCTCAATAGATATTTGGGTTGCTTCCATGTTTTAGTTATTGTGAGTAATGCTGCTATGTATGTGGGTGGACAAATACTTCTTTGAGACCTTGCTTTCAGTTCTTTTGGGCACACAGTCAGAAGTAAAATTGCTGGGTCATATGGTAATTTTAGTTTTAATTTTCTGAGGGACTCCCATACTGTTTTCTACTGTGGCTGTATCATTTTATAGTCCCACCCACAGTGCACAAGTATTCTGTATTATTCTGTTCTCACACTACTGTAAAGAAATACCCGAGAATGAGAAATGTATAAAGAAAAGAGGTTGAATTGGCTCACGGTTCTGCAGGTTGTACAGGAAGCATGGCTGGGGAGGCCTCAAGAAACTTTCAATCATGGCAGAAGGTGAAGGGGAAGCAGGCACGTCTTACATGGCCAGAGAAGGAGGAAGAAAGAGACGCGGGAGGTGCTACACACTTTCATATAACCAGACCTCATGAGAACCCTATCACAAGAACAGCTCTAGGGAGATGGTGCTAAACCATTCATGAAGGATCCACTACCATGATCCAATCACCTCCCACCAGGCCCCACCTCCCACCAGGCCCCACCTCCAACATTAGGGATTACAATTCGACATGAGATTTGGGTGGGTACACCAATCCAAACCATATCAGGTTCCAATTTCTCCACATTCTCGCCAACACTGGTGTTTTTTGTTTTTTGTTTTTGTTTTTGTATAATAGCCATCCCAATGGGTATGAGGTAGTATTTCATTGTAGTTTTGATTTGCACTTCCCTGATTAGTGATGTTGAGCATCTTTTTTATTATTATTCTTTCAACTTTTATTTTAGACTCCGGGGGTATATGTACAGTTTTGTTACATAGGTATGCTGCATACGCACCTCTTTAAGTCTCACAGAACTCCACAATACAGGTACTATTACAGGCACAGAGAGCTTAAGTAAATTGTTCAAATTCACACAGTGTGTTGGGCTGGAATGTAAATCTAGGGACCCCAAATCATGAGCTCTGGCTCTGAATCGTTGCACTAGACTGTCTCTCTCAATACAAAAAAAAAAAAACCCTACTAAGTGTAATGTAATGACACAGAGTTAGTTCTTAGTTTATGTTAACTATTGTTATACAGACAAAAGAGAAATCAGAATGGAGAGCAAACAATTAAAAACAAAGAAAATTCTAAAATTCTATCAACCGAAATCTTTACATAAGCAAACAAATATTTTTATTTTTTAATAACGTTTGGCTGGCTAAAGGTAAACAGTAAGGAAACAGAAAAAGTTGAATATGTTAACCTGATAATCCAAAGTGTAGTTTATATCTATAGATCAATAACCAAAATAGCATTTTAAACAAGTTTGTTTATTATATGTGATAGCAAATAATTGAGAGAGTCCTTATTTCTCACCAACAAAAAGTTGGTAGAATTATGCAGCCATTGAGCATTATAGCTTCAAAGACTTTTTAATGATATGAAGAAAATACTCATGAAATAATGTGACCCGATTACATAAAGACATTCATTTATTGATTCATTTATTTTAAAAAAGTTTGAGTACCTATTACATGGTATAGGCCCTAGTCTATGAGCTGGTCACATCATCCCTCTCCAAAGAGTATATGGTCTAGCTTTCAGTGCAGGCTTTGTAAATAGACTGGCAGAGTTCCTCTTCTAGGGCTTAGTTTCTTTATCTACAAAATAAAGAAGTTGGATTTGATGACTGATACGGTTTGGCTGTGTCCCCACCCAAATCTCATCTTGAATTGTAGCTCCTATAATCCCCACATGTCGTGGGAGGGACCCAGTGGGAGGTAATTGCATCACGAGGGTGAGTTTTTCCTGTGCTGTTCTCATGATAGTGAATAAGTCTCAAGATCTGATGGTTTTCTAAGGGGCAGTTCTCCTGCACATGGTCTCTTGCCTGCTGCCATGTAAGATGTGCCTGTGTTCCTCCTTTGCCTTCTGCCATGATTGTGAGGCCTCCCTAGCCATGGGAACTATGAGTCCATTAAATCTCTTTTTCTTTATAAATTACCCAGTCTTGGGTATTTCTTCATAGCAGTATGAAAATGGACCAATACAATGACTGTCAACATCTCTGCAACAACTAAGTTCTACAAGTGGAAACAGGACCCTTTATTCAGTCAGGAATAAAACATTATTTGATATATCTGCAAAGCTGCAACTCAACTAAAATTGTAACAGCACCATAAACCTATTAATGTTAGTTCTATTTAGAACCGCCCACCATCTTGGTTTATCCAAGACTAAGGTGTGACCTGAGATGTTGAGATTTTTAGGACTAAAACCTGGAGATTCCCAGGCAAACTAAGATGGTTGGTCACTTTAGTTCTATGTCAAATTTTTAAGCTTAAATGCAAAAACTAGTTTTAATTACAGAAACGTCAATTAATCCCTTTTTTGTGTTGGGATGTTTCATATGCAGTAAACAAACAAACAAACAAACAAAACCCGAGAAGAACAGGAACTACGTATATGTAGTAAACCCACTCATTGTCAAAAATTCTTAGAGAAACAATACATTTGGTATGAAAGTTAACAATGATCACAATAGTCACAAAATTTTAAGCTACAGTCATCACCCTCTAAGAGCTTGGTGGTGGTTGTTTTAAAATCATAATTTCAGTTCAGAAATTGGAAAGAACTCTGACTACCGGTACTCTATTAATATTTCAATTAGAGAGAGACATATTTTCAACTTTGAAAAATTGCAGTTTTAAGAGGCATATGATAATTTTCTTTTCAAAATACAGATGTTCTTCTAAAGATTATTCAAATACGACTGTCTTCTGAAGTTTCATCTTTCTTTTTTTTCCTCATTTACCACATAGATCAGTACAATTAGGCTAACACCAATGATAATGTTCCTTCAAACCAAAGCTAAAGAACCTCAAGGGGCTGGTAGGGGAATCCAGAGGGGTTTGTAGTGTCTCAACACAGCCAATCGAGGGGCAAGAACTCTTTACATCAACAATAAGACCTTGCTCTCCTGGGAACTCTTGGGCTCTTGTCTCCAATTCCGTTCTCCTTCAAAAATTCCAAGGTCTTCTACCACACCTTAATAAATAACTATTAAGTGCTTTTTTACTAACTAATAAATTCAGGATCCCAGGACTGGGTGAGCTCATTAGGAGTAATTCAGATGGATTTGAGCTCTTTAAGCAAGAAGCAAGTAAGAGATTTGGTTATGCTGGTTCATTGATTCCTCTTCGTCCAATGATGCAAAAATGCGTGTTTCCTCTTCATCCATCCCAATGACAAGGAGCTTTTAAGTGTCAGTTAACAAGACAGTCCCGAAACCCCTTTGCAGAGTTAAAAAAGGGTAATTTCTAAAATTTGGACCAATTACCAATTCAGGCAATTCAGCAAATTTCTAATAATTACACCACATTTCAGACTCTTTCATAATTGTCATGCTCATTTTTCCTCTTCTGTCCACAGCAAGCCCCATCCTCTCACCCAAATTCCTTCCCCCATCCCTGACACACATTTCTTCCTAATGATAATGCTCTTCTCTCTGTCTGGAACCAAATGCATGCAGTGGTCAAGTAGAAATGGGAAAAGCTGCCTTTCTCACTCTTGCCTTGGGGAAGAGGGAAATTAGTTTAAATAAATGATATGCTAATTTGAAAAGAAATGAATCGAACAGTGGAGAGACAGAGTCCATTTCCTCCACTGGAGCAGCTAGTGCCTTTGAGATATTCTGTCACATGCGGAATCATTATCCCACCTGTCTGAATTGATGTCTTGTTTTAGTCTTCAATACCTGCCTAATAATGCCTAGAGCTTACATCTGTCGTTGAATGCTTACTATATACTAAGCACTGTCCTAAGCATTTTACATGTTTACTCCCACTTAACCATCACAATCCTTTGGGATAAGTACTGATATTAACCCTACTTTAGAGCCAAGGAAATTAAGCCTTAAAGAGATAAAGTGACTTGCCATTAGGGACACAGCTCATAAATTGCAGGGCTGGGACCTAAGCAGTGTTGGCCTGGTTTCAAAATTCACACCTTGGTCCCTGACTCACACCATTCTCATGAAGTCTCTTCCAAAACCTGGAGGCTGTTCTAGATCTGGCCTCCCAAGAGCAACTCTCACCATCATTAATTGCTCCGACTGCTCCTCCAAGACCTACCTCTGTAAAGCTCCTCCTTGAAGGGCACAACCTCATCTCTCTTCCACTCCCAGGAAGGCAGGCTGGAAACCTAATAGAGACTCCCTAAGAAACCTGCATTCTATCTTTCCCTGACCATTCAATTTCCGTACTTCCACCAGAGCCCAACTTCTATCAGACAAACTCCATGCTATCTGCATGCTAACTCCATGGATAATCTGCATGAAAAGGGGGGAAAGAGACAAAATCATGTTACAAAACTTGGGCAAGGGTCTAGACTCAACTTGCTTTGAAAGATCTTAAATCTTCCCATTCATTTGTAGACAGCAGTGGGCCTTTTTCTTCCTCTGCTCTGCACGACCTTCTAGCCCAAGTGCTAGTATCACCTTTTCCTAAAGACTTTTAAGACAAACTGTGACCATTTATGTCTACATGACACAGTTTCAGGATAACAAAGTGTGAAGACACACAAAGACGTCAAACATTTATCAGAGACCTAAGCGAAACGCCAATAAATGTTACAGGGATCAAGAATATGGTTACTGACATTGAATGTATCCTGTGGCTTTGAAGAATCCAAAGGATGATTCTCGAATAATGTATCCTTCCAAATTCTCCAGAAGTTCTAAGTTTAGACATCATAATGAAATGTCACCACGTTCCTCTGCCAGAAGTTGTTCAGTACTGAGGGGCTAATGATGCTTTCGCTTAAAGCCGATTCCCCCAATAAAGGGTGCCAAGGCTTTTCTGAAGCCCTGCTTCCGGCTGGCGACTTTGAAGCTGAGACGCAGGTTCACGCGCAGTTTCCGAAGACCTATTCCGTCCCCACCCTCCTCCCCTTCCTCGGAGACACCTCCACTTAACACTGCCTTCTCAGTCCCTCGCCGCCTGTTTAAACACAACTTCCACCCCTCACAAATCAGAAAGCTGTAATTTCAAAGTTTCAGAAACGTTTTCGGAAAGCCTCCTCCAATGGGAAGCGACTTCGCCGCTGAGTTAAGCGTCCGAATCCTCCTTCCCGCGGCAGGGACACCGGCCCGGGCCAGGTCTGCGGAGGACGCCCCCGGGCGCGCACACACAGCCCGAGGACGCGCCCTGTATTTTAAGACGCAGGGTCGGATTTCACCCCGAAACTTGGCTCCCACAGCCCCAGGCCGAACTGTGTCTGGTTCTCAGCCCCCGAGCCCGAGTTCTACGCCGCAAAGAGATGGGGCCCCATTGTGCCTAGCTGGCCTCCTAGCACGGACGTGTATTTTCTTTTGGTCTGTCTTTTGCTAAAAACCGGCAGTGCGCTTCGCCTCCCTGCCCAGCCGCAGCCTGCCGTCCCCTAGACAAAAAGCGGCGACCGCGGCCCGGCCACCCGAGCCCCGCCGCGCTGCGCCTTTGTTGGGCGGTCCACAGATGGTGCCCAGCACGGGGCCGCGCCGAGGGCGGGGGCGGGAGGCCGCGAAGAGGGTCGGGCGGGAGGGGAGGAGACGGCGGAGCAGCCAATCCGCGCGCGGCCCATCAGCTGACCGCCTTTGCTTACACCAGGTGCACGCCGGCTGCGGGGAGCACAAAGCGGGGCGCACCGCGGGCGCCGGCAACGAGCCGGTGAACGAGGCGAGGCCCGTGCGCCCGCGGCTGCAAGCGCCCGCCTGGCGGGGAGAGGGGCCGACGGCGTCAGCCCGGGCGGCGGCATCCCTAGGCGCCTGGGGCGCCTTCCTCCGGACCTGGCCGCTCGCTGCCCCGCCCTCTGCACCCCACTTCTCCGACCCTCCTTCCCAGTCCTGCCTCCCCCTGCCCTGGCCTCTGAGAGCCGACTGAGCCCAGCCCCGTGCAGCAGCGGTTGCCTGTGTCGCCGCCTAGTCTCCGGTCTTGGTGCTCTCCCGGGGGTGCCCCAAGGAGCCAGTGCGCGCTGCGGGCTGGGAAGGAGGCGCCGCTCAGCTAGTCCTCCTCCTCCTCCTCGTCTTTCTCCTCCTCCTGCTGCTGCTGCCGCCGCCGCCGCCGTGGGTGCCGGGTCCGCGCGCACCCCAACACCCCCACCAGCTGGGCCTCGGGGTAAGTCCCTGGCCGGCCGCGCCGCGGCAGGAGGTGTGGGAGGCAGCGAGGGGAAGTCGAGGCAAACTTGGTGGCGTGGGAGACCCTACGGGGTCTGGGGAACCTCAGGGTAAGATCGCGGGCCTGAGGGGGACGAGGGGGCGCGGCTCACGGAGCTGGGGAAAATGACGAAGTCGGGAAACGAGAATATAGTGCCCCGTTTCCCCCCGTCCCCCTTGCCAAAAAAAAAAAAAAAAAGGTGTGGGAGAGCGATAGTTGGGAAGGCAGGCCAGATAGAAACAGGCAAAAAAAGGCAGTGACCGGAGCCGAGCCTGCTGGATTTCAGGGGCCGACCAGGGGAGGGAGGTGCCCGGGGACGGGGAGGGAGGAGGGCTGCCGGGATGTGAACCGGGGAAGGCAGCTGGGGCTGGAGAGCAGCGCGGAAAGGGGGCCCAGGGAGCTGGAAAGAGGGCCAAGAGGAGGGCAAGGAAGGTGGCGGGCGACGGGGAGAGGAAAGAAAAAGGGTGTCTTGGCGGTGGCCTTGGTAAGAGAAAGGGGCAAGGGGTATAATTGACAAGGCACTGAAAGTATTGAAGTCAGAGCCTTGGGAAGGATCTACCGAACTCTCGGCGGTCCACGCGGGGACAGACCTCAGCCCGTGAGCCTTGAGCTCCACGCGGGGACAGACCTCAGCCCGTGAGCCTTGAGCTCCACGCGGGGACAGACCTCAGCCCGTGAGCCTTGAGCTCCACGCGGGGACAGACCTCAGCCCGTGAGCCTTGAGCTCCACGCGGGGACAGACCTCAGCCCGTGAGCCTTGAGCTCCACGCGGGGACAGACCTCAGCCCGTGAGCCTTGAGCCCAGAAGGAGTGGCAGCCTCAGGACGTTTGCCAGGTGGCCTGGAATGTGAGGGAAGCCTCAGCCCCGCCAGGAACAGAGCTGGCGCTGAGTTCCCGGCTCGGCCCGGGTCAGAAGCGAGGAAAGTTTGCCGGCGAGTGTCCTTTGTGCTGCGTGGAGAGGGGTGTGGGCGGCCGCCGACTCGGCGCTTCCCCGCCGCCCGCCCAGGGAGTCCCTGCCTGGCAAGCTGGGGCTCGGGGAAAAGTCCAGCAGCGAGAGGGCCGCGTGTCCCGGGACGGTTCCAGGGGAGCCCGCGCGGAAACGCGGACCAGGCGCTTCGGCCCGGATGCCGGATCCAGGAGAAGGGGACCTCGCTTGCCGTGTCCACCGCCGCGGCCCCAGCGCCAAGAACAGAGCCTGGCCGTGAGTGAACGACTGGCCGGGGTACAAATGGTTCTGAAGCACTTGAAGCTCACAGGCAAAGGCTAAGAGTCTAAATCCCATCCCGCCGTAAGTATTTTCATTCCCAAACCTAAATCGTAAAGGAAAAGTGGAATTCTAATTGGGTGAGGGAACAGGTGCTGCCGACTCTGGCTTTTGCGTGGAGGATTTTCTAAAAGACAACATGTTTTGTTTTGTCTTGCCATGACAATCTAAATCATGTTAGTGGAATAGGCTCATTATTTCATTTTTAAAAGCTAGGGCTGGAGGAGTGGAAAGTTCAGGAAGGCACTTTGATCAGTATAAATCTAGAGTAAAAGTGTTATTGGCTCCAGGGCCATATGTGTCCCGAAGTCTCTGATTTGCATGCAAATGTGAGCGGATCCTGGCAGATGTCTGGCCTCATCCATTCACATGAAGGAATTTGAAAAGACAAGGAGTCTTCAGTTAACAATAGACCTTAAGAAAAGAGAATAAAGACGCAGTGTGAGTTTTTCTGTTTGGGAATTCCATGGTTTGCTGACACCTTTATTCAGGAGCCAAATTCTTTAAGTGCTATTGTATTGAAAGCTCAAAGTGCTGCTTGCTCTTTACCTGGCTGTATATATTCGTGCAATATTCAAGCTGGATATTCTAAGCTAGTTAGGAAAAGGTTTGTGTGAAGCAGACAGTAACTTTAACCCACTTCTGGCGGCTTGAAGTGATTTCTGAATTGACCCCTCAACTTTTCGAGTTTTCTTTTAATAATTTGACTCTTGCTCAAATTTGGTCCTCATCTTCAGAGCTATTCATTATAGTAGAAGATCGTTGTCGTTGACCGACATGAAGATTTCCTGAGAATGTCCACTGTCTAGCTGAGAATGTCCACTGTCTAGCCAAAGTCATTTCGGTTCTTAAGGCACCAAACTGTAGAACTGCAGGTGATGCAACTGTCCCAACCCTAGTTACCCGAGTGGTTTTCAGGTCACATAACAGTGAACGGGGAGGTAGTCGTGCAGTAGACTCTGGAGCAAGGGCCTTTCTGCCGTGTCTAACATTAGCTGCGTGACCACACTGCACTGTTCACCTCTTGGCGTTGTGCGACAGCTGAACAAAAGGCAGGCAGTGTGGGCCGCACGTGAGGCAGGCGATTATATTAATACCTACGACTAACCAGCCCCAGTGGCCTCTTCTTTTGTCAACCTCAAACACTGTTGAAGGGAAAAAGAACCTATTCACGGAACAGCATTTGCCCCAGTATTCTATATATTCACTGAAAGGGACATTAAAATACAACACCCCCCCAACCCCCGCCAGAAAAAAAAGACAACATTGTTTTGGAGGGCTCAGTGTTTCGGGGGAGGGGTGGACAACAGATGTTAGTCTGCTATTTTACATGTTCCTTTAAGTTATTTTTGCAGGTTCAGTGCCTTTTATACATAAGGCAATATTTTCACAGGATGGGGAAAAATGAATTGAATCAAATTTAAGTAAGAAAATGTTATAGCCAAGTTTGCATTTTGTGTCTTAGAGCTATATAGAAGTCAGAAAGTAACAAATCATTCTAATAAACTCTTAATTTGACTCTACACGCCTGATGTCTTCCTGATAGAGTTGAAGGGTAACTTAAAATAAACTTGACATTTCTAGACTATAAACCATTTTGTTGTAAAGTTATCTAGATATTTTTGAAACCTGGTAAGTTAAAAATGACCCTCACATTTGTGAAACCTTATCTTTGGCAATTAACCTGCCTGTGTAATCGTTATTCTGCAAGTCTAATGAAAGGACAGATTAGAACTCATTCCTTGGTAAATAAAACTGATAAAGTGTTTAATTATTAGAAAAGGATCATTCTGCTAAATAAAAGATCTCAAGACCAGATCCAACTGCAGACTGTGTTTCTAAAACATAACCTCAGCTAGCTCTGGTTAATGTCTGAAATTCTGGGAAAGCAAGGAAAAACTCAACCATTGATCTCTCTCTGGTTAGTCTGTGCTAAGGCCACCTTCTTGATCTAAACTGCTAGAGCCATTACCACATATTCTAAAGCAGTGACACTCATGGGAATATACTAGGTACTAAAGAAAATCGGTCTCTACGGAGTTATATTGCTACTTCCCAAGCCAGTGGAATATAAATAATAATGATAAATAATCAGAATGGTGGGCTTTTTATACCACCATAAGTAGGCCATAAGTCATAAATAAAATATGGTAAATTATAGGATGCAGATGCCAGTTTTACGAGACTTGCACAATGCTTACTTAAAATTTATTTTTAAGTTACAAAATAATAGTTCCCCGAATGATTCATTTCAGCACTAATGTCAGGTTATTCAAATATTGTATTTAATTTTAAAAAATTATGCTGAACATCTGTTTTGGGTTAAGCCAATCTGGAGATAAAGCAAATTCCATTGTAGAATCATATGATCATTTAGAATCATATGTTTCTGGGAACAATGAAAGTATCTTTAACTCATGAATAGAGCTCTGATTAATATTTAATTCAGGATGAAATTATATGGATGAAGTCAGAAAAACATTTATTCTCTCTTGTTTTGGCTCAAAGTACAGAATAGAGATAAAAGTTAAACCCTATCTGTAAAATTCAATACTTTAGTGACCAAGGGATCCATTTGTTCTAAAGGTCTTTTTAGGTGAAGTTTGCTTTTTAATTTCTTGTTTTAGCATATATTAGCATTCACCTGCTTTACAGATCTGTTACAGAATGTAGCCTCCCGAGTTCTGAAACATAGATAAATGCATGATAAATGGTTTATTGACATTGCATTATAATCCATGATAAAATGATAAATGTTTCCAGACTTTATGGGCACCCTGTAGAACTGTTAAGCATATTATCCAATAATTAAAATACATACCATTTTATGTTACAGTTTTTTAAAAGAAACAATATGCAAGCTTTACTACTATTTATATTTTCTACTTTTTGAATGTTTTCAAAGCTCTAGGCAAATGTCGGGAGTTATTAACAATTTTATCAGTTGATTGGTTGGTTAGCAAGCTATTATCCAGTCGTAGCTGGATGATCTTGGATCAGTTGCTTAACCCCATACCAACCTTCAATTTTGTCATGTATAACATAATCGAGTTGGGAGAATAACGCTGGAAGGACTAACTGCCATAATCAGTGAGATTACTAAAAGGTTTATGTAAGCCATGCCTCCAGTACCACAATTAACATCAACATTTAACTTATATGGAACCATTGTACCTAATGAACTGAGGATCATTCCTGAGATGCGGAGAATCTAGGGGTGAACTTGGAATAATACATTCCCAAGGTCCTGTCCACTCTGACTTTAGAGTACCCTCTAAAGATGCTGCTGTATCAGCTTAAGACACTTAGTTTTAAAATCTATGGAGTGAAAACTGCTTTTAGAGTGGCTTATTGCCTTCCATTTATACTCTTTATTGCTCAGAGGTTAGAGTGTTATTTGAAAGCTCCGATTAATATAAATGAGTTGTAATTTTCCAACCCAGGCTGTCCTAGCTCACATCTATTATACCACTGGCAGACATGTGGACTCCACAGCTGTCCCCTCATTTGTGTATGAAACAGACACACTGGTGGCATTTTTTGGTTACCATAGTTACATTAACAATGTACATGTGACATCCTTCTATGTGAAAGGTTTCTGTGGCAGATATTTTGTAGAACTGGGAGTAAAGGAAAACTATTTAAAGTTTGGGGAACACATAAATTAGTCTGCCATTGTATTCCGGAGCCACCATTTCAATCCAGGGAAGAGAGCCATCCTACAGTGGTGTCCAGGAAAGGACAATCTTGGAAACAAAGATTTTCAAGGGAGGCATTTCCAGCAATGCCTAACCTCTTCAGGAGAGTGTCCATTTAATATTCATTTCAAAATATTTGCTCTTCCTATTTGTGACTGCCCTTTGTGAGATAATGTATTAGCATAGTCATTTTCAATTTGCAGGGGGACAGTGGGCAGCACCAATATTAGCACCTATCTCAGTAAGACCTAGGAAACAAAAAAGGAGTTTGCACTATTAAGCAGTGAGCCACAGAAAGAATCATCCTTTAGAAAAACTAAAAAAGCTTTAAAAGAGAGAAAGGTGGCTTAATTGGTTTCATGCCTATAATTTTCCCCTCTAGAAAGAAAAATGTTAGCATGGCAATAAAGAATATCATTAACCTGCATTGTTATTTCACAATAGTGATAAGTCTTAGTTTGCATCCATAATAATCAGTGTAATCAAGTACTGTACAGAGAATCAGGAAGGCGCAGGCTCAATTCCCAGCAATGACACTAATGACTCAATGTCTGACCTTCTGGATGTCCTGCAACCATCCCGGTGCTTCATGGCTCTATCAGAGTTGTGCGTTAAAGGATCCAGGAACACTGGTAGATGATTTCAATATCACCAGTGCGAATAATTTGATTTCTGCCCCAAGAGCTAGAATTATATGGAGAGCTAATGGTCTGGGTACAGCCCCTACCTTTCTGCAAGGTGATGTTTCTGGTCCCTAATCCCATAGCTAAGAGATTTTGTTGTTCTTTTTAAAATTTTCTCTCCCTAGCATTGACAGTTTCTCACCACCTCACCTGGGCCCGCTTGAGGGGAAAAATTTTACCAGGGGTACAGGAAGCCATTTACAATCATTAAACATTTGTTCACCTCACAAGTATATATTGAGCACCTGCTGTATGCCAGGCATTACAGAAGGCAGTAAAACTGAAATAAGTTAGCTTGATTTTTCTGCAGCTTGTACATTGGAGCATTTTGTTTCCATCAACCTATGCATTCTCCTACAAGTATTTATTGAGTGCTCTGTAGGAAAAAGGCACTCTGCACAGAGGATTTCAACCAAGGGTGATTTTTGCCTCTGAGGGGACATTAGGCAATATTTGGAGCCTTCTTTTTGTCATCGCTGTCACAAGTGAGGGTGGGATGAGGGTGTTATACCGGCATCTAATGGGATGCTGCTCAACATCCTAAAATGCATAGCACAGGAAGCCCCACGACGGAGAATTATCTGGTCCAAATGTCAGTAGTCGCAAGGATCCTGCCTCTGCCCTCAGTGAGCTTCAGTCTAGTCGGGGTTACAGAAAGGAGACTGACAAGTGCAGCATAGCGTGCTATGATGGTGGGAGTGCAGGCTACACAAGTACAGAAGCAGCAGCCTTAACTCAGATGTCAGCTGCCAGCAGAGGCTTTAAGAAACAGACTGGTTAATTCACAGAACAGGCTTTCACCTGCCACACAAGTGCTCAGCAGGAGACGATTTTCCATCTAGCCTCTTTGAACATAAGGGGGTTGGATGGTTGCTTGAGAGAGGGTAGACTCCTTAAGTTTGTCAAGAACTTTAAACTGAAGATGGAGTTAATTCCTTGTAGGAGTTGGTCAGAATTCAGTGTGTCTTGAGTAAACGGGAGAGGAGGCTGGAAACAGAGAGAAAGTCGATAGCAATAGACATAGGACAGCACAAGCTGCATGAAGAGAAGATGCAGCTGAGTTGACAAAGCTGTCACTGCCTCATATTTTAGAGCTTTAAACTTTGCCAAATCCTTAAATATTTATCTCATTTGACCTATAACATCCTGAGAAACCAAATGTGATTGTTCTTTCTCCTTTTCCCCAGTAACTGAGGGACAAGAGTCATGGAGAGGTTCATTGTGACTGTGGACAAGTCACTCGATGAAGTTTATCTGTAAAAGGAGAGGTCTTGTGAGGCTCCTCTTCCCAGCACAAGTTGAATTTGTCTAGGGTCACCCATCTAGGGGGAGACTGGAGGTGGGATAAGACCTGAGACTCCTGTCTCTCTCAGACCTAGTGTCTTCCACTCAGATGGTAGCAGCTTCCTAGACCGTGGAGTCCTAACAGGTAACAAGCTGACGGTGACTCAGCATGCTAGCTCTTGGGTTACCGAAGAAAGCAAGGACCTACGATGCATCGGTTAAAAAGTATCATGCAGAGAAACTTAAGCTGGGTTTCCCCTATACCTAAGGATTAACCACGCCCCCTACCTAATGGCTTATCTTAAGCTGACCTTAGCCACTTAAAAAAAGACTTGTGACAATCTGGGAAGAAAGGTTCATAGGAGAGTGCAGCTAGAGTTAGAAAACGAGATAGAAAATGGGACAACCCAGAACATGTGGGAAGAATGGACTGCCTAGAATAGATGTTATAGTGGTATCATTTTCTGTTTTCATTGATTTTTGTTTTTTCTTTGATAGGAGCGTTTTAACTTTCCTATCAGAGAATAATGACCAGTGTATACAGATATGCACACTTACATGCACACACATCACACATATAGAGCAGGGGAGACAGATTTCATACAAGTTTATGTTTCTTTCTTGTTTGTTTAGTAAGACTTGCACGTCAGAACGAGTTTTGGAGAGAACCTTCCCTCAAGGTCTTATTTCTGGTTTCTCTGGGATAATGAGTGTAAGGTTTCCTATGAGAAGTAAGACTGAGAAGCCACATGACTACTCAAGGTTCTTTTCATTCTCTGTGGTTTCCAGGATCAGGAGTGAGAGTTAGGTAGGACTTCAACCATATCCTGAGAGTTTCCAGGACACATGTGGAATCTACATGAACTCATCAGACCATCAGAGAACCATAAGGACAGTGGAGTAGCAATGACTGGCTTTCTCCAGGTTGTTATTCCAGCTGACTGTGGTTCTGTGCAGTGAGGACTACATGTAAGGCCTAACCCCCCAAAGGACCAGTTAGCTTTGCTGTGTTCCACAGGGACACAGCCAGCCTCCTCACGTACTCAGAAACTCATCCTTTCTCATGGGGAGGCCATGTGAAAAATGTAGGTCACTTCAAAGCCATCTGAAGGCAAAACACAAAATATGTGGGCAAAGGCTGGTGGGATATGTTTCTCTTCATGCATTCATTCACACTGTCAAATTGGAGTCCTGGTGAACAAGTTCCCAAATGGCTTCACTACCAGGATTGAGCACTGGAGCGGAGATTAGTTCTATGCAAATGAGATGCTTTAGTGATCGAGAGGAAAATATTACATAGAGCTCCCAAATTCTATCCCCAGAGCCCACCATTTTTCCTAACGTAGCATACAGTAGTAGCAGTAGAATAATGATACTCTACACTGTGCCTTTCCAATGTGTTGGGACCCATCACCAACACCTTATGTGCATTAACTCCTTTAATCCTTGCAACAACTCTGTAATGTAGACACCCACTTTATAGCTCAGGAAACTAAGGCAGACCGCAACTAAGTACCTTGCCCAAGGTCAAACAACTAGTGTGTATGTAATAAATATTTGTCAAGTGAATGAATGAATGAATGAATGGGTACACATCTGTTTTAGAGGAGAGAGTCCTTTATTTGAATTCTCAGTTTATGGCATTCCTGCTTTCCAGGCAGAGCATTTTCAAGAACTGCCTCTGTGACTTGTGAATGATAGGGGAAGAGCTGGTCGGTGGAGAAGCAGGGGTTGAACTTGGGTCTGTCTGACTCTAAACCTGTACTGTTAAAGTGCTTGGCTATATTTCTTCCTCTTTAATTGCAGCTATAAAACAAGAGGACTGGACTACGTTAGCTCTCTTAGCCCATTCCACTCAAAAAGTTACATAATTCCATATTAAAGTCTATGTAAAATAAATCACTTTTTTTTTATTTTACTACTTTTAATTTTGAAATCTAGTTTGGTATTTTTATTTAACCAATCATTGAATTATCTTTTAAAATTATATTAGAATTATTAACAGAACATATTTATAAACCCTCTTTAAATCATTTTAAATGGATGAGAATGCATAGTTACAGATTGCATTCTCCTAACCCTTACCATCTCACTGCCTATTAAGTTATATCATCATTGTCTAAATTTAGGTGTCTAAAAATTGAAAAGCATCTTTTGTTACACAGGGAAAAGACAGGTAAAGTGATTAATTTTGAAAAAATTACTGCCGATATTTGCAGAAATAAGTAGGTTGCTGAATCTAATGAATAGTATTGAATGATTTTTTTTTCTTTAAGATGGAGCCTTGTTTCTGTCGCCCAGGCTGGAGTGCAGGGGCGTGATCTTGGCTCACTGCAGCCTCTGCCTCCGGGGTTCAAGCAAGTCTTGTGCCTCAGCCTCCTGTGTAGCTGGGATCACAGGTGCCTGCCACCATGCCCAGCTAATTTTTGTATTTTTAGTAGAGACAGGGTTTCACCATGTTAACCAGGCTGGTCTCGGACTCCTGACCTCAAGATATCCACCTGCCTCGGTCTCCCAAAGTGCTGGGATTACAGGCGTGAGCCACTGCCCCCGGCCATGAAAAGTATTGAATGATTTTTATGAGCTTCAAACTGCTAGCAATATTAAAAGCTACTACTTGAGATTCGCTTCTAAGGATTGTTTTGCTTTAAGGTATCCTCCTGACATGCAAGTGAAGCATCAGAGCAATGTGTCAGTCATTGCCGTAGTGTTACAGGACATGCAGCCCAAGGCAGGGGAAGGAGTGGGTAACAAGGCATGTCCTAGATTTGGGAAGAGTTAGTTTCAGAACTGCTTCTCAGCTCTGTGATCTAGAGTGATTTCATGGAACCTCAGTATCTACATCTGCAAAATGGGGATGATAATAGAGCCCGCCTCTTAGAATCACTAGAATCATTCAGTGAGAACATGCATATAAAGTCCTTAGCACAGTTCCTCTTCCAAGGTACATACTTAGTATACAGTAGCAATGAGTAGAAGTGGTATTTGTGTTCAAATCTGACATTTCTGCCTGCTACAAAGTCTGCATTCTGAGGATGCTAATTCTGAGGCAAGTGGAGAGATTTTAAGGGACAAGAAGACTCAGACTAGATATTTTATGAAGTCCGTAGTTGACATGGTTGTCACCTTTCGTGGTGGACCCCTAGAGTGCTTTATGTTTGTCTAGACATGAGAAATATGGATTCCACTGATGTGCTTTGAAAGAATTGGCAAACAGGTGAATACATTAGAGCCTTTTTTGTTTGTTTCCAGATTCTCTTCTGTATCCCACTCTCTCTTTTCTCTCTGAAAATATTATAATGCCCCTAAATGGTGATTCATGGAATCACATTTTCTAAATAAAGAGAATAGGTTAGGTTCAGAGATATCATTCCACCAAGAGGAGCTGAATTTAAGACATTGTAGCAAACAAACCCAAAAGCTTCACCTCTCTGCCTCCACTGTGATATGAAGGTTGGCCATGTAAAACTCTTAGAACAATGCTGAGCGTGTTGTAAATGGTCCATAGACAATGCAGCTACCATTGTTACTGTTAATTCTTAGTATCATCGTCATCATACAATATCATCATCTTGTATCTTGACCAAACCACAAGGCTTCTGGTTAGGACCAGATTAGAACAGTGCAGTTTAACCACAAATCTTTCTGGAAGCAAGAGAAAGTCACCAGGTATGCTGGGCATGGTGGTGCACACCTGTAGTCCCAGTTACTTGGGAGGCTGAGGTGGGAGGATCACCTGAACCCAGGAGATTCAGGCTGCAGTGATTCCTGATCACACCACTGTACTCTAGCCTGAGTGACAAAGCAAGATGTTGTCTCTTTAAGAAAAGGAAAGAAAGAAAAGAAAAAGAGACAGTCACCAGGCAAGCCAAATCAGGTGTGATCCTTAGGGAGATGAACCCACAGAGGCCAGTTGCTATGAGTTGGCCTCCCTGGCACCTCCCGTGTTTTAGCTAGCTGATTTTCACTTGCACATGAAGGGAAGAGTTGAGAATACCATTAACTTGATTTTCTTTGAATTCTTTGTGAAATGGAAATAGTAATTATTTGTGGAGAACTTCATTGTCTTGTTTAATCCTCGTCATCAGTGCTTCCCAATTGCTGTGACCACATTTACAGGTTAATTGTAGATATCCATACTCTTAGCTCTGGGGGAAAGCCAGTACCACACAGCTGGTCACCTGGCTACCCTTGCAGGCCAATAAATAGAGTTTTCTAAGTGTGCTGAGAGGAACACATACCAACTCTGGGAGTTATGTATTATCCCCATTTTAAAGATGTGGAAAAAAAACCCTAGACAAGGATCTTGCCCAGTATCGTACAGCTAGTAAGAAGTATGCATAGGAACAATACTCTTAACTCTGGTTTTCCTCCAGACTGAGTTAGTCACATTGTCCTTGATCTTCCCACATCTCCTTGTCCTCACTCAAGTCTAGCATGTGTTATCTTTATTTACATCCTGTAGTACCACCACCACCAAGCAGCTTCGTAAGGGAAAAGGCTATGACTGAGTCTTAGGTCCCTGGCACCTATAAAAGCATTTGGCACATGGAAAATGTACTTAGCAAATATTCAGTCGTTGAAAGAGGAAAGGGGCTTCCGTATCATATGTCTATTTCATTTTGCCATATTGCTGCTTTAAAATAATTTGTACAAAGTTATTTCATCTGTATTTTGGTAGAAAATGAGTAGTTCATAAACCTGTATTATACTCAGAGATATTACTATGTTACTGCTTTAGAGAGCTTATTATAGAAAGTTGAACTCATTTGGGAATGCTTTTTGTGATATTATTGCCAAGGAAGTGTTATTAATCAAAAAGTATTCATTAAATGCATGTCGAATATCAAGTGCTATTAGAAAGGTGATATGAGGGTTGAAGAAAATGTACATGGTGTTATTTCTGTCCAGATGAGCTTCCAGACTCATTGGGGAGGTAGAGTGAATAGAATCAAATCAAAATAATTAAGTGATCATCTGTAGGAATTCTGCAACAAAGCAGAAAAACAGGGGCTCAGACCAGACGGGTTTGAATCTCAACTTTGTCACGTAATAGCTGTGCTCAGTATTGGTTAAAAGACTCAATTTATTGACCGCAAACTCATCTGTAGAATGGAGGAATAATGTCTACCCTTAGGGCTGCTATGAGAATGTATGGGAAAGCACTTGGTACAATTCTTAGAACATGACAGTCATTCACTGCAATCATTTGGCAGATATCTACAGCCCCACTTGTGTGCAGATCTTTTTCTGGGAGTACAGTGGTGAGCAAAACAGATGATGTGTGTTCCTTTCCCATGTGGAGCTTGCTGTCTGATGTGAGATAAAAGCAATAATCCAATTATCACACAAGTAAATGTA
The DNA here is from genome assembly GCF_000001405.40 of Homo sapiens. Taxonomy (NCBI): domain Eukaryota; kingdom Metazoa; phylum Chordata; class Mammalia; order Primates; family Hominidae; genus Homo; species Homo sapiens. Next base: position 3,812,249 of record NC_000003.12, read on the forward strand.
AAATGATGGCTGTGTTAAGTCCAGTGAAGAAGAAGTACACGAGGCCAGGAGAATGTAACATAAAGCCTTCTAAGAGAAGACCTTCCTAAAGAACTGACACTTATTTAAGCCAAAATCTGAAGGTCATGGGAGAGTTAGCCAGGCAAAGCGTATGGAGAGGGAAGATCTTTGTAAGCCAAAGCCCAGAGGTGAGAAGGACTTTGGTATGCTTGATCAACAGGGAGAAGACCAGTGTGGCTTAGAATAGAATAAAAGGGTACTTTCTTTTCTGCCTACTTCCAAAGTGCACTTGGAGTTCAGAGAAGGCAGAACTTGTACAAAGTTCAGCGAAGGAAGAGACTGCATCCTATACCGAAGAGATATGTCACCATGACAGAAGGCTTGAATTGGTGGAGAGGGAAATTGTGTGAGTAATTCTATTGAGTCTTGGCTGGTTAGGTGGCATGTCATTGTCTTACATGTGTGGACTGGCATATGCCAAGTCGGGCACACCAGGAAGAAAGTTTCTCCTCCATTTCTGTGTGGCTTTGAGCATGCTGATTAACTTCTCTGAATCTTGGTTGTAAAAAAAAAAAAAAAAAAAAAGATGTAGCACCACAAGTTTGTGAAGTTTGTGGGAATGGGAAGATATAATGCATGTGAACGTGGCACATAGTGTCTAGTAAGTTAGCTTAGCTTATTTTATTTTCTGCTCCTCATAACCTTTTTCTCCCTGTACTACACTTTCCTTTCATTGTAGTGAACCTCTCATTATGATACTTGCTAACTGAGATCACATCACCTGTGTTGCTCACAGATACAGATTTTTTATAGTAGTTTGGTGATAGCCGAAACATTTCTCTTGCTTGGCATGCAAATGCTATCATTCTCGTTCATGAACTCATTGTGTAAAATGCACTTAGCCACATCTGGCTGCTGTTCGCATGAACAGAGGTGACTGCTGGTGAGTGGACAAGATCCTTCACAAGCTTTAGATGGTAATTTCGTCGGTGCTCTAATGACCATAACACTTAGTTGTTATTGATTTGTCCTCAGTGGAGAGATGTACTTTTCTGCCTGATCTTAATTATGGTTCATAATATTAGATCATTTCAACACTGAGTTAGCATTTTGCCCTTGTAACAATTTGTTTTAGTTCCATCTTTGTATTGACTTATAAGTAAATTTAGACACTATTACCAAATACTTATCAGAAAAAGATAGTGGGGGTAGAGTGGGTTATTTTTCAGCAAGATGCTGAGTTATCCTTTATTACATGCTTTATGGCAGTAAATCTTGGACTCCCTTGCACCCTTTTATTACTAACCTGCTTTTCTGTGTCCCTTGAGATCTTAAGTCTTCTACTTACTAGATTATGAGAAAAACTCCCAAATTTCCCTCCAACCATAACCTCACTTCCAAACTCCAGTCCTATATTTCCAAATGCCTGCTGGATATTTTCACCCTGAAAATCCCAACATCACCGAAGGAGCAAGAGGAAGAGGTGGTTTCCAGGATGCAGAGTGAACTGTGGCTGTACAAGAGGAGAGAGAACGTCCTTTTGCAGAGGAACGAAGCCCCTGCCTATTGACCCAGCAGGGAGGGAACCAGGAGGAGAAGTACTCCAGCCTCTCTTTTCCCACCCTCTTCTAATCATTCAAATGGAAACTCACCCCACTCCCAAAATGAGCTCCTGCCATTGCTGGCCCTTATCTTGTTTTGAGAACTGCTATCATCCCATCACTCAGGCTCAACCTTGAAATTATTTGTAACACCTCCCTCCCCTGTCTGCACATCTAGTCAACTGCAGTATCCAATAGATGCCTCTCTAGTTATATTTCCCTAGTGTCTTTTAAATATGGCACTTCTTCTTTGTTCCTGTCAACACCACCCGAATTCTAGCCCTCATCGCCTCTCCTTTAGCTTATTGGAAGTGCTTCTTAACCAGTTTCTCCCTATCTAGTGTGCCTCCTCTCCATTCTGACATAGAGCTGGTGGATTCATCTTTCGGAATTATAGAACTGATCCCATAGTTCCCCTGTAAAGAGGCATTAAATGGTCCCCCTGGCTATAGTAATGTGCTGGATATTCTTGATGTCCCTCCAGTTCCACCCAGTACCCCTTTCCACTTTGCTGTGTGCCCCAGGAATCAGATGTATATGGGCTGTACCCATAAATGGGTCCCTTGCCATCTGGCTTCTTGTTGGGTTCTGCATCCTGCGGTAGCTCACTCAGGGTTGTTTGCCCATCCTTTGTGAGTTGACTTTAACCTCGCCCATCCCTTATGCTATTGTTTGAATGTATGCATCCCTCTAAAATTTGTATATTGGAACTTAAACCCCAAGGTGATGGTATTAAGAAGTGGGGCCTTTTGGGAAGTGATGAAGTAATCAGGGCTCTGCCCTCATGAATGGACTAATGCTCTTATAAAAGAGATTGAAGGGAGTTCCTTAGTCTCCTTTTGTCCTTCCATCTCCTCTGCCATGTGAGGATGTGAGGACACAGCCTCAGTTTTGTCTTTGCCCCCTTCTGCCATGTGAAGACACAGAAAGAAGGCACCATCTTCAAAGCAGAAAGCAGTCCTCACCAGACACCACATCTCCTGGTATATTGATTTTGGACTTCCCAGCCTCCAGAACTGTGAGAAAATAAATTTATATTCTTTATAAATTACCCAGTCTCAGGTATTTTAATATAGTGACAGGAATGGAGTAAGAATCTTAAAAATGGTCCCTTTTTAAAACTTTTCTGTATTCATTCCCTTTTTAATGTACCATCTGTTTTCTTCTAAGTCTCTGACAAGGATGAGAAATCAGAGAAAACTCCTTAGTGAAGCATAAAGGCCCTCCATATCTAGGAACCATCCTACCTTCCTGTCTTGATTTCCATAGCTACTGTGGCATAACCAAAATCCCATTCAAAATGAAAGCATTCCTATTCTGTCCCCTATTCCAAGTCTGCTGCCCTGACGCCTTTACACCAGTGTAAATGTTTAACAACTGGCTCTCCAAAAAGGTAAGCCCTCCTTTTTGTGACCAATTTTAAGCTACCAGTGTGATGTCTCTGAACTCAGATTTGGAAAGAAATGCTCACAACTGACTCAGAATACCACTGCTTTGTGTACAGCTCCCCACCTCCCCTGCCACTGCCCTCAGTGCCTTACACAGAAGAGTTGCTCAATAAACTATTCTAATTCATTTCTATCATTCCTGTGGGCATTTGGAATGGTACAGAAACCTACTTACTAGCCACATGTTGATGGTAATATTTGTGTACCCAGAATTTTTTGGTGAGTGCCAACATAGGTACTAGCTGGATTTTTGAGACTTGAAAACGCTGAAGTGAAAATAAACTAACTACTTGCTCACATTTTGTGCTAAGTTGCTGAAGCATAGCATACTACTTAATGTTGCTTAATTCTCCAATAAAATAATTCTCATTTTCTGATCTTGTTTTCAAACCATGTCTTCATTATCCTCAATTAAATGTAATTTGAAGTAATAATAAACCACCATTAAAATGTATTTCCTCACTATTATAACCATTTGAATATTCTATAGTTTATGTCCCCTTAAATCAAAAACTCTACAGAAATTTTTAAGGTACATGTTCATCCTAGACATATATGATTGCACTGCAATTTACTCTAAAATTTATTTTATTAAGAAATAACCCTTTCTTAGTCTAAGAGATAACTTTAATTTTGCTTCATATAAAAAATTTCTATATTGAAAGTTCAAAATGCAACTACAATTTCTATTAGAAAAATAGGAGGTAAGCCAATAAAGATGATCTTATCATAGCATTGGATTCTTTTGTATTTTAATGGTTATGAAGGACAATATGGATATTCAACTAAAATTATTCTTTTTACTTTTAATAATGAACATATTAGTTGAAGAGCTATTATAGAATGCACTATGATTTATAATGCATTTTAATGTTCTCAGCTGTTCCTTTGCACCATATGATTACACAAGCCTAGACTGTGTAATTAAGGACCATCCACTAATGTGCACTGGTGGATTTATGGTTTCCAGGTCATCGATGATCTGAGCACTTTGAGTATTGGACCATTAGTTTCAAATGCATACTAAGATAGGGGAACACATTGGCATCAAGGAAAATCTACAATAAGAAACTCTTTCAAATTCAGGGATGTAACTTTCACCTGATTTTAATTTACCAAAACAATTAAAAAACCTGATTAACAGAAATCCTAATTAACTAGATCCCCTCCACCCTCAGTCCACTTTTAGAAGAAAAGGGAAGATTGGAAGAAAATAATTTAACCAGGGCTTTCAATTAAGAAAAAAAAATATTCCAATATGAGTTCATTATTAGGGCCTTGAAGAAAACTATGTCTTAGTAAAAAATATATAACCACCCTTATTAAAGGCAAAAATATAGGTATTACAATTTGAAACTATAAAAGCTTTCTAGGAAACCTTCAGTCAAACAGAAAATTAAATTTGCACATTCCCTGAGCCTAATGCTCTAGTTAACCAAGGTTTCGCTCTACAAGTTAGCTTTCTTCTACGTGTCTAAAAGAAGGCTGCAATGTACTCTTGGGGTCCAATAAGACAATTAAGGCAGGTGGTATCACAGAAAGGCCCTGTGCAACGAACTTGACTTTAACTTCAGCTGGTTCACTTATAGCTGCGGGAATTGTGACATTACTTGAATTAGTCATGATTTGCCAGAGAAAGAGAATGAATAGGATGGGTGATTGATTGATTGATTGATAAGATAGATAAGATACGATAGAGAGATTTATTACAGGAATTAGCCTACGTGATTATGGAGGCCGAGAAGCCCCACCACCTGCCATCTATAAGCTGGAAAACTGATGTTCTGTCCCAGTGTTGTAAGAATGTAAGTAAAGCACCTTTCACAGTTTCTGTTTTGTATTCTGCTCCCCATCCCTGTCTTTGGCCACTTCCTTAAAGACTCACTGTGGCCCCCAAGCTTTCAGAGGAAAGGTTTCAACAAGCAGGCACACCTCTACTTCATTTTCTTGCGGCGATTAAAAATGTCTAGTTCTTTAAGTCCTTATTAGAAATAGTCATAAAAAATAGTTTAGAAAAGGAATTTGAAATCAAGTTTATTTTAAGAGTTCAGGGGCAGATGGCGTTACTTTGCTTCTTTAAAAAAAGATGGCATTCAATGTGGTTGAGTTCTATCAAGTCAAAGGACAAGTACTGTCTCATTCACCCAAACACTGCTGTCTTTAACCTTGACTAGCGGGAACTTCTATGTTAAATGTATGCACACTTCTGTACATCTGCCTTCAAATTTTAAAGGAACATTTTAATGTGGAAGGGATATGTTCTTGACATTTTCTTAGTCTAAAGTTTAAACAGCACTTCGTCTTCTAATTAGGAAGCCCTAAGCAGTCAGGCTCTTTAGAGAAATATCACTAGATCAGAGCTAAAGGCTCCCGTCTTAAGGACATTGGATGTTAGTTTTTTTTTTTTTTAAATAAAAATGTTGTTAAAATGTCAGATAATTAGTACAGATTACTACTGGTTTAAAAAATATAACAAAAGACAGCGCAGAGCTCTAGATGAGCAGAGAAAAATGCAATAAATGTTCTGAAATGAATGTGAAAATGTTAGCCATTTTCTTGATGAGGAGAATTATCCTCACCATTACAAACTAAACTTAATTCAGTCTGGGAGAAAAGCAAATCTGATGTAGTCTAATGGAATTGCTTGACTTGATCAGCATCCAAAAATCTATGGCTCAGTATTAGCCGCCTACATGTTGGCACTTTCAGTGCCCACAGTGACGAGTCTATTTTTTCACTGGTGTATGTGTAGTGTTGAATGTACAATCCGGAACCATTGTAGCAACCAGTTCCTTATGCAACACTTACTAACAGGGCATGGCGAAATCTGTCCGAAGTGAGAATACCCAGTGCTATACTGTGAAAGACTTAAACAGAAGTAATGCAACTGGGCCTTCCAGGCATATTAAGCCTGCCAAAGTAAAGATTTGGCATTTAACATTTAATCATGCAGCTAATTACAAAGCAATTATTTCATATAGACATATTACAGGGAGAGAATTAAAATAATCTGTAAAAGACTAAAATTAATTGATTTCATGGTAGTTTTTAATAACTACACTTGCTGGTGCTGAAAAGGAGCAATAAAAACAGCCCAGTTGTTGGTTGATGTTTTGTTCTGTGCTGGGCCTTCTGTCAGTTTCTCAATTCAATAATGTTAAATTGCCACTTTCATGATTCCAGCTATGCAAATAGTCTATTTCTTAAAAAGAAAAAAACAACTTTCTTGATCTTACAAGTGATTTAAACAGAAAAAAATTTTTCCCGTCGTCCTACTTTCTTTGCCTGTCATAGAATCTTGGGTTTAAAAGGGCTGTGAAAGACTAAAGGCTCGAGATTCTTCAAACTGTATCTGGTGTGTGACTTTCAAAACATGGGAGGAAAATGATTTTGGCACAGAGCTAAGGTATTTCTTGAATAATTATAAGTTTAGCCTGCTGGGTCCTAGAAGAAGTTATAAAGATCATAGAGCTTACCACAGCTTTTAAAGTTAAGGAACAGGTACCTCTGTCTCCCTATCTGTAGGATATACAGGCAACAGTAGAAAGCAAACTCTTTTCATAATCAGTTGTGTGTAGTAAGAGTACAATGGGGAGAAGTAGGGTAAGGAAAGTCAGGACTCTAAGTATTTGATAAAATAAGCATTCATATAAAAATAATTTAGATGGCAGTTAATACACATATTAATTAACTACTTTACTTTTATTTTTTTTGAGACAAGAGTCTCACTCTTTCACCCAGACTAGAAGGCAGTGGGGTGATCACAGCTCACTTGCAGCCTTGAACTCCTGGCAGTCCTCCTGCTTCAGCCTCCTAAGTAGGTAGGACTATAGGCACACACCGCCATGCCTGGCTAATTTTTGTATTTTTTGTAGGGATGGGATCTCGCTATGTTAGCAGGCTGGTCTTGAACTCCTGGGCTCAAGCAAGCCTCCTGCCTCAGCTTCCCAAAGCACTGGAATTACAGGTGTGAGCCAATGTGCTCAACCCAATATTAACTACTTTAAAATCTTACACTTCTTTAGTTTACTAGGGCTGCCGTGGCAATGTACCACAAACTAGGTGGCTTAAAACAACAGAAATTTATTATTTCACAGTTCTGTAGGCTAGAAGTCCAAGATGAAAGCATCAAGGTGTCAACAGGGCCATGCTCCCTCTGAAACCTGTAAGAGAATAAGTCCTTGCCTCTTAGCTTCTGGGGGTTTGCTGGCAAACTTTGGCATTCCTTTGTTTACAGCTGTGGAACTCCAGTCTCTGCCTTCATTGTCACATGGTGTTTTTGCTGTGTGTCCCTGTCTTCACATCATTTTCCCTCGTCTTTAAAGGACACCAGTCATATTGGATTAGGGGCCTAGCCTATAGCCTACTCCAGTAGTCTACTCCTCATCTAAACGAATTGTATCTGCAATGACCCTGTTTCCAAAAAAGGGCCACATTCTGAGGTCCTTGGGATTGGGACTTCAACATCTCTTTTTTTGAATCCACAATCCGTAACTAACAAGCATTTTGACCCAGATCATGGGATACACTGATGGTAAATGGTGTAGGCATTTTGTGCATATTAACTCATTTCATCTTTTTGACAACCACATGAGGAAAGGATGCTGACACTACTCTCAAAGGAAGACACAGAGACTAGAAAAGTATCATGTGTGGAGCTGGATTTTAATCTCAAATCTGTTGACTCCGAAGCCTATGCTCATTCTCGTATTCTAAAGAGCTGCCTTCCCAGGGATCCTGTTTTCCCATTCTCTTTTGTTGTTGTTGTTGTTGTTGGAAAATCTAGAGATAATTTCCTGAGTTCTCAAAAACCATGTCTACCTTTCTCACAATAATATTAATTTGCCCTGCTAGTTTTTAGAATTACTTTTACTTCATATGTTCTGTAATTACATTGTCCAAGAATGTGATCTAGAAATGACATATATTTTTAATAGGAAGTAACTAAAATGCCTAAAGTACAAAACACCTAAAAGGCATATTTGTGCATTCAACAGTCATTTTCGAGTACCTGCTCTAGGGCTAGCATTCTACTAGGCCCTGTCTAGCAAATTTGCCATCAAAAGCTCTTAATTTCTAAAAAGTTTCATTCAGCCTTTTCTTTAGGGAATATGGTGGGAGTCATGGCCTTTCATACAGGGCTGAACATTTTTTGTTTAAGTTATTTTCTATGTAAACCGCTCTTCATTTATTCAAATACAATAAATAAGGAGAGCAATGGTGTACTCTGATACTTGAAAAGAGGAGATCTATTCTGATGGAAACCTTTGCTTGCTTCCATCCTAAGGGTTTAGGTAAAAGAATTCTTATGTATTTCCTTCTGGATTCAAATTACATGAACTTTACGAGTCCATACACCTGTTTCAGACAGGCTTTGTTCTCGCAGGTATAGCGAGAGAAATGCAATAAATGAAGAAAGGTCTAAATATACTTTGTGATGTACTCTGGTTGTTGTTTCATTGAACACTTGCAGGCTAGTCACTGTGTTAAGTGCAGTACCTACCAGGATGAATAAAACATAACCTTGGACTTCAAGAGTTTGAGTCACCTCTGAGAACACTCTGATGAGTGACTGGAAGAATGAAACAGTGTGGCTTAGAGCAAAGCCATGGCTACCTCTGTCTTTGCAGTTACCAGGCCCCAGCTGACATGCCTGCTGGATCCTCTGAGCCTGTGAGTGGTGGCAGGTCAGAGCCAGACTAAGGCTGGAATCTTTTTAAACGTGGTCTGCATGACAGGACTCTGGTGCTTTAAAAAATATACAGATATTCCCAGACCCCATCCCAGACTTACTGAATCAAAATCTCCATGAGGCATGAGAATGTGCATTCCCTTAAAACGATCTCCAGATTCATGAACAACTAAGTTTGGAGATATAGGGCTGTGCATGCCTAGTGTGGTGGCCACTGGTTACATCTGGCTATTTAAATGTAATTCCAGTCAATTGAAATAAAATGTGAAACCTCCATTTCTCATTCCCACCAGCTACGTTTCACTTGCTCAGTAGCCACTCAGGAGCTACCATGCTAGGCAGTGCAGACTGAATATTTCTGAAGTTGCATTAGATAGTGCTAATAGAGCAAACACAAATTAGTAACTCTCATTCCTCCCTCCCAAAGATCCACCTATCTCTTTACTCCTCCCTTTTGACATGTACCTTTTCTTTTTTTTTGAGTAACTTGTGTACTTGTCTTATACACTCCCCTTAAGATTAGAAGCTGTTTAAGGGCAGGGTCTGGTCTTCCTGGCCCTGTGACACAGCAAACACTGAATGTATTTTTAATTAAATCAGTGTGATTCAATTTGCACCATTTTATTGGATCTCTTTTGCCTTTCAACTGACACTAGATTTCATCAGAGTCTAGAGAAAAGGATGGATCACAGAACAGGTTTGTCTCAATCACAAACAGTAGGATGGATTTTTGCTAAATTGCAAGGTTTTCTTAAGCACAAAATGTAGAAAAGACCCACCAGAGCTGTGAGTATTTGCAAGCCTAAACCTATTGTCATATTTGGGTACCTAGAAAGCACATTTGAATTGATTCAGCTAGCTGTTTGATTTATCTATTGAGTGCCCACTATGTAGATGCCAGACTCATTGCCTCACCCTGGAATGACTCAGAGTGAACAAGACAGAAACGGGTTCCTCACTCCATGAGATGCACACTCTCATATGGCATATTGAAATATTGGCAAGGAGTCTCCCTGCCCAGACGGATTGGGATAGAAAAGCGATGCGATTTGGGTTCTGGCATCAGATGCCTGGATTCACATAGAACCTCAACCACTCTGCTGTACTAGTTCCAAGACCTTGGGTAGTTCATTTTATTTTTCTGAGTCTCCATTCCATCACCCATAAAAATAGGAACATGATGGCATTCACCTCATAGCGTTGCAAGCATTCCATGAAATAATTTATGTAAATGATTCAATGCAGTGCATGTTGCATAATAAGAGCTTAATAAGAACTAACTGCTGTTACTCTTACAACTACTACTCAGCCAAAACTACCCTGCAATTAACATTAAGATGTAAAAAATTAGGTGTCTGCAAGGTTAGAAAATAACTCATTATTTGGAAAGGGTGTTTTCTGTCTTTCTTGAGCTAGCAGTTTAATTCCTGTAGCTTACTATTTACATCCTTGCATCCTAAATCACTGAGATGGATATATAAATGTTTTGGTAGATGCCTATCTCTTGTTTTATTTTTTATGTTTCTTTGGTGAAGGATTTAACTTGTTTGAAACACTTCTTTCCAGACAATTAAGAATAGGGAAATGCTTCAGGTGTCATTCAACCTATCTTGGTGTAGAGAGATCACAAAGAATTCTTTAAAGAGGCTTACCATTAAACTGCAAAACTGAAATCCTAATAACTAGAATGCAAATATTTAATTAGCATTTCTCATTAAAATAAATGTGTGACTTTTTTTCTTACCTTCAAAAATGACATGGCCTTTGAAAATACATACTGGAAATGAGCTGGGAAGAGAAGGGTTGGATTTTGAAGGCAGCCACTTGATACTGGGGAGTTTGCAAGTTGAGCCTTCCTGAGTCCTTCCCATTCTTTCATCGGGGGGAGAAGAAGACTTTGCTGTGCACCTGTATATAATAGTGAAATTAATTTCAAATCCAGGACCTGCTTTATTCTTACCTCAGATTCCATGAAACCTGCTTTAAACTTTTTCTAATATTCTAGAAATCTACTCTATCCTTACCCAAGGGATAGAGGATATTTCTGTGGCACCCAAGCTATTCAGTGAACAGATGAACTGTCCCAGGGTCTTCACTGTGATTGGAGGGGCTCAAGTCATTTGGGAAAAATCGGTGTTGGCTTCAAGAGCTATAAATGCTCCCAGGTAGCCAGACTATACTATTGATACTTCATTCATTTGATTCAAAATTGGGGGTTTTTGGGATGACTGTGTGTCCTGTGGGAGGTGGTACTTAGAGCATGGGCTTTGAAACCAAGACGATTTCATTTGATTCCTTCCTTCATCACTTTCTAGATGTGTACCTTGAGCAGGTATATCTCTATGCATCTATTTCCTCAGTGTAAAAAGGGGACAATCATAGTACCTAGCTCCTGGGGATGTTGTTTAAAAAAAAAAAGAAGAAGAAGAAGGTTAGGTTAAAAGAAGAAAAGTTCCAGATAATTTTCAGGAGATTGTTTTCAGGACATAAATTAATTTTCTTATCGGAAGAGTAGATATTAACTTAGGTTTTCAGCACCTGACTCTAATTGTCTTAAGTTGACGCCAAAGGAAATTTGTTGAAATCCTGCTATGATCCACTGCTCAAGACATGTTATCTCATTTAATCTTCAGAACATCCAAATGAGGTAGGTATAACTATGCCCATCAAAAAGAGGGGGAAACCAGGGCTTAGAGAGGTGGAGTCATTTGTCCCAGGTGGCATAGGTAGTACCAGGATATGGACCCAGCTCTGTCTGCCTCTTGAGACTGTGCCTTTCTTTTTAATTTTTTTTTAAAGCTAAACACAGTTTCTCTTAAAAATCTGGGAGCAAGTGTTTTGCTCCCAATCAAGAAGTGCTGCTTAATGGGTACCTTTAAGAGCAGAAACCTGAACAAAGCATCAAATACTCAATACCTGGAGCTGGAGCCCTAGTTTCAGCCCAGCCTCATCATTTAGAGGTAGGAAAGATGGCTAACATGCACTGAGCTGGAGTCAAGACCAGAGGTAAGGACTCAGGTCCCCTAACTCTTGGTCCAGTGCTCCAGCCCCTGTACCGTGCTGCTTCTCAAACTACCTGAGAGTCAGATAGGACTCAGAACCAGACAGCATTCAGGCATGGGCCCTATGTCCATGACTTACTAGCTCACTTGAGACAAATGAGTTGACATCATTGTAAAGAATAGAGATGATCATACCATATACACGTAAGTCACTCAGTGTAGTGGTTAGTACATAGTCTTTTATTAAAGTGAGTTTACTAGTAGAGTTAGTTACATTCATATTATTCATGAGGGCTTTCCTATCTTGAATGTCCAACTCCAACTCCTAATTATTTTAAAAATCTATGCACTTCTTTCACTTGAATTTCTATGCCCTCATAGACTTTACAGGCACATGTTCTATCACCAATTAAGAGAAATTTAACTTACACATTTTACAACTTATACATGCAATTTGGCTGTGCTTATACAGCACAGATCAACATTACAATCAATTTACTGCCATGTTAAAAAAAAAATCAGTGAACATTGTTCGGCTGACCTGACTAATTTTTTGAAATAAGTTGGCCATCAGTGTAATTGATTGAGCTATCTGTACAACCCCCAACCTACCTAAGCAAAGGTCAAAATGGAGGTTATTAAAGAAAACCAGCCACTGAACTATCCCTAAATTGAGTGATGTTTTCCTGTGCTACTGATAAATGATTCATTGATGGAGCACTAAAGACTAATGTCATTCAAAGAACTGTAGACCCTGCCCTCGTGGCAAAGAATATGAATTTAACCTTAGACAAAGCAAAGCAATGTGGGATTGTCTATCTAGAGTGCAGGACAGGGTGCTTGGAGAGTGGAGCTTGGCCTCCAAATATGTGACCTCACCTCTCTGAGGTGTCCTCTGCAAAATGAGAGGTTATTGTAGATGTGTCCTGTGATCTGTAAGGCCGTCTCTACCTTTCACAGTTTGCGCATCTGTATATTTCACAGGGAGGCTAGCCTGCTTGCTTTTGATCAGTTGAAGTCAAATCAGACTCTGAGGTCGACGTTATTCCCTAGGGCTCTTTCATAGACACCCTTCCCGTCTGTCCCAAGACACCTTCCTGGGTTTGGATTCATGCCAGCTGGCACTGGGCTTTTGGCTTTTCATTTTTCTTTTGCTTTTTACATTTTCTGTTGTAATTCTTAAGTCCATCCAGTCCAGCCTACCCTGCTTCCCATGCCTGGCCAACCCTCCTGAAAGGGCTAAAGTGCCATCCATGCCCAGTTCCTCTTAGGAGCTGAATGAATTGTGACCCCAGCTTTTATGCTCGACTTGGAGACCAGCTGCGCCTTTGGGCTTTTCCCAGAGATGTTGGATGAGACTGCACCTGCAGTGTGATGGATTTGCCCTTGCCTGAAAGAGGAAGGAAAATGAGGGAGAATCAAAAGATCACTTGTATCCATCCCCTTCTTTGTACACTAGTACATTTATATCACCAGAGAATTTTTGTCTCGATGAATTAATAGTAATAACATACAAGAAAAAGGAGAAAAGGAAAAGAAAATTAGGGGGAGGACAATCTAATTTTCTCTGGGAGCCAGTAAAACCACCCCAGAAATTTAACATGGTCAGATTAGGAAACACTGAATTTGGGAGCAAGGCACTCGAGTTTCATTTTGTTCCCCTGACAATTAACTGGGTCAATTTGGATCACCTAGGGGATCTCTAAGGTCCTGACTACCTTTTAAAGTAGGTCTTCTGAAAGAAAGGAGTGTAAAATGAATTTTTGGAAATGTAATGCTTCTTAAAGCACTAAAGAAGTTTTCTTCTGAGCAGAGAGTCACACCATAATAAACTGAGTTTATAATTATAGATTTTCACGTATGGAGTATTTGCCAATAATATTTGAAAATTTATATCTAATCATCTAGTTATCATATATTCCCTTTAGCTCACCATTATAGATGCTATTTTTATACTTATATTCAGAGGTTGCAAACTGGCCATGGGCCATAAAGGGACTCTGAAAGCAGGTAGGTTCTGTTTGGCCTGCACAGCTAAAACATTTTGGGTTGCCTTTTGGAATTCATGCACTCTCCAGCCTTCTACATGACTACTGCTTCTTACTGTGTTAGAATCAACTCCCTACACCTACCTGGCCCTAGAAAGCATTAAGTTTGAGATCTTTGTCACAATCAAACTCCATCCCTCCAAAACAATTTAATAACACAAGAGGAAGAAAAAAGAAGGGAAGAAAGGAAGAGAAAGGGAGGGAGGAAGCATTGCCTCTCTGAAAATGATTGGAAGTAAAGTTTTCCATGACACCAGAGGAAAGGGCTGATGACTTCCTGAGGTTCCTTTAGGCCTGGGAAGCTATGACTACTTAAGGTAAGAAAAATAAAATAGGATACAAAGTTACATGACTTGTTCAAGGTCGTCCAGAAAGTTTATGCTGAAGCCAAAATTAAGAATTCCTTTCTTGGCGAACATCCTTGTTCTGTTGCCTGGCCTATTGAGATGTGTGGCCGCCCTGCTTGGTGATGAATAATGTGGGCTTTTAGGAACAGTTCCTTATGCAAAAGAGCCTCAGGAAGATCCATTGTGTCCTTGCAAGGGGATACACTATATTGTTTCCTTAATGCATTACGGAGACTATTATAGCTCTTCCTCTCATACGACCCTCCATCTGTGATCACTTAACACACACTACAGAGTGTTGGCTTTGGATAATGTGTGAACCAGGAACATAATTTTGGAAAATGGTTGGAGAAAGAAATCTAAGAGTCAGAAAGGGTCAGGTGCCAGAAAAAAGTCTAAGAAACTAATGTTTTTAAAAAGAGTCTGTGCAGATTCAGCGTTCAGATCGTATGTGCAAGGCCCTCTTTCCTTCCCAAGAGGAATAAAATACATCCTCAATACAAAATTTACTGTAATTTCTCTCTTTGACCCCCCTGTACTGGCTAGCTACATTATTTAAGGTACAGAACTTGTACTGGATCATACCACAAAAGGCATTCTCTACTGATTTCAACGATCTATGCCTTACTTTCATCTTCAACACCCATGAAAAAGACTCAGATTCAATACGAGACATCAATCCTGTAAATAATAGTAGCTAACATCTACTCGGGGCTTGCCATGTGCCAGGCCCTCTGCCAAAGGCTTTACATTTAACAGTTCATTCTAATTCTCTCACAGTCCTTATAAAGCAGGTTTTATAATCTCCATTTTCTTAAAGAGGAAACTGAGACTTAGAAAGTTTCAATAACTTACCCAAGGTCACAGAGCTGAATTT
Organism: Homo sapiens; assembly: GCF_000001405.40. Classification (NCBI taxonomy): domain Eukaryota; kingdom Metazoa; phylum Chordata; class Mammalia; order Primates; family Hominidae; genus Homo; species Homo sapiens. Next base: position 3,827,264 of record NC_000003.12, read on the forward strand.
GAAACCAAGTCTGTCTCTCCAGAAGCCGCATTCTTAACTTTATGCTATACTCTTGTTTCAGACATCTGAAAGCCCTTGTTAAGTATCACAATCAGCACTGGGGCCTGTAGCTGAAGGCAGAGTGGCCTTCAGGGACAGGAGGATCCTTCTGGGAGGTCAGTCCACACAGTGGAGTCTGGGTCCATCTTGCCTCATGGAGTAGCTACAGGCAATGTTGGTGTTGAGGCAATCTATTTTTCTTAAACTCTGTAAGGCAAGAAGGAAATCTTGGTTGAACAAAAATCCCATTTCCCCATTATTCAAGCCATTCCTAAAAGAAAGGAAGCAAATTTGAATCCTGCATTTGCCATGGATCTATTTGGAGCCTGAGAAAAAGCTAAAAGAATGATGTTTTTTGAACATTATCTACATGATATGGATTTGGCCAATCCAGAAAGGATACATAAAGCTCATGCCCTCAGAAGGCATTTTTCTTCATTTGGGGATCAAAATTTTAGTTCTTTGCTGTGATTATACTATCTATGAGATGGTGATAATTTCCAGGTTGGAGGTTTGTGTTTTATAAATTGCCTGGATAGGGTTTCAATTTAGCTTTAATACAATATTTGGTCTCTGGATTTTATTAATTTCAATGATAATGGTTGAAAATATAATAGAAATGACAAATAATATTGATAATAACTCTTTACCAAGTATCTGCCATGCCCAAGGGCCTTAAAGAGATCATTCATTACTCCCAATAACAAGATGAAAATGAAATTCAAAGGCAAATCTGATAGGGTTCCAGAGGTTCAAAAATAAGTATTTGAGGGCTCACTATGTGCTGGATATTTTCCCAGTGTGTTAGGGTTCTCTTAGAGGGACAGAATTATATATATATATATATATATTATATATATATCTCCCATTAGTGTATGTGACTATTATATATATAAAGGGGAGTTTATTAAACCAATCACAAGGTCCCACAATAGGCTGTCTGCAAGCTGAAGAGCAAGGAGACCAGTCTGAGTCCCAAGACTGAAGAACCTGGGGTCTGATGTTCCAGGGCAGGAAGCATCCAGCACGGGAGAAAGATGTAGGCTAGGAGGCTAGACCCGTCTCTCTTTTTCACGTTTTTCTGCCTGCCTTTTTTTTTGCTGGAAGGTGATTAGATCGTGCCCACCAGATTAAGGGTGGGTCTGCCTTCCCACTGACTCAAATGGTAATCTCTTTTGGCAACACCCACACACACACACCTAAGATTAATACTTTGTATCCCTCAATCCAATCAAGTTGACAGTATTAACTATCACAAGTCCATCCCTTGTTAACTTGAACACACATCTCCTGAGATCATACATTACCTTAAATAGAGACAATAATGAGGTCATAATTACACCTAACATAACTATCCTTCCCACAACCGGAAACACACTAATCCCCAACCCAAATACTGTTACATAAAGTTAACAATACTTAAATGCTGATATGAAGTCAATAAATCTTATGTCACATGATAAAGGAAAAAAATGAAGATATTTTCTTAGTACAGGTATATACAGGCACAAACGTGTTTTTAACAAGGAGGAAATACTCATGACAGTTAACAGTCCTTGTTTCTGCACTTGTTTCTGCAGCTGGTCATGTGATCGTAGCTGGTATTGATGACTACCTTCTTGTACTACCCATTCTATATTCCCTTTGCCTTCAGCAAGCACCTCAGCAGGTTGTGTTTTCTTTTCTTTCTTTTTTTTTTTTTTTCCTGGTGGAGTGACCCAAACCTTCATTCCTGAAAGGTCTGGGCCATTTGTAGTCCTTTCTGGATTGGGCTGTTGTAGTTTTCCATTGACCTTAATCACAGGACATTGTAATACTAAGAGATATCCTAATGGATCTCCTGTATTCCATGCATACTCTCCCTTACTTCCATCATAAAGTAGTAGACTGATTCCATTTTGATAATCTGGGTCAATCACACCAGCCAAAACTGTAACTCCCTTCTTAGCCTGTTGACTTAAAGGTAGAGGGAGCCCAAAGTGTCCAGGTGGCAATCTTCCAGTTTCATGGAATCGTTGTTATGTCTCCTGGTGGCAGCGTTCCTCCTCCTGGAACTAAGATGTCTAGGGTAGCAGAATGTAATGTCGTGGGAATAGGAAACAAAAATTTTGCTAGTGGATCACTAGGGGTGATGGTGAGTGGCGCCACTTCCACCTGTTGATTCCTGGACCCATGAATTCTAGCTATGGGACAAACATTACCATGTATTGGATGCTGATTCAGAGCATACACAGCCTTCTGGAGAACTTTGCTGCAGCCCTGCAAATATTGTCACCTAGTTGGCATTTTAATTGTGACTTCAAAAGGCCATTCCACTGTTCTGTCAATCCAGCTGCTTCAGGATGATGGGGACCATGGTAAGACCAGTGAATTCCATGAGCATGAGCCCACTGCCACACTTCTTTAGCCGTAAAGTGAGTGTCTTGGTCAGAGGCAATGCTGTATGGAATACCATGATGGTGGATAAGGCTTTCCGTGAGTCCACAGATGTTAGTCTTGGTAAAAGCACTGCATGCAGGATAGGCAAACTCATATCTGGAGTAAGTGTCTATTCCAGTGAGGACAAACCTCTGCCCTTTTCATGATGGAAGAGGTCCAATATAATCAGGTAGCTGGCTGATCATCCCGAGGAATGGTGCTTTATCGAGGGCTCAGTGTTGGTCTCTGCTGCTGGCAAATTGGGCACTCAGCAGTGTCTGGAGCCAGGTCAGCCTTGGTGAGCAGAAGTCCATGTTGCTGAGCCCATGTTTAACCTATATCCCTGCCACCATGGCCACTTTGTTCATGGACTCTTTGAGCAACGACAGGGGTGGCTGGGGAAAGAGGCTGAGTGGTGTCCACGGAATGGGTCATCCTATCCAGTTGATTATTAAAAGCCTCCTCTGCTGAGGTCACCCATTGGTGAGCACTCACATGGGATACAAACATCTTCACAGTTTTTGACCACTCAGGTCAATCCACATACCTCCTCCCCAAATTTCTTTGTCACCAATTTTCCAATCATGTTTCTTCCAAGTCCCTGACCATCCAGCCAAACCATTGGCTACAGCCCATGAATCGGTATATACTCACACATCTGGCCATTTCTCCTTCCATCCAAAGTGCACAACCAGGTGCACTGCTTGAAGCTCTGCCCACTGGGAAGATTACCCTCCACCGCTGTCCTTTAGGGATGTCCTAAAAAGGGGCTGTAGTGCTGCAGCTGTCCATTTTCAGGTGGTGTCTGCATATTGTGCAGAACCATCTGTGAACCAGGCCCTAGTCTTCTCTTCCTCTGTCAACTGATCATAGGGAACTCCCCATGAGGCCATCAGGGCAGGCTGGGGGAGAGAAGGCAGGGTGGCCTGAGTGGAGACCATGGGCATTTGAGCCACTTCCTTATGTAACTTACTTGTGCCTTCAGGACCTGCTTGAGCCCGATCATGTATATACCACTTCCATTTGATGATGGAATGCTGCTGTGCATGACCCACTTTATGGCTAGATGGGTCAGAAAGCACCCAGTTTATGATAGTTCAGGTTGCATGGTAGCTTGGTGACCCATGGTCAAACGTTCAGTTTCCACCAAAGCCTAGTAACAGGCCAAGAGCTGTCTCTCAAAAGGAGAGTAGTTATCTGCAGAAGATGGCAGGGCCTTGCTCCAAAATCCTAGAGGCCTCCACTGTGATTCATCTATGGGGGCCTGCCAAAGGCTCCAAACAGCATCCCTGTCTGCCACTGACACCTCAAGCACCATTGGGTCTCCTGGGTCATATGGCCCAAGTGGCAGAGCACTTTGCACAGCAGCCAGGGCTTGTTGTAGAGCCTGCTTCTGTTCTGGACCCCACTCAAAACTGGCAGCCTCTCAGTTCACTTGATAAATGGGCCGGAGTAACACACCCCAACGAGGAATGTGTTGCCTCCAAGATCCAAATAGGCCCACTAGGCATTCTGCCTCTTTCTTGGTTGTAGGAGGGGCCAAATACAGCAACTTATCCTTCACCTTAGGAGTATCTCACCAGGCCCCACACCACTGGACCCCTAAAAATTTTACTGAGGGGGAAGATTCCTGAATTTTAGTCAGATTTATTTCTCATCCTCTGGCACGCAAATGTCTCACCAATAAGTCCATTGTGTTTGCTACTTCTTGCTCAGTGGATCCAATCAGCATACTGTCATCAACGTAATGGACCATTGTGATATTTTGCGGAAGCAAAAATGATTAAGGTCTCTCTGAATAAGACTATGACACGGCCGGGCGCGGTGGCTCACGCCTGTAATCCCAGCACTTTGGGAGGCCGAGGCGGGTGGATCATGAGGTCAGGAGATCGAGACCATCCTGGCTAACAAGGTGAAACCCCGTCTCTACTAAAAATACAAAAAATTAGCCGGGCGCGGTGGCGGGCGCCTGTAGTCCCAGCTACTCGGGAGGCTGAGGCAGGAGAATGGCGTGAACCCGGGAAGCGGAGCTTGCAGTGAGCCGAGATTGCGCCACTGCAGTCCGCAGTCCGACCTGGGCGACAGAGCGAGACTCCGTCTCAAAAAAAAAAAAAAAAAAAAAAAAAAAAAAGACTATGACACAAAGCTGGAGAGTTGATATACCCCTGGGGTAGGACAGTAAAGGTATATTGCTGTCCTTGCCAGCTGATGGCAAATTGCTTCTGATGGGCCTTATGGACAGAAATGGAGAAAAAGGCATTTGCCATGTCAATGGCTGCATACCAGGTACCAGGAGACGTGTTAATTTGCTCAAGCAATGAAACCACATCTGCTGCAATTGGAGTCACGACTTAGTTAAGCTCATGATAATCTGCTGTCATTCTCCAAGATGCATCTGTCTTCTGCACAGGCCAAATGGGAGAGTTGAATGGGGTTGTGGTAGGAATCACTACCCCTCCGTCTTTCAAGTCCTTGGTGGTGGCACTAATCTCTGCAATTGCTCCAGGATGCAATATTGTTTTTGATTTACTATTTTTCTAGGTAGAGGCAGCTCTAATGCCTTCCATTTGGCCTTTCTCACCATAATAGCCTTCCAGTCAGGGAGAAAATGTGGGGGTTCTGCCAGCTGCCAAGTATGTCTATGCCAATTATGCATTCTGGCATTGGGGAAATGACCACAGCATGAGTCAGGGGACCCACTGTAAGTTGGACCTGAGCTAAAACTCCATGAATTACCTGACCTGCATAAGCCCCTGCTTTAACTGGAGGACCACAATGATGTTTTGGGTCTCCTGGGATCAACATCAGCTCAGAGCCAGAGTCCAGTAGTCCCCAAAATGTCTGATCATTTCCCTTTCCCCAGTGCAGTTACCCTGGTAAAATGCTGGAGGTCTCCTAGGGGAAGGATGGAAGAAAGATTCACTGCATAAATTGTTGGTAATGTAGTGGGGTTTTTCCTTAAAGGGACCCAGCCTCCCCTTCATTCAAGTGGTTCTGGTTCCATAAACTGGCTCCAGTCTGGAAATTGAGCGGTCATGATTCTCTGTTTTTATAATTCAAATTAGTATTTTGTCCATGTGACCTAGAAGTTTTCTGTTTGTGTAATTTAAGTAGGAATGCAGTAGGCTTCCTATCAATTTCACTTCTAGGAACACCGTGATTAATTAGCCAATGGCAGAGCTCTACATGAGTCAGATTATTCTGATTGCTGCTTTGCCTCTGCTGTCCATTACAGTAGCTATGCCCACTTTGCCTTTGACAGTTGAGTGCTGCCACTTGGCCCCTGCCACCTTGGGATCCAATTCTTCCCACTGTATTTAAATTTTGTAGTTGAGTGACTGCTGTTCCCACCGTTAGATCTGACATACAGAGAAGAGCAATTACAGGGCTCTTCAGAGATGCAGGTGCTGCCCTCACAAATCTATTTTGCAGGGCATTGGTCAAGGCTATATCTTCTGGGCCCTCCCAACTGGGATGAGTGGGTCTAAAGTGACTAATCCACTCCACCATCTCAATCTCCCTAGGCCTTTGGATCCCTTCCTCTACATTAAACCAAGGGAGATCAGGCATTTCCAGCTTGCTCACTGTGGGCCATCTTTTAATCCATACTTCAGCTAACCAAGCAAATAAACTATTAGAATCTTTTCAACTTCCTGAGCTGCAACATTAAATGCAGAGTTCCTACTTAGTCGGCCCAAATCAATAAGTTCAGCCTGATCCAGCTCTGTATTCCTTCCACCATTATCCCATACCCTTAATATCCATTCCCAAACCTGTTCTCCAGATTGCTCTTTATATAATTAGAGAATTCAAACAGTTCTTTTCTAGTGTAGTGCAGCTCCTCGTGGGTCACACTCTCAACCTCACCTCCAGGGGCCCATCGGGATTTTAGTTATAGGTCTAGAAGCAAACAGGGGTATTAGGGGTGGCTCCGGAGGAGAATCAACATTATTTTGCCTGGCAACTGCCTCAGGAGAGAGGCCATCACTGTTGCCTCAGGCAGCGCAGGGTTTGTCTCCTCAGACAAAGGCGGAAAGGCCTATGGCAGCATGTGTTGGGGAGGGGATGTTGCCACTACTGGGGATGGGGAAGCTGTTTCTTCTGGCAAAAAAGGTGCATCAGAGTTTACAAACGTAGTGTCCTCAGCTTCATCAGGGTGCTCCCACACATCCCCATTCCAAGTTGCAGGGTTGCATTCTTTTCCAATCAGTGCCCTCACTTTAACAGTAGACACTTGGTGAGGCTGTGCATGCACCTTTCATTGCAGGTCACCCACTCGCATGATAAGAGTTTGTGTCTGTTTTTCCACAGTTTCAGCTCTTTCTGTACAGAAGACAAGACTCTCACTCAGGGTAATCTTAGCAGATTTGAGGCTCGGTATCTGCTTCTGAAGCCAGGAGACAGAATCCCTGAGTCCATCATTTTCCATCATTTTCTTTCATCACTTTGTCCACTGAACTTAGGAGCAACCAACCAGCTTCATTGTGTTCCTCGGTTCTCCACATATGGTCAAAGGCATTATGTATAGAGTCACTGAACTCCTTGCCTCTTACAAGCAGTGAATCAGGAGTGTCAAATGCATTTATTTTGCATAAGTCTCTAAATAGTTTACAACAACGACTATCAGTGTTCTCCATACTATTAGAAGTACAGTCCTTAGCATTTTTGGGTCTAATCATATTAAGCAGCCAACTCCAGAAACCCCAAAACCAATGAAAGAACTCCATCCTTTAATATTCTGTTCCTTTAGAACCACTCCTGGTACCAAAATCTGTATTAGCGTTCTCTTAGAGGGACAGAACAGGATATATATATATATATATATATATATATGATATATATATTATTATACATATTATATATCATATTTTATATACATTATATATATAATATATGTAAAGGAGAGTTTATTAAGTATTAACATGCATGATCACAAGGTCCCACAATAGGCTATCTGCCAGCTGAGGAGCAAGGAGAACCAGTCTGAGTCCTAAAACTGAAGAACTTGGAGTCTGATGTTCGAGGGCAGGAAGCATCCAGCACAGGAGAAAGATGTAGGCTGGGAGGCTAGGCCCATCTCTTCTTTTCATGTTTTTCTGCCTGCTTTATATTCACTAGAAGCTGATTAGATTGTCCCCACCAGATTAAGGGTGGATCTGCCTTCCCCAGCCCACTGACTCAAATGTTAATTTCTTTTGGCAACACCCTCACAGACACAACCGGGGTTAATGCTTTGTATCCCTCAATCCAGTCAAGTTGACACTGGGTATTAACCATCATACCCAGGCCCTAGGCTGAATATTTTTACATAAGTACTTTTTTGTTATCATAATTTACATGTATGAACCATATATACTTAGCCTTAAGTTTAGCTATGGAAACTGAGGCACAGAGAATTTAAGTACAGATGCTTCTCAGCTTATGATAGGGTTACGTCCTGATACACCCATCTTAAGTTGAAAATATCATTATGTTTAAAATGCATTTAATACACCTAACCTACCAAACATCATAGCCTACCTTGAATATTGTCAGAACATTTACATTAGTTTTATTGGGCAAAATCATCTACCATAAAGTCTGTTTGCTAATAAAGTGTTGAATTTCTCATGTAATTGAACACTGCAGTGACAGTGAAAAATAGGATGCTATCATATAGGTACTCACAGTATGGTTTCTACTAAGTGTGTACTGCTTTCACACCTTTGTAAAGTCAAAAAATTGTAAGTTGAACTATCGTCAGTTGGGGAAGGTCTACAGCTTGCACAAAGTGACACATCTAGTAAGTGGAGAAGCATAATTCGAATACAGAACACTTGATTCCTCCAGGGTAGAATTCTTTCTCCAACCCCAGAGCTGCCTGATTTTTTTTTTTTTTTTTTTGCAGTAACAGAAATACAAATAACTAGCTTGTTACTGTGAGTATATATTTCTTTTTGCCCAACTTCATAAGAAGTTAATGCATATAAATCATAGAGCTAAGTCCCACCGAATAATGTCATTCTGTTAAACTAATATCCTATCTGACACAATGCTATGGGGAAAGTGAGAGTCTCCGCCAAGTGCAGTGATGGTGATGATCATGCAGTTCATTTCCTTCAGAATTTTATACTCAGAACAGAGTGTCCCAAACATATCGTGTTGGAAAAAAAAAAAGAAGCATCAAATGTAATGTATAATTGTTTGTGGGACTCTTGAAATGCATCCCGTGCCAATTCTGGGCCTTAAAGCCATGTTTTGTTAATTAAAGGATTGTTTCTTTAAACTGCCAGACTTCTTTGTGGAACATCACCCTGGTAATTAGCAGGACATTTTCTTCTTACATTTGATAGATCTAGTCAGTCAGCCCTAGAAGAAAGCAATTTCACTTAAAAAAAAAAATCTATTCCAGCCATTTCTTATTTGTTGCAGAATTTAAGATAATTAATTTGTATATGTTATAAAAGTTGGCCTGAATTATTATGGCTTCGCTTTTTTTGTGGTAAAAACACTTAACATTAAATTTACCATCTCTCAATTTTAAGTGTACAGTTCAGTTGTGTTAAGTATATTCACATTATTGTGTAACAGATCTCTAGAACTTTGTCATCTTGCAAAACTAAAACTTTATTCCTATTAAACACTAATTCCCTCTACCTCCAAGCCCTTGGCAACCACCTTTCTACTTTCTGTTTCTATGATTTTGGCTACTTTATATGAATGGAATCACGTACTATTCACGCTATTGTGAATGGCTTATTTCATAATGTCCTCAAGATTCATCCGTGTTGTAGCATATGACAGGACTTCCTTTTTAAAGCTGGATAGTATTCCATTGTATGTACACACCACATTTTCGTGTGTGTGTGTTTGTGTGTGTGTATGTAGTAGTGGTTTTTACTGATTGGCACAAGATCACGGCCTGTGCTTCCAATACCCTTCCCTCCTATGCAGCTCAAATGGAAGGAAACTGATTAACACATAGGAAGCAATAGCATGCTTACAGGTTTAAACTCCTTTCGTTTTTACAAAAAGGAGTGGGATATGGGGGGTGGTACAATTTTAGGGGTAGTAGCAAAACTCTCCCTAGACTACAGTGGGTGGGCCTGTCTGTCCCCTGTTGCTGGTACCACATAAGAAGGTTCATCAGTAAAGGAAAAAAGGGTTACATGTGGTTGGCCTGCTATTAAGAGGGGAAGATAGGATGGTATCTGCTGTGTACCTGTGTTGGGCCAAACCTGGGACTGGACCAGTGCCCCTTTTTTCTTGGCCCACCTACACAACCCAGCTGTACTGTCTCCTGCACCCATGGGAAGGAGGTGTGAAGGAAGCTGAGAACATCCGCCTTGAGAAGATGAAACAGGAAACCTCACTTTCCTTTCACTTTCTCTGGACTAAATTCCACTCCCCTCAGCTCTGGAAAGCACTGCAAAAGTCTTCCTTAGGAGTGCTGTGAAGACGCTGGGGAAGATGCCGGCCCAGGCAGGTGGCCCTGAGTGTGCAAAAAGAAAAACTTGACTTTCCATGCAGTATCAAGCAAGGTTACTTTGTAAACAAACAAAACTGGAAAATAAGACTACATACTAAGTCCTTGAGAGCATTTGGATTGGGGGCAAGGGCTTTATTACTCCTTCCCCCCCCCATTTTATAACCCCACACCAAGTGTCAAGAGCTTTAAGGACCACAACCAACCCCACCTTCCCTTCAAGCACCATTCCTTGGGTTCCTCAGTTTTGTTGAGCTCATTTGGGGTTATTCCTGCCACCCTCTTAAAAAATGACTCAGCCTGCTGGTTGGTCCATTTTCTACCCTTTCTACAATTATGAAACACACTCTCTAAATAGGAGATACATAAGCCCTCACTCTATAGTCCAAGGAACTAGGTGATATAATGCCAGGAAGGCTAAATTGTTTGCTTTCCTGGGTAATCCTGATGTGAATGGACAGCAGCAGGGTTCTGGTGGGATCAGAGCAGTCTAGTTTGAGCCACCGCACCACATTTTTTTTTCTTTTTTTTTAATTAATTTTAATTTTTTTTTTTAAAGCTCCAGGGTACCTGTGCAGGATGTGCAGGTTTGTTACATGGGTAAACGTGTGCCATGGTGGTTTGCTGCACCTATCAACCCATCACCTATGTATTAAGCCCAACATGCATTAGCTGTTTTTCCTAATGCTCTCCCTCCCCTCACCCCACCACCCAACAAGCCCTGTGTGTGTCGTTCCCCTCCCTGTGTGTCCATGTGTTCTCATTTTTCAGCTCCCACTTATAAGTGAGAACATGTGGTGTTTGGTTTTCTGTTCCTGCGTTAGTTTGCTGAGGATAATGGCTGCCAGCTTCATCCATGTCCTTGCAAAGGACATGATCTTGTTTCTTTTTATAACTCAGAAATAAGACCACCCATCTACAACCATCTGATCTTTGACAAACCTAACAAAAACAAGCAATGGGGAAAGGATTCCCTATTTAATAAATGGTCCTGGGAGAACTGACTACTCATATGCAGAAAATTGAAACTGGACCCCTTCCTTACACCTTATAAAAAAACTAACTCAAGATAGATTAAAGACTTAAATGTAAAACACAAAACTATAAAAACCCTAGAAGAAAATCAAGGCAATACCATTCAAAACATAAGCACAGGCAAAATCACCAAAAGCAATTGCAGCAAAAGCAAAAATTGACAAATGGGATCTAATTAAACCACATTTTCCTTATCCATTCATTTGTCAATGGACATTTGGGCTGCCTCTCCCTCTTGGCTATTGTGAATAATAATAGGTGCAATGAACGTGGGTGTACAAATATCTCTTTAAGATTCCGCTTTAATTCTTTTGGATATGTACCCTGAACTGGGACATAATCGTATGGTGATTATATTTTCAATTTTTTGAGAAATCACTATATTGTTTTCCATAATGGTTGCACCATTTTACATTCTCTACAACAGTGAACAAGGGTTACAATTTCTCTACATCCTTTCCAATGCCTGTTATTTTCTGTTGTGATAGTGTCCATCCTAATGAGTATGAGGTGATATTTCATTGTGCTTTTTATTTGCATTTCTCTTATGATTAGTGATATGGAGCATTTTTTCATATGCTTGTGGGTCATTTGTATGTCTTTGGAGAATTGTCTATTTAAGCCCTTCACCCATTTTTTAATAAGGTTATTTTGTTGTAGGAGTTTATAATATATTCTGGATATTAACCCTTTATCATATATATAATTTAAAAATATTGTCTCCCATTCTGTAGGTCATCTTTTTTTGCTGTTGATTATCTCCTTTGATGCACAGACCTTAAGTTTGAAATCATCTCATTTGTCTTCTGTTGTTGTTGTCGTTGCCTGTGTTTTTGGTGTCATATCTAAGAAACCATTGCCAAATACCCTGAAGCTTTTTCCTTATGTTTTCTTCTAGGAGTTTTATAGGTTTAGGTCTTATGGTTAGGTCTTTAATGCATTTTGAGTTAATTTTTGTATATGGCATAAGGTAAGAGTACAACCTCATTCTTTTCATGTAGATATCCAGTTTTCCTCACACAATTTGTTGAAGAAACTGTCCTTTATTGTATAGTCTTGGCACCCTTGTCAAAGATCATAAAGAGCATGTATAGAAGGCTTTATTTCTGGACTCTGTTCCATTGGTCTGTATGTCTGCCTTTATGTCAGTACCACACCATCTTGATTACTGTTGCCTTACAGTATGTATTGAAATCAAGAAGTGTGAAGTCTCCAACATTGTTCTTTTTCAGGATTACTTTGGCAATTTAAAATCTCTTGATCTTATATGAATTTTAGATTTTTTTCCTGTAGAAATTACCATTGAGATTTTGATAGAGATGGCATTGATTCTGTAGATTGTTTTGGGTGTTATAGACAGTATGACAATATTAAATTTTCCAGTCTATAAACATGGGATGTTTCATCATTGTGTTTATATCATCTTTGATTTATTTTGGTTATCTCTTAACAATTTTCATTGTACAAGTCTTTTGCCTCCTCAGTTCGATTCATTCCTAAGCATTGTATTCTTTCTGATACTTTTGTAAATGGGGTTGTTTCCTTAATTTCCTTTTCAGATTAGTCATTGTTAGTTTATGGAAATATAACTCATTTGTGTGTTGATTTTGTATCCTGCAAATTTGCTAACATCATTTATTAGTTTTAGTGGGTTTTTTGTGGGATCTTTAGGATTTTCTGTATATATGAGATTATGTAATCTGGGAACAGATAATTTTACTTCTTTTCCATTTGAATGCCTTTTATTTATTTTTCTTGTCTAATTGCTGTGACTAGAGTTTCTAGTACTGTGTTGAATAGAAATGGCAAGAATAGGCATCCTTTCCTTGTTCCCATTCTTAGAGGAGAAACTTTCAGTTTTTTGCTATTAAGAATCATTTTAACTGTGGACTTTTCATATGTGACTTTTATTATGTGTAGGTACTTTCCTTCCATTCTTCATTTGTTGAGTGTTTTTATCATGAAAAAGTGTTGAATTTTGTCAGATGGTTTTGTGCATCAATTGAGATGATCATGTGTTTTTACTTCTTCATTCTGTTAATGTGGCATATTATACTGATAGTTTTTCACATATGGAACCTTCCTTGCATTCCTGGTATAAATCCAACTTGTTCATGGTATATAATCTTTTTAATATGAGAAGTTTTGCATCAGTATGCATTAGGGATATTGGTCTGTAGTTTTCTTGTTGTGATAATGGATTTACATTTAAACACTATTGGCGAGTAGCTCCTGAGAAATGCCATACATTGTAAACATCTAAAATGGCTTAAGGACTCTATAATAAAGTTGTTCTATGTATAATGTCACATTAAAAAAGTTTGGTGAAATTTGCTAAAGAGAATTCAGAATTAAATACAAATAGAAATATCTTAAACATCTCCTTTTTTATTAAGGATGTTTAATTCCTTGCTGCCAAAGGAATGTCTTCTAGGATGTGGAGAGGAAATTCTTATACATACATTCTTATAGAATGTAGGAGAAAAAAATGTCTTCCTCTGTGCTTGATCTGATTTCTAACATTCTGAGTTTCCATGGTTGATTGGTTGGTTAGTTGCTTGAAAAAGGTATGTGTGTATGTCAAAGAAAAATTTGAACATTTCAACACAGTTATCTCAAATCATATAATTTAAACTAAAATGGGGGCATTAGCTATAATAATGTTGAACCTATAGCCCCATAAAGGCTATTTCTCAATACTAACAGACTGTTTTGGAAGTCTCTCACACAACTTTAATACATATTTTACTTCTTGGTACATTTCCTTACATTCAATAGAAACATAAAAATTAGTTGAGGCTGGGTGCGGTGGCTCACACCTGTAATCCCAGCACTTTGGGAGGCCGAAGTGGACGGATAACGAAGTCAGGAGATCCAGACCATCCTGGCTAATGTGGCAAAACCTTGTCTCTACTGAAAATACAATTAGGTGTGGTGGCACGTGCCTGTAGTCCCAGCTACTCACAAGGCTAAGGCAGGAGAATTGCTTAAACCCGGGAGGCAGAGGTTGCAGTGAGCCGAGATCGCACCACTGCACTCCAGCCTGGGCGACAGAGCGAGACTTTGTCTCAAAAAAAAAAAAAAAAAATTAGTTGAAATTCTGTCTCAGTTATGAAAGGTAGCTTTATTCTTTTGGTTTTCTATTTTGAGTTATGACTGAGAAATAACCTGTGGCAGAGGTTTTCTTAACAATGTATTGTGGCCAGTGCACCTGTTTCAAGATTACTCTAAACAGAAACAAGAGTGAAATAAATTTGTGGAGTTAATAATAAAAATGTTATTCTCTGTGGTATGTTTTCTTTTCTTTTGTTTTTTTAAGACAGGGTCTTGCTCTGTTGCCCAGGCTGGAGTGCAGTGGCGCCATCTTGGCTCACTGCAACCTCTGCCTCCCAGGTTCAAGCGATTCTCCTGCCTCAGGCCCCTGAGTAGCTGGGATTACAGGCACGTACCACCACGCCTAGCTAATTTTTATATTTTTAGTAGAGACAGGGTTTCACCATGTTGGTCATGTTGGTCTCGAACTCCTGACCTCATGATCTGCCCCCTGCCAGCCTCCCACAGTGCTGGGATTACAGGCGTGAGCCACCGCGCCCGGCCTGTATTTTTTCATTTCATAGAATTTCCAGATAAAAGTCAGAGTCAACTAGTTTTATAATACTGAAAAGTTTTGCAAATACAAGCATGTCACTTAATGATGGGGATGTGTTCTGAGAAATGTGTCATTAGGTGATTCCGTCATTGTGCAAATGTCATAGAGTATACTTACATAAACCTAGGTGGTATGTAGCCTATATGATATATGTGGCTTATATGATATACCCTATTGCTCCTAGGCTGCAAACCTGTATAGCATGTTACTATCCTGAAGTCAATGGGCAATTGTAACACAATGGCAAGTATTTGTGTATTGAAACATAAGGGTATAGTAAAAATATGGTACTATTAATACAACTGTATGGGACTACCATTGTATATGCGGTCCATCATTGGCCAAACTTTCTTTATGGTGGCACAAGACTACATAATAAATGGTAAAGTAACCAGACTTGGAGATGGGGAGGAGGGAGAAGAATGCCAAATGTATGTTTCCTCCCACAGACTAGCAGGCATCTAGTATCAGGCAACACACTTATACAATCATTTCCTACTCCTGTCTCACACTTGCCAGAATCTGGATTTAATTTTTTTTTTTTATTGTTAGACCAGTAATGCAGTTTTCATATTTTGTATAACAAAAAAGTTGTAGGACTTTTCCTTCTTACTGTGAAAATATGACTCATTAAATACATAACTTTTAGTATTGGCCATTTGTATTCTTATACTCTTAGTCACAAAGATAACTACGTTTTACAAAGTCGAAAGGTTAATAATAGCAGCTAGCATGAATTCAGAGCTTGCTATGTATTGAGCACTGGGTTTAAACACATATGCTCTATTTTATTAAGTCCTTATAGTAGGAAAGTGAAGAATACACTAGTCACTGAAGTTCCTTCAGTGCTCAAGACTCAAGTGCACTATAGCAAGACAAACACCAGGAAACATGTAACTCTGCTTCGAATACTTTAGCAAGTGAATGGCCCAGTTTGGGAAAGCAAGACAAACACTGGATCCATAATGGCTTTTTACACCTGATTGGAATGCAGAAAAAATGGAACCACTAACTACTAATATTATCTTTGCCAGCAGGTGAGCAGTACATACCTGACTTCAGAGGATTTTATTGAAACCAATAGATGATGGTTAATAAAAACAAATATCCTCAGCTTTCCTTCTTTTACTTGTCATCTGACAACCACTATTTAGCTAAAACTAAAATGGATTAGAGATACAAGATGATGAATAACAATTATTAACTTTTGTGAGCATATAATGTGAGTCAGCTACTACACTAAGAACTTTACATAGATTCCCTTAATTTTCTCAATAATCCTATGAGAACTGTCCTTGTATGAGCAACCCCATTTTATAGCTGAAGATACTTGAGGCTTCAAGAGGTTATATA
Organism: Homo sapiens; assembly: GCF_000001405.40. Taxonomy (NCBI): domain Eukaryota; kingdom Metazoa; phylum Chordata; class Mammalia; order Primates; family Hominidae; genus Homo; species Homo sapiens. The sequence goes on from NC_000003.12 coordinate 3,843,223, forward strand.
AACATGTTCATGGTCAACAGTTATTAAGCAGTGAGTGACATTCTCACGAGATTAATGAGATCATCTGTGTGAGATACAAATACATCTATTGTGTATGTTTGTGTTTTTAATGGAGACCAATGGTATGACAGAATGAAGTCCTTTTATCAGTCAGTCAAGATCTGATGTGGCTATTCAAATATAGGCAAAACTGATGTTTTCCTTTTTTAGTTAAGTTAAATGTAATATTTAAATAACTGTGAATATTTAGAATATTCACAGAATTGTGCAACCATCACCACAATCTTTAGAATATTTTCATCATCTCAAAAAGATACTTTGTAGCCTTTAGCACCCTTCCCACTGTACCCCCCCCCATACCCCTGGCCATAGGCAACTACTAAATTACTTTCTGTCCCTGCAGGTTGTCCTATTCTGGATACTTTGTATATGTGGAATCATAAAATAGGTGATCTTTTATGACTGGCATCTTTCAAGCATGTTTTTGATATTTTCATCCATGTTGTAGGATATTAAATTAACTTTTTGCATAGGAATAACTGAGCTAGAAAAGCATTGGCTGAATATGTCTGCAGAATGTAGCATTTAGAAAAGAAAGACTTCCAGGAGACAAATGAGGTAGTAACTAAAATGTAAATAACTAAAAATTAGCTTTGAGTCTTTAATAAACTACCTTTCATGTTTTGCTTTCACTAGGAATGAACTTTTAATTTTTTGGAGCTATAAATACATGTAGTTTCTAAAGACATCTTTGTTTTTAAAGAAAAGACATCTGCAGGCTTTTTCTTAGTGTTCCTATTAAGTATGTATGAGTGTGTGCATTTGTGTGTGTGTGTGTGCATGTTTAGTGACTTTACATGTGTATACATACAAATGTACACAGTCATATATGACTAGTGGTACATGGAATCTCAATTTAATTGTAAAAGTGAAGGAGTTCTAAAACTAGTTTTAGTATAGTAAGTGGGATATAGTAAGAATGTCCTACAATTTAAAAGCTTATTTGGTTATCTTCAATGGATTTTGAATGTATTCAATACTAGATTTGCGAGTGACTATGCCTTTTTAGTAAACAAAAGAAAGGCTATAATGTAGAAAGTATATGGAATAAGCATAACATCTGTCCTAATCTAATTTTCAGGCACATCTCCAGACTTCAATTTGGCTGAAATAATTCATGCCACGGACCTGTGCACATGCCTGGAATTGAGAGACACAGTTAAAAGACTCCAAGTTGCTTTCTGCCTTTTGAAAACTCCTGAAAACCATCCCTTTGGACTCTGGAATTCTACACAGCTCAACCAAGACTTTGCTTGAATGTTTACATTTTCTGCTCGCTGTCCTACATATCACAATATAGTGTTCACGTTTTGTTAAAACTTTGGGGTGTCAGGAGTTGAGCTTGCTCAGCAAGCCAGCATGGCTAGGATGAGCTTTGTTATAGCAGCTTGCCAATTGGTGCTGGGCCTACTAATGACTTCATTAACCGAGTCTTCCATACAGAATAGTGAGTGTCCACAACTTTGCGTATGTGAAATTCGTCCCTGGTTTACCCCACAGTCAACTTACAGAGAAGCCACCACTGTTGATTGCAATGACCTCCGCTTAACAAGGATTCCCAGTAACCTCTCTAGTGACACACAAGTGCTTCTCTTACAGAGCAATAACATCGCAAAGACTGTGGATGAGCTGCAGCAGCTTTTCAACTTGACTGAACTAGATTTCTCCCAAAACAACTTTACTAACATTAAGGAGGTCGGGCTGGCAAACCTAACCCAGCTCACAACGCTGCATTTGGAGGAAAATCAGATTACCGAGATGACTGATTACTGTCTACAAGACCTCAGCAACCTTCAAGAACTCTACATCAACCACAACCAAATTAGCACTATTTCTGCTCATGCTTTTGCAGGCTTAAAAAATCTATTAAGGCTCCACCTGAACTCCAACAAATTGAAAGTTATTGATAGTCGCTGGTTTGATTCTACACCCAACCTGGAAATTCTCATGATCGGAGAAAACCCTGTGATTGGAATTCTGGATATGAACTTCAAACCCCTCGCAAATTTGAGAAGCTTAGTTTTGGCAGGAATGTATCTCACTGATATTCCTGGAAATGCTTTGGTGGGTCTGGATAGCCTTGAGAGCCTGTCTTTTTATGATAACAAACTGGTTAAAGTCCCTCAACTTGCCCTGCAAAAAGTTCCAAATTTGAAATTCTTAGACCTCAACAAAAACCCCATTCACAAAATCCAAGAAGGGGACTTCAAAAATATGCTTCGGTTAAAAGAACTGGGAATCAACAATATGGGCGAGCTCGTTTCTGTCGACCGCTATGCCCTGGATAACTTGCCTGAACTCACAAAGCTGGAAGCCACCAATAACCCTAAACTCTCTTACATCCACCGCTTGGCTTTCCGAAGTGTCCCTGCTCTGGAAAGCTTGATGCTGAACAACAATGCCTTGAATGCCATTTACCAAAAGACAGTCGAATCCCTCCCCAATCTGCGTGAGATCAGTATCCATAGCAATCCCCTCAGGTGTGACTGTGTGATCCACTGGATTAACTCCAACAAAACCAACATCCGCTTCATGGAGCCCCTGTCCATGTTCTGTGCCATGCCGCCCGAATATAAAGGGCACCAGGTGAAGGAAGTTTTAATCCAGGATTCGAGTGAACAGTGCCTCCCAATGATATCTCACGACAGCTTCCCAAATCGTTTAAACGTGGATATCGGCACGACGGTTTTCCTAGACTGTCGAGCCATGGCTGAGCCAGAACCTGAAATTTACTGGGTCACTCCCATTGGAAATAAGATAACTGTGGAAACCCTTTCAGATAAATACAAGCTAAGTAGCGAAGGTACCTTGGAAATATCTAACATACAAATTGAAGACTCAGGAAGATACACATGTGTTGCCCAGAATGTCCAAGGGGCAGACACTCGGGTGGCAACAATTAAGGTTAATGGGACCCTTCTGGATGGTACCCAGGTGCTAAAAATATACGTCAAGCAGACAGAATCCCATTCCATCTTAGTGTCCTGGAAAGTTAATTCCAATGTCATGACGTCAAACTTAAAATGGTCGTCTGCCACCATGAAGATTGATAACCCTCACATAACATATACTGCCAGGGTCCCAGTCGATGTCCATGAATACAACCTAACGCATCTGCAGCCTTCCACAGATTATGAAGTGTGTCTCACAGTGTCCAATATTCATCAGCAGACTCAAAAGTCATGCGTAAATGTCACAACCAAAAATGCCGCCTTCGCAGTGGACATCTCTGATCAAGAAACCAGTACAGCCCTTGCTGCAGTAATGGGGTCTATGTTTGCCGTCATTAGCCTTGCGTCCATTGCTGTGTACTTTGCCAAAAGATTTAAGAGAAAAAACTACCACCACTCATTAAAAAAGTATATGCAAAAAACCTCTTCAATCCCACTAAATGAGCTGTACCCACCACTCATTAACCTCTGGGAAGGTGACAGCGAGAAAGACAAAGATGGTTCTGCAGACACCAAGCCAACCCAGGTCGACACATCCAGAAGCTATTACATGTGGTAACTCAGAGGATATTTTGCTTCTGGTAGTAAGGAGCACAAAGACGTTTTTGCTTTATTCTGCAAAAGTGAACAAGTTGAAGACTTTTGTATTTTTGACTTTGCTAGTTTGTGGCAGAGTGGAGAGGACGGGTGGATATTTCAAATTTTTTTAGTATAGCGTATCGCAAGGGTTTGACACGGCTGCCAGCGACTCTAGGCTTCCAGTCTGTGTTTGGTTTTTATTCTTATCATTATTATGATTGTTATTATATTATTATTTTATTTTAGTTGTTGTGCTAAACTCAATAATGCTGTTCTAACTACAGTGCTCAATAAAATGATTAATGACAGGATGGGGTTCCCCTGTGCTTTTACCAGTAGCATGACCCCTTCTGAAGCCATCCGTAGAAAGTACTTTGTCCTCCAAAAAGCTAACATACGGTTTTGAAGCAGCATTGAAACTTTTGTAGCAATCTGGTCTATAGACTTTTAACTCAAGAAGCTAAGGCTAGACTTGTTACCTTCGTTGAATGATGTTAGTTGACTGTACTGTAATGTTGTATCAACTGAATTGAATGTTTGCCTTTAAACAATGAATTTTCTTTTTCTTTCCTTTTTTTTTTTTTTGTTGTAATAGTTAAAGAGGCTTAGAACAAGCTAACAGGCAATAGAAATATGTATATCAGATTTTTTAATGTAACAAACTACATGTTAATTGTTATCTTATTCTTTTTATCTTTAGTAGACACTTTTAAAAGAAAAGACAAGTTTGTTGTGTTTAACTCACCAACACGTGGTGTATAATGAAGACAGAACTATAATAAATTAGTTTTGTTCTGATTTTTTAGAACACTTGCAATAATGTATCATTTATAGTTCTTGCTAGTTGCAGTGGTAATATTTTTCACATCCATAAAAACAACTACCAAAATAAATCAGCTGTAGCATGTTGCTTTTTAAAGCTAGGCCCTAAAAGGTTTTAATTCTTTTTCTAAGGGAAGAAATGTCTATTTTAATTAAGATATTTTAATGAACAGGATTTCTGTATTTTAAATAGTACTGACTAGCACCTAATGGGCAGTGGGAGGGTGGTTCATATGAAGAAAAAAAGGTGTATTGTTGTATCCCATGCATAAATAAAGGTAAATATATATATACACCAATATATTCATATATACTCACACACATCCCAACCTGTCACACACAATGCGTGTGTATATATATATGAATATATTGGATATGTCATTTCTGTAAGAGTTTTGTTAAAACCTGATTTTCTTTTGTAGTATCCACATTCTTCATCAAAGTACAAAAACGTCTGTGGAGTGTCACAAACTGTATGACATGTTATTTCTTTTTAACAGTTGTCTATATGCTTAGACCCGTGTTAGTCTCTATATCTGTGTGGCAATATCTGCTGAGACAAGTAAATGATTAATAGAAAACAAAACAACTTCCGTACAGTTCAAACTTTTCATCCAAATATATATAGACAGTTTTGGAGAATTGTTTCAAGATTATAGAGGAAACATGTAACATTTAGAGCAGATGGAACTAGGTTTAGGTAGAAGGCCAGTTCCACAAAGGGCAGAGGGAGGGATGGGATTTAATAGGTAAAGAAGAACCCATTTGAAAATAAAGGTTGTTTCAAAAGGCAGCTGCCGCCAGGCACACAGCATTCCATCAGACAGGTGCCAGACAAGCAAAAGCAAGGAAGTTGGCAGAAAGAAAGTCCAGGTGATGTAGGTTGAGGTATTTCTTTCTTTGGCAGTATCTTGCTTTTGTGAATCACTTTATTAAAAAAAATCACTTTCTTCCCATTCTTAAGGGGTTTTGGCAAACAGAATTTCAGATCTTGAAACAAATGAGCTGCAACAGAAAAATAAGTACCTGAGCTCGAGGTATCCCTTCCCAAAGCCTTCACTTATTGGTGAGAAAAACCTGGGCCCAGGGAGGGCTTGCAGCTTACCCAGTTCGGACTCCTGCCAGTTCAGCGCTCTGCACTCCATTGATTGTTCTAGGCCCGGCAGCCTGTTAGGTTCCTGTGCAGGGCCCCTCTTTTGCAGTTCTGAATAACCTCTAGTGCCCCTGCTTCAAAAATGCAGTACATCCTCAAGTTCCCATTTACTCAGGATACATTTTAGCACAGGGCAGATCAGACGGTGTCTCTACTGTTAGTATTGCAAAGTATGTATGGGAAACACAGAGAATTGGAGCTGCGTTGAATGCAAACTTGAGGTGTTTCCCTTGAGGAATTCTTGTCTTCAAACGTCTGCAGAGTAATGGACCATGTTACAACTTTCCTGTTCATCTGTGAACCATGAAAATGGATGGCACTGATGCATTAGACCCTCAGCAGCCTGCAATTGCAAATCTGCGAGGTTTCATTCGGCCCATAAAGCAAACATTTGAACTTACACAGAATGAGCACTTAAATACGGGTGCAATAAATGAAGGGAAAAACCTCAGCCGTTTCTCCATTCTGAAGATATAGCAAGCACCGGGAAATCTAAGATTTTTCATCAACAATATCTTCTGCCAGCCCAGTTTGGGGGGAAAAACCCCTTTTACATTTTTCTTCAGTAAAGTACTGGAACTTACTTTTCCCTGTCTGTGCTAATGAGCTGATTTTCAGCTGATAGAAAACAAAATGATAGAGTACTTTTTTCCTTGGCCAAGTATTTTCTCATTTGTATTTAATTTCATAAATTAGACAGCCAGTGAAATTAGACCTCAAACTAGGTCCTGATGGATAATGAATGTTATGTCACCTTTAACAGTGAAGTGGTTATTATAGGTCACTTTCTAATTTCATATTTTCCCTTTTGCTTTCTGCTGCCTTCAGGGTATATAGTGTATCTCTAACCTGATTTTTCAAGGTTATTTTTGGAGCAGTTTCTTAAAACAGGCATTCCCTAACTTGCTCATTTAATTAATGAAAAATTGAACTGATGCCATGGATATAAAAACAAATGTAATGTTTGATTGTCAGTGTTTCTGATTTGGCAAAAAGGAATCATCTCTATTTTTTTGCAAACAATATCAAAGTGCATATTTTCTCTCATGTGGTTTCTATTTATTCAATCATTCATTTGTTTGCTAAGGACGCCATAGTCAACCCTTTACTTGGTGTTTGTTTTCTATTTCTGTATTCATTTTCCAAGGCATTTTCTTTTCTTTATTACTGTTTTCACCATTGGTGGGGTAGGGGGAAGCATTTTATATCTCCAACAGTTTGCTGGGAAAAACCACACTTTTTCCCTTTCTATTCACTGGAAAGGGAAATGTAACTACTTCTGAAGCATTCTAAGTACAACTGGAAATGCTTTCTTCACCTCAGTTCTTTCACTCTCGCCTTGCTTGCAAATAGACTTTTTTATTGTTATTCAAAAGGGATTAGCTTGGAAGAAAAAAAAATGTTTCTTTAAAGATTGGTGATTCAGAATCACCATCCGGAGGTCTAGAATAATTTTGGCCTGGAATCTCTGCAGGACTTGATCTAATCTGGTGTGGACAGTTCCCCTGCCCCAACCCCCACTTCCCCCATAAGCACTGATACCAGCTTCTTTAGTAAAAAGGAGATGCTGAGGGAACTAAGGATTTTTATGTCTGCTGGTTCAACATTGCCCAGAACAGGTAAACAGAACTAAATGGGTTTCTCATATTAAAGAATTCCTAGGAGACTTGACGGCGGGAGATGACAATGAAGGCTTTCTTTATGTCTTCAAATTTATTTATCTTTTCTTCTTTAAGAAACCTTATATGCTGGGAATCTTGAGGTACATTCCAAAACTATACTTATATCAGGCTAAATTTTAATTCTAATCTTGAACTCCCCCATACTATTCTCTGTTACACACTCCTAAAATTTTGAAATGTATAGATTTTTGTGGAGAAGACACCAAACTCTTTCCTTAGCAGGAAACCATGGAAAGCTTTTATAAAATTAATGACAAACTCAAGTGTTTAGCTCCAAAGCTTAAATGCGGAAATGTGAAGTTCATATAAACTGAGCAATTTGCAAGGGTACCTGACATGCCTGAAAACACAGGGAACAGCCAGACAATGGCTCTTGCATAATTACCAAATTGTGGAGTTTGTGGATGTGTTTATATTTAGGAAATCATCCAGTCCCCCTCCCCAGTTTATATGGATGCCGTAAGACATTAAAGTGGCATTATGCATTTGCCCTCCTGACAGCCCATTATGTCAGTTATATATTAAATATGAAGCAAATCCAGTATCATGTACCTCATGCAAGCAGTTCTGGCCACAAAGTGCGTCAGATCATGCCTCTCCTTTCCACCTGGGCCTCCCTGTCTCCCTCCCATAAGATTAGATGGACAAAGTAAATTTCAGCCTGGGCCCTGACAGAGTGATCATGAATTTCTAGTAAGGGGTGGGGGTGTCCTGAATTAATAAGGTAGCATTTTAATGCATCAGTCTGCGTATTACCACGTCTCATTCATATAAACAAGACAGTGGTCATGAGGAGAAGGGAAACAAACCATGTAATTGGGGCAGAAAGGACTACATTTTTACAGCTGTGACTTAAGTGGGGAGAAGCATTTGTTGTGCATCTAACCCTCTGCTAGGAGCTTCACAGAGATTACTTACATTGAATCCTTTCAGTTGCCCATGTCGTCCCTATGTTAGAGAATAGTGTTTACTCAGCCTCACAGAGCCAAGCAACTTGCCTGAAATCTCACAGCTGGTAAGAAACAACTGAGACTTAACTCAGGACTGACTGACTAAAACCAGTAGTTTTCCAACTGTATAATGGTCCACAAGCTAAATCTAGGTCAGGAATAGAGAGCACATAACTCCCAAATATTCAGCATTTGAGTCAGGAACAATGGAGAAGAGGGAGGGTCTAATTTAAGACTCAAACCTGAGATCAATATACGGAAATCACAAGCCAAAGAGGAAAAAGTAAAGGACAGGTCTTCCATGGTTGTGACAACAAATCCCTACATTGAACTGGAAGAACCTGAAGCTGCAAAAGAAAAGCAATCAGTCAAAATGAGAGTGGGTGGGAGTAAAAGTAGGTCCCAAATATGGCCGTATTTTGAGCACTTGTGCTTCAGATGCCGTACTGAGCGCTTGGCCTGTATTATCTTGTGGAATCCTCAATAACTGTAAAGTAGGTATATTCCTGTCCCCATTTTTCACATAGAGAAACTGAGCCTCAGTTCATCACTGATAAGTGATGAGGCCAAGCAGCCCTGGCTATCAGATTCCAAGGCCCAAGACTAACCATGAATCTATGTTCTAACTGAAAAGGCACTCAGAGTACTGGGCTGGCCATCTCATTGGCCTGATGGATTTAGTTCTTTCCTGAGAATGAGGAACAAAGAAAAGGGTAGGTGTCATAATCTTGCAAGGGACCTCCCCACAGAAGGCTTGTTCATGTGGCATTTAATACCACAGCCTTAGATAAGAAAGGAAATGCTACCTTGCTGCTTTTCTTTTTTAACCATTAAGGTTAGTCTCCCATTTTAATCATATACCACATCATCCAGAGCAAAGTCTTGTTCTGATGCTGTAAGTAATCTCATCTTAACTTTCCTATAGACCATTCTGGGGGCTGGGGGTGCTAGGAGGATAAACTCCCTGGAGAACTGTTAGTGAAGAGTTTTATGACTAATCCTGTATCTTTGTGATCTCAATAGCCCTTAATTTAAAAATATATTACTTTCAATCTTGTAAGAGGCAGACTGGTTTAAGTATCTCCTGTGCTACTGATGAAACTAGGAAAAGAAGGTGACCATGAATATGAACCAAAATATATGCTTTCATATTATTTTCTCACTTATCAGAGCACCACACACCTATTAACAGTACTTGATTTTACCAAATTTTTGTTCTAACTAGCTTAGGGGGGCTCCCACCATCATAAGATGGTTCGTGTTTGCAACTCATTTAAAAATCGCATTTTTTCTTCTGATTATAACAGTAGTATATGTTTACTATAGAGAATCTAGAGAAAAATATTTATTAAAAATAGAATTCAACAACTCAAAACCAGATGAGATTTTGGTACACTTCCTTCTACTCTCTTTTTTCTCTGTGTATGTATTTATATATGTATATATACATATAATTATAAAAAATATATACCTTTATGAGTATAGAATTGGAATCATGGTATATATAGCTTTGTACACTTTTTTCTATTATGCAAAATGTAAGCATCTTTTTATATTATTAAACTATCTTGGAAACCATGGTATTAAAGGCTGTATAACCATCTATCATATGGATATTCAGTAATGGAACAAGTCCTTTTGGAAGCATTTTGCCTCTTCCACGTCAAACACCAGGGACATAAAGATGAGCCTACCCTGCCCCTGCTCTCCAGGATGTAGTCACAGAGGAAGATAGACATCCACGTAAAGGACCATCCAGTATGATAACTACACGGAGAAGATGAAACAGCAGGACAGCACAGGGAAGAAGAACCCTGGTCAGACTGGGGAGCTCAAATTTCAGATCTCACTACTTAAGCTCAGAATGAAAAGATGAGCCGAGGGCTTCACAAGCAAGCATCCAGAGGGAGGGCATCCTAGGCAGCGAACAAATTGCTGTGATCACAGGCTTTCTAAGGAAGTGGAAGAAGTCTTCCCGGAGGACTTGGGGATTCTGGAGGCCTTCTGATAAAAGGGAAAGGGCTCCTAAAAATACAGGGTAACTACATTGGGAGCTGAAGTAGGAGAGAAACTACAGCAAGTTTTTGTGCAGAGGGGAGAGGGAGAGGCTGGATTGTATGAGGAGCCTATGGTCCCCAGATGAAGCTTTATTCCCAGTTTGATTTTTTAAGCCATTCCACATAATCACTGGGGGGAGTGCCTTCCTGGTGAGATAAGAGAAGCTCACAAGAGCAATTTGATAAACCTTCCAAGCCCTGGGGCCTCAGTGTGGAACCTCAGCTGTGGTAATATGTAAGACATAAGCATTAAACAGATGTGAGATTGCCCTAATTGCTTAAGACTATCCCAGTCAGTGGCTTGCACTTAGTACAGGTTTTCTTTGGTGTCTGTGGTGTCAAGAAAATAGGAAGTGCGTGTTTGGAAAATTGAAACTGATTATGTGGTGTTTAGAAGCACAAATGAATCCTCTTCAGCTTGTCCTTTGCCCACTAAATACAAATATTTCTAGTTCACTTGCTTAGACAAAATTCTGATCCTTTTTTTAGTGTAACAAACAAGGCCTTAGACTTGGAATAGTAATAAAGAACCATACTTGGATACATGTACCCCCAGACTCACATATTGCTCCCCTCCCTTTGTTTCCAAAAGTAAAACAGGTCAAAGACATTGTAGTATAACTTAATACAAAATACCTCTGAATCTAGATTTTATTCCTATGGGATTTTCCTTGGGTTTTTAATTGGATTGATTTTCTGATCATGGAAATTCCTGATAGCAAAAAGAGATTGATAGAAAAGGTTATTTTCCCCAATTCTGCTCTTAACAAGTATATGGGTGGACATTATACGTCTTGTTGTTTTGATCATTAGGAGATTTGTCCAGGGCAGATTCCATCAACACCTCCTCTGAATTATTGGTCTCTCTCTGGAGAAATACTCAACTGACCATCTTACAAAACGCTTAATTTCAATTCATTTCCCCAGACTTACAAGTTATAGTTAGCTTCCCATTAACTACATAAATTGAGAGGAGCAGTTTGTAAGCAGTGAAAAACACTGGACCATCCAAAAGCCAATAGAGGTTTGTTGAATGAATGAAGTCATTCACAACTTTGACTTTGGAGTGAATAGTAAGTTTTTGCTAGAAGCAAATGCATTCATCTCCCTGGTTATACTTTGTTTTGTCTGGTAATAGATTTCTGGACTGTTGCAGAGAGCAAGCTGGCATTTGGTTGATTTAGGGGAACAGATTGTATTTCTTAAATTTTCTTTTTTTTTCTTCCATATTGAGACCTGGGAAATTTCCCTTAACTTCATTCCAAGTTTGTGGAAATCATACAACCCAGGACATCTTGCTTGGGCTGAGCCACTTGTAATGATCTGGGATTGCTTGGATTTGTGTTCAGCTCCCCAAGGTGCTATTCTGAACACACAACACAACAGCTTACATTTTCTGGGCACGTAGCAACTCTCAGTAGATTTGGTCAGATGAGTACCTATTCTTTATAGTTCAGGGGGGTACACTTTCACAGTTCCTCAAACTCTGGAAGCCTTATTCAAAAGAGTACAGCCATCTTATTTTTTACCCCAGCAAATTTTGCACTTTGGAGATGAATACTGGGAATTAACACACAATCTTCCTCTTGTAGCACAACTACCAAAGGTCAGGTTAGGGAGAAGTTTGGGAAAGAGTAATGACACCAGAGGAGGAAGGGAAAGAAAGCCACACAGCCACTGTGGAAATGTCAAACAGTGGAGATGGTGTAGTCAGAAAATACTGCTTAGGGGCAGAGTGGTAGACATCTCTCTCTCCCTCAAAGCTCTGTAACATGAGATCCTGGTGGGAGTGGACAAATTATAACTCAAAGTTTGCTGAAAGAAGAGCCTTTTAAACTGGCCTCTTAGGAAACAGTCTCTCCTTTTCCCTCTTCTTTTTCACTTTCTCTAAGCAAAGCTGTTCAGAATTTCTACAATTACTTGTAACACCTCTCTCATTTGGATTATCTTCTTCTCTGTAGGCAACATCCATTCTGGGGAGTGAGGAAAGCTCGAAGTTGGATGTAGAAGAGTGGAGGCAGGGGTCTGGACTCTAAGGATCCTAAAGTTTTCTTTTTAAGTTGTCCTGGCCAGTTCCCCAGGGCATACGGAAAAAAGGCATCCAGAATAAAAGCTCTGTCCATGCATTCTTAAAAAAAAAAAATGCATATGATAGGCTTGACCATCCCTTGATTAGCCATCCTGAAGGTGAAAGAATGATGGATAAAGTCTAGAATGGCTAGCAGTCAGAGCCAAATGGCTCGGTCAGTTCATTTCTAACCCTAGTCCTTTCTCTTCCTCCATGAAAAGTATTAAGCTAATTAAGCTACTTATCTTTTCTAATTTACTGGCTTATACTTCCACATCCCTACTTCTTGTTCTCTGTATTGCAGTTCCACTAGAATGCTTTTCAGAACCTTGGTCGTACCTTCTCACATTCACATAGATCTCTCACTGAAACACCTCCTCCTTTTTCCCCTGCTTAATCCTCACTCTTTCCTTGGAGCTTTTTAGACAAAGCCTTCGAAGCCCAGATTAAGTTAGTTTTGCCTGTCATACCTTCTTATATTAGGCTGTTCTCTCCTTCTTAGCAACCGTTATGGCTGCTGACTTTATTCACCACCGGAAGATATTTGCCTTATTCACTACTGCATGCCCAGGGCCTACAACAGTACATGGCCCCAGGTAACTTCTCAATTGTTTTCTCCCCCGTTTCTAAATAATGAGTAAATGTATGCCCAACTTCTGACCCAAGGACTGGGCACTTAGGAAATACAATTTTAGGAGCAGCCCTGCAAAATCTTTTCTCTCACCCCAGTTTTTTCCTGCTATTCTCCCTCACCACAATAGCATTTCTACTTTTCCTTAGAGAGCACAGTCCTTGTATTTATTTGCTGGGGCTGCCATAACAAAGTACCATAGACTGGATGGCTTAAACAACAGGAATCTATTTCATCACAGTCCTCAAGGCTAGAAGTCCAAGGAAAAATGTTGGCAGGGTTGGTCTCCTCTGAGGCTCTTCTCCTTGGCTTGTAGATGGCTGTCTTCCCCTTATGTCTTCACATGGTCTTCCTTCTGTGTGTCTCTGTGTCCTATTTCCTCTTCTTTTTTTTTTTTTTTTTTTTTGTTTTTGGAGATGGAGTTTCACTCTCGTTGCCCAGGCTGGAGTGCAATGGCGCGATCTCAGCTCACTGCAACCTCTGCCTTCTAGGTTCAAGTGATTCTCCTGCCTCAGCATCCCGAGTAGCTGGGATTACAGGTGCCCGCCACCATGCCTGGCTAATTTTTGTATTTTTAGTAGAGACAGGGTTTCACCACGTTGGCCAGGCTGGTCTCGAACTCCTGACTCAGGTGATCTGCCTGCCTTGGCCTCCCAAAATGCTGGGATTACAGGCAGGAGGCACCGCATCTGGTCCTATTTCCTCTTCTTATAAGGACACTAGTCATATTGTATTAGGGTCCACCCTAATGACCTCATTTTAACTTGATTTTCTCCAAACAGACCCTGTCTTTAAATGTAGTCACATTCTGAGGTACTGGCAGTTAGGGACTTTGGGGAGACAATTCAACCACAACAATTGGGAGTTCTGCTTGGATGAGTATGTCCAGGTAGTTGACTGTCATTGTGAATCCTGGGTAGGGCATACCCTTCACAATGACATACAAAACAAGTTCTGCTTTTCTCACTCGCCAAATGGGTGCTCCCAACCCGATATGTCTCATCAAGGCATATTGATAAAAGTTTGAGGAACCTTTATAGACCATTTAGTTCAATACCCTTGTTTTGCAGATGGAGAAACTGAGGCCCAGGGAAAGAGAATAATTTAGCCAGGCACTCTCAACCCGTGAGTGGAGAAGCTGAAACTAGAAGTAAAGCCTCCCTACATTTAGAAATAGGAAAACTTAAGCTTTCCCCCAAAATTTTCTCACCCTGCATTATGAGGAAAATTGCCTTAGGCTAATTTCATTAAGTCTGTTGAGGAGGAATAATCTACGGACATATATATTTCTGGCTATATATATTGCACCTTCCAGCAGCCACCAGTGAGTGACAGTCTTGCTGTTAGCTCCTATAATGTGTAGAAGTTCCATTCCGTTTTCACCCCAACACCCTGCCTAGATCAATTGGGCTGAGCAAAACCACAGGCAGCAATCCTCAAGCCCATTTCTATTCTTCTGGATAAAAAAGACATTTTTTTTTTTTTTCAAAATATAGGGGATGTCATCTTTTTCCCAGCCATCTTGTGAGGGAAGAAGATAGCAAGACAGAAATAACTCCTTATAATCTTTTCAAATACCAAAGCATTCCACTTCCCATGCAATCATTTTGAACCTCTAACACGAGCAAAAACTATAGCTGTTATGGAGAAAAGAACTCTTAGTTTGAAAAGATCGAGTACTAGCATATAGAATCCCCCAAACCACTTTAAATTAATGAGTCATACAATATATCTGACATGTTACCAAATCCTCCCCAGACCCAAGGCTCAACAGTTTTTGAAATCTCAACACACATTTTCTGAGGAATTGCAGTTTGGAATGAAACTAGGGCTTCTGGTGGAGTGATCTGTACAGTAGTCACAGGATGGTCCTTTCACTGAATAAATACTTTTTGAGCAACTATTATGTGTTGGGCATAATTACAGGTGGTCCTCTTTACTGGTTAGAGTCAGCATGGTAGAGCGGACTGACATTACCTCATCATAGAAGCCCACGGGAAAAGAAGACACATCCCCCAGACCTCACCTAAGTGGGAGTCCAGAGAGCCTCCTTGATTTAAGTGGCTGTGGCTTTCAAAAAGTGTTAAGGAATTCAAAAAAAGGAGAGATCTCTTAGAACTGTAGAGGGAAAAACAGGGGGAAGTATATTTTTGTGGAAGGATTTAGAGATGAGGTGACACTGTGGCAGGGCCTCAGAGAATGGGGAGCATTTGAACTTGGGAAAGTCGGGGAAGGAAAAGCATGAACTAAAGGAAGTCTGAAGGAAAATGTCAATTATGGGGTATTGCAACAAAAATTAGTTTAGTTGCTGGACTAGTTCAGGAGGGAGAAGTGGTAAAAATAACAAACTTTTATTGAGCCTTTACAATGTTCCAGGGACAATGGTGAGCACTTTATATGAATAATTTCATTAATCTTCAAAACAATCCTATGAGACAGGTTCTCTTGTTTCCTCCATTTTATACATGAGGAAACAGGAAGCTTAGAAAGGTTAAGCAATTTGTTCAAGGTCACAAGAGGCAGAATCAGGTATTTAACCCAGAATCAATGCTCATCACCACAACACTATCCTAGGATTAGATTATGAGGAAAACTGTGCTGGAGTGAAGGCCTGAGACTATCTTCTTCAAGTAGAAGGGAGCCACTGAAGGACTTTGAACAATGAGAATGACATAATCAATGTCATTCTTTAGGAGGGTCAAGGTAATAATACAATGATCAAGGATCAAGCATCCAAAATACATGCAAGAAAGACCCCCACCAAGACTTCTTACAAAAGTTTAAAAATATAAAATAAAAGTGCAGCTTTCAAGCACCAAGGTAATTTCCCTGCTTCAGCTACCATTAAAGAACTGAGGCAGTTAATAAGAGAAAGACAGTCTTCATCTTTCCCCACCTGTATTTCATGAATTGCTTCAGGACGTCAGGCTATGGGGCACCAGTACAGAGGAGGCTAGAGAGACAAATGAAGCAAATCCCCAATGGTGGCTGTTGGAAGGTGCAACACAAAAGTTTCTTCATCTTTAAAACCTGCATGGAAGTAAAGATCAATTACCCATAGAAGTATGGGGACTACCTGTGACAAAATGATTAATCCCAGTGGGTGGCCCTACTGCCACCTTGCTCCTTTTCTGCCTGCAGTGGTATGAGACCCTTAGCTCTTTGGATATAAAGAGATGGATATAAAGTGGATGATGCGCTTTTTATAGCAATGTAACACAACAAAATGTGACAAGATATGGAGCAGAAAAAACAGATATAAAAATTACTTCAAGGGTGCAGTGCTCACTCTTGTAATCCCAGCTGCTTGGGAGACTGAGGCAGAGGAATACTTAAGTACAGGAGTTTGATACCAGCCTGGGCAACATAGCGAGCTCCCATCTCTAAAAAAATTATTTTTAACTTAGCTGGGTGTGGTTGCATGCACCTGTAGTCCCAGCTACCTAGAAGGCTGAGACAGGAGGATCCCTTAAGCCCAGGAGTTCAAGGCTGCAGTGAGCTATGATCATGCCACTGCACTCCAGCCTGAGCGACAGAGCCAGACTTTGTCACAAAAAAAGAAAAAAAAAATTACTTTGCAAAAAAAAATCTACATTCTCAATTATCCATTTCACTGATACTAGGTGTACATGCTGAAGCTCCTTAAGAAGATTGTACTGACACATGAAGTATTCACTTTTAAGCATCTCATGCCAACTTATTTATTTGTTGTCTACAGTTGATATCTTAAAAATCACATGCATGGCAAATTGCCTATTGGCTATGGAAATTCAAATGTTCATGAGCAATTATAAGCATCTTAGCAAATGTGCTCAAATTCTATCAAAAAAGAATAGCAAAATTGTATCATGGATTTTCTAATTCATTAATTAATCTCTAAATAAGTCTTTATTGAGCTCCTACCATTTGTCAGGGGATACAAGAAAACAAAGCAGACTTGTTTCTTGCCCTCTTTGAATTTATGTTTTTGAAGGACAACTAGATAATAAGTTAAATAATTAGTTAATTTCAGTTTATGATAAGTACTATAAAAAATAAGAGTACTGAGATAAGAATACTTTGTGTGAGAGAGAGAAGGTAGCCTATTCCTTCCCCCGCCTCCCCAACCCTCCCTGGCCCCCACCCACGGCTATCTACAGCACATTCTAGATCATGCTATTATGAAAAGATTCAGTCCCCTGGTGCTGGCTTTGTAGCAATAGCTGACTGTACTCTGATGAGGATGCTTTGTTACTTAAATATCTTCCTAGCAGAGGACTCACAGCAGTTTTCAAATGGCATTTCCATTCATCACTGCAGCACTCCTGAGAGGCAACAGAGGTTCAAGCCTCATTACTTCTATTTAAGAAAGAGGAAGGGCAATGACTGGAGAACTACCCTCTGCCAAATATTAAGGAGCAAAGCAGCTGTGGGGTTGATGTTGTGGCTCAGCTCAGATCCCCCTGTTGCTAGCTTTTTACATTAGACCATTTAATTCTATCCTTCAGTGTAAGTTGGGAACTAACATATGCCCGAAGGTTTTAGAAATAAACCAACTCAATCCCAACTCAACAAACAGGGCATATTTGTTACGCTAAGTAAATTGTTTTCAATAATTATTAATATGAAGTTTATTTGCCTAAACTCATAAAATTTCCTGTGTGAGAAAATCTAGTCAACAGAATCACAAACTGAATAATTTTGTTGACTGTTTCAGCTGGCTTTTTCTTCCTTTAAAACAACAAACAAGTAACCTTACAATGGAAATTTCTTTCACATGAATTCATGACCACATCAAGTGGAATTTGTTATAAGGCAGCCATCATGAGCCACATTCAGAAGAACAGACTCAGTTATTTAAATACTCAAAGAACATATGAGAATAATAAATTAATGTTCTGGAAGGGTTAAAGAAGAATCACTTATATCAAGCCCTTAACATTCCAGACATGGTTTAAAGCCAAGAAAAGTGAAATCACTTATCAAAGGTCTCACAACTTTTGAGAAAGACTCAAATTCTGTTTTCTTTAGTCCAAATCCTGTGCTCTGGTACAGGTATTAGGAAGTCTCCTTAATAGTCAGTACATCCTTGGGTTTCCCAATTGACATATATAGACAGAGATATCTTGGCGTAAGAATTCTGAGGGCACTTCACTTATCTCATAATGACACGATCCATCATGGAGGTAAGCAAGCACAAAGACCCAATGACTCAAAACACCGTACAATTTTTGTGCTTTTAAAATTTTATAATAATTTTAAAGACATTCAGGAAAATTACAAGAATAATACAAAGAATTCTCATATACTTTTTACCCAGATCTTCCAAATGTTAACATTTTACTACGTTTGTTTCATTTTTCTCTCTGTTCTGAACTCTTTAAGAGCAAGTTACAAACACGATGTCCATTTATCGTTAAATACCTCAATGTGTAATTCCTAAAACAAAGAATGTTCTCTTACATGACCACAGTACAATTTACAAAATCAGGACAAATAATATGAATATAATACTATTATCTAATCTACAGCCCTTATTTGGATTTATCTAATTGCCTAACGATGTTCTTTATAGCAAAATAAAAAATCTAAGATTAAGTGTTTCACTTAGTGTTCATGTCTTTTTAGTTTCTTTCAATCTGGAATAGTTCTTGAGTCTTTCTTTGTATTTTGTGACATTGACATTTTTGAAGAGGGCAGGCCAAGATTACTGAATGTCCCTCAATTTGGTTTTGTCAGATCTTTTTTCAAGATTAGATTCCAGCTACACACTTTTGGCAGAAATATCACAGAAGTGATGCTGAGTTCTTCTCGGTGCATCATATCAGAAGGCACATGCTACAGATATATCCCATATCCCATAAGCCAATTAGGTCATTTGGTTAAGGTGGCATATCAGGTTTCTCCACTATAAAGTTATTCTTTTACCCTTTGTAATTATCTCGTGAGGGAAATGCTTTGAGACTATGTAAATATCCTGTTACTCCTCAAACTTTCACCTACTGGTTTTAAGAGTCATTGAATATTCTTGTCTGGATTAGTTATTATTATGATGTTTGCCAAATAATGATTTGATAATTTCATCTTCCTTTCTATATTTATTAGTTGGACTTTGACTATAAGAAAGAGTTTTCCATTTTCATTTGTTTGTTTTTTGTTTATCTATGGACTCATGGATTCTTATAACACTTTATTCAATACATTATAATCCTTTATTATAATTATTTATTTTGGTTCACCAGTTGTCTCAGATTTGGCTATTGGGAGTTCCTTCAAGCTGGCACCTGTGTCCTTTTGACCTGTCCCTTTGTCCATCATTATTTGAGCACTCAAAGAAATTCACTCATAAGAATTTATAGAAGTTAGGCAACTAAGCTATAGGAAGCAGACCCTGAGAAAAGGATCCAAATACGAGTATTTGGATTTGGGAGGTAATTCTGGGAGCCATGGGGAAGGAAATGAGGCAGTGAAATGGGAAAGGGAAGGAAATCAGGAAAGGGTATTTATTGAGCAAGTAACCAATATGAACAGCTAGGGCTAAATTTCACTTGGAGACCGTGAAAACCGCAGAACATATGCTTCAGTTACACACTTAAAGAATGAGGAAACTAGAATATTCATACATTGTGGTAAGCAGAATAATGTCCACCACCCACCAAAAGATGTCCATGCCGTAATCTCCAGAACCTGTGGATATATTACCTTACGAGGCCAAAGGAACTTTGCTGACAAGATTAAGTTAAGGACATTGATACTGAGATGGTGAGATTAGATTGGATTAGCCGGGTGGGCCCAATGTAATCACAAGGGTCCTTAAAACAGGGAGGCAGAAGAGTCAGAGTCAGGGAAGGAAATGTGACCGAGGAAGCAGAGGTCAGAGCAATATGGAGCCACAGACCACAGAATTCTAGAAGCTGGCAAAGGCAAGAAGGCAGATTCTTCCCTCCAGAAGGAACACACCCCTGCCAGCCTGTTGAGATAGCCTGGCGGGACCTGTGTCCGACTTCTGACCTCCAGAACTATAAGATAATAAATTGGCAGAGTTTGAAGCCACCACGTGTGTGGTAGTTTGTTACAGCAGCAGTAGGAAACTAATACATATGCCCACTCTCATCAGCCATTTTTAAAGGACCGTTTCGGGGATGTTTATTCACCAGCACTTCCACTCTGCAGGCTGTGACTGGAGGAAGCCTCAGGCAAAGAGACACAGGTGTAGACATCTATACTCAGACTGGTGTAAATTCAACAACATAAGGGCAGAGCACTGACTGCCTGTACTACCAGACTTCCTAATCCCCTCCAACCCTGTCTTCTGTTACAACAATTCAGTCATGAAATAAGCAGTGAGGAGCATTACCGAAAGAGGCCAAAGCAGCACACTTTGATGTGTCTCTCTGTGGATCTCACCTCAACGTGTTACTTTCTTGCTGTGGGTTCTTGGCAATTTGAGAGATAGAGGACCTTGTCTATTATGACTAAAAAAGGCCCCAGAGAAAGATAGAGGCTTATAAAATTTTGGTATCATTGGTAAAACTTAGCTTCATCATATACTCTGCAATATTTAACATAGTTAACAACTATCACAGATAAGACCAAAGGTCAGTTTACAAACATCTACACTGCAAACCCAAGGGAAAGTGAATTTATACTAGAATAATGAAACACTATAAAAATGTTCTTTAAAAAACTTGGAGAATGTTATTTTATGGAATTCTCTATAGAAGAAAATACAGGATGTAAGCAGTATGTAAGGAAACAATTCAAGGAGAAATGAAGGACAAGATGGGTTTGAAATATCCACTAACTCTCAACCTCTGATCACTAAGTCAGATGCCCAGTGTGAATCCCTGAAGTTCCTTTTGAGCATCCTCTGCTTATCCATTGTGCCTTCTTCTACATTTTGCCTTCATTTTACATGCATGGCAGGAGGGAAGTATAATAGTGAGATAGAATAGGCGGGCTACTCCTTTATTCTAAAGGCTGTAATTCTTACAGCAACCAATATATGTATAAACCATTGTACTTGTCCAAAAATGCCAATAAATTTTAATAAATAAAGCATGATCACTTCCAGAAATTCCTGAAAGAGAAAGTGCATATTTGATTGGAAACTTACCACTGAATCTAGTTTCTGTTTTTAAGTCAATTAAGTTCATGTTATTGTATTAGTCCATTCTCACACTGCTAATGAAGACATACCAGAGACTGGGTAATTTATAAAGTAAAGAGGTTGAATTGTCTCACAGTTCAGCAAGGCTGGGGAGGCCTCAGGAAACTTACAATCATGATGGACGGGGAAGCAAACACATCCTTCTTCACATGGTGGCAGGAAGAAGAAGAAAGAGAGCCAAGCAAAGGGGGAAACCCCTTATAAAACCATCAGATCTCGTGAGAACTCACTCACTATCATGAAATAGCATGAGGGAAACTCCCCCATCATTCAATTACCCCCCATCTGGTCCCTCCCAGAACACATGGGGATTATGGGAACTACAATTCAAGATGAGATTTGGGTGGGGACACAGCCAAACCGTATCGGTTATTATCTACCCAACACCAGCCTGACTCTACATGGGGGTTTAAGAAAAGTAAAGAGCATATTGTCCGATCATGTTATTCTCCTGCTTAACAACTTGTAGTTATTTCCTACTCTTTATAGGATATAGTCTATCATTCTAGGGATACTATATTAGGCCCTTCACAATTTGACCCCTGTCCACAGTCATCAGCCTTATTTCTCACCATTCCCCAAGTGGCTCCCTTATTCTTCCTCCCATCTCATTCTCATACCTTCTTACCTTGTATACTCTGCCCTCAGCCAAACCATCCTCCTTCATGCACCATGCTGCTGCAAATGCCCATCCCTCTGCTGGGATGCCTTTTGCCTCCCAGCTCCTGCTTGGAAACTTATTTGTACGTACAGAAGTCTGGGAGGATTCTGTACACACCTTCGTTAATGCTCATGCCTGTAAGGATGAGTTTTCAAGGGACTGAGATAAGGATGCTTCATGCCTGAGCCCTTGAGATGCGAACATATTCCTCTTCATACTTCAGTACCTAGTACATGTGTGGCACATAGAAAACATTCTGACAATGTCTGTTATATGAAGGCAAGAGTAAATATTTCAAGAGATGTTTAAAATCTAATTTGGAAGGCAAGAGGCACCTTGATCTAGTATCCAAAGTCTTAGTCTGAGTGTGAGCAGATCTGCCCTCTAATTCTGGTGCTGCCACTTACCTGCTGTGTAACTTTAGGCAAGTCATTTATATGTTCCAGGCCTCATCACACTTATTCCAAAATTGACTACATAGTTGGAAGTTAAGCACTCATTAGCAAATGTAAAAGAACAGAAATTATAACAAACTGTCTCTCAGACCATAGTGCAATCAAATTAGAGCTCAGGGTTAAGAAACTCACTCAAAACTGCACAACTACATGGAAACGGAACAACCTGCTTCTGAATGACTACTGGGTAAATAATGAAATGAAGGCAGAAATAAAGATGTTCTTTGAAACCAATGAGAACAAAGACACAACATACCAGAATCTCTGGGACACATTTAAAGCAGTGTGTAGAGGGAAATTTATAGCACTAAATGCCCACAAGAGAAAGCAGGAAAGATCTAAAATAGACACCCTAACATCACAATTAAAACAACTAGAGGAGCAAGAACAAACACCTTCAAAAGCTAGCAGAAGGCAAGAAATAACTAACATCAGAGCAGAACTGAAGGAAATAAAGACACAAAAAACCCTTCAAAACATCAATGAATCCAGGAGCTGGTTTTTTTTAAAAGATCAACAAAATTGATAGACTGCTAGCAAGACTAATGAAGAAGAAAAGAGAGAAGAATCAAATAGATGCAATAAAAAATGATAAAGGGGATATCACCACCGATCCCACAGAAATACAGACTACCACCAGAGAATACTATAAGCACCTCTATGCAAATAAACTAGAAAATCTAGAAGAAATGGATAAATTCCTGGACACATCCACCCTCCCAAGACTAAACCAGGAAGAAGTTGAATCCTGAATAGACCGATAAAAGGCTCTGAAATTGAGGCAATAATTAATAGCCTACCAACTAAAAAAAGTCTAGGACCAGAGGGATTCACAGCCAAATTCTACCAGAGATAAAAACAGGAGCTAGTACCATTCCTTCTGAAACTATTCCAATCAACAGACAAAGGAGGAATCCTCCCTAACTCATTATATGAGTCCAGCATCATCCTGATACCAAAGCCTGGCAGAGATACAACAACAAAAAAAGAGAATTGTAGACCAATATCCCTGATGAACATCGATGCAAAAATCCTCAATAAAATACTGGCAAACTGAATCCAGCAGCACATCAAAAAGCTTATCCACCACGATCAAGTTAGCTTCATCCCTGGGATGCAAGGCTGGTTCAGCATACGCAAATCAACACATGTAATCCATCATATAAACAGAACCAAAGACAAAAACCACATGATTATCTCAATAGATGCAGAAAAGACCTTTGACAAAATTCAACAGCCCCTTATGCTAAAAACTCTCAATAAACTAGGTATCGATGGGACATATCTCAAAATAATAAGAGCTATTTATGACAAAGCCACAGCCAATATCATACTGAATGGGCAAAAACAGTTTCCCTTTGAAAACTGGCACAAGAAAAGGATGCCCTCTCTCACCACTCCTATTCAAGATAGGGTTGGAAGTTCTGGACAGGGCCATCAGGCAGGAGAAAGAAATAAAGGGTATTCAATTAGGAAAAGAGTAAGTCAAATGGTCTCTGTTTGCAGATGACATGGTTGGATATTTAGAAAACCCCATCATCTCAGCCCAAAATCTCCTTAAGCTGATAAGCAACTTCAGCAATGTCTCAGGATACAAAATCAATGTGCAAAAATCACAAGCATTCGTACACACCAATAACAAACAGAGAGCCAAATCATGAGTGAACTCCCATTCACAATTGCTTCAAACAGAATAGAATACATAGGAATCCAACTTACAAGGGATATGAGGGACCTCTTCAAGGAGAACTACAAACCACTGCTCAATGAAATAAAAGAGGACACAAACAAATGGAAGAACATTCCATGCTCATGGGTAGGAAGAATCAATATTGTGAAAATGGCCATACTGCCCAAGGTAATTCATAGATTCAATGCCATTCCCATCAAGCCACCAATGACTTTCTTCACAGAATTGGAAAAAACTATTTTAAAGTTCATACGGAACCAAAAAAGAGCCTGTATAGCCAAGACAATCCTAAGCCAAAAGAACAAAGCTGGAGGCATCATGCTACCTGACTTCAAACTATGCTACAAGGCTACAGTAACCAAAACAGCATGGTACTGGAACCAAAACAGAGATATAGACCAATGGAACAGAACAGAGCCCTCAGAAATAACACCACACATCTACAACCATCTGATCTTTGACAAACCTGACAAAAACAAGCAATGGGGAAAGGATTCCCTATTTAATAAATGGTGCTGGGAAAACTGGCTAGGCATATGTAGAAAGCTGAAACTGGATCCCTTCCTTACACCTTATACAAAAATTAATTCAAAACGGATTAAAGACTTACATGTTAGACCTAAAACCATAAGAACCCTAGAAGAAAACCTAGGCAATATCATTCAGGACATAGGCACGGGCAAGGACTTCATGACTAAAACACCAAAAGCAATGGCAACAGAAGCCAAAATTGACAAATGGGATCTAATTAAACTGAAGAGCTTCTGCACAGCAAAAGAAACTACCATCAGAGTGAACAGGCAACCTACAAAATGGGAGAAAATTTTTGCAATCTACCCATCTGACAGAGGGCTAATATCCAGAATCAAAAAAAACTTAAACAAATTTACAAGAAAAAATCAAACAACCCCATCAAAAAGCAGGCAAAGGATATGAACAGACACTTCTCAAAAGAAGACATTTGTGCAGCCAACAGACACATGAAAAGATGCTCATCATCACTGGCCATCAAAGAAATGCAAATCAAAACCACAATGAGATACCATCTCACACCAGTTAGAATGGCAATCATTAAAAAGTCAGGAAACAACAGGTGCTGGAGAGGATGTGGAGAAATAGGAACACTTTTACACTGTTGGTGGGACTGTAAACTAGTTCAACCATTACGGAAGACAGTGTGGTGATTTCTCAAGGGTCTAGAACCAGAAATACCATTTGACCCAGCAATCCCATTACTGGGTATATACCCAAAGGATTATAAATCATGCTACTATAAAGACACATGCATACGTATACTTATTGCAGCACTATTCACAATAGCAAATACTTTGAACCATCCCAAATGTCCATCAGTGATAGACTGGATTAAGAAAATGTGGCACATATACACCATGGAATACTATGCAGCCATAAAAAAGGATGAGTTCATGTCCTTTGTAGGAACATGGATGAAGCTGGGAACTATCATTCTGAGCAAACTATCACGAGGACCATAAAACCAAACACCACATGTTCTCACTAATATGTGGGAATTGAACAATGGAAACACTTGGACACAGGGAGGGGAACATCACACATCAGGGCCTGTCATGGGGTGGGGGGAGGGGGGAGGGATAGCATTAGGAGGAATATAATTACATTATTTACCTAATGTAAATAATGAGTTAATGGGTGCAGCACAGCAAGATGACACATGTATACATATGTAACAAACCAGCACATTGTGCACATGTACCCTAGAACTTAAAGTATAATAAAATACATAAATAAATAAAATGATAGACTTGGACAAATGATGTCTAAGCTCTCTTAGTTCCAACTTTCTAAAATCTTAGCATTTTAGGAAATCTTGCAGCCCCAAAACCTCTAGACACCATGAAATCAAATACTAAATTGTGTAATCTAGATTCCTATATTGGTAGTTCAGAGGAAGAGAGAATGGATGGGGAATTTTGCAGAAATAAAAAGAAAACATCAAATGCGGCTCTTCCATGACCTGCTAGGATCTGCTTCTACCAAATCATGGATATAGAAATAGGCCCAGCTGCACACCACTCTTTCTAATTATCCTGTTCTTCCAATTCCTCTTTTATGCATTTTTTTTGCCCACTCTCTCTCGAAACACAGTAGCTCTGGGAGTTGAAAATTAAGTTTTAATGAAGAGATTAAAAGAAGTAAGTTTATTCCTAAAGAAATAAAATTGAGAGACAGCAAATAACCGTACTGATGTAAGAATAGATGGCAGACTTCTGCACTGCACATTTTCAGTAAATCC
The DNA here is from genome assembly GCF_000001405.40 of Homo sapiens. Classification (NCBI taxonomy): domain Eukaryota; kingdom Metazoa; phylum Chordata; class Mammalia; order Primates; family Hominidae; genus Homo; species Homo sapiens. The sequence goes on from NC_000003.12 coordinate 3,869,406, forward strand.
TATTTTTCACAAAAATGATTTGCAAAGCTGGCATCTTGAAACACGAGAGATGCCCAAAATGAGAGTTCTGTATTTAAAACCCCCATTTTAGTAGCTGCATTCTTAGGATTATGGGCTCTGGAGTCAAACTGTCTAGGGTCAAATACAGGCTCTGCCAGTTACTAACTGAGACCTTGGACAAGAATTTAACCTCATCTGCAAAGCTGAGATAATAATAGTAATTATCCCTATGGGATACTACTATAAAAATCTGAAAGAAAATGAATGTAAAATAACCAACACAGAGCCTGCTTATAACCTATATATCTAGCCAACATTTATCAGGCATGTTCTAATTTTGAGGTACTGAGCTAGCCTTTGGAGATGCAATTATAAGGAAGACTCATCTTTCCCCATAAGGAATCCATCCTTTAATAATGAAAACACCTATGTTCCCTACTATAATATGATGCTATGGTCAATACAAATATAACTGTATATGCAGAATGCCTTGGAGAGGGAAAGCAGAGACTGAATAATTCAATGAAGACAATGAGAAGGTTCAAAAAGGAGATTATTTTATTACTGGTCCTTTAAGAAAAGCAGAATGTCGCTGTTTGGAAATGTAAGGATGAAATTCCAGTTGACAGAGCAGTACAGCCAAAGGACAGAGATGTGTAAGTAAATTGTGTGTTCTTGGACATGCAGATAGTCTGGCATGACTACAGCATGGATTTCAAGGTGGGGAGTGTTAGAAATAAGGCTGTAAAGGTAGGCTTCCTCTAAGTAGTGGCAAATTGACTGATTGATTCAGCAAATATTTATTGAGTACCTGAGTTAGATCAGAGACGTACTATTATCTCAATTTACAGATACCAAAACTAACATTCAAAAGATTAAATGGTTTGCTCAAGGGCATAAGCAAATTCTCCTTTCAGCCCGCTTTTTTATTTCAATTTTTATTTTAGATGCAGGGGGTACATGTGCAGGGTACATTGTGTGATACTGAGGTTTGGGGCACGATTGATCCCATCACCCAGGTAATGAGCACAGTACCCAATAATTAGTTTTTCCGCCATTGTTACCCTTCCTCACCCCCTCTTATAGCAGTCTCTGGTGTCTTTTGTTACCATATTTATGTCCATGTCTATTCATTGTTTAGCTCCCACTTATAAATGAAAACATGTGGTATTTGGTTTTCTGTTCCTGTGTTAATTTGCTTAGGATAATGGCCTCCAGCTGTATCCATGTTGCTGCAAGGAACATGATTTTGTTCTTTTGTATGCCTGCATGGTATTCCATGGTGTATACATACCACAATTTCTTTATCCCATTTGCCATTTGTAGGCATCTAGATTCATTCCCTGCTTTTGCTATTGTGAACAGTGCTGCAATGAACATATGAGTGCATGTATCTTTTGGTAGAATGATTTATGTTTCTTTAAACATGAAAAAAATGATCAACATCACTAATCATGGAGAAATGCAAATCAAAACCACAATGGGATAGCATCTCACAACAGTCAGAATGGCTACTATGAAAAAGTCAAAAAATAACAGATATTGGCGAGGCTGCAGAGAAAAGGGAACACCTATAGACTGATGGTGTGTATGTAAATTAGTTCAACAACTACGGAAAGCAGTTTGGAGATTTCTCAACTCTTGAATAGAGGACAGATAATCCACTAGGCCAGCCTGGGAAGAAGTCTTGTTTGGGAAATCTAGGAGGCCTTCACTTTTGGTGACACCTACCTGAATTACAAGTCCAGTATCTGCAAGGAACCAACCAGTTCCCAATCTAGGAATGAATGTACTTTGCAAAGTACATTTTGCTGAGTAAAGATAAACATCACAATCTGAATATCACTGACAATAGCCGAAACTTACCAGTTACATCCTACATTCAAGGCCCTTAGTGTAAATTATTTCCTTTAATCCTCACCACAATTTGATAAAATAGATTAAGATGCCATGCAATTGGAAGGATTGCTACTATTAACTCTGTCACACAGATGAGAACATGGAGAACAAAAATAGATTTAGTGATTTGCCCAATGTCACACTGAAAGTGGAGAAAGGTAGGTTGGATATAGGTTTTCTGATTCTAGAACTGAAAACTTTCACCAATGGGCCATGTTCCCTCTGGCATCTCTGCAATCATGTGGCTTCACAACCTTGAGACCCAGGAATATTATAAGAACACAATTTGTTCTCAACTGACAAAAAATCATGAGCAGTGCCAACTCTGTGTGGTGCCAACCCAGCTCTTTCCCCTGACCCAGTGGGGAAAAGGTATTTATGGTAGTTAGGTGAAGATAAAGGCATTTAAGGAAGGAATAGGGTTCTAAGGCATCCTATGCTTCCTTCTACTTAAAGACCTTTCTCCTCCCCCCTTCTATAAACACCCCAAGATCTGGCTTTACCCCTTACTACTAGTTCTTATTACAGGCTTCTACAGATCCCTGTCACTCCCCATTATTCCTGGAGATCTTAGGTCCTGACTTACTGCTGCTTTCTCCAGTACTACTCCTGTCATCATTCCTGATGTGTTTAATATTGATGTAGAGAATCCTTCCAGTTGCATGGCATCTTAATTCCTTGACTTCCTTCCTGTCTTCCAATGACCTTGTCCCACACACAATCTCAGCCACTTACCCAACAGTCATTCTCTGGACCTCATCATTCCTAACAACCCTCCATACTCTCAATTTCAAATATTCCACTCTGGAAAGCAGATCCATTGCCTCCTATGATTCTTCATTCCCAACCAGGACAAGCAGTCCACTATTCTAAAGCCATTTTCCTGTCCTTTAAACCTCGTATGTCCTCACTTCTTTATTACCCAGCTTCTATGTCAGGTGTGTCATTCCTTGATGTGTATACAACCCCCACTTCTTTGCCCTTTATTGTTTTCATATTCTCCAACCAAACGCTACTCTAGGTAAATCCAACTTTTTACCAACCCTGAATTTATACCTGTGTAGCTGAAATGGCTGGGGAAAGAAAACTACAACCATTAGAAATGTTCTGCCTTTAAGTTAACGATTGTGAACCCCAAAAGGGTTATAGCAGTACCCAGTAATCCTACTGCATCCCCCAGTGCATTCCCTCTCCCCGTTTCCTAAGAGAGGTATTTCACGCTTTCTGTTTCCCCTGACATCACAACTCCTCCCATTCCCTTACTCCCAGCTAATGAATGCCCTTTCTCCTTATTTCATGGAGAAAATAGACACAATCAGAAGAGAAATTCTGTATGTTCTCATAGCCACATCTACCCTCCCACCTGCATTTGTGTCCATATGCCCTGCCTTCCCTCCTGTTACTCCTGTTTGCTTCCTGGACTTGTCCTTGCTTCTACCTAAATTAATTCCCCACAATTGTGCAGTAGATGCCATCCACTCTTGCCTACTTCAGGATATTTCCCTAGCAATTGGTCCCTCTCTTTCATGCATAATTAAATTTTCCCTCTCTACTGAATTATCCTCGTCAGCATTCAAGTGTGCTGTAATTTCTTACATCTCAACAAAAAAAAACAATCTTGACCCACTTTTCCCTCTAGCTACCACCTCATTTCTCAGCTGCCCTTTAAAGCAGACTCTCTAGTTTATCCCCTCCCATAAATCCACTTTTGAATCTACTTCCCTGAAACTGATCTTGAAAAAGACACCAATGGTTTCCATGCTGCTAAACTGAATGATTTTGCTTTAAAGGCCTCATCCTACTTGAAAGGTGAGCAGCATTTGACACAGTTGATCATTCCCGCCTCCTGGAAACAGTTTCTTCCCATGGCATCTGGGACTCCACACCCTCTTGATTTTCCACCTGCCTTACAGAACAGTCTTTCTCAGCCCTTTTGCTGGTTTCTCCTTATCTCCCCAAACTCTTCGCTGTGGAGTACTCCAAGACTCAGTCCCCACACCTCCACCCACACACACTCCAGTCTCAGGGCTTTGATTGTCACCAGCACATTCATGGTTGAAATTTCTACCTCCAGTTCACACCTCTCTCCTGAGTTCTAGTCTTTAATATGCATCTGTACCCTCATTTCTAATAAGCCTTTTAAGGTTAACATGTTTGAAGCTGAACTCCTGATTTTTCCCCAAAACGTACTCTACCCCCAAACTTCCCCATATCTGTTAAAGGCAAATCCACCTTCATTTTGTCTGAGTCTCAAATCTTGGACTCATCCTGGCCTCTTCTTTTCCCTTCATATCATTCATCTGCTCTACTGGCAAATCCCGTTGGCTCTAACGTTGGTGCAAAATCAGAATCCGACACTTTCACTACCTCCAATGACACAAACCCAATCCGTACCACCATCACCTCTCACTTGAAATATTGGTGAATTCTCTTGCCTCTGCCTTAAAAATATCCAGACTCTGATTGGTTTGGATCAATTCACTATCATCTCTTGCCTGGTTGACTACAAGGGACTCCTAAATGGTCCCCTTGCTCCTGCCCTTGACCCTAAGCTAGAATGATCCCCTTAAATGTAAGACTAAGCATGGAATTCCCTAGCTCAAAACCTTCCAGTGATTTCCCACCTCACTCTGAGTGAAAGCCCATATTCTTACAACTGCCTTTGAGGCCTAGTTGTGCTCCTATCATTGCCAGCTACCTCTGAGACTTCACGACCTCCAATTCTCTCAGTCAGTCCTCTACTCTTACTGTGCCGGTCTTCTTGCCACTGTTCAAACACTTCACACCCTCTTTCCTCTGAAAGCCTTTGTGCACTGGTTAGTTCCTCTGTCTATCCAATAGAACTCTCTATCATGATGGAAATATTCTAGATTTGTGCTGTTCTAGATCTGCTCTAGATCTGTTTTAGGTACAGTAGCTACCAGGCACCTGTGGCTTTTGGGCACTTGAAATACAGCCAGTGCAACTGAGGAATTGAGTTTTTAATTGTATGTGTTTTATTTATTTTAAATGTAAACAGCCACATGTTGCTAGTGCATACCATATTAGACAAAGCAGGTCTACTGTGCTCTTCCTTGAGATATCTGCATGGCTCATTCCCTCACTTCTTTCAGGTATCTGCTTAAATGTCACTTTAATAGTGAGGCTTTCCTGATCAAAGTACTTAAAAGAGCAAGTCACCGCCACCTGGCACTCTTCATCCACCTTCCCTGGTTTGCTTAATTTCTCCATAGTAATTAGAAACATAAGCATACTATATGTTTTTGTTTGCTCATTTATTTGTAATCTATATCTCCAAACTAAAATTAAAAGTCCATACAGGCAAAGATTTTAGTCTGTGTTGCTTTTGCTGCTATACCACCAGTGCCTAGAAAAATACCTGGGACATAGAGCTCAGGAATTGCTTATAGATTCTAAAATCTCCTTTCCATCACTAACTTCTTGGCTGGTCTTGCACAAGTAATGGTCCATCTCTTGGTTTCAGCTTTTTTCTTTCTCCTAATGTCCTCTAATATTGAGCCCTGTTTGTTTCCTTCTTAGTACTTACAACAATTTATAAATTCTGTTTGTTTACTTGCTTATTGCCTGTCTCCTCACTGAACTGTAAACTCCCAAATGGCAGTGACTATGTTCTTCTTATTAATCTAATGTCATCATTGCTCAATAAATAAAGAGTCTTTCTGGGATGTGAGGCAATAAAATCTGCCACCCAATAGGTGTTCACCCAGTATTTAAGATTTGCATTAATTATTTAATATTCAAAGTGAAGAGTTTTAACTATTTGGAATGTAATCAACTAGTTGGATTAGAGGCCTACTATCTACCACTGTATCAGTGAGAAAATGTAGTTATATTAATCCATATTTGGATGCTTTTTTAAGATCTGTAGGATGCTACTGAATAGGTGTCCAATAAGGATTTGTTGAAGATTGCATTAATTATTTCTTCTTCAAACATGGGTCAACATAATGGCACAGACAGCAGAAAAGGCCAACTCTAGAGTGCCATACTCTTGTAGAATTGTGGGCTCTGAGGAGCCCTGGAGGCTGGGAGGGTCCTCAGGAAGGGTTGGCATTGTGCCCACCTGTCAGATGTGACTGGGGGCCTACAATCTGGCATTTTTCCATTTTTTCACTCTCCTGGCTGGTTTTTGTTGTGGTGGTGTTTTGTGATAGTGGTTTTGTGAAAAGGCTCGGGAGGGCATTTCTGCACTGTTAATACAGCCATCTTCGTAACACCTGCCACCTGTGTTAAACGGCCACCCTGCCCAGTCCCTTGCCCTCATTCGGCCCCCATCCACAGCTCCAATGGGGCAGTTCCTATTAAAAGGCCCTTCCTTTCTTTACTACACGAAGCATTAGAACTCGGCAGAGACAGGACACTAAATCAGCAGTAAACTTGTCCATTCACCTTTAACATTTCAAGTCCATAAAGTATCCTTTACTGCTAGCAGAGAGTGGGGAGTTTTCCTATTGGCTTGACATAATTTTTTACAGGGATTTAACATTTTCGAAAAGACATCCGCTAAGCTCTCAATAGATCTTCCATAAAAAAGAACTGAGTTCTAAGATTATCACCTTTGGTTAGAAACCCAGTTTATCAGCATCAGTATTATCACTTGCTTAATTGTTTAAAAAAAATGTACAATCACCTCCCAGTCATTTTACTTTAGGAAAAGTTACACTGGGCCTCATTTTGATATCTTCCAAAGTTACCTTTCTTCTTCTTATGACCTTAATACTTCTAGCAAGAATCAATAATTAAACAGATATTTGTGATGTGTTTTTTTTAGTGTCAAAATTTAACTTTATACATTGCTAAGTTATGTTTCTAATTCTGAACTGAGGCTCTCACTTTTTATCGTTAAACCTGTCTATCAAAAGCTCAAAATTTCAAGGAGCCTAAATTTTGTCTTTGATGCTGTACTGATGAATTGCAATGTAAATTTTCAGAGACAACAGAAAAGGACCATCACTTATACATGTCCATTTTCAAAGGGTAATTTCTGCAGCTCTCCCTCTTCACTCTGAGAGTCTGAGTGACAGTCTATGCCCTTGGTTAACCAACCTCAGGGATGGTTGTTAGCACTTCCAGTTATTTACTGTCACTAAAGTGAAAGCCGTCTTTAAAAAATGTGTCCTTATAAATCCAGCAGGAAATCCAAGTTTCCTATTGGTCCTCCTTCTGATTCTTCTCTGATTTCTTATTCTGAAAAATTACGGATAGTAGTGTACTAATTAAGTTTTTAGGAGGGAGACCCTTAATGATGAATTAAGATAGCATTTTTGCAGTGTTGCTAAGTGGCTTTAGTCTACAATGGACTCAGTGATCCCAAAATAAATTTAATCTTGTCTCTCACTGAAATAGTTGAAATCTTGGTGCACAATGTAAATCTGGAAAAAAAGAAAAATACCTGTGGTTCCAGCTACTTGGGAGGCTAAAGTTGGAGGACTGCTTGAGCCCAGAAGGTCAAGGCTGCAGTGAGCTATGATCATGGCACTGCCCTCCGTCCTGGGTGACAGAGTGAGACCCTGTCTCAAAAAAACAAAAACAAAAACAAACAAACATAGAAAGAAAGAAAAATAGATAAATTACAGAATGTAATTAATAATTAGGATCTTCTTATTTTCAAGGGTAATAATATAAATTGAAGTTCTAACAGTATTGCCAGGCAGAGAATGGATCAAACCTACTATAATGAAAACTCAAAAACCACCTGTAATTAGAAAATGAATTTTCTTATATCACATGGAAAAATTTGTTCTTTTCCAGGCACCACAACTCATCACAAATTCCTTAAAACTCATCACAAATTGTGGGGACAAGTGCCTAAGGTTTTACCTTACTTTGCATTAGCTTCTTGGTAGGTTTCCTAACTGAATCGGCTACCCAGGAGACATTTCAACCCCCTTAGCCTGACACAGGGAAAGAACAGAAGGTGGGGAGAAAGAACTGGGGAGGCGGAACTGTCAATGAGTAAATTCGTATCTGGCAGACTACACTTATTTAGCATGTCTCTTGAGCTTTTTTTTTAGTTTATATTCATGTAACACATCAGGACAGGGTCAAGAGAGATGGTATAGTATAGTGAAAATTACCCTGGTTTCATCAGGAGACCTTGACTCTAGTCCCTAACAGGCTCTCACTGCCCTGTGACTCAGTGTCAACATCTGGCTGCCATTTCCCTCATCTACTAAATTAGAGAGGTTGGAAAATCTATTCTCTAAAAGTCTCTTTTGACCCTAACATTCCATGATTCAATGAAATATAATTACTAATGTAAAAATACAAGATAATTCATTCAATCAAATTATATTGCCTCAATCTAAATGATTTTGCGTTTCAAAGTTCAAATGTAATTACAGAGAAATGAAGAGGACAGACATGAGTTGCCACTGAAAGCTAACAGGCATCACAGGCAGCAGCTCGCTTTCTGGAAATGCACATTGACAATTAGCAATTAACGTCTTCTGGAGACAAGCAAATGATCAGGAAGCCTCTTGGCAGAAGGGAGTCATAAAGTTTCATCGTACCACTTAACAGATATTTTATCATATGATAAATTAGGTACTTTTCCATCCACTGTAATAATATATTCCCTACAATAATTAAAGGTGATTCCAGGCCTGATGCACTCTGGCTGGGTGTGATCCTGATCGTTTGTTCAATCAGATTTTGGTAGGTTTGTGCCAAAAAGAAGAATAGAATCATGATCTCCTCTTTTCTTTTGGTGCTCAGAAACAGAAAACTGAACCCTGCAAAAGGAACACATGCTTCAATTATCTGCAAAGTTCAGCCGTAGGCCTTGACCTCAGACAGGGCTGGATTCAGGGGATATCACAATGTCAGTAAGACACAGTCCTTCCCTCTTTTGGCTCTCCTCTGTTCTGTGTTGTTTTATTCCCAGATTCCACAAGCAGCAATGTGGCTGACTGCTACAAGCTCTGAGTCTGCATCTTCCCAGGTTCAATTTCAGTGCAAATGAGTACTTGTTTTCCTCCAAAGTCAGAACAAAAATCCTGAGCCTCATTACTACTGGCCTGAATTAAATCACATGGTCAAATCTGAACCAAGCACTGTGGCCCAAGAATACAATAAGCTGATCAGCCTGGTCCTGGGTCCCATGCCAGCCCTGGAGGTGGTGGGGGGAGCAGAGGTCAGCCACCCCACCACACACACCCTGCCAAGTGAGAGTGAGGGTTTCCTCAGGGAGTAACCTTAGCTAGAAGCTGGGGGATGGCAGAGTTATAAGCTACAGATCTCTATTTCATGCCTGAAATAACATGAGACCCTAGAGTACAGTCATCAACTTAGAAATTATCCTAAAGATCTGAGTCCCATCTCTTTATGTAAGGCTGAAAATGCAGAGTCTTGAAGAAACTGAGGCAGTGAAGCATAGTGGTTAAACTCATAGGCTTTGGAATCAGACAACCTGGGCTTTGAGTTCTGATTCTGCCACTTTACTAGTTTTGTGTCTCTGAGCAAGTTACTTTACAGACTGGAACCTGGTTCTACTCATCTGAAAATAGGATGAGTTGTGGTACCCAGCTCACAGGGGTGATGTGAAGATTGAGATAATGAATGTATAGCACTTAGCAGACTACCTAGCACTCAGTCAAATAAATGACAGCCATTACTGGTAAAGAGAGGAAAACACTGGCCCAAATGCACATAGCTGGTTCATGGAAAATCTGGAACTAAAATGGGATCTCTTGACTTCTGGTTCAAAGCTAGTAGTGAATCAAGGTGAAATTTAATAGCACACAAGACAGTTATATCCAAAATATCACAGAAAACATCAGTCTTTTTTCCCAAATTGCTACCTGGAGCTTCATGGATCCCATTTCACAGAGCCATATAATTTTAACATCACCAGACCTTCTTTAAAGAAGTCAAGACAGGCCTGTCATTTTACTCCGCTGACTATGACCAGATGCATTCAAGAAAGACACAATTGACCTAACAAACACAAGTTGAGACCCTTGGGAAGATACGGCCACTGGTCTCAGCAGCCAAGTATTTGCTAAGAACTCTCTGTGAATCCAAAATTGTGTGGAATATGAAAATAGAAAATACATTCTCTGCATTGAAAGGCCTTACTCTTGTTGGGAAATGGGTCAAGTGGATGGTAGAGACTAAAAGTGTTGAAAGTGCTAAGGCAGAAGGGATCGCTGTGGGAAATGCATGGCTGACTGGGGCAGATGTGATTAAGGAGGACACAATTGGGAAAGGGACTCCAGGTAAGGAGTGCAGCATTAGCAAAGACTAGCAAGAAGACAAGTGGGAGAGTAGGAAGAGGAGCACCCAGGACAGAGGAAGGAGAAGGAAATCAAGCCAGGCAGTACAATGGTGGCTCTGGATTGAGGACTGAAGAGGCCACACATGAGTGGATGAAGGCTCAGGCATGCAAAACTGTGAAAGCAATGACTCCAAGTCACTCATCTCTTTAAAACATTAATTGGGTCTCCAGTTCTTTACCTTGGTCCCCAAGACCTTCCCTGTACTGACGCCATCTCCCACTTCATTCTTCCTTCTCCTCATGCCCACGACTCTGCTCACTCTTTGCAAAACGTGTCTGAGACACTGCAGTCTTTTCTCATTTCCATGTTCCATTTCTCATACTTAAAATGCATTTCCTCTCTCACGTCTGCCTCCATAGTTCTACAGACTCTAATGCCCAAGTCATGTAACCCTATTTATGATTAATCATACCTTGAAATTGATGATAGAAAGTACAGTTAATGAAGGCCTTCCATTATTCACTACCTCATGTCAGGAGACTTCCCAGAGTCCTTCACATTCCAAACTAGTGATCTCTCCCTCCTGTGAGTCCCATGTAGTAGTAGCAGCAGAAATAATAATAAGAGTGATAATACCACCATTTAATAAGCACTAAGCACTTTACTTATATTGTCTAATTTAATATTTATACCAACTTCATGAACAGTTCTGGCATTCCCATCATGTAGATAAGAAAACTGAGACTCATAAGGAGCAAGTAAATTGCCCAAGGTCACAAAACTAGTAAGTAGCAGAGCAAAGGTTGGAACTCAAAAGCTAGGTTCTTAATCCATTGTACTATCAGAGAAATTTGTTCCTCTCTAATGGTATGGATTACATATTGTCTTTGATAGTTGCAGTAGTCACCATTTATCCATGGGGAATATATTGCAAGACCCCCAGTGGATGCCTGAAACTACGGATAGGACAAAACCCTGTATATACTATGCATTTTTTCCCCTGTACATACATACATATGATAAAGTTTAATTTATAAATTAGGCACAGTACAAGATTTACCATAATAACTAATAATAAAATAGAACAATTAGGGACAATAAAGGCTACTTGAACACACAAGCACTGTGATACTGCCATAGTCGATCTGACCACTGAGATGGCCACTAAGTGACTAGTGGATGTGTGGCAGCTACGGCATGGATATTCTGGGCAAAGGGAGGATTCACGACCTGGGCAAGATGGAGCTGGACCGTGTGAAACTTCATCATGCTACTCAGAACAGTGCACAATGTAAAGCTTATGAATTGTTTATTTCTGAAATTCTCCATTTAAGATTTTTGGACTGTGATTGATCTTTGGTAACTAAAACTGTGGAAGGTGAAACCAAGGATAAGGGAGAACTGCTGTATTTATTTATGTCTTAACTCCCTAAGACTTCAAGGTCCTTGGTGGTGTAGAGCATGTGTTATTCATCTGTATTAATAATAAATAACATTTGTCTAGCAAATTAGTAATTTACAAACCCCTTTAACACACTAGTGCATGGAATTCTTACTACAATCTCGTGAAGCAATGTTCTTGTTTCCACTTCGTTCATAAGAAAATGAAATTCAAAGGACTTAAGTGATATAATCAAGGACCTATTGCTGGTAAGTTGCACAACATCCCCACCTGCATTTCTCAACCAAAATCTGATGGTTTTGGAGTTGCTTCATAAATACCCCAGCTCTCTCACTCTTCCAGGGAGAGAGCAGGGAGGTGTGTGTTCTACGCTAGTTCCCGGAGTTCTCCGGTAGGAATGAGCTTCAGTTACCCACAGTGGTAATTTCTTTAATCGCACAGCCTTTACTGACTCCTTCTGTTTTTCTCTTCCCCACGTCTAGACTACTGTTTCCTGGGATCACCTTCCAAATCAACTACTTGTACTCAATTTCTTTCCTCAGAGTTTGCTTCCAGAGAAACCAAAATTAAGACATTCTTCTAAAAGCACTGTTTCTCCTAATCGGTTGGATGAGTGAGGTTAAGGAGGAACCTAAATAAATCAGGAATTTTTGACTATGTGATTTCCATTTTAAATTTTTCAAACAAAAGGGAGAGGGAGCTGCTATAAAGAGAACAGTCATTTAATAGCCTGCAGCCTGTTAAATTCATTGCAAGTCCAAACTTCTGCTTAAAGGGACCCAGGTATCAAATTGGCAGTTGCCTTGGAATCTAAAATAGAATTGGTTAGTATGGACTAGAGAAAAATATTTTGCATTTCTCTGGTTATTTCCATTACAGACAGAAATATTCTGACACTTGCTCCTTTGCTCTGATTACAGCTTAAGGCAATTTCAGAAATTCTTAAATTGAACTGGAACCCCCACTTATACCAAGTAGCATAGCTCCTTCTCAGTGTCTCAAAGCCTTAGCATGAAATCAAGGATTTGGATGTGGTCAAGGGGTATTAACAGAAAAAAATGAGAACAATTAAATTTGAAGAAGGAGTGTTCAAGGAAACAGAGATAAAAATGCGTGGGCATAAATGCATGCACAGCAACCCCCAAGTCCGTAGAATAACTAACGTTGTTTTGAGTTCACAGGGCATTTTCATTTTTTGTCCAGGAAATTGTCTGAATCCAATGGTGGCTTCATTATTCTCATAACATTTCTGGGCCTCTCCCCAGAGGGGAAAGCTGCAACACAGAAATTTTAAGTCAAGTGGCAAAGCTAGGCTGATGCCTTAAGGTAGATGGTTTATGAAGATTACTTCAGGTTTTGAGAAAGCATATTCCTCAAAATCTTGGCCTAATTTTCTATTAATGAATGAGGAAGTACTTTCATATCTAAAAAGGTGCTGTATAACTATAAATATTTTTATTTTATATGGTTTGTTAAATCATCTGTCCAGGTAGAGTCCTATTCTTAATTGGAGGTCAGGAACTGGTTAGGAGCGCTGGTTAAGATGTCAAAGATGGGCAGGGCGTGGTGGTTCACACCTGTAATCCCAGCACTTTGAGAGGCTGAGGCAGGCAGATCACAAGGTCAAGAGATCAAGACCATCCTGGCCAACATGGTAAAATCCTGTCTCTACAAAAAATACAAAATTAGCTGGGCATGGTGGCGCATGCCTGTAGTCCCAGCTACTTGGGAGGCTGAGGCAAGAGAGTCGCTTGAACACAGGAGGTGGAGGTTGCAGTGAGCCGAGATCATGCCACTGCACTTCAGCCTGGCAACAGAGAGAGACTCTGTCTCAATTAAAAAAAAGATGTCAAAAGATGAAAGATGATGGTGACTACTTTGGAGAAGAGAAGGCTTGGCACGGAGCTGACAGGTGGTGTTCATCTGGCCCTACAGCTGAGCCAGTGATAGAACTGAGAGTAAAACCTTCATATCTTCAAAAATCCCTGGGATAGCCTGGCAAAGAGTGAGAGATTTTGTACCCTGTGACTCTATTAAAATTTTGAATGGTATCAGATTCTAAGAGATCTTTATTCAGAGGATTATCTCAACATGTGATGGTTTCATTTATTCTCAGGATATCCCTAATGGGTAAACTATGGATAAAAGACAGTACTTTTCCCCTCCAAGGAGGAAACAGGGAAGAGAAATTGCAAGAAAACTATCATGGTCCCAAGTGGGAGTGTGAATGGCAGAGTCATGAAGGTCTTTTTTTTTTTTTTTTTTTTTAACTGCTGACACTCCATGTCACCACAAGCCAAAAATTCTTAATTCTGGAAAAAAAAACAGAAAAAGAAGGATTTGGGAATCTAGAAAAGCTAATGTCAGAGAAAAGGTAATTTTTTTCTCATTGTATTCTTTGGAGAGATAAAAGAAGATAAAGCAAATGTAACTTGCTCAAATAAAGGGTTTATTGGTCTAATCTGTGTTCTGCCATGCTAGGATGGGCTTTGTTTATGATGGGCATGCCCACCATGGGCAAAGCCAAGCCTGTGTTGTGGGAAATGTTGAAGGCATACTCTTGGGCACACCTTGTATTCCCTCACTCAATTATCCTCAGCTGAATAGTTTAACTTAAAAATGACCTGAAGCTTTTCTCATCTTAAGCAAGATACTCTCTGTCTTCTTCCATAACTTACAGAGAACTGGGAAGCAGGAGTCAGCACTTACATAAAATAATCTAAAGAAATGCATCTAAAGGCTACTGTCATTAAGAGGAAGCCCTAACAGAGTTCAAACATTTCACTCAAAACCAGAATGGTTTTCTCAGTCTTATCATTTATTAAATTTATGTTTATCATATGAGGTAAGCTGGTTAGGTTACACTACTTTCATTTTAGAGGTGACAAGGCTATGGCTTATATTAATTAAAAGATACCAAGTAATTTCTTAGGTTTAATTACACCTAGCTGCATAGAAAATATCTTTTACTAAACTGGGAAAAAACATACTGTTTTTTTCATTTTTTAGCTACCAAGCAGAGAAGGCAAAGAAATGCCCTAGATGGTTGATATTGACATTTCTGTTCTTATCATAGGTTGTGATGCTGGCTCTTTCCATCACTGACTTCTCCACCTGTTTTCAAAGGTGGACTTGTAATAGTAATTGCCAAAGTAATTCCTCTATTATTGCTCTGCTCTTTTGGGTGCCCTTTTCTTCAGCTAAAGGTTATTGCACCCACTAATCAGAAATACGGAAAATGCCCTCAAAGGTCATTTCTGAAACTTTGTCTTAAAGAGCAATCTCTTTTGCAACCTAGTCAGGATATTTTGCCAGTTTTCCCAAGAAAAGAGTTTTACGGAAATTGTTCTTACTTGTGAGAAGTTTCCAATATTAATTGAAAAATTTTTTATAGGGGGAGAATCAAGTTGGGAGTCAGGAAACAAGGTGCTATGGTCTGAATGTGTCCCTCAACACAAAATTCATGTGTTGGAAATTTAATCCCCATTGCAATAGTGTTGGAAGGTGGGGTCTTTTGGAAGGTGTTTAGATGATGAGGGCTCTGCCTTCATGAATAGATTAATCCTGTTATAAAAGGGCTTGATAGAGAGAGTTTTGTTCCTTTTTGCTTTTCCACCTTGTGCCATGTGAAGGTGCAGCGCTGTACCCCTCCAAAGGATGCAGCATTCAAAGTGCCATCTTGGAAGCAGACAGCAGCCCTTATCATATGCCAGAGTCTTGATCTTGGACTTCCTGGCCTCTACAGCTGTGAAAAATAAATTTCTGTTCTTTATCAATTAATTAATCTGTGGTATTTTGTTACAACAGCACAAACAGACTATAACACAAAGGTTCTAGATTTACAGCTGCCACAAATAGCTATATGTTGTTGGGTAAGGCATTTAATCACTCCAGTTACAAAATCTTTCATTTGCAAAATAAGAGAATTGGAATGGATAATCTCTGAGGTATATTCCAGTTCTAAATCCATTATAATTCCATGGCAAATAATGTCAGGTAATATTTTTAAAGAAAAATATATTATAAAAATTTTTATTTAAATATTGAGATAAAAAATTATTGCCTGTCTCTTGGGCTATACAGGCTTTTTTATGGTGAGGGTTTTCTCCACAGACAGAAGAACAGGAAGAAGGGAAAGTTTGGGATTGGATAAAAGGAAGATTTCTTTTCCTCACCTTGGTTACTAATCCTTTACCTAGTTGGTAGGTGCTTCATTCACCCTGGAGATCTTTGACTAAAAGGCAGGCATTCAGGACCAAGCATAATCCATCTCTTGCATAAAACATGGGACGCTTTGGAGGATGCCTGGTGTTCAAAATGGTAATATTTCTACCCCTTTGTCAAAAGTAACATCATATTCCATATCACTGCCCCCCCTCCACCTGTCAGAAGGGGATTAGAAAGGGTGTTGTTCCAGAAAATAAAAGTTTCAAAACCAACAAACCCAGGTCAGATACCTATAAAACCTTATAAGACAAGAACAAATTGCAATTAAAGAAGACGCCCAACAAAGAAGAAATGAAATGAAATATTGATAGCTGTTTAAGGGAGTTCACATTCTATCTGTGTAAGTGGGAAATGCTCAACCTCCTGAGACTCCTCCTATCTCTAAAATTCTACCACTCTGTGCCTTTATGATAATTCTAGATTATTTTTTAATTTTCATTTTTTTATTATACGTAAGTTCTGGGATACATATGCAGAACGTGCAGGTTTGTTACATAGGTGTACACGTGCCACGGTGTTTTGCTGCACCCATTAACCTGTCATCTACATTAGGTATTTCTCCTAATGCTATCCCTCCCCTAACCCCCCACCGCCTGACAGGCCCCAGTGTGTGATGCTCCCCTCCCTGTATCCATGTGTTCTCATTGTTCAACTCCCATTTATGGGTGAGAACATGCAGTGTTTGGTTTTCTGTTCCTGTGTTAGTTTGCTGAGAATGACGGTTTCCAGCTTCATCCATGTCCCTGCCAAGGACATGAACTCATCCTTTTTTATGGCTGCAGAGTATTCCATGGTATATATATGCCACATTTTCTTTATCCAGTCTATCATCGATGGGCATTTGGGTTGGTTCCAAGTCTTTGCTATTGTGAATACTGCCGCAATAAACATACGTGTGCATGTGTCTTTATAGTAGCATGATTTATAATTCTTTGGGTATATACCCAGTAATGGGATTGCTGGGTCAAATGGTATTTCTGGTTCTAGATCCTTGAGGAATCGCCACACTATCTTCCACAATCGTTTAACTAGTTTACACTCCCACCAACAGTGTAAAAGCATTCCTATTTCTCCACATCCTCTCCAGCATGTTGTTTCCTGACTTTTTAATGATTGCCATTCTAACTGGCATGAGATGGTATCTCATTGTGGTTTTGATTTGCATTTCTCTAATAACCTGTGATGATGAGCTTTTTTTTGTATGTCTGTTGGCTGCATAAGTGTCTTCTTTTAAGAAGTGAATGCTCATATATTTCACCCACTTTTTGTTGGGGTTGTTTTTTTCTTGTAAATTTCTTTAAGTTCCTTGTAGATTCTGGATATTAGCCCTTTGTCAGATGGGTAGATAGCAAAAATTTTCTCCCATTCTGTAGGTTGCCTGTTCACTCTGATAATAGTTTCTTTTGCTGTGCACTGCAGAATTTCTTCAGTTTAATTATATCCCATCTGTCAATTTTGGCTTTTGCTGCCATTGCTTTTGGTGTTTTAGTCATGAAGTGTTTGCCCATGCCTATGTCCTGAATGGTATTGCCTAGGTTTTCTTCTAGGGTTTTTATGGTTTTAGGTCTTATGTTCAAGTCTTTAATCCAACTTGAGTTAATTTTATTATAAGGTGTAAGGAAGGCATCCAGTTTCAGTTTTCTGCATATGGCTAGCCAATTTTCCCAACACCATTTATTAAATAGAGAATCCTTTCCCATTTCTTGTTTTTGTCATGTTTGTCAAAGACCAGATGATTGTAGATGTGTGACGTTATTACTGAGGCCTCTGTTCTATTCCATTGGTCTATATATCTGTTTTGGTACCAGTACCATGCTGTTTTGGTTACTGTAGCCTTGTAGTATAGTTTGAAGTCAGGTAGTGTGATGCCTCCGGCTTTGTTCTTTTTGCTTAGGGTTGTCTTGGCTATACGGGCTCTATTTTGGTTCCATATGAGATTTAAAGTAGTTTTTTCCAATTCTGTGAAGAAAGTCAATAGTAGTCTGAAGGGGACAGCATTGAATCTATAAATTACTTTGGGCAGTATGGCCATTTTTGTGATATTGATTCATCCTATCCATGAGCATGGAATGTTTTTCCATGTTTGTGTCCTCTCTTATTTCCTTGAGCAGCGGTTTGTAGTTCTCCTTGAAGAGGTCCTTCACATCCCTTGTAAGTTGGATTCCTAGGTATTTTATTCTCTTTGTAGCAAGTGTGAATGGGACTTCACTCAGGATTTGCCTCTCTGTTTGTCTATTATTGTTGTAGAGGAACACTTGTGATTTTTCATATTGCTTGCACATTGATTTTGTATCCTGAAACTTTGCTGAAGTTGCTTATCAGCTTAAGCAGATTTTGGCTAAGAAAACAGGGTTTTCTAAATATACAATCATGTCATCTGCAAACAGAGACAATTTGACTTCCTCTTTTCCTAACTGAATACCCTTTATTTCTTTCTCTTGCCTGATTACCCTGGCCAGAACTTCCAATAACATGTTGAATAGGAGTGGTGAGAGAGGGCATACTTGTCCTGTATCAGTCTTCAAAGGGAATGCTTCCAGCTTTTGCCCATTTAGTGTGATATTGGCTGTGGATTTGTCATAAATATCTCTTATTATTTTGAGATACATTCCATCAGTACCTATTTTATTGAGAGTTTTTAGCATGAAGGGGTGTTGAATTTTATCAAAGGCTTTTTCTGCATCTATTGAGTTAATCATGTGGTTTTTGTAATTGATTCTGTTTATGTCATGGATTGTTTACTGATTTGCATATGTTGAACCAGTCTCGCATCCCAGGGATGAAGCTGACTTGATCATGGTGGATAAGCTTTTTGATGTGCTGCTGGATTTTGTTTGCCACTATTTCATTGAGGATTTTTGCATCAATGTTCATCAGAAATATTGGCCTTACATTTTCTTATTTTGTTATTTCCCTGCCAGGCTTTGGTATCAGGATGATGCAGGACCCAGAAAATGAGTTAGAGAGGAGTCCCTCTTTTTGTCTTGTTTGGAATTGTTTCAGAAGGAATGGTACCAGCTCCTCTTTGTACCTCTGGTAGAATTCAGCTGTGAATCCATCTGGTCCTGAGCTTTTTGTTGGTTGGTAGGCTATTAATTACTGCCTCAATTTCAGAACTCATTATTGGTCTAGTCAGGGATTCAGCTTCTTCCTGGTTTAGTCTTGGGAGGGTTTATGTGTCCAGGAATTTATGCATTTCTTCTAGATTTTCTAGTTTATTTGTGTAGAGGTGTTTATAGTATTCTCTGATGGTAGTTTGTATTTCTGTGGGATCAATGGTGATACCCCCTTTATCCTTTTTTATTGTGTCTATTTGATTCTTCTCTCTTTTCTTCTTAATTATTCTGGCTAGTGGTCTATCTATTTTGATATTCTTTTCAAAAAACCAGCTCCTGGATTCACTGAGTTTTTTTTGAAGGGTTTTTCATGTCTCTATCTCATTCAGTTCTGCTCTGATCTTAGTTATTTCTTGTCTTTTGCTAGCTTTTGAATTTGTTTGCTCTTGTTTCTGTAGTTCTTTTAATTGTGATGTTAGGGTGTAGATTTTAGATCTTTCCTGCTTTCTCCTGTGGGCATTTAGTGCTATAAATTTCCCTCTAAACACTCCTTTAGCTGTGTCCCAGAGATTCTGGTAGGTCGTGTCTTCATTCTCATTGATTTCAAAGACATTTATTTCTGCCTTAAATTCGTTATTTACCCAGTCGTCATTCAGGAGCAGGTTGTTAAGTTTCCATGTGTGGTTTTGAGTGAGTTTTTTAATCCTGAGTTCTGATTTGATTGCACTGTGGAAAGACTGTTTGTTATGATTTCCATTCTTTTACATTTGCTGAGGAGTGTTTTCTTTCCAATTATGTGGTCAGTTTTGGAAAAGGTGTGATGTGGTGCTGAGAAGAATGTATATTTTGTTGATTTGGGTTGGAGAGTTCTGTAGATATCTATTAGGTCCATTTGCTCTAGAGCTGAGTTCAAGTCTTGAATATCCTTGTTAATTTTCTGTCTCATTAATCTGTCTAATATTGGCAGTGGGGTGTTAAAGTCTCCCACTATTATTGTGTGGGAGTCTAAGTCCCTTTGTAGGTCTCTAACACCTTGCTTTATGAATCTGGATGCTCCTGTATTGGGTGCATAAGTATTTAGGATAGTTAGCTCTTCTTGCTGCATTGATCCCTTTACCATTATGTAATGCACTTCTTTGTCGTTTTTGATCTTTGTTGGCTTCAAGTCTGTTTTATCAGAGACTAGGATTGCAACCCCTGCTTTTTTTGCTTTCCATTTGCGTGGTAAATAGTCCTCCATCCCTTTATTTTGAGCCTATGTGTGTTTTTGCACATGAGATAGGTCTCCTGAATACAGCACACTGATGGGTCTTGACTCTTCATCCAATTTGCCAGTCTGTGCCTTTTAATTGGGGCATTTAGCCCATTTACATTTAAGATTAATATTGTTATGTGTGAATTTGATCCTGTCATTATGATGCTAGCTGGTTATTTTGCCCATTGCTTGATACAGTTTCTTCACAGTGTCAATGGTCGTTACAATTTGGAATGTTTTGCAGTGGCTGGTACTGGTTTTTCCTTTCCATGTTCAGTGCTTCCTTCAGGAGCTCTTTTAGGGCAGGCCTAGTGTTGACAAAATCTCTCAGCATTTGCTTGTCTGTAAAGGATTTTATTTCTCCCTTGCTTATGAAGCTTAGCTTGGCTGGATATGAAATTCTGGGTTGAAAATTCTTTTCTTTAAGAATGTTGAATATTGGCCCCCACTCTCTTCTGGCTTGCAGGGTTTCTGCAGTGAGATCCACTGTTAGTCTGATGGGCTTCCCTTTGTGGGTAACCCGACCTTTCTCTCTGGCTGCCCTTAACATTTTTCCTTCATTTCAACTTTGGTGAATCTGACGATTTTGTGTCTTGGGGTTGCCTTTCTCGAGGTGTTTCCTTGTAGTGTTCTCTGTATTTCCTGAATTTGAATGTTGGCCTGTCTTGCTAGGTTGGAAAATTCTCCTGGATAATATCCTGAAGAGTTTTCCAACTTGGTTCCATTCTCCCCCTCACTTTCAGGTACACCAAGCAAATGTAGGTTTGGTCCTTTCACATAGTCCCATATTTCTTGGAGGCTTTGTTTGTTTCTTTTCATTTTTTTCTCTAATATTGTCCTCATGCTTTATTTCATTTAGTTGATCTTCAATCTCTGATATCCTTTCTTCTGCTTGATTTATTCAGCTATTGATACTTGTGTATGCTTCATGAAGTTCTTGTGCATGCTTTAGGAAGTTCTTGTGCTGTGTTTTTCAGCTCCATGAGGTCATTTATGTTCTTCTCTAAACTGGTTATCCTAGTTAGCAATTCCTCTAACCTTTTTTCAAGATTCTTAGCTTCCTTGCATTGCGTTAGAACATGCTTCTTTAGCTGAGAGGAGTTTGTTATTACCCACCTTCTGAAGCCTACTTCTGTCAATTTGCCAAACTCATTTTCCATCCAGTTTTTTTCCCCTGCTGGCAAGGAATTGTCATCCTTTGGAGGAGAAGAGGCCTTCTGGTTTTGGAATTTTCAGCCTTTTTGTGCTGGTTTTTCCTCATCTTTGTGGATTTATCTACCTTTGGTCTTTGATATTGGTGACCTTTGGATGGGGTTTCTGTGTGAACGTCCTTTTTGTTGATGTTGATGGTATTCCTTTCTGTTTGTTAGTTTTCCTTCTAAAAGTAAGTCCCCTCTGCTGCAGGTCTACTGGAGTTTGCTGGAGGTCCACTCCAGACCCTTTTTGCCTGGGTATCACCGGCAGAGGCTGCAGAACAGCAAAGATTGCTGCCTGTTCCTTCCTCTGGAAGCTTCGTCCCAGAGGGTCATCTGCCAGATGCCAGCTGGAGCTCTCCTGTATGAGGTGTCTGTCAACCCCTACTGGGAGGTGTCTCCTAGTCAGGATGCACAGGGGTCAGCGACCCACTTGCGGAGGCAGTCTGTCCCTTAGCAGAGCTCGAGTGTTCTGCTGGGAGATCCACTGCTCTCTTCAGAGCCAGCAGGCAGGAATGTTTAAGTCTGCTGAAGCTGTGCTCACAGCCGCCCCTTGCCCCAGGTGTTCTGTCCCAGGGAGATGGTAGTTTTATCTATAAGCCCCTGACTGGGGCTGCTGCCTTTCTTTCAGAGATGCCCTTTCCAGAGAGGAGGAATCTAGAGAGGCAGTGTGGCTACAGTGGTTTTGCCAAGGTGTGTTGGGCTCTGCCCAGTTCAAACTTCCAGGCAGCTTTGTTTACACTGTGAAGGAAAACTGCCTACTCAAGCCTCAGTAATGGTGGATGCCCCTCCCCACACCCAGCTTGAGCATCCCAGGTCAACTTCAGACTGCTCTTCTGGCAGGGACAATTTCAAGCCAGTGGATCTTAGCTTGCTAGGCTCCATGGGGATGGGATCTGCTGAGCTAGACCACTTGGCTCCCTGACTTCAGCACTCTTTCCAGAGGAGTGAATGGTTCTGTCTCACTGGCATTCCAGGTGCCACTGGGGTATGAAAAAAAACTCCTGCAGCTAGATTGGTGTCTGCCCAAATGGCTGCCCAGTTTTGTGCTTGAAACTCAGGGCTGTGGTGGTGTAGGCACCCAACGGAGTCACCTGGTATGCAGGTTGCAAAGACTGTGAGAAAAACCTATTATCTGGGCTGGAATGCACCATTCCTCAAGGCTTCCCTTGGCTAGGGAAGGGAGTTCCCTGACCCCTTGCACTTCCTGGGTGAGGCAATGCCCCATCCTGCTTCAGCACATCCTCCATGCACTGCACCAACTATCTAACCAGTCCCAATGAGATGAGCTGGGTACCTCAGTTGGAAATGCAGAAATCACCCACCTTCTGCGTTGATCTTGCTGGGAGCTGCAGACTGGAGCTGTTCCTATTCAGCCACCTTGTCAGCTACCCACTTCTAGATTACTTAATGGATGAAATGGTTACAATTCTTTGGGGACAATGTGAATCTAACTATAGCTCCCTTGTTCATTCAGACATATGCCTCTTTTAGGGTATTTTTTTGTTGGCCATAAATCACTAGAATAACAAGACAATAGATTTAACCCAAATACATTAATAGTGTGAATTTTCAAGTCATTCCCTGTAAAGTTGAAGCTATACAGAAGACTCATTGGCCTAAGTTCATTTATCATATTTACTAACTCCAGTGATCCATTTTACAAATTATTATTACCCGTCGTTTTAATAATCCAGTTGATTTGGGTGGTATTTTCCTTAGTTAGTTGGAAATTCAAACTTAGATCTCAGAGCAAAGGCTCATATGGTGCAATAGCTTGATTTTCTATAATAAAGTAGATAATTATCCTTTGGATACTATTTAGCATGAACTCTGATTCAGCTTTTCTCTACTTTGTCCTAATAAAGTGAAACAGTCCCAGATTTTCAGTTTTCCTTAAAGTTTCTTTGGTTTGCTAATACCATTTTAAGAAGGTTTTTAAGAATGTTTTTAACAGTGTTTTATATATTTAAAAGTAAAATATATAAAAGGAATTGCATTGTCTTGTTTTAGGCTAGGAATAAATTAGATGTTTGTGAAAGCCATTGTAAATGGTAGAGTACTTCACCAATGTTAATTATAATAATTTGACACAATGTAGGGTAGTGGTCAATAGCATAGGTTTTGAAGTCAGAACAACCCAGACTTGAATCTTGCCTTGCCTGCTACTAACTCTCTAACTTTGGCAAGTTTTTCAACGCCTGAGTACTCCCTTTGCTGGCCTATAACATGCAAACATGCAAATAATATCAATATCTACCTCCCAGGGTCATCTAAGTGCTAAGTGGAGAGAGTATATGTAAAGTACTTATATAGTGCCTGCTCAATATGTTAAATATTATTATTAATTGTATTAGCTCAATAAATGTTTGTTTAGAGTAAATCTACTGGTTAATTAATCACTGGATTATTGTAAGGACTAAATTAGAAAATGTACACAACAGACATAGCACAAAGCCTGGACAATGCCCTGTTTCATTTTTTCTAAGAAATCATCCATTATAAGATGCACCGTTGAGGCATGTGCTTCTACAAAAGAAAAAAATTATGTCAATTAATTGTAAAAAACCATCAAACATGAGACAAAGCTCTATTGCAGAGAAGTAAAAATGTGGGGGAGAAAAAGCACCTTAGAATCAATGAACTCCAACAGCTTTAAATAACTAGTACAATGATAAAAGATGAAGGAGAGAAGGAAAAGGCAAAATAAAAAATACTCATCAAACTAATTTCTCAGTGTTCTTGGAGCTATTTGTGAATTTTTATCTCATTCACATACCCCAAATTATCATTCTTGTTAGTGAGGAAGAAAAATTAAGAAACTTGCCACAGGGAGCCAAAAAAGAATCATAAAATAAGATCATAGTGAATTATGATAAATCTCCCATAATATTCATGGAGTCCTTGCAGAGAATGAGAACTTATCAGTCATTAGTCCCCTTTCTTACCCAAAGCAAGGATCTCTTCTACAGCACCTCTGAAGTGTACCAACGATATTTATTTTGCATTTCATTTCAGGGCCCCTTTCAAGGAGTCTTGGAGTTGCTCTTGTGCAAATGCAGACCCCTTTACACAGTATGACGCTAGGGTAGGCGGGGAATGAGTGGCAGGATGTAGGGGTATGCTAATCATCACTGTCAACCTTGACGGGAAGGTGGGTGACAAATGGGGAAGTAGCATTTGAAGTATAATTTAGAAAAGATCTGGAAAACAAATGACAGAAGAGGAGAAAGAGCTCTCATTTATTTCAGAAAACTTTCCCACTAACAGCAATAGGTGGCAGAGAAGAGGATGAAGATGTGTGGGAAAAACAGGAATGTCTTTGAGTCTTTGAGCAAAGGAACTGAGGGAAAACGAAGCAGTTGCTGCTATTTGGGGGGAAACTCAGCAACTGAAGGTCGCAAGTTTTTTACCCTACCAGTCAGCACATCAGTCTTGAAAAGTCAATGATGACCAAGCACATAAAACCTAAACATGTAGAAGCCACCAGTTCTTTTTGATTAGCTATTCAAAGCCAGACTTTTCCTTCCTTGGGAACAATTCTTATTCATTTCTATATTTCAATCACTCCTAAATAATTATTACCAACAGTTTTTGAGCTCTTACTATGTAGAAAATTTAATTTACTTGATCCTAAGAAAAGAATTTTTTTGTGAGGTACTATTATTATCATTCCCATTTTACAGATCAAGAAATCAAGCCCCCTATGAGATAAGAAACTTGTTTCAAGTCCCAGAGCCAGAATGGTACCCAGAGAGGCTATATTCCTAGCCACTATGTCACACTGCCTCCACCTTGACTTCATTTCTGTGATCAGTGCAGACTATATATATTGGATAATTTGGAATAAATGTACATCATCCCAGAATGGTGTTCAAAAAGAATTATTCAGGCATTAATTATCTCTATACCTTAACTGTTCTTACTCTCTCTTTACATTGTCTGACATTTAACTATTGGACGTCTACAAAGTCTGAAAATGTGAATTTTATATATGTTTATGTGCACACACACACACACAGACTGAAGTTGTCCTGAACAACATTATATTCATTCATTCTCCTGTGCTTCTGAACTTATAGGCACCCTGTATTTTCCCCTAATTGGGGGCAGTTACACTATACATAGAATTCAGGGGTCAGGATGGAGAGTATCTGATAATACCACTGTCCTTCAACAATTATAGTTATTTGGAAAATATTAATTACACTTGTGGTTCACTAGGTGTTTTCTCTGCCTCTAAGTTTCTCTGCATTTTATTTAATTTTATTTTTATTTTTTATTTTATTATTGTTATACTTTAAGTTTTAGGGTACATGTGCACAATGTGCAGGTTGCTTACATATGTATACATGTGCCTTGCTGGTGTGCTGCACCCATTAACTCGTCATTTAGCATTAGGTATATCTCCTAATGCTATCCCTCCCCCCTCCCCCCATGCCACAACAGTCCCCAGAGTGTGATGTTCCCCTTCCTCTGTCCATGTGTTCACATTGTTCAATTCCCACCTATGAGTGAGAATATGCGGTGTTTGGTTTTTTGTTCTTGTGATAGTTTACTGAGAATGATGATTTCCAATTTCATCCATGTCCCTACAAAGGACATGAACTCATCATTTTTTATGGCTGCATAGTATTCCATGGTGTATATGTGCCACATTTTCTTAATCCAGTCTATCATTGTTGGACATTTGGGTTGGTTCCAAGTCTTTGCTATTGTGAATAATGCCACAATAAACATACGTGTGCATGTGTCTTTATAGCAGCATGATTTATAGTCCTTTGGGTATATACCCAGTAATGGGATAGCTGGGTCAAATGGTATATCTAGTTCTAGATCCCTGAGGAATCGCCACACTGACTTCCACAATGGTTGAACTAGTTTACAGTCCCACCAACAGTGTCAAAGTGTTCCTATTTCTCCACATCCTCTCCAGCACCTGTTGTTTCCTGACTTTTTAATGATTGCCATTCTAACTGGTGTGAGATGGTATCTCATTGTGGTTTTGATTTGCATTTCTCTGATGGCCAGTGATGGTGAGCATTTTTTCATGTGTTTTTTGGCTGCATAAATGTCTTCTTTTGCGAAGTGTCTGTTCATGTCCTTCGCCCACTTTTTGATGGGGTTGTTTGTTTTTTTCTTGTAAATTTGTTTGAGTTCATTGTAGATTCTGGATATTAGCCCTTTGTCAGATGAGTAGGTTGCGAAAATTTTCTCCCATTTTGTAGGTTGCCTGTTCACTCTGATGGTAGTTTCTTTTGCTGTGCAGAAGCTCTTTAGTTTAATTAGATCCCATTTGTCAATTTTGGCTTTTGTTGCCATTGCTTTTGGTGTTTTAGACATGAAGTCCTTGCCCATGCCTATGTCCTGAATGGTAATGTCTAGGTTTTCTTCTAGGGCTTTTATGGTTTTAGGTCTAACATTTAAGTCTTTAATCCATCTTGAATTAATTTTTGTGTAAGGTGTAAGGAAGGGATCCAGTTTCAGCTTTCTACATATGGCTAGCCTGTTTTCCCAGCACCATTTATTAAATAAGGAATCCTTTCCCCATTGCTTGTTTTTGTCAGGTTTGTCAAATATCAGATAGTTGTAGATATGCGGTGTTATTTCTGAGGGCTCTGTTCTGGTACCAGTACCATGCTGTTTTGGTTACTGTAGCCTTGTAGTATAGTTTGAAGTCAGGTAGCGTGATGCTTCCAGCTTCGTTCTTTTGGCTTAGGATTGACTTGGCGATGCGGGCTCTTTTTTGGTTCCATATGAACTTTAAAGTAGTTTTTTCCAATTCTGTGAAGAAAGTCATTGGTAGCTTGATGGGGATGGCACTGAATCTGTAAATTACCTTGGGCAGTATGGCCATTTTCATGATATTGATTCTTCCTACCCATGAGCATGGAATGTTCTTCCATTTGTTTGTATCCTCTTTTATTTCACTGAGCAGTGGTTTGTAGTTCTCCTTGAGGAGGTCCTTCACGTCCCTTGTAAGTTGGATTCCTAGGTATTTTATTCTCTTTGAAGCAATTGTGGATGGGAGTTCACTCATGATTTGACTCTCTGTTTGTCTGTTTTGGTGTATAAGAATGCTTGTGCATTTTTGTACATTAATACTGTATCCTGAGATTTGCTGAAGTTGCTTATCAGCTCAAGGAGATTTTGGGCTGAGACAATGGGGTTTTCTAGATATACAATCATGTCATCTGCAAACAGGGACAATTTGAGTTCCTCTTTTCCTAATTGGAAAATTAGGAAATTATTTCCTTCTCCTGCCTAATTGCCCTGGGCAGAACTTGCAACACTATGTTGAATGGGAGTGGTGAGAGAGGGCATCCCTGTCTTGTGCCAGTTTTCAAAGGTAATGCTTCCAGTTTTTGCCCATTTAGTATGATATTGGCTGTGGGTTTGTCATAGATAGCTCTTATTATTTTGAGATACATCCCATCAATACCTAATTTATTGAGAGTTTTTAGCCCTAAAAGAGCTCCTGAAGGAAGCATTAAATATGGAAAGGAACAATCTGTACCAGCCACTGCAAAATCATGCCAAAGTGTAAAGACCATTGAGGCTAGGAAGAAACTGCATTAACTAATGAGCAAAATAACCAGCTAACATCATAATGACAGGATCAAGTTCACACATAACAATATTAACTTTAAATGTAAATGGACTAAATGCTCCAATTAAAAGACACAGACTGGCAAACTGGATAAAGAGTCAAGACCCATCAGTGTGCTGTATTCAGGAAACCCATCTCACATGCAGAGACACACATAGGCTCAAAATGAAAGGATGGAGGAAGATCTACCAAGCAAATGGAAAACAAAAAAAAGCAGGGGTTGCAATCCTAGTCTCTGATAAAACAGACTTTAAACCAACAAAGATCAAAAGAGACAAAGAAGGCCATTACATAATGGTAAAGGGATCAATTCAACAAGAAGAGCTAACTATCCTAAACATATATGCACCCAATATAGGAGCACCCAGATTCATAAAGCAAGTCCTGAGTGACCTAGACTTAGACTTAGACTCCCACACAATAATAATGGGAGACTTTAACACCCCACTGTCAACATTAGACAGATCAACGAGACAGAAAGTTAACAAGGATACCCAAGAATTGAACTCATCTCTGCACCAAGCGGACCTAATAGACATCTACAGAACTCTCCACCCCAAATCAACAGAATATACATTTTTTTCAGCACCACACCACACCTATTCCAAAATTGACCACATAGTTGGAAGTAAAGCACTCCTCAGCAAATGTAAAAGAACAGAAATTATAACAAACTGTCTCTCAGACCACAGTGCAATCAAACTAGCACTCAGGATTAAGAAACACTCAAAACCGCTCAACTACGTGGAAACTGAACAACCTGCTCCTGAATGACTACTGGGTACATAACAAAATGAAGGCAGAAATAAAGATGTTCTTTGAAACCAATGAGAACAAAGACACAACATACCAGAATCTCTGGGATACATTCAAAGCAGTGTGTAGAGGGAAATTTATAGCACCAAATGCCCACAAGAGAAAGCAGGAAAGATCCAAAATTGACACCCTAACATCACAATTAAAAGAACTAGAAAAGCAAGAGCAAACACATTCAAAAGCTAGCAGAAGGCAAGAAATAACTAACATCAGAGCAGAACTGAAGGAAATAGAGACACAAAAAACCCTTCAAAAAATCAATGAATCCAGGAGCTGGTTTTTTGAAAAGATCAACAAAATTGATAGACCGCTAGCAAGACTAATAAAGAAGAAAAGAGAGAAGAATCAGATAGACGCAATAGAAAATGATAAAGGGGATGTCACCACCGATCCCACAGAACTACAAACTACCATCAGAGAATACTACAAACACCTCTACGCAAATAAACTAGAAAATCTAGAAGAAATGGATAAATTCCTGGACACATACACCCTCCCACGACTAAACCAGGAAGAAGTTGAATCTCTGAATAGACCAATAACAGGCTCTGAAATTGTGGCAATAATCAATAGCTTACCAACCAAAAAGAGTCCAGGACCAGATGGATTCACAGCCGAATTCTACCAGAGGTACAAGGAGGAGCTGGTACCATTCCTTCTGAAACTATTCCAATCAATAGAAAAAGAGGGAATCCTCCCTAACTCATTTGATGAGACCAGCATCATCCTGATACCAAAGCCAGGCAGAGACACAACCAAAAAAGAGAATTTTAGACCAATATCCTTGATGAACATTGATGCAAAAATGCTCAATAAAATACTGGCAAAGCGAATCCAGCAGCACATCAAAAAGCTTATCCACCATGATCAAGTGGGCTTCATCCCTGGGATGCAAGGCTGGTTCAATATAAGCAAATCAATAAATGTAATCCATCATATAAACAGAACCAAAGACAGAAACCACATGATTATCTCAATAGATGCAGAAAAGGCCTTTGACAAAATATTTAATTTTAAATATATGAAATTCTATGGATTTTGAACTCAGATTTTAGCACCATTGATAGCTACAAAGGGAGAAAACATATAGTTGGGAATCAACAATACTGCAGGTGAGCCAGGCATGAGACATACTTATAGTAAAAATAATTATTTATTGTTTATCTGAAATTCAAATGTAACTGGGTATTTTGTGTCATGTCTGGCAACCCTAGTAGAAGTGGTAATGTGTGATTTCAGAGCCTGGGTCAGAAAATGCACTGTGGCTTCCTCCTTCTCTCTTGGATCACTCACTCTAGCAGAAGCCAGCTGCCATTTCGTGAAGACATTCAAGCAACCGTACGGTGAGGCCCATATGGTAAAAAAAACTGAGCCCTCCGGATAATGGCTAGTGAGGAACTGAGACCTCCTATCAACAGCCACTCTCAAGTCTTTAGATGACTGTAACCCAAGCTGATATTTTGACCATAACTTCATGAGAGACACTGAACCAGAAACATCTAACAAAGCAGAATTCCAGACTCAGAGAAACTGTGAGATACTAAATATGTATTGTTTAAGCTGCTAAGTTTGGGGGTAATTTGTTATGTAGTAAGAGAAAACGAATACAGCCATATTACTTAAGTAGATGGACATTTATTCAGCGTTCTAGTCAATCTTCCTGGCATACAATTAATCTTTTTGTTCAAAGAAAAGTTTTCTTGCCTTTCGTTTGAAAGTGTCACATCTCCTGTGAAATAGCCCTTAACCTGATATGGTTTGGCTGTGCCCCCAGCCGAATCTCATCTTGAAATGTAATTTCCATAATCCCCAGCGTGTCTAGGGAGGGACCAAGTTTAAGGTTGACGGCATCATGGGGGTGGTTTCCCCCATGGTGTTCTCACGATAATGAATGAGTTCTCATGAGATATGATGGTTTTTATAAGGGGCTCTTCCTCCTTTGCTTCACACACACACCCTCTCTCTCTCACCTGCTGCCATGTAAAACATGCCTTTGCTTCTCTCTCACCTTGCACCATGATTGTAAGTTTCCTGAGGCCTCCCCAGCCATGCAGAACTGTGAGTCAATTAAACCTCCTTCCTTTATAAATTACCCATTCTTGGTATGTCTTTATAGCAATGTGAGAAGGGACTAATCACAGCCCTACCAGAGGAAGACCCAATATAGCACTCACTGAGGTAATTTAAGGAACATTTGATAGATAATATGTTTTCAGAACAAATTTTAAGTAAACAAAATAAGAAAATTATAATATATAATAGAACTGCACTGTGACTTATAGATTGCAAACTTTCACATTTATCATGTTATTTGATTATTAAAATAAAGTAAGAGTATTACCTAGCTTTTACAAGTGAAAAAAACAATAGAAGGTAAGTTTTTAGAGGTTTGATGATATCTCCAAGGTCACAGAGCTAATCACACAGCTAGAATTCTAACACAAATCGTCTTAACACCCAGTTTCTTCTAAGGTTCTGCCTCTCAAATATGAACAGTGTTATCTCTTTCATTCTGACACTAGTCATTGATCTTAAATGGTGTTCTGTTGCAGGTGGTTTTCAATATCAAAAATGTCAAAATGAAGGGTGGAAAAATGGTCATCAGGCTGGGCGTGGTAGCTCATGCCTGTAATCCCAGCGCTTTGGGAGGCCGAGGCAGGTGGATCACAAGGTCAGGAGTTCAAGACTGGCCTAGCCAAGACGGCGAAACCCCACCTCTACTAAAAACTACAAAAATTAGCCGGGCGCAGTGGCAGGCGCCTGTAATCACAGCTACTCGGGAGGCTGAGGCAAGAGAATTGCTTGAATCTGAGCGGTAGATGTTACAGTGAGCCGAGATCATGCCACTGCACTCCAGCCTGGGCGATAGAGTGAGACTCCGTCTCAAAAAAAAAAAAAAAAAAAAGTCATCAATCATCTGACATGAAATCACAAAAGTGAGCATCTTTTGACCTCTGAAAAATGAGTTTTAATTGTTCTCATTAATTCAACAGCCATGGTTGACAATACCATTTGTGGTTGACTCAATCATTCAGCAAGTCCTGTCACACTATTTGACTTCACATTTCCCAACATGAGAAATGATTCTCAACAACAACAACCAAAAGACAAATATTGGGACACATTTATCACAGGCAGGAAATGCAACACAAAGAAAAGCAAGGCAAAAAGTGGAATTCTCATACTTCCACTCATAGGAATCTAACACATGACTCCTCAACTCCCTGCCCAGGAATATTGGGTGTTGATCAAACTTAAACTGTGTTCGTTTTGCTATAAAACTCATCATTAGTTGTTCATCAATTATACTACTAAACCCCCAGTTAAGAGTCCATATTGGAACCTTATTTTTGAAGTCAATTCCAGGAAAAGTTTTGTTTCTTTTGTAAAAGCGTTACATTTTGAAAGGGCAGCATTATAAATAGAAGGGGAAATAACTGTATACAAAGAGGGAACGATATCAAAGTTTGGTAGTAGAAATAAGAAGAGTAAATAAATTCAGTTAAATAAATTCAGGTCAGGAGTCATGGTTAAATAAGGAAATAATACAGTGGGATTAATCAAAGTAACTTTGGGATGGTTTCCATTCTTTTGACTAAGAACACAGTATGAAGCTGAACAAATGAAAATGTGGTGTTTGCTAAATGCTTCTCTCTGGATACTTCATTCCTGCTTGTCCTGGCATTAAAATAAGAAAAACCACATGCCAATAAAGCAAACAGTAATTAGAAATGGAGCCACAGTGATCTAGTATCTCCTTCTTGAGAAAAAGTCTAGGGAGGACTTTGGGAGATTTAAAACTTCAGGAAGGAGAATAATTTAGTTATATACAAAAAAGTTAACTTGATATCATACTATTAAGTGGATTTCTAGATTCTGTAGACCTGTTGTTTCTCTCACTGATGCTGGTTAAGTCATTTTAGGCAAAAAATAAGGTCATTACAATTCAGATTCTTTCATCTATTTCACTTGTTAGCATTGCTACTTGAAAAGAAATCCCAGTAGCCTAGGATTAGAAAAGGGTGAATACTCACTCATCTGGTGCCCTGAATAAGTTCAGTAAAATGAAACAATTGCACACCCTGCCATTACCATTTCCCAGGAATGGTGTGTCTGCTCTAAGGTGGGGAATAAGGGATAGAGCCAACACTGGCTTCTTCCTTTCTGGCAAGGAAAGTGTATCAAGTGGTCACAAAACCTCAAAGATCCTACATGTTGCACTTCTCTCTTTTGAGGAAACTGTTACAAGAAGATGCTTACTCAGAGGTTTGGCATGCTTTTTCCACTAGACCAGGTCGAATTAGCCACACCTGGTTGAACTGGTGTTCTATATGCTGGGAAATAACCTCTAGGGTTACTTGACTTGAGAACTGTGCCCAACAGAAATGCTCCATATTGAACAGTGACCAACAATTCCAACCAGTTCTCCTTTCTTGGGGAAGTGGAATGCAAGATATACATAGAGAATTGTCAATCAACTCAGTAAGGGAGTAGAAGTAAACTGAGAGAAAAAATCTGAACCATGAAGGCAGCTGACTTAAGGGTTATTCTTGGGTTACTAAAACCGCCATATACATTCAAGCTACGAACAAGGCATGCCTCTACAGTTACTGACAAGGTTTCCACTGTTTTCTTGCCTTCTGGAATATTCTAACAGTAAAATATCACAGGAAGTAAAATAAATATGTATCCTTCTTGCCACCAGAAGGAAACTGGGGAATCTCATAATTTTTAGTGAATCTCATAATTTTTAGTGTTGCCATTTTTGTCTTGGCAACCAGGAAGCTCTTAGCCAAACTTATGTTTAACAACTATATAAAATCCAGTGGTCACAGTTTTGCTGCTTCTTCCATCTTGATCCTCATTTTATATTCCCTATATATAAAGTTTGAGTGTGTGCGTGTGTGTTTGAGACATCAAAAGTTTCAAAAAACTAGTTTCTCAGTCTTTGGAGGGTCAGGTAGCTAAGAAACCAAGACATCCAGCCTTTAAAGGTACCTCCTAAAATCTGCCTTCTCAGATATTTTTATGTTGGCCTTCAAATGTCAAGGTCTTTCAGTTTTAGCAATTTCTAATTTATATTACAAAGAAAGAAATGGAAGTAAAAGTAACAAACATCTTTCCAAAGTTCAGACACAATCCTACATGAATAATTCTGATTCCAGACAAAGATGGGTGATGACTAAATATAAGAATAAAAGATGGATACTTGCTTATCATCCCATTCTTAGCCATTAATTGTTGAGTTGAGATCAAAAGCCTTCTGCAATGCTGTTTTAGTTATAAATATCATGGTAATCAGGTAAGTTTACATCTATATTATGCATTGTTCTAAGGAAGGGAGTAAAATCTCTGATAATTTAATAAGGCTTTTCTTTTTCTTTCCTTTTTTTTTTTTTTTTTTTTTTTTTTTTGAGACAGAGTCTCATGCCGTTGCCTAGGCTGGAGTGCAGTGGTACAATCTCAGCTCACTGCAAGCTCTGCCTCCCTGGTTCAAGTGATTTTTGTGCCACAGTCTGTCGAGTAGCTGGGATTAAAGGCATGCACCACCATGCCCAGCCAATTTTTGTATTTTTAGCAGAGACAGGGTTTTGCCACGTTGGCCAGACTGGTCTCGAATTCCTGATCTCAAGTGATCCACCTGCCTTGGCCTCCCAAAGTGCTAGGATTACAGGTGTGAGCCACCACACCTGGCCTAAAAAGGCTTATCCTAAACATTTCCATAAATAGGATTTGAAATTTTTCTAGTTCACCTTCCTTTTCTCTTTGCTGTGTCTTTACATGTCATTTGATTTCACATGTCATTTATCAGAGAGCAGGGAGTGCTTTATCACTCTCCAAAGTTCATAGCCTCCTCATTAATAATCAAACCTGAAGGGGTGATAGCCTAAACCTGAAAAAAATTATACCACATATTTACTATCAGGCACTCCAAAGAACTCACATATTTTCAAATACTTCTGTTTAATAGAGGGCCAGCTATTACCTGCTTTCCTCAAGCCTCAGTGCTAACTTGGATGAAAACATTTTACTGAACACAACTATTACCTTGTTTCAGCCATGACTTGTCAAATGTCCCCAGATAGCTGCTCTCAGTCATCACTGTAGGCAAGAATGGGTGCCTCTCAGGACCAGAATCAGACACAGAAACAAGCAAAGCCCAAAGTATGTAAGCGATCCACTGAGGTGAGTTCACACATAAAAAAGAAGAAAATAAAATGCATGTATACTACTCTGCAATCCACTCTCAGGTCATTTGAAACAAAGTCAAAGGAGAGAAGGAGTTAGGGGGATGATGTATATGACTGTGGATTCTACAAAAATTTTATTTGATATAAAGCATTCAACGCATCTAAAGTCATAGAATGTTATAACTGGAAGAGTCTTAGAGACAAAGCCTAGCATCCTCACTTTATAGATGAGAAAGGTAAAAAAAGAGCCAGGAAATAACTGTCCATGCCACCATGCTGGTACCAGGAAGAGCTTTGGGGTTTGGCAATCTGGGGTGAGGTTCCAACTCTGCCACTTATTTTATCCCACTTAGCTTCAATTTCCTCCCAGGTAAAATAAAGATCCTAATCATGCCTAGATGACAAGGTGAGTGTAACAATTAAATATGACATGCACATAAAGTAATCATCACAATGCTTGGCACATAGTAAGTGCTCCATAAATGTTAGCTATTAGAATGATTATCCATGATAGAGATCCATCCTAGAACACAAATTGGAGCCAGCCATAATATGTGGGGAAATCCTCCCCTTCAGTTCACCTCCTAGACACTGGGCCAGAATAGGTCCTGGAGGCATGAGGTGAAGATGGGGAATGGGATCTGGCTGTATTTCCAAAATCTTCCATATATAGACCTGAAAGCTGAAACCGAATGCTACCCTATGAGATTCATCTCAGAGTTCCCTGGGGATATTAGAAAATAACAATCACCAAATTTGAAGGTAAAGAGACTGTAAATCATAGACTTTTATGCTGAAAAATATCTCAGGTATCTTGTAGTCTAACATACCTTGATTTTGGAATCCTCAAGAGCAAGACCTTGCTCCTTTATTATTATTTAGTTTTTGGAGAGGCAGAGATCCCATTACAAGGTTATACATACGTCGAACTCAATGAATGCTTGTGCAAGGTGGGAAGATCATCATTTATTGGTCTTTAAGCCTTGTCTCTGTTATATGGGGTTACCTTTGTCCATGAATTTTGTGAAGCAATCATTCAGTAGCACATTCTAAGCTTGTATTGATGGTAACAATAGCCAGCATAAAGTGGGCAGTTTCTAACCAGGCAATGAGCAACCACTTTACATGGACCATATCCCCACAACAAGTCACTCACTAAGGTCATACAACTAGTAAATAGTGATGCCAGGATTCAGCCTAGGGAATCTTGGGCTGATTTTGTGCTCTTAGTACATTTTTGGTCTCTAAATATGACAAAAGAATTTATAATATTTCTCATACTTTCTTACTCTGGTAACCTTCTGCAGTCCTTTTTCCTTGACCAGAATTTATACCCTTACTCAATAAAATAGGTTGTGGATACCACAGTCAGAGGTAGTTACTTGAAACACCTGTGTGCATGAGTGCGCACACACACACACACACACACACACACACACACGCACAAGTTATAGCACATGGGGCACAATGAGAACAAAGAGAGAATGCAGTAAAACAATTGCCACAACTGTACATTGTCTTCTGTCAAAGGAAATCAACCAAGTCGAGAGTACTTGCAAAAGCACAGCAAAGCCATGTGTTTACCAACACTTGGGAAAACTGAAGTTTAAACCCAAGGCCAGGCATTAAATATTATTATGTAAGGCACCAGTTCTGTATCAAGTCCTTTCAAGGCTTAACAGCCAAATTAGCAATAAATTCTGATAGCCCCATCTATCAGCTCTGTTCAGCCAATCCAATGGCAACACTGTGTTTCTTTGCAGGTCCAGGGAACACACGCTTGCAAAGGAAAAAAATGCACTTGATTAGATTTGGTTTTGAATAATT
Organism: Homo sapiens; assembly: GCF_000001405.40. Taxonomy (NCBI): domain Eukaryota; kingdom Metazoa; phylum Chordata; class Mammalia; order Primates; family Hominidae; genus Homo; species Homo sapiens. The sequence continues at coordinate 3,906,122 of NC_000003.12, forward strand.
GGTTCATTGAAATTCTTGAGCTGAAGAAAAATGGCATTTCTAATTTATAGAAATCACAATTTGAAATATAGTTATGACTGCTCAGAGAACCCCTAGAAGTAAATAAATTTAAGTCAGCACATTTAAGAAAGCCATTAAGAGGTAACTAATGACAGCCCCACCAATTGTCTCTCCAATAGAGCCTGTGTGGAACCCTGCCAAAAGCCAGCTCCCTTGTTCTCCTGGCTGAGGCTGTGTGTGGCTTGATGCTTGAGAGCTCAGCTTTGGTGTATCAAGGCCACCCACCTAGCAAGCCCAGGAACCTGATGGGGCCTGACATGGTTTGGCTGTGGCCCCACCCAAATCTCAACTTGAATTGTATCTCCCAGAATTCCCACGTCTTGTGGGATGGACTCCGGGGAGGTAACTGAATCATGGGGGCTGGTCTTTCCCGTGCTGCTCTCCTGATATGATTAAGTCTCATGGGATCTGATGGGTTTATCAGGGTTTCTGCTTTTGTTTCTCTCATTTTCTCCTGCTGCCACCATGTAAAAAGTGCCTTTTGCCTCCCACCATGATTCTGAGGCCTCTCCAGCCATGTGAAACTGTTAAGTCCAATTAAACCTCTTTTTCTTCCCAGTCTCGGGAAGAAAAGCAGCATGAAAACGGACTAATACAGAGGCTAAGAAGGAGAAGGGCAGCACATTCTGGACAGAAAAGGAGAGAAGGAAAAATCGCTTCCATTAGCAACTCCAGCACCTCTTTGGGAGGAATCTTTCATAGGTGCACACTGCATGCTTGCAAATATCCCCACTAACCTGCACTGGGTATGCTGGGCACTCAGTTATCCTAGCATCTTAGAGAGCCAGGAAAGACTACTCCAGACCTGTCTGACCATTGCAAGGCAAGGTGGAATGTTATTATGTATGATATCTGAATGACAAAGGAGAATCTATGCTTCTCCTCCAGCCTTGTTTCATGGGCACATTAGTGTGGTTTAGATTGTGTAATATCTCTTAATTATTACATGCAAATTCAGGCAAGCAGTATGGGACAGAAAAGATCTCCAGGTCACTTTAGTAACCTAGGCCTCTGCAGATGAGTCAGTGAGTCAGCCAGGATCCCTGAATGAGAGGAGTAAACTTTTGACCTCAAGAAGCTTACTGTGATCTGGTGATTACCACAGCAGAGCCCAATCCATCAGCTTTGAAAAAACAATGAACTCTGGTGACCTGGTTTGGCCAAACCTCACTGCTGTGATAAAAAGCATGACTCCTGTCTTTTGATACACCATGGCCCATTTTTAAAATTGCTTCTGAGAAAGTAAATGAGACCCCAGTTTGAAAGAAATGAGGCCAGACTGAAAGATGTCCTTCCATAAGCATTTGGCAAGCATGGAAATGACATCTGTGGGCTTATCATTCCCAGGCCCCTATCCATTTCACTCAAATAGGTCCCTGCTCACCACTTTTAGTAACACCCACTGGACACAAACTAGGATATGGGTAGAATTGGGATACCGGCAGAATTTGCCTTTGGCATCACTGTGGTAGACATAGAAAGGCATGGTCCAGGCCCCCTTCAAGGAAGGCCTTGCTTCCCTGCCACAGGGAGTATCACCAGCAGACAGCCTCCAGCTGTCAGCCTCTGCAGGACCACCTTAGCTGCAGAGAGCTGGCTCAAAGAGGTCATGCCCTTCCCAGGATAGCTTTTATCCACTGGCTGAGAAAAGTGGGGCTAGACAGGTCTTGCCATTCAGCCTGTAGCAGGACACTATGCAGGGCAATGCTCACTGCAGCACTCCCTGCCAACCTGGCCATGGGTTTCTTGGGCCTGCATCACAGTTTAACTTATTCCTCTGTACAATTTTGCTTGCTGTTCCCCTTTGCAGGTGTTGAAACCCAAGAAATGTCTTGCATCTCAAACTCCATTTTAGCATCTGCTTCTTGAGAACCCAATCTGTGACAATCACCTTTTTCTGTTCTGTGATCTTAACTCCTCTTAATTGCATCCCCTTCAGCCCAACACTCCAAAATAAGTTGATAAAAAATACTTAATTGGTTGGAAGTTTCTGGTCCTACTTTTACATATTGTCCAAAGCATGATGTAGTAACATTAACACAGGCTTTGGAAACAGAGCTCTGGGTTCAAATCCCAGCTCTGTGTTATCTGGGTCATGGTACCTAATCTCTGTGAGCCTAAATTTTCTCCTCCATCAAGTGGAGATATTGCCATCTACCTAGTACGTTTGTTGCAGGAATTAAATACAATCACATATACAACACACCTAACACAATGCCTCGTACACAGTAGGTGTCTAGTAGTTGGTTATATATTGTTATGGGTCCTTTGGCACTTCACATGTACTCTACTTGTATTCTAATTTAACTTTTTGGGTATTTCTTCCTTGCTTCTTCTATGAAACTCTGAATTCCTGGAGAGCAAGAAACATGCTATTTACTTAATCTGGATTTTCTATATAATGCTCTGATGGTTAATACTCAGTGTCAAATTGATTGGCTTGAAGGATGCAACATTGATCCTGGGTTTGTCTGTGAGGGTGTTGCCAAAGGAGATTAACATTTGAGTCAGTGGGCTGGAGAAGGCAAACCCACCCTTAATTAGGTGGGCACCATCTAAACAGCCACCAGCGAATATAAAGCAGGCAGAAAAGAATGAAACACTTGAGGAGGCAGTCTGCCCATTCTCAGATCTCCAGCTGCATGCTGGGAGAACCACTACACTCTTCAAAGCTGTCAGACAGGGACATTTAAGTCTGCAGAGTTTACTGCTGTCTTTTTGTTTGTCTGTGCCCTGCCCCCAGAGGTGGAGCCTACAGAGGCAGGCAAGCCTCCTTGAGCTGTGGTGGGCTCTACCCAGTTCAAGCTTCCAGGCTGCTTTGTTTACCTAATCAAGCCTGGGCAATGGCAGGCAGCCCTCCCCCAGCCTGGCTGCTACCTTGCAGTTTGATCTCAGACTGCTGTGCTAGCAATCAGGGAGACTCTGTGGGCATAGGACCATCCGAGCCAGGTGTGGGGTATAATCTCCTGGTGCACCATTTTTTAAGCCTGTTGGAAAAGTGCAGTATTAGGGTGGGAGTGATCCAATATTCCAGGTGCCGTCTGTCACCCCTTTCTTTGACTAGGAAAGGGAACTCCCTGACCCCCTGGGCTTCCCGAGTGAGGCAATGCTTCGCCCTGCTTCAGCTCGCGCCTGGTGCACTGCACCCACCATCCTGCACCCGCTGTCTGGCACTCCCTAGTGAGATGAACCCGGTACCTCAGAGGGAAATGCAGAAATCACCAGTCATCTGCGTTGCTCATGCTGGGAGCTGTAGACCGGAGCTGTTCCTATTCGGCCATCTTGGCTCCTCCTCAAGTGGGTCCCTGACCCCTGAGCAGCCTAACTGGGAGGAACCCTCCAGAAGGGGCAGACTGACACCTCACACAGCCGGGTACTCCTCTGAGACAAAACTTCCAGAGGAATGATCAGGCAGCAGCATTTGCGGTTCACCAATATCCGCTGTTCTACAACCACCGCTGTTCTGCAGCCACCACTGCTGATACCCAGGCAAACAGGGTCTGGAGTGGACCTCTAGCAAACTCCAACAGACCTGCAGCTGAGGGTCCTGTCTGGTAGAAGGAAAACTAACAAACAGAAAGGACATCCACACCAAAAACCCATCTGTACATCACCATCATCAAAGACCAAAAGTAGATAAAGCCACAAAGATGGGGAAAAAACAGAGAAGAAAAACTGGAAACTCTAAAAAGCACAGTGCCTCTCCTCCTCCGAAGGAATGCAGCTCCTCACCAGCAATGGAACAAAGCTGGATGGAGAATGACAAGTTGAGAGAAGAAGGCTTCAGACGATCAAACTACTCCAAGCTACAGGAGGAAATTCAAACCAATGGCAAAGAAGTTAAAAACATTGAAAAAAAATTAGATGATTGGATAACTAGAATAACCAATGCAGAGAAGTCCTTAAAGGAGCTGATGGAGCTGAAAGCCAAGGCTTGAGAACTACGTGAAGAATGCAGAAGCCTCAGGAGCCGATGCGATCAACTGGAAGAAAGGGTATCAGTGATGGAAGACTAAATGAATGAAATGAAGCAAGAAGGGAAGTTTAGAGAAAGAATAATAAAAAGAAATGAACAAAGACTCCAAGAAATATGGGACTATGTGAAAAGACCAAATCTACATTTGATTGGTGTACCTGAAAGTGACGGTGAGAATGGAACCAAGTTGGAAAACACTCTGCAGGATATTATCCAGGAGAACTTCCCCAACCTAGCAAGGCAGGCCAACATTCAGATTCAAGAAATACAGAGAATGCTACAAAGATACTCCTCGAGAAGAGCAACTCCAAGACACATAACTGTCAGATTCACCAAAGTTGAAATGAAGGAAAAAATGTTAAGGGCAGCCAGAGAGAAAGATCAGGTTACCCACAAAGGGAAGTCCATCAGACTTACAGCAGATCTCTCTGCAGAAACTCTACAAGCCAGAAGAGAGTGGGGGCCAACATTCAACATTCATAAAGAAAACAATTTTCAACCTAGAATTTCATATCCAGCCAAACTAAGCTTCATAAGTGAAGGAGAAATAAAATACTTTACAGACAAGCAAATGCTGAGAGATTTTGTCACCACCAGGCCTGCCCTAAAAGAGCTCCTGAAGGAAGCACTAAACATGGATAGGAACAACCGGTACCAGCCACTGCAAAAACACGCCAAAATGTAAAGACCATCAAGGCTAGGAAGAAACTGCATCAACTAACGAGCAAAATAACCAGCTAACATCATAATGACAGGATCAAATTCACACATAACAATATTAACCTTAAATGTAAATGGGCTACATCCTCCAATTAAAAGACACAAACTGGAAAATTGGATAAAGAGTCAAGACACATCAGTGTGCTGTATACAGGAAACCCATCTCACGTGCAGAGGCACACATAGGCTCAAAATAAAGGGATGGAGGAATATCTACCAAGCAAACGGAAAACAAAAGAAGGCAGGGGTTGCAATCCTAGTCTCTGATAAAACAGACTTTAAACCAACAAAAATCAAAAGAGACAAAGAAGACCATTACATAGTGGTGAAGGGATCAATTCAACAAGAAGAGCTAACTATCCTAAATATATATGCACCCAATACAGGAGCACCCAGATTCATAAAGCAAGTCCTGAGTGACCTACAAAGAGACTTAGACTCCCACACATTAATAATGGGAGACTTTAACACCCCACTGTCAACATTAGACAGATCAACGAGACAGAAAGTTAACAAGGATATCCAGGAATTCAACTCAGCTCTGCACCAAGCGGACCTAATAGACATCTACAGAACTCTCCACCCCAAATCAACAGAATATACATTTTTTTCAGCACCACACCAAACCTATTCCAAAATTGACCACATGGTTGGAAGTAAAGCACTCCTCAGCAAATGTAAAAGAACAGAAATTATAACAAACTGTCTCTCAGACCACAGTGCAATCAAACTAGAACTCAGGATTAAGAAACTCACTCAAAACCGCTCAACTACGTGGAAACTGAACAACCTGCTCCTGAATGACTACTGGGTACATAACAAAATGAAGGCAGAAATAAAGATGTTCTTTGAAACCAACAAGAACAAAGACACAACATACCAGAATCTCTGGGACACATTCAAAGCAGTGTGTAGAGGGAAATTTATAGCACCAAATGCCCACAAGAGAAAGCAGGAAAGATCCAAAATTGACACCCTAACATCACAATTAAAAGAACTAGAAAAGCAAGAGCAAACACATTCAAAAGCTAGCAGAAGGCAAGAAATAACTAACATCAGGGCAGAACTGAAGGAAATAGAGACACAAAAAACCCTTCAAAAATTAATGAATCCAGGAGCTGGTTTTTTGAAAAGATCAACAAAATTGATAGACCGCTAGCAAGACTAATAAAGAAGAAAAGAGAGAAGAATCAGATAGACACAGTAAAAAATGATAAAGGGGATGTCACCACCGATCCCACAGAAATACAAACTACCATCAGAGAATACTACAAACACCTCTACGCAAATAAACTAGAAAATCTAGAGGAAATGGATAAATTCCTGGACACATACACCCTCCCAAGACTAAACCAGGAAGAAGTTGAATCTCTGAATAGAACAATAACAGGCTCTGAAATTGTGGCAATAATCAATAGCTTACTAACAAAAAAAGTCAACGACCAGATGGATTCACAGCCAAATTCTACCAGAGGTACAAGGAGGAACTGGTACCATTCCTTCTGAAACTACTCCAATCAATAGAAAAAGAGGGAATCCTCCCTAACTCATTTGATAAGGCCAGCATCATCCTGATACCAAAGCCGGGCAGAGATACAACAACAAAAAAAGAGAATTTTAGACCAATATCCTTGATGAACATTGATGCAAAAATGCTCAATAAAATACTAGCAAAGCGAATCCAGCAGCACATCAAAAAGCTTATCCACCATGATCAAGTGGGCTTCATCCCTGGAATGCAAGGCTGGTTCAACATACGCAAATCAATAAATGTAATCCAGCATATAAACAGAACCAAAGACAAAAACCACATGATTATCTCAATAGATGCAGAAAAGGCCTTTGACAAAATTCAGCAACCTTCGTGCTAAAACCTCTCAATAAATTAGGTATTGATGGGACGTATCTCAAAATAATAAGAGCTATCTAAGACAAACCCACAGCCAATAGCATACTGAATGGGCAAAAACTGGAAGCATTCCCTTTGAAAACTGGCACAAGACAGGGATGCCCTCTCTCACCACTCCTATTCAACATAGTGTTGGAAGTTCTGGCCAGGGCAATTAGGCAGGAGAAGGAAATAAAGGGTATTCAATTGGGAAAAGAGGAAGTCAAATTGTCCTGGTTTGCAGATGACAAGGTTGTATATCTAGAAAACCCCATTGTCTCAGCCCCAAATATCCTTAAGCTGATAAGCAACTTCAGCAAAGTCTCAGGATACAAAATCAATGTACAAAAATCACAAGCATTCTTACACACCAATAACAGACAACCAGAGAGCCAAATCATGAGTGAACGCCCCCATTCACAATTGCTTCAAAGAGAATAAAATACCTAGGAATCCAACTTACAAGGGATGTGAAGGACCTCTTCAAGGAGAACTACAAACCACTGCTCAATGAAATTAAAGAGGATACAAAGAAATGGAAGAACATTCCATGCTCATGGGTAGGAAGAATCAATATTGTGAAAATGGCCATACTGCCCAAGGTAATTTATAGATTCAATGCCATCCCCATCAAGCTACCAATGACTTTCTTCACAGAATTGGAAAGAACTACTTTAAAGTTCATATGGAACCAAAAAGAGCCCGCATCGCCAAGTCAATCCTAAGCCAAAAGAACAAAGCCGGAGGCATCACGCTACCTGACTTCAAACTACACTACAAGGCTACAGTAACCAAAACAGCATGGTACTGGTACCAAAACAGAGATATAGATCAATGGAACAGAACAGAGCCCTCAGAAATAATGCCGCATATCTACAACCATCTGATATTTGACAAACCTGACAAAAACAAGCAATGGGGAAAGGATTCCCTATTTAATAAATGGTGCTGGGAAAACTGGCTAGCCATATGTAGAAAGCTGAAACTGGATCCCTTCCTTACACCTTATACAAAAATTAATTCAAGATGGATTAAAGACTTAAATGTTAGACCTAAAACCATAAAAACCCTAGAAGAAAACCTAGGCAATATCATTCATGACATAGGCATGGGGAAGGACTTCATGTCTAAAACACCAAAAGCAATGGCAACAAAAGCCAAAATTGGCAAATGGGATCTAATTAAACTAAAGAGCCTCTGCACAGCAAAAGAAACTACCATCAGAGTAAACAGGCAAGCTACAAAATGGGAGAAAATTTTTGCAACCTACTCATCTGACAAAGGGCTAATATCCAGAATCTACAATGAACTCAAACAAATTTACAAGAAAAAAAAACCAACCCCATCAAAAAGTGGGCGAAGGATGTGAACAGACACCTGTCAAAAGAAGACATTTATGCAGCCAAAAAACACATGAGAAAATGCTCATCATCACTGGCCATCAGAGAAATGCAAATCAAAACCACAATGAGATACCATCTCACACCAGTTAGAATGGCGATCATTAAAAAGTCAGGAAACAACAGGTGCTGGAGAGGATGTGGAGAAATAGGAACACTTTGACACTGTTGGTGGGACTGTAAACTAGTTCAACCATTGTGGAAGTCAGTGTGGAGATTCCTCAGGGATCTAGAACTAGAAATACCATTTGACCCAGCCATCCCATTACTGGGTATATACCCAAAGGATTATAAATCATGCTGCTATAAAGACAGATGCACACATATATTTATTGCGGCACTATTCACAATAGCAAAGACTTGGAACCAACCCAAATGTCCAATAACGATAGACTGGATTAAGAAAATGTGGCACATATACACCATGGAATACTGCAGCCATAAAAAATGAAGAGTTCATGTCCTTTGTAGGGACATGGATGAAACTGGAAACCATCATTCTCAGCAAACTATCGCAAAGACAAAAAACCAAACACCACATGTTCTCACTCATAGGTGTGGGAATTGAACAATGAGAACATATGGACACAGGAAGGGGAACATCACACTCCGGGGACTGTTATGGGGTGGGGGGCGGGGGGAGGGATAGCATTAGGAGATATACCTAATGCTAAATGACGAGTTAATGGGTGCAGCATACCAACATGGCACATGTATACATATGTAACAAATCTGCACATTGTGCACATGTACCCTAAAAGTATAATAATAATAAAATTTAAAAAAAAGAAAAAAAAAGCATTAAACAATGATGGGCCTAGCCTCCCAGCTTACATCTTTCTCCCATGCTTGATGCTTCCTGCCCTTGAACATCGGACTCCAGGTTCTTCAGTTTCGGCACTCTGACTGGCTCTCCTTGCTCTTCAACTTGCAGACAGCCTGTTGTGGGACCCTGTGATTATATAAGTTAATACTTAATAAACTCCCCCTTATATATATCCTATTAGTTCTGTCCCTCTAAGACAACCCTGACAAATACAGATGCCAAGATTGATTGATGTTGTACACGATATATAAAATTTTTGTCAATTAAAAAAAATTGAGAAAAGAAGGAATGACTTGAAATATAGCAAAGGTGTCTTCAACACAGTAACCAAGCTGAAACTTGGTTCTTGGTGTGCACAGTTACAATAGCAAGCCTAGTACCTACTAGTAGATATATAAAGGCATCAAAGTAGATTTTGCCTTCTATTCACCACTGCAAGACCAAATACATAATAGCTAATAATGGACAGCAGATAGATGATTGGCACCCGAAGAACAATTGCAGAAATGATTAAGAAACCTAAGTAGACATTGCATGAGTAGACTCATGTCTATCCCATCCCACATGATCAGTCCAATTTAATCACCCTATTCAATCCTCTGGGGGCTCAGCTGGTCCAAGGAGGGGCACGGGTCTTTGGCCCAAACAGACTGAAGAGAAGGAACTATATTATGTAGTTGGCTAGGAGATTTTTCTTCTCTCTCACATTGGATGTGAAAAGCATGACGCTTCAATTTACATAAAGTCTCCAGGAGAACCAGCAAAGGATGAAGCTGATGCAGAAGATCACAGAGCAGAGAGACGAAAGTTATTGGGTTCCTGTGACATTGTTGAGCTGCTGAATCACTGAAATATAAAGCCTGCGCTACCTCTTATCTTCCTGTTATATAAGAAAATAAATGTCCTTTAGGCCATTTCAGTGTAGGATTCTATTACTTTGAATTTGCAGCAGAAAGTATCCTGAGAGGTAAGGCAAATATTCAATATACAATCACAACTATCCAGGGTTTCTTTTATGCTTAGAGCCACATCAGAATTTTTACTTTTTTTTTGTTTTAGCAGAAAGAGGCCACCTAATCTGAACTCATTTACGGATTAGGAAACTGAAGTTCAGAAAGGCTGAATGAGTTGCCTGAGAAGGCAGAACTCAGAAATAGTAGAGTCAGGACTTGACATCCCCAACTCAGGCATTAATCTGTTCATCCAACAGCATTTATGGGTATCTACTATGTGCCAGGCACTGTGCTCTTTTGTCAGCATCACCCCAGTTCCAAAAACATATCATGGAAATGAACTCTTAATACAGTATTTGCAACTGGAGCCAATGAACAATAATAAATGTTTCACAAGACCCTGTTAAGACAGAAGCCACAGATACTCTTCACCAACCAGGAAATAAGAGTCACGTAAGGAAGAGATGGGAGGAATGTCAAGCTGATTGGAGAGATTTATCAGAATTTAAAAAAAAAATTCCAGTACACCCAGAGAAGACAGGTATGTAATAAGATTACCTGGGCTCATTCACTTTTTTCCTAGCTATAAAACTATAAAATGTATTCCTGTAAAAATCATATAAAAAATGAAAGATAAGGAAAATAAATGCCATTTTACTCAAGGCATATGTACTTGAGCTCAAGTCAGGAGTGCCACAGTCCATCAACTCAACTGAAAAGAATTTAGGAAGGTACAAGGTGAAGTAAAAACAGATACCAGTTTTTCAGCAATAACATCAGCAAAGGCTGATATGGAGTCTTGTCAGTTTTGTTAGCATAAAGCATGGCATTTGGAAGGCAGAAGTGCCTCACCAGAACAGGGAGCAGCCAAACCCATTGTGGCTTCAGCTCCATCAGAAGAATCTTGGTGCCTTGAGCAAGGCCATCTCTACCACATGAGCATGTGAGAGCCAAGTTGGATAATACTGAAGTGGTAGGTCAGTCAGTGCTTGCCGCACTCACAGCCTGTTTTGAGAAAAGCAGTTCTTTGAGCAGGGAAGGCCATCTTCTGTACACATGAATAGCCTCACTCCAGCCAGAACTCTGTGAACTTGACCCAAGGTCAGCCAACTCAAAGACTGGCCATCAATCCATGAAGGTAACTGAACATGGCTTTTGAAAAATGTAGGCTCCTAACCTCTACCCCAGAACCATCAGCTCAGATTATCTGGAGTGGATTCCCAAACTTTCTCTTCAGCAAGGTGATTGTCATGCACAAAGCTAAAGTTTTAAAAATATTGATCTAATTCAGACTGTTCATTTTTATAGATGAAGAAACTGAGGCACAGAGAGGTCACAAAAACAAAACTACTTGTTTTTCATGTATATTTACCTTTTCTATCAGAGATACTACCACTGAACAGATGGCTTTCCTTGATGGATGGTTTCATTAGCAGTGTCTGAATACTTATCTTCTGTTTGCCATGTGTTTCTCTTCCTGTGTTTGCGTTTTGCATTCATTCATTCATTCACTATGTAGTTGGCTAGGACACTTATTGAGTGTCCATTATGGACCAAGTCTTTTCCTAGGTTCCAGGAAACAGAATCCCAAAATCTCTGATCAAGAAATTATGTGTTGCCTCCATAAATAAAATTATAAACAAGATTTATTTCTATTTGTATCACCCTTCATTCTAAATACCCACGTGCTTACGATGTCCTTACCTAGCAGTCTTCCAATAAGAATTATTGACAGAACAGATCCACTGTCGTGCCGAATTTCATCCCCCACAAAAATCAAAAACTAAATCTTGCTGTGTTCTTACTTAGAAATAGGAAGAAATATGTCTCCTTACAATGAGGCATTCGCTAATGCAGCCAGATTTTAAACTGTTCACCCAGATTTAAGACCATCTAGATTTCTAACAGAGCAATGGTCATTAAACATCTAATAACCACCCAGGCACAAAGAAGACCATTAGCTGTGCAAACCGGCATGTATCCAACAAAGATGATCTGGGCACACAGTCCCTGTTGCTCTCATTTGAAATGTTTCTCTCTTTTATTGTCTGAAGATCATGATAAAATGCCTCTAAGCAGTACAAAAGGGCCATGATTTTTATTAAAATTGAGCACATAAAGAGACCAAAAAAGAAAAAAAGAAAGTACTTGCCAATGGAGGCAAGGAATAGGTCACAGAAAAAACTAGACATGAGGGAGAGGACATTGGGAGAGGCACTTAGAGGGCCGGGATGCTGGAGTAAAAACTAGCTGTGACTCAAGTGGAAGGTTCTGAACATAGGAAGGATGTAAACATGTCAGTCAACAAGATCACCATTAGTTTCCTCACAGTTTGAAGGGGCAGGGGTCATGGAACAGAGACAGGGAGTGGATCTGCCCAGACCTTCCATCCGCCACTTACTGGGCCTCATTGTTAGAGGAGGGTAAGGGGCATAGGAAGAACAGTACTGAAGAGGAACGAAAGTGGCAGGGAAGAGAAAAGTGTTAGAAGAAAAATATAGCCTGGTCCCTTGCATAATTTCAGAGGGAGCACAGGAAATTTAAACTGTCGAAGCAAGAAATAAAAATAATACCTACAACCCTTAAATATAGCACTTTACATTTTGTGAAGTGTTTCAGAGCCATTTTCTCCTTGACACTACCTCCTCACTCCATTTTTCCTTGGCCGCCGCTTATCATCTCTGGGTGCTGAAGTCTCTTGATGTGAACAGAATGGAGAACACTTTGGTCTTTACCTCTCACCTCTACACCTTTTGTTTCCCAGGAACAGAGGCCACAAAAGAGCTGTAAGAGCAGAGTGAAGCAGGCTCATCCTGGTAATTTGTAGTTTTGCAGATAAAGAACACTTTCCTCAGCACATGTGCAGTGGATCCTGACACCAGAGCTTCAAAGAGGTAATCCTACAAATGATCCCAGGAAATCTGTCACATCACTGGCAAAATCAGCACATGACAGTCATTCTACATTTAGGGAGGGAGCGCCTCTCAATGTGACACAATAAATGAGAAAAGCACCATCAATAAACCACCAAGGAACAAAGGAAACCTGAATCAAAATGACAGTCAGGCTGCTCAAGATCAGTGAACTATGAAGCCAAGTATTTAAATGTTTAAAGATATAATGAAATTTCCCTTTCAATCTACATAGTCTCATATGGCCAAGAACATCACAGAAGTCCTTAATAATAGCTGATAGGCTTTGCTTGAAAGCTGGGTCCCCTACTTTGTAGTAATAGAGATGTTACTGGTACATGTCACATCTTCCTCACATGGACAAGCTTGCAACCCACTATTCTCCTGCCACCATTAAAATGATAGATTGCTAGGTTTTTGTAATTGTCATAAAATTCCATGCCTGAAATGGGGATGCTGTCTTCCTATTTTCCCACTGACTCTATTTTAAGTGACTCTTTTAATGGTATTTCTCTACTTGAAATAATTGGATAATCTAAAACTGAGAAATAAGCACTTTCCTTTCCTCATTGTTTTATCTTCTTTATCTCTCACAGCCCCAGGAGATCACAAATATTTGGCCTTAGGGCAATATCAGCAGTTAATGATTCATGTTCAAAGCTCAAAGTTGTCTAATTAACAAAAGGCAATGTTTTACAGAGGCCATTTTTGCTTTCAAGTTAATAGCACACCATACATACAAAGGGTGGATTGTATCCAGGTCTTCAAGCTTGCAGTCTGCTACTAATTGAAGACGTTCTAATTTCACTTTTTTTCTGACCCAAACTTCAAGTCATTAAAAATTAATTATTTTCATTTGTTTCATTCTGATTTATCAGCACCCGTGTAGTACAGTTCACACATCACATCCTCCTATTATGTGCTCATAAAAATTACGTTTTGGTGTTTATTAAAATATGCACTTGATTAATGAAAATATTATTAGCATATTTTCTGTGAATTGTATTCTTAATAGCATCAGTCATTAACAAAATCAGAATCTTTAAAATGTCTAACCATGTTCTTAATGTAAATGGTGGCCTAGGCTAAGTATTTCCTAGTAGCAGAAATTTGGTAAGATTTCTGGTACTGTATCACCAAAACATCATGAATTTTTATAGAGAGGGACTGACATTAAATACTGACATTTCCAAAATTATAGTATGTATGCATGTTTCTGATGCCAACGGCTTTGATATCAGCACAAAATCCAACACATCAGATAAGACTTTTGTAGATTCATCATGATCTTGAATCTCAAAACAAGCTGATTCCAAGGAAGTAAATGCTTGTTCCTCTATAATGCCTGGATACTTTGCATATCCATTTATTATAATTGCTTACTTTCTTGTCTGTGTCCATACTAGCAAGCAGAGAGTCTATCATTGCATCTTTGCAGTATAGCACAGTGGTTAAGAAAATAAACTCTCAACTGAAGGCTGTCTTGGTTTGAATTTCGGCTCCATGCTTCCTAGTTTATGTAACATGGACAAGGTACTTAAACTCTAAGTGCAGCTTTCTTATCTGTAAAATGAGCATAATGGTATCCATTTTTCTCCCAGATCTGATGGGAACAATAAAAGCATTCAGAGTGGCTTATATTTGGTTAATACCCATCAATTGTTAGCTATTATTATTTGCATTTTTAGTATCCACAAACCAGGGATGAGAATATGGTAACTAGTCAGTGATTATTAAAAGAGTAAATAGACGAGTTAATAAGACAAACACTAGTATTCCTATTTATAGATGAGTAAAACCAGCCTCCATAAAGAAAAAAAAATCATTCCCAATTTCAGTCAAGTAGTAAGTGACAGAATCATTTTTCAAACTTGGGTCTATCTACGGCTAAACTACAGGAGAAGGCTTGCTGTCTCCCAGAGGTCCCTGAGCTTCCTATTGGTTAGACAACACCTAAATTTCAAAAATGAATCAGGTGATTTTTTTGTTTTAGGAATAATTTAAAAATTATTGGGCAGAAATGCCATGAACTTCCCCTCTCCCATCACTGCCAATTAATATACTAAAGAGCAATAGCTATGAAATTGGAACTTTGTTCCCAAATACTCTCCAGAACACATAAAAACGGGGGGCAGATGATATTCTCACAGTTAACTTTACATTTAAGTCTCTGCCGCTGTCAATCTTTGTCAAAATGTCTTTCTTATAATTAAGAATCATGGTTCTCAGAGGAGACAAGTGGCAACTCAATAGCTCAAAACTTACTGAAAAATGCCACTGCATATTGATGTGCCACACACTTGAGCATTCATACCCATCTCTCCAATCCCAATGGCTTTGCTCAGTGAAGAGAGCAAGGAAGCCATCCATGCAAGGACACTTTAAGTAGGTGTTCTCATTCTTCAATGATAATTACTTGAGTTACCACCTTTTACCATTGCTATGAAGAAAAGGATATTTTATGAGAAGGAAATGAGTTCATTTCTAAGCTCTACGTAGGTGAAATCCCTTATATTTGTTCATCCCATAGAAGTTATTACTAAGATTGATGATCTTAATATATAGACTGTAAGGAAGATCCAGTTTTCACCCTGAAAGCCTTGCTGCTTTACCACCTTAATAGATACATGATTTTCTTCATACCGTCTCAGGCAAGAAAAGAAACTACAAACTACATGTTAGAGTTTTTAATTGTGCCTGATCTATCTACATTTTACAGGACTTCATTCTCAAAATACATGCTTATAACACTTATTTTTTCCTTTCATACTTAGTATTCATCAAAGGGAATTGCACTTTACTCTCCCAGAGCTAAAAAAGATGATCTAATTAAAAATATTAAAGAATGAGCCATTAAAGAGTTGTCTGAAAAAATGTAATGTATGGAGTTCATGCATGCACTCATTCAATAAGCAGGCTTTGAGCTGCTATAACCCTCAGGCGGCATGTCCTAGAGATAATGAGATCTTAGTATTAAACACCTCTGTAACAGAAATATTATCATACAACAATGTAGCAATATGGCTAGACATTTGGAAATTAAAAAAATAATTCCAGACCTATCAAATTGTTTTGTTGAAGGCAACAGGCAACAAAAGATGTCTAAATATTCAAATTTCAGAAAATATACTCCCCAGGTACCTTGATCTTAGACGTTATTGGGAAGCAAAAACAGAACCAAAATTTAGAATCAAAAAGTCATCATATAAAAAATATGGCAAGCATACCAACCTTTCAGTATCCGTACTCTCTCTATACCTTTCCTCCTGTTAATAATATAGTATTCTTATCCCTAAGAAAGCAACCTCACCTCCTCAGAGGCTTTTTTCTACAATTAATGGATCTACTGCATGATTTCCAACAGCATGTAAACATGGTCTATATCACCCAACAAAAAAAAAGGTGTGTATATGTGGTGGTTGCAGGGGCGGGGGGATAGATTGCATTATTGTTTTCAAGTGCTCACTATTTCTTCATTTGTGCACATTACCATAGGCAGTGAAGTGTCTTACAGAAGGAGTGTACTTTTCTGCCCATTGACATTGGGCTTGCCATGTAACTTGATTTGGTCAATGGAATGTGTGTAAATGTGTAGTATGGCAAATTCAAGCTGAAGATTTGAGACATTGCAAGGCATGGTTCTGTCTCTCACTTCTTCTCTCTTCTATCAAAAGGATGTGTCCCAGATTGGGGGAGCTCTGTCAGCTTGTGTCCAGTCATAAGACACATGGTACAGGGCATAGCTGACCTCTAGCTACTGACATGGAATGTGATCAAGAAACAAACCAATTTTGTTTGAAGCTTTTAGTTGGTTTTTGTCACTGCAGTATAATCCCATCTAGCTCTACACATCCATGTTTCTCTGCTCTCTAAGCGGCTATCTCTACTTCTCCTTCTATTCTCCCTCAATCCTCTAAAACCAGGCTTCTTTCCCGCCAACTACTCCTTCCCTTTCCAATGAACCACTCTTAACAGGGTGTCTTCCATATTTCCAACTCAAATGATCATCTCTCTCTTCATCTCTTTTGACCTCTCAGAAGTATTTATCATTGTTGTCCACTCCCTCCTTCTTAAAATATTCCCTTCTCTTGATTTCTCACGATTTGCCTTCCATATCACTGGCCATTACTTCTTAGTCACTTTTGCTAGTTCTCTCTCCTGTTTCAATCATTGAAGTGTGAATACACCAAGCTTTCCTTTAGTCTTCTTTTCTGTCCCTACATTCTTCAAACTCTACATTAATCCTCATCTAGACCTGTGTTTTAAATATAATATGTATAACAAGGACTCTCTAGCCCTGACCTCTTAATTTAGCCCCAAAGTTATCTGTTTAGCTAACTGCTTGACATCCTCATCTATGTGTCTATAGGCATTTCAGTCTTAACTTGGCCAAAATATGATTGTTGATTTTTCCTGTGTAGATCTGTCCCTCCCACAATCTTCCCCATCTCAGCAAATGGCATCACTATGTACGTAGTTGATTAAGCCAAGGACTGAAATCAGGGTGATGGGGCTACAAGCCAAAAATTATCAAAGGTTAACAACAAACCACCAAAAACTAAGGAAGACGCATGGAACAAGTTCTTCCCCACAGCCTTCAGAAGTAACCAACCCTACTGATACCTTTATCTTCTGGCCTCCAGAACTATGGAAGAACAAATTTCTGTTGTTTAAACCACCCAGTTTGTGGTACTTTGTTTTGGCAGCCCTGGAAATCTAATACAAGCCCCTGTTCTGCCAAGTTGGTAGGAGGTGGAATTTCAACCCTTAGGGACATTTCCACCCCTCCCTCATCATGCTCTGGAGATGTCTTTAGACTCCAGTATAAAAACCAGGCCAAGCCAGGGGACTGACCCCAGAGAAGTGAGCCTAGAAAAAAGGGTCACCTTTGACCAGCTTACCTAGGGATCCCAGTCTGGACACAACACCATTCTCTTTCCAGATCCTGCTACTTGGCATGCTGCCAAGCTTTATGGTGCTGGTCTCCGATACACTTGGGACCTATAATGTCATTCTCTGCCCCACTTCTACTTTAGGGAATTTCTCATCTCTCTCCCTCTTCTGCCTCCCCTTCCTCAATAACAATCACAAAAGGCAACTAGAAAAATTATTTTCAAGCAGCTTCTACTTTAAGTTTGAGAAATGCCCTTGACTTGAAGAACACAAAAGATCTGGCTACCTTCAGAAAAAAAGAGGCCAAGATTTGTGAATATCACATATACAGTGATTCTCATTCTTGCTGTCTGATTCTTTTCTTTCTCATTCTTTCTGTCACTCTGATTCTTTCACATCAGCCAAAATAAAACAAACTAATCTCTTAATAATTTATTTTGTCAAAGCAGGGATGTCTATCTAGGTAAGGCTTACCTGATAACAACTTCATGATACACAGATGGTATCATGTACCAAGACCGTCACCCTGTGATATGCTCATAACCAGGATCTGTCTCATAATCAGCACAGCAACCTAGCCACAACACAGAAAAATCTTCAAAGGATTCAATAAGCTGCAGAGCAGAAAGAGTTCAAGTTGTTTCTAGAGATCCAGTCACTTCTTCCATCACTACCCATGCTGTTTCTTCCTCCTCACAGCCTTGTTTTTGAAATTTTAGCCAATTTTGAAATTTTAACCAATTAAAAGAGGTCAAATACCATGCCCTACATTAGCAAGCTTTCTCCGGTGTTTGTCTTCTCTGCTCACAGGAACTCCCTATTTACTGTACATTTCAAACTCCCTCTGTTTCAGCAAATAAATCGGTGTCTGATGGTACACTCATTATAGTGCTGTTGTTTCTGAGAATAAGGTCCTCCAAGTTAATTAAATAAGGCTGGGGAGCTTACTTATGAAACAAACAGCCCACTGCTGCTTCTGCTGATAAATAACAATTTTCTCAATAAAATGATGTTGTATGGATGCTGCAGTTGGGTTCTTGTTATGCTCATCAGCGAGCTCCTGAATGAGTCTAGATTTCCCCTCTTCACATAGGTACATGGCATTAACGGTTATAAAAAAAAGGGAAGATGTATGTACTGTTCTTCTCATAAAGAAAAAATCTATTGGATGGGAGCTTAATGTATGTTTCTTGGTAGTATCACCAGTAGATGCACTATAACTACCAAGAAGGAGGTGGCCAGTTATATTTTATGGTTCTCCTTTCAATTCTAATAAGGAAGCATGTAATACTCACAAAGTACATATTGCATTGTTTCACTGGAAGGCATTTATGAATGGATAAACTGGGTAATGAGAATTACTGGAAACTTGCATATTTTCCCACACAGACTTTTTATAGTAGGCATATGTAATCTGACTTTCAATCCCTCATCTTGCAGCAATGAGCTGCAGGAGATTTGAATACTATTCCTACTGTGCAGAAATAAAAGTAGGAATAAATTCTGATGATTCTATAATAGCTGGAGCTGAAAAGTCACAGCATTTTCCATTTAAGGGGTCCACATATTAGATCCAAACTGCTCAAGAAGTTTTAAGGTTTTCAAAATCTGTCATCCTCAGAGTTAAGATGAAATTCAACTTCTCTTGGTTTGGGGTGGTCAGTTAAGGTAACATATCACTAGAAGAATTGGTATTCATGATTTCTAAAGAAGTATTAAAGACTATAAAGAGCTTTTAAATTAAAATATCAAGAATTATAAAAGGAGTTTTTAACCATAAAGTCCTCTCCAAGGTATAAAAAACACATTATGGAATGATGAATTTTCATACTCAACTGAAGATATATTCTGAGATGTTTTCTTCTCTATGGTTGAAGCTTTACACATAACAAAAGCAATTAGAATAAAAGAAAATATTAAGCTTTTCTGACAACATCAGGAACATTAATAATAAATGTAGATTTCAGTTCAGACTATTCTCTTCAAAATAATGGTTTCAGTTATTTGAGACTATTTGCTACTTGAACACAGCCTATATTTACTGCACAGCAATGATCCATAATTAAGCTTTAACTTTCCATGTGCCTAGATATGAGTCCATTTTTAGTGATATTGATAAGATCTATGATGCATCACTACTTTTGGAAAATGTTGCTGATTCCAAAGATATTAGCACTGGATGCTATCTTTGAAATGATGCAGTATTGAGCAGTACTAATGTAGCTTAACTGTTGGTGAAATTGCCAGAGTATTAGCATGTCTATGATTCCCTCTGTCTCTCAAGTTGATATCCTGCAGAGAGCAGAGCTCATGATCTTCTGTACTAGAGAGACACAATGTCATCCAGAGGGCAAAAACCAGCTTATAAATCCTTACAAACCCTTCCTTCCTTCCCCATTCTATAGATGTGTAAATTGAGGCTCAAAACTATTAAGTAATTTCCTGTAGTCACTGATAAATGGCAGAACCAGGATCAGAATCAAGGTTTGTCTTTCAATGAAAGTATTAAACTATTGGTATTAGACTACTGCAAGCCTCCTCCTATATTTAATGTCATTCTATGCAGTGCTGCAGATGGAGTGGTAATACACATGAGAGGTAAAATTGTAAAGAAGCATAGTTCATCCTTTTTGTGTCCCCAGGCCACTTTCAGATTCTCCCAGCCTTGATACTTACCTTCCTTTTTGTCTACTTCTCTTCCTCCCATCCAATGAACTCTGAGAAATAATATGACACCTGTCATTTATGAATTAGCATGAATTTCCATCAATAATCCAGATTTTTGAGCTGCAAAGGATGATAGAAACCATTTCTGAACCCAGTCATTTTACAGATGTGGAGACCTAGCCACAGAAAGGTTAAGGGACTTACCTGAGTTCACAGAGCTAATGATGTACATACAGAACAGAAGCAAGAATTCTGTTTCGTGACTCCCAACTCACAGTTCTATTCATTATACCTTCACAAAGGTATTTTTTTTTAATTTCAGAGGAATGTTCTTACCTTAAAGAAATTTTACACATCAAGGAGTAAAGAGAAAACATATTGAAAAACAGGAGCCCTGCATGAACCCCTTAAACCATATTTGTTGGTGGCTGCCTACTCTCTTCTTAAGACCAGTCCTGCTGAAGAAGCCACTGGTGAGCATGGTGAGCACCTCTCTCCAGACAGTAGTATGCAGAATATCCTCCCTTCCAGACCTTTTTCCTTTTAAAACAGCAAGCATTGCGTCTCTCTGTTCTTCTTCCCCACAGGAATCAATGCAATCATTGTGTTAAGGCCCCACGGAAAGCTACCACTGTGTTAAAAATAGAAATAAAAAACAATAAAATTTCAAATTGATCATTTCTAGTTACTAAAAGAAGAAAATAATAGACTTTCCCTTCCTGATTATGTTCATTACCATAGATTTCAATTTGTCTCAAATTACAAGGAAAAGTAGATTGAAATCTATAGCTAGATCCCCAGGTGTAACGTTTCATTTTTTAAAATCAATATGAAATGGAAGCATTTTGCAGTAAGTATTTTTGGCTCCAACTCTAAAGTACTAAGGCTATTATGATGCATTTAGTCATCCAGATAGTTGATCATATTCAGCCTATACTTGTTTTCACTCTCAATCTTTCTGTCCTGCATAAACATGAGGCTCTAAATGTCAGTGGTTTTTGAGAGCTTCTTCCCTGTCAAAATAGCTGTGTATAGTTTGCTTGGGCTGGGTATTTTTGGTGTTTTTCTGTGTCTGTATCTACAACCAGCAGTGAAGGTGGAGGATAAGGCAGATCATCTGGACACTTATGGAAAAAGATGGCTAGAAAACAGGGAAGTTTCAAGGGCCTGACTATTCAGATCAACCAGTCTCATCATTTTAGTTTTATGTTGTAAGTGTTCAGTTTCTGAAACAATATACAGTGTTACATGAAAGTCAGAGCTAGAAGGAACCAAGTAAGCAGCTAATTCAACCTCCTCATTTTACAAATGACATCTCTAAGGCCGAGAGAAAGGAAGCAATTTGGCCTATATCATAACCTAACTTGCAGAGCTGAGACTCAGAACTATAAGACTTCCTAATACTGATATTTTAGTTTGGATTTCCCCAAAAGCAGAGCCTGAGAAAAGGGGTTGGGTGCAGGTGGTTTATTTTAGAAGTAATCATAAGAAATGGGAGCAATAAAGCAGGAAGATGAGGCCAGAAAGAAGAGAAAAATAGATGCAACATTGATTTGGTTATCACTATGGGAAACTAGGGCCAAATCTCACTATGGACCCACTGGAATCATACACCACATACATCAGCAATGTGCCTTCACAGGATGGAAGCCCACAACACTTAACCACTCATTCCAGTAGAGGGTTGTTCCCACAGGCCTTAACTTCCCCAAGTTTTCAGGCTATGACTAAGCAAGCCTAGTGACTTTAGAAAAAGCCTAAGGACAGAAAAGCACAGAGACACAGCCTGGCACTTGAGTTAGTGTACTTTAAGCAACTCTCCATCACAGCTGCAGCTGAAATCAGGTGGAACAAGAGGTTGTGTCATAGGCCACAAAGAATCTACTACAAGTGGTTTTTAAAGTACGTTGCCTACAACTTTGGGGTTGTTCTGCAAAAAGGCTCCAGAGAGGCCTGAGAAAGGACCTAGTGTATTAGGGTTCTCAAGAGAAATAAAACCAATAGGATATTTATATATATATGAGGGGATTACTACGAGAATTGGCTCATGCAATTATGGAGGCTGAGAAGACCCATGATAAGCTGTCTGCAACCTGGAGAACCAGGGAAACTGGTGATATAATTCAGTGTGAGAACCTGGGGCAGGGGTAGGGGCTGCTGGTGTTGGTGTCTGAAGGCCCAAGAACCTGGAGCTCTAAAGCCCAAGGGTAGGAGAAATATGGATATCCCAGCTCCAGAAGAGACAGTGAACTTGCCTTTCCTTTACCTTTTTGTTCTATCCTGGCCCTTGATTGGATAACGCCTACCCACATTAATGAGGGGGATCATCTATACTCAATCTACCTATTCAAATAGTAATATGTTCTGGTAACACACACATCCAGAAATAATGCTTATTCAGATATCTAGGCATCATATGGCCCAGTCAACTTGACACATAAAATTAACAATCACAAGTCCCTCCCTTGTCAAACTGGTACTCATATGTATCTCCTTACACCATACTTACTCTCCAATTAAAGATAATAACAAGATCCTAATTCCACCTAGCAGGATGCAACTATCCTGCAAACAAACAAAAATGAACAAATCCTTTCCCTGAGGATAAAAAGTCCATGAGTGATATTTACTCTTCTCCTGATATCCCATAACTTAAATACTATGAGGAAAATACTTATACATACTTACATAAGTCAGTAAAGGGAAGAAAACAAAGGTATTTCCTTCATATATGTATATATACACACAAATTTACTTATAAAAATTAGGGAGGAAATATTCATGATGATTATAGTCCTTGTTTTTCTAACTGGTCATGTGGTTGTAGCTGGTATTTATAACTACCTTCTTATACTACCCATTCTGTGTTTCCTTTGCCTTCAGCAAACATCTCATTCGGTCTTGGCTCTTTACCTAGCAAGGTGATCCAAACCATCATTCCTGAAGGGTCTAGGCCATTTGTAGTCCTGCCTGGATTGAATTGTAGTTTTCCATTGACCTTAATTACAGGGTATGGTAATACTAAGATATGCCCCATGGGATATCCTGTATTCTAGACATATGCTTCTTTACCTCCATTATGGAGTGGTTATCCAATTTCCCTTTGATTGCCTGGATCAATCATCCTCATAGACACACCCAGAAATGATATTTTATCAGCTATCTGGGTATCTTTTAACCTAGTAATGTTGTCATATAAAATTAACTATCACACCCCGGAAGAGCCACATGGTAAGATTTTAGGACTTCTATTTCTTCCTCATTCAGAGCAGACCTACTTTTATCTGTCTTATATGTTAGAGGTGCTCTATGAGATATCATTTGTAGGGGGATGGGGGCTTACTTGTGTATTAGTCATGATTCTTTAGTTTTAAGTGCACAAACCATATAGAACTAGCTTGGGCAAAGAAAAAATGTTCACATAACTGAGAAGTCAACGGCTAATCAGGGACTTTAGGCACAATGGGATTAAGGGTTCACACAAAGTTGTCTGGGCTTTCTCCTGTCTATGTGTCAGTCTTATTCTGTCCTACTCTAGGGGCACTTTTTCTGCAAAGAGACAGAAAGTGGCTGCCAATAGCTCCAGGTTATATTATACTAGCTTAGCAATGCCATCAGAAAATGAGAGCTTCTTCCTCCTAGGGTTTATATAATCATAGCAAAAGACTCAAATATCCTGCTTAGTTTATCTAACCACCCCCTTGGACCAACTGCCATTGGCTTGGACAGCTATTCTAAAACTTTAGCATGCATCAACATCACCTCAAAGACTTGTCAAAAAATGCTCACTGTGCCCTACTCCCAGAGTTTCTTATTTGGTAGGTCTGGGATAGCTCCTCAAAATATGTGCTTTTCAGGTGATATTCAAACTGCTGCTCCAGTGACCACACTTTGTGTACCACTGGCTATAATGAGGAGGTACTCATAATCAAATCAAGTCACAGGGCCAGGCCAGATTCTAAGGAGATAGAGTGTGTTTCAGGGGAATAGATTCCATTTCCTAATTGGAAGAGCAGCAAATAATCTGTGGCCATCTTTAATCTACGACAGGAGACATGGTGAAAAGGACCAACATAAGTGTAATTGCCTCCTAGAAGGGAAGGGAAAAGAGAACAAAGAATTTTTCACAAATGATAGAACACATTAACCCATATATTCAAGAAGTGCTACAGATTCCCAGAACAATCAATACATGAAAAAACTCATCTAGGCACATCTTGGCAAAACTAATTTTAAAAAAGCAAGGGAAAAATCTTAAGCCCTGCTAAAGAAAGATGACATTATTTTCAAAGAAACAACAATAACATTAACAGGTTACTTCTCAAAATAAGTAATAGGATCGAAGAAAAAGTGGGATGACGTATCTGACATGCTACAATAAAGAAACTTACAACATAGAATTTCATTCAGAGCAAATTATTCTTCAAATATTAAAGCAAATTTAAAACATTTTAGATAGTGAAAAAATATGGAGGATGGAGATAAAGGCGTGTTCAGAAGAAAATGATTAGCCTTACAATCCATTTATTTGAAAAGATGACTGAACATTAATGATTTAAGATTTATCTCAAGAAATTAGAAAAACGGCCAATAAAACCCAAAGAACATATGAGGAAGGCAACAATAAAGGTAAGAGCAAATATTAATGGAATAAAACAAAACATTCAATAGAAAAATCAATAGCACCAAATAATGGTTCTTTATAACAATGAATAACTTTTATAAGCACCTAACAAAGCTGATTAAGAAAAAAGTGATAGCATGAATTTTAAACATCAATAATTAAAAAGGGAACGTCACTAAAGACATTATAAATGTTAAAAAGATAACAGGAACATATTAGGAGCAACTCTATGACAATAAATTTGGAAGTTTAAATGAAATAGACTAATTTCTAGAAAGATGAAACCCACAAAAACCAACACAAAAAGAAACGAAAAGTCTAGATAATTCCCTATTTGCCCAATAATTGAATCTATACTTTATAAAGCTTCCCACAACAAAATATACAGGCTCATGTTGGCCTTTCTGTTGAAATTTTATAAACATTTAATGAAGAAACTATACTAACTTTACACAAATGTTTGTAGATTTTAGAAAAAGAGAGAAAAAATACAAACTCACTTTATCAGAACAACATAACATTGTCCCAAAATCTGACCAAAAAAATTACAAGAAAGGGAAATTACTAGTCAATCTCTGTCAAGAACATAGATGTATATATCTTAGGAAAATATTAAGAAATTGAATCCAGCAATTCACAAAAAGGCTAATCCATCATGACTCAGTTGAGTTTCTTCTAGAAATGCAAGATTGGTTTAGCTATCAAGATATTAATCCAGGGTGAGCCATGATGGTTCATGTGTATAATCTCAGAACTTTGGGAGGCCAATGTGGGACGATCACTTAAGGTCAGGAGTTTGAGATCAGCCTCAGCAACATAGCAAGACCTCATTTCTACAAAAAAAAATTTTTAAAAATCAACCATTTGTGGTGGCACATGCCTGTAGTCCCAGCTATTCAGAAAATTGAGGCAGGAGGATAGCTTGAGTCCAGGAGTTTGAGACCGCAGTGAGTTATGGTCATGACACTGCACTCCAGCCTGGGCAACAGAGTGAGAGCCTGTCTCTTAAAAAAAAATCCATAAAATTCACCAATTAACAAAATGGAAAAAAAGTATAATCATCTCAATAAATGCAGTAAAAGCATTTCGTAAAATGTAGTATCTATGTAAGAAAAAACTCAAATACTAAGAATAAAAGGGAACATCCTTAATCTGACAAATCTTATCTACAAAAATAGAAGGGACTACAATAAACATTATGCTCGTGAAATATTAAAAGCTTTTTCTCTAAAATCAGCAATGAGATAAATATCTCTACTATTACAATTTCTACCACCATTAAACTGTACATGTTAGCTAGTGCAACAAGGCAAGGAAAAGAAGGTGTAGTCACTGAAAAGGAAGAAATAAAACTGTTACATGCAGATGACATGATCATGTATGTAGAAAGTCCAAATGTATCTGTACATTTTTAATACTAATATGTGAATTCAGAAAGTTCACTGGAAACAAGATTAGTAGTAAAAAATCTATTGCACTTTCATATATGAGAAAAAATAATATTAGAGAAAGAATTGTTTTAAAAAGACCACTTACATAGTGGCTCAAAAAATCAAGTATTTAGAAATAAATCTATTAAAAGATAAGCAAAAATGCCAAACCCAAAACTACAAAACATTTATATGGGGAAGGGATATCCAACTCCAACTCCCTCTAGGCATCCTATCTGCCCTACGTAAGGGGAGGAAAAGGGACCGAGTAGCACTTGTGAAGATTACAGTGCAAGGAAACAGGCTCACTAAATGTGTGCAACTTAATTATAGAACTACAGAATAATACTTCCCTGATGCCTACACCTTATTACCATATCATTAAAGGCCTATTCAACAGTTTCTTTTCTCCAGTGCATCATGTCCAATTTTCAACAAAAAAATTACAAGATATATTAAAAAGTAAAGTCTGAAGAGACAGAGGAAACATCAGATCCAAATTCAGATATGGCAGATACTCTGAACTAAAAATTTTTTAAAATTGTGATTAATATGCTAAGAGTGCTAGTGGAAAAAAATAGACAACATGCAAGGATAGATGATTAATGTATGCAGAGAGATGGAATTCTAAGAAAAAAATAAAAAATAAATGCTAGATATCAAAAACACTGTAATAGAAATGAAGAATGCCTTTCATGAGCTCATTAGTAGACTGGACATGGTTAAGGAAAGATCCTCTGAGCTTGAGGATGTCTCATTGGAAATTCCAAAACTGAAAAGCAGAGGGAAAAAGACTGGAAAATAGAAAATAGAATATCCAAGAACAGTGAAACCACCACAAAAGGTAGTTGAGTAATAGGAATACTAGAAGGATATAAAAGAAAGAAACGGAAGAAATATTTTAAGCAATAATGACTGAGAATTTTTTCAAATTAATATCAGACATGAAAACACAGATCCAGGAAGCTCAGAGAACATCAAGCAGGATAAATTCATTAAAAAACATACACTCAGGCATATGATATTCAAACTGCAGAAAATAAATTAAAAAAAAAAAAAAACCTTGAAAGAAGCCAGAGGAAAAACACCTTATCTATAGAGAGGCAAAGAAAAGAATAACAAACAACTTATCCTCAGAAACCATGTAAGCAAGAAGAGAGGGGAGTGAAATATTTTAAGTGGTGAGAGAAAATAAAAATCACCAATATAGAATTACATATGCTGCAAAATTATCCTTCAACAACAAAAGAGAACTAAAGACTTTCTCAGACAAAAATTAAGGGAACTTATTACTAGTAGACCTGCCTTGCAAAAAATGTTAAAACAAATTCTTCAGAAAGAAGAAAAATGATATAGTTCAGAAACTTGAATTTACCTTAAAAAAGGAAAAATGCTAGAGAAAGAAAAAGTGAAGGTAAAACAAAAACTTTTATTTTTCATATTTTCCAATGATCTAACAGGTAACAGTTTGCTCAAAATAACAATAGTAAAAATATATTCAATGATTATAGCTTATGAATAAGTGAAATGAATTACAGCAATGATACAAGAGATGGGAGAGAAGAATTAGGAATATTTTGATATTTTAAGGTACTTGTCCTACCCATGAAGTGATATACTGTTATATGAAAATAGACATGGAATCACTGTAAATGTGTATCAGAAATTCTAGGGCAACCACTAAAAAAGTTTCAAAAAGAAGTATAATTGATATATTAAGAAAGGGGAGAAAATCAAATCATAGAAAATGCTCAATTAATACCACAAAAGATAGGAAACGAATGAGATACAAAATAGGAAGAACGGCAATAAATAAAAATCATTAACAAATTTGGTACACATTAACCCAACTAAATCAATAATCACTTCAAATGTCAATGGGCTAAACTTACTAATTAAAAGACAGATATAGTAGATTAAAAAATAAGACCCAACTACATGTTGTCTACAAGAAACCCACTTTAAATATAAAAGTAGAGGGATACAGAAAGAACTACTTTGCTAATACTAATCAAATGAAAGCTGGGGTAGCTATATTAATTTTGGTACCAGAAAAAATAAAAGATCTAAAATCAATTCCCTAAGTGTTTACCTTAGAAAACTAGAAATAGAAGAGTAAATTAAATCCAAAGTGAGCAGATGTAAAGAAATAATAAAAATTAGAGCAGAAATCCATGAAACTGAAAACAGGAAACTAATACAGAAAATGTATTAAAACAAAAGCCAGCTCTTTGAAAAGACCAATACAACTGATAAGTCTCTAGCCAGGATAATAGAGAGAGAAGACATAAATTACCCATATCAGAAATCAAAAAGGGGATATTGCTACAGATCCCATGGGCATTCAAAGGATAATAATGGAATAGTATGAACTCTGCCCACAAATTTGATAACATAGATAAAATGGACCAATTCTTGGAAGGCACAATCTGCCAAAACTCACACAATAATATGAAAAACAAGAAATGGGGAAAGTATTCCCTATTAATAAGTGGTCCTGGGAAAACTCGCTAGCCATATGTAGAAAGCTGAAACTGGATCCCTTCCTTACTCCTTATACAAAAATTAATTCAAGATGGATTAAAGAATTAAACTTTAGACCTAAAACCAAAAAACCCTAGAAGAAAACCTAGGCCATATCATTCAGGACATAGGCATGGGCAAGGACTTCATGACTAGAACACTAATATATATATACATATATACAGGTTATATATATAATTATATATTTTATATATATAATTAATATATATTAATTATACTTTAAGTTCTAGGGTACTTGTGCACAACGTACAGATTTGATACATAGGTATACATGTGCCATGTTGGTTTGCTGCACCCATCAACTCATCATTTACATTAGGTATTTCTCCTAATGCTATCCCTCCCCCAGTCCCCCACCCGGCAACGGGCCCCAGTGTGAGATGTTCCCTGCCCTGTGTCCAAGTGTTATTGTTCAATTCCCACCTAAGAGTGAGAACATGTGGTGTTTGGTTTTCTGACTTTGTGGTACTTTGCTGAGAATGATGGTTTCCAGCCTCATCCATGTCCCTGCAAAGGACAAGAACTCATCCTTTTTTATGGCTGCATAGTATGCCTTGGTGTATATGTGCCACATTTTCTTAATCTAGTCTATCATTGATGGACATTTGAGTTGGTTCCAAGTCTTTGCTATTTGAATAGTGTCACAATAAACATAAGTGTGCATGTATCTTTATAGTAGCATGATTTATAATCCTTTGGGTATATACCCAGTAATGGGATTTCTGGGTTAAATGGTAATTCTAGTTCTAGATCCTTGAGGAATCACCACGCTGTCTTCCACAGTGGTTGAACTAATTTACAGTCCCACCAACAGTGTAAAAGCATTCCTATTTCTCCACATCTTCTCCAGCATCTGTTGTTTCCTGACTTTTTAATGACTGCCATTCTTACTGGCATGAGATGGTATCTCATTGTGGTTTTGATTTGCATTTCTCTGATGACCAGTGATGATGAGCATTTTTTCATGTGTCTTTTGGCTGCATAGGTGTCTTCTTTTGAGTAGTGTCTGTTCATATGCTTTGTCCACTTTTTGATGGGGTTGTTTTTTTTCTTGTAAATTTGTTTGAGGTCTTTGTAGATTCTGGATATTACCCCTTTATCAGATGGGTAGATTGCAAAAATTTCCTCCCATTCTGTAGGTTGCCTGTTCACTGTGATGGTAGTTTCTTTTGCCATGCCAAAGCTCTTAAGTTTAATTAGATACCACATGTGTATTTTGGCTTTTGTTGCCATTGCTTTTAGTGTTCTAGTCACGAAGTTCTTGCCCATGCCTATGTCCTGAATGATATGGCCTGGGTTTTCTTCTAGGGTTTTTATGGTTTTAGGTCTAACATTTAAGTCTTTAATCCATCTTGAATTAATTTTTGTATAAGGTGTAAGGAAGGGATCCAGTTTCAGCTTTCTACATATGGCTAGCCAGTTTTCCCAGGACCATTTATTAATAGAGAATACTTTCCCCATTTTTTGTTTTTGTCAGGTTTGTCAAAAATCAGATGGTTGTAGATGTGTGCTGTTATTTCTGAGGCCTCTGATCTGTTCCATTGGTCTATATCTCTGTTTTGGTACCAGTACCATGCTGTTTTGGTTACTGTAGTTTTGTAGTATAGTTTGAAGTCAGGTACTGTGATGACTCCAGCTTTGTTCTTTTTGTTTAGGATTGTCTTGCCTATACTGGCTCTTTTTTGGTTCCATATGAATTTTATTTTATTTTTTATTATACTTTAAGTTCTAGGGTACATGTGCACAATGTGCAGGTTTGTTACATATGTATACATGTGCCATGTTGGTGTGCTGCACCCATTAACTCATCATTTACGTTAGGTATATCTCCCAATAGCTATCCCTCTCCCCTCCCCCCACCCCATGACAGGCCCTGGTGTGTGATGCTCCCCCCGTGTCCAAGTGTTCTCATTGTTCAGTTCCTACCTATGAGCGAGAACATGCGGTGTTTGGGTTTTCTGTCCTTGCGATAGTTTGCTGAGAATGATGGTTTCCAGCTTCATCCATGTTCCTACAAAGGACATGAACTCATCATTTTTTATGGCTGCATAGTTTTCCATGGTGTATATGTGCCACATTTTCTTAATCCAGTCTATCATTGATGGACATTTGGGTTGGTTCCAAGTCTTTGCTATTGTGAATAGTGCTGCAATAAACATACGTGTGCATGTGTCTTTATAGCAGCATGATTTATAATCCTTTGGGTATATACCCAGTAATGGGATGGCTGGGTCAAATGGCATTTCTAGTTCTAGATCCTTGAGGAATCGCCACACTGTCTTCCACAATGGTTGAACTAGTTTACAGTCCCACCAACAGTGTCAAAGTGTTCCTATTTCTCCACATCCACATGAACTTTGAAGTAGTTTTTTCCAATTCTGTGAAGAAAGTCACTGATAGCTTGATGGGGATGGTATTGAATCTATAAATTACTTTGGGCAGTATGGCCAGTTTCACGATATTGTTTCTTTCTATCCATGAGCATGGAATATTCTTCCATTTTATGGTGTCCTCTTTTATTTAGTTGAGCAGTGGTTTGTAGTTCTCCTTGAAGAGGTCCTTCATATCCCTTGTAAGTTGGATTCCTAGGTATTTTATTCTCTTTGTAGCAGTTGTGAATGGGAGTTCACTCATCATTTGGCTCTCTGTTTGTCTGTTAATGGTGTACAGGAATGCTTGTGATTTTTGCACATTGATGTTGTATCCTGAGACATTGCTGAAGTTGCTTATCAGCTTAAGGACATTTTGGTCTGAGATGATGGGGTTTTCTAAACATCCAGTCATGTCATCTGCAAAAGGGACAATTTCACTTTCTCTTTTCCTGATTGAATACCCTTTATTTCTTTCTCCTGCCTGATTGCCCTGGCCAGAACTTCCAACACTATGTTGAATAGGAGTGGTGAGAGAGAGCATCCTTGTCTTGTGCCAGTTTTCAAAGGGAATGCTTACAGTTTTTGCCCATTCAGTATGATACCGGCTGTGGGTTTGTCATAAATAGCTGTTGTTATTTTGAGATATGTTCCATCAATACCTAGTTTATTGAGAGTTTTTAGCCTGAAGGACTGTTGCATTTTTTCAAAGGCCTTTTCTGCACCTATTGAGATAATCATGTGGTTTTTGTCTTTGGTTCTGTTTATGTCATGAATTATGTTTATAGATTTGTGTATGTTGAACCAGCCTTGCATCCCAGGGATGAAGACAACTTGATCGTGGTGGATAAGCTTTTTGATGTACTGCTGGATTCGGTTTGCCAGTATTTTATTGAGGATTTTCGCACTGATGTTCCTCAGGGATATTGGTCTAAAATTATTTTTTTTGGTTGTGTCTCTGCCAAGCTTTGATATCAGGTTGATGTTGGCCTCATCAAATGAGTTAGGGAGGATTCCCTCTTTTTCTATTCATTGGAATCGTTTCAGAAGGAATGCTACTAGCTCCTCTTTGTACCTCTGGTAGAATTCGGCTGTGAATCGGTCTGGTTCTGGACATTTTTTGGTTGGTAGGCTATTAACTATTGCCTCAATTTCAGAGCCTGCTATTGGTATATTCAGTGATTAAACTTCTTCCTTGTTTAGTCTTGGGAGGGTGGATGTGTCCAGGAATTTATCCATTTCTTCTAGATTTTCTAGTTTATTTGCATAGAGGTGTTTATAGTATTCTCTGACGGTAGTTTGTATTTCCGTGGGATCGGTGGTGATATCCCCTTTATCATTTTTTATTGCGTCTATTTGATTCTTCTCTTTTCTTCTTTATTAGTCTTACTAGTGGTCTATCAATTTTGTTGCTCCTTTCAAAAAACCAGCTCCTGGACTCATTGATTTTTTGAAGGGTTTTTTGTGTCTCTATCTCTTTCAGTTCTGTTCTGATCTTAGTTATTTCTTGCCTTCTGCTAGCTTTTGAATTTGTTTGCTCTTGCTTCTCTAGTTCTTTTAATTGTGATGTTATGGTGTCTATTTTAGATCTTTCTTGCTTTCTCTTGTGGGCATTTAGTGCTATAAATTTCCCTCTACACACTACTTTAAATGTGTCCCAGAGATTCTGGTACATTGTGTCTTTGTTCTCACCGGTTTCAAAAAACATCTTTATTTCTGCCTTCATTTAATTATTTACCCAGCAGTCATTCAGGAGCAAGTTCTTCAGTTTCCATGTAGTTGTACAGTTTTGAGTGAGTTTCTTAATTCTGAGTTCTAATTTGATTGCACTGTGGTCTGAGAGACAGTTTGTTGTGATTTCTGTTCTTTTACATTTGCTGAGGAGTGCTTTACTTCCAATTATGTGGTCAATTTTAGAATAAGTGCAATGTGGTGCTGAGAAGAATGTATATTCTGTTGACTTGGGGTGGAGAGTTCCGTAGATGTCTATTAGGCCTGCTTGTTGCAGAGCTGATTTCAAGTCCTGGATGTCCTTGTTAACCTTCTGTCTTGTTGATCTGTCTAATATTGACAGTGGGGTGTTAAATTCTCCCATTATTATTGTGTGGAAGTCTAAGTCCTTTGTAGGTCTCTAAAACTTGCTTTATGAATCTGGGTGTTCCTGTATTGGGTGCATATATATTTAGGATAGTTAGCTCTTCTTGTTGAATTGATCCCTTTACCATTATGTAATGGCCTTCTTTGTCTCTTTTGATCTTGGTTGGTTCAAAGTCTGTTTTATCGGAGACTAGGATTGCAGCCCCTGCTTTTTTTTTTTTTTTTTGCTTTCCATTTGCTTGGTAGATCTTCCTCCATCCCTTTATTTTGAGACTGTGTGCATCTTTGCACGTGAGATGGGCCTCCTGAATACAACACCCTGATGGGTCTTGAGTCTTTATACAATTTCCCAGTCTGTGTCTTTTAATTGGGGCATTTAGCCCATTTACTTTTAAGGTTAATATTGTTATGTGTGAATTTGATCCTGTCATTATGATGTTCACTGGTTATTATGCCTGTTAAGTGATGCAGTTTCTTCATAGCATTGATGGTCTTTACAATTTGGCCTGTTTTTGCAGTGGCTGGTAGTAGTTGTTTTTTTCCATCTTTAGTGCTTCCTTCAGGAGCTCTTGTAAGGCAGGCCTGGTTGTGACAAAATCTCCCATCATTTGCTAGTCTGTAAAGGATTTTATTTCTCCTTCATTTATGAAGCTTAATTTGGCTGGATATGAAATTCTGGGTTGAAAATTCTTTTCTTTAAGAATGTTGAATATTGGCCTCCACTCTCTTCTGGCTTGTAGGGTTTCTGCCCAGAGATCTGCTGTTAGTCTGGTAGGCTTCCCGTTGTGGGTAACTCGACCTTTCTCTCTGGCTGCCCTTAACACTTTTTCCTTCATTTCAACCTTGGTAAATCTGACAATTATGTGTATTGGGGTTGCTCTTCTCAAGGAGTATCTTTGTGGTGCTCTCTGTATTTCCTGAATTTGAATGTTGGCCTGCCTTGTTAGGTTGGGGAAGTTCTCCTGGATAATATCCTGAAAAATGTTTTCCAACTTGGTTCCATTCTTCCCATCACTTTCAGGTACACCAATCAAATGTAGATTTGGTCTTTTCACATATTCCCTATTTCTTGGAGGCTTTGTTCATTTCTTTTTACTCTTTTTTTGTCTAACCTTGTCTTCTTGCTTTATTTTATTAATTTGATCTTCAATCACTGATACCCTTTCTTCCACTTGATTGAATCAGCTATTGAAGCTTGTGCATGCATTACAAAGTTCTCATGCCATGGTTTTCAGCTCTATCAGGTCATTTAAGGTCATCTCCACACTGTTCTAGTTACCCATTCGTCTAATCTTTTTAAAGGTTTTTAGCTTCCTTGCGATGGTTTTGAACTTCCTCCTTTAGCTCGGAAAAATTTGTTATTCCTGACCTTCTGAAGCCTACTCTGTCAACTCATCAAAGTCATTCTCTGTCCAGCTTTCTTCAATTGCTGGCGACGAGCTGCTATCTTTTGGAGAAGAGGCACTCTGATTTTTAGAATTTTCAGCTTTTCTGCTCTGTTTTCTCCCCATCTTTGTGGTTTTATCTGCCTTTGGTCTTTGATGTTGGTGACCTACAGATGGGGTTTTCGTGTAGATGACCTTTTTGTTGATGTTGATGCTATGCCTTTCTGTTTGTTAGTTTTCCTTCTAACAGTCAGGTCTGTCAGCTGCAGGTGTGTTGGAATTTGCTGGAGGTCCACTCCCGACCCTGTTTGCCTGGGTATCACCAAAGGAGGCTGCAGAACAGCAAATATGCAGAACAGCAAATATTGCTGCCTGACCCTTCCTCTGGAAGCTTTGTCCCAGAGGGGCATCTGCCTATATGAGGTGTCTGTTGGCCCCTACTGGGAGATGTCTCCTGTTTGGCTACACAGGGGTCAGGGACCCATTTGCAGAAGCAGTCTGTTCATTCTCAGAACACAAACGCTGTGCTGGGAGAACCAGTGCTCTCTTCAGAGCTGTCAGACAGGGATGTTTAAGTCTGCAGAAGTTGTCTGCTGCCTTTTGTTCAGCTATGCCCTGCCCACAGAGGTGGAGTTTAGAGGCAGTAGGCCTTCTTGAGCTGCGGTGGGCTCCGCCCAGTTCAAGCTTCCTGGCCGCTTTGTTTACCTACTCAAGCCTCAGCAATGGCGGACGCCCCTCCCCCAGCCAGGCTGCCGCCTTGCAGTTTGATCTCAGACTGCTGCGCTAGCAGTGAGCAAGGCTCTGTGGGCATGGGACCCACTGAGCCAGGCATGGGAGCAAATCTCCTCATCTGCTGGTTGCTAAGATCTTGGGAAAAGCACAGCATTTGGGCAGGAGTGTCCCATTTTTCCAGATAGTCTGTCATGGCTTCCCTTGGCTAAGAAAAAGAAATCCCCTGACCCCCTGTGCTTCCCAGGTGAGGCAACACCCCACCCTGCTTCAGCTCACCCTCTCTGGGCTTCACCCACTGTCCAACCAGTCCCAGTGAGACGAACCAGTTACCTCAGTTGGAAATGCAGAAATCACCCGTCTTCTTCATCGATCATGCTGGGAGCTGCAGACCAGAGCTGTTCCTATTTGGCCATCTTCTTCCCTCCACCCCTGCCTCAAATAGACCTATATATTTTTTTTAAAATTGAGATAACTAACCTAAAAGCCTTGACTACACCGTTATGCAATCTATGCATGAAACAAAATTACCCTTGTGCACCATAAGTTTACACAAATTTTTATTTTTTTAATTTTTAATTTTTGTGGGTGCATAGTAGGTATATATATTTATGGGGTATGTGATATGTTTTGATACAGGCATGCAATATGAAATAAGCACATCATGAATAGGGTATCCATCCTCTCAAGCATTTATCCATTGAGTTGCAAACAATCCAATTACACACTTTAAGTTATTATGAAATGTAGTTATAATTGACTATAGCCATCCTGTTATGTTATCAAATAGTAAATCTTATTCATTATTTCTAGCCTTTTTTAGTACCCATTAATCATCCCAACCTTCTCCCCCATGAACCCCTGACTACCCTTCGCAACTCTGGTAAGGATCCTTCTACTTTCTATATCCATGAATTACATTGTTTTGACTTTTAGATGCCACAAATAAGTGAGAACATCTGATGTTTGTCATTCTGTGCCTGGCTTATCTCATTTAACAAAATGATCTCCAGTTCCATCTATGTTGTTGTAAATGATGAATCTCATTCTTTTTATGGCTGAAAGGTACTCCACTGTATATATGCACCACAGTTTCTTTATTCATTCGTCTGTTGATGGAAACTAAGTTTCTTCCAAATCTTGTTGTAGACAGTGCTGTAACAAACATGGGAGTGTAGACATCTCTTCCATACATTGATTTTCTTTCCTTTGGGTATATATACAACAGTGAGATTGCTGGATCATATGGGAGCTCAATTTGTGTTTCTTGAGGAACCTCCAAACTGTTCTCCATAGTGGTTGTACTAATCTACATTCCCACCAACAGTGTACAAGTGTTCCCTTTTCTCCATATCCTCACCAGCATTTGTTATTGCCTGTCTTTTGGATATAAGCCATTTTAACTGGAGTGAGGTGATATCTCATTGTAGTTTTGATTTGCATTTCTCTGATGATCAATGATACTGTGCACCTTTTCATGTGTGTGTTTGCCATCTGTATGTCTTGAGAAATATCTTTCACCCATGTTTTGATTAAATTATTATGTTTTTTCCTATAGAGTTGTTTGAGCTCCTTAAATACTCTGATTACTAACCCCTTGTCAAATAGGTATTTTGCAAATTTTTTCTCCCATTCTATAGGTTGTCTCTTCACTTTGTTGATTGTATTCTTTGTTGTGCAGAAGCTTTTTAACTTGATGTGATCACATTTGTCCATTTTTGCTTTGGTTGCCTGGGCTTGTGGGGTATTGCTCAAGAAATTTTTGCCCAGACCAATGTCCTAGAGATTTCCTCCCATGTTTTCTTGTAGTAACTTCATGGTTTGAGGTCTTGGATTTAAATCTTTAATTCATTTTGATTTTTTAAAATATAGCAATAGTTAGGAGTCTAGTTTCTTTCTTCTGCTTATGGATATCCAGTTTTCCCAGCACCATTTATTGAAGATACTGTCTTTTCCCCAGTGTATGTTCTTGGCGCATTTGTCGAAAATGAGTTCACTATACGTGTGTGAATTTGTTTCTGTGTTCTCTATTCTGCTCCATTGGTCTCTGTCTCTGTTTTTATGCCAGTACCATGCTGTTTTGGTTATTATAGCTATTTGAAGTCAGGTAATGTGATTCCTACAGTTTTGTTCTTTTTGCTTAGAATAGCTTTGGGTATTCTGGTTCCATGTAAACTTTAGGATTGTTTTTTCTATTTCTGTGAAGAATGTTATTGGAATTTGAAAGAGATTCCATTGAATCTATATATTACTTTGGGTTATATAGACATTTTAACAACATTGATTCTTCCAATCTATGAACATGAGATATTTTTTCATTTTTTGATGTCCTCTTCAATTTCTTTCATTAGTGATCTATAGTTTTTATTATAGAGGTCTTTCTTTTCTTGGTTAATTCCTATATATTTAATTTTATGTGTGGCTATTATAAATGATTGCTTTTTTATTTCTTTTTCACATTGCTCACTGGTGGCATACAGAAATGCTACTGATTTTTGTCTGCTGATTTTGTATCCTGCAACTTTACTGAATTTATCAGTTCTAATTGTTTCCTTGTGGAATCTTTAGGTTTTTCCCAAGTATAAGATCATATCATCTGCAAACAAGGATAATTTGAATTCTTCCTTTCCCTTTTTTTTTCTTCTTTTTGAGACAGAGTCTTGTTGTGTCACCCATGCTGGAGTGCAGTGGCATGATCTCGATTCGCTGCAATCCCCACCTCCTGGGTTCAAGCAATTATTGTGTCTCAGCCTCCCAAGTAGCTAGGACTACAGGAGTGTACCACCACACCTGGCTAATGCTTTGTGTTATTAGTAGAGACAGGGTTTTGCCATGTTGCCCAGGCTGGTCTTGAATGCCTGAGCTCAAGCAATCCACCCTTCTTGGTCTCCCAAAATGCTGGGATTATAGGTGTGAGCCACTGCACCCGGCCTTAATTCTTCCTTTCCAGTTTGGATGCCCTTCATGTTTTTCTCTTGTCTCATTGCTCTAGCTAGGACTTCCAGGATTATGTTGAATAACATTGGTGACAGTGGGCATACTTGTCATGTTCCAGATCTTAGAGGAAAGGCTTTCATTTTTTTCCCCATTCAGTATACCAGCTATGGGTCTGTCATATATGGCTTTTATTATGGTGAGCTATAGTCCTTCTATACCCTGTTATTTTAGGGTTTTTATCATAAAACAATGTTGAATTTTACCAAATGCTTTTTCATCATCAATTGAAATGATTATATGGTTTTTATCCTTCATTCTGATGATATGACATATCACATCAATTGATTTGCATATGTTGAACCATACTTGCATCCCAGGGATAAATCCCACTTGGTCATAGTGAATGAGCATTCTGATGTACTGTTAAATTCAGTTTGCCAGTATTTTGTTGAGGATGTTTGCATCAATATTCACCAGAGATATTGGCCTGTAGTTTTCTTTTTTTCATTTGTCTTTGGTTTTGGTATCAGGGTAATACTGGCCTCACAGGATGAGTTTGGCAGTATTCTTTCCTCCTCTATTTTTCTGAATAGTTTGAGTAGGACTGGTATTAGTTCTTGTTTGGTAAAATTCAGGATTGAAGCCCTGATGTCCTGGGCTTTTCTTTACTATGAGACTTTTTATTAATATTATGGCTTTGACCTCATTACTTGTTATTGGTCTGTTCTGGTTTTGGATTTCTTCTTGACTCAATTTTGGTAGGCTGTATGTGGCTAGGAATTTGTGCATTTCTTCTAGATTTTCCAATTTATTGGCATATAGTTGCTCACAGTAGCTACTAATGATCCTTTGAATTTCTGCAGTATCAGCTAGAATGTCTCCTTCATTTCTGATTTTATTTAATTGGATCTTCTCTTTTTTTTCTTAGTCTAGCTAAAGGTTTATCAATTTTGTTTAACTTTTCAAAGAAACAACTTTTTGTTCCATTCATCTTTTGTATTCTCTCTCTCAATTCAATTTCATTTATTTCTGCTCTGATCTTTATTATTTCCTTTCTTCTACTAATTTTGGGTTTGGTTTGCTCTGGCTTTTCTGGTTCTTTAAGATGCATCATTAGATTGTCTATTTGAAATTTTCCCTTTTTTGATATAGACACTTATAGCCATAAAATTCTATCTTACTATTGCTTTTGCTATATTCCATAGGTTTTGCTATGTTGTGTTTCATTATCATTTGTTTCAAGAAAATGTTTAATTTCCTTATTAATTTCTTCATTGACCCACGGGTCATTTGGGAGCACATATTTTAACTTCCATCTATTTCTATATTTTCCAAAATTCCTCTTGTTATTTATTTCTAGTTTTATTCCATTGTGGTCAGAGAAGATACTTGATATTATTTCAATTTTTTGAATGTTTTAAGACTTGTTTTGTGATGTAACATATGGTCTGTCCTTGAGAATAACTCACGTGCTGAGGAAAAGAATGTGTATTCTGCAGCTGTTGGATGAAATATTCTATAAATATCTATTAGATCCATTTGGTGTATAGTGCAGATTAAGTCTGCTGTCTGTTTGTTGATTTCCTGTCTGGAACACTGGTCTAATGCTGAAAGTGGGGTGTTGAAGTCTCTAGCTATTATTGTATTGGGGCCTATCTCTCTCTTTACCTCTAATAATATTTCCTTCATATATCTGGGTGCATCAGTGTTGGGTGCATATATATTTAAAATTGTTATATCCCTGTGATGGTTAATATTGTCAACTTGATTGGCTTGAAGGCTGCAAAGTATTGTTTCTGGATGTATCTGGGTGTTTGTAGGTGTTGCCAGAAGAGATTAACATTTGAGTCAGTGGACTGGGAGACAAAGACCCACCCTCAAGAAGACCCATCCACAGTGTGGGTGGGCACCATCCAATCAGCTGCCAGCATGGGTAGAAAAAGCAGGCAGAAGAAGGTAGAAGAAGCTGACTTGCTGAGTCTTTCAGCTTTCATCTTTCTCTCATTCTGGATGCTTCTGATCTCAAACATCAGACTCCAAGTTCTTTGGCTTTTAGACTGTTGGACTCACACCAGTAGTTTGCCAGGGCCTCTCAGGACTTTGGCCACAGACTGAAAGCTACACTGTCAGCTTCCCTTCTTTTGAGATTTTGGGACTCGGAATGAGCCACTACTGGCTTCCTTACTCCTCAACTTGCAGACGGCCTGTCATGGGACTTCATCTTGTGATTGTGTGAGTCAATTCTCCTTAATAAACTCCTTCATTTATACATATATTCTTTAGTTCTGTCCCTCTAGAGAACCCTAATAGAATCCTCTTGCTGAATTGACCACTTTGTCATTATATAGTGACCTTCTTTGTATCTTCTTACAGTTTTTAACCTTGAAATCTATTTTGTCTTATATAAGCATAGCAACTCCTACTCCTTTGATTTCCATTGGCACGGAATATCATTTTCCATCCCTTTTTTAGTCTATGTGTGTCTTTATAGGTGAAGTGTGTTTCTTGTATGCAACAGACCAGTAGGTATTGTTTTTTTTCACCCATTCAGCCAGTCTATGACTTTTGATTGGAAAGTGTAGTCCATTTACCTTCAATGTTATTATTGACAATATTATTGACAAGAACTTACTCCTACCATTTGATTATTTGTCTTCTGTTTGTTTTGTGCTGTTCTCTTCCTTCTTTCTTTCATTCCTGATTTTGTGAAGATGATTTTCTCTAATAATATGATTTAGTTCCTTGCCTTTTATTCTTTGTGTATTTGTTGTATGTTTTTTGGTTTGAGGCTACCATGAGGTTTGCAAATACTATTTTATAATCCACTTTTAACCTGATAACAACTTAATAGTATTTGCATAAACAAACAAGAAAAAGAAAACTAATAAAACTTGCATTAACTTTGTCCTCCCATGTTTTAACTTTTTATTGTTTCTATTTATATCTTCTTAAACTGACTGTGTCTTAAAAAGTTGTTGAGTTGTTATTTTTGATTGGTTCATTGTTTAGTCTTTCTACTTGGGACAAGTATAGTTTACATGCCACAATTACAGAGTTATAATATTCTGTATTTTTCTTTGTACTTACTATTACCAGTAAGTTTTATACCTTCAGGTGATTATCTATTACTCATTACTATCCTTTTCTATTTGATTGAAGTACTCCCTTTGGCATTTCTTGTAGAATGGTTGTGGTATTAATGAACTCTCTCAACTTTTGTTTGTCAGGGAAAAACATTTCTTTCTCCTTCATGTTTGAAGGACATTTTTGCCAGATATACTAATCTGGGGTTAAAGGTTGTTTCCCTTCAGCATTTTGAATATGTCATGCCACTCTCTCCTGGCCTGTAAAGTTTCCACTGAAAAGTTTGCTGCCAGACATATTGGAGCTCCATAGTATTTTGTTTCTTTCTCTTGCTGCTTTTAGAATGCTTTCTTTATCCTTGACCTTTGGGAGTTTCATTATAAAATGCCTCGATGTACTCTTGTTTGGGTTAAATCTGCTTGGTGTTTAACCTTCTTGTACCGGGATACTGATATTTTCCTCTAAGTTTGGAAAGTTCTCATTATTATCCTTTTGAATAAACTTTCTACCCCTATCTTTTTCTCTAACTCCTCTTTAAGGCCAATAACTGTTAGATTTTCCCTTTTGAGGCTATTTTCTAGATCCTGTAGGTGTGCTTCATTGTTTTTTATTCTTTTGTTTTGTCTTTTCTGACTGTGTATTTCAATTAGTCTGTCTTCAAGCTCACTAATTTTCTTCTGCTTGATTAACTCCACTATTCAAGGACTCTGATGCATTCCTCAGTATGCCAATTGCATTCTTCAACTCCAGAATTTCTGCTTGATTCTTTTAAATTATTTCAATATCTTTGTTAAATTTATCTGATAGAATTCTGAAATCCTTCTCTGTGTTATCTTGAATTTCTCTGAGTTCCTTTAACATGGGTATTTTGAATTCTCTACCTGAAATGTCACATATCTCTGTTTCTCCAGGATTGGTCCCTCGTGCCTTATTGAGTTCATTTGGTGTGGTCATGTTTTCCTAGATGGTGTTGATGCTAGTAGATGTTCTCCACTGTCTGGGCATTGAAGAGTTCAGTATTTATTGTGGTATTCACTATCTGGGCTTATTTGTAGCTGTCCTTCCTTGGAAGGCTTTCCAGATATTTGAAAGAACATGGATGTTGTAATCTAAGTTGTTTCTGCTTTCAGGGGCACCCTAAGTCTAGTAACACTGTGGTTCTTAAAAGATGTCTTAAAACTTAATAAGAAAACATACTCACAAAAACCTGACCTTAAAATGTACAAAAGACCTGAACAGAGACCTCTCCAGAGAAGATATACAGATGGCAAAAAAACATATGAGAGATGCTCACCATCATATATTATTAGGTTACTGCAAATTAAAACAACAATGAGATACTACCACATATCTAACAGAATGGCCAAAATCCAACACACTGACAATGCTAAATACTCATGAGCATGTGGAACAACAAGAACTCTCATTCACCGCTTGTAGTAATACAAAAGGTACAGCCACTTTGGAAGACAATCTGTCAGTGTCTTTCAAAACTAAACACACTCTCAAATATAACATGGATGAACCTGAAGGACATTTTGCTAAGTGAAATAAACCAGATACAGAAAGACAAATACTGCATTAACTCATTCATATTTGAAATCTAAAAAGGTTGAACTCATAGAAGTAGAGAGTCCAATGATGATTACTAGAGGCTAGGAGGCTGAGGAGGGAGGAAATGGGAGATGGTGATCAAAGAGTACAAAGTTTCAGACAGACAGGAGCAATAAGGTTTGAGATCTATTGCACGGCAGGGTGACTACAGCCAATAATAATGTACAGTATATTTCTAAATAACTAAAAGTAAATTTCAAATGCTTCAACATAAAAAATGGTAGGTAAGTGACATGATGGCTATGCTGATT
Organism: Homo sapiens; assembly: GCF_000001405.40. Classification (NCBI taxonomy): domain Eukaryota; kingdom Metazoa; phylum Chordata; class Mammalia; order Primates; family Hominidae; genus Homo; species Homo sapiens. Next base: position 3,949,481 of record NC_000003.12, read on the forward strand.
AGCTTGATGTAACCATTTTACACTGTATAAATCTATCAAAACATCACATTGGAATCCACAAATGCATATAATTACAATTTGTCAATTAAAAGTAATATCATTAAAATGTTTAAAAACTAAATACACTTTTATGATACAATCTAGCAATCATGATCTTTAGCATTTATCCAAGTAAGTTGAAAACTTACGTGCACACAAAAACCTGAACATGGATATTTATAGCAGCTTTATTCACAATTGCCAGCAACAAAAACGTCCTTCAATGGGTAAATGGATAAATTGTAGTAGATACAGATAATGAGATGTTACTCACTAATAAAAACAATAAGCTATCAAGCTAATGAAAAGATATTGAGGAAACATAAATGCATATTACTAAGTGAAAAATGCCAATCTGAAAAGGATACTTACTGTATGATTCCAACTGTATGACATTCTGGAAAAAGCAAAACTATGGAGACAGTAAAAAGATCACTGGTTGCCAGGATTTAGGCGGGAGGGAGGAATGAATAGGTGATAGGTGGAGCACGGAAAATTTTTTTTTTTTTTTTTTTTGAGACAGGGTCTTGCTCTGTCACCCACACTGGAGTGCAGTGGTGCAATGTGGGCTCACTGCAACCTCCACCTTTCGAGTTCAAGTGATTCTCCGGGCTCAGGCTCCTGAATAGCTGAAAATACAGGCGTCCACCACCACACCCAGCTAATTTTTGTATTTTTATAGTACAGGTAGGGTTTCACCATGTTGGCCAGGCTGGTCTCAAACTCCTGACCTCAACTGATCCACCCGCCTTAGCCTGCTAAAGTGCTGGGATTACAGGCATGAGCCACCATGCCCAGCTGAGCACAGATAATTTGTAGGACACTGAAAATACTCTGTATGATAGAATAATGGTGGATACATGCCATCAGATATTTATCCAAACTTTTAGAACGTACAACACTAAAAGTGAACCCTAATGTATACTATAACCTTTGGGTGATAATATGTCAATGTAGGTTCATCAACTGCAACAAATGTACCACTCTGGTACAGGATATTGATAATGGGGAAGGCCATGTATGTGGGAGTAGAGGCAGAGTAGATGGGAAATCTATAACCTTCCTTTCAATTTGGTGGTGAAATTAGAATTGAGCTAAAAACTAAAGCTTACTTTTAAAAAATCACTGAGACATATTAAAGACAAAGTAACTAAATGGAAGGCTATACAATGTTTGAGAACTATTAACAGAAAACTCAATATTGTAAAAATGACAATTATCCCTATTGCATTAGCATCATGCAATATGCTGATTGCAATGATGATCAGCATCATCACAATCAAAATTCTAGCTAGTATTTTAAAAATATAAATTGATAGGCTACTTGTAAAATGTATATACAAATGCAAAAGGCCATGAATATCCAAGAACAACCTGAAAAAGAGTAAAGCTGGAGGACTTATGCTATCAGACATGAAAACATATTCAAAACTATAATAATTAAAATAGAATGTTTTGCCTAAAGATAGACAAATATATAAATGGAATACAATCAAAACTGTCTCACACATATATGACCACTTAATTTAACTGTAATCTAAATATAAAAGTAATACCACAAATTTCTAGGAGATAGGAAAATATTGTTATGACTTGAGTAGACAAAGATTTTTTAAGCAGGACAGTAGTCACTAACCATAATGAGAAGGACTGATGAACTGGACTACAGTTGACCTTTGACTAACAAGGGTTCAAACTATGCAGGCCCATTTATATGCAGAGTTTTTCAATAAATGTACTGGAAAATTTTTTGGAGATTTGCCACAATTTGAAAAAACTCACAGATGGACCATGTAGTGTAGTCCAAAAATATATTTAAAAAAAAGAAACGGTTATGTATGTCATGAATGCACAAAATATATGTAGATACTAATGTTTTATCATTTAATACCATAAAATATATACAAATCTATTATAAAAAGTTAAAATTTAACAAAACTTTGGCATACAAACACAAGACCTTACATGGCAATATTCACAGTTGAGAGAAACGTAAACAAACATAAAGATACAGTATTAAATCATAAATGCATAAAATTAACTGTAGTCCATACTGTACTACTGTAACAATTTTGTAGCTACCTCCTGTTGCTGTTCTGCTGAGCTCAAGTGTTGCACGTATCTACTTAAAACACAATGTGACGCTAATCATCTCTGCTTGAGCAGTTCCTCTCTCCAGTAAATTGTTTATTGCAATAAAAATTCCTTAGGTATATTTCCCCGTGTTTAGCGCCATACCGTAAACCTAGAATAACACCAAAAGGACTCATATGAAATGCCACTAGTGATGCTGGAAGTGCTCCCAAAAAGCAGAGAAAAAGTCACGACATTCCAATAAAAAGTTGAATTGTTTGATATGTACCATAGAATGAGGTCTGCAGCTGTAGTTGCCCACCATGTCAGATAAACAATTCATCTTGTAAACAGACAATGTAAACTTAAGATATTGAGCAATATTACACAGTACTAAAAATGCATTCTCTTTTCCTCATGATTTTTTAAATAACATTTTTCTCTAGCTTACTTTATCATAAGAATACATTATATAATACTTATAACATAAAAATGTGTGTTAATCAACTGTTTATCAGTAAGGTTTTCAGTCAACAGTTGGCTATTCATAGTTAACTTTTTGAGTCGTCAAAAGTTAAACACTTTGTTTTTTTTTTCTTTTGAGACGGAATTTTGCTCTTGTCACCCAGGCTGGAGTGAAGTGGTGCGATCTCAGCTAGCTGCAACCTCCACCCCCTGGGTTCAAGCAATTCTCCTCTCTCAGCCTCCCGAGTAGCTGGGATTACAGGTACGTGCCACCACATCTGGCTAGTTTTTGTATTTTTAGTAGAAATGGGGTTTCACCATGTTAGCCAGGCTGGTCTTGAACTCCTGACCTCAGGTGATCCACCCACCTCGGCCTCCCAAAGTGCTGGGATTACAGGCATAAGCCACCGCGCTGGGCCACACACGTATTTTTCAACTCATGGAGGTAAACACCCCCATGTTGTTCAAGGGTCAATTGTACATTAAAATTAAGCACTTCTGTTCACCAAAAGAGATATTTAAAAGGCAAGCCAAAGAGTAGAAAAAGTTATTTGCAGTATATGTATAATTTGTATGGATATATTTTAAAATCCTACAAAATAATAATAAGAAGAAGGTAACTCAATAGAAAAAAATATGGGCACAAAACTTCAACAAGCACTTTCCAAAAGAGGATATTCTGAATGGCTGATAAATGTTTGAAAAGGTGCTCAACTTTATTAATTTTCAAGGAAATGCAAATTAACACCACCATAAAACACTGCTGTGTAACTACCAGAATGGCAATATTTATAAAATAAATGCTATTGTATATATATAAGGTACATAACATGATGCTATAAGATATATAGTAAAATGGTTTCTGTAGTGGAACAAATTAACATATCCATCATCGGCCAGGCGTGGTGGCTCACGCCTGTAATCCCAGTACTTTGGGAGGCCAAGGCAGGCAGATCACCTGAGGTCAGGAGTTCAAGATCAGCCTGATAGACATGGTGAAACCCTGTGTCTACTAAAAATACAAAAAATTAGCCAAATGTGGTGGCAGGCACCTGTAGTCCCAGCTACTCGGGAGGCTGAGGCAGGAGAATAGCTTGAACCCAGGAGGTGGAGGTTGCAGTCAGCCGAGATTGCGCCATTACACTCCTGTCTAGGTGACAGAGCAAGACTCTGTCTTTTAAAAAAATATGATGATAATGATAATTTGCTGGGTGTGGTGGCAGGCGCTTGGAGTCCCACCTACTTGGGAGGCTGAGCTGAGGCAGGAGAATTACTTAACCCGGGAGGCAGAGGTTGCAGTGAGCTGAGACTGAGCCACTGCACTCCAACCTGAGTGACAAGAGCAAAACTCTGTAAAAAAAAAAAAAAAAAAACAAACAAACAACAACAACAACAACAACCAAAAAAAAAACCATCATAGTTACTCAGCTATAACCTCATTTAGCAAAAGTCTTGAATACAATACACTATGATCAACCATATTCCTCGTGTTTTACAGTGGATCTTTTGACTTGTTAATCCATCATATTTATTATTTTGCATCCTTTGACCTACATCTCCCCATTTCTCCTCCCAACTCCAACCCTGGTAACTACTGTTTTATTTTCCATCTCTATATGTTTGACCTTCCCCTGTCACCCCACCCACCCAGCAGATTCCACATATAAGTGAGAATATGACATATTTTTCTTTCCATGTCTGGCTTATTTCACTTAGCATAACATCCTCTAGGTCTGTCCATGTTGTGGCAAATAGCAGAATCTTATCCTTTTTTAAAACTGAATTCTTTATCATTCATCCATTGATGGATACTTAGGTTGTTTCTGTATCTTGGCTATTGTGAATAGTGCTGCAATGAACTTGGGAGTGCACATATCTTTACAAGATGGTGATTTCATTTCCTTTGGGTAAATACCTGGAAGAGGATTGCTGGATCATAAGGTAGTTCTCTTATTAATTCCTTTAAGAACCTCCATACTGTTTCCACAATGGCTGTACCCATCTACATTCCCACCAACAGTATACAAGGGTTCCCTTTTCTCCAGACCTTCAGAATGGCAATATTTAAAGGATTAACAATACAAAATGTTGATGAAACTGGAGAAAAACTATAATTTTCATATTTCTGCTAGGAATAAAAATGTGGAAAATTGTTCAGCAGTATTTACAAACACTGGACATATATACGTATATACTTTATGACCCAATAATTTTACTTCCAGGTATTTATCAAACAGAAATACATATATCTATTTGCACATCAAAAGGCATGTGCAGGATGTTCAGAGTAGCACTATCTATATAGCCAAATGACATAATGCCCATCAATAATAGAATAAATTATGATGTGTTCATACCATGGACTACTACACAGCAATGAGAATGAACAAGCTACAATCACTTGCAACAATATGGATAGATCTCACAAATACAACATTAAATGAAGAAAATCATTCATAAAATTGTACCTAATATATGATTCCATTAATGTATTGGTCAAAACCAGGAAAAACTAATTAATGATGACAGAAGTCAGGAGAATAGCTGATTCTGGGCATGGTAAGGGAGAGGCATGGCTGAAGACTGGTAGGGCATATTAGGAGGTTTTCAAGGGTTGATTCTGTTTTATTCTGATCTGCACAGTGCTGAAATAGGCATGTTCACTTTGTGAAAATTCACTGGCTATATGCTTGCACTTTTTAAAATCCGTACATTACTTTTGTGCATATGTTACCTGTGATTACCACAAATAAAGATTCTACACAAATATACATCTGCACAAATATTTGCATAAAGACAGAAAATAATTCTAAACACTATACTGAATTCACAGCTAAAATTTTAAAAAACTTGTTAAATTAACCAGATCCATGATATAAATAAGTGAACAACACTATAAAAGATGACTTTAGAAGATTCCTTTTATGTCTGTGTATTATAAACTGTCCATCTTATGATTCATCCCTGGTTTCTTGAATAAAATCATTAAAATAGTTGTCAGCTCTTATAGACCTGAAGCAATGTGATCAACTTTCCGAAGGTATAGGAAAGAGAAATGAAAAGAGCCAAAGGCTGTTTCCATTTTGAAAACATAGGCTTTGGGTATAAAAAACAAAAGTAATACTTGGCTTAGATTGGTACCTATGTTAACTTAATTACAAACTGATCTTTTATTGTTTTTAATTAAATGCTACTGTTTTCAATTTTTTACTAAAACATGTATTATTAAATAAGGGAGACTCCCAAAGATACCTACTCTAAAATGCTCTAAGAATGAAAATAATTGGTCTTTATTTATAAATGAATCTTTTAAAATAAAATAATAAGTGACTATTAGGAGATCTGTGATCTTTTCTCATCTCTATCACTATGCACATTTATAGATGATGAAACTGGCAAAAAAAGGTAAATGACACACCTTAAGCAAATCATTTACCTTTTTTTGGTCAGTTTCATCATCTATAAAATGTAAGAATTGGATAAGTTCTCATTCGGCCTTAGCATTCTATGTATAAAGCAAATGTATATGAAGCTAAACTTTGTAAGATAGTAGATTATCCTAGCTAATATTAACTCTTGCGTAAAATACACAGAAGCATTCTGTTCATTAATTGTCCTTAAATATGTATCATTCATAACCTTGAAGTCACTATAATTACGAATTTATGATGCCAATTTACTGATATAAATTTTGAAAGTATCTCTTCTTTCTTGTAATAATTAAGATAATTAATCTTAAGATTAACAAGTGGTTGCTTTATAGCTAGAATGTACAATTGTTCTACAATTTTAGTATTCCAACTCTGTCTGAAAGATTGTATGAAGTTATAGAGTCTCTTTTTCCATTGCATTTTTGGAAAGACACAACACAAATAATATTCCCAGAGGAATACTGGGTTTCTCATATCTCTGATAAGATTGATAAGAAATCTGGTAGTACACTTGGTAAGAAACAGAATGGTAGAAGGAAAAAAATCAATGATGCATCCAGAAGACAGCACTTTTCTAGGAAATGCTATGTTATTTTCAAACATGTCCCCAAATCTGTACAAGTTATTGTCAGAAACTGTCTATCTTTGTAACAAGTGGCAACATAAAAGGAACCTGTTAGTGTTCCAGTTTGGAGATCACCAAGGTGAGAGAATTCAAGGTGGAAGTCACATGAAGGACAACCTGTATCAAAAGTAAGCAAAATGTCTCAGAAGGATGCTCTGACTCACTGTGATCTTTCTTGATAAACACACAGAATAATGGATTCGTTACTCAGTTTTCTCTCTAGTTAGAATATTTATGTTAATGTATTGGGCTGTGCTCCCCCAAGGATATGGAGAACAATATTAGATAATTAAGCAAGAACGAAATGCTAAAGAAACAGAAATAATATGACTACCCACACTTTTCAGCTCAAAATATTTCTGGTGTTAAGATTAGAATGACCTACAAAAGATTCCCATAGAATAAAAAATTTATAACTGAAAATATCTGTGGCAAATATCCAGATAAGGAAAGTGCCTTGCTCAAGGTCAAAGCTACTTAGTAACAGGAATAGAACCTGTTACTAACAGGCACTGCTTAGTAGTTTTGACCTCCAAGTAGTCAGTGGGCAATAGACAAATAGACAAAAGAGATACATCTAGTTTTCAGGTACTCAAGAGACTTTCTTCATATTATTATATATGGGTTAGCAAGGTCCCATCACAAACCTTCATAATAAACAAGGGATTAACATATATGAATGTGTGTGTATATTTGTATATATACATATATATGTTAACATATATGTATATATATTCCATTACACACAGTAACATGTTTCCCAATTCACTCCCTGTCTGTGCCCTTCCTCCAACTGTAATCTTAGCAAACCACAATCCATAAAAAGCTGAGTAGGGGCCATTATCAAGAGAGGCAAAAGAGACGAGATTTGGTATCTCTTTTCAAGATCTAAGCATCTTGACTTGCAGAGGATTGACTTTGTTTGCTAAAGCGCACTATCCAGTTAGGACTGAAAAATATTCCCAGAAAAATCCTAGGTAATTCTAACTTTTCTAGGTCACATTTATCACTGAGACTCATTACATGGCTTTCACAATGCCCAAAGACATCATTATAGATAACCTCCAAATTATATAAATCTTGCATAGCAAAGAGAGGGTAGATAAAGAATCCCAGCTGTAACTAAATTATTGAATCCTAATCACAAAAGGAGACTATAAAGACTGTTTTATAACAGAAAGGTCTGTAGGAAACTATGCTACTGATTTTAAAAAATTAAGATATCACCAAGATATGGGAGCATATTGAGGGGAACGAAGAGGAAACAGAAGCCTACCAAAGCAGGCTTGGAATGTCTGCCCGGCCAGACCACTGGATCTTAAGCTAGTTGCCCATTAGAGCTCACCTCCATGCTTTTTGAATATTCCCTTTTACATCCACCCAGAAGAATTCATTTTCTCACTCTTAATCTAGTGCTCTTGACATTTTACTTTGCTCCTTTCCTTTCATCCTTTCAAGATTAATATTAGTCAAAGTTATATTGTTCTACTAAAAATTTAAAAAATGCAAATAATTAGGTGGAAAATATGTAATTAAGAATACTTTGCCTTGAATTTTCCTGATAATTGCTTCAATAATTTCCTTGACAAAAAACATGAGCTTCATCTTAGTAAAACTATATCTTGTTATTAAATCACATACTGTAACCTAGAGTACAGTGGACTATCTAAAATTCAATCTGAATCTTCTAAACTTTTTGGCAAATGAAATCATCACAATTCAAGCTAGTTTAAGCAAAATAAGGTAAAATAGTACCTCAAAATAAGGTAAAATAGTGGTGCAAGTAGCCAGACATACCATCCATGGGTATGTCTGGTTATAGCCATAGACAGATCCAGGGCACCAGCAAGAGTATCAGGACACAGTATTTTTCCATTGTGTGGCTCTGCCACCACAGTAATTATCAGGAAGGCTCTATCTCTAGTGTGGCAAATATGAGCAACAGAAGCTCCCCACTTAAATTCTCCCAGCTTAGCAACCCTAGTGAAGAGAAAGAACCTCTTTCCGAAGCTCCAGCAAAATATGGCAGGACTTATACTCACTGACCATAACATGGTTTGGGTCATACACCCATCCCTGACAAAGCATGTGAGTTTTCCCTTTGGACAAGCCTGGGTTTCAGACCCTGTGGAGTTAGAAGGTAGACTCAAGGCCATCTGAACTATATATACTAACTGGAAGGGAGGAATAGTTTCCTCTTGTACAAAAACCTGGTTCTCTTACCAGAAAAAGAGAGAATGGATTCTGGTCACAAGGACAAGAAACAGAAGGTTCACTACCAGAACACATACTCTAGAAAATACAAAAGTACCTCATGAAAGCATATGTTGCCATGGAATATTCCCAAAGATAGTATTTTACAAAGATGTCAACATATAGATGATCATTATGGATGAACAATATAACTCTTGGTGCCTTACAGACAAAGACATCTTCTGAAAGAGTATGAACTTTATATGCCAACTTGAAAATTATAAAATGTTATTGCCTTTTTAATGGTAGGCAAAAAAACTAGGCAATCAGAAAAAATTCAAATGTTACTTCATAATTATAAAACTTTTTAATTTAAAAAATTCTTCAAAGTTAAAATAATTTATACATTTGGTCATTTTTTTAAAAAAATGAACAGGTTTATATGGTTTCAGTGCTGCACTGAAATGACATCTATAGTTATTTTTAATTGCTATTTACAGGAATCTTGATATCCTTGTAAAATCTGTTACTATAGAAATCTCAGCAAATAATTAGCTCCTCAGGGAAAATCCAACTCTTCATAACTTCTAGTTGAAACAAAAAAAATAGCCTTTAGCTCTTCTTCCTAAATAATGATACGTTTATTACTTATACATTGCTGCCCACTACATGTAAAATAAAACTAAATTTTTTCCTTAGAAATGCTTTCAGACATTGTATCCACCTCTTCAAGATATTTAAAAATAAAAAAAATTTATTTTAACTGTTAACAGGTTTAGAAAAATTAATACACCATGGAGTCTATAGCCTTGCAAATTATTTTAAAATGATTATTTTCTGTTCTTTGTTTTCTGTTCTTTTTTCTCCCATTTCACAATCCCCTGTGGCTAGAAACAGACAACAAATTAAGTACAATGAACATTCTTTCTGCTTACTAGGGACAAGTGACTTTTTTTTTTCTTTTTTCTTTTTTGAGATGGAGTCTCGTTCTGTCACCCAGGCTGGAGTGCAGTGGCGCAATCTTGGCTCAATGCAACCTCCACCTGCTGGGTTCAAGCGATTCTCCTGCTTCAGCATCCCTCCTAGCTGAGATTACAGGCATGCACCACCACGTTCGGCTAATTTTTGTATTTTTAGTAGAGACGGAGTTTCACCATGTCGGCCAGGCTGAGGGTCTCGAACTCCTGACCTCAAGTGATCCAACCACCTCAGCCTCCCAAAGTGCTGGGATTACAGGTGTGAGCCACTGCGCCCAACCTGACAAGTGACTATTTTCAAGCTAAGTAAATTAAATGTATCTCTAAATAGCTCATAAATAATAATAAGTGTAAATACTTAACTCTAATGTATATATGTTTTATTGTTTATATATATATAGTGTTTAATTCTAAAAGGAATTTAAAGCAACTTTGAAGATGTCAAAGTAAAATAAACAAGATGAAGCAAAAGGCAAAGAGAGTATAAAAGCAAGCTAAAACCAAGAATGAGGTTTGTACTCAGTATGCATTCCATGAAGTCCACTTACTAATAGTGGATGTTAACCTAGGTACTTTAGTTTCAAAGTCCCTCAAGTGAACAATATAGGTTATTCCAATACAAAATAAAATACTGAATGGCAAAAGAGAATCCTACATTGTATCTGAAGTATGTCTGTAAACATTAGAACCTAGCAAACCGAGCATAATATGTATACATATACATAGACATACATATACAGAGAGATGCAAAATTCTTAAAGCTTGCATTTATCCTGAGTTTACTACTTTATTGATTCTGATATACTCAAGCCAGAATGATTTTATATTGTCCTAATACAGACCTATTTTCAATATGTGCTAATGCTATAGTTTGAGTAGGCTAAAATGATTTGTTCTAAATAGTCATTTTTACATGATAGGGCCAAGCAAAGTTAAAATTAGAGGTTGGATGCACCACAAATAACAGAGAGAGCAGGCCAGGCTTAGATCCAAAGAAGCAGAGTCCTGGAAGCCCAAGGCTTATTGATTGATGGATGGAGAATACAAGGAAGCAATGGGTACAAAAAAAAATGGCAGGTGCATAAAGTTACTGCTAAGAGAGAGAATAGAGAATTGGGAGCACATGGTAAAGAACAAAGGAAAGGTAAAGAAAGAAAGATAAGAACAGAAAAATTTTAACATAGCATATGAGTGAATTACTTCTTAGAAGCCTAGTAGGACTTGCTCCAGATTTTTTTCTTGATAACCCACTGTTATCACTCACAGATTCAAAATTAATTCTCTCGCCTTTCTGCAAATAGCCTAAAACGTATTCATTATTTTTTTACAACAGAGTTATCATAATCAACAACATCCAAAGAAACAAGACCTTAAAATCAAGCACAGGCTATAATCCTGGCTATCTGGTTTTTGCACAGCATGTAATGATGTAGATTCCAAGCAGTAGGTGCTTGGGAAAGAGTCATTGGCAATTCTAAGTTAACAGTTTGGTAGGATTCTTGTGATCTTCCTCAACCCAGGTAGCTTCAAGTGCCCCCCACTAAACCTCTTTTCTAATCAGATTGCTACACTTAACCTGCTCGTGGGGACCGTCACAGCTTGGTCAAATAGACCTGGGCTTGACTCCCCAATTCACCTATTGACAAAGAATATTTATTTAGTTTTTCCCAGTTTCAACACTCACTACTATTTTGGGGATTATACTATTTATCTCAACAAGCTGCTCTGGAAGTCAAATGAGATACTGTTGCAAAGTACCTAGTTATATCCCTGACCATCATAAAATGGTAGATATTATAGGCATAGGAGAGAAGTTCAAGAGCATTGGCATTACAGAGGGATATGGTCTTCCAGTGATTGGAAATGATTTTTTCTAGAGATGAAAGCTGGTTCTAATCCGGTCAACCTCCTTTTCACTGTGGGAACCCAAACAATCAGTATCTCACCCTCACCATATGCACAATGATGTTGGATTAGATGTGATAGATCATCTCTAAGGTATGCTTCCCCTCTATAAAATTCTGTGGCTATACAAGTATTGTAAATTAGAAATTTTCCAGTTAATTTCCCTTGGGGCTTACTAGTCTTACATTGAACTCCCTTCTTTTGTCCTCTAGTTTTCATCATTAATATTTCAAATCATCATGAAGAACAGGTAAGATGACACCAACCCTAAAAAATAGTATTTAGTATTGTGGATGATCAAAACCTTTTGAAACAAGGCAGACCTTACATTAAATCCTGACTCTCCAATATTGGTTATACGACCTTGAAAAAGTTTTTTCAGCGCCCTGAGAATTTGTTTCTATTTTACAAAATGAGGCTAATGAGTAATACCTACCTTAAAGTATTAGTTTCTGAGAGCTTGAATTCTCCTGGCTTCTAGTAGGCATTCAATATTATATTATTTTGTACCCTGAAAGAATCATTAAAATTCAGCTTTAAATCTTTCTGGATATGCTTAACACATTTTTGATTGAAGAACATGGCAAGTATCTTAAAGATATTTTACCTCCAAAATATTGTCTAATTTAAAAAGCCAAAAATAAAGTAACAGCAAGTTATCAAAATGATGGCTCTAACTTTGCTACAGGTTGAGCATCCTTAGTCTGAAAATCTAAAATCCAAATGCTGCAAGACCCAAAACTTTTTGAGCCACCAATATGATGACACAAGTGGAAAATGCCACACCACACCTCATGTGACAGGTTGCAGTCAAAATGCAGTCAAAACCTTTCCACGCACAAAATTATTTAAAATATTGTACGAAATTACCTTCAGGTTATGTGCATAAGATGTATATAAAACAAAAATGAATTTCATGTTTAGACTTGGGTCCCTTTCCTGAGATATCTCATTATGTGTATGCAAATATTCCAAATTCAGAATAAAATGAAAACCAAAACACTCTGATCCCAAGCATTTCAGATAAGGGATACTCAACCTGTACCAAACTGTGGCAAGATAAGACTATTAAACATCTGAAGTGTACCTCAGATTGAACTATCAAGAATTACAACCACATTGAGAAATGTGCTTTAAAATGTTGTCATGAGCACACGTTAGTGATGAGACAAAAATTGTTATTCACTTCTGAAAGACCCCTGAACTGAATATTTAAGTACTATTTCAAAGCCTATTTTTATAAAAGTGCATCAAAATGTTCAGAAAGATTATTTGTGAATAATGAAACACCATTTCAAAGCCAGAAGGAAAACTAGATTGGCTCACTTTTCAGTTCTCATATTATTAGTTCAATAGGTTTATTTAAAAATCTCTCTGATCTTTTACTCTGACTCACTGAAAGCAAATTTTGAAAAGTGAAAAACCTATAAGGCTTTTCATTTTCTACTAAGTATCTTCCACAAATCTAACATCAATAAAATAAGACAGCCCTGGACCTGAATATGACAGCCTTTACATGGTTCTAATGCATTGCCTACCCTATGCACAGAACAATCACTAAACTCAGCAGGAAAAAAGATCAATCAGTAAAAATAGGAATTTGAGTTTAATTCAAGTACCTGGGAATACCAACATGCTTTCATATAATCTCAGTACTGATTACTTTTAAAAAGGCATAACACTTCATTTAAAATGAATATCTGAGTGCAGTTGATTATTTATGCCCTTTATATATCTCTAACTATTCAACTAATAATAACAAAAACAATAATCGTTAACAATTTCTTGAGTATATACAACAGAACTGAATCACTGACTTAAATACTTTACATAATGACCTCATTTAATCCTCAAAACTATTCTACTTACAGTTGATAAAACTGAGTCTGGGAGGAGCCAAGATGGCCGAATAGGAACAGCTCCGGTCTACAGCTCCCAGCGTGAGCGACGCAGAAGACAGGTGATTTCTGCATTTCCATCTGAGGTACCGGGTTCATCTCACTAGGGAGTGCCAGACAGTGGGCGCAGGCCAGTGTGTGTGCGCACCGTGCGCGAGCCGAAGCAGGGCGAGGCATTGCCTCACCTGGGAAGCGCAAGGGGTCAGGGAGTTCCCTTTCCGAGTCAAAGAAAGGGGTGATGGACGCACCTGGAAAATCGGGTCACTCCCACCCGAATATTGCGCTTTTCAGACCGGCTTAAGAAACGGCGCACCACGAGACTATATCCCACACCTGGCTCACAGGGTCCTACGCCCACGGAGTCTCGCTGATTGCTAGCACAGCAGTCTGAGATCAAACTGCAAGGCGGCAACGAGGCTGGGGGAGGGGCGCCCGCCATTGCCCAGGCTTGCTTAGGTAAACAAAGCAGCCGGGAAGCTCCAACTGGGTGGAGCCCACCACAGCTCAAGGAGGCCTGCCTGCCTCTGTAGGCTCCACCTCTGGGGGGCAGGGCACAGACAAACAAAAAGACAGCAGTAACCTCTGCAGACTTAAGTGTCCCTGTCTGACAGCTTTGAAGAGAGCAGTGGTTCTCCCAGCACGCAGCTGGAGATCTGAGAACGGGCAGACTGCCTCCTCAAGTGGGTCCCTGACTCCTGACCTCCGAGCAGCCTAACTGGGAGGCACCCCCCAGCAGGGGCACACTGACACCTCACACGGCAGGGTATTCCAACAGACCTGCAGCTGAGGGTCCTGTCTGTTAGAAGGAAAACTAACAACCAGAAAGGACATCTACACCAAAAACCCATCTGTACATCACCATCATCAAAGACCAAAAGTAGATAAAACCACAAAGATGGGGAAAAAACAGAACAGAAAAACTGGAAACTCTAAAACGCAGAGCGCCTCTCCTCCTCCAAAGGAACGCAGTTCCTCAACAGCAACAGAACAAAGCTGGATGGAGAATGATTTTGACGAGCTGAGAGAAGAAGGCTTCAGGCGATCAAATTACTCTGAGCTATGGGAGGACATTCAAACCAAAGGCAAAGAAGTTGAAAACTTTGAAAAAAATTTAGAAGAATGTATAACTAGAATAACCAATACAGAGAAGTGCTTAAAGGAGCTGATGGAGCTGAAAACCAAGGCTCGAGAACTACGTGAAGAATGCAGAAGCCTCAGGAGCCGATGCCATCAACTGGAAGAAAGGGTATCAGCAATGGAAGATGAAATGAATGAAATGAAGCGAGAAGGGAAGTTTAGAGAAAAAAGAATAAAAAGAAATGAGCAAAGCCTCCAAGAAATATGGGACTATGTGAAAAGACCAAATCTACGTCTGATTGGTGTACCTGAAAGTGATGTGGAGAATGGAACCAAGTTGGAAAACACTCTGCAGGATATTATCCAGGAGAACTTCCCCAATCTAGCAAGGCAGGCCAACGTTCAGATTCAGGAAATACAGAGAACGCCACAAAGATACTCCTCGAGAAGAGCAACTCCAAGACACATAATTGTCAGATTCACCAAAGTTGAAATGAAGGAAAAAATGTTCAGGGCAGCCAGAGAGAAAGGTCGGGTTACCCTCAAAGGAAAGCCCATCAGACTAACAGCGGATCTCTCGGCAGAAACCCTACAAGCCAGAAGAGAGTGGGGGCCAATATTCAACATTCTTAAAGAAAAGAATTTTCAACCCAGAATTTCATATCCAGCCAAACTAAGCTTCATAAGTGAAGGAGAAATAAAATACTTTATAGACAAGCAAATGCTGAGAGATTTTGTCACCACCAGGCATGCCCTAAAAGAGCTCCTCAAGGAAGCGCTAAACATGGAAAGGAACAACCGGTACCAGCCGCTGCAAAATCATGCCAAAATGTAAAGACCATCGAGACTAGGAAGAAACTGCATCAACTAATGAGCAAAATCACCAGCTAACATCATAATGACAGGATCAAATTCACACATAACAATACTAACTTTAAATATAAATGGACTAAATTATGCAATTAAAAGACACAGACTGGCAAGTTGGATAAAGAGTCAAGACCCATCAGTGTGCTGTATTCAGGAAACCCATCTCACGTGCAGAGACACACATAGGCTCAAAATAAAAGGATGGAGGAAGATCTACCAAGCCAATGGAAAACAAAAAAAGGCAGGGGTTGCAATCTTAGTCTCTGATAAAACAGACTTTAAACCAACAAAGATCAAAAGAGACAAAGAAGGCCATTACATAATGGTAAAGGGATCAATTCAACAAGAAGAGCTAACTATCCTAAATATTTATGCACCCAATACAGGAGCACCCAGATTCATAAAGCAAGTCCTCAGTGACCTACAAAGAGACTTAGACTCCCACACATTAACAATGGGAGACTTTAACACCCCACTGTCAACATTAGACAGATCAACGAGACAGAAAGTCAACAAGGATACCCAGGAATTGAACTCAGCTCTGCACCAAGCAGACCTAATAGACATCTACAGAACTCTCCACCCCAAATCAACAGAATATACATTTTTTTCAGCACCACACCACACCTATTCCAAAATTGACCACATAGTTGGAAGTAAAGCTCTCCTCAGCAAATGTAAAAGAACAGAAATTATAACAAACTATCTCTCAGACCACAGTGCAATCAAACTAGAACTCAGGATTAAGAATCTCACTCAAAGCCGCTCAACTACATGGAAACTGAACAACCTGCTCCTGAATGACTACTGGGTACATAACGAAATGAAGGCAGAAATAAAGATGTTCTTTGAAACCAACGAGAACAAAGACACCACATACCAGAATCGCTGGGACGCATTCAAAGCAGTGTGTAGAGGGAAATTTATAGCACTAAATGCCTACAAGAGAAAGCAGGAAAGATCCAAAATTGACACCCTAACATCACAATTAAAAGAACTAGAAAAGCAAGAGCAAACACATTCAAAAGCTAGCAGAAGGCAAGAAATAACTAAAATCAGAGCAGAACTGAAGGAAATAGAGACACAAAAAACCCTTCAAAAAATCAATGAATCCAGGAGCTGGTTTTTTGAAAGGATCAACAAAATTGATAGACCGCTAGCAAGACTAATAAAGAAAAAAAGAGAGAAGAATCAAATAGACACAATAAAAAATGATAAAGGGGATATCACCACCGATCCCACAGAAATACAAACTACCATCAGAGAATACTACAAACACCTCTACGCAAATAAACTAGAAAATCTAGAAGAAATGGATACATTCCTCGACACATACACTCTCCAAAGACTAAACCAGGAAGAAGTTGAATCTCTGAATAGACCAATAACAGGCTCTGAAATTGTGGCAATAATCAATAGTTTACCAACCAAAAAGAGTCCAGGACCAGATGGATTCACAGCCGAATTCTACCAGAGGTACATGGAGGAACTGGTACCATTCCTTCTGAAACTATTCCAATCAATAGAAAAAGAGGGAATCCTCCCTAACTCATTTTATGAGGCCAGCATCATTCTGATACCAAAGCTGGGCAGAGACACAACCAAAAAAGAGAATTTTAGACCAATATCCTTGATGAACATTGATGCAAAAATGCTCAATAAAATACTGGCAAAGCGAATCCAGCAGCACATCAAAAAGCTTATCCACCATGATCAAGTGGGCTTCATCCCTGGGATGCAAGGCTGGTTCAATATACGCAAATCAATAAATGTAATCCAGCATATAAACAGAGCCAAAGACAAAAACCACATGATTATCTCAATAGATGCAGAAAAAGCCTTTGACAAAATTCAACAACCCTTCATGCTAAAAACTCTCAATAAATTAGGTATTGATGGGACGTATTTCAAAATAATAAGAGCTATCTATGACAAACCCACAGCCAATATCATACTGAATGGGCAAAAACTGGAAGCATTCCCTTTGAAAACTGGCATAAGACAGGGATGCCCTCTCTCACCACTCCTATTCAACATAGTGTTGGAAGTTCTGGCCAGGGCAATCAGGCAGGAGAAGGAAATAAAGGGTATTCAATTAGGAAAAGAGGAAGTCAAATTGTCCCTGTTTGCAGACGACATGATTGTTTATCTAGAAAACCCCATCGTCTCAGCCCAAAATCTCCTTAAGCTGATAAGCAACTTCAGCAAAGTCTCAGGATACAAAATCAATGTACAAAAATCACAAGCATTCTTATACACCAGCAACAGACAAACAGAGAGCCAAATCATGGGTGAACTCCCATTCACAATTGCTTCAAAGAGAATAAAATACCTAGGAATCCAACTTACAAGGGATGTGAAGGACCTCTTCAAGGAGAACTACAAACCACTGCTCAAGGAAATAAAAGAGGAGACAAACAAATGGAAGAACATTCCATGCTCATGGGTAGGAAGAATCAATATCGTGAAAATGGCCATACTGCCCAAGGTAATTTACAGATTCAATGCCATCCCCATCAAGCTACCAATGACTTTCTTCACAGAATTGGAAAAAACTACTTTAAAGTTCATACGGAACCAAAAAAGAGCCCGCGTGGCCAAGTCAATCCTAAGCCAAAAGAACAAAGCTGGAGGCATCACACTACCTGACTTCAAACTATACTACAAGGCTACAGTAACCAAAACAGCATGGTACTGGTACCAAAACAGAGATATAGATCAATGGAACAGAACAGAGCCCTCAGAAATAATGCCGCATATCTACAACTATCTGATCTTTGACAAACCTGACAAAAACAAGCAATGGGGAAAGGATTCCCTATTTAATAAATGGTGCTGGGAAAACTGGCTAGCCATATGTAGAAAGCTGAAACTGGATCCCTTCCTTACACCTTATACAAAAATCAATTCAAGATGGATTAAAGATTTAAACGTTAAACCTAAAACCATAAAAACCCTAGAAGAAAACCTAGGCATTACCATTCAGTGTGACATGGGCGTGGGCAAGGACTTCATGTCCAAAACACCAAAAGCAATGGCAACAAAAGACAAAATTGACACATGGGATCTAATTAAACTAAAGAGCTTCTGCACAGCAAAAGAAACTACCATCAGAGTGAACAGGCAACCCACAACATGGGAGAAAATTTTCGCAACCTACTCATCTGACAAAGGGCTAATATCCAGAATCTACAATGAACTCAAACAAATTTACAAGAAAAAAACAAACAACCCCATCAAAAAGTGGGCGAAGGACATGAACAGACACTTCTCAAAAGAAGACATTTATGCAGCCAAAAAACACATGAAGAAAT
Organism: Homo sapiens; assembly: GCF_000001405.40. NCBI lineage: Eukaryota > Metazoa > Chordata > Mammalia > Primates > Hominidae > Homo > Homo sapiens. The sequence continues at coordinate 3,968,348 of NC_000003.12, forward strand.
GCTCATCATCACTGGCCATCAGAGAAATGCAAATCAAAACCACTATGAGATATCATCTCACACCAGTTAGAATGGCAATCATTAAAAAGTCAGGAAACAACAGGTGCTGGAGAGGATGTGGAGAAATAGGAACACTTTTACACTGTTGGTGGGACTGTAAACTAGTTCAACCATTGTGGAAGTCAGTGTGGCGATTCCTCAGGGATCTAGAACTAGAAATACCATTTGACCCAGCCATCCCATTACTGGGTATATACCCAAATGAGTATAAATCATGCTGCTATAAAGACACATGCACACGTATGTTTATTGCGGCACTATTCACAATAGCAAAGACTTGGAACCAACCCAAATGTCCAACAATGATAGACTGGATTAAGAAAATGTGGCACATATACACCATGGAATACTATGCAGCCATAAAAAATGATGAGTTCATATCCTTTGTAGGGACATGGATGAAATTGGAAACCATCATTCTCAGTAAACTATCGCAAGAACAAAAAACCAAACGCCGCATATTCTCACTCATAGGTGGGAATTGAACAATGAGATCACATGGACACAGCAAGGGGAATATCACACTCTGGGGACTGTGGTGGGGTCGGGGGAGGGGGGAGGGATAGCATTGGGAGATATACCTAATGCTAGATGACACATTAGTGGGTGCAGCGCACCAGCATGGCACATGTATACATATGTAACTAACCTGCACAATGTGCACATGTACCCTAAAACTTAGAGTATAATAAAAAAAAAAAAAAAAAAAAAAAAAAACTGAGTCTCAGCAAGTTTAAATAACTTGATCAGACCACACATTAATGATGGAGCTAGGATTGAATTCAGACATGTCCTATATATTTCATTCATTCATGAGTATATTAATTTATTCAGTGAATATCTTTGTCCTAAAGAAATGCCACTGTAGCAGAAAGATGGTTGCAAATTCTTTGTCACTGTGCTCATTGAAAGGCAAAACGTATTGTTCTCCCCTTAAATATAGACTTGCCCTGTGACTTGGTTTGACCAGTGGAATGTGGTGGAAGTGACTAAGATACTTCCAAGCTAGCACAAAGGAGATCTGCTGTTTTTGCTATCACCTTCTTGGAATATTCTGGGAACCATACCACTGTGGAGTGAGAAGCCCAAGCCATGTAGGAGGCCACAGGGAGCAGAACCAGGACGTGCCAGTCAACAGCCTCAATAACCAGCACCAAAGCTAGTCATGTGTGTAAGCAATCTTATGCATCTTAGGGCTGTTGAACACTGAGATCATTGCAGCCCCAACTAACACTACATGTAGTGGAAAAACCACCCAGCAGTATACAGTCAACTCACAGAATAGCAAGAGACAGTAAATGGTTGCTTCAAACAACCAAATTTTGGGGTGACTAGTTATGCAGCAGTGGATAAAGAGCTGCAATATTTTTCTTGAAATGAGAGCATTGGGTATAATATAGCAAAATACAACCCTAGAAATAAAATAAGTAACTATAATAATATTATTTTGGCATAATATAGCAAAATACAACTCTAATAATAAGAAAAAGCATGAAGCAATTGCTTTTCTCTTGTGGCTGGGCATGATTTTTATACTGAAAGCCTAGTAAAGTAGGAAAATCAGAAGAGACTATGGCTCTTTTTCTTCACTTATTTATTCATGTACTCATTTATTTAAACTTACTCATTTATATATTCATTAAGCCCCTATTTCTTGTTACATGTGAGTGTCTTTGTTAACTACTGTGGGTCATACTATAAATCAAGATAAGCCTACTGCCTTTAAGAACTTTTAGGTCTAAAGAAGGTAAATACTTTTTGGTTGATTGACTCTAATGCATTCTCAAAACAGTAAAGTGGAAGTTAGAAAAATTAAGGAAAGCAAGGGGGAAAATTGGAGAAGCCCAGTCCAAGTTTTAATTTTTGCTGTTGATAATACACAAGGTAAATTATGAAATATGTACTGTACTTATATTTTAATATTTCATTTCTACCCATAGAATGTTAAGCCCCCCAAAAATGAACATAAAAGAGAGTGTGTATTCAATTGCGTTTGCTCTTCTGCTTGGCTCTCCTTAAGGCTTCTGAGTTTCTAACCTGTCAAAGGATTAGTTTCCTTAAATGCAAAATTAAGATGATTCTACCCCTACCTGCCCCAAGGTGTATTATGCCATGCAAAATGATAATTATGAGATAAAACTATTAAATCTTTATATTGGGGTCAGAACTTATTTACATAACCATCTTATTCAGACCATGGCAATGCAAAAGTGATATTTTATGCACTTGTAAGCAGCAGAAGAAAATAAAAATTAACTGTAAAAGCTCTATCCAAACTTAATTAAACAATGTCTCCACACATTCAAATAGGAGATTCTAATAGGGCTGAGGATCAAAATACTCAGTCCTCCTGTCCTCAAAGCTGGGTGTGGGATGCAATTGGTTCCATCAGATTCCTCCCCCAAGAATTGTTAGATTTGGAGCTAATGGAGGAAGGGCTTGGATTTTGAGTCACTGGTCAGAAGGATGTGAATCAAACACTGCCCCACTATCTTCCCTATTACACAGAGAAAGCCTATATTCTATAACAAAATATGAGATCCACACAGACAAACAGAGGTGAGGGACAGACCAAGTCTTGATAACCTCGCTTGGTCCTCTGGATCAGGCTGTGCCTAAAACTGTGATAAACGTTCACTTCAAAGTTGTGTGAACCAAAAATTCTCTTTTATTATTCAAGTTAATGTAAGTTGGATTTCTGTCCACTGCTTCCAAAAGAATCTTGTCTAAAAATAAAATTAAAGCATCAGAGGTATACTGAAATCATCTGAGACCTTTCATAACTTGTTTGGGCAACTAATCTCTTATGAGGATAAAAGTATCATCATTCTCAGTAAACGACCACAAGAACAAAAGACCAAACACCGCATATCCTCACTCATAGGTGGGAATTGAACAATGAGATCACATGGACACAGGAAGGGGAACATCACACTCTGGGGACTGTTGTGGGGTGGGGGGAGGCGGGAGGGATAGCATTGGGAGATCTACCTAATGCTAGATGACGAGTTAGTGGGTGCAGCGCACCAGCATGTCACATGCATACATATGTAACTAACCTGCACATTGTGCACATGTACCCTAAAACTTAAAGTATAATAATAAAAAAAATAAAAATAAAAATAAAAATAAAAGTATCTCTAATTGTAAACTAAGAAAGATGGTAGTTAAAGCAAGGGACACAATGGGTAACACTCTTATCCTAGCCACCAACCTGATTGCATTCTTTACTTTCTAGTCAAGCCCCTTCTTCCCTTGTCTAACTACAGATCAACACAGATTTTTTTCTCATCTTTTTTTTTTTTTTTTTTTGAGACAGAGTCTTGCTCTGTTGCCCAGGCTGGAATGCAGTGGTGTGGTGTGATCACGGCTCACTGCAACCTCCACCTCCCAGGTTCAAGAGATTCTCCTGCCTCAGCCTCTCAAGTAGCTGGGAAAACTTGGACAGGTGCACGCCACCATGCCCGGCTAATTTTTGTATTTTTAGTAGAGACAGGGATTCACCCTGTTGGCCAGGCTGGTCTCGAACTCCTGACTTCAAGTGATCTGCCCTCCTCGGCCTCCCAAAGTGCTAGGATTACAAGCATGAGCCACCACACCCAGCTTAACCTGCCTTTTTAATTTCCAATTCACAAAGTGCTATCCTCCAGGATGCCAGGAAATGAACTGGGGGACAGAAGAAAGAGTCAAGAAAAGAAGATAAAACTTAGCTTGTAGCCTAGTGGCATAATAGCTAACATGTCTAACCATTAGCAAATGCTCAAAAATCCTGAGCCCAGAAAAGCCTTATTCACTACCTTTACAGAAATAAATCTAGAAGGTTAGCTATGCTGAATATGTTAGGGAAATGGAGAAGCACTGCTATTTTGATAATCAATTCAAAAGAAAATTAAATTTACTAATGGAAACTACCGCTATTCATTTTCTGGACATATGTAAAGATAAAGCCAGCTTAAAACAACAAATAACCAACCTAGTCTTTTAACCTTCAGATATGGTGCAAAAGCATGACCTAAAAGATACTTTTTCATTACTAGCGAAGCAGGCTTTAGTCTCAAACTTTACCTTAGACCATTCAACGTCTGCCCATTTGTCTTGTACTGACTTTTCCTTTCAGTGCCCTGGATGTCAAGGGAACTTGGCTGCCAAAGACTGAGGCTGGAATCAAAGTGCTCTGGGCTTTCCCACCAGAACTCCATCCATGGGGCATAGAAGCAGACTTGGAAACAGACAAGTGCTGTGTCTGCAAAATAAACTAACTAGTGTAGGGCAAAATGGGCTCTATGCTTTCCTCAACCCCAGCCCCAACAAAAAGCAAGATCCTTGTGGTCATTTTGCCTTTGCTTACATCCACTGCTGCCTGAAGCTAAAGAAAGGCTCCTTAGTAGACCATGGTAAGCCCCCTTTTATCCTCCTGCTGTCAGGGATGAAAGATTCCAAGCCTCAAGTGCAACACAGCTGCAGACGCCGACTTTTCCAAAAGATAAAAATCAAAACCCAAAAAAGACCACAAGTTCACTTTGAAATTAAAAAAAAAAAAAAAAAAAAAAAAAAAAAAAAAAAAAACAGGCCTTCTCAGAGTGGCTACTTTCCAGACACCAGACACACAAATGCTTTAAAGACAAAAGCAGGTTGTTACATTTGTCAGGGTGAATAAAAAGCCTAGAGCAGGACTCTCAAGTCTCTCTTTCTGTGCTAAGGAATGTCTTCCCAATTTTTTGCAGCCTTGAGGACCGGGAGATGACTGGGAAATTGCTGACAGGGCAGGGAAAGGGCTATACTCTACATGCTGGCATTCACAGACAAACACCGAGGGGCAGCAACAGCAAAGAGGAGTCTTGGTGCTCTTCCTGGAGTTCCCAGGCTTTACTGGCCATGGATCCTGTTATTCAATCAAATACTTATTGTGTGCCTACTACATATTGGGCACTATTCTAGGCCCTGTGGATGTATTAGTGAACTAAGCAGGAAAAAAAATCACCTACTCATGTGAAGGTTATGTTGCAATAGACTTTGGGGACAGAGACAGACAATAAATTAAACAAATAAGTAAAGTTTATAATACCTTAGAAAATAAAAAGCACTATAAATAAAATAAAGCCAGGAAGAGATATAGGAATTGCCAGAAGGGCAAATGGTAGACTTGCCATTTAAAATTGGCGTTCATGGAAGATTACAGGAAAAGTCAAAGTTTGAAAGATTTGAAGGAGGGAAGGGAGTAAACCAGATATTTGGGAAGAAGAGTGGTAGTGGAAAAGAGAGAGCAAGAGCAAAGACTGAGAGGAAGGACCTTGCCAGCCATGTTCAAAGAACAGTAAGCAGGATTCATGTCTGCAGTAGAGACAGTGATGGGGCAGAGGTTAGAGATGAGGTCAGAGAAGCAGTTTTGGACCAAATTATATATGGATTGATAAAACACCAGTTTTTGCTCTGATGTGGGCAGTCCTCAGAAAGTTTTGAGCAGAGGTATGACACAATATAACTTGGCTGCTGAATTGAGAAGGACAGAAGCAAGGAGATTAGTTAGGAGGCCATTACAATAATGCAACTAGTACTCTGGCGATTTCAATAGGCATCTTAATTTTTTCACAGTCTACCTTCAAATAATACTATACTACTTCATACATAATGTAATAACCAAGTCACTGCAACAGAATACTTCCATTCCTCCCTCATTCCTTTGTGCTATTATCATATTTTACTCTTATGTTATAAACCGCACAATGCATTATTATTTTTGCTAAAAAGAAAATTATTTTTTCAAAGAAATGTAAACATGAGGAAAGAAAGTCTTGCATATTTTCCCACATATTTACTATGTCTTGCACTCTTCATTCTTTTTTGAGGTCCAAAGTTCCCTCTGGCATTTTCCTTCATCTTGAATTTTTTTTTTATTATTATTATACTTTAAGTTTTAGGGTACATGTGCACAATGTGCAGGTTAGTTACATATGTATACATGTGCCATGCTGGTGTGCTGCACCCATTAACTCGTCATTTAGCATTAGGTATATCTCCTAATGCTATCCCTCCCCCCTCCCCCTACCCCACAACAGTCCCCAGAGTGTGATGTTCCCCTTTCTGTGTCCATGTGTTCTCATTGTTCAATTCCCATCTATGAGTGAGAATATGCGGTGTTTGGTTTTTTGTCCTTGCGATAGTTTACTGAGAATGATGATTTCCAGTTTCATCCATGTCTCTACAAAGGACATGAACTCATCATTTTTTATGGCTGCATAGTATTCCATGGTGTATATGTGCCATATTTTCTTAATCCAGTCTATCATTGTTGGACATGTGGGTTGGTTCCAAGTCTTTGCTATTGTGAATAGTGCCACAATAAACATACGTGTGCATGTGTCTTTATAGCAGCATGATTTATAGTCCTTTGGGTATATACCCAGTAATGGGATGGTTGGGTCAAATGGTATTTCTAGTTCTAGATCCCTGAGGAATCACCACACTGACTTCCACAATGGTTGAACTAGTTTACAGTCCCACCAACAGTGTAAAAGTGTTCCTATTTCTCCACATCCTCTCCAGCACCTGTTGTTTCTTGACTTTTTAATGATTGCCATTCTAAATGGTGTGAGACGGTATCTCATTGTGGTTTTGATTTGCATTTCTCTGATGGCTAGTGATGGTAAGCATTTTTTCATGTGTCTTTTGGCTGCATAAATGTCTTCTTTTGAGAAGTGAAATTTTCTTTATGATTTCTTCTAGTGCAGAAAGGCTGAGAATGAGTTATCTCAGCTTTTGTTTGTCTGAAAGTGTCATTTTACCTTCACTTTTGAAGGATATTTTCACTGGGGATATAGAATTCTAAGTCACCATATTTTTTTCTGCCCATGATATTAAAGATGCCATTTTATTATCTTCTAGACTGCATTGTTTCTAGCAAAAAATCAGTGGTATGTCTTACTTTGTTTCTCTGTAAGATGCCTTTTTCTTTGGCTGCTTTTAAGACTTTTAAAGAATCTCTGATTGTAATTGTGATATACATTAGTATAGTGTTTTTATGCTTATTCTATTTGGGACTCATTGAGCTTCTTGGATCTGTAGGTTTACAGATTTCATCAAATTTGGGGATTTTTCAGTCATTAATTTTCTATCTCCTGTCCCATCTTTTCATTCTGGGATTCCAGTTACATATGTTAGAACCCTGTGTTCCCATGGGTCACTGAGGCCCTGTTCATTATTTTTGAGCTTTATTTTTCCTCTGAGCTTTAGTTCAGATAGTTTCTACTATGTCTTTAAGTTATATGATTGATCTTTTTTTTCTGGAGGGTCCAATTAACTGTTATCCTCATCTAGTTAGTTTTTTTATTCCTGATACTGTGTTTCTCAGTTTAGAAGTTCCATTTGATTTTTTCTGTATTTTTCATTTGTCACTTCATTGTGTCCATATTTTAATTGAAATCTCTATACATATTTACATGGCTGTTTTAAAATCTTTGTCTGGTAATTCCATTATTTCTATTATTCCTGGGTCTGATTCTATTGACTAATTTGTCTCCTGGTTATGGGTCATATTTTCCTGCTACTCAGAGTGTCTAGTACTTTTTAATTAGTTGAAAAACACTATGAACATTACGTTGCTGAATATCTGGATTTTTCTGTCTTCTTCTAAAGACTGTTGAAGGTTATTTTGGCAAGCAGTAAACATTTCTTGCAAATGAGATTTTAAAGGCTTATGTTTATGATCTGTTAAGATAAGTCAAATGTAGCCTTTACCTTAGAGCTAATTTAGTCCTCCTACTGAGACATTACCCTTTTGGGTATCTCTAATGAATGCACGAGGTGTTCAGTGCAGTCTCCCAATGTGGTGGGAACTGAAACATCTCCCAGCCCTGTGTGAGATCTGGGAAAGGTTTAGCTCACAGTTATCCAGTCACTTCCATTGCCCAACCTCGTGAAGCGTCACCATTTGCATGAACATCTTAGCATTCAGCAAAAATTCAAGAAGAATCCTATGCATATTTCTGGAACTATTTTTTATACATAATTCTTTCCTCCTAGTGCTCTGTACCACAAATGTCAGTAACTTTGTTCTCCACAAATTCCAATTTTATCCCTTCAACTCAAAAGTCCTGCTGGGCTTTGATTATGTTTCATTTCTCTGTGGCATAGTCCAGAAAGTACCTTCAGGCTAAACTTGGAGTGAGCTTAGAAATTATCTTGTCTGTTGTCCTTCTCTCAGGAGCCACAGTCCTACAATACCGGTTGTCCAACAACCAAAAATCATTATTTTAAATTTTGTTCAATTTTCTGGGTTTCTTTATGGTGGGAGAGCAAGGACAGAGCTAGAAAGAACTTGAAAAGGAAGTCCACATCCTTCCCTTTTGTAGATGAAGCAACAGAGACTCAGGGTGGAGTTGCAGTACACTCAAGGTCACACAGCTACTGGTAGAAGCATTAAGCTCAGAAGCTGTTTTCGAAGTCCAATGTCTTTCTCACTCCAGCGTGCTGCCTCTTACAGAATGATTGGTAGAGTGTAGCGTATTAGTTTCCTAGGGCTGTTGTAACAAATTATTACAAACTAGGAAACTTAACACAATAGAAATTTATTCTTCCTGGCCGGGAGCAGTGGATCATGCCTGTAATCCCAGCATGTTGGGAGGCCAAGGCAGGCAGATCACTTGAAGTCAGAAGTTCGATGCCAGCCTGGCCAACATGGTAAAACCCTGTCTCTACTAAAAATATAAAAATAAACCAGGTGTGATGGCACTTGCCTATATTCCCAGCTATTTGAGAGGCTGAGGCAGGAGAATCACTTGAACCCAGGAGGTGGAAGTTGCTGTGAGCCAAGATCTCACCACTGCACTCCAGCTTGGGTGACAGAGTGAGACGAAGGAAGGAAGGAAGGAAGGAAGGAAGGAAGGAAGGAAGGAAGGAAGGAAGGAAGGAAGGAAGGAAGGAAAGAAGGAAAGAAAGAAGGAAAGAGGGAGGGAGGGAGAAAGAAAGATTGGCACTTGCCTATATTCCCAGCTATTTGAGAGGCTGAGGCAGGAGAATCACTTGAACCCAGGAGGTGGAAGTTGCAGTGAGCCAAGATCACACCACTGCACTCCAGCTTGGGTGACGGAGTGAGAGAAAATGAGAGTGTGAGAGAGAGAGAGAGAGAGAGAAAGAAAGAAATTAATTTATTCTTTCCCATTTCTACAGACCAGAAATCCAAAACCAAAGTGTTGGTAGGGCTAGTTCCTTCTGAAGGTTCTGAAGGAGAATCCATTCTATAACTCTCTCCTAGCTTTTGGTGATTGTTTGAAATTCTTGATGTTAGTTCACTTGCAGACAAATCACTCCAATTTCTGCCTTCTTTTCACATGGCCTTATCCTATCCTCTGTTTGTTTATGTCTTCTCCTCCTCTTATAAGGATACTTGTCATTGGATTTAGGGTTCACCCAGTAAACTCACGATGATTTTATCTAGAGATCCTTCACTGAATTATATCCGCACATACCTTTTCTCCAAATAGGGGTACATTCACAGGTACTGGGGATTAGGACTGGATATATTCTTTTTGGGAAGGGGCACAATTCAACTCTCAAAAGATAGAAAAGGGGAAAGGTAAATAATATAGTCAAAGTAACAATTTGGGAATATTTATCTCATATAAAAGCAGACATTGAAGTTTCCCCCAGCTGAATCTATTTTGGAGAATTTGAAAGGGTTTCCATCTAGGACCGTGAAGGAAAAAAAAAATGCAAAAGCAGGTTGATAATGTTATATTTTACCTGGGCACAATCATGGTACTGGCTCACACCTCACTACATTCATTAAGTGCATCACGCATTTAACACCATTGTTAATTTGGCCAAATAATCCAAGATGCAACAAGGAATTATTGCTTTCAGTTACTCTAACCTCTTTTGTCTCTAATAACCATATCAGTCATGACTAGAGGCTTGAATCCTGAAAACGGGGACACGTAGTAAAGATAAATTACTAACAAGCCCTTACCCATAATAGGAGGAAAGTCATCACTATAATAATTCTGTTTGCTGAGATGACCCAATGCCAGTTTCAGAGTCTTTATTAGGTCAAAAGGAAAGGACATCTAATTGCTATCTTAGCTATCATTTTTCACTAACCACTGAAATGTGTGGGGTTTTTTTTAGCATGAAGTCTTTTTTTTTTTAATTTTTCCAACTTTCTTAGCAGTTTCAGATGGTACATTGTGAGACAAAGGCAAAAGCAACAGGGAGAATCATCTCATGAGAAAAATTAGCAATAAAGCACTGTGACAGGACAGCAAAGGCACTTTGTTAAAAAATTATTTCAACCTGAATAATTTGACAGTGTTAATTTGTTAAGAAAAAAATATCTAGAACACATACCACCCTGAGATCCTTAAGCAGTTCTCTGAAACTTTGTTTAATACAAACACTTCCACTGCATTGCAATTGGGAATACATCTTTCAACCCACATTTTGCCTGGTTATAAGTCCTATTGGGTACTGAGCAGAGGCAGTCAATTTGGTTTGCTTTATGATCTGAACCAAACACAAATATTAAGTGAGGTCAAATAACACACCCCACTGGCAATCCTCAAATCTCTAAAGCTGATTTAAAAGAGACTGGGAAATTGAGCTCAACAGAAATGGCAAAAATAAAGAAGTTCATTTTTAATGAACAAGGAAGCCTACCAATACCAATCTCCATTGGGCCACAGATGCCTCATTGTGCCCAAATTGGATTGGAATGCACAAGCCAACAAGCACAAGCACAACTGCCCCTCCACCCCCACAAAAAAAATCACAATTTGGCAGAAGAGAAAGATTTAGAGGAATGTTAACTTAATGCACCTAAAATTCAAATCATGATTAGAAAAGGGTATTCTGGATATGACAGTTTAAGGTAGGTAAAGAGAGTTACGAATATGTTCAAAGTAATTGGAAAATGAGCCTAATACCAAGAGAATTACAGAATATTGGTGATGGAAGAGAATTAGAGAATAATTTTTACCTTAAAGTGTAGATCCTGAGTTCAGGAAGAAGCAGTTACTTGCTCAAGGTCAGTGTCTAAAACTAAAACGGGATTAGAACCCACACCCTTTTGAGTCTGGTGCTCTCTCTACTCTGCCAATTGTTCTCAAGGCTGTGGGGGGATGTTAAGAGTTTCTCAAAGTTCACAACTGGGCCTCTTTCTTTCTCTCTCCTCCTCTTCCTTATCTCATTCTTTTCCCAAGCTTTTATTCTCATTGACAGACTTAGTCATCCAAACGTATTTCTCCAGTTCTGACATCTCTGAACTCCAGACTTAGAATCAACAGTTCTATTTCTGGGTCTCCCAGGCCGCTCAAACTTAACATGTGCAAATGTAAACATCTACCCCCCATCCTTCCCACTACAGACTTGTTCCTCCCTGCTTGTTCTCTATCTACTAGATGGAACTATCATCTTACCAGTGTCAGCCTTGAATTGGTATCTTTTCTTTACTCTTTCCCTACAGCCAACCATCAGTAAGACCTCCTAAGTGTATCTCGAAAACATCTATCCACTTTCTCTGACCCCACCTTAGTCCAAGCCACCAACATCTTGTTCCTGGACTGCCTCCTAACCTCTCTCTCTGTTCTGATTTTTCCACTTCCAGTTCATTTGCCACACAGTAGCCAGAGTGATCTTTTAAAGACATTCCGTTTACAATAAAATCCAAACCCCTCACCATTGCCTATAAGATCAGGCATTATTTGTCCGCTTACTTCTCTAATCTCATGGCGTGCCACCTTCTTCCTTGACCCCTCTGCTCCTGGTATACTGAACTCTCTAAATTCTCAAAACATACCACGCTTTTTCTAGTGCAGGACCTTTGTACATGCTGCTCCCACTGTCAGGAGTGCTCTTTTCATTGTGAAAGGCTGGTTCCTTTTATAATTCCGGGCTCATGTTATATGTCACTTCTAAAAAAGAGGCCTTTCCTGATCACTCATCTCAATGACATATTTTTTTTAATTTAATCTTTCAATTTCAATTAATCTTTAATATTTCAGAAAGTATATCAACATTGCCTAACATGCTGTTTTACACACAATAGATACATGATCAATGTTTGATATAAATATACATATCTTTAAAATCTTTGGTTTAACCAGCTAAACTTTTAATATTTTATGAACTAGTTAGCCCTGAGTCATAAATTTACCTACTTTTTTTTTTTTTTTTTTTGAGATAGTTTCACTCTCTTTGCCCATGCTGGAGAGCAGTGACGTGATCTCAGCTCACTGCAACCTCCAACTCCCAGGTTCAAGAGATTCTCCTGCCTCAGCCTCTCAAGTAGCTGGGATTACAGGCACCTGCCACCACACCCAGCTAATTTTTGTATTTTTAGTAGAGACAGGGTTTTGCCATGTTGGCCAGGCTGGTCTCGAACTCCTGACCTCAGGTGATCCACCCGCCTCACCCTCCCAAAGTGTTGGGATTACAGGCACAAGTCAGCATGCCCGGCCAGATTTACTTATTTTTTATGAGATTTAAAACTGTTTTTAGAGATAGAGTCCTGCTATGTTGTCCAGGCTGGAGTGAAGTAGCTATTCACAGGCATGATCATTGCACACTACAGTGTTGAACTTCTGGGTTCAAGTGATCTTCCGACCTCAGCCTCCCAAGTAGCTGGGACTACAGGCATGTGCCACTGAGTCCGGTGTATTTTTATAAGATTTTTAAAAAGATAACATATTCTAAATTATGACGTCCACATACCATTTACTTTTGTGTGGAATTATAAGGTGATATTTTAAATGATGGGAATGAACAAGTTGACATGTATATCAGTAACCTCTAAACATCTATTTCAAACATCTATTAACTGAAAGTGATGATTCCTCCAGCTCTTATACTAAGAACTTCCATACATTAGAGCAATATACATATTCAAAAAGTGACCTAGTTCAATTAGACAAGTAAATAATTTTCCTATGTTTAGGTAAATTTGAAAAATATACATAATTACTACCTCATCCTAGTTAGAATCTCATTTATATTTATTCCACTATGTTCATGATTTTGTAACCAACTTGGAAGGCATCGTATTATTAAAAGTGTATCAGATTAGCTCCCTCAACTTACTATGTCTAGTAACCATTCTGAAGAAATAGGCACTGGCTTTGAATATGGCCTGTTCCAGTTTGTGAACAGTCGTAGGCAAGTAAAGTTGTTGGGCAAAGAGGTGAGCTATAGGATGACTGAGGGTAAATTGTCACTACTGTATATAAAGAAGACAAATGAGATATAGGAAGAGATCTGTTATAATAACATATATGACATATATCTAAGTTTTTCATATATTTCAGAATTATAGAAAAAAAAGTATGTAATCTTTTCTAAGATGTATGGATGACTTACTTTTAATAATATTTCTTGATTTATAATGTAAATAAGATTAAGCGAATATGGGTTACTCTTGAATTTAAAAATTGGCACATGTAAATGAGCATTTTAATACAAATAATTAGAATATATTTATACTGTATACACAGCTACACAACGGAAGATACTACTAAAATTTTGCTCTATAGCACATTACCCTAGAAAACATAGAATTCTAGAATTCTCTTTAAAAAGATCACTGAGAATTATTAGATGATGACTGTGAAATAGGTTCTCCCAGTACAATACTACTTCTGTCATTCAAAGTTCTGACAACAGTTGTAGCTGAAGACTGAAGCACTTTATGAGAAAGCCTCATTCTTCCATCAGCTGGGTCACATCCAAAGTATTTCACCTGAATTTCTTGGCCAACTTCTAATCCTAGGGCAGTAGGATGTTTAATATTTCATTGATCAAGTTGTGTGTTATAAAGCAGTACCAAAATCATATTTGGATATAATTTTACCATTACACCAGTATCTCTGCTTTCAGTTATTGTGGCAGTACACACTGCTCCAAATTCTAATTGCTGCTCCTGATCATCCTTGCGGATTTCAGCAATGAAGTCTCTTGCCTCATGCATAGCACCGGGTGTTGGTGCAAATATAGAAAACGTTTCTTCATCCACCTGACTAATAGTTACAACTGTTTCAGCCTGAAGTTTTTTAAGTTATATCCACCTGGTCCAACAAATTTTTCTCATTTTGATAATGGAACCTGAACAGTTTCTACAACAGGTCCATTTTCTTTTCTAGATGCTTGAGGTTTTGAAATAGCTTTGTTCATGATCTGTAAAATCTCCTTTTTGCCACTGAAGCTTGTTGAATAGCCTCCATTACAATTTTCATTGTTATTCCAGGTAATTTAATATCTGCCTGTAATGCAGTTATTCCTTTATTAGTGCCAGCTATTTTGAAGTCCATGTCACCATTGTAAGCTTCAATTCCCAGAATATCTGTTAGCAAATGATAATCTTCTATTTCACCCTTCTCAAGATCGGTTTTGGTGGCCAATCCCATTGCTACACCTGTGACAGCAGATTAAATTGGAAGCCCTGAATCCATTAATGCTAAACTTCCACCACATGCAGATGCCATAGAAGATGACCCATTTGACTCTAGGACTTCAGATGTAACTCTTATGGCAAAAGGAAAATCTTTGGGAATAACAGGATACAAAGCTTTCTCAGCAAGAGCATCAGGCCCAAGTTCTCTTCTATTTATACCGGTGACTTTGACAATTTCATTAGTTGCATAAGGAGGAAACTCATAGTGCAGCATGAAATTTTTATCTTTTATCCCATTTATAGTTGTTATAACTCGATCCAACTTAATACTGGATTCTAATGAATCAAATGTAACAGCACAAAGCAGCTGTGTTTGTCCTCTTTGAAATAATTCTGATCCATGAAGGGTTTTAAACATATCTACCTCACAACTTATATTCCGAAGTAAAGTCAAATCCCGACCATCGCATCTTTTGTATTCATTCAAAATAATACTTCTAAAAACTTTCTTTGCAACAGTATTGAAGGATTCTATTATCTCATATAGATCGACCTCTGGAAATATTTCTTTTAGTTGTTCCTCTGTATCTAATCTTATTTTGTTAACAGCTTCATCTCTGGAAATTTTATCATGTTCATAATCTGTAAAAACTGCATAGAGTCTCTCCATAGTGAGTTTATGAGCATGTTTCACAATCTCTTGTGAAGGGGTAAATAACTTCTGAGGTGTCCTCTTGGTAACACCAATTTCTTTTACCAGCTGCTGGATGCCCTGAATTATTTGCTGGGTATATTTCACTCCCACTTTGATAGCGTGGCAAAAGTCCTGCTGTAAAATGTTCTCTGCAGAGGCTTCCAACATGACAGTCTGACTTTTAGGTGCTCCAGCAACCACTACATTTAAAGTACTAGAAGACATTTCTTTTCTTGTTGGGTTAACAACACATTCTCCATCAGTCATTCCTATTCATACTGTCCCAACAGGTCCATTCCAAAGAATATCTGATAATGAGAGGGCTACAGAGGTTGCCATTAATTGCTAGGACATCAAGTTCATTAATACCATCTACTGCTAACAGATTACACAGAACCTGTATATCACAGAAGTAGCCAGCTGGAAAGATAGGTCTAACTGAACAATCTACTATTCAACGTGTAAGAATTTCTTTATCAGAAGTACTAATCTCTCTTCTCAGAGGGTTTGTGGGAATTCTACCTACTGCAGCAGCCTTTTGTCCGTAGTCAACCACCAAAGGCATAAACTGGGAAGGGGAAGGTTTTGTTTTACTGACGGCTGTGGCCATTACCGCAGTGTCACCTGACTGTATTACAGCAGAGCCATTTGCAAATCTGGCCAGCTTTCCAGAGGATATTTCTAATTTCCTGTTGCCCAAGTCCATGGCCACAGCTTGAGACCCTGTGCTACTCAATAGTGCTCGCACCTGCAACTGGATGAGTGCCCGATCCCACCCTGGCAGACAGAAGGGACCATCACTCAGCGGCCGGAGCCACAGGCTCAGTGAGGTCTTAGCTTCCTCCTGTTATCCTCTGTAGCAATGCCTTAGTGTTTCCTTCACAGCACTTATTACAATTTGTAGTCATTTACTGATGTGATTATTGGTTATTATCCCTCATGAGTCTCACAGCTAAATGACAGCAGGGATCAAGTCTGTCTTCTTCCCTGTGTCACAGCTGTATCTGGCACCAAGCACATACAAGGCATTTGATAAGTATTCTTTAACATAATGAAAATGAAGTACATTTATAACACTATTCTTTCTACCCAAAGAGAACAAAAAAATTATGGACTTCCATTCTGTGTCAATATATTCAACAGGATAGAAGAAATAACACAACTGAAGGTTGCAAAATACTGAAAGTTATCAACGCTTATTCTCTAGAGATCCTTGTTAAACAATGTCCCATCCATCAAGGGTGAATTAGATTTGTCCCTGGCTTGAGGACAGAATAAGATGACTTCACCCGACTCCTTATAAACTTATAATTTTATGAAAAATCCATGAGCTCTCATCTTTCCAGCACTCTGATAACGAGGTAATTACCCTTTTAATGAAAAAGGAAGCCTTTTTATATCTATCCCCATTGAATTATGGACCTCAAAATTGAAATGAAGTCTAATAGACATCAAGCACAACTACCTGCCAGTTCCTAACAAGGATGAGGAAAAAAAAATAGTGATATCTGGGGAGCCAACGGGCAGTATGACAGGGTGTCCTTCCTGCCTTCTCTGATGACACTTTGCTATCAACACCAGTTCTTCCTTTTGTGCCTTACTCAGTTTGTAAGCCAGTCTGCAACAGTAGAAAAGTCATTAGTCACCCTTCCCTATCTGTTCCATGGGCTTTGAAATGAAGCCCTGGTTCAGGTTCCCATTTAGGTGTGACTTTCTCCATTCCTACTATGTTGACTGTAATCAAAGGGCTGGGCTCAGTCCTGACAACACGTTCAGATCCCACACTGCACTAGCCCTGCTCTAGAATCTCAATCTATTTTCCCAGTGTCCTAAGACCTGTCAAAGCCCCTGCCACCAGCCTCTTCCACTACTGACTGAGCTCTTCCATCAAACGACTGATTAATGGAACCACAACACCGACACCCCACATGAATTGCACCCGGAGCCCACAATCCATACTCCTTCCCCATGCTCCTTCAGTTTATCGATGCTGTTTAATTATCAGTAGTGGCTCGGATTAAGCCCTAAACATCTAGCTACCCTGTTCCACAGCCAAGACTGTTACTCTCACTCCTCACTCCTAGGTCTTGCCTAACTCCCCCCATTTCAGGTATTTTATAGCTGAGTCTCTACAAGTTATCACTCACAGCTAAATTCACACTTTTACTTGGTCTCTACATTTTAATCCTTGGTGATCTCTTTTTATGCAATTGCCAGTTTAGAGGCATAATCTTGTAAACCTTTACCTTCTGGACAGTAGCATCGGAAAGTTCATTACTTTCAGTTACGATACAACAGCGAGTGACAAATGCAGCTTTGGAAAGCGGAAAACTTCTTTCTCCTTGAGAGTCTCTGCACAACTTTCCACATTTGGAACCCAAGGACATTTCCTTTCTCTCTCTGCTAACATGGAGTACAGAAAGGTTACATTAGCTAATAAAAGCCCTCTGCTGACAAAAGATGCGTTTGAAAAGTCACTCGAAAAGGGAGCTCTCTCGATAGCTTTATTAAAATAAAATGCCATATCTTTGTGAAGTTAAAAGTCTCTGGATTGTGGTTAAAAGTCTGGTCTGCTCCTTATACAATGGAAAGTCTTTCAAAAGCCACGTGTTTCTTAAGCTGGCCTCACCATGCATAACAGCTAGAATATAAATCTAGACTCTCGCCGCCCATCTATCTTTTCTTTTCTGTGTCATGTAGAGGTTCCTATGTGAAGGAAAGATCTCCAGAATAAGATGAGAGATAGCTTTTATAAGAACACCAAATGATAGAAATTATGGAAATCATGATATTGAAATAATTTCTTCCAAGTTAAAACATCAGGAACATTTTTGCTTATCAGATAGGCAAGAATACTTAAATTTGAATGTTGGTCAGCATTCAACAAGAAGGCAGTGCCTAGACCCTTGGCTTATGAATTGGGGGCAATTGCAGCTTCCTTCATTCCTCTGAAGGGTTGAGAACTTATGCAAAGCCATGGGTGCAGTGCTGTCCGACGCCCTGCAGAGGTGATGCCAAGAGTAAGGCTAAATATGCCGTTTTTGAGAGGGAGCCCAGAAAGCCAGACTTCAGCAGACACCAAAGAGTCTATTGAACTACTCTGATGGGAGGATATGCAAGAGCAATGCTGAATAGTAACACCCCTGAAGAGAGACACCATGGAAAGTAGTTGTCGGACTTGTGGCTACAAACAACAAGAAAGTCCTTCGCCTGGAGCTGCCTCTGGAAAGAGCAGCTAGACTCTAGCTGGAGAGTCTGACAGAGAAACACTTCCTAGCAGAGGCTCAGCTTCTTGCCCTTCCAGAATGAGAGGCTGTGTGGTTTTGTGTTCAAGATCACGCTATGAACATGATATGAACGGTTGGTATGTCGAGACACCTTCATTGAAAAGAGAGAATAAGAAATTGCTCCCTGAAACCTAGAATAGATGGTGCCCCAGGATTGATCACAATAATCATTGGGAATATACATTGTAGAGACCTCAGATTCCTATTGCACATGTGTCCTACAAAGAAGGGTTACAGAGATTCTATCTTGAATTGTTTGTGAATTTTTCCACATGCATTACTTTTGCTGGATTATAAACTTCTACAACACAACCATATGTTTCACTTCTTATAAAATCTCTCACAGGGTCTAAGTCAAAGTCAAAGGACCGTCATTAATCAGTTGATTGGCACTAGAGTGGTTGGCCTAGCGTTGGTGGACATAGTCATTCTCAGTGTCAGAAAATCTTGCACCCTATCGGAAAAGCGTAAGAGGAAACACAAAAATTAAACAGAGGATACAGCAACATAATAGTTCTATAAAGATAGTACATACTGGGAGTCTAAAAAACATCCATATCTTTTGACATAAATCTATTGCTAGAAAATCATCCTACCAAAATATCTAAAGAGTAAAGAAACTTTATGAAGAAAGTCATTCTTTGAACAGAATATAGAAGCAGAAAAATTTTGAAACAATCTAAATATCAACAATAGAGGATATGTTATATAAACTAAGAATCTTCTTCTGTGTAAACCTGCTATTAAAAATAATGCTTAAGAAGTATTTTCAAAGGTTTAACAAGTGGTTATGACGTAATGTTCGGCAACAAACAATTGTATACAAACTAGGATCTCAATTATGTTGAAGTGTGTAGAATATTGACAGTGGGTATTTCTGAGTGGTAGGATTTGGGGTGTTTCTAATTTTCTTGTTTGAACTTTCTATTTTATACTTTTCAAGTTTCCTGCAATAGTAATGTTTTACTTTTATAATCAAAAAACTATTGAAATAATACTTTAAATTATGCATGTGAAAAGATTACCTGGTCCAGGTGGTCATTGTATCCAGCTGAAGGTGTTAAATCTAGCTAGACTCTGGCCTGGGTCTTGAGAGGTTAGTATCTATACCCCACCTTCCCTTCTAAACAGGTTAGCAAGCTGGCAAGCTGGTAAAGGAGCCTAGCCTCTTCCTCCCTACAGGACACTGCAACATCAAAACAAAGCCTCTAAATACTCCCCTAAAGACAAGGAAGACTAATATCTGTGACGTAGCTATTCTCTTCTGGGACATAGAGGAAAAAAATAGGTCTCTCTCATAACAAGACACCATTCATTTCTCAGGTTAAGCTGCCATTACCTTCGAACACACAGAAGCTGAGGGCTGTTTCTGCAGCCCTATCCTACCCAGTCAGCCCTCTGCGTGCTCTCAACTGCTATTCTCACTGCAGACCACCATTTTCAGACAAAGCTCTGAAAAGCCCCTTAATGCCCAAGAGCCACAGGTTGTGTTTGTGTTAATTACTACAGGGCTCAGTTCACAATATCACTTAATAAAAATTAATAATTTTCAAGAATAGATTCATAATCTTCTCAGTTATCAGAACAGCTGAAGTTATTTATGTGCTTATTGGAACAATATTATAAATGTTTGCTTTGTTTTAATACTTCATTGATGAATCACATAATAGTTTATAAAATCATGTTTTTACCTGATATACTTAGTTGGCCATGTTTTCCTGATTACAACAAACAGATGAAAAATAATTTCTGAGTTATTTCCTTTTTCCTTCAGTATCTCAAAGGATGTTCACTGTGAATACTGACAAAATAATTTATTATTATTTTCCTAGATTCTGACCATCTGCTGCTAATCAATTCATTAGAAATTCAACTCAAAAAGAAAATTTTTGGAGATAGTATGTTAATATACCAGTTTAGAGAAAACAACATACAATTACTTTTGCACAAAGTCAGTTGGAGAATAGTTTGAGAACTGTCTAGAGACAGCAAGATATTCTCAAGATGCTCCAAGTATCCATTCTGACTCTATGACTATTCTGAGCACAAACTCAGGATTTTAGTTTCCTTCACTAATATCTAGTAATAAAAAACCTCCATGTGTTATTTATGAGAACAGTTAAGCAGATAAATAATAAAGTCTCCTGACACTTCAAAGGAAAATGAAGAAAATATGAGTAAATATAAAATCAATTCATCAGATACATTTTAAATTCCAGCTGTTAGAGTCAGAAGGAATCACAGAAGATCATTTCACTCCATCTCCTGGGTTTATGCTGATAAGCTACTGCTCTATCCATATGAGCGAAGATGCAGCCGCAGGTTAAGGGGCAAGCCTGTTGCCATACAGCTGGTTAGCACCAAGAAGCAAAGTGAAGTTAGATTTCAGTTTCTAGTATCCTCATACAGGCCTCTTCCCAATGAGCCAAGCTACTTCTCTTTTAAAAATAATTCTGTCTGGAACATTAAGGGGGTCATCCGTACTGATTCTTCATGTTTTAAATACATATTGTTTGCCAGTCATTATGCTAATAAGAATACAAAAAGAAAACAATATATAGTATCAGCACTTGAAGACCTCACAGTCCAGTAAGGAAAACGTCAACATGAACAATACCCATATGATACTTGCATAGCAATGTGAGCACAGTGCTATGGGAACATAGAAGAGGGAGCAATAAATTCTGCTAAGAAAGTGTTAAAAAGTTTCACAGAAGAGCTAGGCCCCAAAGGATGAGTAAGAGGTATTTAGGCAGAAGGAACCATGAAAACAAAGGCAGGGATGTGAACAACATCTTTGAGGAGGAGCCAGCATACAGAATGAAAGATATTGCGCATCAAAAGCAAAACAGCCTTTGCTTTTACACAGACCTATCATGGTAAAGCATCCTCACAGCTGTACACATTTAGGTAATCTCTGTGTTCCCCAGCCCCTCTAAAGAGCATCACTGTGTCCTCCTTGCCTATATCCATGCCCTCTGTCAGGAAAGGCCTTGCCCTTTTCCTCTATGCCAACTCCCCACTGTCCCTCCTGATACATCTCCAATATTACCTCTTCTCCAACCTCCCTGGGAGAGTTAATTACCTCCTCCTTTGGGCTCCTATAACAACTTTTACATCTCTTGCAAGAGGTTACTTGAATTACTTGTTTACATACATGTCTATCTCCCAAACAAGTCTAAAAATGGTAGGCTTCTAAATAATTATATGTTTGATAAATATGAATGAATGACCTTTTCTATGGAAAGCTAGGCGCTAAAGGTGATAGAGAGATAACATGCACATACGAACTCTCAAGGGAAATAGACAGACACATAGATAATGTATAAGTAGAATAATAATTCTTTGAATTGAAATCCCCAGGGAAACATTTTCACTCAACCGAAAATCTAACTGCAATCTAAAGATTTTCACATACAACCACTTGGCATTGACTTACAACTCCACCTAGATAGGTTCATAAAGTCAGATCCTTTTCTTGTTACATTCTTAGAGCTCATAAAAGGTGGTCTGAAAAGGCAACTCTTTGGGTATAATTTAGTCTTATTAAACAGAATTGTAAGGGAGAGAAAATGACTGTCTAGTCCTTTATCATTGGGCATGTAATCCATTATAAAGGTGTTAAGCTCACTGGTAAGTGTAAAAATGAGAGGAAATGAGTCTACTGACAAAAAATGCAATGAGACAATAAACTAAAATTAATGCTTCACAAATTCTCAGCTTCTCAGCCTTATTGTCTCAATTTGTTATTCTCATAAATTATCAGAAAGTAAAGCACAGCCACTGCTCCTAAAAATAAAAATCTTATTAAACTTACTATGTATAAAACTGCCTGAAGACATTGGCTCTCCTTTGACCTCATGAGTTACTCAAGATACTCAATCCCAGGGTTCAAAAAATATATCTCATTAGCAGTACCAGATGTCAGCAGATGTGTTATTAAACTGCCTGTCACTCAAGCCTCAATCCTGAAAAATACCTAGGTCACCTAATCCTTTATGCCATCCACATCTTTTCACATATAATAACAGGAACTTTAGTGCCTGGAATTGTTATTAATAATAATTCCAAAAACTCAATCATTTCTGGGATGCCTTTGAGTTAATGGGAAAGAAGCTACTATCTGCCTGACAAATTGCTGCACACTGGTAAAAGATGATTGACAGAGGATAGATAGTGTATTAGCCTCCTTGGGCTATGTCATAATCCATTCAGCTGGCTATCACAAAATACCATAAACCAGGTAGCTTATAAACAACAGAAACATTTCTCACAGCTCTGGATTCTGGGAAGTCCAGCATCAAGGCCCTGGCATATCTCTTGTTTGGTGAAGGCCCACTTTCTGGTTCACAGATGGCAACTTCTTGCTGTGTCCTCACATGGCAAAAGGGGCAAGAGAGTTCTCTGGGGCCTCTTTTACAAGGGCAGTAATCCTATTTCTGAGGGACCTGCCCTTCATAACCTAACTACTTTCCCCACCTTCCAATACCACCACATTGAGGATTAGGATTCGATGTATGAATCTGGGGTTTACACAAACATTCAGACCATAGCAGGCTACCTTAAAAACCACAAACCGGTGGCTTAAACAATAGAAATTTATTTTTTCATACTTTTGCTAGCTGAAAGTCCAAGACGAAGGTGTCATCAGGGTTAGTATGTAGCAAGGCCTCTCTTCCTGGCTTGCAGGTCACTGCCTTCTTGTTGAATGCTCACATGACTTTTTCTCTGTGCACTCACAGAGAAAGAATGAAATGAGCTCTCTGGTGTCTCTTCCTGTTTGTATAAGGTATCAGATTATGGCCCCACCCTTCTAAGCTCATTTAACCTTAATTATCTCCTTAAAGGTCCTAACTCCAAATACTATCACCTTGGGGTTAAGGCTTCAAAATATGAATTTGATGAGAGACACAGTTCAGTCCATAACAGACAGACTGATGGATGGATGTGAATGGATGGACAGATGGATGGATGCATGGATGGATGGATGGATACATGGATGGATGCATGGATGGATGCATGGATGGATGCATGGATGGGAGGGACGGAGGGAGGGAGGGAGAGAGGGAAGAAGAGAAGGAAGGAAGGAGGGAAGGAAGAGAGAGAAGGACGGAGGGAAGGAGGGAGAGAAGGAGGGAGGGAGGGATATGATTAACTCATGAAGGAGGTAGGATTACGATCAGACTTAAATCTGCTGGAAGCAAACCATTGCCTGTAAGGTAAAAAATTGAGAAGTGTTAGAAAAGCCTCACACTGCTCCAACATGCTGCACATAAACACGAGCCACAGTGCCTAAAATTTCATATTAACCAAAGATTCAACAAACATTTATCAAGGAAGAACTTTGTGTCTGGCACTGATCTAGTGTTACAGAGCATGTTAACTGAATTCCTCACTGAAGACATTTATATTCTAACATGGATGAAAAAAAATCTATGTATAAGAAAGTTGTTCTTAACCTGAATTACACAAAGGATCACTTGTGGGACTTTAAAAAAATACATATTCCACAATCATATCTTCTGAATCTAAATAGCCTGAGGTAGGCCCTGGGCATTGAGATATATATATATAATCTCTCCAGGGGATTCTGAAGCACAGCAATACGAAAATCCAGTCCAGACTACTGAGATAAGCATTGGCCTTTTCTTCTAAACACTAATGACTCTAGAAGATAATATGTGAAGAACCTACTACCGCAGTGTAAATAAACTCACTAGATGGCTAGCAATAAATGATCCAGAACAATATGAGACTGCTGGGCAAGAGAAGGCATGATTGATTTAAGATAATGTACACGAAACTTGGTAGCAGACATGAAATCCCTTTGTAAACATAAAAGATTATTACTCCTCAGTAGGTCACCATTTTACAAGGCAGATCATTTCATTTTAAGAGCTTCCAAATACTGAGCCAACACATGGTTTTTTTGGTAACTTTCTTCCAATGTGTCTAGGTCCATAGTTTTCAGCGCATGCCTTCTCCCGAAGTCTTCAGGGTGAGACTCCACAATGCCTTAGGTCTAGGACCATAGCCCTCTGAAGTTCCTGAGCAAGTCTGGACCAAGGCTGATCAAGATCACTAGGCTTAGCACCAGAAGTATTTGAGAGTCTGGAATTAATCTTGCGGCCATTACCGCGGGCTTCAGTGGGTTATAAGCCCAGGGCAACTGCATATCTGTTACACTGCAGTGTTCCCTTTAATTCCACCTGCTGCCAGCCCTGAGTCTAATCCATTCAACTGACTTCTGTCTGGGGTTCCTGTTCTCCACTAGAGCTCTCACGGGAACCCTAGCCTGTTTGGTTGAGCTCTGATACTCTGGCCAGCCATTGCCACCTGCACACTTCAGGGCTGGTTTCCATTCCCTATACATCCAGTCAGTGGCTGGGTGACATTTCTTTACTATTGACATGCCCAAGCTGCTATATGGACTCCTGCCTTAGATCATTGATTCTCAGATGGGATGGTTCTGCCCCAGTAGAATGTTTCAGAAACTCTTGATGATATATTTGGTTGTCATAACAGTAACATCTGCCTCCTTCTACAGCATCACCCCATGTTTACTGGCATTTAGAGTGTGGGGGCCAGAGAAAATAGACATCCCACAATGAATGCACTGTGTAATCCACCCAAGGATTAGTTGTACTGTGTTCTCGAACACTCACACAGATGGAAAACCTCTCTGTTAGTATCTGAGCCTAGAAGCTAACTGTTTCACACATAATCTCAAAGTACTTTTTGCAGCAAGTTTTAATATGCAACTAATTTTCCAGGACAGTCTCTAGCCTGTAAATCATGGGGAGGAAACTTTACCAAAAATTGTTCACCACCCTGAAAATCACTTCACCAACACTATAATGACATTCTTGCTACTTGAGTGACAAGTACAAAGCTCCTGTAACGGTCTGCATTTGCAGTTTCCATTCTTCATGTAGCTACAAGCATCTGACTACTTTATTATGTCTTTTAGTGTAACCAAGCTCAAGCCCTTAGGTATTAACTACATATTATGTTACTTTTAATTATTTTACACTTTTAAACCTTTATATAAAAATTAGGGCATTATATTAATTTATTTTCTATATGAAATTAAGTATGTAGAGATATTGTATTACCTACAAGTTATATTATCTGTGAGAGTAAGAAGGGCACTACAAAATGTCTGTTGGGAAGAGGGGATATTAGGTCTGATAGGTTTAAGCTCAGTATTAGTATTTATTGAGAATAAAGTGAATATTCTCAATAAACCCTGTAGATACCAGCCATACCCTTTCATGGCTTCGCCCTTACAGCTGCATCAGTTCCTGCACTTCAGCTCCCAACAAGGCATCCTCCAGGCCAAGGATGTCTCAGGATGCCTTGCAGTCAAATCTATCCATTGGCAGATGCCATCCTACAATTCAAAAATAAAACCTAAAAATTATTTGTGTAATTCATTTGAATTAAAAGCATGACTCTTAGCAATAATAGCATAAAGAGATTGGCTATTACTTTTAAAACCTATATTTCAATAATGCTTTCACATATATTGATTTCATTTGATATTCACAACAACACGATGAGATGACAGAGAAGACTGTGCATTTCTTTTTTTTAAATTATACTTTAAGTTCTGGGATACATGTGCAGAACGTGCAGGTTTGTTACATAGGTACACACGTGCCATGGTGGTTTGCTGCACCCATCAACCCATCATTTTCATTAGGTACTTCTGCTAATGCTATCCCTCCCCTAGCCCCCAACCCCCGACAGGCCCCAGTGTGTAATGTTCCCTTCCCTGTATCCATGTGTTCTCATAGTTCAGCTCCCACTTATGAGTGAGAACTTGTGGTGTTTGGTTTTCTGTTCCTGTGTTAGTTTGCTGCGAATGATGGTTTCCAGCTTCATCCATGTCCCTGCAAAGGACATGAACTCATCCTTTTTCATGGCTGCATAGTATTCCATGGTATATATAATGCCACATTTTCTTTATCCAGTCTATCATTGATGGGCATTTGGGTTGGTTCCAAGTCTTTGCTATTGTGAACAGTGCTGCAGTAAACATACATGTGCATGTGTCTTTACAGTAGAATGATTTATAAGCCTTTGGGTATATTCCCAGTAATGGGATTGCTGGGTCAAATGGTATTTCTGGTTCTAGATCCTTGAGGAATTGCCACATTGTCCTCCACAATGGTTGAACTAATTGACACTCCCACCAACAGTGTAAAAGTGCTCCTATTTCTCTACATCCTCTCCAGTATCTGTTGTTTCCTGACTTTTTAATGATCACCATTGCAACTGGCATGAGATGGTATCTCATTATGGTTTTGATTTGCATTTCTCTAATGACCAGTGATGATGAGCTTTTTTTCATGTATTTGTTGGCCACATAAATGTCTTCTTTTGAGAAGTGTCTGTTCATATCCTTCACCCACTTTTTGATGGGGTTGTTTTTTTCTTGTAAATTTCTTTAAGTTCCTTGTAGATTCTGGATATTAGCCCTTTGTCAGATGGATAGATTGCTTCCACCATTCTGTAGGTTGCCTGTTCACTCTGATGATATTTTCTTTTGCTGTGCAGAAGCTCTTTAGTTTAATTAGATCCCATTTATCAATTATGGCTTTTGTTGCCATTGCTTTTGGTGTTTTAGTCATGAAGTCTTTGCGAATGCCTATGTCCTGAATGGTATTGCCTAGGTTTTCTTCTAGAGTTTTTATGGTTTTATGTGTTACATTTAAGTCTTTAATCCATCTTGAGCTAATTTTTGTATAAGGTGTAAGGAAGGGGTCCAGTTTCAGTTTTCTGCATATGGCTAACCAGTTTTCCCAACACCATTTATTAAATAGGGATTCCTTTCCTCATTGCTTGTTTTGTCAGGTTTATCAAAGATCAGATGGTTGTAGATGTGCGGTGTTATTTCTGAGGCCTCTGTTCTGTTCCATCAGCCTATAAATCTGTTTTGGTATCAGTACCATGCTGTTTTGGTTACTGTAGTCTTGTAGTATAGTTTGAAGCCAGAAAGCGTGATGCCTTCAGCTTTGTTCCTTTTGCTTAGGATTGTTTGGCTATAGGAGCTCTGTTTTGGTTCCATGTGAAATTTAAAGTAGTTTTTTTATAATTCTGTGAGTAAAGTCAATGGTAGCTTGATAGGGATAGCACTGAATCTATAAATTACTTTGGGCAGTATGGCCATTTTCACAATATTGATTCTTCCTATCCATGAGCATGGAATGTTTTTCCATTTGTTTGTATCCTCTCTTATTTCCTTGAGCAGTGGTTTGTAGTTCTCCTTGAAGAGGTCCTTCACATCCCTTGTAAGTTGTATTCCTAGGTATTTTATTCTTTTTGTAGCAATTGTAAATGGGAGTTCACTCATGATTTGGCTTCCTTTTTGTCTATTATTTGTATATAGGAATGCTTGTGATTTTGCACATTGATTTTGCATCTTGAGACTTTGCTGAAGTTGCTTATCAGCTTAAGGAGATTTGAGGCCGAGATGATGGGGTTTTCTAAATATACAATCATGTCATCTGCAAACAGAGGCAATTTGACTTCTTCTCTTCCTATATGAATACCCTTTCCTTCTCTTGCCTGATTGCCCTGGCCAGAACTTCCAATACTATGTTGAATAGGAGTGGTGAGAGAGGGCATCCTTGTCTCATGCCGGTTTTCAAAGGGAATGCTTCCAGCTTTTGCCCATTCAGTGTGATATTGGCTTTGGGTTTTTCATAAATAGCTTTTATTACTTTGAGATACGTTCCATCAATACCTTTAACATCACACTGTCAACATTAGACAGATCAATGAGACAGAAAATGTACAAGGATATTCAGGATTTGAACTCTGTTCAGGACCAAGCAGACCTTATAGACATCTACAGAACTCTCCACCCCAAATCAACAGAATATACATTCTTCTCAGCACCATTTTGCACTTATTCTAAAATTGACCTCATAATTGGAAGT
This sequence comes from Homo sapiens, assembly GCF_000001405.40. Taxonomy (NCBI): domain Eukaryota; kingdom Metazoa; phylum Chordata; class Mammalia; order Primates; family Hominidae; genus Homo; species Homo sapiens. The sequence continues at coordinate 3,996,710 of NC_000003.12, forward strand.
AAAACATTCCTCAGCAAATGCAAAAGAACGGAATTCATAACAAACAGTCTCTCAGACCACAATGCAACAATCAAATTAGAACTCAGGATTAAGAAACTCACTCAAAACCACACAACTACATGGAAACTGAACAACCTGCTCCTGAATGACTACTGGATAAATAACAAAATTAAAGTAGAAATAAATAAGTTATTTGAAACCAATGAGAACAAAGACACAACATACCAGAATCTCTGGGACACAGCTAAAGCAGTGTTTAGAGGGAAATTTATAGCACTAAATGCCCACAGGAGAAAGCAGGGAAGATCTAAAATCGACACCCTAACATCACAATTAAAAGAACTACAAAAGCAAGGGCAAACAAATTCAAAAGCTAGCAGAAGACAAGAAATAACTAACATCAGAGTAGAACTGAAGGAGATAGAGATACACACAAAAAAAAAAAACCTTCAAAAAATCAATGAATCCAGCAGCTGGCTTTTTGAAAAGATTAACAAAATAGATAGATGGCTAGCCAGACTAATAAAGAAGAAAAGAGAGAAGAATTGAATAGACACAATAAAAAATGATAAAGGGGATATCACCACTGATCCCACAGAAATGCAAACTACCATCAGAGAATACTATTAACACCTCTACACAAATAAACTAGAAAATCTAGAAGAAATGGATAAATTCCTGGACACATACACCCTCCCAATACTAAACCAGGAAGAAGTCAAATCCCTGAATAGAACAATAACAAGTTCTGAAATTGAGGCAATAATTAATAGCCTACCAACCAAAAAAAGCCTGACCAGACAGATTCACAGCCAGATTCTACTAGAGGTACAAAGAGGAGCTGGTACCGTTCCTTCTGAAACTATTCCGAAGAATAGAGTAAGAGGGACTCCTCCTTAACTCATTTTATGAGGTCAGCATCATCCTGATACCAAAACCTAGCAGAGACAAAACAAAAAAAGAGAATTTTAGGCCAATATCCCTGATGAACGTTGATGTGAAAATACTCAATAAAATGCTGGCAAACCGAATCCAGCAGCACATCAAAAAGCTTCTCCACCACAGTCAAGTCGGCTTCATCCCTGGGATGCAATCCGTCACATAAACAGAATCAATGACAAAAACCACATCTCAATAGATATAGAAAAGGCCTTCGATAAAATTCAACACCACTTCATGCTAAAAACTCTCAATTGTGTATTTCTGTATCTGTTTTAAAAAAGAATCTTGAGGCTCTGAGATTCTGATCAGCTCAGTCACAGAGCTAGCAAGAGAGCTGGGATTAGAGTCTACACCTTCAGAAGCCAAAAGCTGTGATATTTTCACCTACATAACACTGCCTCTAAAGTGAGACAAGTAACAACAGGAAGAAAAGAACAACAGAAAGAACAAAATTAAAAGGATCAATATGAAATGCTGAAACATGTAAATACTAACAGGGTAATGGTAATTTCTGAAAGCCTAAAGAGGAAAATTCCACACCACAATCCAAGAGATCTGATTAAGCAGGCTATTTTGTCATGTGAACATACTCTTCTATGGCAACCCACCACAGCTCACATCTTTGCACCCATTGTATAGAATGCCTGTGGGCACACACAAATGGCTCGCAAAGACGACACTTAAAAATAGCTGTGCTGCCCTCTACTGTTGAAAAAAGAGCAAGCATGAAAACGGCAATCAGATTTGCTACTTGTGTGTCTTAAGCTGATAAGTGAACAGCAGCAGAGTGCTACAAACACCATTTCATTATTATCAGTCAGTGGTTCAGTAGTAACTTTAGCATTGAAATAAATATTTTGACATTAATGAGATCAAACAGTTTATTTGGCTTAATAAAGACAATATCATAATTGTTTATTGTTGGTGCTATCCTTGTTAGTTGGATTGTCTGCTTAAGACTAGCTGAATAGACATGAATATTCAGTACTTAAAGCTTGTTTTCAGATTCTTGTAATGTCAGGGCTAAATAAAACTTAAAGGTCACATAGAGGTAAATGGATGTTTTACATATGACAACTCTGATCCATAGGCAGCAGCTGCCTGGAGAAATGTGTAAATAAGGATTTTGAGACTCTGTTCAAGCTCAGTGACAAAGAAGATTACAATTGATTAGTAATGTCTTCCAAGTAAGAGAAAGTGAGATAATGCTATACGTGCAACATCCATCTGTCCATGGGCTAAATTAGACTGCCATCCCTAGGCTCGTCTGATCACTTTACAGATAAGGAAATCAAGGCCCACTGAGACGAAATTGCTTGTTAAAGATCTCATTGCTGGCCAGGCGCGGTGGCTCACGCCTGTAATCCCAGCACTTTGGGAGGCCGAGGCGGGTGGATCATGAGGTCAGGAGATCGAGACCATCCTGGCTAACAAGGTGAAACCCCGTCTCTACTAAAAATACAAAAAATTAGCCGGGCGCGGTGGCGGGCGCCTGTAGTCCCAGCTACTGGGGAGGCTGAGGCAGGAGAATGGCGTGAACCCGGGAAGCGGAGCTTGCAGTGAGCCGAGATTGCGCCACTGCAGTCCGCAGTCCGGCCTGGGCGACAGAGCGAGACTCCATCCCAAAAAGAAAAAAAAAAAAAAAAAAAGATCTCATTGCTGCTGGAAATTAGCCTGGGTCAATCCTATTACTGGGTATATACCCAGAGGGATATAAAGCACTCTACCATATAGACACATGCACACAAATGTTCACTGTGGCACTGTTCACAATAGCAAAGACATGAAATCAATCTAAATGCCCATCAGTGACAGATTGGATAAAGAAATTGTGGTACATATACACCATGGAATACTATACAGCCATAAAAAATGAAATCTTGTCTTTTGCAGGAACATGGATGGAGCTGGAGGCTATTATCCTCAGCAAATGAATGCAGGAACAAAAAACCAAATACTGCATATTCTCACTTATAAGTGGGAGCTAAATGATAAGAACTTATGAACACAAAGAAGGAAACATCAGACACTGGGGTCTAGTTGAGTGGGAAAGGTGGGAGGAGGGAGAGGAGCAGAAAAGATAATTATTGGGTACTGGGTTTAATTCCTGGGTGATGAAATAATCTGTATAATAAACCCCCATAACATGACTTTACCTATGTAACAAACCTTCACATGTACCCCGAACCTAAGATGAAAGTTTTAAAAAAAATACCTGTAATGTGAAAACCCTTTACTAGTGGGATTAATATTGTTTGGGCAATTATCATCACTGTACAAGTGGCTGTTAATAGCATTTTCCACTTGCTCTGTGCTGGGCACTGTACTATATTCTTTACCAACTATTATCTTATTTAATTATCAAAGGCTCTTTGGCGTTGGATATTATTACCCTTGTTTTTTTGTTTTGTCTTGTTTTTTTCCTAAAAAAAAGAAAGAAATTAAGCTGGATCAAGAATTCAAGCATCCTGTATTCTGGAACATTCTTCTTGCCATTAGATATAAGTTTCTTAGCTAGGCCTCCAGGAATGGAGGACAAGACATTTCAGCCCAAACTTTATAAAGTAACAAGTGATGTTCATTCTCAATACAGCTTTAAGATAATTCTTTACTGTCACCAAGGCACATATTTTCTTCTTTACATAGACCAAAAGCCTTTGCGAAAGATAGGGCACAGGCAAAGCCTTTTCATCTTACAATTGATCTTTTTGATGATTTGTTCATAAAGAAATAGAATTTCCCATTGTGGAGTCATTTCCATGGTTACCTATTGATTTCCTATAGGAAGCATGCTGTTTACACGGCCATCAGGTCTTTATTGTGGAGGGTAAATCACCCTCTGAGTTTTCACTTTATCTGCAACCTGAGGCATGTAAAAATGAGCTCTGCAAAATTACCAGAACAAGATAAATAAATGATTCATGTGAATTGGTTTTGCATGAATAAGTGATTAATCCTCTCTTTCAACTTTGCTATGAGAGAATGCAGAATTAATGTAATTCTATGCAAACAGAATCCACTTTTCTGAATTCTGACCTAATTGTTGGTATTTGTGAGGCAAAATACATGTAAAATTTCCTGTAGTTTTTAAAAAACTAATGATACTGCTACTGAAAATCAGGAACCAAACTTCTCTTTATAAACCTTAACTGCAGATGCACACGGATGAGATTGTGATTTACCCTAAAAGTTCCTTCAAAGCATCTTGTAATTTGGCATTCCAAAGGTATATGACCTTAGTGTTCCAAAATAGGACTTAGAATTGCTCACCAAATAGCCTAGTCTTTAAACCAGAGTCCATGTGGCAGCCTTAGCAGCCTGAATTAATTAGGCTCTTGGAAGAAACACACCTAGGACTCTGGAGTTTTCACATAATGAGAAATCAGTAGACCATTCAATAAATCAGTAGAACACTCAACCCAAGAAAACATCCACAAAAATAAAATCCCTTTAATTGGGGACATAAAATAACAATTCTATTCTATGAAGATGTGTCTCAGCGTTACGCTAGAAGTTTAGGTCTCTTTCTCCAAGAGTATTTCACCTGTAGTCAGGAACTTTAAACATAAACCCAGACCAACCAAGTGATTCTATAAAAGTCACAAAATAAGAATACTAGGAAGAGGAGATAATCTTGGACTGGAAGATAAGCAGAGAAGGCTTCTTGGTTTGTGCAAAATTGTGGCTTTTGCCATTACTTTCAATGGCAAAATAAATTTTGGCAAAACTTTTTGTTAGGAGACTTGCAGAAGCAGTGAGATTTGAATAGATACAAATAGAAAATTATAGTAGCTAACCAGTTAGCGAGCATTTACCATAGGACAGACGCTCTGCCAAACCCTTTATACTCTATCTTATCTTCATAACTATCCAATGAGGTGAGTAAGTTATTATTCTCTTTTTTATAGGTTAGATCGATGAGATTAGGCCAGGCGTGGTGGCTCATGCCTGTAATCCCAGCATTTTGGGAGGCCGAGATGAGCGGATCTCCTGAGGTTGGGAATTCGAGACCAGCCTGACCAACATGGAGAAACCCCGTCTCTACTAAAAATACAAAATTAGCCTGGCATGGTGGCGCATGCCTGTAATCCCAGCTACTTGGGAGGATGAGGCAGGAGAATTGCTTGAACCCGTGAGGCAAGGATTACGATGAGCTGAGATCACACCATTGTACTCCAGCCTGCGCAACAAGAGCAAAACTTTGTCACAAAAAAAAAAAAAAAAAAAAAAAAAAAAAGGCTGAGGTGTTAAACAACTAGTGTGACAGGGCTAGTTCCAATGATTCCAATACATACTGTCTCCTAAGTCTACAATCATAACTAAACCATTTCAGTCAGAGGGAAATAGGGAATATAGTGGCAAGGAAGCAAATCACATAGCAAGAGGGTGACAGAGGTTAAATCACTACATCAACAGAGAGTGGTGTAGTAAAGGGAGGAAGGGCTGGGAAAACTGCATGAGGGTGGATTACAGAGAGCTCTGAATGCCATTCTTGGTAGGATAAAATGTGAGAACTGAACCCCAACTGAGAAGGTGCCAATTAATTCAGGTGGCACTGACCTGTGAGGCTGAGGAGGTCTTAATCACCAGAACACTAAATGCTCATTATCCAACCTTTTAATTAGCAAAGAAACTACCCTGTCTGGAAAAGTTTTCAGCAAAGAACTAAGATTTGATCATGCTGTTAAAGAAAAAAAAAGAAAAGAAAAAAACAATCCTCTGATCTCTCCCAGGCAACAAATCTTGTATTTCAGATGTATGTTTTCATATCTTCCAGGTCCCAATTGGAGAGAAAATGAGGAAAAGGAGGAACAGATGGGACTAAAAGCAGAAGGCACCTGATGAAAGAGAAAAAGCAAGGCTGGGGGAAGGGTGTTTAGAGAAGGACTGGGAGAACAAAAGCAAAGAATCTGAAATGTAAGGTTATCTCCTCTGCTGAACTACACACACAAAGTTGTTCTATTTACTGCTTTGCAATATTGAGTGACTCTATCAAGTACTGGTGGCGATCGGTGCCTAGGAATAATCACATGGATCTCTCAATAGAAAGCTCACTTTACAGAATCAGGTCACTAATAAGGGCCTGGGGCATGTATATCACCATGTAGGTGTGAAAATGCAGGACAGGGTCAGGCTATGCCAACATCTTTGTACATGTGAAAAATGAAACCCAAGAAGGTCAACAGAAAGGGCATTGGCCTGGGAATCAGAAAGGTAGTCCTTTCCCTGAAAGAGGATAAATGTATTTTCCCAAGGTGACAAGGTAAGTAGTAGAGTGCCTACATTTTGTTTCTTGCCTCTTAGGAGAGCATGCTTTCTTCCGTTCCCATGAACTTCAGAATGAGCCACATCTTTACTCAAAGCCTCCTCTGCTATTTATATGTGTGACCTTAGGTAAGTTATTATCCTCTTTACCATACAGAAAAATAAAACAAGTTCTTTGCTTTCAAACAGCTAAATTAAATCAGGCACAGGTAGGTAGGCAAGGTCCAACAGGAGGAGTTGGTGTTAAGTGATTCAACTTTGTTCCCAGCACCAGGCTCATATTATAATTATCACTAAGAGTAGAATTTACCACTTCAGTAGAGGAAAGGCTCCCCATGCTTTTCCATAGCTTCCAAAGTTGGTTTGATGATTATGGGGGAAGAGAAGGAAATTGGGACAACACCTTCGATACTAGACAGTATTTATCAGTCACTCAGAGCTGTCCACCGTGCTTACAGCTTGGTGGATATTATTTCATTCAATCCCCCAGTAATCCTTTAGATTATTATTTCAATTGTACACATGAGAAAATTGAACTTCAGAAAAATTAAGGGACTTGCCCAAATCCCACTAGATTTAGCACCAGGCTCCAAGCTAATAGCAAACTAGAGAGCTCTTATGGGAACAACCATATTACTGCAGCTTTCCCAGTGTAGTTGTCATGACCAACTCAGGGTTCTCCAGTCCAAACAAGGAGGTCGTGCTAATCCATTCATACATCTTAACTCCCGGAAATCATTTCCATTCCCCATGGAGCAAAATTTTGGAAAGCAGATTCAACAAATTTTGCAAGGTACTGGGGGCAATGTGGCTATTATACAGAAATAAAAGACAACTTTCCTGTCCTCCAAGAACTTATAGTTTGGCACGAAAGTGGTAAGTAAACAGACAACAGCAAGTTAGACATCTTCTTCAGAGATTATATTTGAGCAGTGCAGATGTACAAAGAAAGGGGAAGAAAGTGAACAGGGAGGGAGACATTGAGGAAAAGCTGTGGTGGGAGGGAGAGAAGGAAGGAGGGAGGGAGGCAAGAAGGAAGGAAGGAGCGAGGAAGGGAGGGGAGGGGAGGGAGGGAGGGAGGGAGGAGGCAGGCTTTGTATGTCAGGGACTGTGTTAGTTATATTGCCTTATCTCTTAATTCTTCCAACACCTGGTTGTCGATATCATTACTCCCATCATATTCCTCCTGCTAACCTTCATCACCCTTAGAATGACCTAGTCTTGCATGATATGGTTCCTGCCTTCCTCTGTGGCATACATCCTACCACACTGACCCCTTTACTATGCCTTGAATGTATCAGTCTCTCTTTAACCTCAGGGCACTTGCTGTTCTCTCCAGCTCAAATGTCCCCCAACTCCCTCCAGATGTCCATATGGCCTGCTTCTCTCTCTCTTCCTTCTACTCAAATGTTGCTTCCACAGAAAGGCTCTCCTTGATCCCCCTAATAACCCACCTCTCAGCTCCACTCTCTTCTCCTTACTCTGGTTTATTTTTCTTCAAGGCACTTACCATTACCAATCTTTCTTTATTTGTATTTGTTGGTTGCTTGTCTCCCCATTCCTCCACTAGAATGTAAACATTTATTCTCTCTCAGGATAGTAGGCAGTGACTGTTTATTTTTATTTATCCCCAGAGGAGTCTCAGCAGTGCCTGACATATAGTAAGTGCTCAAGAGAAATTTTATGAATGAGCTAATGAATCTGCCTTTGCAAGATATGGAAACTGGGGTTCAGACAAGTTATGCATCTTGGCCATGTCACACAAATGGACCTACCAACTTCATGACATTGTTATGCTCACTCCTGCCTCAGGCTTTGGGCCTTGAAAATCTCTCCTCCTGCAGGTCTGCTGATGGATCTTCGCAGAGCTGGCTCCTTCCCATAGCTTCAGAAGAGCCTTCTGGGGTCACCTCCTTTAAAATTGCCCCTTCCACTCCCATTACCCTATTTAACATTCTCCATGACACTTACTACTCTCTGAAATTACCTTATTTTCTTATCTCCCTTATTAGAATGTAAGTACTAGAGAAATCAGACCAATGAGACTATTTCTTTCTCATTCACAGCCTGCCTAGAGCAGCACAAACAATGCAAAAACAAACCAAAAAATGAATAAGCGTGTGTATGTAGGTCTCTTAGTACCATGCTTGGCCCATAACAAGTGCTTACTAGCTACTAGTTACTAATTTTTTAGTAGTAGAGATTTAATAGGAAAGATTATAGGAAAAGAAACTCAAAACAAGGGAATAGTGTGAATTAAAGACTAGCTTTTCTTAAACTATGTTGCCAAGGTAGTTTTACCCACAAGTCTGTGTCCTGGGCAAAAATAGTGGAAATTGGCTTCAGCGCAATCACAAGACTTCTGGAGGAGTCTTTCACTCCGTATGGATCAAAAATGGTGTGTTTCAACCAAGAGTATGGCTTTGGACATCTTCTCGTACAATTCACATATTTGTCAGTCATATAAACATTTCAATTTCAAGAATAGCATCTAATGTGCAATTTAATTTGGCCTCCATTTTGTAACTCTCGGAGCTGCAAATGTAGTTATTTTCACTTGCAGCAAATGGTTTGGTTGAATAGTGCATGGCTATCCAGGACTGGCAGAAAGCAAAACACCAATCGATAAGAGCAATAAAACTGGAAATCCACAAGATGTGTGGCCTGAAACATGTATAATTTTTAATTCATAATTTACTTAAATGATTGATTCTCCCAAAAGAAAGAACTGAAATAAGTGATAAATTGAAGTCTTACTGTGCAGAAAAATGAATACAGTGTTGATATGTCTTTAAGATTTCTCCACAACCAACAGAGAAGAGAAGGTAACTTCTGGACCCTGAAGTAAATCTTATTTTTATTTGGGGAATTATTTGGACATAGCTGCTATTGCCAAAAAAAGATTAATCCATACTATGCCCACCTCCCACAGGCTCTACAACCATTCCAAAGAAAAACAGGTGAGGAGCTAAATGATGTTGCAAAAATCAGTGAATTTGGAATAAAAAACATCTGTATTCAAATATTGACTCTGTGGTAGGTAAGACTAGAGGATCAGACAGGAGGGCAAATATGTTGAATCTTTACTTAAAGGCCAACTCCCTTGCTGCCTACTTTTTTTTTTTTAAGAGACAGATTTTGCTGTTTCCCAAGCTGGAGTGCAGTGGCTATTCACAAATGCAATCATAGCACACTACAGCCTTGAAATCCTGGGACCAATCAGTCCTCCTTCCTCAGCCTCCTGAATAGCTGGGACTACACCTACCTATTTTTGTGCTCTACACTTATCTATTTCCCTTAAGAGGTAAGGGTTAGTATTTAAGACTTGTCCCTTGAAGCAGGCCTCCCAAGAAACAAGTGGGCTTTCTGCAAAGTACCAACGAAACTGGCAATGGCCTAAATCTTAAGGACATTAATCCTGGTCAATGATGGCAAGTCCTGGATCCCAGTCCCCCAGTTATGTCAGATTCTCTAGCTATGAATGCTGATGTGGCAAATCCAGCCGACAGCTTGCTAGACTATACAGCTGCAACCACAAGAGTTGGACTCCAGCCTGCTAATTACTCCAGGGGAGAGGCTGGTGCTACCCCAGACATAAATGCTGAGTTAGCAGCATGGAGCTAGAGCCAGCTCATATTGCTGTTGTATCCTGGCTGATCTCTGAATATAGCAAGGAGGAGGTGATGCTTCCCTAATAATTCAACTTGAAAGCCCCAAAGCCCAAGGATGGGGATCTATCCCAGAAATCTGACTTGCAGTCATGCTGAATTGCTGTGTACTACCCTAGAATGTGATAAACAAAAGAAAACCACACATCTGCTACTGCATACGTTCGTAAGTTTGCCTCTAGGGCTGATATACATTCTGGCTGTATACATTCTGGTTATTTGTATATCAGCCCTCTAGGGCTGAGATAAATTCCGGCTCTACACATTCTGGCTATTTGTCCTGGTCCCCACAATACCTCATTGATAACATTTATGAAGGGAAGAATAATACTTCTTGATAACTTTTTGGAAGTTGACAAAATAGAAAAAGAAGGTCCAAATGTCTATATTTTTATGTACACATTTATGCATATTTACAACTTCTGATATTTCTTCTTTTTTCTCAGATTATATGAACCTCTGGACTCTGGAGTAAGCATGTAAATATATACGTATATGTCTGTGTGTGTGTGTTTCTGTGTCTGTGTGTATTACTTATATTTATGTTTATATTTATATTTATAGGCATTTTGAGGTCCTGTGGTAAAGGCCTTGGTCATGTCTGCATAAAAGTCAGCATGGGATATCCTCAAAGCTGCAAGGCTCCACCTATGTAGACACTACTGGGAGCAGGATGCCTGGGAGACGAAGCAGGGCAGCATAAATTTTTGTAGCAGAGGCAGCATCTACAGGGGGTGTCTTTGTGTCTCGGAGGATTGTTGCAAAAGAGTTCATAAATGTGCAGTTCCCTATCTTCCCCAACCCTTCAAAGATGGGAAAGAACTTCATTTAGATGTTCCATCCTACCCCGTTTTTTTACTGATCTGGGCAATACCAGGTCCCCTTAACACACACACACACACACACACACACACACACACACACACACACACACACACACTTCCTGCAATATATTGTGCTGAAAATCAGCCTTGCTGTCACAGTTCCATTATCAGGAGAGTTTGGAGTAATGCCCAGCCTAGTCTATAATGAAAAATTGTGGCTCAGTGTCCTGATTAAAACCATATCATCCTTTCTTGTCTATAGCTCCGTTCTTAATTTCAGTCTAGCCCAAGACGCTATCTAAGGTGGCTTGGAATGCAGGCCCACATGTTCCTTTCTGCTGTGAGTACAAGCAGAACAGGCAGAGCTGGGATTCAAATTGACCTCTCTCTGATTCTGAACCCCATGGTCTTTCCCATGAAGAGATCTAGTTTTTTTTGTTTTTGTTTTTGTTTTTTTTTTTCATCTGTTAGGGGCTGTTATGGGTTGACTTGTGTTTCCTCCATCCTCCCTGAAAAAGATATTTTGTAGCCCTAACCTCTAGTACCCCAGAATGTGACCATATTTGGAGATACGGTCTTTATAGAAATATTAAAGTTAAAATAGGTTCATTTGGTGTGAGCTCTAATCCCATATGACTGGTGTCCTTATGCACAGAGGAAATATGAATACCAAGAAAGAGACACAGAGGAATCAGAGAAAAGACAGACACCTATGAGCCAAGGAGAAAGGCCTAGAACAGATCCTTCCCTCACAATCCTCAGAAGGAACCAAGCCTACCAACAACACCTTGATCTCAGACATTCAGCCTCCAAAACTGTGATGCAATCAGTGGTGCTTTGTTATGCCAGTCCCAACAAACTAATACAGGAGAAATTCAGAGTTTTCAAACTGGAAGTGCATGTCCGTGAACATTAGATTGTTGCAGCCATCCAACTGTACAGTGCACAGCTCCAGAGGGCAGTATTCCCAGGGTCACATCATGGTGCATTCCTGCACTAGACGTCATACACCACACAGCCTCACACAGTGGTCCCTGACCAAGCTGACACAGATAGAGTCTCCTCCTGTGAGACATCTGTTACATATGTTACATGTGTTAAACCTGTTATAAATTCAGTTAAATTGCCCTCAAAGTAAAGATTATAAAAGAAGGATGTTAAGGGAGATACTGTTGGATTTGTTGCAGTGCATTTAAAAATAGATAACTTCAAGGCCATGGAATATGGGACTGTTTTTTAGCACAAAATTATAAAAGTGGAGAACTAATATATGTTAACCTATCGGGAAACTCATCTGAGTATGAGCTGGGCAGACGTTTTGATTGTCTATGGAGGGCTGGACTTCCCACTTTTCTCCCACTCATCTGACAGGATCAGTTTTTCAGGTGATGAATTAGGAACAAGGTGAGAAGGAGGTGGCTCTAGACACCCTGGATATAGCACTGTTTTCTGTTAATGAGATTCAGATGGCCTGATAATTAAAGCTGTCTCCAAAACAGAATGGCTTTCCTCATCTAGCATCCTTGGCACAGGGTAATTCAACTGAAGACTGGGTTCATTTATCCATTCAACTCCCTAATAAATACTTATGGAGTATTAGGCAATGTCCTGGATATTGGAGGAATACAAAGAATAGTGCCAGTCATATCAATCTTGCTCTCAAAGAGTTTAGGTTCTAAGGAGAAATAAGGTAGATGCGTAGAAAATTCCAATATAGAATATAAAACTATGTGTCACAGAAAAAGTGCAGTTAAAATGCCACAGGAGTTCAGAGTAGTTTACGAAGGAAGATATTGGGACAGTGATGGCATTTAAGCTATATGAATAACATTAACAGATAGAGAAAATGGCATAAGCCAAGATGGAGAGGAGAAGTTGAAGGCTGACTGGAGTACAGGGCATGTTTTTGGGAGCTAGAAAATACAATTGGAAAGGTCTTCTATATCTTCTTTGGAGATGGTTTTAACCACTAGACCAGGAATGTAAGTTTTATTCTGAGGACCAATAGGAGCCACTCAAAGAAGACGACCTTACAGTGATGTTGACAGAGAAATTCCAAAGATAAGAAGTTACCCGCCAGGCAAGGTGGCTCACGCCCATAATCCCAGCACTTTGGGAGGCTGAGGCAGGCGGATCACAAGGTCAGGAGATTGAGACCATCCTGGCCAACATGGTGAAACCCCGTCTCTACTAAAAATACAAAAATTAGCTGGGCATGGTGGTGCATGCCTGTAGTCCCACCTACTCAGGAAGCTGAGGCGGGAGAATCTCTTGAACCCAGGAGGCGGAGGCTGCAGTGAGCCGAGATTACACCACTGCTCTCCAGCCTGGGTGACAGAGCAAGACTCTGTCTCAAATAAAAAAAGAAGAAGTTAACCTATCAAGTGACTTCTGAAATCTCCCTCTCAGATCACTGAGTCTCTCGATTCATGCTGAAGAAGAAACAATAATCCCTTATCATAGATATGGACCACATCAGTTGAGATAGGGCTTGGAGGGTGGGGAAGCTATGAAATCCTTCTGAAAGAATGGCTATATTTTAGGGGATCACAGAGAATGCAAAGTTCAAGCAACTAAAGGGAATAGAAAATCCAAGCTATGCGGGGGGCTCTTCCCTTTCTCATAATCCCCCTGGGCAATAAGCCAGTTCAGAGACATCATCAGCTTATTTTCTCATAAACAACAATTTATCAGTAAGAAAGTGATATTTTTCCTCTTTGCCTGACTCCTTAACACATAATTGGTAGTACCTCCCATAACTGATTAACTCAGAACAAAGCTGAAAAGAAAATAACTATTGTGAGCTGGAAGAAATAAACTAAACTCTAGGCGTCTTTCACCTCCTTAGATCCATTTACAGTGACCTTTAGCCAAGGGAAGCAATGATTTAGAGAGCAGCTAGAAAGGATTTGTGGAATCCACTGAACTGGAATTCAGCACACGGAGCTAATCCTGCAAAACTGTGATTATAAAATTACAAAGCTTGACCAAAGAAAGCTTTGTGCATTCTGTGGACTTGTACCTAAAATCACCCTTAGTCTGAAATATCCTTTTTGTCTTCCACAGGAATTGGCTAACTGTATTGCTCTATTTATGCCATCTTTGCAACTAAATACTGTGATTAACTTGAAGTGTGGTTTCCAGAAATTTCTTATGAGGAAACAGATAAATATGGAAAGATGTATGCCGAAAGATGTTTACTGCAGCAATGCCTAAGATAAAGACTGAAAACAATATAAATATCCATCAGGAGACGATTGCTTAAGTATAGTACAGTAACACACTGGACTATCATCCAGCCAATAAGCAGACTAAGTTAGATACTAACAAGATTCTAACAATAAACACAGTAAGTTAGTACTAACAAGAAACTATGTCCATCTGTTGCCCATGTGTCCATTAAATATTGCTAAGAAAAAGAAGTAGGACGCAAATAGTATGTGTAATATGAACTAATTTTTAACTTTGTATGTATGTTTGAGAAAGAGAAAAGCGTAAAAATGGTGAATCAAATTAACAGTGATTTTCATGGAAGACTGGGATTGTAGTGAATCCTTCATTTTCTCCCTATGCACTTCTGAATGGCTTGGATTTTGTTACAATGAGTATGTACTGTTTTTATAATTAGAAAAATGATATTCCTATTAGAAAAGGAAGATAAAGAGACTAATTCTTCACTATGTTTTCCAAATTTTAATATTACTTATATCAGAGATTATTTTAAGATATTTTAAACTACTCAGTGTAGTAGAAACAATACTGGACCTACAAGCCAGTCTTCAGTTGTGAGTTCCAGCTCTCTGTTTTTCCTATCTGAGCCTCAGCTGTCTTCATACACAAAATGAGTGGCTGTATTTACTGACTCACAAAGTCCCTACTAGTACTCACATTTCATAATTCTAACTGGAAATAAATACACCAGGCATTCAATCCTGTCTTATGCAATATGGCCTAAAATGAGGCCCACAAACTGCTATAATCCAAAGACAAGTGGACTCTTGGAAGAGCTGAATTACATAATAGAATAAGTTTCTATCATAGATCCCCAGGGAATGAGTCTTTTTTATACACTTACCGTCAGAAGTTCTGTCAAAAATTCTACAATCATCTCCAGCCCCAACATACACAATTTACTAGACAGGAAATTGAGGCCACAGAGGCAAAGGGACTTGTACAAAATCTCACAGCTAATGAGTAGAAAATTCAGGATTACAAATATTTAATCATTTCTGGGCTGGGTGTAATGCTTCTTAGATCTTAGAGTTCAGGCTAAACATGTGATAGGTTCAAAACAATGCTTTGACCGTCCCCCACAGCCCTACACCAAATGAATTTCTTTATGATATCCTCCACAGCCCGATCCACATCTCTGAAACTGAAACACATTAAAAGGAAAAGATTTTTGAAGAAGTATAATTTCCATTTCCTTTTTCCACCCACATATGTGCAGGCACACTGATATAAAAAGGGACTTTAAAAAATTTGTGGAATCTTAAGCAAAAAGAACAAAGTCAGAGGTGTCACATTACCCAACTTCAAACTGTACCATAAGGCTACAATAACCAAAATGGCATGGTACTGGTACAAAAACAGACACATAGACCAATGGAACAGATAAGATAACCCAGAAATAATACTGCACACCTACAGCCATCTAATCTTCGACAAAGGCAACAAAAATAAGCAATAGGGAAAGGACCCCCTATTCAATAAAAGGTGTTGGAATAAATGGCTAGCCATATGCAGAAGAATGAAACTGGACCCCTACCTTTCACCATATGTAAAAATTAACTCAAGATGGATTAAAGATTTAAGTGTAAGACCTAAAGATTTAAATAAAAGAATCCTAGAGGAAAACCTAGGAAATACAATTTTGGACATCAGCTTTGGGAAAGAATTTGACTAAGTCCTCAAAGCAATTGTAATAAAAATGAAAATTAACAAGTGGGACCTAATTAAACTAAAGGGCTTCTACACAGCAAAAGAAACTATCAACAGAGTAAATAGACAACCTACAGAATGGGAGAAAATATTCCCATAATATGTATCTGACAAAGATCTAATATCCAGACTCTACAAGGAACTTAATTCAACAAGCAAAAAAATAATAATAATAACATCATTAAAAAGTGGGAAAAGGACATGAACAGACACATCTCAAAAGAAGACATACAAGTGGCCAACAAACATATGAAAAAACGCTCAACATCACTAATTATCAGAGAAATGCAAACCGAAACCACAAAGAGGCACCATCTTACACCAGTCAGAATGGCTATTATTAAAAAATCATAAAACAACAGATGCTGGTGAGGCTGTGGAGAAAAGAGAATGCTTATACATTGTTGGTGGGAATATAAATTACTTCAGCCAATGTGAAAAGCAGTTTGGAGGTTTATCAGAGACCTTAGAACAGAACTTAAAATTTAAAACATTCAAACCAGCAATCCAATTACTGGCTACATATCCAAAAGAAAATAAATTGTTCTACCAAAAAGACACATGCATTTATATGTTCATCACAGCCCTAGTCACAATAGTAAAGACATGGACTCAACCTAGGTTCCCATCAACAGTGGATCAGATAAAGCAATGGTCCCCAACCTTTTTGACACCAGGGACTGGTTTTGCAGAAGACAATTTTTCCCCATATGGAGGTGGGGAGGGGAGGTGGGGAAATGGTTTCAGGATGAAACTGTTTTACCTCAGATCATCAGGCATTAGATTCTCATAAGGAACATGCAGCCTAGGTCCTTCTCACGTGCAGTTCACAATAGGGTTTGCACTACTATGAGAATCTAATGCCATGGCTGATCTGACAGGAGGCAGAGCTCAGGTGGTAATGCTCACCTGCCCACCACTCACCTCATGCTGTGCGGCCCAGTTCCTAACAGCCCATGGACTGGTACCAGTCTGGGGCCCAGGGGCTGGGGACCCCTTGGGTACAGAAAATGTAGTATATATATGCCATGAAATACTACACAGCCATAGCAAAGAATGAAATCATGTCCTTTGTAGCAACATGGATGCAGCTGGAGGCCATTATCCTAAGTGAATTAACAGAGGAACATAAAACCAAATACTGCATGTTCTCACTTACAAGTGGGAGCTAAACATTGGGTACTCATGGACATAAAAATGGCAACAATAGAAACTGGGAACTACTACATGGGGAAAGGAGGAAAGTGAGGAAAGGGGCAAAAAATTATGGGGTGCTATGGTCACTACCTGGGTGATGGGATCATTCAGACCTCAAACCTCAGCATCACATAGTAAACCCACGTAACAAATCTAAAACCATTTTTCTGGAAAAATGGAATTAAAAGATAAAAATAAAAAATATAAACTTTATTTCTCTATACCATCACCATCAAATTCATGACATTTTTTTAAGTGATGATACTAGCCATTTAGCCATCCCTAAAGGACTGAGGGTCCTGGTAAGTTAACCATGTCTATACAGTCTTTCTACTTGTTAATAAAATAAAATGAGTGTCTTTTAAAGGTTTCTTAAGATTAGAAAACAAAAAGAAGTCAGAAGAAGTCAAATCAGGACGGTAAGGTGGATACCTAATGAGTTCCCATCAAAACTCCTGCAAAATTGCCCTAGTTTGTTGAGAAGCATGAGCAGGAGCATTGTTGTGGTGGAGAAGGTCTCTCTGGTGATGTTTTCCAAGGTGGTGGTGTGCTAAAGCTTTGGCTAACTTTCTCAAAACACTCCTAAGAAGAAGATGTTATCATTCTTTGGTCCTCCAGAAAGTCAACAAGCAAAATGCCTTGAACATCCAAAGAAACTACTGCCATGACCTATGCTCTTGACAGTTCTGCTTTTCCTTTGACTGGACCATTTCTATCCCTTTGTAGCCATTGTTTCGAATGTGCTTTATCTTCAGCATTGTATCAGTAAAACCATGTTCCATTTTCTGTTACAATTCTTCAAATAAATGCTCCAGGATCTTGATCACACTTGTTTAAAATTTCCATTGAAAGCTCTGCTCTTGTCTGCAGCTGAGCTGAGCACAAAAGTTTGGCACCCATCCAGTAGAAAGCTTGTTCAACTTTAATTTTTCAAACAGAATGTGGTTGGAACCACTATCTATGGTGTATACTATTGTTTGTGTTGTTAATCCTTGGTCCTCTTCAATGAGGGCATGAACAAGATGAATTTTTTTCTTCCAAGTTGATAGGGATGGCCTGCCACTGCAGGCTTCATCCTCAAAATCATCTTGTCTCTTCTTAAAACAAATCATCCATTTGTGAACTGCTGATTTCTTTGGGGCACCATCCCTATAACCTTTTGGTAAAGCATCAATGATTTCACCCAAGCATCATTATAAATTTGATGTTCATATTGCTCTGATAGGGCTCTTTTCAAACTGATGTCTTATCCTTCTTATTATCTCAAAGTAGTTTCTGTTCAGACATGTTATAATTAGTACAAATTTATTTTGATGCAAAAAAAAATTTTAATCTATGCATAGTTTTTTCATAACACACATTTTCTATGAACTTGTGAAGAGCCCTCATACACCTCTCACTTACTTTGTATAATTTACTTTCAAGCTGCAACCACACTCAAGGTGTGGGTCACAGCTATCCTGGCCACGTGCAAGGAACAAAACAAAAAACGACTTTAAGATGGAAGATATATTAAAAATTAGGGCTGACTTAGAAGTGTAGAGCAGCTGTGTTTAATAAAAAATCATGAAACTAGGAAATAAAAGACCTAGGTTCAAGTTCTACCTCTGCTACTCAGTTGTGGTAGGACCTTGGTCAAGCTATTTAAGATTTCTAAGCCTAGTTTCCATATGTATAATTTAAGAACCATTCACTCATTCTCATGGTTTTTATGGTATAGAGGGAGAGTTAAGTATTAAATAATCATACAACAAATGAATGAGGATTTGAAGACAACTAATATGGTCCTTTCAGAGAATAGAACAAAAGTACCTGACCTCCTTCGTAGCAGGTGATGCTTCAACTTGGATTTGACAGATGAGTGGTCATTAATTCACTGAAAGGAGGAAGGAGTTAAGAGGAAGTATATTCTAGGAGAAGGTACCACCATGTTCAAAGGCTCCGTAGTGGCAGGAAGCATAGCTGGTTTGACGAAATGAAAAGAAGGCCAGCAAAAATGGCCATTGAAAAGTTTAAAATATGGGAGTGAATGTTACAGGGTAGCTGTGAGATGATATGAAACAGGGCACAGAACATTTCTTTAAGTATGAAAGCACAAAATATATTAGGTGTTGATAGGATAAAAGTATACAAATCATCTAAAAGAACTCTTCCCCAACACAAAGGCACTGTCAAAACATTAGCTGGTGTTGTTCAGTGACTAGGGTACTCTGCTAATAAAGGCAGGAATGGAATAAAACATCACCACAGTGACTTTTTTCAAGTTGAAAATCTTGCAGCAGAAAGAACAAAAGATACAGGTTCACCACGCATAAAAGAACCTGACTGTAGGGCAAACAAATGACAGAATTTGTCAGAAATCTCCACTGCAGAGCCACCAATGAATACCAACCTAGTTTGACACAGTACAGGTGAAATGCCAGAAGAGAAGCCCCCAGGTTGTGATCAAATGCAGCTGCTTGGAAACAATTCAAAATGCAAACAACAGACTTCCTGAACTCCTGGGTCAAGTTTCAACCACAGAAATTATAAGCTGACTTTGTCACAACAAAAATTTGTCCCACAAAATGGATATTTTCTTTCGAGCTTGCATGAAACTCAAAAAAAAAGGTATCAATAGAATGGATAGGTCATTTGTCTCTCAAGAACACTGCTGGGGAAATTACTTATAAGACTTATAAATGAGGGTGATATAATGTCAGCTCTGATAAGGATATTAATTAAAAGAAAATTGACTGTTGACATTTCTGCAAGTTCAGACTATCAGATCAAACACAAACCCAAAGGAAGGGAGAAGGTCAAGGTGATATTCTATAAGCCAGAAAGTAGATTAAAAGTTTCTGGACAAGCTAAGATATATGAAATTGCAGACCTGTGGGCTTTTATGCTTATAGAAAATCTAAACTAGAACCATCTACAACTTAAATTGGAAAGGAATTTGTAGAAACAATGTACTAGATAGCAATCAGCATGATAATACAGAGCACATCAATGTAAATTTCCTTTTTTGACAAAGTGAAAGACCACATAAACAAAGGAGAAAAGGGGTATATAATCTATTATAACCTTAGCAATCTTTTCAATTCTGCCATGCAATACATAGTACCATATAAGATAAAAATCTAGATTTTTATAGTAATGAGATGACTGGAAAGTTATATGCAAAAAGTGGTTAACTAAACAACAGGATAATGTATACTACAATTTTAAATATATACAAAGCTATTTAAAAACTAATTGAATACTAATCAAAGCTTTGGAAAGAGAAACTAGAAGCAATTTGAAAAACCAGAAAGAAAAAGATGGATATACTATGTCACCTATACATGAACACATTTCTGAATATCAAAAGCATAACCCCAAATAGAGATAAATTATAGATTGGGGAAAACATTGCCAAATAATATGGTAGACATCAGATTACTATCTTAAATATACAACAAGGTCACTAAGATACCAATGAGAACAGGGGTAAAGAATGATAAAGACGACAGAATTAAGGCCTGTTTTTTATTTGTTTGTTTATACTTTAAGTTCTAGGGTACATGTGTACAACGTGTAGGTTTGTTACATATGTATACATGTGCCATGTTGGTGTGCTGCACCCATTAACTCGTCATTTACATTAGGTATATCTCCTAATGCTATCCCTCCCCCCTCCCCCCACCCCACGACAGGCCCCCGTGTGTGATGTTCCCCTTCCTTTATCCAAGTGTTCTCATTGTTCAATTCCCACCTATGAGGGAGAACATGTGGTGTTTGGTTTTTTGTCCTTGCAATAGTTTGCTGAGAATGATGGTTTCCAGCTTTATCCATGTCCCTACAAAGGACACAAATTCATCCTTTTTTATGGCTGCATAGTATTCCATGGTGTATATGTGCCACATTTTCTTAATCCAGTCTATCACTGATGGACATTTGGGTTGGTTCCAAGTGCACTTCATGTCTAAAACACCAAAAGCAATGGCAACAAAAGCCAAACTTGACAAATGGGATCTAATTAAACTAAAGAGCTGCTTCCTCACAGCAAAAGAAACTACCATCAGAGTAAACAGGCAACCTACAGAATGAGAGAAAATTTTTGCAATCTACTCTTCTGACAAAGGGCTAATATCCAGAATCTACAAAGAACTTAAAAAAATTTACAAGAAAAAAACAACCCCATCAAAAAGTGGGCAAAGGATATGAACAGACACTTCTCAAAAGAAGACATTTATGCAGCCAACAGACACATGAAAAAATGCTCGTCATCACTGGCCATCAGAGAAATGCAAATCAAAACCACAAAGAGATACCATCTCACACCAGTTAGAATGGAGATCATTAAAAAGTCAGGAAACAACAGGTGCTGGAGAGGATGTGGAGAAATAGGAACACTTTTACACTGTTGGTGGGACTGTAAACTAGTTCAACCATTGTGGAAGACAGTGTGGTGATTCCTCAATGATCTTGAACTAGAAATACCATTTGACCCAGCCATCCCATACCCAAAAGATTATAAATCATGCTGCTATAAAGACACATGCACACGTATGTTTATTGCGGCACTATTCACAATAGCAAAGACTTGGAAAGCCTGGTTTCTAATGAGGTTTTGTTTAGGGTCATTGCTTTGATTCCTCTGTGTATTTGTTATCTATTGTCATATAAAAAATACCTGAAAACTAAGTAGCTTAAAACATTAAACATTTATTATCTTACAGCTTAGCAGCTTAGTTGGCTGGGGCAGCAGTCATCTGAAGGCTTGACTGGGGGTGGATGATCAGTTTCCATATGGTTCACACACATGGTTATGGGCAGGAGGCTTCAGTCTCACCACATAAACCTCCCCGTAGGCTGCCAGAACATCCTCACAACATGGAAGCTGATTTCCCCAGAATGAATGATCCAAGAAAGAGCAAGAGAAAGTCACACTATATTTTGTGACCTGGCCTCAGCAGTCACACACTGCCATTTCCACAATATCCTACTGATTACACAAATCAGCCCCATCCAGTGTGGGAGAGGACTAAACTAGGGCTTGAATGTCATAAGACTAGCTACTGATTAATAATAGAAAATATAAATCTTTCTTTTTTCACTAAATATTTATTGAATATCTACAATGTGCCATCGGGAGTTCTACCCTGGTAAAAACCAATTCAAAATGGTAAACCTCACAGTCACAGAAACCTCAAGTAATAATATCATATTTCAACACTGAGCAACAGTGAGATCTAAGAACTGCGCATTCAGGTTGCAGTCTCAACTCTTCATCCCTGAAACATCTATGGATCATTATGCCAATGGGAAGTTCATAACTTTATTTAATGGCCAGAAAACTGTTCATCTACATCGCAATACCTCAGCCCAACATCAGATCTTTCCCAAGCATGTCAACACAAATTTCCAAACAGAGATTGCAGCTCTCTAGCTAGGACCAACACAAGAATCATCAACCAATGTTTGAAAGACTCAGATGTGAAGCCTGTAGACATTTTCTAGATTGTTCCAAATTCATTTTATGTGCAAAAGATGATATTTCTAGCCCGCCACCCCTAGAGTGTGCATTTCACTTTGTCTACTACCCAATCAACACATATTTGATGGAATGCCTGTTAGATTTTAGGCAGTAGACTAGTTGTTGGGAAACATATTTTGTCTTCATGGGAGAAATAGACAGTGAAGCAAAAATAAATAAATAAACAAACTGAATAATATGGCTCATGATAAATGCCATAAAGCCAATAAGCAGAGGACTTGATAGCGAATGCTAAGAGAAGGGTAGCAGAAGTGGCCTGGGATGATTTTCTGAGATAATACTATATGCCGAGACCTTGGGGAGCTAGTCATTTTTAAAAGGCCAGAAAAAAGCACTCCAGGTCCAGCATTTCAGACTGATAAGTGCCAAGGTATAAAAATGCTTGGTAAGAGCTTGGATCTGTTGGATGACAGTTTGGCTGAAACAGGAAGCAAGGAGAGCATCCCTCAAACTGAGGTAATAGCAATAAGAGGCAGAAGACAAACTTTTCAGGGACTTAAGAGCTGTGATAAAGAGTTTGGGGTTTATGCTGAGTGTGATAGGGAACCAGCAAATGTTTTTCATTGGGCAAGTGGCAAGGTCAGATGTAAATTTGTAGTTTGTGGCATAGTCCATGAGACCTGTGGTTTGTGTGACAGCTGCCAGAGAGCACCAAGGGCAGTCAGGGCAAAGGAACCAAGCGGCTGATTTTGCCCATAGAAAGATAAGACCCTTGGCCTTATCTTCATTTGAACAGTGCCATTTTTATTGGGGACTGAAATAAATGCATCTGTTGCTACTGATGGTTAGTTTGTCCTCATTTGCTGAAAGGGAAAGGTCTCTTCATGACTCATCCACAAATCCTGCTGATCCTCCTAATTAAAAAGTTTTCAAACAAGTTGATACATTACTTATTAAGAGCCCAGACACACCAGGCATAAATCCTTCCTGCCATCCATATGTATGCCAGGACTTCACTGCTGTATCTTTCATCATTATGAGGGATATCCTTCAATATAATTTTCATGACACCATCTGCCATGTTCTTCTCTCAACTTTTTTTGGTGGGGTGACAACTCAGTGATTATGAATGTCATATCTGGCATCTTTTAAAAATAAAACTCTATCAGAGATCTCAAGGGGGAAAACAAGTAATAAAAACATATCCGGCCAGGAGCAGTGGCTCACGCCTGTAATCCCAGCACTTTGGCAGGTCAAGGCAGGCAGATCACCTGAGGTCGGGAGTTCAAGGCCAGCCTGGCCAACACCGTGAAACCCTGTCTCTACTAAAAATACAAAAAAATTAGCCGGGCATGGTGGCAGGCTCCTGTAATCCCAGCTACTTGGGAAGCTGAGGCAGGAGAACTGCTTGAACCCTGGAGGCAGAGGTTGCAGTGAGCTGAGATTGTGTGACTGCACTCCAGCCTGGGCGACAGAGTGAGACTCCGTCTCACAAAACAAACAAACAAATATCCACTGGCAAGTGCTATGGACCACAGACCTAGGAATGCATTGCAGGTTAGCCTTTTTTACACCAAAAACAATGCAACTAAGAATGAAGGTAAACTGAATTTGTAGCCTTCTTAGTTTTCAGCAAATTAATTCTTGCATTCTTTTAAAACATTGCACGTTTTCATCAGTATAATTGGTTATGTGTTGCAAACTATTAAAGGTGGAAAGAGCAATTCTTAAAATTAAACTCTCTCTCCATTCACCTTCACCTTATGTATCCAAGACCTTTAAAGTTCCACCTCCTCTGAGATGACTTCTCTAATGAATCCAACCACATGGTTTATTCACATTATGTGACATTATATGTGGCCTCTGGCATGAAACCATTAGCAAATAAGCATGGATCTAATTTGTTTTTTTATATATCTCCACCCAAAATAAATAAATAAATAAACAGAGACAAGGACTTAGGTGCAAGGAGTTTATTTTGGAGATACCCCCAGGAAGCAGCAGTTAGGGAATGGGGAGATTGAAACAAAGAGGTAGGAAGAAACCATAAGAGGTGCTGTTAACCACCATGGGCAAGTGGTGCTCGATGCAGCTGGGGACTAATTCTTGAGTGACAGGTAGGATGTACCTAAGAATTTCCTTCTAAGGGACAGGAGGTTAAGGAATCTATCATATTTTCTAGTGGTTGAAGTTTGCCTCTGGAGCATCAATTTTCCAAAGTTCTGTGCTACCCAAAAGGCAGATCAAGCCAGCTCCTGGGCCTTTGGAAAAAGTCTTGAGGCAGAAGTGCAGAGGGGTGGGAGGTGCTTAAAGTGGGATGACGTCATTTTGCATGGGAACTGTCCAGCACAGCTATAGTGGAAATTAGTGGTGGATCAAGAGATTGTAGCAGAGGGCACAAAAAGTGTCTATTTCAGCATAAAAACTGTGTTGTTAATTAAAAATAAAATTTTGTTTAAAATGATGTTTTTAACAATATCACTGAAGATATAAACACTCATTTCTCTTAGTGTCATAGAGAGACTGACTGATCAGCTGACTCAGTCTGAGAATGCCCAAGTATTAAATGAGCACTTGTCGAACACTAGTTGAGCAGTATGAAGCAATGCACAAGTTAAAGTCAAGATGCCCAACTCTCAAGGAGCTTGCAATCTTACAGGGATTATCAACATTCACAAACAAACTAACACATAACTGGTAGTTCTGACTACAAAGGCAGAAAAAGTGAGAGACAGCATCATGTAGCGGTTAAAAGCTTCCACTCTGGAGTCAGAGAGACCTAGGTTTAAAATTAATCTAGGATTTGCAGTGTGATCTTGGACAAGGGTCTTAATCTCTCTGTGTCACAATTTCTTCATCTGATGGTTAGAAAAATAACTATCTGCTTCATGGAGTTGTCTGAAAAGTAAATGCAAGTAAAGCACTAATCACAGCACCCGGCACATAAATATTCATTAAATGTCAGTTGTTTTGTGAAAATTAAAGAGAAACGTAACAGTAGAATGGGATTTAAAGAAGAGAAGTATCTCCTTGTCAGACTCTTTCTCTTTCTTAAATATGAATTTTCTATAGCCTCTGGCCCCTGTTCTAGTACCATTTTCCCTTTTTTAAAAGTTTCATTTTCTAAAAAAGAACTACTTATATTAAGATTGGGAGGCCAGTATTAAAAGATGTGGAAATATAGCACAAAATGCACGAGCTTTGGAGCAATACTAGCCAATTTTAAATCCATGTATCTTGCCACTGAATGACCTTGGGTAAATCTCTTAAGCACACTGCCACTCAGTTTTCTCATCTACAAAATGGGAGCAATATAACCTGTCACTGTGAAGAGTAAAGGAATGTCTCTGGAGGATTTCCAACACATTTTAGATCCTCAAAAGTATTGATTGCTATTACTCACTATTCATTCAGTAGACACTTACTAGGCACCTACTATGTATAAAGCACTGTACTAGGTTCTACAGAATAACAAGACAGACATAAATAAGATATGGGTCCAACAGTCAAAAGTGTTACAGGTTAAACTTATTAATACATAAAAAAATCTAGATGTTTGAAATGACTCAAATTAATAAGTTACCTGAATATCAAATGTTACTATCCTAATTTCAAAGACAGGAAAGGAGACAGGGAGGAAGAGAGAGGGGGAGGGAGGTGGGGAAGGAGGAAACTAAGCTGGTTATCTCTGAGACAGAGTTTGCAGAAATACAAGATGATGAGATCTGTTTAAATTCACATCTGCTATAGGATACTCAGAAGTCTACAATGTGAACTGAACTCAGAGAAGATTTCTCCCATGAGGCTAAGAATGTATAAGGCCAACTCTACCAACCCTGAACCTGCAACATATAACAATGCTGCTCTATCCCAAACTTCTAATCCAGGTGAAACCAGGATGAAATGACTGTCATTGACACCCTGGAAGGGAAATGAGTTTGAGTAGAGATGAGAAAAATTAATATGGTGATGATGGGATCATTCTACTGGCTGGAATGCATGTAAGGCCTCATCTCTTTCCTAAGTCACTGTCTTACCAAACCAGAATGGGGGGATTCCAAAAAGAGCAGGATCTAAGCTAGCACCCCAAGTTTATTAAACTCAAGAATGGCTCTCAAGATGAGCATGGTCTTCACAAGTATATACTTCTCCTTGGTTCAACAAGTATCCCTTCCTCACACTTGCAGAATACTTTATAGTTCACAAAGCACTTTAATGACATTTAATGTCCATCATCTCACTTAACTCTCAGGACAGCCCTTTGTGTTTAGTTTCCATTTTGTAGACGAACAAACTGAAACTTGGGAAGCTTAAGCAACCGGTTTGAGGTCCCATACCAAGATGCAGAGGAGCCTGGACTGAAACTCAAGTCCTCTGGTTCCATTTCCAGGGCATTTTCCACACTTGTGTACAGCCTCTGAGAAAAGGGAAGGTTGCATCAATGAAATTGGAAGGCAGTAATTGGAAGCCATTTTCCTCTGACTTAGAGACCTGAGGCATCTCTGTCAAATAAAAATTCCCAACTAAAAAACTGGTGGTAAGCCGGGCATAGTGGCACAAGCCTGTAGTCCCAGCCACTCAGGAAGCTGAGGGAGGAGGATCACTTGAGACCAGGAGTTCAAGGCCAGCCTAGGCAACCTAGCGAGACGTCATTTCTAAACAAACAAACACACACACACACACACACACACACACACACACGCACGCACGCACATGAAAAAATTGGTGTCTCTGAATCTGTGCTATCCCTCCAGATCCTCAGATGTGAAATCCTTAAATCCTTTATGAACATGGAGCCTACTCCATGAAGAGCACCATTAGATTCAAGATAGTAAAATTCATTCGAAACTAATTGGTGAGTAATGAAGTTGCTAAAGTTTATGAGCCTTGCACCAACACTAATACAGAGGTACAGTGTCAACAATAAAATTGTAATCACTGACAAAACTAGCCTTCATGCAGAAAAGGGAAGCCTTTTCCTTTTCCCTTGGCCTGTAGACAATAGCATTAGACAATTTTTGGAGTGACAAGATCACTTCCTCCTGCCTAGTTTTAAAGAGTGACCACAAGGAACAGCTTCGCCCTTAGAAATAACTTTTGATTATTTGATAATGGAAAGGAAAAAAAGTGTACAACTCTCCTCTAGTTAAATTTCAAGCATTTAGAGAAGTGGATATGTCTATATCACAACATATCCTGAAAAACAGCCATGGCCATACACAAGAGAATAATACAGTGCCCCTTTGTACTCCTGTCTACACAGGCAGTTGTCTGCTACCAAAGAGGGGTTCCAGAAGAAAATGTTATTTGGGGCAGAAAAGACTGGCCTCCCGCCCCCCAACAGATCTATAAGAATATGTTAACCTCCTGTGCAACTCCCAGAGAGCTGAATGGATAAATACACTGAGTACTCAGTAAAATCTACCTCAAAACAATTATTCTGGTTTTTGCTTAGTTAGTATTTGTTCTTCCTAATTGTATTAAGAGAACCAGTTGTTTCCAGAGGTCAGTCCTGGAGAATGCCAGCAAGCCCTGGGATCTTTATTGGCTGGGATCTTCATGTTGGCTCTGATGCTACACTGACCAACGAAGTTACCACAGGTCTCACACAGCTATTGAGCACTGAAATAGGGCCAGTCCAAGTGGCATGGACTGTGTGCAGACAAAGTGACTCCATATTAAATGTTAATAGCTATGTTGACTTATTAACCTCAGTCCCAGGAATGCTTTCTGATTCCCACTCTATTTACTGTCCTCAATGTGAGAACATGTACTTGCTATAAATCCCGCCTTTACATCAAAGCAACCTTGATGTTATTGCACAAATTATAGGCTATGACGCACATAGCATTCTTGCCTTTTCTGGAGGGCTGCCTTTAATTGGCTATAGAGCACATATGCCCTTTCTCTGTGGTATATAAGCTCTTGGTCTGAGGAGTAATGGTGTGGAGATCTACCTGTCTTGCTGCCACCCAAGACCATGAGGCAAGTTCCCCAGTAAATCACCCTTTACTAGCAAACTGGATTTGTCTGCCTCATTCTTTGGTTTCTCAGCTCCTTCTGTGCTTGGTGGTCACTTTGCATATGTGGTCTTTTCACAGAACAGACTATACATGTCAAATACACATCAGATTTTGAAGATTTAGAATAAAAATAATAACATTGGTAATTTCTATATTGATTCCATGTAAAAATGGTAGTAGTTTGGAGGGATTGTTTTAGTAAAATAGATTACAAAATATATATATATATATATATATATATATATATATATATATATATATATTTTTTTTTTTTTTTTTTATTATACTCTAAGTTTTAGGGTACATGTGCACATTGTGCAGGTTAGTTACATATGTATACATGTGCCATGCTGGTGCGCTGCACCCACTAATGTGTCATCTAGCATTAGGTATATCTCCCAATGCTATCCCTCCCCCCTCCCCCGACCCCACCACAGTCCCCAGAGTGTGATATTCCCCTTCCTGTGTCCATGTGATCTCATTGTTCAATTCCCACCTATGAGTGAGAATATGCGGTGTTTGGTTTTTTGTTCTTGCGATAGTTTACTGAGAATGATGGTTTCCAATTTCATCCATGTCCCTACAAAGGACATGAACTCATCATTTTTTATGGCTGCATAGTATTCCATGGTGTATATGTGCCACATTTTCTTAATCCAGTCTATCATTGTTGGACATTTGGGTTGGTTCCAAGTCTTTGCTATTGTGAATAGTGCCACAATAAACATACGTGTGCATGTGTCTTTATAGCAGCATGATTTATACTCATTTGGGTATATACCCAGTAATGGGATGGCTGGGTCAAATGGTATTTCTAGTTCTAGATCCCTGAGGAATCACCACACTGTCTTCCACAATGGTTGAACTAGTTTACACTCCCACCAACAGTGTAAAAGTGTTCCTATTTCTCCGCATCCTCTCCAGCACCTGTTGTTTCCTGACTTTTTAATGATTGCCATTCTAACTGGTGTGAGATGATATCTCATAGTGGTTTTGATTTGCATTTCTCTGATGGCCAGTGATGATGAGCATTTCTTCATGTGTTTTTTGGCTGCATAAATGTCTTCTTTTGAGAAGTGTCTGTTCATGTCCTTCGCCCACTTTTTGATGGGGTTGTTTGTTTTTTTCTTGTAAATTTGTTTGAGTTCATTGTAGATTCTGGATATTAGCCCTTTGTCAGATGAGTAGGTTGCAAAAATTTTCTCCCATGTTGTAGGTTGCCTGTTCACTCTGATGGTAGTTTCTTTTGCTGTGCAGAAGCTCTTTAGTTTAATTAGATCCCATTTGTCAATTTTGTCTTTTGTTGCCATTGCTTTTGGTGTTTTGGACATGAAGTCCTTGCCCACGCCTATGTCCTTCTGAAACTATTCCAATCAATAGAAAAAGAGGGAATCCTCCCTAACTCATTTTATGAGGCCAGCATCATTCTGATACCAAAGCCGGGCAGAGACACAACCAAAAAAGAGAATTTTAGACCAATATCCTTGATGAACATTGATGCAAAAATCCTCAATAAAATACTGGCAAACCGAATCCAGCAGCACATCAAAAGGCTTATCCACCATGATCAAGTGGGCTTCATCCCTGGGATGCAAGGCTGGTTCAATATACGCAAATCAATAAATGTAATCCAGCATATAAACAGAGCCAAAGACAAAAACCACATGATTATCTCAATAGATGCAGAAAAAGCCTTTGACAAAATTCAACAACCCTTCATGCTAAAAACTCTCAATAAATTAGGTATTGATGGGACGTATTTCAAAATAATAAGAGCTATCTATGACAAACCCACAGCCAATATCATACTGAATGGGCAAAAACTGGAAGCATTCCCTTTGAAAACCGGCACAAGACAGGGATGCCCTCTCTCACCGCTCCTATTCAACATAGTGTTGGAAGTTCTGGCCAGGGCAATCAGGCAGGAGAAGGAAATAAAGGGTATTCAATTAGGAAAAGAGGAAGTCAAATTGTCCCTGTTTGCAGACGACATGATTGTTTATCTAGAAAACCCCATCGTCTCAGCCCAAAATCTCCTTAAGCTGATAAGCAACTTCAGCAAAGTCTCAGGATACAAAATCAATGTACAAAAATCACAAGCATTCTTATACACCAACAACAGACAAACAGAGAGCCAAATCATGGGTGAACTCCCATTCACAATTGCTTCAAAGAGAATAAAATACCTAGGAATCCAACTTACAAGGGATGTGAAGGACCTCTTCAAGGAGAACTACAAACCACTGCTCAAGGAAATAAAAGAGGACACAAACAAATGGAAGAACATTCCATGCTCATGGGTAGGAAGAATCAATATCGTGAAAATGGCCATACTGCCCAAGGTAATTTACAGATTCAATGCCATCCCCATCAAGCTACCAATGACTTTCTTCACAGAATTGGAAAAAACTACTTTAAAGTTCATATGGAACCAAAAAAGAGCCCGCATTGCCAAGTCAATCCTAAGCCAAAAGAACAAAGCTGGAGGCATCACACTACCTGACTTCAAACTATACTACAAGGCTACAGTAACCAAAACAGCATGGTACTGGTACCAAAACAGAGATATAGATCAATGGAACAGAACAGAGCCCTCAGAAATAATGCCGCATATCTACAACTATCTGATCTTTGACAAACCTGAGAAAAACAAGCAATGGGGAAAGGATTCCCTATTTAATAAATGGTGCTGGGAAAACTGGCTAGCCATATGTAGAAAGCTGAAACTGGATCCCTTCCTTACACCTTATACAAAAATCAATTCAAGATGGATTAAAGATTTAAACGTTAAACCTAAAACCATAAAAACCCTAGAAGAAAACCTAGGCATTACCATTCAGGACAAAATATATATTTTTAAAAATAATTTCACCTGTTTCTTTTCACCCTAAATAATATATGTACTAGAAAATTTAAAATTACAAATGTAGTTCACATGTTTGAATTACATTATATTTTTATAGGGCTCTAATGCTCTGGAGGACACATCCTTATTCTCCAAGATCTCTATCAAGTCATTTAGGTAAGTTTAATAGAAGAGGTATAAATGCCATGTTTTAATGACCCTGAATTTGGGTAAGTTAGAAAGTGCTTACTTGCTGTCCAAGGTTCTTTGAAAGTAGAAAGATGCAAAACAGTGTGCTTGTTTGCCTGGTTGTTTTGGGCAGTTTGATCTCTCATTGTCTCTGGTAGGAACAGTGTCTGTTTAACTGATCTGTAGGGATTCAGCATTGTGTGATGGGGCATGTGGGTGTTTAACTGTAACACTTGAGAAGAATGCTTACAGCTCAGCTGTTAGAATCTCGTGCTAAGGAATCTAAGGTTAAGGGTTGAATCCCCAGCCAGACACACTTAGCTCAGCTTTTTTTGTGGACCAGGCATGCACTCCCCACCTGGGCTTGCTTTCTTGCAAATGTCCATTCTTGGTTACAATAGGGGCCAGTGAAATAATGGTGCTGTACACTTATCAAATCCATCAACACCACTCCAAAAAGCAGCTCAGCTTCATCCTTCAGGGGAACAGCATCACCTGTACCACCTTTTCATATAAAGGAAAGCATATTATTTTCCTGTGTTAAAAAAGAAGGTTTTTTTTAAAGCGATACCTGTTACAAGTTTCAAAAGCCAAGCAAAGGTAAAAACATAAAAAGTATTGTGTTTGCTCCCTCATTTGCTTCCAGAAAAACCATTCTTAAGCTATAAAGGTCCAGATTTGGGTAAGCTAAATCCTGCCCATCTAGGAGATTTAGAAGATCATAGAGAAACATATTTATGCTTCTTATTTTTCATAAACTTACTATTAAGAAACTCAGTATATTAGATTCTTGCATGACTTGTATCCCTCAAATTTCCAAGAGGAATTGGCCAGCAGTGCTGTGTAACAGAAGCCAGAGTCCAGAGATTCAGGCCACAGGCTGACTCTGCACCAATGGCTATGTGGAATGGGACAGTTCATCTCCGTCTCTGGTTCTGTGTGTCCCCCTCTGTAAAAGCAGAGTTTGTACTTACATTTAGTCTAATTCTATAGTTTCAAAGCACCCTAGTTGACCACCTTGAAAGGCCAAATCAAACATTCATGTTTCTCAAGTCTACTTTTTTTGTTGGTTTGTTTCTCTTCAAGAGCAATAGAGGTGATGCCTCAGAATTTGGCCGACCTTCATTTTAAACAGCTGTGCCAGGCAGCTTTGGAATGGGCTCCTGTCTCCAGTGGCTTTTGCACCTGCAATCTGGCTGGCTCGAGCTTTCTGTTTCCCGCCTGCCCCGGCAGCAGGCTAGGAGTAAGAGCAGTTGCCTATGACGTTCTCTGAACCTCCTGCTCCAGGCGACTGAGCCAGGAGATACCTAAGGGGCTTGTCAACACCTAATGCTGTCTCTCCTTCTCCTTGGCTCCAAACACTGTTCTGGGTATTGCCTCGCTGGGCCTGGCTAAAGCTCTGTCTTCTGAAGTGAAGGTTGACCTTTTATTAAATACTAACCCTACAAGAAAAGTAGAATAAACTAGTCCCATTGTAACTTGCCAAGATTAATACATCCATAGAATTGGGGCAGGAGATAACACCGAATGTGTACTACAGACTAGATATTGTTAAGTAGTATATTTCTAATTTAATCTTTAATCTTTATAATAAGCCTATGTAATAGATAGGCACTATGATTATTGCCAATTTACAGATGTGGAAACTGTGGGTTAGAGAAATAAGGTAACTTTCCCATAGACTTATAGCTATTAAGTGACAGAGGTAGGATTTAGAGATAGGTAGATCCACTTGAGTCCAGAGCTTATAGAGGTACCTACCTTACCAACAGGACGGCTTTTTGGAATTCATTTCGATAAAAAAAAAATCAAGTTGGATATGACGGACTTGATCATTTCTTCTGCCTGAGATGCCTAACACATCTAAAAGAGCTGTACGTTAGTTCATGTTATTGAAAAGCAGCCACCAAGACAGGCTAGATGTCACTATTTCTGAGCCTCCTTCTACTCCTCTTGTTTTTTTCCTTTTTTAGGAGGGAAAGACTGGCGGAAAGAGAAATACACAAACCTCAGAAGGGAGCAGACAATTCACACATTTCTACAGTTTAACCTTCAGTGCCAGTAAGTGTCAGGTAGTAGAGCTTCAGGTATGCCCCAAAAGTCTCCTTGCAAGGAACTGAGAAACCTGGAACATTTCTGCGTTTATGCTTATCCACCTATTTCTATCCTCTAAATTCATTTGATATCTGCTCTTCCTTTCAAAGGTAATTCAGATCACACCATAGCACCACGGACCATAAATCATTCTGAACAGAACTCTGTTTCTGGGGCACATCAATGTTCATTCAAGGGATCGTGCTTTAGAAACTAACCACCAATATGTATTTCAGTAATCTACTCCAATACTTATAATGTGACACAAAGAACAATCTTCAGCCTTCACCACTTCCTCAACACCACATTTTGCTCAGCTTTCCAGAACTGCCTTTGGAATCTCATCTTATAGGAGGGAGCTTATATGCACCAGAAAAGATAATGAGCAATCCTGTTTACCAGAAACTCATCTAGGAAAACAGCTAAGGAAAGAGGATGAAGCTTATTAATAAGCCCCAATTCTCAGCTTTGACTGCGTTAGATATATCAAGTTCACTGGAACCTTACTAGGTATCCTAGTCTCAGCCACTGTATTTCTCAGGTCTGGGACATATCTCTGAGCCTTTCCCCTATGCTGATGTTGGTTTATCAGGTAGTGCCTGCCAACAGCCTATGGCTCATGCTAAAAATAATTGAGAGTTGCTCAATTATTTCTAGAGAGGCAGCTGGTGTAGTGGAAAGAACACTGACTGATAATAACAGCTATTGTTTACTCACTTCATGCAAGACATTTTACAAGCATTATCTCCATTCTGCTGATAACCTAAGGAAATAGGTATGATTGCCCCCATTTTTTACCTGAGTCAGTTAAAGATTAGAGAATATCCATGATTTACCCAAGGCCTCAAGTTTATTGTCCAACAGATCCATGATGTGAATTGAACTCTCTCTCTGATTCCATATAATTCTGATGTATCATTACTGCCTCCAAATAGAAGGCAGAAAACTTGGTCAGAGTCCTAGAATTGCCACCTGGGTGGCCTATAACAAACCTTAATTTCACTCTGGATCTTAATTAGCTCAGCTACAGAATGGAAATAATGCTATTGAGTCTTAGGTGAGGATGCAGTCCTAAGAGTCAAATAGCCTGGGTTAAAACCTAGTCCCAAGCTTACCAGATGCATGACCTTGAAGAAGTAAATTAGCTTTACTTTTAACATGGAAATAATAGCAACAACTACCCCAATAGATATTGAGTAGATTAAACAAATTAAAACATGCCAAATGTATTAGTCAGGGTTCTCTAGAGGGACAGAGCTAATGGAATATATATATGTATGTATGTATGTATATATATATACACATACATACATATATATACATACATATATATACACATACATATATATATACACATACATATATATATATAGAGGGAGAGGAGTATGTGTGTGTGTGTGTGTGTGTGTGTGTATATAATATATATATAATATATATATATAAAATATATATAATATATGAATATACCTTGCATTTATATATGAAAAAAACAGAATGTATTAGCCTGTTTTCACTCTACTGATAAAGACATACCCAAGACTGGGTAATTTATAAAGAAAAAGAGGTTTCATGGACTCACAGTTCCACATGTCTGGGAGGCCTCACAATCATGGCACAAGAGCAAGGAAGAACAAACGGACATCTTACATAGAGGCCAGCAAAGAGAGAATGAAAGCCAAGCGAAAAGCGTTTCCCCCTATAAAACCATCAGACCTCGTGAGTCTTATTCACTACCACAAGACCAGTGTGGGGGAACTCACCCCCCATGATTCAATTACCTCCCACCAGGTCCCTCCCACAACATGTGGGGATTATGGGAGCTACAATTCAAGATGAGATTTGGGTAGGGACACAGAGAAACCAAATCACAGAGCCACCAGGTGATAGTCTGCAAACTCCTTGTTTTAAAATTATTTTCTCCTTTGCCTGGCCTAGAGGTATGGAGGCTCTATTATCATAGCATCCAGATGGACATAGGAGAGCAGCCTGAATGCCAAGATGTCTGGTATCAGATAGCTCAGTTAAAGGCAAAGTATGGAAATTACTAAGAGCAGGAAAAAAAAGATACAAATATTTTCATCTGATAAGAGAAGATTACAGTGATCACAGAGTGTAGTGGTTTGGCATCAGGCTGCCAAGAGTGAAATTCCAACAAGTTTGCTTATCAGTGTCTCAGTTTCCTTGTCTGTAAGCTCCGCCTGTTAATAGTGTCTACCTACAGGGTCACTAAGTAAGGTATTTATCACAGGGTAAGTATTAAATAGGTAATAGATGTAACCCTATGAGGTATTCTATATATCTGCTGAGGTAAATTCTTGTTCCTAATAATGTTTCCTCCAACTTCCTGTGAGTTTCGGCGGTGAGAAAGTTAGAATGGAAAAGGTCTGAAATTGAGAGAAAGTTGCGAAATGAGCAATAAGATGGTGTTCGTGCCCTACGTCAAAAAGACTTGGTCAGAAACATACATCTTTGAGACAGACTTGAGAGCTCTTGTTTGGCTCTCTGACCTTCTGTGGGAAATTAAATCTCCCAAGTTGTTAAATCCAAGCCAGTCTTTTTCTCCTTTTCAGTTTTCCAAGGTCATAAACACAGAAAAGGGATTCCTGGCCCTGGTACTAGAGCTCATCTTATAAGCCCAATGTAGTATAGTTCTAAACTAAGCATATTCTATAAGCAAAGTCCCTAGATTTGTTTCCTGGCTTCACCACTTACCATCAATTGGACCCTCGGCAAGTTATTTAACCTCACTAGGCCTCTCTTTTATCATCTGTAAAATGGGAACAATGAAATAGAGACACTGAGAAAATTCAGTGAGACAATGAATATGTGATAGGCAGAACAATGTCCCCGTCCCCCAAAAAAGTCTACGTCCTAATTCCCAGAACCTGTAAACACGTCATATTACATAGCAAAAGGGATGCTGAAAGTGAAATTAAGGTTTCAGATCTTTAAATAGGGAGATTGTCCTGGATTATCCGGGTAGACACAATCTAACCACATGGGCTCTTAAAAGTGGAAGAAGCAGCAGAAAAGTCAGAGAAGTGGCCAGAGAGTTCCAAAGCATGAGAGGGATTCAACCCACACTTGTTGGCTCTGAGGACTGAGGAAGGTGGCCACAGGTAAGTGGGTGGCCTCTAGAAGCTAGAAACAGTACTCAGTTGACAGTCAGCAAGGAAACAGGGACTTCAGACCTGTAACAGCAAATAACTGAATTCTGCCAACAACTTGAATTAGCAGGAGTCAGATTCTACCCTAGAGCCTCCAGAAAGGAATACAGTCCTCGTAACACCTGGATTTAATCCAACAAGACCTGTGTTGGACTTCTGACCTACTGAACTATGAGGTAGATTTTTGTTGTGTCAAGCTCTAAGGCTGTGGTAATTTGTTATGGCAGCAAAGGAATTGTGGTACGGAATGTCAAGTACTTAGAATGTCCCCAGCACACAGAGTAAAATCTCATTCAAATCCAGCAATTTGATGATGGCAATGCTGATGAGGAAGAGGGGAATGACAATGAATTTTTAGGTTACATCTGAAATTATGACTATTAAGCCTGCCTATAAACACAATATTAAGATTTTTAGGTCCTCTTGTGGATCCAATATCCTATTAAATGTTTTCTATTTAGTAAATTACTTTATCTAAGCCTCAAAACTATTCTATGAAATAGGTACAATTACACCTATTTTCATGAGGAATTGGAGCTCAGAAAAGTTCATTTATCTTATGCTGAGTTTCGCTCTGAGTGATTTTGGGTTATGCAGAAGCTATCAAGGACATAAGACAATCCTAGTGGAGGGAAAAGTTCATAATGTCCCCAAAGACAAAAATACAGCACAATGAGTTATTCCTTCAATGAGCATACTTAGGCAACACTTTCTTTCCATCAATGCCTAAAGCGATGGTTGGAGCCCTTTGAAATCAAGTTAAATGGGGAGAGGTGCACAGAAGCACTAGAACTTGCCATTGTTTAAGAGACAGAAAAGAATTGTGCTGTCTGAGCAAGACAATCCTAGCCATGTGCCTGCTGAGAGCCCAGAGCATGTGAGCTTTAACTAAGGAAACCAACTCCAAATCCTCAGCAGCTACGGAAGTATGAAATGGATTTCAGGTGGACTGAGACAGAGTTTAGAAATGGGACCAAATGTGCAGTCTCTTTTGACCAAAGTTTAAAGGATGATTTGCTTCTTCTTTTCCCAAGCAGAATGCAATTTTAGATCACTCATTACATCCCAAGAGAAATTCATAAAAGTATTACTCAACAGGTGAATACCACAGGAGTTTCTAGTTCAAATTTTAGACCACTCCAAGTATGGTCAGGCAACCACTGCCTCAAAATTACTTGTGTTGCCTGAAAGAAATATAGCTTCCTGTCCCTCTCCCAAAAGCAAAGAAATTGCAGAAGCCCAGAATCTGCATTTGGTGATTCTCTCGCAAATTCAAGTTTGAGAAACCCTTTGTAGAGACTTACATGGGTATCCAGAGGTAAGTCAGGAGGCATCAGCAAATATTCCGTGGCAGGCTCCATGAGAAGTACTGAGATAAAAATTCTTGCCCTGGCTCCAAGATTTCACAGGCAATTGATGAACTACAATACAGGACAGACAGACATAAGTAATACATAGAGGTAGGTATAAGTAGACTGCTCTGGGCACACAGAAATAGAGCAATCAATTCTAGCCAGGGCTCTCCCTCCAGGATTTTAGGAAAAGGTATCAGTCAGACTAAACTTGACAATGAGATCAGCAGATTACGGTGTAAGATTGGGGAATAGTAAGTTGGTTCCACAAGCAGAAGGAAGGTCCAGACCAAGGTCAGCAAAGGCACAAAAGCATGTCCAGGCCTATGCTATGGTGGAAGAGAGGTCCTCAAAGACTGTGAGTAAAGACGTCAGAAAATCAGTCCAGCTGGAGGACAACAAAGGCACTGATGGCCATAATAAAGTGGGGGACATTTTGAGTTTTTAAAGCAATGGTATGAGTTAGTCTATGGTTTCAAAATGAAATAGGCTATGCATTATTTTCCTGTCACTCCCATAAGAAATTATCACAAAATGAATGGCTTAAAACAACAAGAGTGTACTGTCTCACAGATCTGGAGGCTGGAAGTCTGAAATCAAGTGTTGGTAGGGCTAGATTCCACCTAAAAGCTAGAGTGAAGAATCCTTTGCCACTTCCATCTACTGGTAGCTCCAGGCCATCATTGGCTTGTGGCTCTATCACTTCTACCTCTGCCTCTGCGTTCATGTGAGTTTCTCATCTTCTCCCTGTTATCATCCTCTTTTGTCTCTTATGAGAGCATCTGTGATTGGATTAAGATCCCAACCAGATCATTCAAAATGATCTCATATTTAGCTGCTTAATTTAATTACACCTGAATAAAACCTTTTTTCCAAATAAAAGCATATTCACAGAAGATTAGGACAAGGATATATTTTAGAGAGGCCACAACTCAACCTTCTATAGGCTTCCATTAGGCTGTATGATAGATAGACAGAGACCAGTTTTTGAAGACAGACCTACCCTGGTTTGTAAAATCAATTCTGCTACTTATTGGGCATAGAACAAATGTGCCCAATGGTGATAATAAATATTTTGTAGGGTTGTTGTGAGGATTCGAATAATGTCTATACCTTTCTAAGATAGTAGGTGTCTGGTGCATAATGCGGTCTCAATAAACTGTAGTAATATTAGTGACATGAAGTACTTGTGCTTTGTGAGATATGTTAGAGACACTGCAGTTTAGGGGGTGAGTGGACAGGGTTGAGAAATGAATGCTTTGGGTGCAGTTCTTAGCCTATGTGACCAATGGCCTATGTGACCTGAGGAAAATGACTTTGTCTGCTGGAGTTTTTTTAATCTGATATTTGTGAAAGGAAATTTGTAATATTTACTACATCAGGAGATTGCTATTAGTGTTTAAAAAAATAATGAATGTATTTAGCTCCCACTAGAATATGAGAAAACAAAACAAAACCAAGCAATGAATGTAAAACATTTATCCCAGTGCCTATCTTAGCACATAGTAATTGAGCTACTCAGTGATTATGAGGATGAGACAAAGGATCATGTGTATGAGAAAGTAGTCATTCACACATGGAGACCTCATGTTTAGAATGTAAACAAAGTACTTTTGTGTGAAATAGCTCATTTAGAGCTCCTATAAACTGTTAT
The DNA here is from genome assembly GCF_000001405.40 of Homo sapiens. NCBI lineage: Eukaryota > Metazoa > Chordata > Mammalia > Primates > Hominidae > Homo > Homo sapiens. The sequence continues at coordinate 4,036,332 of NC_000003.12, forward strand.
CTTATTTTGAGGCTCTGCCTGGGGCAAGAACTCTGCCCTTCCAGATGTTCAGGGAGAGACCACCTCCCTGGATCACATTTCTTATCAAATTAAGTACTGCTGAAAATTTTCTGTTGACTTTTGGAGGGCAGAGGCCAAAAAGAAAAAATGAAGGCTCTTTGGGGAAGACCTGCATGAGGGTTCTATAACTCTTCCCATAGGCCTGAGTGAAGGCTGCTGCAGGAGGAGTTTTCTCACTCCTCACTTCCATTTCCTTCTTGCTATGATCCTCAGAAATGAATCCATTAAAAAAAAAAAAACAGAGCTGGTCAACCAAGACCTGCTCAGTCCAGAGAAGCTACACAGAGCCCCACTGTGAGGAGAAACTAACATGATAATCTATTCTGGTGCTGAATGTTCTGTCTCTACCTCAACAAAGCAGAGGGGCTTTGCTTTAAATTTTTTTTCTAATTTTAAAACAAGACAGCAAATTAATTGTTAGTGTCCAGGCAAAGCAGATCTGCTGAGGTCAGTGAGGCAAAAAAAAAAAAAAAAAAAAAAAAGAGACCATGGTGAAATCACAAGGAGAATCATACAGAACTAGGTGGAGATACTGAGGGAACCAACACACTGTTCTGAACACTTTGGGGGCTTCAGAGTATGAAGATGACCAGGTTCCAAGATATACACACAGCTTAAAAGTTTCAAGGAGACACAAATCAGAAAGGTGTATCACCACAGGAGGAGAAACAAATAAATTCAAGTATTCCCAAACTAGACTACACCACAGAAATATTCTAAGACTAAGATCTAGTCAAATACATTGAGAGAAGAGTGATCTATTGGCATGAGTGACACAGAGTAAGGAAATAATATGGATAGACCACATTTATTTTCAATGAAGAAAGTAACATAGCAAAGATAAAATTGAAACTAAGTTTCTAAATAATTCCTTATCTGGTCCCTTCCTTCTCATTCTGACATCACCGCCTCCTTCCTTCAACTTCTATAGTAAGTTCTAAGTGGTCTCCTTATCCACCTCCACTTTTAACCCATTCTTTTCACATCTTCCATTTTAACATTCTTCCCAGAAAACATAAATGGCCAATACATCGGAATAAAATTTCACATATGCCAATATAACAAGAGATGAAGGAAAGTTAATGGTAGAGGGAGGAATAGTGTGTTTTTTAGTTCTATCAGATTCTTTTTTATACTGGCATTTTCATCTGTCAACTCCTGTATCATTTTTTTGCGATTCTTAGTTTCCTTTGATTGGATTTTGCTGTTCTCCCAAATCTTGATGATCTTCATTCCTATCTATATTCTCAATTCTATTTCTGTCATTTCAGACAACTCAGCTGGTTAAGAACCCTTGTTGGAGAACTGATGCAATCATTTAGAGGACATAGACACTTGGGTCATTTGGGTTGCCAGAGTTCTTATGTTGATTCTTTCTCATCTCTACATGTGTGTGTTCCTTTAACTGTGATATAGATTGAATATGGTCAGTAGACTTCTTTTCTGGATGTGTTCACAGGGCCAAGGCTTTGCGCAGGGTCTTTATTTGTAACTGACATCTTGCCTTTGGTTTCACAGTTGGCGGGTTATGTTATTGAGGTATTTTGGTATTGAAGCTTTGGAGTATGATCCAATAGGTGGCACTTAGATGTAGTGGTCAGTTAGCAGGTTCTTGCTCAGTTGCTGTGTTCTCGGTCAATGATCTGAAAGTGTGAGTTCCTCTCCCACTTAAGAGCTGGCTGTAGATCGTGGCTTGACATTCCTGGGCTGCCCACCACCGCTGCAGGGTGATCTTCAGGTTTATATTTCCTCACCAACTTGGAGGCAGCAGAGGAAGAGGCCTTATCAATAGATGTGGCTGATGGTCTTTCACTTGTCTCCTGGGGGCTCCACCCCAGAGATATGCAGGTCAGCAATCGCTCACTGCAATCAGCCCAGGATAAGGGGTCTGTGCTGTGGGCCCAAGGCAGGGGTTCCCTGCTTGGTGATGGGTGATGGGGTGGAGTCTGTGGGAGAAGGACTGGCCTCCTCCCCATAGGTCGACTGCAGCTTGTTAGAGGTGTGAATAAGACACTTACGGTCTTTGCTCCTTCATTAGACTGAGGGTAGCAGGGATAGTACCACTACAGAGGCAGTAGCAGAGTGGCTTTCAGTTGCTCCCGGGGGATCCGCCTCTGATAAATGTGGACTCCCAGCTGTTGCCCAGAGTGTTCAGCCATTGGGGTGGGGCAGCTGCACTGTTGGTGTGAGCTTGGGGCTCCACTTGCTGGGGAGCAAAGGGCGAAGGGCTCACTGGGAAGAGAGACTAGTCTACTCTCCATATGGTGATAGTGGCATGCTGTAAGCTCAGGTGTAGCCCTCAGGCTCTTTGTTTCTTCCCCAGACTGAGGGCAGCAGGAATAGAACCACTGCTGTGGCAGTGGAAGAGAGGCAGTCAGATGGCTCTGGGAGTCTCTCCCCAGGGAAACTCCAGACCACTACCACTGGGTATGCTCAGGATAGCTAAGTTTTACCAGGAAAATGCAAATCAAAAGAGTTCAGGGGTTGCGATATTAGTATCAGACAATGCTTAATTCAAGAAAAAAGCAATAAAGAGCATAAACAGATTAATTTACTAACTCACAATTAAGACAGCAACTTAACCATTTATAAACAAAATAGCATATCATAATATTTACATTTTGTTTGAAAAGAGAACTACCTAAATGCAACAGCAATGGCAAACATTAAAGCACTCCCCCCTTAATTTTTTATAGTTCAAGTAGAAAAAAATTACAGAGAATTGAAATACAGAAAATACATTTAATATATATCATAATCCATATCCTAAAAATGGATCTATAACTTCCTTCAAGCATGCCTGAAACATCTATGCAAATTTTTTTTTTTTTTTTTTTTTTTTTATTATACTCTAAGTTTTAGGGTACATGTGCACATTGTGCAGGTTAGTTACATATGTATACATGTGCCATGCTGGTGCGCTGCACCCACTAATGTGTCATCTAGCATTAGGTATATCTCCCAATGCTATCCCTCCCCCCTCCCCCGACCCCACCACAGTCCCCAGAGTGTGATATTCCCCTTCCTGTGTCCATGTGATCTCATTGTTCAATTCCCACCTATGAGTGAGAATATGCGGTGTTTGGTTTTTTGTTCTTGCGATAGTTTACTGAGAATGATGGTTTCCAATTTCATCCATGTCCCTACAAAGGATATGAACTCATCATTTTTTATGGCTGCATAGTATTCCATGGTGTATATGTGCCACATTTTCTTAATCCAGTCTATCATTGTTGGACATTTGGGTTGGTTCCAAGTCTTTGCTATTGTGATTAAAAGGTGAAGAAAGCTCAATATTCTAAAAACAATAGGTCCTAATGACTATAGTTAATTATAATGTTTTGTATGGTCAGGTATGGTGACTCATACCCATAATCTCAGCACTTTTGGAGGCTGAGGCAGGAGGATCACTTGATGCCAGGAGTTTGAGACCAGCCTGGGCAATACAGTGAGACCTAGTTTCTACAAAAAAAATTTTCAAATTCACTGGACACGGTGGCATATACCTATAATTTCAGCTACTTGGGAGCCTGAGATAGGAGGATCACTTGAGCCCAGGAGTTAAGGCTGCAATGAGCCATGATCACACCATAGCACTCCAACATGGGCAACAGAGACCTGTCTCAAGAAAAAAAATGTTTTGTATACTTGAAAATTTGCTAAAAGAGTAGATCTTAAGTATTTTTACCACACACACAAAAGAGAGATAACTATGTAAGGTGATAGATATGTTGATTAGCTTAATTTTGGTCACATTTCACAATCTGGAAATATATCAAAACATCATTTTGTACTCCTTAAATATATACAATTTTAATTTGTCAATTATACTTCAATAAAGCTTGGGAAAATAAATAAAACAACAGGTCAAATTATGTACCTCAGAATGGGGAAAAGTTCTTCCCTAGGCTCCTTATAACCTACTTTTCTAGGCCTATTGCTACTAACTCATTAATTTTACAACATACTATGGTCACTCTTCATAATTTATTCTTCCCCATGTCTCCCTACTATAGTGACCAGGAACCCAGCAGGCGTCTAATAACCCTTCCTCCAGCCCTGTTTAGCATTTTAATCAATGATTTAGATGAAGATATACGGGATATATTTATTGAACATGCAATTGAAACAATAGCAACTATATGAACAAAATCAACTTCCAAAATACTCGTAACAATCAAGCCAGTCTAAATAGAAGGAAGTTTAACAGACATATAAATACAAGATTGGGTATAAAACCTAAAGAAGTGAAGAATGTCTGAGATTTGATTTAGCAGCAGTATGTCACGTAAAACTAACAAATTGTAATCTGGTTTTAGTAGACAGTGAGCTTAATACAGTTCAACAGTGTGCAATGTTGATGCCGAAATGGGCTAATTGTGTATTACTAGATGCAGAGTAACTAGAACCAGAGAGGCAATCCATTCCAATTTCAGTTTGGGGTGTGAAACATTTTTATTGAACTCTTTATGGACTGAGTGGGCTAACTCAGAGGGCACTGAGTTCCCCATAACCAAAAGTGTTCAAGCAAAGCCAGAACTATGTTAGTAGACTCATTTATTCAGTTTTCAGGAGTAACCTCAGGTTGGGTGCCCTTGGGGTCTGAAGTTTATGGCAGTTCCCAAAGAGTGCCTTCCTCCTGGGATATTCAGATTCAATCAATGCAACCATTCTTTTTTGTTTTTGCTTTTGTTTTTTTGAGACAGAATCTCACTCTGTAGCCCAGGCTGGAATGCAGTGGTGCGATCTCAGCTCACCGCAACCTCCGCCTCCGGAGTTCAAGCAATTCTCCTGCCTCAGCCTCTGAGTAGCTGGGACTACAGGCACACACCACCATGCCCAGGTAATTTTTGTATTTTTACTAGAGATAGGCTTTCACCATGTTGGCCAGGCTGGTCTTGAACTCCTGACCTCAAGTGATCTGCCCTCCTCGGCCTCCCAAAGTGCTGAAATTACAGGCATGAGCCACAGCACCCAGTCAACCATTCTTTATGATGATATATCAGGTGACTTACTTTTTATTTCCCTTTCACGTTCACCTGACACAATAACTACTTTTGTAGACAATACCCTTCAGAGAGCTTCAGCACTGCAATCCTGCTCAGGTGGAAACTTAGTGAGTAAGAAGGAAGTGCCACATAAAAGCAGCAGATGGTAAAATTCCCCTAATACAGCAGGATCTGATTGTCCCAGATAGCTGGCATATCTACAGACCAGACACAAGTTGGGGGGAAGAAAACTTGCCCCCATTAGTAGCATTTTTATGCGTAGGTGACATTCTACAGGTAAGTTACAAGAGGGCAAAAATAAAAAATAACACATCTTGTAAGGCACAGGCATACACATGAGGTAACTCCAATTTGTTGCTGTGTGCTACCTGCATGAGCTATACCTCTTTTTGCCTTTTTCACAGAGAGAAACAGAAGTGGCTGGTTATGAAAACCGGCAGCACAGCTTTTTCCCTCCCTGTGGTGTCTTCCCAGATAAGAAAGCAGGCCTGAATCCCGGGTGCTGTTCTTCCAGACCACATGAAAGGTACTGTCTCAGGCTCCTCATCTGGAACTTTTATGCTTTACAAAGATGATAATAGTCCCTCAAAATCACCTACAATGCTGAATTAAATAGCATTCAAAGTATACTAGGAGAAAATTACAGTCAAGTTTGAGTCAACAGATCTCTTAACCTGGTAACTTTTAGGAAACCACTTAATTTCTGCAACTCAGTCATCTTCCCTATAAAATGGGAATAATAAAACCTATCTTGACTACTCTAAAGACTAGTATTGAGAAGCAAATGAGGTAAGAGACATGAGAAAGATTTAGAAATTATAAAATTCAACATAAATACAAATTAATGAGGTACATCTATTATGTCACCTGATCTTTATAACGTGACAATTGTCCAAATCAAAATGGAGTCACTAAAGTTTTTTTTTGTTTGCTTGTTTGCTTGTTTGTTTTTAAAAAAACCCTGATAAATAGAGCCACAGAAGTCCATGAAGAGAGGATTCTCATATTCGTATACCTGACAAGAAACACTATCACAATGACTGCAAAAAACACAACCTTGTACAAAGACCATTACAAACTTACACAAAAGAATACCTTTGCAAGGACATCTGCCCAGCAATTGCCTGTCCAATCTCAGACTGGTGTCACTCTTGTTATTTATCTTTGTAACCAAGGATAATTATTTCAAAACAATTATGTAATTCTCCTCATTTTTTCCTTTAAAAACCATTTCTTTCTTTTACCTCCCTGAGTACTCATATGGGCACAGCAGTCTCATTGCAGTGTATTCTCATGCACTATTCCCAAATAAATATTTTTTTCTTTTAGAAAGCCTCTCTCTGTTTGTTATTTAGGCTGACAATAACAACCCCAGGAAATGGGTAAGTTATTATCCCTATTTATTGATGGGTTGCGGGGGAGAAACAGAAAAGGATCAGGCTATTTGCTTAAAGTCCCTCAGCAAGTTGGCTCCCAAGGCAAGTCCAGTGCCCTTGCATCCCATCACCTCCTAGACCCTCCACCAGTGCTGCTTATTCTCTCTGCTGTTTTCCCAGAATCATTCACTGCCCTTCTCCACATCACAGGAGCTCCTGTCTCCTCTGACTTCAGGTTGGACTGGCTAATAGAAAGACCAAAAGGTGGCAGGAGAGCAGAGTTGAGCATTCGTTCCCTGGCTCTCCCCCTGCCTCAGCACTGTGGCTCTGACAATGACTGGATCCCTCTACAACTTCGACTCTTATCTAGAGCCTCCTTCCACAGTGGTAGGTCATGGCACCCCATGAACACTGGATCCCCATGCTCACCCCATGCTCTTCAGGCCTGGGCAGTACAACAGCTTCCTGCTATTGCTAAAACCTGGCACCTCGTCCTCTCTTCCTAGGTGCCTCAGCCCTGCCCACACATCTCTAAATTGTACCTTTAAATTGTATATCTTTAAATTGTACCTTTATTCAATTATCTGTAAAATTCCAGTTGAGCATGTCTTCTATTTCTGCTGAGAAAACTAAGAAACTCCTCCTTTTCAAACTATTTGTTCACAGGCTGCCAAAAACTTTTACCACCTGTCCCCAATTCCTCTCTCAGCCCTCTCCTCACTTTACCCAGACTCCTTTCACAGGAAGTCATAAGCCACCCCCCATTCCTCTCCAGGCGCGAATTTACCATGGCTCTGGACTTGCCCTTTACCAGTTCTCTATTAATTTAAAAGCTGATAAGTCCTCTCCCAAGCTCCTATTTCCCCATCCTCTCTTCTTCGTCTATCTCACACTTTATTTCTCCATAGGAAAGAATTTGAACTATCGATCTGTCTGCTGTATAATTTGGATTGAGAAACAGAGCATGAAAACACTCTTTGAATACCTTCAGGGAAACATACTCTATTCAAACTATGTTTCTTTCAACTCTAAATTTGTAAACTATTCTTTTTTTTAAGGTAGTTCTGCCTAAAAGAGTTAAAAAATTGACTACCCTATCAATTTTGCCCTCGAGGTTATACCAACTATTTCTATACTGGCAATAAAATCAACTCCATTTCTTCCAGGCTAGATCACAATTATTACTAGGCACATATTCCAAGGCTGCAATAATTCAGTGGCCCAATACTATTTCAAATTTATAGCAGAAAGAGGCACAATAGTCATTTTGGCCTCTAGGGTGCCTTCTCACTAAAGACCATGAGCTCAGAGGTTACACATAACCTATAATAATAGTTGTGTCTTCCTAGGGTGTGATTGAAGAAAAGAAAATAAATAAAAATGCCCTTGCCTTCTTATGTTAGAATGCGTAACCAAAAGCACCCAAGAGCTGACATTCAGTTCAGGATTTCTGAGACCCTTCCTCCTTTCCTTGCTGTGAAAAATAATGATCTGCTGTTCTCTGACTGTCATTCAAACAATGGGCCCAAGAAGCCAGCATCTCTCTCCTCACTGGCCTCTTGTTCTCTAAATGTACTGCCCATCACCACTTTCCAAACCACATTAGTCATGAAGTGCTGACAATAATTACTAACACATTGAAATGGTTGCCCAAAATGATGACTGTACAGGCCTACAGAATTGGTATTTTTACTGCAGTAAAAGGGTATGAGTATGAGGCTTCATAAGAAATTTTATGGCATTTTGGCTACTGATCACAGGTACAAATTATCCATGCTCAATTAAAGAAAGATGAAAGTTCAGCTTTCTATAATTAAACCAATAACTTGTTCAGCCTCAGGCTGGAAGTAAATGTTAAGGATTCGTGTCTTGCAATCCTGCATGAAGAATTAAAGAAGCAAACTCTATTATCACCGACTTACTTAAAATCAAGGCCTTATGCATATTGGAAATTATTCATGATGAGACTTTTAGATCAGGAAAAAATAAGTCATTCTCACACTCTTTTGGCTGCCTTGCAGGCAATAACTTTCTTCACTATTCTGTTTGGAATATTGCATCATTTAGATCATTCTTCTTAAGTCAATCCAGACATTTTCTTTAGATTCTGCTAAGAATATTATATGAAATTTAAGGACTGGAAAAAATACTTAAAGAGATATTTTAACATGATAAAAAAAAGTCCAACAACCAGCTCTGCAACTTCCTACCCTCTGCTTCTATTTCCTTACCTATAAAATGGGCTGTGATGATTAGTTTTATTTGTTCAGTTTAGCTAGGCTGCAATCCTTATTTATTCAACCAAACACTAATCTAGGTGTTTCTGCAAAGGTGTTTTGTAGATGTGATTACAGTCCACAGTCAGTTAATTATAAGTACAGGAGATTATCCTAGGTAATCTGGGTGGGTCTAGTTCAATCCATTGAAAGTCCTTAAGAGCAGAACTGAGGCTTCCCTGAGGAAGAAGTTCTGCCTGTGTCTTCAGATCATGCCAAGGAGTTCTAGCCTCCCCCTCCTAACAGCATGCCTTACAGATTTTGAAATTACCTAGCGGCCCCCAGTTGTGTAAACCAATTCCTTCCAATAATTCTATGTCCAACCATCCACCCATCCATCCATCCATCCATCCATCCATTCATCCATCCATCTTTCTGCTTGTTTCTCTTGTTATACCTTGACTGATACATGAGGATAATAATGCCTATTCTGCAGCAGTGCTATAAGAATAAAATGAGATTGTATATATAAAAATTATTTTAACACAAAATAAATGTAAGGATGTGTATGTAGAATTACTATTTGATTTGACTAACTCAAATCGAGCTAACAACTCCATATAATCACTGCTCTTTCCTAACAGGCCTTGTGATTTTGTTTTCCAGATTCTGCATATCTGTTACATTCTAAGGCCACTTCACAACACTACCAAACCCAGCTTTACAGTTTGGAAGACTGAGAGAATCATACCCAAAGCCACAAACATCCAAATATGGTGTTCTTCACAAGAAACTAATAATGAACTTGAGACAGAGTCTGCAGGGATAGGTATCAGAAGTCAAGTCTAAAGTATATGAGGTCTATGTTCAAACAGGAGCCTGGACATGACTGAGATAAAGAATGATTCCCGAGCTGGGCACACTGGCTTATGCCTATAATTCCAGTGACTCAGAAGGCTGAGGCAAGAGGATTGCTTGAGGCCAAGAGTCTGAGGCTCTATTGAGCTATGATTGCACCACTACTGTCCAACCTGGGGGACACAGCAAGAGCTTGTCTCTTAAAAAAGAAAAAAAAAGATTGAGTCCAGAGTTAGAGCTACAGGATAAAAATAAGTTAACTGAACTCAGGGGGAGAAAGGAGGGGAACCTACTCCAAATTCTAGCTCAGGTCTTACCTAAATGTGGGCTGGCTCAGCTCCCAAGTGGCTGAGTGAGGTCATGACTGAGAAGAAAGGACCCCTGGCCCAAGTCGTGAGTTGAATGACTCTTAGGTTGAGAAGCTTTCGTACCTAAGAATCAAGTGGCCAGTGGTGCACCATGGGAGAGATGATCACCAAACTTTTCTTCTCTTTGAGGTCACACACCTAGATTACCTGCCCCAGTCTCCCTTGCAGTTAGATCTGGCTGTGAGGTTGAGTTTTAGCCAGTGGGATAAAGATGGAAGTTTCCACTGGCCTAACCCATAAATTCCTCCACAACTCTTCCCACTTTTAATCTTATGCCCCCATGTCGTCTCTTCTCCCAGCCTTCTTCGTCTCAATAAATGTCACTAGCACATATCCAGTCATTCAAGGAAAAACACAATGGAGAAAACCATCCTCAACTACCCATTCCCTTTACCTCACTCTTTCCCAGCATCCTGCAAAATCTCGCTCCAAATATAGCTCCAGTTTGTCCACTTCCCTCCCTTTTCTCCAGTCTATAACCTTGGTTTACTCCATCACTATCTCTCAATTAGACTATTGAAATAAAATCCTACCTGGAATTTAAACTCTTAACTGTCTCTCTGTTTCTATTCTCATCCTCCAATAGCCTATTCTATATACCATGGCAGAAGGATCTTTCAAATCACTAATCCAGTTTTGTCACTTCACTGCTTGAAACTTTCCAGGAGGCTTCCCTTCCTTCGTAATTAAATAAAATTTGAACCCTGAATGTGGCCTAAACCCTACACATTTTGCCTCACCAACCTCTGTCACCGCATCGCTTACCACTAACACCCTAGCTCACTGGGATTTGTGCCACACCAAACTTCAAACACACCAAACGTATTTCTGCCTTATGAACTTTGAACTTGCTACTCCTTTTCACTCCCGGAACACTCCTGCCCCAGATCTTTGCTGGTGCCTTTACATCTTTCAAGTCTCAGTTTAAATATCACCTCTTCCAAGAGACATCCTTTGACTACCATATATCAAATATCCCCTAAGCTCATTATTCTTTGCCATTGTACTCTGTTTTACTTTTGGAATTATTTGTTTTCTTGCATGTTGTCAATCTCCCTCACTGAATCTTTAGCTTCATAAGAGCAGGGACCTTACCTAACTTCTTTATTTCACTGCTATATCCCCAACAGTATAATCTTGGTCATCTCATTCCCCTTTCTAACCCTTATTTTCTCCATTTTCAAGATGATGACTTGGGATTCGGTGCTTACAGGAGACTGGCTCTTCACATTCTTTGCATCCACAGTTCCAAGGAGGCTTTAGAGCTCAATACTTTCCAGCCAGTGACATTTCTAAATGCATTTTCCAAATGAAGTCAATGCCCTCAGGCAGCCCAGTGGGGAGGTCATGGAGAGCCAGTGAGAAGGAAGTCTGGTGAGTTGGATTACATAGTTCCTTTGCTACACCATTCCAGCCATACTAAGGAGATGCACCTCATTAGGTACTAAATGTTTAGTGACTGTCACTATTAATTGGTGGGGATTAATACTCAAAGGAGACAGTAAATCTCATGCTGTACTCAATGACATCACCCCCTTGCAGTCAGACAATGCACTGGGAGTTTGAATCTAAAGCACTACAAAAAAAGAACCCAGAGACTATCCCTTCTCTGCTTATAAGAGTAAATATTGGTTGCCAATTATATGGAGCATCTCCTCAGTTACCAGGATCTGTATTAAATATCTTACATGCTTTTATCATTTCATCTTTACCTCGATCCTATGGCATAGTTCCAATATTATCCTCATTTTATGGATGGGGAAACTTCCAAATAGAGAGAAGAGGCACCTTCCCCAAGGTCACAGAGCTAATAATGATGGATCCTTTGATTAGGGTCTGTTTCATTCAGAAGCCTATGATCTTAGCTACTAAGTAATATTCCATTTCCTATAATTATCATCTCACCATATGATTACAATTATTTTTATTCAAACCTTTTCCATTCTTCAAGTCTGGGCTCAAATGCTACTTTTTTTCACAAAACTTTCTCTAACCCCCAGAAAGACCCATACTCGCCATCAGCATCCTCTGCATTGGTCATATAGAATCAATCACATAGGGGAAGGAGACTCAGTAACAAACATTTAATAGCATATACGGTATGCAGGCACTGCCACAGTCAAAAGCTTATGTTAGTCTTACAACTACCCTGAGAAAAATACATTCATATCTGTTTTGAAAAGTAAAATGCCTTGAGCAGAGTCTTATGGCTCAAAGTGGCAGAACCAGAATTTAAACCCAGGTCTGCTTGATTGCAGAGCCCAAGGCATTTCCACAAACTAACTATGAGCTCTTCATTATGCCCTTGGACTAAATAATTCCCCCTGTTATAAGTCCTCATAGCACCATGTGCTTCTTTATAGCCCCCACCCCAGTTATAATTTCATCTATGTTTGTGTGATTAATTTTAATTTCCTTTTTTAGGCCCTAACTCCATGTACAAATGACCATATCTCTTTTTGCTCTACAAAATCCCCAACACTTGACAAATACAGTAGTCATGGACCTTATACAAGTATATTTGAATAAATGCACAAACCATGTACATTTCATTGCATACATTTAATACATAAATAGAGCCCTTCCCTGCTAGATTCTAATTTCTCTGAGGCAGGTTACCAACCTAATTTATTTCTGGATCCCTCATGATGTTCTGCACTTCATAGGAACTCAATAAACATTTACTGGATAAATTTTGCTTATCAGTCTGTCTGTACCATTTGAAACTCTGTAACATCCAAGGCTTCTAAGTAGGCCTTGGATTTAATTATAGAATAAGATGACCACAGAAGAGTTTTCTAACCTAACAGATATAGATTTGAAAGCCATGGGGAGCATGAAACCCATGTCACAAAAGTGTATCAGTCAAAATAAGTTAAGCTATGCTGCTATGATAAACACAGCAGCTTAAAGAAAAGGTTTGTTTCTCACTTGCACTACACAGACATTGCAGGCTGTCTGAGGTCATTGTTCTACATCATCCTAACTCCAGGACCTAAGCTAACAGAGCATTTCCAGTTGCCATGGCAGAAGGAAAATGGGGCAAAGGCAAATAATTCAATAGCTCTCACAGCTTTTACTGGAGGTAATGCTGTATCACTTCTTCTCGTATTTCACTGTCTATGTCTACCTTCAAGAAAGTGATGAAATGCCCTCTTACTCCACAGCAGGGAGCTCATGCCAAAATATTTGCTGGATGGCACTAATGACCACCACCACAACAGACTGCGTAGGAGAAAACACTGAGAAATTGAAATGGGAGAATTCCCTGACACCCCTTGCTGAACGTGAGACAGGGATGTGACTCATCTGTTCAGTAACCACTGCTCCTCAAACCCCTTATGTGAGGGGAGCATGCAGACAGGTAGGTTCAGGAGCCAGAGTAAGCACCCCTGGGCTCCAGCCCCAGGGCAGCATTCAGGGTTGAGAGCCTGCAACTCCCAAAGCCCAAATGGGCTGTGTTACAGTGTACTCTTTCAGCCTTGCCATTCGCGGGCAGCTTATCTGTTAACCAGCTCAGTGAATTCTCTGCCTTTTCACAATGGCAGAGGGCCAGTGTGACAGCTTTCTGTACCCAAGCTCTCGTCCAACATCCCAGAAGAGTCAGGTCACATACAGACTTGAAGGATGAATGTGGGGGTATTATTGAGTGGTGGAAATTGCTCTCAATGAGACGAATGGGGAGCTGGAAGGGGGATGGAGTGGGAAGATGTTCTTCCCCTGGAGTTTGGCCATCCAGTAGCCAATCTCCTCTCTGACCATCCCCAGCCAAACTTCTCTCAGCATTCGGATGGCCCTTCTCTTCTCTCTCCCACGCCATTCTGCCACTTGTCTACTCTTCTCCTTGTCTGCTTCTGGAGCCTGCAGTCTGGGGTTTACATGGGTACAGGATAGGGGCTGTGGTGAGCCAAAAGGCAGCTTTTGGGCATGAAAACAGGAATGCCTGTCTCCATTTAGGGGCATGAGTATCCTGGCTTGATAGTGGGGCACTTGCCAGGGAACCACCCTTTTCTACCCAGTATTTCCCTATCTCCTGTCCGTTCTAAATGATCCATTTAGAACCTGACCTACTTTCCGAAAAAAAAAATACATCTCCAAGGCAATCTATTGTTATAAAATCACTGAAATTGCTAGAGTCTTTCCCTAGACTTTTGAGCAGTTGCTTTCTGGGTCTCAATGTCCTTATCTGTAAAATGGGAATAAAAATAGAATTTCAGAGGGGCTTTGAAAATTGTCATGATGGCCAGGTGTAGTGGCTCATGCCTGTAATCCCAGCATTTTGGGAGGCTGAGGTGGGTGGATTGTTTGAGTCCAGGAGTTCAAGACCAGCCTGGGCAACATAGCAAGACCCCGTCTCCACTAAAAATACAAAAAATTCGTCAGGTGTGTTGGCACACACCTGTACTGCCAGCTACTCAGGAGGCTGAGGTGGGAGAATCACCTGAGCCTGGGAGGTGGAGGCTGCAGTGAGCCGAGATCATGCCACTGCACTCCACTTCAGCCTGGGCAACCAGAGTGAGACCCTGTCTCAAAAAAAAAAAAAAAAAAGAAAGAAAAAAGAAAAGAAAAAGAAAAAGAAAAAGAAAAATGTAATGATGTACATGAAAGCACCCATCATAGGGCCTGGCACAAACAGTTGATCACTAAATATTAGCCTTCTAAGAAACATAATCTTCAAATCCAAGTATGGGCTTTAGAAATGTAAGAAAATTTAATTCCTCCAAATATATTAATAAGTGAGAGAAAACTACGCACTCACCCTCTAAACTTGACGTTTTATTTTGCTGATATTGTTGATTGTCTACCCGCTAAAATGACTTGCTGCGCACAACTACCCACATATCCCTGCAATGCGAGTACTCAAGTAATTTGAACAGGGCTAAATATACTACATTCTAAGGCAAAAAAAAGAAAAAAAAAAAGGGTGGGGAAAGGAAAGCAGTGGAAGAAAGCTCCTAAAACAACTGGAAACTACCTGTTCCTCCCAGGCAGAACCAACCACCCCATCCAATAGGCTATACAAGTTACCACAGTTTTTCTACCCTTCTGCTTTATTTCCTATCTCCACATCCCTCCTGAGCATAGGGCCTGGTGCAGGATCACAGTGTTGTACATTCCTACGTTCTTTTCTTTGTAACTAAGTCACAGGACAAAGAGCCCCAAGAAAGTGGTTTTGTCCAGTGATGCACAGCCTTCCTGCTCCTCTACTGTCCACACTCGCTCAAGTGTGCGATCCAAGGAGCTGTAAAGGAAAAAAATCCCCAAATTAAATATTATTGTATTCCCACTCCTACTTATGCCTCCATACAGATGTTCTACAGGCAAGGGGAGAAGCACATGTTAAAGTTGTAACGTTTCTAAATAGACGTACCATGTAAATGCCTAAGAGAGAGAAGGCTCCCACTTTTTTCCTCCCTCCTACCATCTTTGACAGTCCTCAAGGACAAGTCTCAATTCCAGGACACTAGCCATGCCTGTTAGCAGAGGGGCTATTAGGCAATAAAATATCACCACTTACATGTTCACTTCTGTCTTCTCTCCTTTTCATGCCACTGGATCATAAGAATGTAGACTGGTTTGCACATCGGAAAAGACCTGGCTGTCTGATCAGTTTGCTTTTCTTCCTTCTTTTCTACCCCTGCAGCCTAAGTGGTAAACCGGTCTGAGTAAGGTCAGTACTGCACTTTAGATTATGAGTGACGTAAACCAAGAAAGTATCAACTAACAACCATAGGGCACTTTGATTCTCAAAATGGTTTTGGTTCTCTGTCTTACTCTATCTTCATAGCAACCTGTACTTGTTTCCTAAGGCTGCCATATCACCATGCCAAAGCTGGTTGGCTTAAAACAACAGAAATTTATTGTCTCATAGCTCTGGAGGCTAACAAGTCCAAGATCAAGGCACCAGAAAATCTGGTATCTGGTAAGAGCCTGTTTCCCTGTTTCCAAGGTCACAGATGGCACCTTCTCAATGTGTCTCCACATGATGGACGGGGCAAGGCAGCTCTCTTTGGTCTCTTTTACAAGAGCACTAATCCCATTCATAAGGGCTCCACTGCCATGATGTAATCACCTTCCAAAGGCCTTCCAGTATCATCACATTAGGGGTTAGGAACTTAACATATAAATTTGGCAAGGACACAAATATTCAAGCACAGCAAAAAGTTTATATGTATTTATCTGCCCCTTCCTAGAACTGACCAAAGACTAGAGCTTGGGGCTAGCCCACTGCTCTGGACATACATGCTTTCCCCTCCCATCTCATGCCTCCCAGAGAAACTGCAGCTCCTGCATGCTTCAAGTGGAACTACTCTAACAACAAACAGCTACTGGAGAAGCAATGTTGCCCTCTCAAATGCAATATTCCCGGACTATGTGCTAATAAGTTACGTTTAAGAAAACTACTACTTACCCATCCACTATTTTCTTTGCATTTTTTGTCTACTGTTTTTGTCCACATAATCTTCTTCTCGTGATACCCTCAAGAGATAGGCAGAACAATTATTACAGGTATACCTTGGACATATTGTGGGTTTGGTCCTAGACCACAATAAAGTGAGTCATACAAATTTTTTGGTTTTCCAGAGTTAGGTACTTGCTCTAGATTAGGCTTTGGCTTAAAGAAATGTTGTATGTGGTTTAATGTTCCATCCAGACCACTCAAACATTCCCCATATCAGCAGTAAGACTGTTTGCTCTCTTACCACTCATGTATTCACTAGAGCGGCACTTTTAATGTCCTTCAAGACTTTTTCCTTTGCATTCACAACTTGGCTAACTGCTTGGCAAAAGAGCTCTAGCTTTTGGTCCATCTCAGCTTTTACATACCTTCCTCACTAAGCTTAATCATTTCTAGCTTTTGATTTAAAGTGAGACACACATGATTCTTCCTTTCACTTGAACAGTTAGAGGGCATTGCAGGGCTATTAATGGGCCTAATTTCAATATTGTTGTGTCTCAGGGAATAGGGAGGATCAAGGAGGGGTGGAGAGATGGAGGAACAGCCTGTCAGTGGAGAAGCCAGAACACACACAAGATTTATCGATTAAGTTTGCCGTCTTTTATGGACATGGTTCGTGGCACCCCAAAACAATTACAATAGTAACATCAAAGATCAATGATCACAGATCACTGTAACAGATATAATAATAATGAAAAAGTCTTAAATATTGTGAAAATTTTTCACATTTGAAACAGACACAAAGTGAGCACATGCTGTTGGATAAATGGCACCAATAGCCTTGCTTTACGCAAGGTTGCCACAAACCTTCAGTTTGTAAAAAATGCAAATCTGTGAAAAACAATAAAGCACAATTTTTAAAAATAAGAATCAAAAAAGCTATGAGGAATTCACAAATATGCAACACAATTTAGAAGGTGGTCCAGAATCCCAGAATCTTTTCTCCCCCTAAAGAACCTCCACTGCCCTCCGAACTGTGACATGGCCTTTGAAATCAGGGAGAATAGGGTCATAAGGTTTTTGAAGTGGAAGGAAATTAATCTTATTAAGTAGTACAGAAGGGAGAGTAGAGAACAAACAATTCCCAAGACACATAATAAAACATTGAACAACCGTCACTACCTCGAGGTGATCAGTGTTGGTGAATATTTTCACCTTTCCAAGCAAGAGAAATGTGAAATATGGATAAACTTAGAAAATGAAAAACATAACACCTATGAAGTCCTTCCAATAAAAAGTAAAGTTTTATCATAATTACTGGCTCTGAAGTAATTTGGAAGCCCTACAATGACCTATTCTGTGGGTTAAAAACTGCCATCCATCACAAAACTCGTCTCTACCAAATCAATTTCTAAAACAATCAATAGTAACATACTCAAAAAAGAATGTCTGAGAAATAATAAGAGCCAATGAAACTAATCACGTCAGAGAAAACTCAAGCATGACCTTTTGAGCAATACCATTTGTTGAGCTGACACTCTGCAAGATAAATAACTTTTAAATAAATGAACACAGGCCAATAGTGAGAAAAAGAACTGTATATGAGCACAATTTCAACACAAAGCTCTAGTATGGCTTTCAAAGCAATCATGCCTTCACCAGAAACAAAACAGCTTCAATTTAAAGGATTTATCACAGGAATGATAAAATCTTTTGAAATGTCAGCACTAGGTCTAGAAATTATCAAAGGAAAAGAAAATTAAAAATAAAAATGAAAACCTTGCTGACAACAGCAAAAAAGCTATGACAATCCACCACCTTGTCAAATTATCTTTCTTTTATTGGCTCTCTGGCATCAGTCTCCCATCCTCTGAAACTCATGCAAATGCTGTAGCAAACAGTTAAATATTTTATTCAGGTGTATGTTTATGTGCCTGTTTTAAAAGATATCTTTACCCACTACCCTCCATTTATCTGTCACAGTCTTTTACCATCAAGAGCATGCCTGTTCTCAGTACTATGTAATATTTATGAGATACTCACAGTGTGCTCAATGCAGATATCAACTGAAGGTCTGCCATCTCACTCAACCTTCTTGACCCAGAATCCCAGAGAAACTGATAAATAAACAACTACAGTAACAATATCAACAACAACATCTTTTAACAGATATTGAGCTGTTAATTTGCACCAGCACTGTGCTAAGGGCTCCACGTATAGTCTTATTTCATATGCACAACAGATGTGCAATATAGGTGTTCTAAGTATCCCCATGTTACAATGAAGAAAATTGAGACTGAGAAATGTTAGGGAACATCCCCAAGGCCACACAACCAATGTACGCCCAGGGTCTTTCCTGACTCAGGGGTCTCCCTGACTCAGATGCCTTACAAACAGCACTTAACCAACAGGCTGGATGACTTCGCTAGTTCACGTCTTCTCACTGCGTGTTGTTGAAACAGATACTGTAGTGGAGTGCGTTTTCTTCATGCAGTGTGTTGTTGACACTCATCTGAATTAATGCATACAGTGAAAAGGCGTTAAGAATAGTTGAAAAGTACTATGGTACAAATGATGATATGGCATAAATACAATGAAACGGAAAAATGTGAAAAGGAAAAAAGCAGATTGTAAAACAATACAGACAAAAGTACAAAATAATGTTAGCTAGCCTTTATTAAGTGTTTACTATATCTCAGATATTTTCCAAGTTATTATCCTGTATTAATATATTGACTCTTTATAATAGCTCTATTTATTTACATATACCAGGTATATTAGTTTTCTAGGGCTGTGGTAACAATTCCCACAACCTTAGCAGCTTAAACCACACAAATTTAGTATCTGTTAAATTTTTATTTTATTTTATTATTAATTTTTTAGAGACAGAGTCTCGCTCTGTCACTCCAGTTGGAGTACAATAGAGTGATCATAGCTCACTGTAATCTTGAACTCCTGAACTCAAGTGATCCTCTGGTCTCAGCCTCCTGAGTAACTGGGACTACAGATGCACACCACCATGCCCCACTCATTTTTACATTTTTTGTAGAGATGGGGTCTTGCTATGTTGCCCAGTCTAGCCTCAAGTGATCCTCCTGTCTTGGCCTCCCAAAGTGCAAGGATTACAAGTGTAAGCCATCACACTTGGCCTAAAAATTTGTATCTTACACTTAGTTCTATAGTTCAGAATTCTGAAATGGAGTTCACTGGGCTATAATCAAGGTGTTGGCAAGGCCATATTCCTTCCCAGAGGCTCTAAGGAACAATCTGTTTCTTTGGCCTTTCCAGCTTCTAGCCACATTCCTTGGCTCTTGACCATCTTCCTCTATCTTCAAAGCCAGCAATAACAGGCCAAGACTTCCTGATGCTGCCATCTCTCTGATTCTGTCTTCCAATTCCCTGTTCCACTTTTAAAGACCCTTGTGATTACATTGGGCCCACCCAGATAATCCAGGATACTCTCCCTATTTTATGGTCAGCTGATTAGCAACTTTAATTCTATCTGCAACCTTAATTCTCCTTTACCGTGTAACCTAACATATTCACAGGTTTCTGGGATTGGGATGTAGACATCTTTAGGGACCATTATTCTGCCTAGCAGAGTTGTCTTCTGATCCCAAAAGATTCACACATGTCCCAAGCCATTACACCAGGTAATTCTCATTGAATTTTCTCTATTAGAGCTCCTGCTATCAAAATACAGAAACTAAAAAGGTTCATACAGTATGAAATAAATCCCAAAATTAAATAATAAAATATTAACAATATTTATTGGTCAGACATGGTGGTTCATGCCTGTAACCTCAGTGCTTTGGGAGGTCTACACAGGAGGATCACTTGAGCCCAGGAGTTCAAGGCCAGCCTGGGCCGCATAGTGAGACTTCATCTCTACAAAAACTTAAAAAATAGCCAGATGTGGTAGCATGCTAATTGGGAAGCTGAGGTGGGAGGATCGCTTGAGCCTAAACTGTTTGAAGTTACAGTGAGCTAAAATCATACCACTGCACTCCAGTGTGGGTGACAGAGTGAGACGTCTCTAAAAAAAAGCAAAAACAATGTTTAGCTCTGGGTAATAGAATTATGTGTGGTTTTTGTTTCTTTCTTACTATGTGATCCATAATTTTTTTTATTTATTTTTTTTGAGATGGGGTCTTGCTCTACTGCCCAGGCTAGAGTGCAGTGGTGCAATCTCGGCTCACTGCAAGCTCTACCTCCCAGGTTCACGCCATTCTCCTGCCTCAGTCTCCTGAGTAGCTGGGACTACAGGTGCCTGCCACCACGCCCGGCTAATTTTTTGTATTTTAAGTTAAGCAGAGACGGGGTTTCACCATGTTAGCCAGGATGGTCTCGATCTCCTGACCTCGTGATCCACCCACCTCAGCCTCCCAAAGTGCTGGGATCACAGGCGTGAGCCACCGCGCCCGGCCGTGATCCATAATTTTTACAACAAGCATGAATAACTTCTGCAATCAGAAAAAGTTATTTTAAAAAATAAAATGTGTTGAAATGAGTGCCAATAAAAGAATGTGCAGGATGACAGAGGGGCAACAAGGGTAGCACCACCAGCTGCACTCAGATGGGAAGGGAATTAAAAGCTGTCACTGAGAGGGAGTATGCCAGATGGAGAAATGAGCAAGGAGTCTGATGGGCCAATCCAAACCAAAGAATAAAGTCAAGGGCTGGAGGCCAGTTGCTCTTGTCTCCTCCTCACCATCACTCACTGCATAAGGCGTGAGTTGGGGATGGGCAGTTTGCTCATGATAAGGGACTCAGGTTTGGCAAAAAACCGCAAAAGGAATCTAAGAAAAAGGAAGGACATGGGTAAATCGAAAACCAAACTCATAGACTTGTGTTGAATAAAAGAAAGAACATAGAGAAACAAGTTCAAGTCCCACCTTCACAATTTACAACTGTGCCAACCTGGGTCAGCCTAGCTGCCTATCTGGTCTTTGGTTTCCATAACTTTAAAATAGAAAGGAGAATAATGCCCTGTGCCTCCCAGAGTTGTTATGAATATTAAATTACATGGTATACTTAGCAAACTATAAAGAATCATGACGGGGAAGGAAGGAGGAACCTGTGGTCCATAAAGCAGCAGCTAAAATGTCTCAGCCAAATAAAGGTGGAAAGTTGCAGGTAGGTGCAAGGTAGGCTGGCATTTGAGTAGTTTATGGGGATAGATTATTTTTAACAACATAAACACAGAGGTTCCAAGAAGTTAACTTGTCTCAAGTTAACAAAAATAAATGGTAGAGTTGGAACCCTATGGCTTCAAAGTCTGCTTTTTTCTCTGTCTCTAATATATGCCTTGTGAAACAAGAGATTCAAGGTGTTGAGAAAGTGGCAGAGCAGGGATTAGAGTCTAGATCTACCAACAAGTATAAGTGAGTGTTCTCTCTATGCTGGACACTGTTGTAAGTACTTTGTATATAGTAACTTATTAAATCATCCCAGTATCCATGGAAGGAAATTGTCCCCATTTTTATAGATGAGAAAACTGATGCATTGAAAGATTCAATAAAACCCAAGATCACACAGATAGTAGATGAGCAAATCAAGATTTGAATCCAGGCAATATAGCACCACAATCTGTATTCACAATCACAAAGCCATGTTGCTCGCGAGCAGGTATATACACATATATTCTGCCCGACTGCTCTGCAACTCCTTAAGCATTGTCTGCAAGCCCCCACATCCATTCTACAGGGTCATGTACATAACAAATGCTCTTGAAAGATTTCTTAAGTTCAGAAATGGCCTTCGAATGCAGTAATATTCAGGGACATGATAAGGAATGAGGAGGAAAAAGCAGACATTCTGGGTGATGTACTAGATATGGAATACCAAAGGGACAACATAAGGAAGGTGCCTAGATTAAGGGACCAGGGACTGGCTGGATCCACACAGAAGGGGGCAGGAACTCTGTTGAAAGATGGCTGGGAGAGTAAGAGGAAAATGAAGTAAAAGGAAAAGAGGAGGATAGGGAAATCATTTAGTAATCATATAGGAGATGAGTTCCTCAAGATAATATGTTGACATAGTATCTTTAAGCAAAAGAAAATACAAAACTGAAGAAAAAATCACTGCTAGAAATAAAGTAGAACAGGCTTGGTTCCTCAAAAGACATTCTGGGAGAAGAAAAGTTTTCAATGAATATGCAAAAACATACAAACAATAAAACACTCCATAATTCTAACCATTAACCCAATGCCCCATTTCCAAACAGTCAGGCTTAGTTAATAGCTTTTATAGTGCATTTAATTTTCAATTTGTGAGATGTCAATCTGGGAGGCTTTGTTGGAAACCAATGAGGTGAGATTACTCTAGCAATTACCCCCAAATAATGGGTGACTGCATTCAACAAAGCTGTAAATAAAAAATGCCTTTCTTTTCATTAGAGAGAATGAACAGCAGAGAAAAGAGGGCATTTGGGACAACATACTGGAAAAGGTGATCACTCTAAATATATAGTGAGCTTTCATGGGACAGATTTCTAGAATCCTATAGAAAAATCCCACCAATATACTTGTGTTTAAAAAAATAAAAAGGCGGCACTATTTAGCTTACTAAATTCAGCATAAGGCTCATAGATGGACAGATACTATCTGTCCCACTACTACTCAATGCAAGGTCTACAGTCAGATGAGCATCTAACACAATTTGGTTTGCAGAGTTTTCAAGAAAGCAGTGTATTTTATCTGTACAGCTGCCCATTTCAACTGTCCCTTCTATGCTCATAGGAGGAGGAAAAGAAGGCCCTTGGAAATTGCCATTCTGGAATTGAAAACTTAAATCCTCCAGACAACCATTAACTTTTAAAGGACATCTAAAAGTGCAGCTCTGTGATAACCAAGAAGATGATGGTGATAGTTCTGCCTATGACTGAATACACAAATCTCTTAAACCTCTACAGCTGCTCAACAAAACAAAGAAATAAACATTGCATTTTGCAGAGAATCCATTCTATCATGTTATTCAACAAATTTGTATTCATCTGTGACTATGTTACTGTTACTGAGTATACGCAGTCACAATGGTGAGCAAAAACGAAAACAATTTCTGCCTTCATGGAGTTCACAGTATAGAGGGAAGAGAGGCATTAACGCATAATCACAAATCACACAAATGTACAACAAAAACTGTGATCCATGTTAGGAATTTAAAAGGTGTCCCTGTGGAAAAAAAAAAAAAAAACCTTGAGCTGAGATCTGAAAAGTAAATCAGAGGTGACCAGGGCAAGACAAGGGGTGATGTGCTGGATAAGGAGAATAAAAATATTCCTGGAACAGGGGACTGTATATGCAAAGGTCCTGTAGCAAGAGGGACCACACAATACAGTTAAGGAACTGAAAGAAGGTGCAGGAAGCCTGAGGGGCTACGGATGAGCTGAGATGGGAGAGACAGGCATGGTCAAACCATGCCAAGTGGAGGATTTAGGTTATTATAAATGCAGAAGAAAGACATTTGAAGCAGAGGCTGATAAAGAAGTTATGATATGAATCAGATTTACGTTTTGAAAAATCGCTCTAGCTGCCCAGTGGTAAATAAATTGGTGGAGGCAAGCAATATGTCAGAACTAAAGTGATAGAGATTAGCGATTTCTGAACTTACATGACATCATATACAAAGTATTTGGGCAGAGCAATGAATAGCAGCCTCTTAATCCATGTCTGGCCTGCCAGGGCACAGACTGGTTAAAAACACAGACTGCTGAACTAGGATTCCTGGTTTGGAATCCCAGGAATGCCACTGTGTGCCCTTGTACAATTTATATAATCTCTCTGCCTCGGTTTTCTCACTGTAAAACGAGAATGATAATATAGGTTACAAAATCTTCATGACCAAATGTATTTTGAAATTCAGAATTTTTTGGACTTTTGAAAGGCATGAGATTACACTAAATATTCTGTAACACCCCCAGCAGAGTCTTGGGTAGGACCCCATATTCAAACACATTAACATTCAAACACATTTTGAAGCAAGATGTATGATTATTAACACTATGTGGAATAAAGACCAATAAGTAGACTTATGTCAATCCAGATCAAGTTTTGCCATCAAATGAGTTTGCACCAACTTTCAAGAAAATTCTGTTTTTTCAGAATCTTTTGAAATTCAGAACTGCAAATGAGGGACTACGCATATGTAGTACCTTCCTCCTAGGGTTATGATGAGGAATAAATGAATCATTGTAAACCCTTGGGAAAGTGTTTGGCACATAGTAAATAGCATTTGTTAAGTAAATAAAGCTCTTAGGTACCAAACTAGCTAGCTGCATGAACTTAGGAGTTCCTACTCTGTAAATGGAAGGATGATAAGATGACCTCTGAGGTCCTTCCAGCTTTCAAGTTCCATAAGACCCCAAAGTGTCTTGAGGAATGTCTGTTTCCAATACTTTGTGGAAAAGCCAGTAGAGGACCCTGAGTCTATTCCTAATCAGTGTTAAAAGAAAAACTTCAGACAAATTAACTTTACCAGAGTTTAATTGAGCAAAGAATAATTTGAGAATTGGGCAGCCCCCTGATCCAGAATAGCTTCAGAGCAATGATGACACCAGACCAATTGTCCCATAGCACTGATGTTTATGGTTTCTTTTGAATAAACATAGAAATGGATCCTCCCAATCTTAAAAGTGGAGAAAGTTAGAATTGTCTTATTTGAGTTTCTTTCTCAGAAAACCAACCATCAGGACTCCCAGATAGTATTGAGGAACTAAAACTTACCAGACACCACATCTGGACAATGAAACACCAGATCTCTCACCCATCATGATTGCCTAACTGACTCCCTGCTTCCTGCTGACCAATTCCTCTTCCTTACCCCTCATTAACTTATGTTTTTCTGCATGTAGTTACATTTCTTCCCTGCTATATAAACCCCTGATTTTGGTTGGTCAGAGTGATGAATTTGAGACTGATCTCCCATCTCCTCAGCTGCAGCACCTCATTAAAGCCTTCTTCTCTGGCAGTACTCATTGTCTCAGTGATTGGCTTTCTATGCAGGGAGCAGCAAGAACTAGACCAAACTGCTGGCATTTTGGTAATAATGGGGTGGTGGGGGACACATAAGGGAGGTACAGAAACAGTTGGACTGGGTACAGCTTGGCATTTGTCTTATTAGAACATGGGTTGAACAGTTGACAGCCTGTGACAGGCTAAAACTCTATGATTGGTACAAGAGTAGGTTACAGTCTGTTTACACATCTAGTTAGGTTACAGTGCAGTGTGTAAGGAGAAACCTTTAGGCCAAACTTAAAGTATGTAAGGAGGCCGCTTTAGGCTACACTTAAATTAACAACGGGTAATGATGATGCTATAGCCATTTGATACCTGGTCCTCCCACCTCTTCTGTCCCACTGGACAGTTCATTTACACTCAGACTCGTTTCTGTATTTACCTCTCCTCTAATACCGTCTCACCCTCTCTCTCCTACACCTCAGCCTGAACAGCACCCCCTTCCTCATAGCACCCTTACCACAGATTCAGTCATGCCCTAAGCTCCTAATCACTGATACAAATCACCAGACTCCCAGAAAAAACAAACTCCTGAGCCAACCCTTGCCTGGGAAATGGAAGCTGACAGCTATTCTCACTGTGCTTGCTTTCAAATGTATTGGGAGCATGGTCAAACTGGGCATCAAAGAGTCTAGCCATATGACTTTGGGAGAGTCAGAAACTTAACTGCTCAGAACCTCAGCTCCCTTATGTGCAACATCAGAATGATAATAATAGCAATAGAACCTTCTTCACACTGCTACTGTGAGGGTCACACCAGGTGTAACACAAGTAAAAGTTACCTTACAAAGTGCAGCTTATTGTTATTATCAACTGTTGCTGCCAGACGAGGTGTCAGAGTCCCAGCATCAGGAAGTGGTTGGTTCATGGACAGGATAGTAAGAAGAATTTACCAACAATCGTATAGGTTTGAAGAAGAAAATTTTATTAGATAGAAAGAACACTGCAGAAGAATGAGTGGGGTGCCTCAGCAAGAGAGGAATGAGCGCAATGTGGTGGATTTTTCCTTGGGAATATTTATGAATCTTAAAGTGGGTACTTTAGGGTAATTTGAACCATATTAGCCATGTAGGTCATGAAAAATGATTGCATTTGTAGGCATTTTGGTACCTTGATGTCAACAAGGGTTGCACAATGAGTTTCAATATGCATGCATTCCGGAGATGTACAGCAATTCTAGTTACTTATACATTTTTGGGAAAGAAACCTGCAACCAGATGCCTGCTTTAGATAACAGGGAAGTCTAATATTCTAAATTCCTCAAATAAGGAGTTTTGTCTCTGGATGGCCTGCTTGATGGCCACCAGGTGATCTTTGCTTTCCTTGGTTGCCTTATAATTGAAATTCTTTCTGGAAGGAAAGATGTCCTGATAATGAATAGTCCTCCCAGGAAAAGAAAAATCTGCATTTTCAATGCTTTATTTAAAAAGGAAACAAGCATTTATTGACATCTTTACATATGCCAATGCGATCTGAGAGACTACACTTTTATCAATTAAGACAGACACTAAGGTTAAAGAAACCAGGTTACCTACCAGTAGAGCGTTCAGGGCCTGGCTGGCATGGTAAATTTCTAAATGCCCACACATCAACTGCCTAACAACAGGAGCTATCAGGCAGATTTACAACCCAGACCACTATAACTGAACACAGGACCAAGAGCCAGCCTTACAAACATTTTCTGATAAGCTACTGCAGAACTTAGACCAGTTTCAGCAGCTTACAGAGACTGCACACAAAATGTTTTTGTGTCCTGTAGTTCACTTTTTGATGTACAGAGCCAAATTCTACCTCATTTTAATGCTAAAACCCCACCCCAAAGTGAACATGGGATGTATGTTATATATATATTTACCCGTCAGGCATGCTCACAGCTCCCGTCATAAATATGTGTAGCTTTTCCCCAAACCTGCTGAATATGCATGATAAAGACCCTGTGAAGCATAAAACCCAACCTGTCCTTTCCCTCTTCAAAGAGAGAGCACCTTCAGTCCATGCTAGAGACCTTCTCTTCCTGGTTTGCAAACTGATATCACCAATAAAAGTCTCCTTTCTACTATTTAGCCATCCTGGTGGTCTTTTGGAAGACACCAGGCACTATTCTAGATATTTTTACATGTATTATATTACTCAATCAGAAAACTTACTTTTGTGGACAATGTCATCATATCATATACCTTATTAAATTATTATATGTTTCTTGGTCTTTATTTCAAAACAAATACAGTTTGATGAAAGTCAGATTTATTAATCATAGATTGGTAGCTTAGAAATAATAACACCTTAAATCAGTACATCACTTGACATTCTATAAAGGGCTTGGCCAGTCACTGCTGAGCTTGATTGTCCCAACAAGATACAATTATTAGCACTGCTTGACAGAGAAGGAAACTGAGGGTGAGATAATGGCCCTGTCAGAGGCATTTGAACCAGAGTGACTTCATCTTGAATAGGAGCTGGGTAAAATAAGGCTGAGACCTACTGAGCCGCATTCCCCAGAGGTTAGGCATTCTCAGTCATAGGATGAGATAGGAGACCGGCACAAGATATAGGTCACAAAGACCTTGCTGATAAAAGAAGATGCAGTAAAAAAGCTGACCAAAACTCACCAAAACCAAGATGGCAATGAAGTGACCACTGATCATCCTCACTGATCATTATATGCTAACTATAATGCGTTAGCATGCTAAAAAACACCCTCCCCAGTGCCAAGACAGTTTACAAATGCCATGGAAACATCCGGAAGTTACCATATATGGTCTAAAAGGGGAAGAAACCCTCAGTTCTGGGTTTGCTTGCCCCTTTCCTGGAAAACTCATGAATAAGCCACACCTTGTTTAGCATATAATCAAGAAATAACTATAAGTATACTCAGTTGAGCCACCCATACTCTGCCTATGGAGTAGGCATTCTTTTGTTTCTTTACTTGTCTAATAAACTTGCTTTCACTCTTCTGTATGGACTCACCCCAAATACTTTCTTGCACAAGGTCCAAGAACCCTCTCTTGAGGTATGGGTCAGGACCCCTTTTCAGTAACAGCCTGATAACAGGAGAATGGCATGAACCCGGGAGGCAGAGGTTACAGTGGGGAACTCAGGAATTGAACCCAGGTCTACAGAACGCATGCTCTTAACCACTGTGCTCTAATCATTGTCTCTGCAGTCCTGAGAAGGAGTACGCTTCAGCCATATTTTAATGAACAAGTGCTAAATTTCTTTGCTCAGATAATTTCTTCAAGCTGTGTCATTTGGAAGGAAAATAAAACAGCATGGGACACAGCAAAAAGTGGTGAGTTTCATTAAACTGATGTAACAAATGGAAGCACAGAGGAAGAAACACTCTAATGGTCACTTGCAACATGTAAATAAAAAAGCAAGGTTTGCACCATGGTGCAGTTCTCCACCCTCTCTGGCAAGTCCTCCTAGTAACTCTGATTTATGGTATGTAAAGTTCTACAGCAGAAGGAAAATCAACTCCTGTTTACCTTGCCTCACCATTTCCCTTCCCATCTCAGAAGGTACTGTGCAAAGCCACTGTGCAGACTTAATAGTTTCTTCCGCATTTCAAGATGCTTTTTCTCACTGCTTTTTTGCTTTTTTTTTCTGCAATGAGACAGAGAAGCAATTACCTCTCCATCTGCTCATCTTGATACCTATGCTTCACTGGGCTAGAAAGAAGAGGAAATGAGAATGGGAAATCTAAAACCAAAGGCCTAGAGCCTGAAGAAGATGTACAAAGTTTTTAATTCAATGAGATTTGCATGTAAATCTGCAGTTCAAGTTTCCATCCTACTCCACTTCTAAGAAAAACCTAATTGCATCTGACTAAGGCAAGACAAACAGAACCGTATTTTTAAAAATAATACTTTTAAGGTTCAGAGAATCTACTATAACTCTATCTTGCATTTCTACAGTGATTTACGCTGAACAAAGCATTCACATACATTATCTCATTTATTTATTAAAGCAGTGCTAATTCCTTAAGCAATCATTTGAACTTGAAATTTAAAAGGATTTGGCAGAAAAAAAAAATTATCATTTTGAGTGCCTATGGAGTGCTAGCCATTGTACTGAGTGATTTGCATTCATTATCTCCAATCCTTACAACAACCCAGCAAGGCAGGAACATCAGCCCTGGTCCCAGCAGAGTTTAAAGTCATCCAACAAGGATTGCTATAGTAACCTGAGGCTAGCAACAGCTCTGAGAACTCAGAAAGGGTAGCAAATGGCAACACCAACTATGGCTTTCCATGGAGTGAGGAACCAACCCTTGTGATATGACAGGGGAAAAAATGAGGGGAACAGATACTCTTAACTCACTGCTCACCCGCTGTCTGATCTACTGCTTCTGCCTCCCTTCCTGCTCCATTGTCTAAACACAATTGGAACCAGAGCACAAGGGATCCCACTGACGAAACCCAACAGAATGAGCCTCCTGGGGCATAAAGCAGGGTAGGGAAGGGTGAAAAGTGGATCTGGAAGGGAAACAGAAGACATTCAGCACAGTCCATCCCTCCCCCAGCAACACTCCCCCAGGAACCCTCCCCCATCATTTACTGTTATTTTTAATTCAAAAATTGCAAAAATGCCAAAACAGGATGAAATGATATCAGTTCAGTCAACTTCCCAACAGAAACCCAAAACATGAGCAACCACCAAAAGATGGTTTTCATAAAACGATCTTTTTTCATGAAAATATGAGAGTAAAAAGTGAGGAGATAACTAGTTAACATAAAATTTAACTGTTATATTTCTGAAACCAACCAAATTGTCTCATAGAATGATGTTTATGGTTCTTGAATAAACATAGAAATTGGCCCTCCTGGTATTAAAGCTTGAAACTTACATTTGTCTTATCCGACAAACTTTCCTTTCTCAGGAAATCGACCCTCAGGCTTCCCAGATAGTATCAAGGAAACTGAAACTCACCAGATCGGTGAGATGCCAGACCCATTATTCCTCCTGACTGCTTCCTTACTCTTTCTTAATTTCTGTTTTCTAAATTCCTTCCTGCTATATACACCCCCAACCCCATTTTAGCTGGTTAGAAAGAACAGAGTTGAGGCTTGGCTGCCATCTTCCCGGCCGATGTCACCTGCAATATAACAAAGCCTTATCCCCTGGCAAAACTCATTGTTTCAGTGATTGGCTTTCTGAGCAGTCAATGACAGGACCTAGACCGAACACCTGGCATTTCCATAACAGTTCCTGTGGCTTCGCATACGAGCATAAGACCTAAGGTGATGAGCATAGCAGCCAGCCTTCTTCCACCACTATTCCTTGTTTGCCCTATCCTCTGCCCATTTCTCAACTGGATGGTGTTCCTTACTGAAAAATTAACCACAGTCTTGATTTATGAAGGGCCTGAATTCGTTAGGGGATAACCTCATTATCCCCTGGTAATCAGGACCAGTCACCTCACTGAATGCAGTGACCCCTTTTCTATACAATGGTCCAGCTACATAAGGAGCTCAGAATGGCCAGAGGCAGCTTCAGCTTCCAATTCACTAGGACCATGACTCTTTTAGAAGTAGTCTTTCTTTGGGCATTAGCATCTCCAGAACATTAAGCAGAAGTACTTCCAATGGGTTATTTGGTGTATCAGTAAGACAGGCCACTCTCATCTCCACCCTTGGTTCCCATACCTGGGCATTCTGGCTATAAGGGATGACACTATATTCTAGCCATTGGTTTTGAGGCATATATACCATATCATGAAGGAGAGCACTCCAAATTTGTAGAACGTTGCCTTCCCACCATCTTCATAACTGAGCCTTTGGCAGGCCATCCCACTATTCTGTTAAGTAGCTGCTTCTAGATGATGTTGCACATGATAATGCCAATGAATTCCATCAGGCTAACTTGACTATGTCATACCTTTTGCAAGAAAAACTGACCCCAAGTCATAAGCAATATTGGGACAGATAAGGCATTCTGTACAGGAGGCAATTGAGCAAGCTCTGGGGCATCCCCAGAATGGGCAGCTCATCCACCTGGTTATGGAGAGCCTCATCCACTCTGGGTGCTCTCTATGGACATTAACACAGTACACAAATATCCGTGCTCAATCAAAGAAATCCATTCATATACTTTTCTCCCAGAATTCTGATGTCCTGCAGGTGCCCAGCCCTACTCAAGAGAGTGGGGAGTTTTGGGTCCAAACTCAACCTGAAACCAATTGTCAAGAGAGCCCTTTGGTGTCATTCATAGGTCATCCCCCCAGAGCACAGAACAAGGTAGAGAGGATAAAGACTGTAACCAGAGGGCAAAGATATTCAGCTCTGTAGATATTATTGTCCCTTTTTTCAGATAAAGAAACTAAGAGTCCAAAAAGCAAAAATATCTTGCCTGAAGTCACACAGCTGGAAGAGGAAGCTGAGGTTAAAATCTTCCATTCTAAAACTTGTGTTCTTCCCTAGGCCATTAGCACCACATGGAGGAAGAGAAAGCCTCTGGGCTTCCTGCCAGGCAGAATTAGGTTCATCTGAGATGCAAACCAATTACCAGCTTAAAACATTTTCTTACATTGATAAGTGAAATCCAAAGTTCCCTCCTGTGGTCATTAAAATTAAAACTTAAAGATTATGATGAGCAAGGAATTCAAAGAGCTTTATTAGCTTGCTCAGTGGAATGTGTTCTTAAAGATGGCTTCACCCCCAATCCTGAGCCACCACAATCACAACCTCCAGAAAGAGCAATCTGTCTAATAGAAATATAATGTGAGCCACATTATCAAAGTTTCAAAAATTTACATTTTAAATTTGAGCCACATTTTAAAAAGTAAAAAACAATGATAGTAATTTTAATAATATACTTTAACACAATATGTTCAAAATATTATTTCAACATGTAATCAATATAAAAATGTTTGTGGGGTTTTTTACATTATTTATTTCATACTAAGTCTTCAAAATTCAGTGTGTATTTTGTACTTACAGCACATCTCAATTCAAACTTGCCACATGTCAAACGTTCAATAGCTGCATATTGCTGATGCCTACGTATTGAGCAGCATGGTTCTAGAGATGAGAAGGCCTTCCACCTGCTGGCTGTGTGTCTTCTCAACATCTCAGATGCCACATCTTGAAAATAGGGATCATAGTACTCTTGGGACTAAAACAAATAAGAAGAAGAAGAAGAAGAAATAATAATAACATGAATAGGTAATATTTATTTATTTGTCATGTGACAGGCATGCTAAATTTTAGAGAACTTACAGAACTTAATTCTTATAACAAACTACAACGAAAAATGGACACTTAAAATGATTAAGTGTCTTGCCCCAGGTCACAACTAAGATAACAATTTGAGCACTGACAATCTGACTACAGGGCCTGAACCCTTTTATGAAAATAACAATAATAATAACAATAATAGCTACAAATATTATATTTAAATACCCAGGAAGTTGATAGAATCAGCAAGACCAACAGCAAGGCCTCAGCAGGGCCAACCGTGCATGATAAATGGAGCCATTGTTATGACACTGTCCTCAAGAGCTTAGAATGTTGTAGGGAGAAAGAACACATAGGATGAGATAACTAGTCACAGAAGGCTGTTTATGGCATGTAACAGGCAAACAAAAGTGAGCTCTACACAAATCCATGGGGGCAGTGATCCGTGTAGGGTCTTAGGGCCCTGCAAGGGAGAGATGAAATACAACAGCAAATGCAAGTAGGTCCCACTTCGAGGTCATGTGTGACTTGTGCAATCACTTAGGGCCCTGTGCTCAGAAGAGTGCCACACTTGGTTAAATATTCAGCTGTCATGGTCCTGAAATTCTTAATAATTTTATCACTGAACTTATATTTTTTAAGTGAAGTCTGCTGGGACAATGGAGAATGTTCATGAGCAGAGGAGATACAGGTAACATGCAATCTATGTGCCCTCTTCCATTTCTTGCTACCTATTTGCATACAGCATTCATGATGCCCCATGAGCACATGTGTGGGAGTTTACTGAGATTTAAAGGGAGTGTGAGGTGAGTGTGTTATGAATATAACTTGAGAACTAAGCTCTGATTTTTTATCTGGCCCAAATTCCTACCTAAGGGGTCTAGGGGGTCATGCTCTATAAACCATAAATTCTGATCAGATGGGTTTTATTCTATATATCATGACTTACTTTTCAATCTGACTCTGGAATACCATTATGAGATAAGGAAAAATATATAACCCCAAAATATATTTTCTTGCCACACTTTGAAATTACCCTGAAAAGTCTCTTGTGGGAAAAATCCACATCCTATAGAGAATCCCCTTTCCCCTTTGTTTTCCTTACTTCCTTTTCAGATCCAGGAGATAATCAACTAAGAGCCAGATACGCTTTTAGCTCTGATAAGAAACATACAACCTGCTCTCTCTGAAGTCTGCTATCTGAGAAATTCCTCTGCACAATAAAACTTAGTCTCCACAATCCTTTATCTTAACCTGAACATTCCTTTCCATTGATCCCAGGTCTTCAGATAAACTCAACGAATTATGACCCAGAAAATGTTTAAATTTACTGATAGTCTGGGAGCTCCCACTTTGAGTTGTCCCACCTTTCTGAACCCAACCAATGTATTTCTTAAATGTATTTGATTGATGTCTCATGCCTCCCTAAAATACATAAAACCAAGCTGTACCCCAACCACCTTGGGTACATGTTCTCAGGACCTTCTGAAGGCTGTTTCACAGGCATGGTCACTCAAATTTGGCTCAGAATCAATCTCTTAAAATATTATACAGTGTTTGACTCTTTTCATCAACAAACGGAGTAAGAGGACAGCACCGTGAGAAGCCACAACGTCTCTTTGAACCAGAAATTGCTTCAATCACAGCATGAAGTCATTCTTTCTAAGAGACACACCATTCTAAGAAACATGAACAACCAATGAAATTCATCATATCCTTTCTTAATTATGCTACTTTATTAACTAACCACTCATGCTGAAAACGATGACATAGAAGAAAAGGGAAAGATAGGGCAACTCATATTTATTTTCCTTTCAGTCCTTTCTTTTTCTTTTTTCTTTTTTTTTAGGCAGAGTCTCACTCTGCTGCCCAGGCTGGAGTGCAGTGGCGCCATCTTGGCTCACTGCAAGCTCCACCTCCTGGGTTCAGGCCATTCTCCTGCCTCAGCCTCCTGAGTAGCTGGGACTACAGGTGCCTGCTACCACGCCTAATTTTTTGCATATTTAGTAGAGACGGGGTTTCACCATGTTGGTCAGGATGGTCTCAATCTCTTGACCTCATGATCCACCCACCTCGGCCTCCCAAAGTGCTGGGATTACAGAAGTGACCCACCGTGCCTGGCCTCCTTTCAGTACTTTCTTACTCAACAGTAAGCTTAAGGCAGAGATATTGGTAGACTGTGTGCATATCAAGAAGAAGAAGAATAAGTTGATTTAGCTTTGTGTAGTATTTTCACTGTTCTGGTAGGAATAATACATATATATTTGTATATATATATGTAAGCTATGAAAAACAAGTTGAGTAATTTTGGTGATTCTACATACAAGCTTAAAACTACATACTTGCATTTAAAACTGGCATTAGGAGGTGCTTCCACGATGGCTGAATAGGAACAGCTCCAGTCTGCAGCTCCCAGCGAGATCGACACAGAAGACAGGTGATTTCTGCATTTCCAACTGAGGAACCTGGTTCATCTCATTGAGACTGGATGGACAGTGGGTGCAGCCCACAGAGGGCGAGCCAAAGCAGGGTGGGGCATCGCCTCACCTGAAACACCAGGGATTGAGGGATTTCCCCTTCCTAGCCAAGAGAAGCCATGAGAGACTGTAACAGGAGGAACAGTACACTCCTGCCCAAATACTGCACCTTTCCCATGGTCTTTGCAACCAGCAGACCAGGAGATTCCCTATGGTGCCTGGCTCAGCAGGTCCCATGCCCACAGAGCCCAGCAAGCTTAAGATCCACTGGCTTGAAATTCTCACTGCTAGCGCAGGAGTCTGAGACGACCTGGGATGCTGGAGCTTAGTGGGGGGAGGGGCATCCGCCATTGCTGAGGCTTGAGTAGGCGTTTTTATGCTCACAGTGTAAACAAAGCTGCCAGGAAGCTCAAACTGGGTGGAGCCCACCACAGCTCAGCAAGGCTGACTGCCTCTCTAGATTCCATCTCTGTGGGAAGGGCATATGTGAACAAAAGGCAGCAGCCTCTGTCAGGGACTTAGAGAAAAACCCCTCATCTCCCTGGGACAGAGCACCTGAGGGAAGGGGCAGCTGTGGGCACAGCTTCTGCAGACTTAAACATCCCTGCCTCACAGCTCTGAAGAGCAGTGGTTCTCCCAGCATGGCATTGGAGCTCTTATAATGAACAGACTGCCTTGTCAAGTGGGTCCCTGACCCCTGTGTACCTGACTGAGAGATACCTCCCAGTAGGGGCCGACAGACACCTCATACAAGAGAGCACTGCTTGGCATCTGGCAGGTGCCCCTCTAAGACAAATTTTCCAGAGTAAGGATCAGGCAGCAATATTTGCTGTTCTGCAGCCTCCTTTAGTGATACCCAGGAAAACAGGGTCTGGAGTGGACCTCCAGCAAACTCCAACAGACCTGCAGCTAAGTGGCCTGACTGTCAGAAGGAAAACTAACGAATACAAGGGGCCTGACTGTTAGAAGGAAAACTAACAAATAGAAAGGAATAGCATCAACATCAACAAAAAGGACATCCACACCAAAACCCCATCTGTAGGTCACCAACATCAAAGACCAAAAGTAGATAAAACCAAAAAGATGAGGAGAAACCAGAGCAGAAAGCCTGAAAATTCCAAAAACCAAAACGCCCCTTCTCCTCCTGAGGGTCACAACTCCTCACCAGCAAGGGAACAAAACTGGATAGAGAATGAGTTTGACAAGTTGACAGAAGTAGGCTTCAGAAGGTGGATAATCACAAACTTATCAGAGCTAAAGGAGCATGTTCTAAACCATCTCAAGGAAGCTAAAAACCTTGAAAACAGGTTAAAGGAATGGCTAACTAGAATAACCAGCGTAGAGTAGAACATAAATGACCTGTTGGAGCTGAAAAACACAGCACGAGAACTTCATGAAGCATACAGAAACTTCAATAGCTGATTCGATCAAGCAGAACAAAGGATATCAGTGATTGAAGGTCAAATTGATGAAATGAAGTGAGAAGACAAGATTAGAGAAAAAAAGAGTGAAGAGAAATGAACAAAGCCTCCAAGAAATATGGGACTATGTGAAAAGACCAAACCTACGTTTGACTGGTGTACCTGAAAGGGATGGGGAGAATGGAACCAAGTTAGAAAACAGTCTTCAAGATATTATTCAGGAGAACTTCCCCAACATAGCAAGGGAGGCCAACATTCAAATTCAGGAAATATAGAGAACACCACAAAGATATTCCTCGAGAAGAGCAACCCAAAGAGACAAAACCATCCGACTCACCAAGGTTTAAATGAAGGAAAAAATGTTAACGGCAGCCAGAGAGAAACGTTGGGTTACCCACAAAGGGCAGCCCATCAGACTAACAGCGGATCTCTCTGCAGAAACCCTATAAGCCAGAAGAGAGTGGAAGCCAATATTCAACATTCTTAAAGAAAAGAATTTTCAACCCAGAATTTCATATCCAGCCAAACTAAGATTCATAAGCAAAGGAGAAATAAGATCCTTTACAGAGAAGCAAATGCTGAGAGATTTTGTCACCATCAGGCCTGCCTTACAAGAGCTCCTAAAGGAAGCGCTAAACATGGAAAGGAATAACTGGTACCAGCCACTGCAAAAACATGCCAAACTGTAAAGACCATCAACTCTATGAAGAAACTGCATCAACCAACAGGCAAAATAACCAGCTAGCATCATAATGACAGGATCAGATTCACACATAACAATACTAACCTTAAATGTAAATGGGCTAAATGCTGCAATTAAAAGACACAGACTGGCAAATTGGATAAAGAGTCAAGACCCATTGGTGTGCAGTATTCAGGAGACCCATCTCACATGCAAAGACACATATAGGCTCAAAATAAACGTATGGGGGAAGATCTACCAAGCAAATGGAAAGCAAAAACAAAAAGCAGGGGTTGCAATCCTAGTCTCTGAGAAAACACACTTTAAACCAACAAAGATCAAGAGAGACTAAGAAGGCCATTATATAATGGTAAAGGGATCAATTCAACAAGAAGAGCTAACTATCCTAAATATACATGCACCCAATACAGGAGCACCCAGATTCATAAAGCAAGGTCTCAAAGACCTGAAGAGGGACTTAGACTCCTACACAATAATAATGGGAGACTGTAACAATCCACTGTCAATATTAGACAGATCAAGGAGACAGAAAATTAACAAGGATATCCAGGACTTGAAATCAGCTCTGGACCATGCGGACCTAATAGACATCTACCAAACTCTCCACCCCAAATCAACAGAATATACATTCTTCTCAGCACCACATCACACTTATTCTAAAATTGACCACATAATTGGAAGTAAAACACTCCTCAGCAAATGTAAAAGAACAGAAATCACAACAAACAGTCTCTCAGACCACAGTGCAATCAAATTAGAACTCTGGATTAAGAAACTCACTCAAAACTGCATGACTACATGGAAACTGATCAACCTGCTCCTCAATGACTACTGGATAAATAACAAAATGAAGGCAGAAATAAAGATATTCTTTGAAACCAATGAGAACAAAGACATGACGTACCAGAATCTCTGTGACACATTTAAAGCAGTGTGTAGAGGGAAATTTATAGCACTAAATGCCCACAAGAGAAAGCAGGAAAGATCTAAAATCAACACCATAACATCACAATTAGAAGAACTAGAGAAGCAAGAGCAAACAAATTCAAAAGCTAGCAGAAGGCAAGAAATAACTAAGCTCAGAGCAGGACTAAAGGAGAAAGAGACACAAAAAAACCCTTCAAAAAATCAATGAATACAGGAGCTGGTTTTTTGGAAAGATCAACAAAATAGATAAACCACTAGCAAGACTAATAAAGAAGAAAAGAGAAGAATCAAATAGACCCAATAAAAAATGATAAAGGGGATATTACCACCGATCCCATGGAAATACAAACTACCATCAGAGAATAGTATAAACACCTCTATGCAAATAAATTAGAAAATCTAGAAGAAATTGATAAAGTCCTGGATACAGACACCCACCCAAGACTAAACCAGGAAGAAATTCAATCTCTGAATAGACCAATGACCTGAAATGCTCTGAAATTGAGGCAATAATTAATATCCTACCAACCAGAAAAAGTCCAGGACCAGATGGATTCAGAACCAAATTCCACCAGACGTACAAAAAGGAGCAGATACCATTCCTTCTGAAACTATTCCAATGAATAGAAAAAGAGGGAATCCTCCCTAACTCATTTTATGAGGCCAGCATCATCCTGATACCAAAGCCTGGCAGAGACACAACAAAAAAAAGGGAATTTTAGGCCAATATCCCTGATGAACATCAATGTGAAAATCCTCAATAAAATACTGGCAAACTGAATCCAGCAGCACATCAAAAAGCTTATCCACCACCAAGTCGGCTTCATCCCTGGGATGCAAGGCTGGTTCAACATACATAAGTCAATAAACATAATCCATCACATAAACAGAACCAACGACAAAAACCACATGATTATCTCAATAGATACAAAAGAGGACTTGACAAAATTCAACAGCCCTTCATGCTAAAAACTCTCAATAAACTAGGTATTGATGGAACGTATCTCAAAATAATAAGTTATTTATGATAAACCCACAGACAATATCACACCAAATGGGCAAAAACTGAAAGCATTCCCTTGGAAAACTGGCACAAGACAAAGATGCCCTCTCTCACCACTCCTATTCAACATAGTATTAGAAGTTCTGGCCAGGGCAATTAGGCAAGAGAAAGAAAAAAAGGGTATTCAATTAGGAAAAGAGGAAGTCAAATTGTCTCTGTTTGCAGATGACATGTTTATATATTTAGAAAACCCCATCATCTCAGCCCAAAATCTCCGTAAGCTGATGAGTAACTTCAGCAAAGTCTCAGGATACAAAATCAATAGGCAAAAATCACAGGCATTCCTACATACCAATAACAGACAAACAGAGACAAATCATGAGTGAACTCCCATTCACAATTGCTACAAACAGAATAAAATACCTAGGAATCCAACTTACAAGGAATGTGAAGGACCCCTTCAAGGAGAACTACAAACCACTGCTCAATGAAATAAAAGAGGACACAAACAAATGGAAAAACATTCCATGCTCATGGATAGAAAGAATTAATATCATGAAAATGGCCATACTGCCTAAAGTAATTTATAGATTCAATGCTATCCCCATCATGCTAGCACTGACTTTCTTCACAGAATTGGAAGTAAAGCTACTTTAAATTTCACATGGAA
Source organism: Homo sapiens (assembly GCF_000001405.40). NCBI lineage: Eukaryota > Metazoa > Chordata > Mammalia > Primates > Hominidae > Homo > Homo sapiens. The sequence goes on from NC_000003.12 coordinate 4,076,009, forward strand.
CCAAAAAACAGCCCACATTGCCAAGACAATCCTAAGCAAAAAGAACAAAGCTGGAGGCATCATGCTACCTGACTTTAAACTATACTACAAGGCTGCAGTAACCAAAACAGCATGGTACTGGTACCAAAACAGATATATAGACCAATGGAACAGAACAGAGGCCTCAAAAATAACACCACACATCTACAACCATCTATCTTTGACAAACCTGACAAAAACAAGCAATGGGGAAAGGATTCCCTATTTAATAAATGGTGCTGGTGGGAAAACTGGCTAGGCATATGTAGAAAGCTGAAACTGGATCCCTTCCTTAACACCTTATACAAAAATTAACTGAACATGGATTAAAAACTTAAATGTAAGACCTAAAACCATGAAAACCCTAGAAGAAAACCTAGGCAATACCATTCAGGACATAGGCATGGGCAAAGACTTCATGAATACAATACCAAAAGCAATGGCAACAAAAGCCAAAATAGACAAGTTGGATCTAATTAAGTTAAAGAGCTTCTGCACAGCAAATGAAACTACCATCAGAGTGAACAGGCAACCTACACAATGGGAGAAAATTTTTGCAATCTATCCATCTGACAAAGCACTAATATCCAGAATCTACAAAGAACTTAAACAAATTTACAAGAAAAAAACAAAAAACCCCATCAAAAAGCGGGTGAAGGATATGAACAGATACTTCTCAAAAGAAGACACTGGCCGGGCGTGGTGGCTCACGCCTGTAATCCCAGCACTTTGGGAGACCGAGGCGGGCGGATCAGGAGGTCAGGAGATCCAGACCATCCTGGCTAACATGGTGAAACCCCATCTCTGCTTAACTTAGAATACAAAAAATTAGACAGGTGTGGTGGCGGGCACCTGTAGTCCCAGCTACTCGGGAGGCTGAGGCAGGAGAATGGCGTGAACCCGAGAGGCAGAGCTTGCAGTGAGCCGAGATCGTGCCACTGCACTCCAGCCTGGGCAACAGAGCGAGACTCCATCTCAAAAAAGAAAAAAAAAGAAGACATTTATGCAGCCAACAGACATATGAAAAAATGCTCATCATCACTGGTCATTAGAGAAGTGCAAATCAAAACCACACTGAGATACCATCTCACACCAGTTAGAATGGTGATCGTTAAAAAGTCAGGAAACAACAGACGCTGGAGAGGATGTGGAGAAACAGGAATGCTTTTACACTGTTGGTGGGAGTGTAAATTAGTTTAACCATTGTGCAAGACAGTGTGGCAATTCCTCAAGGATCTAGAACTAGAAATACCATTTGACCCAGCAATCCCATTACTGGGTATATACCCAAAGGATTATAAATCATGCTACTATAAAGACACATGCACACGTATGTTTATTGTGGCACTATTCACAACAGAAAAGACTTGGAACCAACCCAAATGTCCATCAATAATAGACTGGATAAAGAAAATGTGGCACATACACACCATGGAATACTATGCAGCCATGAAAAAGAACAAGTTCATGTCCTTTGCAGGGACATGGATGAAGCTGGAAACCATCATTCTCAGCAAACTATCACAAGGACAGAAAAACAAACACTGCATGTTCTCACTCATAAGTGGGAGTTCAACAATGAGAGCACATGGACACAGGGAGGGGAACATCACACACCAGGGCCTGTCATCGGGTTGGGGGCTGGGGGAGGGATAGCATTAGGAGAAATACCTAATGTAAATGTCGAGTTCATGGGTGCCGCAAACCAACATGGCACATGTACACATATGTAACAAACCTGCACGTTGTGCACATGCACCCCAGAACTTAAAGTATAATAAAAAAAAACTGGCATTAAACTATATAAGATGAATAGTAAAATTCATGCTAATAATTTAAATTTAAATTTTTATTTATTAACAATACTAAATAGTAAGTAAAAAGACCATGCTAAGTCAAGAGAAAGAGACCATGGAAGAAAGAAAAAAGCTTGATATTTTAGTCCTTTTCATGGCATTTTTTTCTTGCTTTTAAACAAGAGGGCCCATATTTTCACTTTGCACTGGGACTCACAAATTATGTAGCCAGCCCTGTTGGCAAGAGCGCAGCTTCCCCTCTCCTATGCTAATAGCAGACACTACTGATTGCATATGGTACTGTTCCCCACTGAGCCGAAATATGACCTCAAAATCTTTTTGAAAGCAGGGTTCAAAAGTGCAATCTGAGCAGGCATACAAGCTGAATCTATGGGCATCCCTCAAAATCAAACTATGCAGATGGAAATGGGGCTGGCTTTCCAGACAATGAAAATACTGGCTGGTGTGTTACCAGAGTAATGAGTAGGCCAAGCTTGCTAAACTCAAACTATCCACTACCTGTGAACGTATCATCCCAGTTCCAAATGTAAAACAACATAACAAAAATCAGCTTGACAAACAAGATAATTAGACTTAACTTTGATCATGTGTTTCATTAGTTACAGAAACGGCCCACAATTTAGAGTTCTTTCTGATTATGTTAGAGTAGGAGCCTCTAAAAAAATGAATAATGCAATAAATGGATCAATATTTATATGGTGCTAATTATATGCCAGGTGCTATTTTTAAATGATTTGCATACATTAACTCATTTAATCCATGTAACAGGCCCAGTGTGGTAGCTCCCACCTATAATCCCAGCACTTTGGGAGGCCACAGCAGGAGAATCACTTGAGGCCAAGAGTTCAAGTCCAAGAATTTGAGTCCATCCTGGGCAACACAGTGAGACCCCCATCTCTAAAAAAAAAAATCAAAAAAAGTTTTAAAAATCCATACAACAACCTATGAAGTAGGTACTGTGGTTATCTCATTTTTATAGGTGAAAAAACTGGGACAGAGAGGGGTTTAATAACTACCTCAAGGTCATCATCTAATCAATAACAGAGCCAGGTAGTGTGGATTTAAAGTTTATACTCTTAAAATCTCTTGAAGAAGTCGCTGCAGAAGGTGTCCATCACAGACTTGGCAATGTTTTGCTAAAGATGTTTTCTCGGGAAGCTCTCGGTTTTCTCTGGGTTTTTTCCTCCTCCTATGTGACATTGTTTGTCATCTGTACCTCAGAGCAGTTCTGCGTGAGTCGCCTCACAGTCCCTGATGAGCAATTTCACCCATTTTAGCCCTTCCCACACTAACCGCGAATTCAAGATCAGCCCAAGAAGTAACAACATCCATGTCATCAGCTCAGCCAGCCAAAATACCCTGTATTCCAGCTTCTGTAAATATTATTAGCTAACACCTCGCTTCAATCCTTGAAACCACACACCAGAATCTTAGAGTTGGAAGGGTTTTTGGAAATCATCTAATACAGGGATAATAAAAAGGTTTACCTCACATGCCCATTTTGATCTGATCGATTGGTAGTAGATGCCTGGAGTGACATGAGAAGGGTTTTGATACCATTTGGAGTTTACTGAAATAAGGTACATGCCTGACATGTACCTGAGAGAGCAGCAGAAGCTCATATGCTGTCCTAGCAGTACAGTGTAGCTCTTAGGAATATGGGCTCTGGGGTTAGATTTCCTAGGATCAAAGTCTTGCTTCACTGTTTGCTGATAGAAACTTGCTTAAGTTTGCACTAAATCTATCTAAGTTCTCTTGTTTGTGAAATGAGGCTGATGAAATCTACCTGATAGGTTGGTTGTGATAATTTAGTGAAATAATATATGGAAAGTACTTATTGGAATATCTAGTATGCCCTAAGTACTCAACATGCTGTTAACACATATTGATCTTAAGCAACTTGTCGTATCTGGCATGGGTCCTGGAGGTGACAGTGGCAGTAACAGTGCCATTTATATGCCATTTCTGATCTAGTCCTATCTTTTAAACCTACAGATGGAGAAGCTGAAGCTGCAGAAACTGTGGGGCTTTCCCAAAATCACATATATTGTCTCCTTCAAAACTAAAGGCACTCAGGAAACATAATAATCTTCTTGCCCTGGCTCTGCCTCTCCCTGCGTGCAACCTCAGGCAAAGCACTGCTCTCTGGACTTCGGTGTCCTTATCTGTATAATAAATGAGTCAGAATCCAAATGATCTTCACAGAGTAGTCACTCCCAGAGGGTCCTGTATTTCCAGGGGGTGAGGAACACTTTTACCCGTAGTTCACTGGACGTTACAAACAGCAATTCTTTACTTCCAGTTTTGACAGTTTCAGTGTTAACTAATCACTCCAGTATTCCTTGCACAAATGCACACGTACATTCCATTTGCTTTGATCTCAAACTTAAGTTTTTTATGAATGAAGGCTACAGCTGGACACCAAAAGATTATACCATTAATTTTTAAGTATGCCTCAGAGGGTCTAATGGGCTATGACCCACAATGGTCATATCAGCGGCATTCCACTTCCTCTTGAGCCACTGGCCAAGCTGGTATTGAGGTGCATGTCCCAGTTTATCTCCAGCCCTCCTAATCTCAGACTTTCTGCACCTATGCTAATACTTGAACCAACTCTTCTTTTTTTTAATTGAATCCAATGCAATGTACCTGGGAACCCTGCTTCAAAATCTGATGCCAAATCTAAAACACTGGACAAAATCCAGGTTTTTATTCATTTTCTGATGGGCACTAGCTGCTAATTAAGCATCCAAACAATGTTCTAAAAAGGAAGAAAAATCATAAAATATGGACTTAACATTAATCACACAGACATACATGTAATATACGTTACCTTTATAGCAGGAACCAATAAAAGAATACAATATAAAACACATATTTGTACTAGATAATTTTGTATAAATATTTTAAAGGTTTCTTAGCTCAGGGATTAGAGCACTGGTTTTATAAAAGAGCAGGTCACATATTCAAATTTCACGAAGACTTTCCTGATGTCTTTCAAAGAAGTATAACACACATATTAAGAATCTGGACTCAGGAGCCACATTATCTGAATTCAAATCTTGACTTTCTCACTTCCTAGCTGGTGACCATGAGCAAGTCATTAAATAAATTTTCTTACCTCAGTTTGCTCAACTGAAAAATGGGAATAATGATGATCTGGTAAGAATTGTTTAAAGGACTCAATACACATTAAGCGTTTAGCCCAGTGACTGCCCAGGTTTCAAGACAAAGGTGAATTCAAGCCTCTTGACATAATGACCTCACTTTTCAACTTATGTATTGCCTCCTATTTTACAGATAAAGAAACTAAAGTTCAGAGAAGAGCTGTTGCCTAAAGTAACGTTCACTGAGCAGGTCAGGACAGGACACTACTTAGTAGCAAAGCCAGGACCAGAACCCAATTTTTCTAAACCTCAGAGCACTACTTTCCTCAAATCAGTGTTCCTTCTGCCTCATCTAGGGTAGATACAGATATCCATCCTCTTTCTTCACTGCCTGCTTCTACTCAGATGGGCTTCCTGAGAGCAAGATCCCTGTCATATTCTCATTGGCTGGCACCGTTCCTAGCATATAGTAAACTTTATTATCTAATTGAGTTGAATTCATTCATCAGCTCTTTACATTATACACCTAACTTCTTTTAGATGTTGCCAATAAGCTGATTGTCAGTTATTTAGGTCTTAAGGAGACAGTCCAGTAGAGTGGTTTAGAAAAAAAGGCTCCACAGCTGGGCTGTATGGGCTCAAAGAGTACTTCTGCCACTTCCTAATTAATTTGACCATGGCCAGGTTACTTCACCTCAGCTTCTTCAGTTATAAAATGGGACAATAACACCTCTGTCATAGGGTTATGAGTGATAACTTGGAATAATATGCAATGGTCAATTGTATGTGTGGACTTGACTAGCCTATAATCTCGGTTACTCAATCCAACACAACTAGGTGCAGCCACAAAAGTATTTTGTAGATGTGTTTAACATCTACAATCAGGAACTCTGACTGATAAAGTATGTAAAGCTCATACCTGGTCCATCATACTTAATGAATGTTAACTGCCAATAGTGTTAGTGATATTTCCATTGTTGTTGAACACATACTGAAAGCCTTAACACAATAACTTTAAGTGTAAGGGTATAAGTCTTTGCCTACAGTTCTCCAGAAGGGATTATGCCTGCAACTTACTTTCAAACAAGTAGTTTGGAATTGTGTATAGATAGATATTGATCAAGCACATATGGGAAAATATTAACATTTGGGGATTCTGATGACAGGATATATGGGAATTCTTTGAACTACTTTTAAAACTTTTTATGTCTGAAATCATTATTTTAAAAAAGTTAGCCTGGGCATGGTGACTCACACCTGTAATCCCAGCATTTTGGGAGCCCAAGGTGGGCAGATCGCTTGAGCTCAGGCGTTTGAGACCAGCCTAGGCCACACAGTAAAACCCCATCTCTACAAAAAGTACAAAAAAAATAGCTGGGCATGGTGATGCACCCTGTGGTCCCAGCTACTCGAGAGGCTGAATTGGGAGAATCGCTTGAGCCTGGGAGGTCGAGGCTGCAATGAGCCGTGTTCATGCCACTGCACTTCATCCTGGGCAACAGAGTGAGACCCACCCTGTTTCAAAAATTAAGTAATTAATTAATTTAATTAAAAGTTAAAATTTTAAAATCAATAGAATTAAATTATATTTAAAATGTTCCAACAGATTTACTCTGGCAACAACCAAAGGTCTGAGACAAGGATTGCTGATGTGGAGTGAAAGAGATTAGTCAAAATGCCTATTGTAAACATTTTAAAATTATTAATCTATTTAATAAACAACTCAATTACCCATATTTTAATTGTGCAATATTACCTCTATGAACTATTAATGAATAGACATTTTAAAAAGAGAGAAAGAGAGATTACATCCTGTTTGGGGGAGATTAGAGAGAGAATGGGTATGATTTCACTAGGAAAAAATGAAAGATGGAAAAGGAGGGTCTCTCAGGCAATCAAAACAGGCTAAGTTAAGTCAATCTATTTTAGATGATGAAATCTATGTCTGTTTAAACTCTTTTTCTGTGTAATAAGTGCCCAGCAGATAAACGACCAGAGTGGTGCACTGCCTGACAGAGGTTCATATTTAAAAGTTCCTCCTCCAAGCACAGTGCTAAGAAATTTATTTAGAAAATATCTAAATGTCTCCTGGGTCTAGAACATTAGAGACAATGGCAGGCCCTCCGGCTAGATCAAAGTGCACCCCGTGGATAAACATGCCCAGACTGAAAAGGATGAAATCCTGGGCCATCTGCTGGGATGCAGCTGTGTTCTAACACCTCACTTTTGATTAAGAGATCGCAAACTGACTTGTTAATATTGTAATTCAAACTTTGTTGGCGGCTACACAATTGGAACCTCACGGACAGTCTGCCTACCCTTTAAACATGACATTTGAGTTAATACCCTGTCCTTTTTCCAAGACACACGTTACTAAAAATCACTGGAACCTGAAGGCAGCAAAAGTTCAGCAATCAAACCCTGAATCCTGATCACCACCCTTCAATGCCCATTGTGAGGAGCTCTAGTTAAGCTGATGAGGATGTGTCAGCAAACCAGAGCTCATCACCAGGGTGCCTATCGGCTGCACCCCAGCGTGACTATGAAACACCCAGAAGAAGCAAAGAAAAGTCTATGTGTCTTGTTACTTTATCTAATTCCCCCAATATTCTGCTACCACTATCGTCCATTTGCAACTTGTTCCAAGGAAAGCACATTCCATCCAAAATTAGGGTCTTATAGAAGAACTTATACCTCTGGCTTATTTTAAAACATATATTTGAAAGCCTACAAAATATGTAATGCCTTATTAGACACTGTACAAAGATATATGTGACATCATGCCTATCCTCAGAGAATTTATATTCTGTGGGAGAGATAAAACATAAATATTAATCAGATACAAATACAAATACAAATATGACATCATCGTTGGCACACAGGCATGTCAAAAAAAAAAAAAAAGAGCTTAGAAATGGACTTTGTAGGATTAAGGTGTTCACCAAATGTTATCGTGTTTCTCTGAGTGGTCGGTTTGGGGATGCTTCTTGCCTTTTTCTCTGTACTTTATGATGTCTTTCAATTTTACAGTAAGTATGAATCATTTTTACAAAAACAATGATGTTTATTTCAAGATGGAATAGGAAAGAAAAATGGGTTCATGGAGGAAATGACACTTTTTAAATAGATATAATTCAGAGGAGTAATAATGAATTTGCTGGTTATCTGACCCCCACTCTAATTCCTTTGGAAGTCATTAAATGAAGAAAGGCATCTCTTCCATGAGCCTGGGCAAATTCACAACTCCCTGCTTCTTGCTCCTAATTATTCTGCCAGTCAAGTCCAGGAAAAATGCAAGTGGCATAAAAGCCAAGGGTCTTTGCAACCACTGGACCCAATAGATTGACTATACAGGAGGCTACTCAGGAGTAGATGTTTTGAGAAATGTTGTAATTTCCCAAAATGTCAATAACAAGTACAGCTCATGGTTCTGACCTGCCTGTGAGTTTTCCTCCACTCAGCAGTCATAGCAGCCAATGGAATGATGTGGAAATAATTCACCTCTGCTCTAGAGAATCTGCTTGAGAAATTACATACAACAAAACTTTCCCAGACACAGGATACCTGAAGAAAATTACTTGATTAGTAAGAACCAAAGCATTTCCAGAACCAAGGCAAGGAGCTAAAGTAGACAGAACACAGGACAAAGAAACTCAAGACTTAAGTTTCTTCCTGACTTTCACACTTAGCACAAAGTGTGATCTTTGATCCATAGAACTGCTCTTGAGTTTATTAGCAATATTACTTTGTAAATTGGGAAGATAGTACCTTATCCTTAATACTATAAAGGGTTATTTTAAAGATTGGTAAATAATAATGTTCTTTGTATCTTGCAAAAGGGTATGATTAAAATTCCTAGAGTTTAGAAAAACATTGTGTGGTTATCTTGTTTAAAGATGAGGAGAGGACCATTATCCCTCAGAAGTGCCAATTTTACGTCTTTCCCAGTTTTCAACATAACAGGTCAAGTTTCAAACAGACCATCTTGAATCTTCCAGTGACTACAAGTCAATGAAATATCAGCTTTACAGTATGTGTCTTGATTCATTTATTCAGGAAATAGATGATGTCTATCTACTCTATGCATATTAAAATAGAAGACCCATCCTATATTACAGACTCAGAGACAGATTAGGGGTGGGCCAACCATTCAGGTAATCAGGGCCCCATCAAATAGGGGAAGCTAAAAAAATGGCTCTTGGGATACTAAATTGTATTTTAAATGTAATGAGATGAAGAACATGTGTTTCCCAGTACTTCAAGTAGGGATAAAATATATGTGGCTGGGAACAATTACTTAATAAACTGCTTTGGGTGCTCTGTGAGTCCCCAGAAAGGCAAGTCCAAGATGACGCCTTCTAAGAAGGGTGGATGTGAAGAGCCTAGAGTTTTGGTTTTGCTGAGGGGAGAATATAAATTTGGGGACCAGAGCTTAGACAATAGAGGTGAGGTTGAGAGCTTCCACCAGTGATGATCTTTCTTCATCTTTACCCCATAGAGTGCTCAAATTCACCTCTAAATGAACTATTAAGTACATCTCTTCAAAGAGCCATCAAATTATTAGCCTGCAAGAGATACCCACATGTCTTGTTAAATTGTGAATAGTCCCTTTTGTCACTCATAGTCAGTCTTAAAGTATTGAGAAACATAATTAAAACAAAAGTTCATTCTCCCAGTCATTCAATAATTTCCATATCCCTTCTCCTTCACCTAGACCACCCTGGCCAGAACTGATGTCATATATAAATGCTACAGAGACTTAGTATTTTTTGTTCTACTTTGTCCTTCTCTTTTACCTAAAGAACTACAAACATGAGACATGCAGTTGTTTTAATATAAAGCCCAAAAGTGGACAAAAATATTGCTTTCTTGACATTATACTATACACCTTTCCTACAAAAATAGACAATACTCCCATGATTTGATATTGTTATCAATCATTCCTTTCCTCTTCTGCCTCTCAAAAAAAAAGAACAAATACTCAAACCACCTAGTCTAGCATGAAAAGTGTATAAAACTGAAATTTGCAAATATCTGAAGTGAAACTCAGTCCTGAGAAGCAATCTATGCATCCCCTGGTGCAAGTTAAAGCCAATTGCCTCCAACAAGATCCACAACACAATAAGGCTGGGGTTCTAAACACAGAGAACACAGAAACAAGGGCCATTAAACAACCTGGCTGTTAGGCAAAATATACATTACCCAAACCATGATAACTAAACCACTAAAACAATAGCCCTGCAGTGTTTATACACTTAGAATCAGAAAAAAAAAAAAAACAGAATTATTGTCATTAAACTGGGGTAAACTAAAACATCTAACAAAGAATAAAAGAATCCCCATCCCACATTTATTATTTTAGTTTCTTCTCCAAATTATTTCAGTCCTTTGTGCCCTTGGAAAGTCACTTCACCTCTCCGGGACTTATTTTCCTCTGTGAAATTAAGAGGTTGGGTTAGATAATATTTACAATATTGGACAGCTGTGTACTACAACACTAGGGAATTAGAAGACCTGGTGTCTCATGCCCGATCTGTCATGAAATGTTAGGCAAGTCATTTAACCTTTCCTGAGTACCAGAATTCCTCATCTATTAAATAGAGACAAAATCACCTGCTCTGCTTATCTTACAGGGATGAAGATAATCAGATTGCAAGTGGTTAGAGAACTGTAAATGTCATACAGTTATAATGAACTAGAAGTATGGTATGGTTTGGCTGTGTCACCACCCAAATCTCATCTTGAATTTTAGCTCCCATAATACCCTCATATTGTGGGAGGGATCCAGTGGAAGATAATTGAATCATGAGGGCGGTTTCCCCCATACTGTTCTCATGGTAGTGAATAAGTCTCATGAAATCTGACGGTTTTATAAGGGGAAACCCCTTTCACTTGGCTGTCATTTCTGTCTTGTCTGCTGCCACATAAGACATGCCTCTTGCCTTCCACCATGATTATGAGGCCTCCTCAGCCATGTGGAACTGTGAATCCATTAAACCTCTTTTTCTCTATAAATTACCCAGTCTTGGGTATGTCTTTATCAGTAGCGTGAAAACAGACTAATACAAAGTACTATCATCATTTTAACTTCCCAAAAAACATCTAATAGAAAAGATCTTTTCCCCACTTTAGTTTCCAAAGAGCGATCACTAAATAATGATTCTATGGCGCTGAGCAACTTTGGAGCGAATGGCTGATAAAGGTACTGGAAAGCCAACGTGGGGTAGTGAGAATCAGAAGACAAGTCCTGACACAGACTCTGTGTGTGACCTCAGCCAAGGTATTTAATCTGATTGCCTCAGCTTTCTGATCTCGCAGACATGGAGCTGGGCAAGTTATAATACCAGACATCTACTGAATAGTTACCATGCAGCATGCCTTCTTTCAATTACACCTCAAAATAGCCATATGACATAGGTAAGATGACCATTCCCATCTTGCAGGTGGAGTGTCTGGCACTGCACAGGTATGTAACTTGCTGAGGGTCACCTAAAGCTCAGTAAAAGGCAGTCAGTCTAACTTCAATGTCCATCTTCTTGACCTCTAGCCAGTAGTTCTCAAACTTTTTGGTCTGAGGATTCTTAAAAATTAAACTATATTTTTCCAAAAAGTAAAATAGTAAGAAGAATCACATTGTTTTAAAGTTTTAGAAGTCTCTTTAATGTCTGGCTTCATAGAAGACAGTAGGAGAAATGGCCATTACTTCCCCACCACAGCCCCCAATAGCAATCAAACAAAATATTATATAATCAAATTGAAAGGAAACTGGAAAAAAATAATTACAATTAAAACAGCACCATTTTAATATTTATCTAATAAGCATCTTAAGTTTCTAAATTAGAAGGTCACCATATTTAGTGAATGAAATGTAATAATAATCATGAGATTCTAAACTGCATTTTATACTTCAGTGATAATCTCAGATAAATCAGCCATTCCCAGCAATTACTGATATTTTATTTTTGTTAACAGCCTGAAAAAGTTTTTGAAGAGAAATTAATGATTGAGAGCTTGATTTGAAAAAAAAATGCACACTCCTATTTGATTCTAAGAAGGTGTAATACAATTTTTCCTAAGCAGAAGTATGGACTAAGGAAGAAAATGATAACCTGTGTAGGCTGATACGTCAGTGAGATGTATACTTTGACTCCTACTGAGAAGATGGGGATCCAGGTAGCCTCTGAACTCAGGTGAGTGTTCTCTTTGGACACCTCTGATTTACTTCCATGATTTCCTTCCTTAAACCTGTGCCAGACCACTCCTTCTTCCATCTATTCCTTCCACTCTCCATACTCAGGTAAGACCAGTCTGCTTTTTACAATGCCCTGATATTGACATTCAACCTTAGGAAATAGGCAAAAATCATATTCTGAATTTCTTTCACTGCTTGGTCCACCAGGTAAACATCACCTCACACTGAGACAATATATATTTGCCCAAAAAATGTTTTGTGAACAACTATTATGCACCTTTATCTTCTCCATGTCTTTATGCAAACATCATCTTAGCAAGGCCTTCAAGAGCCATCCATTACCACAAACACCACTAATATCACCACGTCTCTACTTCTTCCCTCTCCTCCCTTCCTCCTTTATTTTGTCTATAATATTTATCACTAGCACATTTTAAATTTCATTTATTCATTTCATTTACTTATTTTCTATCTCCCCAGCTAAAATGTAGATTCCATGAAGACAAATATTGTTTGTTATGCTTCCCTCACTGTTGAGTCCCCAGCGCCTAGGATGGAGCCTGACATATATAAATTTATTTCTGCCTTTATTGCACATAGTTTCTTCCTTACTGAAGAGAATTTAAGATGCACACGTCTCTGATTGGCCATCCCGATCAATTTCCCCACCTGACTCAATATGTGTAAGCTCTTTAATTCCAGAGAGAGAGAAATGGGATGAGAAACCACACACAGAAAAAATGTGTTGAATGAATGAAAGTGATTAGAATGAATGAATATATGGACAAATGAATGTAGCAATCTAGGTGGGATGAAAAAGAATAATTTAAGTCATGGACTATCCTCTCAAGGAGCCCACAGTCCACCAATGACTCTCAACCAGGTATGTGTGACAGATGACATATACCCCTGTCACACAGTTCTATGGCCATGACCCACACTGTGGAAGCTGGCACTAATAACATGAAGTGCAGATTATGTATAATTATCCCTCATGTATTCTGAAACTCCACCCTTTTGCTCCTACTCACAAAGCATCCAAGATCTAGACTGGACATGGTGTTTGCATAGGGGTGACCTTGAATCAGTTCTATTTTGTAAAATAAATTTTCTTAAAATGTAATACTTTCCCTATGATTAGTAATCAGTTACTCATAATACAACTCTCAACAATTGGCAACACTTCAGAATGTCCAGCTCTGCTTTGTAAAACTGCTTGCCTAGAAAACAGGATGAAGAATGTCACTTGAGAAATAAGGAAAGCTACTTGCTCTATTAGAGAAATGTGTAATAAACAATTGGAAAATACTTGGTATAAAAAAATACAAACATTGTTTTCAGGTCTTATTCTTTGAAATGTGAGCTCTTATTCTTTGTCTATTTTCCCAATGCCTTTCTATCACAGAGCCTATCATATACCTGGAACTCCAGGGATTATGAATAAATAAATAAAGCACTGGATAAAAAACTAAATTGCAGAACAAGGGAAGAATAATATATTAGTCATTAAGTGATATACCAGAGATCCTAAAGGCCTCAAACCTATGCAATTCCTAACTCATTCTTTGAAACTCAACTACCACCTTTTAGCAAAGTCTTTCTGACTTCCCCAACCCAAATTTCATTTTCCTACATGTTGATCACATCATATTTTTGTAGTGTCTTCTTTAAGATACTCATCACATTTCATCTCATGCTGGTCCTTCATTTTCAGCTTCAGAGTTCTTTCATTTGCTGATCACTACTGCAATCTCAGACTGGTTCCTTTGATCTACATACTCATGGAACCATGTTCCATTCTTTCAGGGCACTTATTTCAGCGGTAGTTACACAATTATCTTTTTATTCATTTGGCTTGAGACTATCTCAAATCAACAAACTGTGAGCTCCATGACCCTAGTGACCACATATGATTTTGTTGACCAGGTATTCCCAGCACTAGCACAGTGCCTGGCCATAGCAGGTGCTTCATTAATATTTGGTAAATGAATACATTAATGAATAATATGTAATTTGAGCGCATGCACAGCAGGTCCTCGAATAATGCTGCTTCATTCAACATTGTTTTGTTATAGAATTGATCAGAGGAAAAAAAATCATTTCCTAACCCAGGTCCACTATCTGTGTGGAGCTGACACATTCCCCCATGTCTGCATGGGTTTTCTCTAGGTACTTTGGTTTTCTCTCACATTTGGAAGCTGTGCATGTTAGGTGAACTGGCATGTCTAAGTTGTCCCACTCAGAATAAATGCAGCTATGTGTGAGTGCACATTGTGATGGGATGGGGTCCTCTCCAAGGTCAGTTCCCACCTTGTACCCTGAGCTGCTGGGATAGGCTCCAGCCACCCATGACCCTGAATTGGAATTAAGCAGGTTGGAAAAGAATGAAGGGATGAATAAATATAAACCACTGTAAAATAAAAATTTGTGAAGTGTACAGTGAATATACAGATGCCTGACAACAAACTGTGCAGTATAAAAGCATCCAGCAAACCCCCCATATTTGTTATTGTTTGTTTTTGAACTGCATGGTGGTTGGAGGGGCTCCTGACAATTTTCACTTTGCATTTATTCCTTGATTTAACCTGCCATTACTACAACCACTGTCACTCACTGATTCATTAAAAATTGGGTAAACATTATCTTGTTTTTATCATTCTTTCTTAAATATATACATAGTTCACATTTATTTCAATGCTTAATAGTAGAAGTATGATGGGAGGCCGAGGCAGGTGGATCCCATCCTGGCTAACACGGTGAAACCTCATCTCTACTAAAATTACAAAAAACTATCCAGGTGTGGAGGCACGCACCCATAATCCCAGCTACTTGGGAGGCTGAGGCAGGAGAATCGCTTGAACCAGAGAGGCGGAGGTTGCAGTGAGCCAAGATCGCTCCACTGCACTCCAGCCTGGGCGACAGAACGAGACTCCATAAAAAACAACAACAACAACAAAAAAAAAAACAAAAAACACACATTTTGGGTCTTTAAGTAGAAGTTTGGTGATGTTTTGTGACCAGAAATATGCCATAGAAACTTAACTCTTATTTATATCAATTAGTTTCATTATACATTGTTTCACTTAGTGTTGTAGCTTCTAAGAACCTATTGGCTTTAAGTGAAGACTTACTGTGGTATCTTCCCAAAAGACAGCACACTCCTTCACCTCTTGTAACAGGGAATCTGACGCCTTGAACATGATAGTGGCTCCATAAATATTAACTTGGATATAATTTCCTAAAGCTGTGTATATTTGTGTATATGTGCATGAGGGTGTACGTGCATCTATGCAGCAAGGAATTGAATGTACCTTTAAAAATGTATCACAGCTTTCTACCTTTCACCTGTGTCTTCCTTCAGAAGACTTCTTTTTTATGTACAAATTGAATATTCAGTTAAACAATTACAAGGTTGTCACACTGTTGACAAAAAACCTGTTGCAGCCTTTAAGACAACCTCGAATAGGATAACAGCCCTTTATGACTTTAACAAAAATTCATTTTTATTGCAATCAACCAGCATGTACTAGAATCAAAAGGAAAAAAGAAATTCTGCCAGACTTGGCAGTGTGGCAGGACCAGTTTGTGCAACCTATATTTACTGGTAATAATGGTTATGTAAGAGGCCCTTGCATGGGACCATCATTTACTCACAAGGACATACAGCTCACAGCCTGGTTCAGAACATAGTCATTATTCTGGATGCTCCCATTTCAATTCAACTGTATTTCTGAGTGTGCAATTTAAAAAAAAAAAAAACCATCTTCCAGGGACCATTAAGTAATACTTGGACCCCCCTCAAAGGACAGCTGCAATACATTTAGGCACTTAGTCATCCAGTTATCACCTCTTCTCTCAAAAGGCCACATCAGCAAGGAGTAAAGGAGTAGACTGGAAATGCCTTGCTGGGTATCCTGGCCAGCTGCTTCTACTTGGCCTGATGTATTATTGTATAGGCCAACTATCAACAATCAATTCTTTAGTCCTCTCTTAGAGCTGCTTGGCTGCTTGTCCTGCTCCATAGCTCACTATCATAATCTCCTCTGACACACAGTGGTGTCCAAAGCACAATTTCACACAGGGCCAGGGTTCCAGTCTGGGACCTGAAGCCCCTGTCCAAAGGAGAGATAGCACAGGACTTGAAATCACCAGAAGATCCCAATTCTCTATCCAGGCTTTGCATGTAAAGTGGGAGATTTGGAGCAAGGCAAGTAGCAGCACAAGCATCCCCCAGTTTCCTTTTCTGTTTTCAGAGGGTGGTGAATTTCATGACTTCAAAGAATCCTTTCCACATTGAGCATCTATGCCTTTGGTGATACCACTATTTTAATGTGTCAGCTTTATTTTGCTTTACATTCTCTCTTTGTTGAAAGTAGTTAAGCCTTTCCTAAGTGAAGAAAACTTGACAAAGATTAACCTTCAAATTGGTTAACCATGTCATATTCCTAGCCTGCCTCCAATCTTCTAAAGACTCATACAAGAAAAACAACGAAAGTGACCAACTACTTATAGTATAAAAGCAATAATTCTTGTTAAGTTCTACTAAGTGTCCAGAACTGTAGTGTGTGTGTATATCGGGGGTGGAGTAGTGTGTCATTTAGAACACAATCCAAGTCTAGAGAGAGTCAAAGAATTGATAAGAAAATTGTTGCATGTGAAACATTCATGCTAAAGTACTGAACTTCATATGGCCAAGTGAGTGAATATATAAGAAGGTAAGGCTGATAATAGTCATGGAAGAAATGGTTAGAAAAGTAAATTTTGGTGTGTGCCTTACAATATAGAAAGCTTTGATAAAAGGAAAAAAAAACAAGGAGGAAGTTATTCCATGAATGTGCCAATGTTTATAGAGATAGAAATGACTGAATACATGCAGTGCTTAAAAGTAAGAGCTCTGCAATTGGGTAGACTGGCTTCTGATCCTGGTTCTGTCATTTGTAGTTGGGTGTTCTTGGGTAAGTCACCACTTGTCCACTCTGAGCCTTTAAATTTCTTTGCCTATAAAATGGAGATATTTAGAATGGCTAGCTCAGGAATTGGTTATGGGGATTAAGTTAAATAAAATTAAACAAGGTAATACCTAGCACATAGCAAGTATTCAAAAAGCTTTAGTCATAATTGATATCACTATCAACTAACATTTGTAGATAACTTGTTATATGTCAATCACTCTTAGGCCCAAGAAATACAAATAAATTAAAACTAAAGTGCTGGCCACAAAAACTCTCACTCTGAAGACCAACTGACAAATCAATAATTCACCGTGACACATATTGTACCAAAGCTTTGCAAATAGGAACACAGGGAGCAAGCACCTAACAGTGGTTGGGGAGAAGGAAAGGAGGAGGAAAACAGATCACAAAGATGGTGAGTATTCTAAGTCTAAAAGAATGAGTAGGAGCATACAAACACTAAACAAAAAAAAAGTTTTCTAGATAGAATATTACATGCAAAGATACAGATATTTAAGAAACAATCTAAGAATTGCAAATGGTTTGGTGGAAGATAGAGTACAGGATATAGAGGGGAAACAATAAGGGAAAAGGCTGGACAATTAGGAAAAAACAGATTTGAATTTGTTTCTTCAGGCAAAGGAGTCAGATGATAATGACTAATTCTAAGGAAGAAGAATAAAAAATTAACAAGGCAAGGTGGAATATGTAAATTATTCTCAGTTAATGAAGGGCCTTAAATGCCAACTCAAGGAGTTTGAATTTCAGCCTATGGACAGTTGAAAAGTATTTTCAGTTCTAAGAGAGGGGATAAATATTAAAATTCTATATTAGGTAGATTAGGCAGGTATATATCCAAAATGGGAATTGGAAAGAGATTCGAAATAAGGTACATTCAAGAATGATACAGTAAGGCCCTGGTCCTGGATTTTTGAAGATATGAATCCAAGACATACCTAAACTGAACTGATACAGAAAATAAATAAGAAAGACAATCAAAGTTGCCTGGAGGAAGTAAGGTTTATGAGGTATAGGTCATGATGAAATGACCTTGAGTGTAGCTTGAGTGTAGATGATTTGCTTTAAAAGGGAAAAGAGATAACAGTTGAGAAGCCTATCGGACTTTTGGTGTTGAGCTCATTTATTAATCTATTCATTCACTCACTCCTTCAACAAGTATTTATTGGTATTTCTCCTGATAGGGTAATATGAATAGGCACTGGAGATAGAAAGATGGTATAAATATAGATCATGCCCTCATGAACTTAGAGCTTACTAGGGGAGAAATGGAAGGTACCCAAGCAACTATTAAGACAAGGTAGTAAATGATATAATTACCAAAAGAAGGATATCAGTGTAGTGAAAAATGACTTCCAACTGGGGAAACCAGAAAAGTCATGATGGAGAGGTCAGGATGTAAGCTAGGCTTTGAAGGTGAGGTAAGCTTATTAAACACAGAGTGACCATAAGTCCCAGTTTACACTACACAGTCCCAGTTATGCCTTTTGTCAAGCATAATTGTTAACAGCACCCCAGCTTCACTCCCTAATTTTAACAATAAATTATGCAATTGCCCTAGTTATGGTGAAGGGGTGCCAGCCTGTGCTCAAAACCAATGTCAGTGAGAAGGTTGAACAGTGGAGTCAAAAGGCTGTTAATAATGTAATACTTATAGTTAGGGAAGTAATGATACAGTTCTCCTTGGTCCCAAAACCAACTACTCACTAATATCACAAAGAGAAAAGAGAACTATGTTCAAAGGAGAGGGATCGTGATGTAGGCTGACTCCAAGCCATGCTAACACTTACTTCACCAGTGAACCCTACTTTGAGGAGGCATCTCATGGAACCAGTGTTCTACAGAACACACTTCAAGAAACATAAAACCTTATGATCAATTGGTAGTGATGTTATAAAGAGAAAAATGAATATTGAATGAAGTATTGATGGCTAGTAAGGCATTTCTAAATAGAAATAGGATAATTGCTGTGTCACCTACAGTGTAATATTTATACAGGATAGATCTCTCTAAATTACAAGTCTCTTAATAATGTCTTGGCTTGTTCAAAGGAATAATGAAATTTTTAAAAAATGATTTTTTACAGGGTAGACTGTATCTATGGTCCTAAACTCTATATTTTAAACTCCAGAACAGCTTTTAAAACTCTGACCATAGGGCACCATAAGCAACAGAACAAATGGAGTTCTGCTTTCTTTTTGAAAAGGATTATTGTGCAACTCATCTCTATGAATGTAAAATGCCAGAAACCTCCATGGCTGCAGAAAATCTAGTACCTTTCAAAGTTTTCTTTTGAAAGCTCTGAAGAATGAGATTGATGATAGAATCCCTAATGTCTCTTTTTTTTGTAATCCACACCACACAAGATTTAAGAGCCAAGCCAGAAAACATCAAATGACTTGTTCAGCATTGTTCAAGGAGAAACATTGATGTTTTCTGCCACTGACAAGAAACACTAAGATTTTTATAAAAGGTAAAATGAGATATGACCAGCAGCATGTCTACTACAAGATGCTGTTACACCAACTACCATAAGCAGAACAATATAAAACAAATTCATATTCCTGACTGCCTGAAAGGAAAAAGACCCTCACAAATCCACAGTGCATGAAAGAAAAATGGTGTTAACAAAAAAAATGAATATAAAGCTGGTCCCAGTGACCTCTAAGCCTGTAAAAATCAAACACACTTTTACATAACTTTATTATTTCTTGTTTACAGCTAGTGGTAGATAACTCTGGTATTCACTGAACAAGGGAAAGCAAAATACTCTTATCATTTTAAGGCCCAACTCAGCCAATACAGACACATTTTTTTTCTAATTGATTTTTCTCTTCAGTCTTTAAAAATAGAAACTACATCACCACCTGGTAAAATAACTACTAAGCACTTAACTGTATGGGATTATGGTGGTCACAGGGAAAAGAGAATTACTAGGCATAGCCCACCGGCTTAGAATTCTATATGAACAAGATATCCTAAATTTGTAAAGACTGTATGGTCTTTAAGCTATTTCATTTACATGGCCACATTTCAGTTTCTCAATATGCTTGTGAGATAGTCAAGGCAGGTGATACAACATCCAAATCAGAACAGAAAGCTGAGCATCACCAACTCAGTCGGTCATCATGCCTGAGAACTTCCAGTAAGTACGGAGTGAGGACTGCAACACAAGGACCCTAATTCCATATCTAAGGGTCTTTCTCCCACACTATAGCTGTTAAGCAATCAAGTTCTCTATACTTGCTCCTTATAACAAAGTTGTTGCTTGCCTCTTTCACAATAAGTTTTAAAATGAATAATAACAACTGAAAGGGTTACCTTCACCCAGCCAAAGAGTGAGTGAAAAGTAGAAATGGGCAGCTTTTGTAGGTCCCTGATATCAAGGCAGCAAACATCAGCCTATGGACTCAGACTTCAGACAGCCATTGTGCACAGCAGCTTCTCTGTATACAGGTGAAATCAATACTTAAGTAAGGACTAGTCCACAGAATCCAAAGGAATCTAAATCTCTTTACAGATTATCATGATAGCCATGGTCATCAGGAAGACACATACCAAAATTAGGAGGAGACATGAATCTGTAAAGATAAAGCAAGAAAAACTCTGGTGGTATCTTAGTCGAGGGTCACAAATGGAAATGTCCACAGCAATCAGGCAGGTAACATAGTGAGGGTAGTGGGCTGGGTCGGAACCAGGGTGAGCTACTATGTGAAGGGGACAGCACTATTTAGTTCTAATTGAGTCCTGTTATGCAGGAGAACAGGCTCAGTGTTCCCAAATCTTCCCTTTTATCTTTAAAGAGAAACTGGATTATTAGGAGGAATTTGATTCCTGGCAACGAAATGAAAAAAGTAACATAGCATGGATCCAACTAAACATGTCTGTTGATTACATTTAGCCAGTATGTCAGATTCAGCCTGCAGACTAACAATTTTCAACTTCAAATTTCATTATTAAAACTTCTGGTTTAGTCAACAAGACATGTTTGACAATTTCTAGGTTCATGAAAAAATGGTATCTAATTGCTCAAAAATGTCCAACAGAGGGATCATAGAAGTAAACTAGAATTTTAACCTATTCACTCAATAAGGGTTGGGGAGGCAACCTAAATATACCTACTGTAAGTTTATTATTTCTTTAAAACCTCTGGTTGAGCCAGGCACGGTGGCTCACGCCTGTAATCCCAGCACTTTGGGAGGCCAAGGCAGGCAGATCACGAATGAGGTCAGGAGTTCAAGACCAGCCTGGCCAAGATGGTGAAACCCCATCTCTACTAAAAAGACAAAAATTAGCCAGGCGTGGGGGCAGGTGCCTGTAATCCCAGCTACTTGGGAGGCTGAGGCAGGAGAATCGCTTGAACCTGGGAGGCGGAGGTTGCAGTGAGCCAAGATCACACCACTGCACTCCAGCCTGGGTGACATAGTGAGACCCTGTCTCAAAAAAACAAAAACAAAAACAAAAAACACCTCTGGTTTATATTAAAAATTCATGTATTTTTTGCCTTCCAATTCACAACGCATGTGTTCTTCCTTTTAATATCAAGAAAGGTGATTTTCACCCCCAAAATCTCTAGTAAAGACTCTCCAGGACAATGTGCCACATTTATTCTGTGGCTTTCAAAACCTCTGCAAACCATGTTTAAGAAGCATAGCCCTAGATTAACCAGAGTTCTTTCAAGAGTACCACCCTTTCTTACATCCAGCAGTCCTTGGACCTAAAGCTTTAGCTCCAGCTATCCATCAGACTGACAGCAGTCAAGGGCCAGAAGTTGGTGTGGCATTCACAAAGAGAGACATGCTTCCAAAAATTCTCAAGACACAGCCTGCTGGTCTTGCTTAATCTGATCAACACCCTGACTACTCTCAGAAACAATGGCCATGATTTTTCAGGCCTTCTCTGGCCTCTTGCCTTTCAAAACAATGTCTCCGCTGAAATGCCCAGAAGAATAACGTATCTTCCTGTCAGGGTTGAGACTACAAAACTTCCTCCAAAATTGCCTCATACTGCTTTTATCTTTAATGCTAAAGTTCACTGAGAAGTAGTGGGACATCAGAATAACTCAGTGGTAGAGCATCACATGGAAATTGAAGCTCCCCTAGCAGCACCAGGGCATTCTCAGAGACATCTCTTCAGAGGATCAACAAAACTATAAAATATACTAAATATTTAGAAGCAAGTATGTTTCTAAGCCCATATCTCTAACAAGGTAGACTCAGGACCAGCATACATAAACATTTCAAGGCTACAGACACATAGGGACACACAATATTATATATTAAAATGTGGTAGAGCCTGAAAAACTGTGTGCCTCACCTACATTTTGTTTTTTAATCTTGTTTGATTTCAAAGAGGATTCTTAAGTGTATTTCTCTTGTATTCTTCTATCTCCAGACACCAGAAATGCCCTTTGTGTGGCAATGATTAATGGCTCTCAAAAGCAAAAGAAACTGTCTACTCTGAAAGCTTTCTGAGTCTCTAGATGTAGCCTATTTTTTCTGTGATAAATATCACCATATTTTTATGCACAATATTTTCCCCCTAGAAACTGCATAATCATGCTAGCTAAACATTGGTATAGGATTTTACTTTGAAACCTTTGGGATGTTTCCTCCATCTGCCAAGAGGCATTCTGCAGATAATCATCCTTCATGGTTTCAAACCAAAAGGAAAAAAAGTTAAAGATTAAAACTGCCAGAAAACCATAGAGTTAACTTACTTCCATTCACAGGCCTGAGAGGAAGCCACAAAGGAATTTCTGACAATTGCAATTTTTAAATATGCCAATAAAATGTTAACATTCGAGACTCATTAAGCAGATTTGTAGCATTCACTTCACATCTGATGTGCTAGGGCCTCAGAAAATAGATTTTCTTACCCACTAGCGACAGTAAAGAAGACTCTGGCCACTGCAGTCCTTAACAAGGCAAAATAAAGCCTATTCTCCATGAGTTATGAGATGGCATAAAAAGAAGTAAGGATCTGCCCTGATAACATCCAGATAATGGTGGCTTGGGTATAATCTGCTGTGCCTCCAAATCAGGAGTTAAATGATAACAGATAGTTGTGGACTTTAAACCACCAACCTCCCTTGCTATACACCTCCCCACTCCGTACACCAGCAAGATATTATAAGAGGTTGTGGTGGAATGATGAAGTGAGAATTATCCCTGGGAGGCAAGTTTGGTTCAACATACATAAATCAATAAATGTGATCCATCATATTCACAGAGTGAAGGACAAAAACCATACGATCATCTCAATAGATGCAGAAAAAGCATGTGACAAAAGTCAGCATATTTTTATAATTAAAACTCTCAACAAATTAGATATAGAAGAAATGTTCCTCAACACAATAAAGGCTATATATGACAAGCCTACAGCTAACATTATACTCAACACTGAAAAGTCAAATGCTTTCCATCTAAGATCAGGAAGAAGACAAAGATGGCTACTCTAACTACTTCTGTTTAACATAGTACTAGAAGTCCTAGCCAGAGTGATTAGGCAAGAGAAAGAAATACAATGTATCCAAATAGGAAAATATGAATTGAAATTGTCTGTTTGCTGAGGACATGATCTTATATAGAAAATCCTAAAGACTCCACACCCAAAACCTACTAGAACTGATAAAAGCAGTAAAGTTGCAGGATACAAAACCAACATGCAAAAATCAGCAGTGTTTCTATACACTAACCACAAACTGTCTGAAAAAAGAAACTAAGAAAATAATCCCACCTGCAATAGCATCAAAAAAAATACATAGGTGTAAATTAAACTAAGGAAAAAAAAGATGTGTATACTGAAAACTACAAAACACAGATGAAAGAAATAGAAAATGACACAAATAAATGGAAAGATATCCCATGTTCATGGATTGGAAGAATTCAATCTAATTTAATTTAATAATACCAATTCAATTCAATCCAATTCAATTTAATAATATGAATTCTTCCAATCCTTGGATTGGAAGAATTCATATTATTAAATTGTCTATAGTAACCAAAGCAATCTACAAATTTAATGCAATCCCTATCAAAATTCTAACGTAATTCTTCACAGAAATCGAAAAAAAATCCTAAAATTCATATGGAACCACAAAAGACACTGAAAAGCCAAAGCAATCGTGACCAAAAAGAACAAAGCTGGAGGCATCACACTACCTGATTACAAAATATATTCCAAAGCAATAATAATCAAAATGGCATAGGACTGGCATAAAAACAGACACATCAACCAAAGGAATAGGATAGAGAGCTCAAAAATAAACCCACACGTCTACAGTCAATTAATTTTCAACAAAGGTGCCAAGAACACTAATGGGGAAAAGATGGTCTCGTCAATAAATTGTGCTTGAAAAGCCACAGATAAAATTTAAATGTCCTTCATCTCACTCTTATAAAAGAATCAACTCACAATTAGTTAAAGACTTAATGTAAGACCTGAAACTATAAAACTACCAGAAGAAAACATAGGGGGAAACCTACATGACAGTGGTCTGGGCAATGATTTCTTGGAGATGACCCCAAAAACACAGGCAATGAAAGCTAAACAAATTAGATTACATCAAACTAAAAAAAATGATTAATAGAGTGAAGAGACAACTCACAAATTGAGAGAAAATATTTTCAAATCATGTATCAGATAAGAAGCTAATATTCAAAATATATAAAGAACTCAAACTACCCAATAACAAGAAAACAAATAACCCCATTTAAAAAATGGACAAAGAACTTTAAAAGACACTTCTTAGAGGAAGACATAGAAATGATCAACAGATGTATAAAAAATACTCAATATCTCTAATCATCAGAGAAATGCAAATTAAAACCACAGTGACATAGCAACTCACATCTGTTAGATAAGCTATTATTAAAAAGATAAAATATAACAAGTATTGCCAAGGATGTGAAGAAAAGGGAACTTTTATACACCGTCGGTGATATTATAAATTCATATAAACAGTATGGGGGATCTTCATAATACTAAAAATAAAATTACCATATGATCAAGCAATCTCATTACCAGGTATATACCCAGGGGAATTGAAATCAGTATGTTAAAAAAAAGTCTACATTTTCATGTTCATTGAAGCATTATTCGCAAGAGTCAAGATATGAAAACAACCTGTGTCCATCAACGGATAAATGCATTTTTAAAATGTGGTATATACACACAATGGAACCTATTCAGCCTTAAAAAACACAACAGGAAATTCTGTCATTTATGACAATATAGATGAACCTAGAGGGCCTGCATTATATTAAGTAAAATAAGTCAGGCACAGAGACAAATATGTGATCTCACTTATACATGTAATCTAAAAAAGTCAAATTTATAGAAGTAGAGAGTAGAATGGTGGTTACCAGATCTGGGGGTGGAGAAGATGGGCAGGGAAAGGTGAGAGCTTGGTCAACAGACACAAAGTTACAATTAGATAGAAGTGATAAGTTCTGGTGTTCTATTGCACAGCAAGTCGACTACAGTTAATAATAATGTATATTTCAAAGTAGCTAAAAGAGAGTATTTTTAATGTTCTCACTGCAAAGAACTGATAACTATTTGAAGTGACAGATATGCTATTTAACCAGATTTGTTTCATAGAGCTATAGTTCTAGAGTGGATCCACAGAACTCTGTTATCAATTTTTTTCAGAGAGGTAGAAAATGTGAGTTTTATTAAAATGTGCTATTTACTGTATTATTTCATTCTCACACTGCTATAAAGAACTACCTGAGACTGGGTAATTTATAAAGGAAAGAGGTTTAATTGACTCACAGTTCCACATGGCTGGGGAAGCCTCAGGAAACTTACAATCATGGTGGAAGGCACCTGTTCACAGAGTGGCAGAAGAGCGAATGAATGAGTGCTGAGCAAAAGGGGAAGCCCCGTAAAAAAGCATCAGATCTCATGAGAACTCACTCACTACCAAGAGAACAGCACCATGGGGGTAACTGCCTCCATGACTCAATTAACTCCCATTGGGTCCATCCCACGATATGTGGAGATTACGGGAACTACAATTCAACATGAGATTTTGGTGGGGATACAGCCAAGTCATATC
The DNA here is from genome assembly GCF_000001405.40 of Homo sapiens. Classification (NCBI taxonomy): domain Eukaryota; kingdom Metazoa; phylum Chordata; class Mammalia; order Primates; family Hominidae; genus Homo; species Homo sapiens. Next base: position 4,102,177 of record NC_000003.12, read on the forward strand.
ATTTGCATAACATAATTTCTGGAATATTCTTGCTAATGTCATTAAATCTATACAAAGACCTGATTCTGAAAGACCAGGAGGTTGTAAGAGATATCAATAAGCATTTGTACAAAAAGTTTAATATTAGAAGATGTTTTCTCTGGAAAGCTGTGACAAACAGGTTAGTGCCAAAATGGCCATCAAGAAACCCTTATTAACAAGAACATAAGTTCCTCTAGACTAACCTTACTGCTGTGTATATCCCTGAAATCCCACAATAGCAGTAATGATAGAGTCCAGTCTTCCTTTGCCTTCATCCGCTCCTCACTTAGTCAGTAGTGAGGGTAAACTCTCACCTTAATTTCTAGCCATTTGTCAAAGCTTTCTTTGCTGAGGTCTTGTCCATTATTCAAAGCTTATCTTACTAAGGTCTAAATATGCAAAGACTTCAACTGAGATTTTCTAATAGTGCTTCCCATGTTCTACATTGCTTAGTATTATATATGGAATAATTATGATTGTGGTTATTTGTGTACTCCATCTCTCCAACTGTACCTTAAGCTCTACAAGGGCAGAGTCTTGCACCAGAAGCACAGGATTTGATAGGTGCTTGATAAATTAATGTAGCTTACTTGATAGGGTGAAGGAAGGAGTAGGGAAGAAGAGAAGAAAGAGAAATAAGGAAGGGAAGAGGAAAGACAGGGAGAAGAAGAGAGAGGAAAGGAGAAAGAGGCAGAAGAAAAAATGGATAGATGAACAGAAACTTCTTTTTTTTTTTTTAATTTGAGATGGAATCTCACTCTGTCACCCAGGCTGGAGTGTAGTAGTGCAATCTCAGCTCACTGCAACCTCCACCTCCCAGGTTCAAATGATTCTCCTGCCTCAGCCTCCTGAGTAGCTGGGATTACAGGTGCCTGCCACCACATCTGGCTAATTTTTGTATTTTTACTAGAGATGGGGTTTCCCTATGTTGGCCAGGCTGATCTCGAACTCCTGACCTCAAGTGATCCACCTGCCTCGGCCTCCCAAAGTGCTGAGATTATAGGCATGAGCCACTGTGCCCGGCCAACACTTTTAAGCATAAAAAAAAAAAGAAAGAAAAAAGATTATGTTTCTCCTCAAAAAGCTTCTGACCTAGTTGGGTAGATAGAAATATATTTTTTTATAACAGGAGGTCCATATTAGATGAATTATAACCACACAGTCTAGTACTTGGCCTCTAAAAGGAATACTATAGGAATTCAAATATGAAGGTCAGCATGGCTGCAGAACTCAGAGAAGGTTTTATGAAATGGAGGGGATTTTTTTTTGCTGGAACATGAAGAAAGTGGTGAAACGGATAAGCAAAAATGAAAGAGGATGGCAAGTCCTAGAATGTTCCTTGATATTCTATCTCCCTTCTCGTATTTGTCATTAGTGATTAGTGGTTTCTGCTTTGAATAGCACAGTAATTGCAGCTTGACTTTCTTAGGCATGGAGAATAATTTTCACCCCAATAGAAAATAAACACCAACATTTAATGGATACACTTACTATGTATCAGGTCCTGTGCTAGGAACAGAACATAAATCACATAATCAGATCCTTAGACAAACCACCATGATTACGTCCTCTCTACAGATAAGAAAACTGAACAGAGGCCAAGAACCTTGCTCCATATCACACAACTGGAAACAGCTGATAGAAGAATCAACCACTGATGCTTAGAAAGTTTGGAAGAGCAGAAGCAGACCCTCCAATTACCTCACACATTTTTCATTTTGATGATAACACAGAGTTTACTTGACAGCAAAATTTTCTGTGGTTAACCTAAGTTTTTGTCTTTACATCCTATATCTAAGTTTTCAGAAGTCTGGATATGAGAAGATGAGAGACCATGCTGGAAATTTTCATTTAGCCCTTGATATGGTTTTTCTGTGTCCCCACCCAAATCTCATCTTGAATTGTAGCTCCCATTATTCCCACATGTTGTGGCAGGGACCTAGTGGCAGATAACTGCATAATGCAGGCAGTTTCCCCCTTACTGTTCTCCTGGAGGTAAATAAGTCTTACAAGATCTGATGGTTTTATAAGGAGTTTCCCCTTATGCTTGACTCTCATTCTCTCGTCTGCCACCATGTAAGATGTGCCTTTCACCTTCTGCCATGATTGTGAGGCCTCCCCAGTCATGTGGAATTGTGAGTCCATTAGACCTCTTTTTCTGTATAAATTACCCTGTCTCAGGTATATCTTTACCAGCAGCATGAAAACAGACTAATACAGCCCTTCAGATCCACTCCCCACTCTTCATCCTGCTCCGTGCCCCAACAGGTGATCTGTGGAGCCTGCAGCAGTGCATCTGCTCTTTAGCTTCCCAGAGAGGTTATCCAGCAGAATGCACCCACAGGCAATCAGGAAGGAGAGAGAGAGGTCAGGGTCCGTATTCTCCGGATACCCACCCTGCTGGGCCACCTCAGGTTGGTGTCCTGTACTAAAGGTGGAGGATCTAGAGGATCCTAGTAAATCTCGATTTCTCTCTCTCTCTCTCTCTCTCTCTTTCTGTCTCTCCTCCCAGCCCCTACCAATTCCCCTGTTCTCCAATGTAATAATTTTTTTCCTTTAACCTTTCCAGGCCTAAAAATTTGCCTACCATCAGCCTCTTTCACCCTTTGCTTCTTTTTCTATGCTCAAACATGTATAGAGTCCTTTTACACCATAAAATGCAGCAATACCACTTCTGGTATACATTCAAAGGGATTGAAATCAGTATGTTGAAGAGATACCTACATTCCCATGTTCATTTCAGCATTACTCACAATTGCCAAGATATGGAATAAACCTACGTGTCTATCAACGAATGCATAAAGAAAGAAAATGTGGTATACATACACAATGGAATATTATTAAGCTTTTGTTTTTAAAAGAGAAGGAAATCCTGTCATTTGCTGCAACATGGATGAACCTGGAGGACATGATAAGTGAAATAAGCCAAGGACAGAAAGGCAAATACTGCATGATCTCACTTACATGTGGAATCTAAAACAGTCGAACTCATAGAAGCAGAGCACAGAATGCTGGTTTCCAGGGTCTGGGAGGGTAGAATGAGAAAAGGGGAGATGTCTGTCAAATGCACAGAGTTTTAGTTAAACAAAAGGAATAAGATTTTGAGATCTCTCGCATAGGCTGGTGATTATAGTTAATAACAATGTGTATTTTTAAAAAGAGTCTCCTTAAATTTTCCTCAATTACAAAACTTAAGTTTTCTGCAGTGAGCCTGACTAACACAGGTGATAAGTTTGTGAATTAGAATAGTGATATTTAAAATAAAAGGAAAGGTCCAGATCTGAGGTACATTTTGGAAGAAGGAACATCATTGAATGAAATACTGAAAAGAGGTAAGAAAAGCAGAATAATATCAAAAATCATCAAAGATTTTTGGGTCCAGGTAATCTGGAAAATGATAATACTGACAGAAATAGGAATATTATTAATGGAAACTTAGGAGTTCTTCCTGTGAATATCTGTCTCTTCATTTGAATGTCTGTTTGGGGAACTAAAATTTTTTTGTTAAAAAGAAATAAGACAAGACGATAAAATTAAAGTCTACACTGCTCCTACTAGTCCCCTTTACCAGAGAAATCTATATCATAAATTGAATATGCATTCTTACAAACTATTTTTATATGTTATTTACATAAATGTGTATCCTGGTCCAAGGACATTATTATTCTAACAATACAATTATAAAATGATATGTGGTTTATTTAATAAACTACAAATCACGATTTCCATAATTTGGCAACTTAAAATTTTTACTCAAAATTATGTTTTGAAGATCTATCCATGTTGGCATATACACCTCTACTTCATTTTTTTTTTAACAGTTATGCAATAATTGGTCAAAATTGCTTTATCTGTTTGCTTTATCTGTTCCTCTACCAACAAACTTTTCACTATAATAAACAATACTTCAGTGAACCTCCTTCTCTAAGTCACCTTAGGAGAATTTCTGTAGGGTTCCCGTGGCATTGCTGGGCCATAAAAAACAAAATGAGTTTAGAAACTTTTATTTTTGAGGTTTAGGCTATGTGATCGGGCATCAAAATGGAATTTTAACAGTAGTCATTAGTAAACATTGGCCTAAAGAAAAGATAAAATGAAGATAAAGATATCCGTTTGTAGTGATATTTCTACTTCTTTTTTCAGCTAGGGGATGAAAATAGCACTGTTCACCAGGCCATAAACCAGGCACCTTGCAATCATTATCTCATTTAGTTTTCACATATACCCTTCAAGAGATAACTGACATTCACTAATGCCTCATTGTAGGTAATAGTTTCCATCTCCACTATAACTCCCTTTTCTTTTAATCAGAACAATATAACAGATAGGAAATTCCAACTGTTTGAAGTGTATCCTTTTTTAAAATCATCTTTTCCAACGTAAACAAAGAGTAAAGTCACTAATAAAGAAATAACGAGAAACTTGAAGGCAACAGGAAAAGTAGAAGCCGAATAATCCACAAAGTAGTCAAACCCTGGAGAAATCAGGAACTGACTCTACTTGAATCCTTAAAATTAATTTGTCCTCCCAATGAGGGTTTGCTGGTTTGAGGCAAAAAGATCTATTCTTCAATTAACTGAAGATGTCAAACTTGCATTAGAAACCCTCGATAACTCCTGACAGTGAAACAAATTAGGATTTACCCTAGATAAACATAGGCCACATTTATTAGAATCCTCATAATAAAGCTATACCATCAGGTAAAATAAACTATATTTTTCCAGAACATGATGGTTTTAAGACAAAGGCAAAACATAAAAGAGAAAAAAAATTCAGATATTTCTCCAACCCGTTCAGAAAGGCTGTACCTAGAGGGCTTTGAGGGTTTCCTTTTGTTTCCTGTTGTGTTACCTCTTCAACTTCATTCTACCATCAGCTACTGAGATCAATAGCCCAAGGTTGGGCATGGAGGAGCTTCACGGACAAGCAGCAGAAGCTAGTGTCTCTGGTGTCACTAAACTCTAAGTTGAGAATTGTTCTTGGTTTTCAGATAAACAGTAAACTGTCCAGGAGCTAAGATTTGCCAAATTTTCTTTCTCTGATGCCCATACTGAATAAATGGGAAGATAATTTTCCTTAGGAGAGCTGTGCACAGAGTTAACCTTAGGAATACAGGCAGTAATAATAAAACAATAACTAATGTTTTGCAGTAGTGTGCTGTTTTATTTACTATTCACAACACCCTAGAGAGGCAGCTATCACTGAGGCTCACTCACACAGCTGCCTAAGGATACAAAATGGGCAAATGACAAAGTTGAGACTGATATCCATGGTTTCTGACTCATCATTCTCCTATCAGTACTATCCTGCCTAGCTTTTAGTAGGTGTTTATTTGATATTTGTGAATAAAGGACTCTCTTCGTTGTAATCCCACCTGTCTCCTACCCACCTATCTGAATTGCCTGACATTCAATGATCAGCCATTCAGCCCTCTAGTGGAAGAAATTATTCCCTATTAAAGCGCAAATATCAGGGCCTAGTGTGGCAACTCATGTCGGTAATAGCAGCACTTTGGAAGGCCAAGGCTGAAGGATCACTTGAGACCAGGAGTTTGAGGCTGCAATGAGCTATGAAGGCATCACTGCACTCCAGCCTAAAATAAATAAATGAATTAAGTGCAAATATAAAGAGCTATACTTTTTTAAAAATAATGTTTGACCTAGTAATTCCATTCTTAGGAATAATTCAACCAAAGCAAACTACTAAATACATGAGCTGTTTGGTGTGGTATTTTCTGTGATAAGTAAAAGAAAAGAAAGAAAGAGATAAGGAGGTCAGGAAAGAGATGGAAACTAGAAAAAACAATTTCTGGAAATAACCCAAATGCCCAACAATAGGGGAATAAACTATAGTATATCGAAGGCTAGAACAGTGTTTTTCAAACTGTAGGTTGCTATTCATAAAGAGAGATGATTCTGGTATGTTGTGTTTTTGTTCTCATTAGTTTCAAAGAACATCTTTATTTCTGCCTTCATTTCGTTATGTACCCAGTAGTCATTCAGGAGCAGGTTGTTCAGTTTCCATGTAGTTGAGCAGTTTTGAGTGAGTTTCTTAATCCTGAGTTCTAGTTTGACTGAGCTGTGGTCTGAGAGAAAGTTTGTAATTTCTGTTCTTTTACATTTGCTGAGGAGTGCTTTACTTCCAACTAAGTGGTCAATTTTGGAATAAGCGCAGTGTGGTGCTGAGAAGAATGTATATTCTGTTGATTTGGGGTGGAGAGTTCTGTATATGTCTATTAGGTCCGCTTGGTGCAGAGCTGAGTTCAATTCCTGGATATCCTTGTTAACTTTCTGTCTTGTTGATCTGTCTAATGTTGACAGTGGGGTGTTAAAGTCTCCCATTACTATGGTGTGGGAGTCTAAGTCTCTTTCTAGGTCTCTAAGGACTTGCTATATGAATCTGGGTGCTCCCATATTGGGTGCATATATATTTAGGATAGTTAGCTCTTCTTGTTGAATTGATCCCTTTACCATTATGTAATGGCCTTCTTTGTCTCTTTTGATCTTTGTTGGTTTAAAGTCTGTTTTATCAGAGACTAGGATTGCAACCCCTGCCTTTTTTCTGTTTTCCATTTGCTTGGTAGATCTTCCTCCATCCCTTTATTTTGAGCCTATGTGTGTCCCTGCACGTGAGATGGGTTTCCTGAATACAGCACACTGATGGGTCTTGACTCTTTATCCAATTTGCCAGTCTGTGTCTTTTAATTGGAGCATTTAGCCCATTTACATTTAAGGTTAATATTGTTATGTGTGAATTTGATCCTGTCATTATGATGTTAGCTGGTGATTTTGCTCATTAGTTGATGCAGTTTCTTCCTAGCCTCCATGGTCTTTACAATTTGGCATGTTTTTGCAGTGGCCGATACCAGTTGTTCCTTTTCATGTTTAGTGCTTCCTTCAGGAGCTCTTTTAGGGCAGGCCTGGTGGTGACAAAATCTCTCAGCATTTGCTTGTCTGTAAAGGATTTTATTTCTCCTTCACTTATGAAGCTTAGTTTGGCTGGATATGAAATTCTGTGTTGAAAATTCTTTTCTTTAAGAATGTTGAATATTGGCCCCCACTCTCTTCTGGCTTGTAGAGTTTCTGCAGAGAGATCCGCTGTAAGTCTGATGGGCTTCCCTTTGTGGGTAACCCGACCTTTCTCTCTGGCTGCCCTGAACATTTTTTCCTTCATTTCAACTTTGGTGAATCTGACAATTATGTGTCTTGGAGTTGCTCTTCTCGAGGAGTATCTTTGTGGCGTTCTCTGTATTTCCTGAATTTGAATGTTGGTCTGCCTTGCTAGATTGGGGAAGTTCTCCTGGATAATAACCTGCAGAGTGTTTTCCAACTTGGTTCCATTCTTCCCATCATTTTCAGGTACACCAATCAGACGTAGATTTGGTCTTTTCACATAGTCCCATATTTCTTGGAGGCTTTGTTCATTTCTTTTTATTCTTTTTTCTCTAAACTTCCCTTCTCACTTCATTTCATTCATTTGATCTTCCATCACTGATACCCTTTCTTCCAGTTGATCGCATCGGCTCCTGAGGCTTGTGCATTTGTCACGTAGTTCTTGTGCCATGGTTTTCAGCTCCATCAGGTCATTTAAGGACTTCTCTGCATTGGTTATTCTAGTTCGCCATTCATCTAATCTTTTTTCAAAGCTTTTAACTTCTTTGCCATGGGTTCAAACTTCCTCCTTTAGCTCGGAGTAGTTTGATTGTCTGAAGCCTTCTTCTCTCAACTCGTCAAAGTCATTCTCCGTCCAGCTTTGGTCCGTTGCTGGTGAGGAGCTGCGTTCCTTTGGAGGAGGAGAGGCGCTCTGATTTTTAGAGTTTCCAGTTTTTCTGCTCTGTTTTTTCCCCATCTTTGTGGTTTTATCTACCTTTGGTCTTTGATGATGGTGACGTACAGATGGGTTTTTGGTGTGGATGTCCTTTCTGTTTGTTAGTTTTCCTTCTGACAGTCAGGACCCTCAGCTGCAGGTTGCTGGAGTTTGCTGGAGGTCCACTCCAGACCCTGTTTGCCTGGGTATCAGCAGCGGAGGCTGCAGAACAGCGGATATTGGTGAACAGCAGATGTTGCTGCCTGATCGTTCCTCTGGAAGTTTTGTCTCAGAGGAGTACCCAGACATGTGAGGTATCAGTCTGCCACTACTGGGGGATGCCTCCTAGTTAGGCTACTTGGGGGTCAGGGACCCACTTGAGGAGGCAGTGGGACTGTAAACTAGTTCAACCATTGTGGAAGACAGTGCGGCAATTCCTCAGGGATCTAGAACTAGAAATACCATTTGACCCAGCCATCCCATTACTGGGTATATACCCAAAGGATTATAAATCATGCTGCTATAAAGACACATGCACACGTATGTTTATAGTGGCACTGTTCACAATAACAAAGACTTGGAACCAACCCAAATGTCCAACAGTGATAGACTGGATTAAGAAAATGTGGCACATATACACCATGGAATACTATGCAGCCATAAAAAAGGATGAGTTCATGTCCTTTGTAGGGACAGGGATGAAGCTGGAAACCATCATTCTCAGCAATCTATCGCAAGGACAAAAAACCAAACACCGCATGTTCTCACTCATAGGTGGGAATTGAACAATGAGAACACTTGGACACAGGAAGGGGAACGTCACACACTGGGGCCTGTTGTGGGGTGGGGGGAGGGGGGAGGGATAGCACTAGGAGATATACCTAATGTTAAATGACGAGTTGATGGGTGCAGCACACCAACATGGCACATGTATACATATGTAACTAACCTGCATGTTGTGCACATGTACCCTATAACTTAAAGTATAATAATAAAAAAAGAAACTTACAATCATAGCAAAAAAAAAAAGGGAGAGATTAAAATATTTCAGTTGATCAAAGTCAGCATTTTTTTTAATGAAATGATTAAGAAAGAAAATACACCCCTCCCTCAGGATATTCGCAGATTGGTTCCAGGACCCCTACATGTAACAAAATTCACACATACTCAAGTCCCACAGTTGGCCTAGTGGAACTTGGGTATAGGAAAATTTGGCCCTCCATATACTGAGTTTCACTTCCCGCCAATACTGTATTTTCATTTTCAATCCATGATTGGTTGAAAAAGGTCCACATGGAAGTGGACCTGTGCAATTCAAACCCATGTTGTTCAAGGGTAAACTGTAGTATAAAACAGAATAAAATGAAATAGAAAATATCAGACTACATCATTCCTTGTGAGGGTAAGAATTATCTCATAAAACCTTTATTTCTCGGCCGGGCGCAGTGACTCACGCCTGTAATGCCAGCACTTTGGGAGGCCAAGGCGGGTGGATCACGAGGTCAAGAGATAGAGAACATCCTGGCCAACATGGTGAAACCCCGTCTCTACTAAAAATACAAAAATTAGCTGAGGGTAGTGGTGCGCACCTGCCTCTACCTGCCTCTAGTAGTTAGTCCCAGTTACTCCGGAGGCTGAGGCAAGACAATCGATTGAACCCAGGGGGCAGAGGTTGCAGTGAGCCGAGATTGTGCCATTGCACTGCAGCCTGGCGACAGAGCTAGACACCGTCTAAAAAAAACCCAAAAAAACCTTTATTGCTCTGTAAATATGAATGTGTTTACGTGTATGTATACCAAGTACAACGTAAAAGGTGTTTTAGTATGGAAAATGGCAAAAAAAATTTGAAGTGCACTGGCCTAGGTTATTATTCATTCATTAGAATTTACTTGAGAGAAATTCTGGAGGAAATTTATAATAATGTTAAAGAAAAAGTTGGTCACAAAGTGGTGTAGATATTAGGATGGCAATTATAGAAAATATGAATGTGTATACATAAATGACAGGAAAGGCATGAGAAAACAGTCATTGTTCTAAGAAGATATATGTGATTATTACCCCTCATTTTGTTTTTTTATTTCTAATCTGAGACAAAAAGATCTACAATTAACTCTAGTGCAGACTAGCCTTAAACTCTGTTGTAAATTCCAATAAATAAAGCAAATCAGAATGCACTTCAAGCAAGCAAAGAACCAATCTACTGAGGATACTTATAAATGAAACTAGTACACCAGATACATAAAATATGCCTGGTGGATGGAACAAAACATTTCTAAGCCCAAGAGCATGTTTCTTTCTTTATACACATGCCAATGCTGAGAGGGATAGCCAACTAAATCATCTCTTGTTCATTTATACCTTAGCATTACTTAGTGTACCTGGTCCCTTCCAATAAAAGAGTTAGCTTGTGCCAAGAATAGATAAAATTGCTAATGGTGAGAAGAAATTGTAAAAAGAGGCAATAGAAGATGCTAAGTTGTTTCTCTTCAGCATCTTCTAGTATCTCTTTTTAATTCATAATTTGCTTAAAATTGGCTGTTTCATAGAAAAGTATCTTGTGACCATCATAAAGATGAATGAGACCCATATCAAGTTAAAGTACTTCATGAAGCCACTTTAGCTAGTCTGGAGTTACTCTGGGTAAGAAGCTAGACTTGGGGGCTGGATGAGGAAAGAAAGGGGCAAGGGAAATGGTTAATGAGGCTATAATCAGCATAAGTGGAAACAGCTGGAGAAAGCAAACAGCAAACTTGAGATTTCTTCTTATCCCCTCCACCCCACTATCCAACAGAGTGAGAACAAGCTGTGCTTTCAGACACTAAAAGCTGTAGATGCTTACCAACAAACTCAAATAATTGCAAGCCCTCATGGTGCTAGCTAGCCCACAGAATCTGAATTGATCTTGTTTGTCAATCAAATACTGAATGCCAGTCTGCATAAATAGTTACAATTTCTAAAGTATGTGGCAGGATGAGGTGTTCTGATCCCATACGCACTTATTTCCTGGTCCTCATCACTCATTGAGAAAATACATTTGGTAAAGCTGATTTAAAATGAGATTTAAAAATAATTGTAAATATTTTACACATTTATGGGATACATGTGATATTTTGTTGCATGCATAGAATGTGTAATAATCAAGCCAAGGTACCTGGGGTATCCATCACCTAGAATATTTATCATTTCTATGTGTTGGGAACGTTTCAAGATCTCTCTTCTAGCTACTTTGAAATATATATTACAACCTGGGCATAGTAGCTCATACCTGTAATCTCAATACTTTGGGAGGCCAAGGCAGGAGGATTGCTTGAGGCCAGGAGTTCAACCATCCTGGGCAATATAGCAAGACCTTGTCTCTATAAAATAAAAATAAAAATTAGCCAGGCATGGTGGCTTGCACCTGTAGTCCCAGCTATGTGGGGGGCTGAGGCAGGAGGATTCCCTGAGCCAGGAGGTTACAGTAGCAGTGAACCATGATGGTGTCACTGCTCTCCAGCCTGGGTCACAGTGAGACCCTGTCACCGCCCCCCACCCCCAAAAAAGAAAGAAATATATATCATATTATTGCTAACTATAGTCACCCTACTCTGCTATCAAACATTAGAACTAAAAGAGAGGACTTTTAAACTAGTAATGCTAAAAGAGGTGGTCAATACTAAGAGAAAATACTAAAGGTTTTTTTGGAAGATATGCCACTCTTAACAACAGGAAAAAACTCAGTCTCTCTTCATGTGGCACAATTACGATGTACCACCACTCCCAGATCAGGATCAGGAAAAAAGGTCATCATGACCTTAATGTGGGGTAGGCAGATAGGAACAATTACTGAAAGTTAATCCACAGATCCGGATGCCTCCTCAAAAGGTAGAATAATATACAAAGTGCATTTGTCTTCTCTAAATTTCCTTTAGATAGTGGTAATATGAACATTAACAACATATCCTATATAGAAGAGAGCAAACAGAAAGGTCATCACTTCTCTACAAGCTGATTTTAAAAGATGCTGATTGGACGTTTCTGAGATCCCACTTCATCTGTAGATTCTTGGTGGAAATTTCATCAGCTAATTTCTTGGGTAGAAGGTGGGAGATGTCCCACACTTAAATTGAGGAACCAAATACCTAAAATCAAGATTGAGCTCTCTTTCCTGTTACACCACTGAACTTTCTGATCCAGGACAGATGTTACCCATGAATAAAGAGAAAATTACAATGGGGAAGGACATGAAGTTTTTGAGTAAGGTACCATGCAGAGTTTGCTATGGCAGAATCAAAGCTTTTATATTCTCTATCACACCCCTATGTCATCTACAGTTACAAACCCCTGGGACAAAAGAAAAAGGAAATGAGTCTAGACTACCATGTGATGAAAGTACCTCTAAATTCTAGTGTAATTCCCCACATTTAAGGCAAGCTGCTAGAAAAATACAGCTTCATCAAAGGTTAAGTGTAACTGTTCATATGATTTTTAGAATCCTTAATATGCTGCCCTTATTGACTAAGTTACTATCACTAGTTAATGTAAACTATTATTTGCATTTTATAATACATTACATTTTGTAAGTACTTTAAGTGGCCAACATAAAAATTAATGAGACCCGTATCAGGTTAAACCACTTTGTAAAGCTACTTCAGCTGATCTGGAGTTACTTTGGGTAAGGAGAGGCTAAACTGGAGGTGATGGGACACTGGGGAGTATGTTTAGCTTCTTCCCTAACATTACATAACAGAGAAGTATTTAAGAAATCATTAAACATAATTTGTCCATGTGCATTAGACACACCCATTTACACACAAGTTCAGTTCACAAATGAGAACATCAACTGCCTTTTAAAAATATTTTCAACTTATTTAAAATATGTAGCCTTTATTTCTGAGGGAAAATATCTAGTCCTTGTGATATGGGAAGAAGGCAGGGAAGCACTGGGTGGAGAAACGCAGGGTCCCCGGCTAGGGCTCTTCCCTTCTGGCCTGTGCCCACGGAACTAGGTGAGGACAGGCACTCCTGCTTTTGCCCCCAAATGTTGCATTTTTCCAAGACCACCCTGGCCCACCACACCCGCCACTCTGTGCCTATGAAAACCCCAAGACCCTCGCGGGCACAAATGCAGACAGCTGGACCTCGAGAGGAGCAGAGGAGCGGAAGAGGTCACCGACAGGCACCAGTGGACTCTGGCAGGCCATCAACAGCAGGACGACATGGAATTCGGCTGGGGGCAGCCAGTCTCCAGGGGAAGATCACCTTCCCACTCCATCTCCCTTCTGTCCTCCCCATTTACCTCGCTGAGAGCTACTTCTACTCAACGAAACTCTGCACTCATTCTCCAAGCCCGCGTGTGATCCGATTTTCCTGGTACACCAAGGCAAGAACCCCAGGATACAGAAAGCCCTCTGCCCTTGCAATAAGGCAGAGGGCCTAATTGAGCTGATTAACACAAGCAGCCTGAGGATGGCTAAACTGAAAGAGTGCCCTGTAACACACACCCACTGGGGCTTCGGGAGCTGTAGACAATCAACCGTAGATGCTGCCTTGGGGTCAGAGCCCAAAAACGCTCCTCACGACCTGCCAGTATGATGCATGTTCCTCCGACGGGTTTGGGCGAGCCACACCCGCATCGCACCCTCTGCGAGGGGGATAAGGGAACTTTCCCCATTTACCTGGACTAGCTGAGCAGACTGATTATTTATTTCCTTGCTAATTTTTCATCTTTTTAACGAATTATATTCTTTGCATGTTTGAGTCCAATTTCTGAATGAAATGGTCTTATGTTTTATTCTCAATATTTTGATGCTGAAACTTTCTAGATACGAAACGATATTTAAAAAAACATAAAAAATCTATTTTGTAAACGACTAAATTGGGGCAGATCTGCCATTTGGGCTGGCAGATTTTCTACTGTAGAGCTCTATCAGTGAAAACAGTTCTGGTGTTTAAACATTGGACTCTGGAAACAAAAAAATCAGGCATTTGATTGAACACAAATAAATGAAAGTTATTGATATTTTTCATGACCCCGTAATTTGCAGAGCTTTACACTTTTCAACATGTCTCCAAACCCATTATATGATTATGTCACTTGATTCCCACATATGTTTATGAGGTAGATCAGGCCACAGTTAACATCATCCCCAATGTATATGAGGATCCTGAGACACAAAGAGGTTGTGTGACCTATACAATGTCACACAGAAAGTTAACGTAGAAGAGGGATCAACCCAGGTCTCCTGGTTGCTAATTTGTTTTCTACCACGTCACTTCACTACCCAACATCAAGGGCCACATCTCTTTAGTGTGTTCAAGAAACGCAAGTAAGAACAATGATTATTATTCCCCGGGTTCTCCTCTCTTTATTGCGCAGAATAAGCAATTTCCAGCTACTAACATACATAGTTGCTTTCCTGCAAAGTTTTCCCATAGAAACCCTAAATTTTCAAAAGAGTTATTTATTGCTAGATGGAGGTGTGAAGAAGCTTTTGGTTTTATCTTCCCATATCCCAGTTTGATCTATTAAATTTTGAACTCAGCGCCTCTTTAAAGGTGTTTAAAATTCAGTGCTCAAATCCCAAATTTCTCAAGGGTCAGCAAGTCAAATTCATTTACACTTTATCCCTGAGTTTCTTTCCTTTTTATCCTTTCTTTTATATGAAAAGCAATAAACCAGTGACCCATGCTTTTCACTCAGAGACTCTTTGGTCTGTACTTTAATCACTTCTTATCTGGTATCTTCAGTATAGGGTATCGTGCTGAAAATAAGTACTAAACAACTATTTACTTCTCACTGGACAATTCCAGCAATTTCTATCAGGTCACTTCAATACTTACTGAGATTGGCAGTTATCAAATCATGAGTCCAAATCTGTCACCACTTGGAAGATAAATAAGGTCAGGGATGTGGGATTGCAAAAAACAAAGGAAATCTATTTGAGACTTTGCATAAAACAAAGTTTGCAAACAGCTAATGAATGCTAGGTGAACAAAACAAAGCTCTACTTATAGTTATACATGGAAAAATCTACAGTCATTAAAGACAATGGCATAGATCTATGTTTACTGACACAAGATATTCATAATATTTTATAGAAGTGTAGATAATGTGACTGCATCTTAAATTTTATCCATGCATAGAAGAAAATCTGGAAACTAATTTTCTCTAAGCAGGGGAATTATGGCTTTTTTATATTTTTAAATTTTTGTTTATACTTTCTAGTTTTTCTCTAATGAGTTTATCTTTCTTACTTTATAAGTAAAGCCTCTCTGTGGAAATGTAACTAAAGCAAAGGTTAATAGGGCCATGGACCTCCCTTTCCATCTTTCAAATGAGTTACAGAATACAACAAGTGTAAAGGAAAAAAAAATCTCATGGGACAAAATGACAAATTATTCCTGGGAAAGAATTTAAACTATGATACATGCTAATTAATACTCAAGAAATCAGGTAAACAGGGACTTAAGGGCAGCTTCTTCCTTATCTTTTCTGGAACTTGTTTTCTTAGTTCTCTTCCTTTTTCGGAGGGGAAGAAAATAGGTGGCTTCGTAAGACAGAGGCCTGGGCTTAGAGTCAGAAGGCCTTGATGACCTTATTAGCCTCTCCTCTTAATTGGGTAGGATTCACCACCTCTCTGAGTTTTGATTTCTTTATCAAGAATGAGGACAATAATACCTAATTCAGGTAAGAATTCCCTGAGAAAATATTTGTGAAAATTTGGAGCACGGCATTAGAAATCAAAAAATGTAACTTAAACATGAATCTCTCCCCTGATTTCTCATGCTGGTTTTCTGCTCTGTCTGAAATAAAAACAGATACATTAAGTACTCAGGTTCTTGGATCTCATTTCCATTGGCTACATGGTTCTAATTGGTATTCAAGTTGAGACGGCATGACAGCTAGGCCTTTCTAATCATCCTATTATGCCAAAGAAGACATGGTTCCCACCAAGAGCCTGTGACTATTCCAAACTTTTTTAAACATCCAAAACAAGGCATGAATAGGTGTCTTTGAAGCAGGATTCTCAGCTTGAACCTAAGCTGTGTCCACCCTTAACATTCATGGTCAGGACATATCAGGGCGGATCTGGCAGATAATAGGGTAGGGTAAATGAGAATTCATTTGCATAAGTAAATAGGACCCTCCTCTCCCCACAAGACATAGGAATGTTCTCCTGAGTTCTCTTTGTACTCTTGACCATCATCGCCTCTAGCTTTGCCTCTCTTTATTTACAGAGAGAAGAGAAGATATTGCATGCTTGAAAAAAGGAACAGGATACATGAAAAAGAAACAGAGAACAAAAAAGAGTCATGAAGATGTAAGTGTCATTATCCACATTTAAAATGCCATAAAAGAGGTTAATGATTCAGTCAAGGAAACTCCAAAATATAGAGCCAAAAAAAAATCAAAGAAATGGAAATAAAAGAGAAAAAAATAAGAAAATCAGAGAATGAATCCAGGAAGTCTAACATTAGTTCCAGAGAGAGGGACTGCTAGTTTTCCTGAAGAACCTTTTAGTACCATTTAAATATTTTAAATGTGTACCTATATTGCTTTAATAAAACAAAGTAGTTTTCAAGTACTATTTATACTTATTGTATCCACTTTGTCACTTCTAATTCACTCATTAAACACACCATAGTAACTACACTTATTGAAGTCAACATTGATCTTCTAAATGCCAAATCTAGTGGGCAGTTTCCAATACTCATGCTACTTGAGAAGTATGTAACATTTGTCATGTGACCACTCCCCAACCCTCCCTTAATTTCTAGAATGTCACTCTTCTTTAGTTCTCTTTCTCCAAGAGCTCAACATCACCACTGCTGTTTTTGCTTCTACATTACATAAAACTTTTATGTCCCATCTTTACTTATTCTTTTACTCTACACACTTGCTGGATAGCCTTACTCCTAAGTTTTGATTTCCAATCTGTAAGTCAATAATTGCCAAATCTGTATCCCTTGAGCTTGACTTCCAGCTGTCTATATCTTTATTTGATGTCCTACAAACACCTCAAACAGCATATACAACATTGATTTCATTATTTACCTATTTTCCTCCACTCCCCAAACCCAAATCCACCTAATCTGCTACATTTTTCATTCCAGCTAATGGCCTGACCAAGCTAACAACCATAAGGTCACTCTCAACTCCTTCCTCAACCTTCAGATTAGAAAGAGCTAAAAGTCCGGACTGCTCTCTCCGCCTACATTGTCACTACCTTATCTTAGGCTTATCATTTATCTTCAGATGCTATTCTCTTCCTATCCAGTCCATCCTCTGCATTACTGCCTGTTATATTCCTTATAGCCACATCTGCTCCTGCTTAAAAGCTTTCAACAGCTCATTATCAGGATAATTTTCTTTGCCTGTCATTGGAGGCCTTTGCAGTTTGACTATGACCCATGTTCCAGACAATGTGCCTTAATATACACAGAACCTGTGCCCCAGACACACTGGATTCTTCACTGGTCCTGAATGCCTCAGGCTCCTTCATCACCCCACCTGGTCCAACTGCCTGGAATTCCCCACCTTGATTTCTTCAACTGGAAAACTTACTAATTCTTCAAGGCCTTACTGAAATGTCACATTGTCTATGAAGCCATGCAGGGAAAATTCTTCTTCAGTGTTCCCAATATCCTGATATCCTGTGTTGTTATCTCCTGCAGCATTGTGAGTCAGGCTTTGGATCTCTAGCAAGAGGCCACACACACATACACAAACACACACACACACACACACACAAACCACCAAGTTCTCATGTATTTAGCTTGTAGTAAGTACAAAACTTAACAGAAGTAGCTGCACAGAGTACAGGCACATGCAGGAAGTTTTCCTTGGTCCTTGGTTCCCCACAGTTTGTGCAGCTGCCACTGACACTGTCCATTTAGGTAGGGTACAGCCATGTTTGAGAAAAAAGTTGCAATATTGTTACACTATCACTCCTTTATACTTGAACTTACAGCATCATCCACCTATGAGCTTCCTTTTTAGGAAATGTTAACAAACAGCAGACCCTCCTGATTCTTAATTTAGCCCCTGTGCAGACATATCCTCACAGAGGAGAGAAAGCTGAGCCAGGCACAATGTTCCTAAATAGTGTCTCTGCCTGCAGACTTCCAGTCTCAGGAAGTCCATCTTCCCACACCTCTACTATTAAAGTTGCCAATTTTGTATTATAATTTATTTATGTCTCTGTCTTTACCACTGAACTGTGAGCTTTCTGAAACCAAAAGCCATATATTATTCATATTCGTATGCTCAGTGACAAGCCCAGCATTTGGTACCTAGTAGGACACACAATAAATTTTGTTAGATGAGCCAACCTAAAACACCTTTCAAAATCTGGTTTTCTGAAAGCTTGTTAGATCTCACAATCTATTTGTAATCCTGAGTTTCTATAACTTGGTGAAGGATACACACTTTACAAAAAGATATTTCAAAGAAGTAATCTTGGGCAGCTAAAATTACAGGTTATTTGTGATGGTCTTGTACAACTCTGACCTAAAATACCATCTTCTTTGTCTACCTGTTGGGAAAATAATCATGATACTGCCTGGCCTCCTGGAGTCACAATTACACCTATGGGAAATTCAAGGCCAAACAGCTGGCCTAAGAAGGAAAGGGTCCCTCTCTCACCACAGATATCAGATAGAGATTGTCTGGAGGAGGGGATTTCCAGGATGCTACCAGGAAGAGGTTTGGGCAAAGTGACTTACGAGGTCACTCTAGCTGGGCTGGCTGGACTGCTGGTTCTATACTCTACCCCTCCTTCAACAAGACCCCCAACTTGAGGTGTCAGGAAAACACACAGTTTTGTATTAAATGCACCTGAAGTCTCATTTTGGTTCCACAATTTACTAACTGTATGACCATGGCAAACTGCCAAAATCCCATGAATTTCTATTTTCTCATTGGTAAGATGCAGGATAATTGTGAGGGCATGAGTATTTCACATACCTAACCTAGTATCAAGTTTGTGCTAGGTAAATAATAGCTGATAACAGATAGGAAATAACTGAACTAGAAGAAGAACTTACTTTACCGGATGGAAAAACACTGGACCAGACTTCAGACCAGGGTAATAAACAGCAACAACGCTGTGACCCTGGGCTAATCACATAATCTTTCAAGGATATAGCTTCCTCAACTGTAAATTCAGGAAATTTGACTTGACAATTTTTTTCCCAGCCATTATTAACATTCTAGATTTCACACATCTAGCTTTATATCCCCAGTTTCAAAAAGAACATAATTTTTAACAATAAAACAACTGAGTCCAAAATGATTAAATGACCTCTCCAAGGTCAAATAACTAATAAATTATAGAAGATGGGAGCTAAGATATATTATCTTTACTATGTACTAGGTTCCACGCATTATTCTTGGATCTCACTTCATCTTCTTGTAATGGGTATTATAGTCTCTTTGTTTTATGTTTTTAGCAAGGCTACCAATCCTTTAAACATGATAGTTGTGTTCTTTATGATTAGTACAACTGGTGATGTCCACTTAAGGTAGACCTTCTTTTTTTCTGCCAAGAACCACCATTGAGGCTCCTTGTAGCCTGTAGACATAATTTGAAAAGTAAACACATGCTCAAAAAGTTAAACATATAGTTACCATTATGACCTAGCAATTTCATTCCTAGGTATATACCCAAAAGAAGTGAAAATAAGGATTCAAATAAGTGCCTATATATGCATGTTCATAGCAGCAGCACTATTTTTTTATTTAACTTTTAAGTTCAGGGGTACATGTGCAGGTTTTCTATATAGGTAAACTACTGTCATGAGGGTTATGTACAGATTATTTCATCACCCCAGTATTAAGCCTAATGCCCATTAGTTATTTTTCCTGATCCTCTCCTTCCTCCCATCCTCCCCGCTCTGATAGGCCCCAGTGTGTTGTTCCCTTCTATGTGTCCATGTGTTCTCATCATTCAGCTCCCATTTATAAGTGAGAACATGTGGTATTTGTTTTCTGTTCCTGTGTTAATTTGTTAAAAATAATGGCCTCCAGCTCCATCCATGTTCCTGTAAAGGACATGATCGCGTTCTTTTTTTATGGCTGCATGGTATTCTATGATGTGTATGTACCACATTTTCTTTATATAGTCTGACACTGATGGACATTTAGGTTGATTCCATGTCTTTGCTATGGTGAATACAGCAGCAGCACTATTCACAATAAGCAAAAGGTAGAAACAACTGAAAAGTCCATCAACAGATAAATAAACAATTATGGTGTATCCGTATAACAGAATATTATTTCAGCATTCTATTAAGTGAAAGAAGCCATATACAAAGGTCACATATTATATGATTTCATTTCTATGAAATATTCGGAATAGGTAAATCCATACAAACACAAAGCAGATTGGTGGTGGCTAGGGTTCAGGGAGAAGGTATGTGGGAAATAGGAAGTAAGTATTTAATGGTATAGAATTTTATTTGGGGATCATGAAAATGTTTTGGGACCAGATAGAGGCAGTGGTTTTACAACAGTGTGAATGTACTAAATGCCACTAATTTGTTGACTTTAAAATGGTTAATTTTATGTTATGTGAATTTCACCTCAATGAAAAAAACTCATGTCCACTGATATGAGAAAACTGGACATAGGGATGAAGGAAAAGGAGCATTAAGAATCCAAAGTCCTCATGGCAGACATGGGATCAAGATCTCAACCCATTCTGTCCAAAGTTTAAAGTAACTAAAATCTGTTGAGAAGGACTTAAGTGGCTGTGATGTGGTTAACTAGTAGGAGAGAAGCCAAAAGGTTGAAAGGGAAAACTGCCTTCAAAGCAGAGGAGTGTATTGGAACTGTTGCCCAGGCTCAGCAGCAGGATCTGGTTTGCTGCTGGAGGAAGCAGTCCACAGGGCACTGTGTGGCTGACGTTGCAACACCTCGGCATCAACCACCCAGGCACTGGGGGACAGTGGATATGTGCCCATTCAACAACAAATCCATTCACTCTACACATAGGTATTCAGCATTTCCTTAGTACCAGGCATCGTTCTATACTTTAGGTAAGACAGAAGTGGCCTTTGTTTTCATGCAACTTACGAAACATTGAGTAAAGTACACAAAAGAGAAGAAAAGAAAAAAGATAAATTCAGATAATTGATCACAGCTATGAAGAAAAGAAGGCAATGCAATCTTGTATAGACGTGATTAGAGGGGATGAGAGATGCAATGGTCAAGGAAGCATCTTTGAAGGAGTAATATGTTAGTTGAGAACTAAATCTTCAGCATGAGGACCGGTGTGTGGGAGTGATACCACAGCACAGCAGAAGCTAGTTTACTAATACAGACACTTTATCTCACAATTCCTAACTCTATACAGAGCTAAGTTCCATATTCTGCACACAGTGAACACTTAACAAATATTGATGGAGGTCAGAATGAGAGGGAGTGTCTAGATGGCATCCACATGTTTGTTTAGTTTGGTTTTGCTTTGCTTTTGTTCCACTTTTGTCCATAGGAAGCAAGACATTTGCCCTAAAACATTGTTTCTTCTACTCAAATATAACTGCTAACAAGGCTCAGTATGAAACACATGTATTGTACTTGTTCTATTGATCAAGTGGTCAGAAAGAGTTTAGTCATTTTCAAACTTCCTTGAAAAGCAGAACTAGGAAAGTAGCACAGTAGAGAGAAAAGACCCCTGACCTAGGAATTATGAGACCATTGTTCTGGTCCCAATTTTCTTCTAACATTCCATACAATCATAGGAAAGTCATTTCAACTATTTGCACCTTGATTTTCTCTAAATAATGGGAAAAATGAACTACATAATATCTCTGAGGTCTTGTTCTTGTATATGATATATATGGGGGCAGAGGAGAGTAGGGCTCAGAGAGAAAGGTTTAGCTAGGGCGTCACAGACATTGATCAGACATGGGGACTCGACAATGGCTGATCCGTGTGAGTGTTTATGTCTCTGGGACATATTTGCTCTTCCTGTCTTTGCATTCATGTTGGCACTTTTCAGATTCAGCTCCTTTTCTAAAAGCTCTCCCTCCCTCTCTTTACTTACGAGAATGATTGAGACCCCTGTTGATAAATAAAACAAGAGGTTGTGAATAAAGCAATAACACTTGAAAGCTACATCAATTTCTTTTTGTCTTTTTCTTTCCAAAAAATAAAAATCTCATTTATAAGCAAATTAGCTTTACACGCCACCTCCCTGCACTTGGGGAGACAGAATAAACAGATTTTTCTTTAAAATGGCATCAAGACAGTACAATTCTACTCTGAAGAAAATGATAAAAGCATGCAAATGCCCATTCAATTCAATGGTAGGAGGAGGAATTTTTCTATATCTTGGAAAGTAGGAGAAGATAATGAGGTCAGTTTGGTACAAGTAATGTTTATGAAACACAATGTTATTCTCCTTCCTATAAATACAGACTGCAGATCTTATTAGTCAGACTTCGTTTCCTCCCTTTGCAAATGTAAAATTTTAATTGTTCTAATCCCTTCCCTGTTGATTTCTTGCTACAATTTTACACAGCAGCAGATCACCTCTTTATTTTCTCAGAAATACATTAGCACAGTGCCATAGTCCTAAATCATATATATTTTAATTGAATGAAGGAAAAAAAAAAAGAGGAAATCAACTCTGAAATTCAGGGCCCTAAAAATAGTCTTCTCCAAAAGGACACACATTTACTATTTGGAAGCTAATGTTAATTATCTTTGGCTTTCATGACCAAGAAACAAAAATCTTGAGGTTCTGTTTTTAGCAATACCTACCTACAAAGAATCAATGTATTGATTTGAGAATACTACCTATCTGTATCTAATATCAAAAAAAAAAACTCAGGAAAAATTTTTACTGCTTGACCACTGAAAGTCAATATCTAATATACACTTATATACTCATGAAGGGTCATTTTCTATAATGTGGTACATATAAAAAATGCACTGACTGGAATTCAAAGAACTGTCATTTCAGCCCCTATTCATCTGATAGCTATGTGATTCCAATCAAATCATTTAATTGCCTTAGGCCTAATCTTTCCCACTGAAAACAGTTGTAAAATAGTAGAAGAATATCTTAGTAAAGCAGTTTTATGTTTCTACAAAATAAAATGTTAAATACTTCTTAATAAAAAAACTTTGTGTTTTATTAAAAATTTGTAGATAGCATAAAGCTGTGCTGTACAATACAATAGCCACTAGCCACATGTGGATATTTAAATTTAAAATAATTAAAAATAAAATAAAATAAATGCCTCAGTTGTACTAGCCACATTTCAAGTGCTCAAATAACTACATGTTACCGGTTATTACTGTACCGGACAGCACAGATATAGAACATTTCTGTAATCATAGGAAGATTTATTTAATGGCACTGGTATGAAGTGACAGAAAAAGCACTATGCTTTATTATCTTTACAAAGCACTAAAATAAATGTTTCAGTCATTCAACTGAATATTCCAATAGACATCAATCTATACATTAACACCCATGGGTACAGTTATTCAACTAGTTACAATCTATCTGCTTTTTACCATTAACTCACAAACTTTCTCCTTCTTATTTATGAGAATGTCATGAGAAATATTATCACATTGCTTGCTGAAATCCAAGTGCCCACTGTCTGTTGTAACAGACATCTGTAACTCTGTCAAAAGAAATACAGAAGAGAAAGTTCTTCTGTCATAATCAATTATTATTTGTTTATTTTTAGAGACAGGATCTTACTCTGCCACCCAGGCTAGAGTGCGGTGGCATGCTCACGGCTCACTGCGGCCTTGACTTCCTGGGCTCAAGCAATCCTCCTGTCTCAGCACCCTCTGGGTAGCAGGGACTACAGGTGTGCATGACCACATGTGGCTAGTTTTTGTATTTTTCATTGAGATAGACTCTTGCTTTGTTGGCCAGGCTGGTCTCAAACTTCTGGGCTCAAGTGATCCTCCCACACTGGCCTTCCAAAGTGGTGGGATTATAGGCATGAGCCACCATGCCCAACCATCACTTATTATTAAGCCCATGCTAGTGCCTCGTGCCATTTTCCTAAGCATGCACAAACTATCCCTAGAACTGCATCCCACCTGTCAGTGCCATGCTGATCATTCTCCTTTCAAATAAAAAAAAATCAGAATTATATATAGATGCTTCTTTTCTGTTTTGTGTCTCTTGTGTCCCAGGACTCCTGAAAGATCACTAACAATAGTCTAGCCAATTCTTTGTACCCATAAATATAATTTGTGCATCCTAGATAATTTTTAACTCAGTTAAAAGTAGGACTGTATATGTCAGCTCTTTTTTCTTCATGCTTGTTCTACTTATTCAAGTTTAAAAATAATATTTCTTGACAGCTTTATTTCTTCTATGTTAATTTAGCTTTTCCTCTTTCTTCTGTTAGTGATACATCATTAGGACTTCCTTCCTTACTCTTCTTTCTCTAAACACAACTATACATAGAATTTTGTTCATCTTGTCTTTAAAACTTTTTTTGCAGATTTTAGTACATCTTAGCCTCTAGACCATCTACTAGACTCACTACATTCATCCTTAGTTAATAAGATTTGTTTGTTAAGACCTTTGATTGTTAGAAGCAGAAGTTCCCTTGAGCTAACTTCAGCAACAGGAGTCTAAGAAAGTAAGGATATGCCCCCAAAACAAGGGTATGAATACAACCACTTTTCAGGAAGAACTAAAACTGGCAGTGGAAGGGGTGTCAGATTTCAAAGAGGGCAAAAGTCTTACTGGTTGATAAACCTATAATATAAGGAAAGTAAAAAACAAGACAGTTAAATTGAAAAGATATTTGAATTCATAATCATGAAAAGAAATAATTTTTCAGTCCTGTCACTATCAAGAGTAACTCAATGAAAGCGGCAGTAGTCTTACCTACTTTCAATCTAATGTGTACTCAAACTTAAATCTCTAATATTCTTCCCTGAGGTAAGTCACTGATACTTAAAAGAGGGTAAATGATTCCACATCGTGAAGAAGAACAAAATTACAATAGGGTTAGAAATCTACTGTGACCAAAAAGTAAAGATTGCTTCCAAGGATTCCAGAGGACAAAGGAGCCCATTTAAGAGGTCTCTCACTGACCAGGTTGTGTCTATTTAAGCAAATAATAACTAATTGAAACAAGTTGGATGTATAAAAGGCTATGAGCCCACAGTGATGTTCAAACAATAAAATTACCGTAAAGCTACAAAAATGTAGTGATACCAACCTAGAGAGCTGAAATGGCTAAAAACCAAACCCAGGATTTCATCCTGAAAGTGGTTGGTTACAAAGCAAATTGTATTCCCAACCTCACAGGGTGTTGTGGTGGTTAATATTGGGTGTCAACTTGATCGGAATGAAGAATACAAAGTATTGATCCTGGGTGTGTCTGTGAGGGTGTTGCCAAAGGAGATTAACATTTGAGTCAGTGGGTTGAGAAAGGCAGACCCACCCTTAATTTGGGCAGGCACAATCTAATTAGCTGCCAGTAAGGCTAGAATATAAGCAGGCAGAAAAATGTGAAAAGAGAGACTAGCTTAGCCTCCCAGCCTGCATCTTTCTCTTGTGCTGGATGCTTCCTGCTCTCAAATATCGGACTCCAAGTTCTTCAGTTTTGGCGCTTGGACTGCCTCTCCTTGCTCCTCAGCCTGCAGACAGCCTATTGTGGGACCTTGTGATTGTGTGAGTTAATACTTAATAAACCCCCCTTTGTATAAATATTATATATATTCCATTAGTTCTGTTCCCCTAGCAAACCCTGACTAACACAGACTTTGGTACCAGGAGTATTTCTAGACGAACAGAATATAAAGGATGGAGTTCTTTCATTGGTTTTGGGGTTTCTGGAGTTGGCTGCTTAATATGATTAGACCCAAAAATGGGAAGGACTTTACTTCTAACAGTATGGAGAACAGTGATAGTCCTTGGCATGAACTGTTTAGAGACTTACACAAAATAAATGCATTTGACACTCCTGATTCATCGCTCATGAAAGGCAAGGAGTTTAGTGACTCTATACATAATACCTTTGACCATACGTGGAGAACCGAGGAACATAATGAAGCAGGTTAGTTGCTCCTAAGTTCAGTGGACAAAGTGATGAAAGAAAATGATGAACTCAGGGATTCTATCTCCTGGCTTCAGAAGCAGATACTGAGCTTCAAATCTGCTAAGATTGCCCTGAGTAAGATTCTTATCTCCTGTAGAAAAAGCTAAAGTTGTGGAAAAACAGACAGGAGCTCTTATCATGCGAGTGACTGACCTGCAACAAAAGTTGCACGCACAGCCTCACCAGGTGTCTACTGTTAAAGTGAGGGCATTGATTGGAAAAATATTGGGCCCTGAAACTTGGAATGGGGATGTGTAGGAGGACCCTGATGAAGCAGGGGACACCGAGTTTGTAAACTCTGATAAACTTTTCTTGCCAGAAGAAACAGCTTCCCTATCCCCAGTAGTGGCAACATCCCCTAACCAATCCATGCTGCCATCAGCCTTTCCACCTTTGTCTGAGGAGATCAACCCTGCATTGCCTGGGGCAACAGTGTTGGCCTCCCCTGAGGCAGCTGCCAGGCAAGATAATGTACATTCTCCTCAGGAGCCATCCACAACAGCCCTGTTTGCTTCTAGACCTATCACTAAAGTACCGACAGGCACTTAGAAGTTAGGTTCAGAGCGTGACCCATGAAAAGGTGTGCTACACTCAAAAAGAACTGCTTGAGTTTATATAAATTAGAGTTTATATAAATTAGAAATTAGAAATAATTTATATAAACAGAAATCTGGAGAACGGGCATGGGAATGGATAGTAAGGGTGTGGGATAATGGTGGAAGGAACATAGAGTTGGATCAGGCTGAATGTATTAATTTGGGCCCACTAAGTAGGGACTCTGCATTTAATGTTCCAGCTCAGGCAGTTAAAAAAGGTTCTAATAGTTTATTTGCTTGGTTAGCTGAAATATGGATTGAAAGATGACCTACTGTGAGTGAATTGGGAATGCCTGATCTCCCTTGGTTTAATGTAAAGGAAAGGATCCAAAGGCTTAGGCAGATTGGGATGGTGGAGTGGATTAGTCACTTTAGACCTACTCATCCCAGCTGGGAGGATACAGAAGATAAACCCTCGACCAATGCCTTGCAAAACAGATTCGTGAGGGCAGCACTTGCATCTTTGAAGAGCCCTGTAATTGCCCTTCTCTGCATGTCATATCTAACGGTGGGAATGACAGTCACTCAACTACAAAATTTAAATACAATGGGAAGAATTGGATCCCAAGGTGGCAGGGGCCAAATGGTAGCACTCAACTGTCAAAGGCATAGTGGGTGTACCTACTGTAATGGACAGCAGAGGCAAAGCAGCAATCAGAATAATCTGACTAATGTAGAGTTCTGGCATTGGCTAATCAATCATGGCATTCCTAGAAGTGAAATTGGTAAGAAGCCTACTGCATTCCTACTTAATTTATATAAGCAGAAAACTTCTAGATCAAATGGAAAAAAAGACTAATTTGAATTATAAAAGCAGTGAATCATGGCCCCTCAATCAATTTTCAGACTTGAGCCAGTTTACAAACCCAGAACCCCTTGAATGAAGGGGAGGCCGGGTTCTCTTAAGGAAGGACACCACTACAATACTGAAAATTTATACAGTGAATCTTTCTGCCATGCTTCCCCAAGGAGACCTCCAGCCGTTTACCAGGATAACTGTGCATTGGGAAAGGGAAATAATCAGACATTTGGGGAAATACTGAACACTGGCTCTGAGCTGACGCTGATTCCAGGGGAAACAAAACGTCATTGTGGTCCTCCAGTTAAAGTAGGGGCTTATGGAGCTTAGGTAATTAATGGAGTTTTAGCTCAGGTCCAACTTACACTGGGTCCAGTGGGTCCCTGGACTCATCCTGTCATCATTTCCCCAGTGTCAGAATGCATAATTGGCACAAACATACTTAGCAGTTGGCAGAACCCCCACATTGGCTCCCTGTCTGGTAGGGTGAGGGCTATTACAGTAAGAAAGGCCAAATGGAAGACATTAGAGCTGCCCCTACCTAGAAAAATAGTAAATCAAAAACAATATCGCATCCTGGAAGGACTGCAGAGATTAGTGCCACCATCAAGGACTTGAAAGATGCAGAGGTGAATGATTCCCACCACAACCCCATTCAACTCTCCCATTTGGCCTGTGCAGAAGACAGATGGATCTTGGAGAATGACAGTGGATTATCATAAGCTTAACCAACTGGCGACTCTGATTGCAGCTGCTGTACCAGATGTGATTTCATTGCTTGAGCAAATTAACACATCTCCTGGTACCTGGTATGCAGCCATTGACTTGACAAATGCCTTTTTCTCCATTCCTGTCCATAAGGCCCACCAGAAGCAATTTGCCTTCGGCTAGCAAGGCCAGCAATATACGTTTACTGTCCTATCTCAGGGGTATACAAACTCCCTGGCTTTGTATCATAATCTTATTCAGAAAGACCTTGATCTCTTTTTGCTTCTGCAAGATATCACAGTGGACCATTACACTGATGACATTATGCTGATTGGATCCAGTAAGTAAGAAGTAGCAAACACACTGAACTTATTGGTGAGACATTTGTGTGCCACAGGATGAGAAATAAATCCAACTAAAATTCGGGGAACTTCTACCTCAGTACAATTTTTAGGGGTCCAGTAGTGTGGGGCCTGTTGAGATATCCCCTCTAGGATGAAGGATAAGTTGCTGTATTTGTCCCCTCCTACAACCAAGAAAGAGGCACAATGCCTAGTGACCCTATTTGGATTTTGGAGGCAACACATTCCTCAATTAGGTGTATCACTCTGGCCCATTTATCGAGTGATCCAAAGGCTACCAGTTTTGAGTTGGGTCCAGAACAAGAGAAGGCTCTACAACAGGTCCAGGCTGGTTTGCAAGCTGCTCTGCCACTTGGGCCATATGACCCAACAGATCCAATGGTGCTTGAGATGTCTGACAGGTAGGGATGCTGTTTGGAGCCTTTGGCAGGCCCCCATAGGTGAATCACTGCAGAGCCCTGTAGGATTTTGGAGCAAGGCCCTGCCATCTTCTGCAGATAACTACTCTCCTTTTGAGAGACAGCTCTTGGCCTGTTACTGGGCTTTGATGGAAACTGAACATTTGACTATGCGTCATCAAGTCACCATATGACCTGAACTGCCTATCATGAACTGGGTGTTTTCTGACCCATCTAGCCATGAAGTGTGTCATGCGCAGTAACTTTCCATCATCAAATGGAAGTGGTATATTCATGACTGGGCTAGAGCAGGTCATGAAGGCACAAGTAAGTTACATAAGGAATTGGCTCAAATGCCCATGGTCTCCATTTCTGCCACCCTGCCTGCTCTTCCCCAGCCTGCACCAATGGCCTCATGGGGAGTTCCCTATGATCAGTTGACAGAGGAAGAGAAGACTAGGCCCTGGTTCTCAAATGGGTCTGCACAATATGCAAGCACCACCCAAAAGTGGACAGCTGCACTACTACAGCCCCTTTCTAGGACATCCCTGAAGCACAGCAGTGAAGGGAAATCTTCCCAGTGGGCAGTACTTCGAGCAGTGCACCTGGTTGTGCACTTTGCATGGAAGTGCATATGGAATGGCCAGATATGCAATTACATACTGATTCATGGGCTG
Source organism: Homo sapiens (assembly GCF_000001405.40). Lineage (NCBI taxonomy): Eukaryota > Metazoa > Chordata > Mammalia > Primates > Hominidae > Homo > Homo sapiens. The sequence continues at coordinate 4,131,619 of NC_000003.12, forward strand.
TAGCTAATGGTTTGGCTGGAAGGTCAGGGACTTGGAAGAAACATGATTGGAAAATTGGTGACAAAGAAATTTGGGGAAGAGGTACGTGGATGAACCTCTCTGAGTAGTCAAAAACTAAAGGTATTCGTATCCCATGTGAGTGCTCATCAATGGGTGACCTCAGCAGAAGAGGATTTTAATAATAAAGTGGATAGGATGACCCATTCTGGGGACACCACTCAGCCTCTTTCCCCAGCCACCTCTGTCATTGCCCAGTGGGACCATGAACAAAGTGGCCATGGTGGCAAGGATGGAGGTTACACATGGGCTCAGCAACATGGACTTTCACTCACCAAGGCCGACCTGGCTACAGCCAGTGCTGAGTGCCCAATTTGCCAGGAGCAGAGACCAACACTGAGCCCTTGATATGGCACCATTCCTCAGGGTGATCAGCCAGCTACCTGGTGGCAGGTTGGTTATATTGGACCTCTTCCATCATGGAAAGGGCAGAGGTTTGTCCCCACCAGAATAAACACTTACTCCGGATATAGATATGAGTTTTCCTATCCCGCTCACAATGCTTCTGTCAAAACTACCATCCATGGACTCACAGAACGCCTCACCTACCATCATGGTATTCCACACAGCATTGTCTCTGACCAAGGCACTCACTTTATGGCTAAAGAAGTGCAGCTGTGGACTCATGCTCATGGAATTCACTGGTCCTATCATGTTCCCCATCATTCTGAAGCAGCTAGATTGATAGAACAGTGGAATGGCCTTTTGAAGTCACAATTACAATGTCAACTAGGTGACAATACTTTGCACAGCTGGGTCAAAGTTCTCCAGAAGGCCATGTATGCTCTGAATCACCATCCAATATATGGTACTGTTTCTCCCATAGCCAGGATTCATCGGTCCAGGTATCAAGGGGTGAAAGTGGAAGTGGCACCACTCACCATCACCCCAAGTGATCCACTAGCAAAATTTTTGCTTCCTGTTTCCATTACATTATGTTCTGCTGGCCTAGACGTCTTAGTTCCTGGGGGAGGAACGCTGCCACCAGGAGACACGATTCCATTAAACTGGAAGTTAAGATTGCCACCTGGACACTTTGGGCTCCTCCGACCTTTAAGTCAACAGGCTAAGAAGGGAGTTACAGTGTTGGCTGTGGTGACTGACACAGACTATCAAGAAGAAATCAGTCTACTACTCCACAACGGAGGTAAGGAAGAGTATGCATGGAATACAGGAGATCCATTAGGGCATCTCTTAACATTACCATGCCCTGTGATTAAGGTCAATAGGAAACTACAGCACCCCACTCCAGGATGGACGACAAATGGCCCACACCCTTCAGGAATGAAGGTTAGGTTCACTCCACCAGGAAAAAAACCACAACCTGCTTAGGTGCTTGGTGAAGGCAAAGGGAATACAGAATGGGTATTGGAATAACGTAGTCATTAATATCAGCTATGACCACATGACCAGCTGCAGAAAGAGGACTGTAATTGTCATGAGTACTTCCTTCTTCTTTTGTTAAAAACATGTTTGTGCATGTATACACTTGTACTAAGAAAAATCTTCATTTTATTTCCTTTCTCCTTTATCATGTGACATAAGATTTATTGATTTCACATCAGCATTTAAGAATTGTTAACTTTATGTAATAGTATTTGGGTTGGGGATTAGTGTGTTTCGGGTTGTATGAAGGATAGTTATATTAGGCATAATTATGACCTTATTATTGTCCTTATTTGAAAATTATGTATGATCTCAGGAGATGTGTATGGGTTCAAGTTGACAAGGGGTGAACTTGTGATAGTTAATACTAAGTGTCAACTTGACTGGATTGAAGGATACAAAGTATTGGTCCTCAGTGTGTCTGTGAGGGTGTTGCTGAAGGAGATTAACATTTGAGTCAGTGTGCTGCAAAAGGCAGACCCACCCTTAATCTGGGTGGGCACAATCTAATCAGTTGCCTGTGCAGCTAGATTATATACAGGTAGAAAAATGTGAAAAGAGAGACTGGCCTAGCCTTTCACCCTACATCTTTCTCCCGTGCTGGATGCTTCCTGCCCTTGAACATCGGACTCCAATTTCTTCAGTTTTGGAACTCAGACTGGCTCTCCTTGTTCCTCAGCCTCCAGATGGCCTATTGTAGGACCTTCTGATCATGTGACTTAATACTTAATAAACTCCCCTTTATATATGTATATCTATTCTATTAGTTCTGTCCCTCTAGAGAACTCTGACTAATACAGGTGTCTACTGCTAAAGTGGGGGCATTGACTGGGAAGGAACAGTATCATTAAAATTGGGATGGGAACACACGGGCAGACTGACGAATCTGGGGATACTCAGCTCCTAAATTCCAATGACTCTTCTCTGCCACTAGAAGGGGCACACACAATAATAATGGGAGACTTTAACAACCCACTGTCAACATTAGACAGATCAACGAGACAGAAAGTTAACAAGGATATCCAGGAATTGAACTCAGCTCTGCACCACGCAGACCTAATAGACATCTACAGAACTCTCCACCACATATCAACAGAATATACATTCCTTTCAGCACTACACCACAAATATTCCAAAATTGACCACATAGTTGGAAGTAAAACACTCCTCAGCAAATGTAAAAGAACAGAAATTATAACAAACTCTCTCTCAGACCACAGTGCAATCAAACTAGAACTCAGGATTAAGAAACTCACTCAAAACCACTCAACTACATGGAAAACGAACAACCTGTCCCTGAATGACTACTGGGTACATAACAAAATGAAGGCAGAAATAAAGATGTTCTTTGAATCCAATGAGAACAAAGATACAACATACCAGAATCTCTGGGACACATTCAAAGCAGTGTGTAGAGGGAAATTTATAGCACTAAATGCCCACAAGAGAAAGCAGGAAAGATCTAAAATTGACACCCTAACATCACAATTAAAAGAACTAGAGAAGCAAGAGCAAACACATTCAAAAGCAGAAGGCAGAAGGCAAGAAATTACTAAGATCAGAGCAGAACTGAAGGAAATAGAGACACAAAAAACCCTTCAAAAAATTAACGAATCCAGGAGCTGGTTTTTTGAAAAGATCAACAAAATTGATAGTCCACTAGCAAGACTAATAAAGAAGAAAAGGGAGAAGAATCAAATAGTGGCAATAAAAAATGATAAAGGGGGTATCACCACCGATCCCACAGAAATACAAACTACCATCAGAGAATACTATAAACACCTCTACACAAATAAACTAGAAAATCTAGAAGAAATGGATAAATTCTTCAACACATACACTTTCCCAAGACTAAATCAGGACGAAGTTGAATCTCTGAATAGACCAATAACAGGCTCTGAAATTGTGGCAATAATCAATAGCTTACCAACCAATAAAAGTCCAGGACCAGATGGATTCACAGCCGAATTCTACCAGAGGTACACGGAGGAGCTGGTACCATGCCTTCTGAAACTATTCCAATCAATAGAAAAAGAGGGAATCCTCCCTAACTCATTTGATGATGCCAGCATCATCCTGATACCAAAGCCTGGCAGAGACACAACAAAAAAAGAGAAAATTTAGACCAATATCCTTGATGAATATTGATGCAAAAATCCTCAATAAAATACTGGCAAAGTGAATCCAGCAGCACATCAAAAAGTTTATCCACCATGATCAAGTGGGCTTCATCCCTGGGATGCAAGGCTGGTTCAACATATGAAAATCAATAAATGTAATCCAGCATATAAACAGAATAAAAGACAAAAACCACATGATTATCTCAATAGATGCAGAAAAGGCCTTTGACAAAATTCAACAACGTTTCATGCTAAAAACTCTCAATAAATTAGGTATTGATGGGATGTATCTCAAAATAATAACAGCTATCTATGACAAACCCATAGCCAATATCATACTGAATGAGCAAAAACTGGAAGCATTCCCCTTGAAAACTGGCACAAGACAGGGATGCCCTCTGTCACCACTCCGATTCCAACATAGTGTTGGAAGTTCTGGCCAGGGCCATCAGGCAGAAGAAGGAAATAAAGGGCATTCAATTAGGAAATGAGGAAGTCAAATTGTCCCTGTTGGCAGATGACATGATTGTATATCTAGAAAACCCCATCATCTCAGCCCAAAATCTCCTTCAGCTGATAAGCAACTTCAGCAACATCTCAGGATACAAAATCAATGTGCAAAAATCACAAGCATTCTTATATACCAATAACAGACAAACAGAGAGCCAAATCATCAGTGAACTCCCGTTCACAATTGCTTCAAAGAGAATAAAATACACAGGAATCCAACTTACATGGGATGTGAAGGACCTTTTCAAGGAGAACTGCAAACCACTGCTCAATGAAATAAAAGAGGATACAAACAAATGGAAGAACATTCCATGCTCATGAGTAGGAACAATCAATATTGTGAAAATGGCCATACTGCCCAAGGTAATTTATAGATTCAATGCCATCCCCATCAAGCTACCAATGACTTTCTTCACAGAATTGGAAAAAACTACTTTAAAGTTCATACGGAACCAAAAAAGAGCCTGCATTGCCAAGACAATCCTAAGCCAAAAGAACAAAGCTGGAGGCATCATGCTACCTGACTTCATACTATACTACAAGGCTACAGTAACCAAAACAGCATGGTACTGGTACCAAAACAGAGATATAGACCAAAGGAATAGAGCCCTCAGAAATAATACCACACATCTACAACCATCTGATCTTTGACAAACCTGAGAAAAACAAGCAATGGGGAAAGGACTCCCTATTTAATAAATGGTGCTGGGAAAACTGGCTAGCCATATGTAGAAAGCTGAAACTGGATCCCTTCCTCACACCTTATACAAAAATTAATTCAAGATGGATTAAAGACTTACATGTTAGACCTAAAACCATAAAAACCCTAGAAGAAAACCTAGGCAATACCATTCAGGACATAGGCATGGGCAAGGACTTCATGTCTAAAACATCAAAAGCAATGGCAACAAAAGCCAAAATTGACAAATGGGATCTAATTAAACTAAAGAGCTTCCGCACAGCAAAAGAAACTACCATCAGAGTGAACAGGCAACCTACAACATGGGAGAAAATTTTTGCAATCTACTCATCTGACAAAGGGCTAATATCCAGAATCTACAATGAACTCAAACAAATTTACAAGAAAAAAACAAACAACCCCATCAAAAAGTGGGCAAAGGATATGAACAGACACTTCTCCAAAGAAGACATTTATGCAGCCAAAAAACACATGAAAAAATGCTCATCATCACTGGCCATCAGAGAAATGCAAATCAAAACCACAATGAGATACTATCTCACACCAGTTAGAATGGCGATCATTAAAAAGTCAAGAAACAACAGATGCCGGAGGGGATGTGGAGAAATAGGAACACTTTTACACTGTTGGTGGGACTGTAAACTAGTTCAACCATTGTGGAAGACAGTGTGGCGATTCCTCAAGGATCTAGAACTAGAAAAACCATTTGACCCAGCCATCCCAATACTGGGTATATACCCAAAGGATTATAAATCATGCTGCTATAAAGACACATGCACATGTATGTTTACTGAGGCACTATTCACAACAGCAAAGACTTGGAACCAACCCAAATGTCCAAAAATGATAGACTGGATTAAGAAAATGTGGCACATATACACCATGGAATACTCTGCAGCCATAAAAAAGGATGAGTTCACGTCCTTTGTAGGGACATGGATGAAGCTGGAAACCATCATTCTCAGCAAACTATTGCAAGAACAAAAAACCAAACACCGCATGTTCTCACTCATAGGTGGGAATTGAACTATGAGAACACTTGGACACAGAAAGTGGAACATCACACTCTGGGGCCTGTTGTGGGGTGGGGGGAAGGGGGCGGGAGAGCATTAGGAGATATACCCAATGTAAACGATGAGTTAATGGGTACAGCACACCAACATGGCACACGTATACATAGGTAACAAACCTGCACGTTGTGCACATGTACCCTAGAACTTAAAGTATAATTAAAAACAAACAAACAAACAAGAAATGGAAGAAAATTTCCTCAACCTGATAAAGGGAATCTACAAAAATTCCACAACTAACATCATACTTAATGAAAGACTGAAGCTTTTCCTTTCACATCCAGAACAAGACAGAGATGCTCATTCCTACCACTTTTATTTACCACTGTACTGGAGGTTCTAGCCAGAGCAACTGCGCAGAAAAAGAAATAAATGATCCAAATTGTAAAAGAAGAAGTACAACCATCTCTATTTGCAGATGAGATAATCTTGCATATAGTAAACACTAATAATACACACACACACACACACATTATTAGAACTAATAAGTGAGTTCAGCAAGGTTGCTGAATACAAATTCAATATGCAAGATTTAATTGTATTTCAATACAGTAGAAATGAACAATCCCAAAATAAAATTAAGAAAACTCCCCATTTATAATAGCATCAAAAAAATAAAATACTTAGGAATAAATTTAAAAAGGTTTGGGTCTTTTGCGATGAACATGGTAGAAATAAATAAAAGACCTAAGTAAATGGAAAGATAATCTGTGTCCATGGATTGCAAGACTTAATATTGTTAAGACGACAACACTACCCAAGGTGATCTACAGTTTCAACATAAATCCTATCGAACTCTGTATAGTGAAAAGTTAACTTCACTCAGAAAGAGGACTGACCTTTCACCTCAACTATCAGAAGCTGATCTCTACATCTCTGGGATGTCCTGCCTAATAGGAATATCTTTGTTTGCCTGAAGATTTGACCACTGGACAGTGAACACTGTGATTTATGATGGGGGCTTTTGGATATTCCATGTCAATTCCAACCTCCAGAGGAATCAGAGACTAAACTTATTAGCCTGACCTTCCAGAAGGGACTGGAGACTAAAAATCAGCCACATGGACAGTATGTGATAAAGTCTTACTAAAAACTCTGAAAACCAAAGCTCAGTGAGCTTCCCTAGTTGGCAATACCCTTTGAGCTTTGAGTATTGTCACACATCACAGCTAGGATGAGGTAACGCCATCCAGGACTCCATGCAGAGAATATGACTATAAGTTTCCTATTTGGGCCCCTTTCAGACTTCACTTTATGCAACTTTTCCTTTGCCTGGTTCTAATTTATACCTTTTTGCAATAATAAAATTGTAATTATGGTTATAGCGAGTATAGCACTTTCCTGGGTTCTGTAAGTCATTCTAGTGAATTACTAAATCTGAGGATGGTCATGGGAACCCTCAAATTTGCAGCCAGCTGATGCGATGTTCTTGAGGCTATTTACCCATATTTTTTCTGTATGCTGGATTTTTTATATATTATGACATAGTATGGTAATGAGCATTTCTTCTCAACTCCACTTTCAGTGATTCATGTTGGTACCTTGAAATCAACCATGCGGAAAGTATATCACAGAAATCAGCAAATGCTATGAATCAGAGCTTAATTTATTATTTTCCTAATAACAAAACTATTAATAATACAGATTAAACATAAAATTTTATTGTATTGATAGTCATTACATTGCAAATAGTACAAAAAGTTGAGGAAATATTCTGTCAGTTTTTAAAAATTATTATCCAGTTCAGCAAAGAAGTTACTGACATCATTGACAAAAGAGTAAATTTCCAATATATGTCCTCACTGTTTCAGTTTCGTATCAGTCATTATTATAAATGAAAAGATCAACCAACACTCATGTTAGAGCTAGACTCATTCATCAACTGCAACCATAGCTTGGCTATGGATATAAGAATTCAGAAAAAAATCAATAATAGCATTCTGTGAGAATCAATTGGCAATATGGAATTTATAATAAAGAGTCATGTATATTTTATTATTAAGTGTAAATTGTGTGCTGCACATCTTTCATGTTGATAAAATGTATAATAAACTTATATACATGCATGTGTGTGTGTATATATGTATAATAAACTTATATATATGCATGTGTGTGTGTGTATATATATACACACACACACACATTTCTTAAGGGGAGAGCCAGTTGTTAATCATTTACCAGGGCACGACTGATTTTAGTGTTATCTTCCTGCAGGAAAGAGGACTAGTCATATGGCAAACAATTGCATAGTAAGTCTAGCTGCACAATTGCCTTTAATAATTTCTAGAGAGAAGTTAGGCTGACAAGTAAAAAAAAAATCCCCCCTTTACACTTCCAGGATCTCCATCTTTTCTTGAAAAATAGTATAGACCAGTTCTGCAATGATTCCAGCCTACTCTTTAAGACAGACTACAGAGTTTATTTGGGCTATTTGAACACATGCTCTTGGCATACGTAGTTCAATAACAAGAACTTTTCTGTCTCTTTTAGCCACTCAGACATTCCAAAGGACCACACATCCTTTGCAGGAACTCAAAATAAGGAGATTATAAATGTCCTAAGGCATTTCTGAAATCTCTCAACTCTTCCTACACCACTGTTCTCGCCTAACTCAAAACTCTTGGCTCTCCATCCTAACTCTAATCCTAATTCTAGGACTTGAACTGGAATTTATCCTAATTTTCATGGCATTTGACTTAATTCTCCATAGGATACCTGGGATAGAATTTATACCTCTGGCTTTCCCCTTCTGAGATAAACCCCTGATGCTTCTCCCAAATTCTAGACACTGATGTGAATGTAATAAAATAGGGATCTTATTTATACATCAGATGCATCTGTAAATCCTTCCAAGGACTAGGGTTCCTCTTTCTTTTCCCACAACCAACATTCCTTGAAAATCATTTTTAAAAGGATTCAGGAAACTGATTCTTACTCCATTCTTATGTAACTTCCTGCTATCCCCACCTAGAACTCTACTATTTGTCTATTTCAGTTTTCAAGTAGAGTTTAGTATTTTGTCAAGTAGGAAAAATCAGTGCCCTTTGGACTCATCTGTTCCTTTCTTTCTTTCCTGCTGAAATAAAGAGGAAACATTTGACTTTATCCTATATTTTATAAATTATTTTTCTATTCATATACTCCCATGTAATTATTTACATTATTCCTTGACTTTACCTAATTTTTGTACTTACTTCTTCCTTGAAACAATGTGACACTACTTTATGTAGTATATTTCTCCCCAAAATCCCAAATTATTTTATTAATATAATATTTAGTTTTGTTGTCCTTTCAGCAGAGAATAGTATAGGTTATCCTCAAAGTAGAGGGATATCCTTAGAATAGAGAAAACTCTAGCTGTAAACTTTTTTAAAAAGGTTTCATTGAAGAAAATAAACCTCTCAAGGAATTGAGATTATTAGTAATCTGTAAAGATTAAAGTCAAGGAAACATAATAGGAATAGGGAAGAGGAAAAAAACACAGTCCCTGAAAAATAGAAAAAGCTTGCATTTCATGAGTTTTCACATGATAAGCAAGTAAGAGACTGTTTAATACATTCACTTGTTGACCTTTAAAAGAATCCATCCTCATGTACAGCATTAGAAGCATATAATGAGATTAGTATTTAGAGACTGTTATGAGAATAGGTCAAGTCAGTCACAAGCATATTTTCATTTTGGTTCACTGTATTTTCTGCCACAGCATTTTGCAAGGCCATGTGTACTCCTTTCAAATAAATGCAGCAGTGAGAGTACTGTGTTGACCTTTTATCTCATTTCCCTCCTAATACGGAGGTAATCATCAATAAGCACTGTGCATACTGGAGTTAGGCATTTGTGTAAACAAAAGATTTATTGAAATGGCCAAGGGGGAGAAGAAATTGAAATCCATCTCACTTAGAAGCCTTTAAGAAGATCTGACCAGAAATGCAACCTAGGTTATAACTGTGCCAGTGCCCAGAGGATAACTTGACCAGCAGCAAAAGCTGGCCTCCCAGGAAAGGAAGAGCAGGTGTGCCTGAAAATCCGACTTATTCATCAAGGGTCATTTAAATGTCAACTCAAGCGGCTCACATCTTTAATTCCAGCTTCTCAGGAGGCTGAAAAAGGAGGATTGCTTGAGCCCAGGAGTTCGAGACTACAGTGAGCTAAGATCATGCCACTGCACTCTACCCTGGGCAACAGAGCAAGATCCTGCTTCAAAGCCTCAAACAAACAAACAAACAAACAAACAAAAAACATAGCTATTGCACTTTTATGGCACTTCATCCACAGACAGTGAAGTCCTAAAATGTTTGGGTGAGCAGAAAAGTCCCAGGCCAAGAGATTCTAATCATCCAGCCTGGGGCAATCCATAGGGAACTTTTGAAACTATACGTCTCCAGCACAAAATGAAGGTTTGGGACCTTTTCCACTCATCCAACAATTTGAGAGCTCTGGGTGGAGCCCTAGGAACCCACATGTTTTCAAAAATTGCTCAAGCAAGACCAGAGAATAAAGAATGTTGACCAGGGGTTGCTGTGTTTCATTACAATCAGCAAACTACTATGTGATGTTTATAACTGTGTGCATGAATGATTTTGATATGTATTAAAAGACAAAAGTATCTCCAGGGTATTCTAATGTATAGCAAAATTTGGGGGCTACTTTGAAGAATGTGGTTGTTTCTCTTAATCCTGGGATACTGCTAACTCCTCTCCAAAATTTCGCAAGGAATAGTTTGTCTGCTTTATTTTTCTCTATTGTTGAGAAACAGTTTTTTCACTGTTAAAGAAAAAAAAATGGCATTATCAGCTAGGTTTCTGAATTCACATTGCTGCTTCCATAGAGTTTTGACAATTCCATCACATGTCCTACAGTTCCTCTAAGAAGCTGAGAGACATTTGACACATTGATGTTTAACACATATTGCTGTATAGTCACATGCCCTCACCTACACTGAAGTCTTACTGAGAGTAGGAATAGTGTCTTTTATTTCTGTATCCCCAGTCTAATAGGGGATATCATATATTTTGTAATCCTTAATTATTTGATGAATGAATAAACAATACATTGTAAGGTATATGAAAGCAATTACTATTCATTGCAACTCTTTGTATACTCGATAGTACCTAACACAAACAGTTTTCTGCTTGCTTAAGGACTACAAAATACAGATAAAGGCTAATCATCATTTTATGTGTTTGAAAAATAGGTACCTTGGGAATCAGGGAACCTCAATTAGATCAGAGGTTCTTAAAACTTTTTGAATTACAGACTGCTTAAGAATCTCGTGAATGCTACAGGATTCCCTCACAGCCCTCACACACACCTCCAAGGTATACATATAATTAGAGGGGATTTGCAAATTGAGCCCCCAAAAAGCCATCCATGGACTCCAGGTTAAGAACTACTAGAATGTTCATCTCAAAGACTTTCTAGCTCCAAAAGGATCCACAATCCCAAAAAAGAGAAGGTAGTATTTTCCAATATCCAGTCCCAAGAAGAACTCAGAGACTCAATCAATAGAAATGTGAAAGCAGTCACCTCCAAGACAAAGAATACTCTGACAAAGTTTGGGACTCTCTGGAGGTAAGTGTCCCGCTGCAAAGAGGTTATTTATATCCCTGAGCCTCGATCGGCTATTTGTGCAAGGCTGGTAGAGGGGAAGAATGTTTGCCTCGGGAGTTTATTGCAGGCAAATTATCCCTGGAAAATACTGCTGGGAAAGGTGCTGAACAAACAACATCTACATTTACACAGTTAGATATTCATTAAAACAGAAAATGCCCATTAAATTTAGAGAGATGCTAAGTGCCAGATTCAAGAACAGACCAGTGCAGAAAAGTTGGTGCAAATTTCTCCCCATTGTGTACCAGGGATAAGTCAGGTTGCATAGCAGTAACTTTTCCCAGGTAACCCTCACTACAAGACTGTCAAGTGTACCTTGCAAGAAGTGAGTTTTCTTTTTTCCTAAGGAACATAATGAGAAGGTCAGATAGTAGGATTTCAAGCAAGAACAGTAGCAATTACATCTGAACAAGGAGTTCACTCTTGATATTCCAATGGGCCCGAATGAAAGTCATCATTTATTTTGACATTATTATTATTTTGACATAAAACATAATCAAACGATATTCATGAGCCCTCTCTGTGAACTAAAAACCCATTTTCTGTGTATGTAGACTAGTTGAATCTTGGATTTGAGAATGTACAGAGAAAGGGGGAATTTATTTATCTCTTTCATTCTTATATAAAACTAGGCCCAGGGAGTTAGGTAACTTTCCCAAGGTCATAAAGCTAAGTGAGATAGCTCCTAATTCCTAATCCATCAAGCCCTCACTACTGAAATTGGGATTCACAGAGCAGTAACAGTTGCAGCATCTGGGAGCTAGTTAGAATTGTGGAATTTCAGGCCCCAACCCAGTTCTGCTGAATCTTAATATACATTCTAACCAGAGCCACGGTGATATGTACGCATGATAAAGTTAGAGAAGCACTGCAGCAGGCCATAGTGCCTCCTTAAAGTGACCACTGTCTTCTCTCTCTTTTTTTTTTTTTTTTTTTTTAGACAGGGTCTCGCTCTGTCACCCATGCTGGAGTGTAGTGGCCCGATCTCGGCTCTCTGCAGCCTCTACCTCCTGGGCTCAAGCAATCTAGGACCACAAGTAGGCACCACCATACCTGGCTAATTTTTTTATTTTTTCGTAGAGACGGGGTCTTACCACGTGTCCCAGGCTGGTCTCAAACTCCTGGGCTCTAGCAACGCTCCCACCTCGGTCTCCAAAAGTGCTGGAATTATAGGCATGAGCCATAGCACTCGGCCCACTTTCTTCTTATAGTGGTAGTTTGGGAAACAAGGCCAAAGAAAAGAATAAGTATGTGGCAGATGAGAAAAGAGGTGATAGAAATGTATGATTTGGCAAGCTTGAGATACTTTGGGAAGGTGGAGGAAGGCAGAAAACAATGTGAAGCATGGGAGCTTTGGACTCTGACAGAATCACCAATCTTTGAAGCAAGTTAGAGAAGATTCTGGATCTAGGAGAAGACAAAAATGAAAAACAAGAGACCAGAAATAAAATCTCCTTTCTTTCCAGTTTCCCATACATGCCTTATTATTAGGAATACAAATGCATTTCAATATTAGACTTTAAGAAAAACTAATGGGAAAGGTTAATGCCTGTTTATTCATAATCCAATCCACTCCAAAACACAAATAACCTGCTTTTTTCTGAGACTTGTAACTAATATTCAGAATGATTACCCTACTCTATGTAAAATCTACAGAGATGAGTTTTTCTTACCATTAGGTTTCACGTAATTTCAGTTATAAGTAAGTTTTATTTTGATTTTTGAAAAACAGATAATTCATGTGTGATAGCTTCATTTATTTTTAGCTAATTAAAATCCAAATTCCTAAAAGCGGAACAAACCACAGAATTATTCTTACGGTATAAGGGATCTTAAAAGCCATCTCGGCAGGGCGCGGTGGCTCACGCCTGTAATCCCAGCACTTTGGGAGGCCAAGGCAGGTGGATCACGAGGTCAGCAGATTGAGACCATCCTGGCTAACACGGTGAAACCCCATCTCTACTAAAAATACAAAAAATTAGCCGGGTGCAGTGACAGGCACCTGTAGTCCCAGCTACTCAGGAGGCTGAGGCAGGAGATGAACCCAGGAGGCGGAGCTTGCAGTGAGCGGCCATCGCGCCACTGCACTCTAGCCTGGGCAACAGAGTGAAACTCCGTCTAAAAAAAAAAAAAAAAAAAAAAGCCATCTCCTACAGTCATGCATGTAATACCTGAATCCTTCAGACATCTCCGTTCATTGCTGAGTGCCAGAATCTAGCAGAGTGCTTGAAATTACTTGGGTACCCAGTAAATATTTGCTGAATGAATGAATAAATCTCTAGCAAATTTTCTTCCAGCTCTTGAACTATGAACTCAGAGACCCCATTACTTTGTGGGAAAGATCTCCTTATTAGAAATTATTTGTTAATACTCTGCTAAATCCTACCTCTCTGCAATTCATATCTTGTCCCTCTTGTTCTGGCCAAACCAAATCTGCTTTCTTCTCCTACATGACCTCCCTTCAGCTATAAGCAATTACAATGCCTTCTCAATCCATACATATATTGCTTTTGTCTCTGTGCATAATGCAGGGTTGACTCATAATAGATATGAAGTTTATGGTCAATTTTTGCCATAAGCCTCCTTTGACTTTTCATGTCTGCATCAAAGATTGATGGAAAACATATTCAAACCTCAATCCAGGAATTTTGGGTTCTTTGGGTTTCATGATGAATGGTTTCTAGTTGTTTTGTATTCAAGACAGTTGAGGCAAAGGATAAACATAAATCAGCAGGGGATAAGTATTTTAAGATACTTCTGTCAAAAGGCTTCCCAGCCCCATTCATCTCTTCCTTTTCCCCCCGTCTACAGCTTTAGGCCCTGTTACAAAGAACCTCAGCGATTCCAATTCCCTGAGTTCAATTTTTAGGGCGGTATATTATGATTGATTTCACCATGAGCTAACAGAGAGGGAAAATCCACTGGGTCTCCCTGTTGTGTCGACTTGGTCTCACTGTGAAGCCCCATTTATTCCAGCAGGCAAGTACTTGACCTTCACAGATCTTTAGCACACTTAGCATTCTGCCCAAAACCGCCAGCAAAGCATTTCACCTGAGAATATCATTACTGCTGAGAGAAAAGAATCGCACGTGTGTTCTGGGAGGATTTCAAAGAAAACCTGGGGAAAAGAGGGGTGGATGAAAGAGGAAAGGAAACAAGGCAGAGAGGGAAGGCAATGATTAAAACGTGCAGAAATGAAGGGAGATGGTAAGAACAGAAGAGGGAGCAGCACAAAAATGGGGAGCTTTCAGAGACTATGGAGGTAAAGGAAAAAGAGGGAGCCACAGTCTAAAAAAAGATGGAGAGTGATGGAGCCTCCAGTAGAGAGAGGCGAGGGGGGGAAAGGTGAATGGAGAAGTCTTTAGTACTTTCCAACCTTCCACATGAAATCAACACTGTCAGCATATGAAAAAGTAGAACAAAAAGTCGGTAGTTATAGATAGCACCAAGACTCTTGGAATTTCTTTTTTTTTTCTAATTATACTTTAAGTTCTAGGGTACATGTGCACAACGTGCTGGTTAGTTACATATGTATACATGTGCCATGTTGGTGTGCTGCACCCAGTAACTCGTCATTTAACATTAGGTATATCTCCTAATGTTATCCCTCCCCCTTCCCCCCACCCCACAACAGGCCCCAGTGTGTGATGTTCCCCTTCCTGTGTCTATGTGTTCTCACTGTTCAATTCCCACCTATGAGTGAGAACATGCAGTGTTTGGTTTTTTGTCCTTGCAATAGTTTGCTGAGAATGATGGTTTCCAGATTCATCCATGTCCCTAAAAAGGACATGAACTCATCATTTTTTATGGCTGCATAGTATTCCATGGTGTATATGTGCCACATTTTCTTAATCCAGGCTATCGTTGTTGGACATTTGGCTTGGTTCCAAGTCTTTGCTATTGTGAATACAAACAACCCCATCAAAAAGTGGGCGAAGGATATGAACAGACACTTCTCAAGACATTTATGCAGCCAAAAGACACATGAAAAAATGCTCATCATCACTGGCCATCAGAGAAATGCAAATCAAAACCACAATGAGATACCATCTCACACCAGTTAGAATGGCGATCATTAAAAAGTCAGGAAACAACAGGTGCTGGAGAGGATGTGGGGAAATAGGAACACTTTTACACTGTTGGTGGGACTGTAAACTAGTTCAACCATTGTGGAAGTCAGTGTGGCGATTCCTCAGGGATCTAGAACTAGAAATACCATTTGACCCAGCCATCCCATTACTGGGTATATACCCAAAGGATTATAAAACATGCTGCTATAAAGACACATGCACACGTATGTTTATTGTGGCACTATTCACAATAGCAAAGACTCTTGGAATTTCTTGATCAAAAATCAAGGCCCACATAAATCATCTACCTAATCTTTCATTTTTTTATAGGTGAGAAATCTGAATCTTAGAAAAGGCAAAGTTTTTAACTCTGCTAGCAGATGCTTGGTACCAGAGCCGAGATAATAAATGTCTCACCTAAAAAGCTGTTTGACAGAATTTATGGTCTTTTTCTAGCCATTTTGAAAATGACAAAAGCTATGTGCCACACCTACATAAAAATTATTTTAGAAAATAAACTATTGCCACATACAGTGACTAACTTATTGTACAGAACCAGATGCTTCCTTATAACAGTCATGATACAGGATGCAGATAAAAAGAACTACCTACCACCACCACCCTCTTTTCCTGTATACCTAACCCAGCAGAATGATCATATCAATCGGAGATGGAAATAGTCCTATAATAAGCAATAATTTCCCCTTCCCTGATCTTAAGTTAGTCAGCTAGCCATTAGGCCTTCTAAATATGATGGCTCAGCAGGAATCAGCTAATGACCCTTTTTTTTCCACCTGAAGATAAGCAGCTCCGCACTATGCTAGGAAATCACATTTAGCTCTATTCAGGGAAATTGAGGGTGCATGAAATATAAGCTTCCTTTGGCACATTTTAAAAAAATGAAGCATTTTTAACTAAGTTTAATCACAATGTTGAATATCAGCATTTCCGTACATAGGTATAGCTCCTACCCACTCCTTTGAACAAACATTTCTTTTAATCTAATCTGAAATCTTTGAATGCAGAATTAAATTTCACCCTAGCTAATCAGGCGAAGAAAAGCTGCTGTTGAGAAAAGGGATAAGATAAATATCTTTCTCATAAGCCATCATCATTTGCAGAATTTCTCACCCAAGAGATGGGGGTTGATTTTTTTATTGGCAGTTTTCATATAGTTACAAGTAGTGTTTCATGGATTGTTTTATAGAAGTTCTTTGCTTCAGTTTAGTAGGTGGAAAATAAGCAATAGTAATCTTCTGGGTCAAAGTGCTTAGGCAGATGAGCTATTTCCTCAGAATCACCTAGAAAACTCCTACCTCACAAGAAGTCATTTTATGTCCATATGTGCAAGTGGTTATTTTCTTATTCCCCTTCCTATCCCTCCCACACAAAAGGGCTAGTGCAGAAATGAGCAAAGTTTCCTGTGATGGACAGGACAATAAATATTTTAGCCTTTGCAAGCCATGCACTCCTTCTTACTACAACTCATCTCTGACATTGTAGTTCAAAAGCAGCCACAGTATACAAACAAATGGTAATGGCTATGTTCCAGTGAAATTTTCTTTACAAAAACAGTCAATGGACCACATTTGATCCACAAACTAGAACACAGTTTACTAATCCTGGCCTAAAAACATTAGCAACTTCCTAAACTAGATCTCTATAGACCCATAAGGCAGAAATCACCAAATCTCACATTTGGAAGGACCTTTACACAAGGGTCATATCAACTGTGCGTTTACTTACCCAAATTCAATTCTACATGCTGTAAGTTCAAAAAGAGAAAGGGAAAGAGAAAAAAACTTAACAATTTAAAGAGCATAGGACATTAACCTATCATCCCATTTAGTTGAATTTATGCCCTGGTACGAGAGAGACCTGAAGTTAGAGGAGTGAAATCTCACGTTTCAACAATCATTCACAGTTCCTAACGCTGGATTCTCTGGAGTTCCTTAAGAGCTCTGGAACTCTCTGGAACTTTCCTCACATGAGCGTTTTGCCCTACAGAGAGGTGTTCTTGTTGTAGTGTTTAAAGATGCTGTATTACTTTCTTACTATGGGACTCATAAACTACTTCATCTGGTGCTCAAATAAATTAACAGCAATCATGTCCAGCCCTGGAGGGGAAAGAAGAATCACTGAACCTACTGAGAGCATTTACAGCCCCATAATGGAGTCTTCTTGAGGGATTTTTCAAAGGTAATTCTGACTATACACCATTTTCTCCTTAAACATGCACTTCAAAACCTTATTCAGCATAGGATTCAATGCCAGTATACCTAGCCCAGCCCTACTCAATCTACTCAATGCTTGCAACACCTCTACCACATCCCCACATGGTCACTGAGCCAACATAATGACACAGTCACCATAATAGGAAGCTAATGACTTCTGGAGGCAACATGTTCCTCTTTGAACCACGTCATTAGGAATTTCTTCCTCAGACTGCGCCAATATATCTGTCCTTCCAAAATTTTGCATGTACTATAGATAATCCCCAAACAGGAAGCAACCATCCCCACTTGGCACAATTAAAATCTATGGCCATATACTACTATCTCGAAAATTCACTGATATTGCAATTTGGGGTGAGGAAGACTGGTAGTTTCCTACACATGGGCTTGCTCCCTGGCCTGTGGACGTGTAGTCCTAGAGGTGCCTAGAGGTAAAGCAGAGTGGTGATGAATAGGGGCCAACGAAGTTCTGCTTGTTTCAGTTGATGCCATGTCTGAGCCACTGATTTACTTGTTATAAGAAATGCATCACCTCAATGGGTACATATTTATAACAGTTGATTTCATTTGCATATCTTCCATATTTAAATTTTAGCCTCTGGAGATTTGGTTTACTGATTTATAGGTTTAAATATGAAAAACAAAGTTTAGTGAATTCTGCTGCTAAACAAATATCTTAAGATTAGTAATTGTTCTGATAATTATCTCAACTTTATTTTTATTTATTTATTTATTTTGCAGGGGTCAAGGTCTGTGTCTCCCAGGCTGGAGTGCACTGGCGTATTATAGCTCACTGCAGCCTTGATCTCCTGGGCTCAACCAATTGTCTTGCCTCAGCCTCCCAAGTAGCTGGGACTGCAGGGGTGTGCCACCATACTAGCTAATTTTTTAAAAAAATTTTGTAGGCCAGGCTCAGTGGCTCACATCTATAATCCCAGCACTTTGGGAGGCCGAGGCAGGTGGATTGCCTGAGCTCAGGAGTTTGCGACCAGCCTGGGCAACACGGTGAAATCCCGTCTCTACTAAAACACAAAAAATTAGCCAGGTGTAGAGGCAGGTGCCTGTAGTCCCAGCTACTTGGGAGGCTAAGGCAGGATAATTGCTTGAACCGGGGAGGCGGAGGTTGCAGTGAGCTGAGATTGTGCCACTGCACTCCAGAGTGAGACTCCGTCTCAAAAAAAAAAAAATGTGTAGAGGCAGGGTCTTGCTATGTTGCCCAGGCTGGTCTCAAACTCCTGGGCTCAAGTAATTCTACCACTTCATCCTCCTAAAGTGCTGTAATTATAGGCATGAGCCACTATGCCAGGCTTCAACTTTATTTTTAATAAGAAAAAGAAGCAACAGTGATACCACTATGAAAAGATGCACTGGGAAGTTTGGGCATGCTTTTGTATCATCATAGCTGGGCTGAGGAGTATATTGCTGCCCCAGACAAAAAGAGCTCCATCTCTTCTGTTCTTAGGAGCTCAGGGAGGTAGCAACCAGATAGGAGGAGACCCCTGATATTATCAGGTTCCATAGGCTTTAGCTGTCTCCCTGTGCCCCAAAACGGCCAGCAAACTCTTTCTGCTCTCTTCGAAAGTGACAGACTATTTCCTCTGGAACACCAAGGGGACAAATGGCCTTCACACCTGAAGTCCAATGTACAGCCTGCTTCGTCACACTTCAACAGAGGATTAACGTCTGGTGGGGGCCTCATCTTTTAGAATCGCTGTTCTCAAGAAACAGTGTAGCACAGTCTGTCAGTCTAGGGGTTTCATGCAACAGAGAACAAGCAAACACATGACTATACACACACACATACATGCAAATATATATTTAAACACATATAAGGAAATGTATAATGAATATAAATATATATATCAACATATAATAGATAAACATTAAAATATAGATATTTATACATGTAAATATGGAGTGCTGCTGCTAGTCTGGGGTGCTTCTCCCTACAGGGAAGAAGAAAAACATAAATATACATACACAATATATATATATACATGTGTGTATATATATGTATATATATGTATATGTATATATGTATATATGTGTATACATGTGTATATATGTATATATGTATACATGTGTATATATGTATATATGTATATATGTGTATATATACGTATATATGTGTATATGTATACGTATATATGTATATATGTGTATATATATGTGTGTGTATATACACACACACACACACACACACACACACACACATGCAAGTATATAGAGCAGAGGTGTCGAAACTTTTGGCTTCCCTGGACCACACTGGAAGAAGAAGAATTGATTTGGGCCACACACAAAATATGCTAATAATAGCTGATGAGCTAAAAAAAAAAAAAATCACAAAAAAATCTCATAATGTTTTAAGAAAGTTTATGAATCTGTGTTGGGCCACATTCAAAGCCAACCTGGGCTATATGCAGCCTGTGGGCCATGGGTTAGACAAGCTTGATATAGAGAAAAGATGCACTGGGACAGGTACGACAACTCCAGGCATAACTGACCTTCCCATGTAAGCATGGTAAATAGCCATTTCTATCATCTCAAAATTCTCCTGTACTTGCTGGATGGTTTCTGAAATCCTGCTAATGGGAAACAATGACCTTTGTTCCCCAATTCAGTTCAAGTATTAATATGATGAAAATACAAGCATTCATAATGTAACCTCACATCAATATCTAAATAACCAATATTCCCGAGACCAGACTATGGGCCATAAAGGTTAATAAAGATTAGGATCATACAGAAGCACTACACTGGGGAAGGGAGCAGTGCAAAGAACACAGAACTGGAAAAATTTTAATGTTTGAAATGAACTTAGAAATTTGCCTGGCACAAAGCAGTGAGAGATAGGAAAGGGTTTATTCAAGAAGTCACTTTCTGGACAGTCTAGAAGAGCAGTCTGGATTTTGTTTGTTTATTTGTTTTTTGAAACAGGGTCTCGCTCTGTTGCCCAAGCTGGAGAGCAGTGGTGCAATCTCAGCTCACTGCAACCTCCACCTCCCAGGCTGAAGCAATCCTCCCACCTCAGCCACCCGAGTAGCTAGAACTACAGGCACAGGCCCCAACACCCGGATTTGCTTTTTTTTTTTCTTTTTCTTTTTCTGATGTCTCGTCATAGTGTCCAGGCTGGTCTCAAACTCCTGGGCTCAAGTGATCCTCCCTCCTCAGCCTCCCACAGTGCTGGGATTACAGGCATGAGCCACCGTGCCTGGCCCAGTGTGGTTTCTAAAACAGAAGTGACAGTATGTGGATCAGCTCCATAACTTATCTCATACATGAGCTTCAATACAAATAACTTACTTCTATAAATCAAACTGTCTACACTTGGCTAGACCAATGCTTCATGCAGCCCAAGGCTGTCCTGAGGCTAGTAACAACCATTAATTCAGCCCACCTTCTGCACCCAACCCCACCTCTCAAACAAAACCCCAGACACTTAACTCCAAAAGCGCTATTGAGTAATATCATTGTTACTGATGGACTCATGGATAGACAGAAGAAAACATTTTCAGAATACCTTATACATCCCTAGTCTCTCTCCCTGGCAGAGATATTTGGTATCTGGTCAGCTTGCAGTCTCCACCCAACACAATAAAAGCTAGTTGTTTGGCATAAGCTAAGCAAAAAGCCTGGTCCTAAACCAAGCCCTATTCTTCTGAGAACTGCAAGCGAGCTCTCAGAACCCTGCAAAGTTACAGCTACAATCACTTCTGATCCTCAAAAAGTTTAATGGATACATATATCAAAACATCATGTTGTACACCGTAAATACATACAATAAAATTTTTAAAAAATTGAGCAGAAACATATATTTGATCAATTACTTGAGGATTTTCTTTTTTTTCTTTTTTAGAGACAGGATGTAACTCTGTTGCCCAGGCTGGAATGCAGTAAGCAATCATAGCTCACTGCAGCCTCGAACTCCTGGAATCAGCAATTCTGCCACTTTAACCTCTCAAGTAGCTAGAACTACAGGCACATGCCACTATGCCGAGCTAATTTTTTATTTTTATTTTTTGTAGAGTTAGGATCTTCCTATATTGCCCCAGCTGGTCTTGAATGCCTGGCCTCAAGCAATCCTCCCATGTTGGCTTCCCAAAGTGCTGAGATTACAGGTGTGAGCCACAATGCCCCGCCTTGTAGGTTTTTTTTTTTTTTACTGTATTTCCAGTTTTTCCACTGTTCAATGACAGAGGAACTCCTTATAAATAAAAAATATATTCAAGCCCTAAAAAATATTAACTTTCTTATTTACCATTTTCATTTTCACTTTTTGCCTATGGATTTCAGTTAAAAACTGGTGTTATTTCCTTATTTCAACATAACTACATTACCATTCACCTCCTTTGTATAGTTATTGTAAAACATATTCCATTTCTGTATGTTGTATTCAGCAACATGATTGTATAGAAATTATTGTTGCCTACAATTGCTTTTAGAATAATTTAATATAAAATTTTTTAAAGAAATATATTTTTAAGTCTGTTAGGAGGCAGGGAGGTCAAGTTCCATCTTTATCTTACTGAGGAAATTGGAGCTTAGGTTAGGACTCCCGCCTAAGGCATCAGATCTGTTTGCACAATTTGGACAACAATCCACCCATTCATTCCTTCAACTTGCAAAGAGTCAGGCAGTTGGGGCTAGTGACCCAAGTCTAGTTGAACACTGTAACATGGACTATGGCAGAATTAAATGGAATGGCATGGCACCAAACCTAGACTGAGATGTCCAGAAAGGTTTCTCAGAGGAGGAGGTGACTCCTGAGCTACATGTGGTAGAATGTGTGGAGGTATCCAGGAAGTGGGGCAGAGCTACTCCAGAAAGAACTGGCAGCATGGAGAAAGGCATGATGGTGGATTCTGGGTCTGAATTACAGTGTTTTTATTCTCCTTCACAACCATCACATAAAGTGACTCTAATCCTGGGGAAACTAACCTCACCAGGAACCCACTAGGAAGCTTTCCACCCATCAATGGAATTTCATTCATTTTTCATTTATTCACTTAAAATTTAAAGAATTACCACTCCAG
This sequence comes from Homo sapiens, assembly GCF_000001405.40. Classification (NCBI taxonomy): domain Eukaryota; kingdom Metazoa; phylum Chordata; class Mammalia; order Primates; family Hominidae; genus Homo; species Homo sapiens. Next base: position 4,154,409 of record NC_000003.12, read on the forward strand.
CATGAATAATAAGATAGTTAACACTTATTGGGCACCAACTATGTTCCAGTCACTTTGCATACATTATTTCATCTGATCCTTGCCACAAACCTACAAGCTGGGGACTATTATCTCTGTTTTATAGATGAATAAATGAGTTTCATTGCCATTAAGTGAGTTATCAAAGGTCACATAGCTATGAAGTAACTGAAACAGAATTCAACCTCTCGTTGATCTGTCCCCCAAACCTGGGCTCTTTTGAGGCATCCACACTGCCTCATTCATCTATTCAAAAAAATATTTCTTGATTGCCTACTGTGTGCCCTCTGCTGAAGAAAACAGGTCCATAGACTGATAATTTTTAAATAAGAGTTTTTCTAAGAACTGCATTGTAGGAGGAAAGATGAGGATGCTCACCAGCCAATATCTGGGCAACCACCGCATCCCACTTCCAGAATACATCAAAATTACAGCTTTTTTTGATATATGACTGCAACTTGAAGTAAGACCCTCTCTGAAAATTGTCATATGGTCAGCAAGGAAGGAGATCACTGTAAACTCAGGTAAGGGAAAACTGCTGGGGCTCAGCAGAGAAAGGAGATGTACCTTTTAGTTTTATGTTGGCAGACTTCAAAAAGGCAATTTGAAAGGAACATAGGTGACATTCATTCAAAGGGGTGCACAGGGTTTGCTGAGGAAGACATTAGGGACCTATCATCTTGTTGAGACATCAACCTTCTTTCTATAGCTCCTGACATGAGGCATGCTTTTGTGATGGAGGGCTGACTTTCTCACCCCTGCAGGCCAGTCCTATGCCAATTAAGGTACTGTGCTTAGGTTCATGTGCAGAGGAAGGAAGCCCTGTGGTATTAATGACATGAAACAGGTATGGTAGATATTTGCTGCCTAGATTCAGACACTCTTTCCATGTTTGAGGAATCTCCACTTAATGAGTCCTAATGAGGGAAGGGGAGCAAAAATTCCTTCTTCATATGAATGGAAAATGCTACGTACTTGCTTTTCCCAGCTCCTTTAGGCATGCGATGTTCTCATGTCAAACACGGACGTAGGAGCTTTGAAGCAAAAGGAAGGAGATAAGGGACGGCTCCTTCCCTCCTGGCAGCAGTAAGTTACAGAAAAACCACATTCATGGTGAGAAAATAGCGGCAGTACAAACTTCCAAGATTTAGTGGTGGCAGCAGCAATTTTCTCTTCAGATCAGTTCTATGATGTGATTTGGGGCTCAGCTTTAAACCTGGCTCCTAGCCTTCACAACAAATCTGTTTCCCAACATTAATTTAGTAAACTCTTTCATGCTTAAGCAGCCAGAATCAGCCTCTGTTGATTACAGATATGAACCCTGTCAGTCCGAAGCATCCCTGAACCTCTTCTTCTTGTAACATCACACCATTTCCAGAGGGGAAATGCCCTAACATCAAATTAAACCCAGGACCAAAAATCAATTTGCCCATCAAAGAGGCTCCCCAAGACCTTCCCCTCCACAGATACTCTTCATAATCAAACACCAAGCTAATCATGGTGTCCCTTTCCCCTGAACACAGTAATTACCCCAGGTATAACACTTGACCAAAGCTGGGCCCAGCAGTCTAGTTAGGAATTTTGTTTTTCATCTGAAAGTAAGAAAGAAACCTTGCACACCAGAGTACAAAAGTAACTTGGCTTATGAAATTTAAAGTATAAAACAGCAAAATGCCATTGCCTTCCCACCACCATAAAGTAGCCTGGTCCTGTACATCTGACTTAAGGGTTCCTGCAGAACAGAAGAAAGGAGTCATAGGAATTTTAATCTAGCCTGTCTCTCAAATTTGACAAATGAAAAACACAAGGCCTGCAGAAGGGAAACAACTTGCAACAGGTCACACAACTTTTATAAACTGGAATGAAAATTCTCTCCATCTCCTGCCAACACTCCTGTACTCTTTCTATCTCCTACCATGTTTCAACTTTGTAGAACTAATTAGTACCTAATCTAACGTTATCTATATTTGCTAGAATGAAGGCTCTATGAGAGCAGGGGTTTTCTGGTTTGTTCCCCACTATATCTTCAATGTATAAAACAGTATCCAATACAGTTCTTCCTACACAACTGGAACAGAAAGGCATCTATCAATAATTGGTTTTATTCAAACAGAAGTAGACTCTAGAATTGACCACTTCTACCTTGTCACCAAGCTAAAAACTGTTTAGTTTTCTGGGTGTTAATCCCACAAGAATGATATTTCTATATTTAAGTCATATATCCCATGCTGTATTTTGTATTTGCACTCTCTGGGCCTGGCAGCCCTGCCCAATACCTGGAGTAAGGAAATTTAATAGACTATAGAAAAGCATTTATTTCATTTAATCTATTGCCCTAATTGCTAGACAACCCAAGCGAATTCAATCCATTTGAGTTCAACTCAAAGAGTGTATCTCAGTGAATATTTTAAATAAATTAATACTTTTTTTCTAGTTCCCAGTTGACTAAGTGCAAACTTGAATGAGTAATGCTGCTGATTATAAAATGCATGTGTCTTCATATGCAAATGTATGCCATCATTAAAACATTTTCACAGCCTTTCATTTTGTTCAAAGTTGATCCAGAGAGAAGACTTGGACACATCTGTCTGCATCTTTGAGTACCTATAGGATCATTCAGTGTCTGGAGACTAACTTCTTACCCTTCATCCTCCTGGCTATGAAGTTAATCAATAATCCCCTTACCCTCAGATGTGTCTACCCCATTTAATTTCTTGGTGTTTGGTCTTATCACAGGGATAATTCACAGAATAGGTTATTTAGCATCACAGACATCTCCAATTCAGAATTCTTACTTCTCTAGCTCACTCACTGCTGGGCCAGTTTTTTAGATGTGCTGGTCATGTTCCTTAAGCTAGTAACCACTTCAGGGAAGAGGCCTTTACCTTCCCTCCTCACTTCATATAGTATTAGCCCTTGACAGTCACTTGAGGTTGCTTTCCAAGTGGCTGTCATTATCCATAAGTTTATGATGGAATATTTATCAACATTACAGGTATTTTATTCTGTTCCATTTCATGTAGAAAGTGATTTACTTCTTTCCCCAAAATATTTTTAAATCAATAGTTCTCTTCTTAGTTTTATATCACAATATTTTACCCTCAGGATCACTTTCTCAGAATCACATATCACTGGAAGGGCAAGAGTTGACTTCTAGGTCATCCTGCTGTAATGAGTCCATGGATTTCTTCTTCCCTGTGTTCTTCTCTCTAATCATCAGAGTGATTTACATTTTGTTTCCCTTATAGCTCTGCTTATCTCTATACGCTTCTTTATTTATTCCTTTTTCCAGCATAAGGCAATTAAGACTTTAAGTTCTTCCCACAGAAATGAGACAGACAGGCATCTATTAGTAATTACTTTTATTACAACAGACATAGGCTGTAGAAGTGACTACTTCTACCCTGTCACCGAGTTAAAAACTATTTAGCCTCTGGATGCTAATCCCACAAGAATGATACTTCTGTACTCAAGTCATATATCCCATATTGTACTTTGTATTTTCAGTCTCTGGGTCTGGCAGCGCTGCCCAATATCTGGTATGAGGAAGTTTAATATATCACAGAAAAGCATTTATTTCATTTAAACTAGTGCCTTAATTGCTAGACAACCCAAGATAATTCAGTCCAATTGAGTTCAATTCAAAGAGCATCTGCCCTGTGCCAGGTGTTGTACTTGGCATCCTTTGCAATTACCAAGAGGCCACAAACACAGTCTCTGCCTTCAAGGAACTTATTATGGTCTAGATGATTAAAAGATAAACATAAAATACAAGGCAGTATGCAGTAAGTTACAATGGAGATATAAACAAATGTTTTGTATAGTTTCCAAAGTTCCTCTTGTTATTGACTTCTAGTTTTATTTCATTGTGTTCAGAGAAGATACTTGATATGATTTCAATTGTTTTGAATTTTTTTTGAATGTTTGCTTGTTTTGTGAGCTAACGTGGTCTATCCCGAGAATGATCCATGTGCTGAGGAGAAGAATGTATATTCTGCAGTCATTGGATAAAATGTTATATAAATATCTATTAGGTCCATTTGTTCTATAAGTACAAATTAAGTACAATGTTTTTGTTGATTTTCTGTCTGGATCTGTCCAGTGCTGAAAGTGGGGTGTTGAAGTCTCTAGCTATTGTTGTATTGGGGTCTATCTCTCTCTTTACCTCTAATAATGTTTCCTTTATTCACTCAGACTCACAGATAGATATGTGCTCATATATATCTGGGTGCTCCAGTGTTGGCTGCATATATATTTACAATTGTTATATCCTCTTGCTGAATTCACCACTTTATTACTATATAAAGATCTTCTTTGTCTCTTTTTATAGTTTTTGTCTTGAAATCCATTTTATCTGATATAAGCATAGGTACTTCTGCTCTTTTTTGGTTTCCATTTACACAGAGTATCCTTTTCCATCCCTTTATTTTCAGTCTGTGTGTGCCTTTATATGTGAAGTGTGTTTCTTGTAGGCAACAGATCGTTGAGTCTCTTTTTTTATCCACTCAGCTACTCTACATTTTTTGATTGGAGAATTTAGTCTACTTACATTCAATGTTATTATTGATAAGTATTGTACTGTCTGTGTCTTGAAAAGTTGTTGCAGTTTTTTTATCAGTTCATCTTTTCATCTTTCTACTTCGATATGAATAGTTCATACACCACAATTACAGTGTAATAATATTCTGTGTTTCTCTGTGTACTTACTATTACCAGTAAGGTTTGTACCTTCAGATGACTTACTCCCGTCATGTTGTTATCCGTTTGCTGGTTGTTTTGCAGTCTCCTCTTCCTTCTTTCTTTTCTTCCTGTCTTCCTTTTAGTGAAGGTGATTTTCTCTGGTGGTATTTTTTTTTTTATTTTTTGTGCATCCATTGCATGTTTTTTTTATTTGAGGTTACCATGAAGCTTGCAAATAATATCTTATAATCCATTATTTTAAACTGAGGACAACTTAACACTGATTGCATAAACAAACTAACAAACCAGCAAAAAAACCATAATACAAACTCTACATTTTAACTTCATTTTGCCCAGTTTTAAACCTTTTGTTTTTTCTATTTATATCTTACTGTACTATGTCTCAAAAAGTTGTAGTTTTTTTTTGATCAGTTCATCTTTTCATCTTTCTACTTAGATATGAATAGTTCATACACCACAATTACAGTGTAATACTATTCTGTGGTTCTGTGTGTACTTACTACTACCAGTAAGGTTTGTACCTTCAGATGACTTCTTATTGTTAAATAACATCCTTTTCTTAACCCTTTTCAGATTAAGGAACTGCGTTTTAGCATTTCTTATAGGACAGACCTGGTGTTGATGAAATCCCTCAGCTTTTGTTTGCCTGAGAAAGTCTTAATTTCTCTTTTATGTTTGAAGGATATTTTCACTGGACATACTATTCTAGGGTAAAAGTTTTTTTCCCAGAGCACTTTAAATATGTCATGCCATTCTATCCTGGCCTATACAGTTTCCACTGAAAAGTCTGCTGCCAAACACATTGGAGCACAATTGTATGTTATTTGTTTCTTTTCTCTTGCTTATTTTAGAATCCTTTCTTTATCCTTGACATTTGGGAGTTTGATTATTAAATGCCTTGGGGTAGCCTTCTTTAGTTCAAATCTGTTTGGTATTCTTTAACCTTCTTATAGTTAAATATCGATATCTCTCTAGGTTTGGAAAACTCTCTGTTATCACTGCTTCAAATAAACTTTCTACCCCTATCTCTTTCTCTACCTCCTCTTTAAGGCCAATAACTCTTAGATTTGCCCTTTTGAATCTATTTTCTAGATTTTATAGGCATGCTCTATTCTTTTTCTTTCTTTTTTGAGACAGAGTCTCACTCTGTCACCCAGGCTGGGGTGCAGTGGTACAATCTTGACTCATTGCAATCTCCGCCTCCCAGGTTCAAGCAATTCTCCTGCCTCAGCCTCCCAAGTAGCTGGGACTACAAGTATGAGCCACCACACCCAGCTAATTTTTGTATTTTTAGTAGAGATGGGATTTCACCATGTTGGCCAGGCTGATCTCGAACTCCTGACCTCAAGTGATCTGCCCGCTTTGGTCCATTCTCTTTTATTCTTATTTCTTGCATCTCCTCTGCTGTGTATTTTCAAATACTCTCTCTTCAAGCTCACTAATTCTGTCTTCTGTTTGATCACTTCTGCTATTAAGAGACCCTGATGCATTCTTCAGTATGTCAATTGCATTTTCAACTCCAAAATTTCTGCTTGATTCTTTTTCACTATTTCCATCTCTTTGTTAAATTTATCTGATAGGATTCTGAATTCCTTCTCTGTGTTATCTCTAATTTCTTTGTGTTTCTTCAAAACAGCTATTTTGACTTCTCTGTCTGAAAGGTCACATATTTCTGTCTCCTTGGAATTAGTCCTTAGTCTCTTATTTAGTTTGTTTGGTGAGGTCATGTTTTCCTACATGGCCTTGATGCTTGTGGATGTTGTTTAGTGTCTGGACATTGAAGAGTTATTTATTGTAGTCTTCACAGTTTGGGCTTCACAGATGTACCCATCCTTCTTGGGAAGGCTTTCCAGGTATTCAAAAGAAATTGGGTATTGTGATCTAAATTTTTAGTCATTGCAGCTGTATCTGCTTCAGGGAACACCCCAAGCCCAGTAATGCTCAGATTCATAGAGATACCACCTTGATGGTCTTAGGTAAGATCCAGAAGTGTTCTGTGGATTACCAGACAGAGACTCTTGTTCTCTTCCCTTACTTTCTCCCAGACAAACGGAGTCTCTCTCTTTGTGCTGTGCTGCCTGGAGCTAGGGGAGGGTGACACAAGCACCCCTGTGGGTACCAACACTGAAACTACACTGGGTCAGACACAGCACTGGATCTTGCCCAGTAACTACTACCTGGCTACCACCTATGTTTGTTCAAGGCCCTCTACAATCAGCAGGTGGGAAAGCCAGCAAGGCTTGTGTCCTTCCTTTCAGGTCAGTGAGTTCTCCCAGGCCCTCGGTGGGTCCAGAGATGCAGTCTGGTAGCCAGGGCCTGGAGTTGGAAACCTTAGAAATCTACCTGGTGCTCTATTCTACCAACTGAGTTGGCACACAAATCGTAAGACAAAGTCCTTCCCACTTTCCCTCCCCTTTCCATGGGGAGTGGAGTCTCTCTCCATAGCTGTCACCATTATAGGCCCACAGAGAGTACTGCCAGACTACCACCAATGTTCACTTAGGGCCCAACAGCTCTTCAGTCAGCTTCTGGTGAATGCTGCCAGGCCTGACACTCACCCTTCAGGGCAGTGGGCTCCCCTCTGATCTAGGGCAGGTCCAGAAATGCCATCTAAGAGCCAAGACCTAGAATCAGGGACTCCCTCAAAGCCTATTTGGTGCCCTACCCCACTGTGGCTGAGCTGGCACCTGGGTTGCAGGACAAAGTCCCCTTTACTCTTCCCTATGCTTTTTCTCAAGCAGAATGAGTCTCTTCTCATAGCCATCACTGCTGGAAATGTGCTGGGTCACACTGGAAGCCAGCACATCTCAGAGTTTCACCCAAGGCCCACAGCATGTATTACCGGGCTACCACTGCTGATTTTTCAGGGCCCAAGGGCTCTTTAGTCAGCAGGTGATTAATCCTGCCCAGGACTGGGTCCTTTCTTTCAAGGCAGCAGTTTCCCTTCTGGTGCAGGGTGTACCTAGCAATATCATTTGAGAGCTAGGGCCTGGAATGGGGGCCTCACAACTCTGTCTAATGCCCTATCCTGTTGTGGCTGAGCTGATATCCAAGTTGCAAGACAAAGTCCTCTTTACTCCTCCCTCTCCTCTCCTCAAGTGGAAGAAAGGAGTTTCTTTTGGAGCAGCAAGCTGCGCTACCTGAGGTTGGGGGAGGAGTGGTAAAGCACTCTCTTGGCTGCCCTGTCTGGTGTCTCACTAGGTTGCATGTCCCCCAGATCCACTGGCTCTGAGCCCAGCACATGACTAGGACTTGACTAGGACTTGCAGTCCTTGTGGCCTAGACTGCCTTTCAAGTTTATTTAGGAACCCAGAGCCCTTTACCCAGCAGTGGCAAGGCTTACCAAAACTCAAGTTCTGATTGCTGAGATGGGTAATGCCCCTCTTGCTAGGGCCTGTCTATGCTTCCTCCGTGGACATCAGCTGAGTTCAGCTTGGTGTTGCTTTCTACTGTGACAGCACAGCACTGAGTTTCAATGTAAAGTCCTTCAGTCACTGCATTGTCCTCCCACAAGCATACATATTCTGTCTTCATGCCATGCGGCTGTTGCCAGAAGGATGGGAGTGAGGTGGTGTCAGTAATTCAAGGGTGTCTTTCCTGCCCTCTTCAATGCCTCTTTCAGTGATATGAAGTTAAAACCAGGTACTGTGATCACTCACCTGATTTTTTGTTCTTATGAAGGTGCTTTTTTGTGTGGATAGTTGTTAAGTTTGGTGTTCCTGTTGCGGGGACAATCAGTGGAGGCTTCTACTCAGCCATCTCACTGTGCCTCCCTCATAAAAAAAAAAAGGTTTTGAAAGTAATGAAAGAAAAATGAAAAATGTGGAATGCTTCACAGAACTACAAACTCATCACGTTAGTGCCCATTGCTGGCACCCTAAAAATGTAAAGTTCTTATTTAGCCCAACTGAAGGAAGAAAAATGCCCAGTATGGATCAAAAATGTACAAATGTCTGATGTAAAGTCATTGGGTGTTGAACTAAGCAGCAGCCTGAAAAAAAAAATCACTGTCTACTGCTACACCTAGGAAATGTAGCCTCCACTCTTCTCCCGGTAGACTGCTAGGGTTTCCGGGTCACTGCACTTTGCCTATTGAAGAGAAGAGAAACAAAAACACTCCAACAACCAATTATCTCTCCTTGTTTTTATTGTACCAAAGCAGACTTAATCTCCTTGCCCCTTTTTAACCTTCCTTTTCATGCAGATGAGAGAGAGAGAGAGACAGAGAGAGAGAGAAAGGAAGGAAGGAAGGAAGGGAGGGAGGGAGGGAGGGAGGGAGGGAGGGAGGGAGGGAGGGAGGGAGGGAGGATGGGAATTTATAAAGACTTTATAAAGATGTAAGAAAATCTCTCCAATGTATCTCTCAAAGACCTATTACAGGATCTTTCTTCTATCTCTTTGTTGATATTCTGGTTTTCTTGTACTGACATCCAGGATACTGTCCTTGGACCCACTTTCTCAGACATTTCTGTAAAGGAACAGTCTTCCAGCTCCTTTGTATGAGAGGAAATTGAAGCCTATGAAAGGTAAGTGCCATGCTCAAGGTCTAGAGTGAGTGGGGCAGAGTTAAAACAACATCTGGGTTTCCTAACTGCCACTCCCTGTTCTTTCAATTTTACCAGTCCACATCATAAAGGGAGATCAAGATGTATTGTTAGGTTTGAACCTGTTTCTTAATTTCCAACATCAGTCTTCTAATAGACAGCCATCATCTTATATTTTTCTATGAATTACCTTGGAAAGGAGTGGGGAAGACCATATATTTTCCATTTCTACAGCCCTGCCCTGGAACACACACAAGCCTGTACTGAGAATCACCTGTGAGAAGCCAAACAGAAAGTCAGCAAAACTGTTAGAACCACTGGCTATTTGATGAATAGCTTGATGGTACTGATTCCCTCCTCAAGTAGGGAACAACAAATGGGTAACTTGTTCCCCATATTCATATAGATAATAGCTCCAGCTTTGGCTAATATGTCCCTCCCTAATAACGGTGTGGGACTTTCAGGCATAACAAGAAAGGCATGTGAAAAGACCAAAGTCTCCCAATTACAACTGAGGAGGTGGGAGAAATACCTGGTTACAAGCTGTCCCAGGATTCCTAGGATGGTAATGGACCTTGAGGACAGCTGTCCAGGGCAGGAGATTAACACTGAGAAGGCCATGCCAGTGTCCAGGAGGAAGTCAATTTCCTGGCCCTCAATGGTTAAACGTACCCGGGGCTCAGTGAGGGTGATGACATGAGCTGGCGCTTACCCCAGGCACCCTCAGTTCTGTTGTTGGATCATCCGGTTGGGGGCTTCTGGCCCAAAGAAACTTTGCCCTCTGGGGCAGTGCGCCTTCCAGTGATTGCCTTGGCATAGTGGACATGGGCGAGGGGGCAGCTTGTTTCTCTTTGGACAATGTTTTTTAAGGTGTCCTTGCAAACCACAATGATAACAAGCCCTACCAGGTTATTGGCCTGCTCCATTTTCTGTCCTCTCTGAACCACCAAGGTTTGTTTGTCTGAGGGCCATGACTAAGGCTGCAGCCTTTCTCTGATTTCACTTTTCCTTTTTGCCTGCTCCTCTTGGTCCCTATTATAGAACACTGAGGTTGCCAGGTTTAATAATGCCTCCAGATTTTTTTCAGGGCCCAGGGCTTGCTTTTGGAACTTTCTCCTGATATCTGTGCCAGATTGGATAATAAACTTATCTTTTAGGATAAATTGACCCTTGAGTGAGTCAGGTGACAGGGGAGTATATTTTCCTAAGGCCTCCCATAGCCACTCGAGGAAGGCAGAAGGATTTTCTTCCTTTCCCTAAGTTATCGCGGACATCATCGAATAATTCATGGGCTTTTTCCTAATTCTCCTTAGTCCTTCTAGAACACAGGTCAGCAGATGTTTATGAATCCAGTCCCCGTGATCTGAGTCTAGGTCCCAGTGGGGATGCATACTGGGAACAGCTTGCTCACTGGTAGGGAATTTGTCCCTTTCTTCAGCTGTCATTCTATCATTTACTTGACTAAGATACCAGGTATCTCCAAATTCTCAGGCTGCAGCTAAAGCCGCATTCTTTTCATTAAAGGCCATGGTTTGATCTAACAATAGCATGACGTCTCTCCAAGTGAAGTCGAAGATTTGCCCTAGGTCTACCTTGGCAAGATCAGGTCTACCTTGATCTGCTTTAAATCAGAGAGAGAGAAGGGGACATATACCCGGGTTGGGCTAAATTCCCTTCCCCTTACAGCTTGAAGAGGACACAACCAATAGCCCAGGGATTTTTGTGGTCCCTTGGAGATTTCTTTACTTATTTCCTTCTGGGTGGGGGAGATTAAAGGAGGCTTATCATTAACAGGAAGGGGAGCTGTAGGAAGGCTAGGATATGGAGGTAAGCTGAGAGGTCCTCCTGTGGGATGTAGATTGCAAACTTTGCATAGTTGTGGATTATCTTTCAATGAAAAGAAGGGTTGGACATAAGGTATTTCACTCCATTTGCCTTCCCTCTTACAGAAAAGGTCAAGCTGCAGGATAGTATTGTAATTTATACTTCCCTCAGGTGGCCATTTTTCCCCATCAGAGAGAGAATATTGGGGCCAGACCATGGTGCAGAAAAAAATGAGCCACTTCTTTTTCAAAGTTTGTGGGTCAAATTGGCCCCAATGGCTTAGGATGCATTTCAAGGGTGAACCTGTTGATGCCTGAGTGTTTCCCAGCTGAAAAAAAAAATGCCCGTGGTTTTGATTTGTTTGTTTCCCCCCCCCCCCCGAGCAAGAACCTGCAATGGTCCCTGGACCCTGCTGATCAGAATAGTTGTGCTCACTGATGCAGTAGCAGATCCCCCTCTTGCCCAAGAACCCATAACAGTCCCTGGACCCTGCTGATCAGAATAGTTGAGCTCACCAATGCAGCAGCAGAAATGCTAGTTTTCCTCCTAGACCACAAAGAGGACCAATGAAGGTCAGATTTAGTGGCCCTTACCAACACATTCTCGAAGACCTGCACCCTTGTCTTTCCTCTTAGACCACAAACAGGACAGAAAAATCGGATTTAGTGACCCTTACTGATGAATTCTCAAAACCTGTTAGAGTCCTAAGCATTTTCCCCTGTTAGTACTGGGACCTTACCTTTCTCCTATAAGATGATATGCCTCAAAATGGAGCAGAGGACCATACCATGAGGGAGGGAAGGGATCTCCAGGGTTGGAGGAGTGATGCCTTTTGTCCACACTTCTCATCATATGAATAGGAAGGATATAATTTCTGAGAATTCCCATATCCTAGCTTCATGAATAGCCTTTGTTAGGCCTGCTAGTCTGAGAAGGGATCCTAAAATTCCAGATAGTCCCCAGCAACAGGGCCTTGGGCAAAAATTATATCTTTCTAATTGGTGATCCCAGGTGCCTAAAGAAGGGAACAGAGTCCCAAAATTTATACTAGAAATCATTCTTATAGGAGAAACTAGAAGAGCACCAGAGACAGGAGTGGTTTTTAGAAGCATGACTAGCCTCAGAGAAGAGAGGCAGAAGGAAGTTTGTCTGACAGGCATTAGGACCCAGGAGGCAAGGGTCAGAACAGATAGGACAGATGGGCGAGTCTCACTTGGGTGATGTAACTTTAAGAGTTCCACTTATGGCTGCAGGGCCAACCAACTTTTTTTCGGGACCCGAGAGCTGAATGGCTTCCCTCTCTGTTGACCCTCAGCTCAGTCCAGAAGTATAGGAAAAGCAGAAGCTGGTTCCAGGCAAACCAATGCTTCCAACTCTGAAGAGTCGGGGGTGGTTAGAGAGCCCTTTCCCAGAAAGGCTGACACCCATGTGTTTAGTCCAGCGGCTGCACTAGTCACTTTTAACTGGCCAACAGGTGTCTGATGTTTAGCCTCCGAATTCTAAGGAAAAATAGGACAGAACAGCAAGCAAAAGGGTTCTGATGGTACTCACCACGTGGCGATACCCCGGATAAGCCCCCAAGATGTGTCTGGAGTTGGTTCCTTCTGGTGGGTTCATGATCTCACTAACTTCAAGAATGAAGCCACGGGCCTCTGTGGTGAGTGTTACAGCTCTTAAAGGTGGCACAGACCCAAAGAGTGAGCAGCCGCAAGATTTATTGTGAAGAGCGAAAGAACAAAGCTTCCACAGCATGGAAGGGGACCCAGGTGGGTTGCTGCTGCTGGCTGGGGTGGCCAGCTTTTATTCCCTTATTTGTCCCCTCCCATGTCTGTTTCTGTCCTATCAGAATGCCTTTTTTCCAATCCTCCCTGTGACTGGCTACTCTTAGACTCCTGCTGAATGGTCCATTTTATAAAGTGCTGATTGGTCCATTTTACAGAGTGCTGATTGGTCCATTTTACAGGGTGCTGATTGGTACATCTTACACAGTGCTGATTGGTACATTTTACAAACCTCTCACTCCCTACAGAGCACTGATAGGTGTGTTTTTACAGAGTGCAGATTGGTGCATTTTACAAACCTCTTGCTAGCTACAGAGCGCTGATTGGTGCATTTTACAATCCCCTTGTAAGACAGAAAAGTTCTCCAAGTCCCCACTCGACCCAGGAAGTCCGGCTGGCTCTTCACCTATCAGTAGCAGTGGCAACTCAGACAATACACCCTGCCTATTTCTTCTGCAAGGAGCACAGCAGAAAGGTCAAAGAAGCAAGCGCTAAGATTTGACTTATATTTATCTGAGAATGATGAGGTAATATATCTCTTGCTAACTACTTTTTAGATACAGGAGGAAGATAGAGCAGGCATCTCTTTGTCACTTGCTAACTACTTTTTAGATATAGGAGGAAGATAAAGCAGGCATCTCTTTGTCACTTGCTTCTTGGAAAGCCCAGCATGAAGTACAGTATTCCAATGATAGAGAGCCATAGTCTTATCCAGTTCTGTCCAGAGTCTTATACATGCATATTTATTGTGCTCATAAAAGTTTAAAACTCCCTTGGGCACTTGGCACTGACCATTACCCAATACAGAGCCTCTATTTTCAGGGAGTTTACAGTGTGGCACACTATATCCCTTCAATCAGAACTAGATATTTGTTAATAGGAATTAAAGAACTCCTCTCTTTCCAAACATGATCACAACCCCCATGTGGTCTGAACCTTAAGGACTACACTTTGGAACTCGTGGACAAACTCTACATTTATTACTGACTCAACCTGCCCAAAAACATATGCAAAATTTCAATTTAATTGTGTCTCTACCCTGCCTAAAAACTTTCGATGACACAGATTTGCCCAAGGATAAATATAAAACTCTTTAGCCTTGAGTTCTGAGCCTTTAATAATGTGATGAGAGATGAACAGATCTGCCATCTCCAGCTCCAGCTCTGCTCAGAAGCAAGGTTGGTCTTCACATCACTAATCATTAAACTATTAGTAGGTGGTCAATAAATATTTTATGCAAATGAATTGCAGAGTGGGATAAAATTAGCACAGTGGTTAAAAACATGGGCTTCCTCTTCACTTACAGAATGTATACTTTTATGTGTACATATTACATTTCAATTCAAAAAGTTTTTTTAATGAGTTCTCAAGCAACTTTGGGTAAAAATCTCTATTTTGCCACTTTCTGGTAATTATATTGAGCAAGTCATTTCATACTTTATCTCTCTAAGATTCATCTGTAAAGAGGAGACATTATATTACCCAGTATTGTGGTGAGGATTTCATGAGATACATGTGAAGCACTTAGCACAGTGCTGAACACCCAATAAGAGCTTAACAAATACTGGTTACAGTTGATATAAATGAATGAATATCAATTTCCATCTAAACTCTGGACATTTCTTCCACTAATTGAGCACATGCTATATTCAATAACCATGGTAGATATTGTTCCAGCAACGTATTGGTTAAACCCCTGCTGATAGCTTGAGTCCCTTCTAACATCTGCTGTACAAGTAATAATATTTTTCTCTCTCGGGAAAAAGTAGATAGAAAACTGTAATTGTTGTCTCTTTTCCTGAAGTAAGGCAAAGATGTCTCTATGCAGCTTTCCCAGAGGTAAATATTGCATTGTATAACAGATGGAACAGATAATGCTGGCAAATTCACATGTGAAGATTCTATCTACAACAGCTGCTATTAAACTTCAGCTTCCACCTTAATCACTATTATAGGTTGAATTGTGTTCCTCAATAAAATGTTGAAGTCCTAATCCCCAGTATCTATGAATCTGACTTTACAGAAATAGGAGTTAACAATGATCAAATTAAGATGAGGTCATTAGAGTGGCTCCTCATCCAATATGACTAGTATCTTTATAAAAAGGGGAAATTTGGACACAAAGAGAAAAGACAATGTGAAGACACAGAGAAAAGGGGCCATGTGACTGGAACGAGGCATCTACAAGACAAAGAACACCAAGGATTGCCAACAACACCAGAATCCCAGAGAGGAAAAAAGGATCCACTAGAGCCTTTAGAAGAAGCATGCCCTTGCAGACACCTATATTTCAGACTTCTAGCCTCCAGAACTATGGGGTGAATCTCTTTTGTTTTAACCAGTTTGCGTACCTTTTTACTGAAGCCCTAACAAACTAATGCAATCACCGTTACCAATACCCCGTTTGGGGCTGACAATCTGCAGTGATTTAAAAGCTCCTGTAGCATATGGCCATCATGTAGGGCTTGTGCAAACGGCATGCTCAAGAGTGAGGCTAAATGATAAACTGTGTGCTTTTTAAATAAACAGTATAGTATCAGGCATTAAGGACTAGCTGGAGAGAGATGAACTATCAAACTTCAGCACTGCAAAAGCCTCGTTAAAAGAACTACTCAGCAAGAGAGTTTTCCTTGAGAGGTTTTTAACTAAAAGGTTCTAAATTAAAGAGGTTCTAAAATGATGTAGAACATAGATTTTCAATAAGAATGAGACAAATGCCAAGCATTTAGATGTGGGAGAGGTGAGAATGGAATACAATAGGGATTGGCAAACTATGGCCTGCAGACCAAATCTGCCCCCCACCCCATCTGTTTTTGTAAAGTTCAATGGAACACAATATGCTCATTTATTTATATATTGTCTATGGCTGTTTTTGTGCTACAACAGTAAAGTCAAGTCATCCTTACAGAGACCACAGGGCCTGCAAAGCCTAAAATATTTACTATCTGGCTAGTTACATAAAAAGTTGACTGAACCCTAGAGTGGGAAAATGATCTATATCAATGGTTCTCAAACTTTAGTGGGTACCAGAATCACCTGGAGGCCTTGTTAAAATTCAGATTGCTGAGTGCCCTAGATTTTCTGACTAAAAATATCTGGGGGTAGGGCCTGAGCATTTGTATTTCTAACAAGTTCCAATGGCCA
The DNA here is from genome assembly GCF_000001405.40 of Homo sapiens. NCBI lineage: Eukaryota > Metazoa > Chordata > Mammalia > Primates > Hominidae > Homo > Homo sapiens. The sequence continues at coordinate 4,170,421 of NC_000003.12, forward strand.
CACTTTGAGAACTGCCGCTTTAAGTTTATGCTGACCAATGCACCAATTTAAGCGTGATGTAAGACAGGAGTGGGGAATAAGGAAGGGCAGTTAATTTTAAAATTGCATTTGATTTTGAAAAATGAACACAGTTGGAAGATTTACACTATTGATTTAAAACTTCCTAGTAAGCAACAGTAATCAAGACAGTGTAGTATTGTCACCAATAACAGACAATAGATCGATGAAACAGAGTAGAGAGTCTGGGATTAAACCATCACATATATAGTGAACTAAACTTTGACAAGGTGAAAAGATAATTCAGTGAAAAAAGAATTGTCTTTTCAACAAATGATGATGGAACAGTTGGATATCCATTAACAACAACAAAAAAACGAACTTTGATTCATTCCTTACACCTTATATTTAGTACAAAAAGGAGAATAGCCAGCTTTCTCTTCATGGTTTGTAGGAAAAATAAACCCAGAAGCAGATGAAGTCAGTCACTGTTGCATGAACTACATGTCAACATTTTTATAAGATGGAAAAGTTGAAAAAGTTTGAAGAAGGTGGCAATGTAGTGCTCTATGCCATTCACCCAAACTCTGCATTTGCATCAGAAGAATACTGCTGAGACTCTAACACGAAGACTTCAACAGAATCTTAATCTCAAATTCAAATTTTGTTAAAAAGAATTATTCGATGCCCTTAAGGAGAGAGGATACTTTATGGCTGAATAAACACCTTGCTCCTTATAACAGTTTTTCACCCCCATCATGCAGAATTTTGCTAACTACTAAGGATTTTGCCACCATCAGCAGCAAGGAGTATTGCAGATGCTCTGCGATCTATACCAGGATTCTCTAATACACAAGGAAATCCCCTCATCATGCATTTGACAAAATGATGGTCAGCACACATGAGTCTATAAGTAGGTCTCCAGAACAGGCGATAAATCAAAAAGGAAAGGGTAAATTAACTTTTTGAGGTGGTGGTTAGCTAACAGTTAGACTTGAGTTTCATAGATGTGTTTACATGGGCCAAAGAAACCCAAGGGTCATCTGAATCATTCAGGCCAAATGATTACATCTAAATTAGACCAGACAATTATGTCAAAAATAAATTAATATTTTTTATTGTTTACTTGCCTGGACACTGAAATACAAGTGTCTCTATTCTTAGGAGAATCTGAATGTAGATGAGAAAATAGATAACCCTCTGATATGGAAGCACAAAGAGGCAGTACTCAACATTGCCCTGGCCCAAAAGGCTTCAAACTAACAGCAAGTTTTAAAGAATGACTGATGTTCCAGATAAATGGGCTTGTGAGGTGGGGAGGAGATGGAGTTGTAGGCTGGGAAGCACATGCTACACACAGGAACAGCATGTTCAGAGGTAAGAAAAAGCACAAGCTAAGTTCAGGAAAAAGCAAGTTCTTCCATATACCTGAAACATCAGGTACCAGAAGGTGTAGAGAGGAATGAGACAGTAGTCCAACCACGATATCCTTCTGTGCCAGTCAGAGGAAAGCATACTCCACCCTTTGAGGCACCTTAAATCACTTTTAAGAAGTGATGCTATCAAATGTATGTTTTAGAAAGATCACATTGAAGGCAATATGACGGGTTGAATGTGGCAAGAACTGAGGCAGAGACTGGTTAGAAAGTTTCTGTAGGAAACAGACTTCAAATAAGACAGTAGCCAATGCAAGTAGGGGGATGGAACGAAAAATACTTAAATGAAATCTTGATTTGATTTCAAATATTTAGAAAATTCAATTAGCAATACATAGAAGTTGATTGAACTTTGCAGACAAAGGGAAAGAGACGTTATTAAAGATGACTCCCAGATTTCCGTTTTGGGGAAACTGAGTGAATAGTGGTGTCAGTCCCACAATTAAAAATACAAGGAGAGACATGCAGGAAATATGATAAGCTTGATTTTAGACACGTTGAGTTTTTAATGTCTATAAAATTTACACATGTGCTTTCCAGGTATTCACTAAAAACTAGGACCTAAAATCCACCTGATAATAGCAGCACACTTTTTGAGTCCCAGGCATTCTTCTGAGAACTTTCCTTATACAACTCATTTAAATCTTTATAGCAACTCTATAAGAAAGGTAAGATTATTAGCTCTGCTTTACAGATGAGGAAAGTGAGGTTCAGATGGGGTTAAGTTACTTGCCTAAGATCACACAGCTAAGAATAAGTTTCATATGTTTGTTGGCTGCAGAAATGTCTTCTTTTGAGAAGGGTCTGCTTATATCCTTTGCCCACTTTTTGATGGGGTTGTTTTTTTTGTTTTTTGGGGTTTTTTCTTGTAAATTTGTTTAACTTCCTTATAGATTCCGGATATTAGCCCTTTGTCAGATTGATAGATTTCAAAAATTTTCTCCCATTCTGTAGGTTGCCTGTTCACTCTGATGATGTTTCTTCTGCTGTGCTCTTTAGTTTAATTAGATCCCATTTGTCAATTTTGGCTTCTGTTGCCATTGCTTTTGGCATTTTAGTCATGAAGTCTTTGCCCATGCCTATGTTTTGAATGGTATTGCCTCGGTTTTCTTCTACGGTTTCTATGGTTTTAAGTCTTAGTTTAAGTCTTTAATCCATCTTGAGTTAATTTCTGTATAAGGTGTAAGGAAGGGGTCCAGTTTCAGTTTTCTACATAGGGCTAGCTGGTTTTCCCAGCACAATTTATTAAATAGGGAATCATTTCTCCATTGCTTATTATTGTCAGATTTCTCAAAGATGAGATGGTTGTATATGTGTGGTGTTATTTCTGAGGCCTCTCTTCTGTTCCATTGCTCTATATATCTCTTTTGGTACCAGTACCACACTACCACACTGTTTTGATTACTGTAGCCTTGTAGTATAGTTTGAAGTCACATCACAGGTCATTAGAGAAATGCAAATCAAAACCACAATGAGACACCATCTCATGCCAGTTAGAATGGTGATCGTTAAAATGTCAGGAAACAACAGATGCTGGAGAGGATGTAGAGAAATAGGAACACTTTTACACTGTGGGTGGGAGTGTAAATTAGTTCAACCATTGTGGAAGACAGTGTGGCAATTCCTCAAGGATCTAGAACAGAAATACCATTTGACCCAGCAATCCCATTAATGGGTATACACCCAAAGGGTTATAAATCATTCTGCTATAAAGACATATGCATACGTATGTTTATTGAAGCACTATTCACAATAGTAAAGATTTGGAACCAATCCAAATGCCCATCAATGATAGACTGGATTAAAAAAATGTGGCACATATACACCATAGAATACTATGCAGCCATAAGAAAGGATGAGTTCATGTGCTTTACATGGACATGGATGAAGCTGGAAACCATCATTTTCAGCAAACTAACACAGGAAGAGAAAATCAAACACCGCATGTCCCCACTCATAAGTGGGAGTTGAACAATAAGAACACATGGACACAGGGAGGGGAACATCACACACGAGGGCCTGTCGGAGGTGGGGTGCTAGGGGAGGGATAACATTAGGAGAAATACCTAATGTAAGTGACAGGTTGATGGGTGTGGCAAACCACCATGGCAGGAGTATACCTATGTAACAAACCTGCACATTCTGCACATGTATCTGCACATGATTTACCCAGAATCATGTAATTAGCTAGTATTAGCTAGGATTAAATTATGGTTACCCAGGCCAGGCACGGTGGCTCACGCCTGTAATCCCAGCACTTCAGGAGGCTGAGGCAGGTGGATCATGAGGTCAGGAGATCGAGAGCATCCTGGCTAACATGGTGAAACCCCGTCTCTACTAAAAATACAAAAAATTAGCCAGGCATGGTGGCAGGCACCTGTAGTCCCAGCTACTCGGGAGGCTGAGGCAGAAGAATGGCATGACCCCAGGAGGCGGAGCTTGCAGTGAGCCAAGATCACACCACTGCACTCCAGCCTGGGTGACAGAGCGAGACTCCGTCTCCAAAAAAAAAAAAAAAAAAAAATTATGGTTACCCAGTTTGGAAATTAAACCTGGAATCCAGCCAGGGACAGTGGCTCATGCCTGTTATCCCAGGGGATAACACTTTGGGAGGCCAAGGCAAGCAAATCACTTCAGCTCAGGAGTTCAAAGCCAGCCTGGGCAACATGGCAAAACCCCCATCTCTACTAAAAACACACACACATGGGGGGCGTTCCAAGATGGCCGAATAGGAACAGCTCCAATCTGCAGCTCCCAGCATGATCAACGCAGAAGACAGGTGATTTCTGCATTTCCACTGAGGTACCTGGTTCATCTCATTGGGACTGGTTGGACAGTGGGTGCAGCCCATGGAGGGTGAGCCAAAGCAGGATGGGGCATCACCTCACCCAGGAAGCACAAGGGGTCAGGAGATTTCTCTTTCCTAGCCAAGGGAAGCCGTGACAGACTACCTGGAAAAAAGGGACACTCCCACTCAAATACTGTGCTATTCCCAAGGTCTTAGCAACCAGCAGACAAGGTGATTCTCTCCTGTGCCTGGCTCGGCAGCTCCCACACCCACGAAGCCTTGCTCACTGCTATTGCAGCAGTCTGAGATCAATCTGCCAGAAGGCAGCCGGGCTGGGGGAGGGGCGTCTGCCATTGCCAAAGCTTCAGTAGGTAAACAAAGCAGCCTGGAAGCTCAAACTGGGTGGGACCCACCACAGCTCAACAAGGCCTACTGCCTCTAGACTCCACCTCTCTGGGCAGGGCATAGCTGAACAAAAGAAAGCAGACAACTTCTGCAGATTTAAACGTCCCTGTCTGACAGTTCCAAAGACAGCAGTGTTTCTCCCAGCATGGCGTTTGAGCTCTGAGAATGGACAGACTGCCTCCTCAAGTGGGCCCCTGACCCCCGTGTAGCCTAACTGGGAGACACCTCCCAGTTGGGGTCGACAGTCACCTCATACAGCCAGCTGCCCCTCTGAGATGAAACTTCCAGAGGAAGGATCAGGCAGCAATATTTGCATTCTGCTGCCTCTGCTGGTGATACCCAGGCAAACAGGGTCTGGAGTGGAACTCCAGCAAACTCCAACAGACCTGCAGCTGAGGGACCTGACTGTTAGAAGGAAAACTAACAAACAAAAAGCAATAGCATCAACATCAACAAAAAGGTCATCTACACCAAAACCCCATCTGTAGGTGACCAACATCAAAGACCAAAGGTAGATAAAACCACAAAGATGGGGAGAAACCACAGCAGAAAAGCTCAAAATTCTAAAAATCGAGCAGTTTTCTTCTCCAAAGAATCGCAGCTCCTTGCCAGCAGTGGAAAAAGGTGGACAGAGAATGACTTTGACAGGATGACAGAAGTAGGCTTCAGAAGGTCAGTAATAACAAACTTCTCCGAGCTAAAGGAGGATGTTCAAACCCATCACAAGGAAGCTAAAAGCCTTGAAAACACATTAGACAAATGGCTAACTAGAATAAACAGTGTAGAGAAGACCTTAAATGACCTGGTGGAGCTGAAAACCATGGCACGAGAACTTCATGACACATGCACAAGCTTCAATAGCCGATTTGATAAAGCGGAAGAAAGGGTATCAGTGAATGAAGATTAAATTAATGAAATAAGCAAGAAAACAAGGTTAGAGAAAGAAGAGTAAAAAGAAATGAACAAAGCCTCCAAGAAATATGGGACTATGTGAAAAGACCAAATCTACATTTGATTGTTGTACCTGAAAGTGATGGGGAGAGTGGAACCAAGATGGAAAACACTCTTCAGGATATTATCCAGGAGAACTTTCCCAACCTAAGAAGACAGGCCAACATTCAAATTCAGGAAATACAGAGAACACCACAAAGATACTCCTCAAGAAGAGCAACCCCAAGACACATAATCATCAGATTCACCAAGGTTGAAATGAAGGAAAAAGTATTAAGGGCAGCCAGAGAGAAAGGTCGAGTTACTCACAAAGGGAAGCCCATCAGACTAACAGCAGATCTCTTGGCAGAAACCCTACAAGCTAGAAGAGAGTGGGGGCCAATATTCAACGTTCTTAAAGAAAAGAATTTCCAAAACAGAATTTCATATCCAGCTATACTAAGCTTCATAATTGAAGGAGAAATAAAATCCTTTACAGAAAAGCAAATGCTGAGAGATTTTGTCACCACCAGGCCTGCCTTACAATAGCTGCTGAAGGAAGCACTAAACATGGAAAGGAACAACCAGTACCAGCTACTGAAAAAACAGGCCAAATTGTAAAGACCATCGATGATAGAAAGAAACTACATCAATTAACAGGCAAAATAACCAGTCAACTTCATAATGAGATGATCAAATTCACACATAACAACATTAACCTTAAATGTAAATGGGCTAAATGCCCCCATTAAAAGACACAGACTGGCAAATTGGATAAAGAGTCAAGACCCATCAGAGTGCTGTATTCAGGAGACCCATCTCATATGCAAAGACACACATAGGTTCAAAATGAAGGGATAGAGGAAGATTTACCGAACAAATGGAAAGCATAAAAAAGCAGGGGTTGCAATCCTCATCTCTGATAAAACAGACTTTAAACCAACAAAGATCAAAAGAGACAAAGAAGGCCATTACATAATGGTAAAGGGATCAATTCAACAAGAAGAGCTAACTATCCTAAATATATATGCACCCAATACAGGAGCATCCATATTCATAAAGCAAGTCTTTAGAGACCTACAAAGAGACTCAGACTCCCACACAATAAAAATGGGAGACTTTAATACCCCACTGTCAATATTAGACAGATCAGTGGGACAGAAGGTTAACAAGGATACCCAGGACCTCAACTCAGCTCTGCAACAAGCAGACCCAATAGACATCTACAGAACTCTAAAGACCAAATCAACAGAATATATATTCTTCTCAGTACCACATCACAGTTATTCTAAAATTGACCACATAATTGGAAGTAAAGCACTCCTCAGCAAATGTAAAAGAAAAGAAATCACAAAAAACTGTCTCTCAGACTACAGTGCAATCAAATTAGAACTCAGGATTAAGAAACTCACTCAAAACCGCACAACTACATGGAAATTGAACAACTCGCTCCTGAATGACTACTGGGTAAATAATGAAATGAAGGCACAAATAAAGATGTTCTTTGAAACCAATGAGAACAAAGACATAACGTACCAGAATCTCTGGGACACATTTAAAGAAGTGTGTAGAGGGAAATTTATAGCACTAAATGCCCACAAGAGAAAGCAGGAAAGATCTAAAATCAACACCCTAATATCACAATTAAAAGAACTAGAGAAGCAAGAGCAAACACATTCAAAAGCTAGCAGAAGACAAGAAATAACTAAGATCAGAGCAGAAGTGAAGGAGATAGAGACACAAAAAACCATTCAAAAAAATCAGTGAATCCAGGAGCTGGTTTTTTGAAAAGATCAACAAAATTGATAGACCACTAGCAAGAATGATAAAGAAGAAAAGAGAGAAGAATCAAATAGATGAAATAAAAAATGATAAAGGAGATATCACCACCAATCCCACAGAAATACAATCTACCATCAGAGAATACTATAAACACCTCTACGCAAATAAACTAGAAAATCTAGAAGAAATGGATAAATTCCTGGACACATACACCTGCTGAAGACTAAACCAGGAAGAAGTAAAATCTCTGAATAGACCAATAACAGGCTCTGAAATTGAGGGAATAGTTAAGAGCCTACCAGCCAAAAAAAGTCCAGGACCAGACAGATTCACAGTGTAATTCTACCAGAGGTACAAAGAGGAGTTAGTACCATTTCTTCTGGAACTATTCCAATCAATAGAAAAAGAGGGAATCCTCCCTAACTCATTTGATGAGGCCAGCATCATCCTGATACCAAAGCCTGGCAGAGACACAACAAAAAAAGAGAATGTTAGGCCAATATCCCCGATGAACATTGATGCAAAAATCCTCAATAAAATACTGGCAAACCGAATCCAGCAGCATATCAAAAAGCTTATCCACCACAATCAATTTGGCTTCATCCCTGGGATGCAAGTCTGGTTCAACATACACAAATGAATAAATGTAATCCATCAATAAACAGAACCAATGACAAAAACCACATGATTATCTCAATAGATGCAGAAAAGGCCTTTGACAAAATTCAACAGCCCTTCATGCTAAAAACTCTCAATTAACTAGGCATGGATGGAATGTATCTCAAAACAATAAGAGCTATTTATGACAAACCCACAGCCAATATCATACTGAATGGGCAAAAACTGGAAGCATTCCCTTTGAAAACTGGCACAAGACAGGGCTGCGCTCTCTCACCACTCCTATTCAACATAGTGTTGGAAGTTCTGGCCAGGGCAATCAGGCAAGAGAAAGAAATAAAGGGTATTCAATTAGGAAATGAGGAAGCCAAATTGTCTCTGTTTGCAGATGACATAATTGTATATTTAGAAAACCCCACAGTCTCAGCCCAAAATCTCCTTAAGCTGATAAGCAACTTCAGCAAAGTCTCAGGATACAAAATCAATGTGCAAAAATCACAAGCATTCCAGTAAACCATTAACAGACAAACAAAGAGCCAAATCATGAATGAACTCCCATTCACAATTGCTACAAAGAGAATAAAATACCCAGGAATCCAACTTACAAGGGATGTGATGGACCTCTTCAAGGAGAACTACAAACTACTGCTCAAGGAAATAAAAGAGGACACAAACAAATGGAAGAATGTTCTATGCTCATGGATAGGAAGAATCAATATCATGAAAACACTGCCCAAAGTAATTTACAGATTCAGTGCCATCCCCATCAAGCTACCGCTGACTTTCTTCACAGAATTGCAAAAAACTACTTTAAAGTTCATATGGATCCAAAAAAGAGCCCAAATTGCCAAGACAAGCCTAAGCAAAAAGAACAAAGCTGGAGGCATCACGCTACCTGACTTCAAACTATACTACAAGGCTTCAGTAACCAAAACAGCATGCTACTGGTACCAAAACAGAGATATAGGCCAATGGAACAGAACAGAGGCTTCAGAAATACCACAACACATCTACAACCATCTGATCTTTGATAAACCTGACAAAAATAAGCAATGGGGAAAGGATTCCCTATTTAATAAATGGTGCTGGGAAAACTGGCTAGCTATACGTAGAAAGCTGAAACTGGATCCCTTCCTCACACCTTATACAAAAATTAATTCAAGATGGATTAAAGACTTAAATATTAGACCTAAAACCCAAGAAGAAAAAAACCCGAGAAGAAAACCTAGGCAATACCATTCAGGACATAGGCATGGGCAAGGACTTCATGACTAAAACACCAAAAGCAATGGCAACAAAAGCCAAAATTGACAAATGGGATCTAATTAAACTAAAGAGCTTCTGCACGGCAAGAGAAACTATCATCAGCGTGAACTGGCAACCTACAGAATGGGAGAAAATTTTTGTAATCTATCCATCTGACAAAGGGCTAAGATCCAGAATCTACAATGAACTCAAACAAATTTACAAGAAAAAAACAAACAACCCCATCAAAAAGTGGGCAAAGGATATGAACACACACTTCTCAAAAGAAGACATCTATGCAGCCAAAAGACACATGAAAAAATTCACATCATCACTGGTCATTAGAGAAACACAAATGAAAACCACAATGAGATACCATCTCACACCAGTTAGAATGGCAATCATTAAAAAGTCAGGAAACAACAGGTGCTTGAGAGGATGTGGAGAAATAGGAACGCTTTTACACTGTTGGTGGGAGTGTAAATTAGTTCCACCATTGTGGAAGACAGTGTGGTAATTCCTCAAGGATCTAGAACTAGAATTACCATTTAACCCAGCAATCCCATTACTGGGTACATACCCAAAGGATTATAAATCATGCTGCTATAAAGACATATGCACACGTATGTTTATTGCGGCACTATTCACAATAGCAAAGGCTTGGAACCAACCCAAATGTCCATCAATGATAGACTGGATTAAGAAAATGTGGCACATATACACCATGGCATACTATGCAGCCATAAAAAAGGATGAGTTCATGTCCTTTGCAGGAACATGAATGAAACTGGAAACCATCATTCTCAGCAAACCATCACAAGGACAGAAAACCAACACCACATGTTCTCACTCATAGGTGGGAATTGAACAATGAGATCACTTGGACACAGGGCGAGGAACATCACACACCAGGGCCTGTCATGGGGTGGGGGGCTGGGGGAGGGATAGCATTAGGAGAAATATCTAATGTAAGTGATGAGTTGATGGGTGCAGCAAGCCAACATGGCACATGTATACCTATGTATCAAACCTGCACATTGTGCACATGTACCCTAGAACTTAACACACACACACACACAAAATTAGCCAGGCATGGTGGCGCACTCCTATGGTCCCAGCTATTTGGGAGGCTGAGGTGGAAAGATCACCTTAGCCTGGGAGGTTGAGGTTACAGTGAGCTGAGATCACACCACTGCACTCCAGCCTTGGTGACAGAGTGAAACCCTGTCTCAACAAAAAAATAAATAAATAAACTTGGAGTCCCCACATGGTTGGTAAGAATTCTACTACTAAAATACACTTCTCTTTGAGAACACAAGGAAAAACATGCTTACAATTCATTTACTAACCAAAATAATAACAATACATTTGGTTAACTCTGGGGGTTAGTGAATCAAGTAGCTGGAGTAAAAATGTATCTTATGTAATTGCTATCCATATCAGAAATGGATAATCACAGGAATTTCTTTCCACATAGAGGATAGTGGAAGAAAAGACTAGTGTGCCATCAAGGGTGTCTCCCATTGTGCTTCCTCATGATGGTGGTTCTCTGACTTATGTTTGGTAAAGGGAACATTTTTTAATTCATGTTTTCCTTCGCTCTGTTGTCAGTTACAGCTTTTGCTCAGGGGAGCCTTCACCTCCTCACGTCTACCTCCTTCCTCATTCCTAGTTTGTACAACACCCGGATGAACCCTCTGCCAGCTCAGTGATTATGGTTCGAAGCTTAAATCACTGGCCACCCTAGGGAGCATTCTTATTTAAAAGACTGCTTGAAAAACATTCTGAAGCTGAAGAAGCAATAGAAAAATATATCTTCTTGGGGATTTCAGTCTACGTAAAGAGGCTGGACAGAGAGAAAAGGATGAAAGAAGATCTGAGCTCTAATCTTCTTAGCTCTGCCATTGGCTTGGGGTTTGACCTTGGGCTAGTCACACAACTTCTCTGTATCTCAGTTGCTTTGCTTGTAAAGTGAAGGCCTTGGATCAAATGAGTTCCATGTTTCCTTCCAATTTTATAATGCCATGATTTTTTGAGCTTCCCAAAACCTCCCTTATGCCCAAGAAAGAGTGTCCCCTGTCCTGGAACCCACAATTTACATAGTCTCAGGGTCTAAAGGCATGAGCCTACCCTTGGACCTGGCTCCAAGAACCCAGGACCACAGAATTCTCTGGCTGTGCAGGCTGACGTATGTATCACATGCATGTGTGTGTGAGGGCCTCATATAGCACTACATGGACCTGAGGCTGGGGAACACAGGCTGCTGATTGGCTGTCTGTGCTACTGCATTCTGGCACTGAGCTCTGAAGACTCCAGAACCTGGCCTTCCAAGTCATTATAATATTTGTTAATGTAAGAGACTAAAATATACATAATTTCATTGTTTGTTATAGTTCGATTTGTAACTTCGAAATACAAGGCATACTGTGATAGAGATTCTATTTACATTCTTGCCCTGGGCCCTGAAAATCTCAAAGGCTGCCCTAGAGATTCCTATTCAAGAGTCTAGGTCTTCAGAGCTTTATAAGTTTTACTTAATACAAGGTGTAAATAATGATACAGGGTATGGGTAAGCATGGGGTAGATGGAATATGTCTACATTAATCCAGAGTGTCAAATGAATTGTCATTCTCTCAAAAATAAAATATTATGCCTATTCCTAAATACGTTAAAGCCCCTAGGTTATTCTATTGGCATTTATAGAGCACTGTAAACCAGTAATCTGTGCATGATAAATCCAACTTCCAAGTTATATCTATTAATAAATTATATTATAATTTATTTATATTATTTTATTATTATATTTTTTATTATATTACTTCCCCTCTTTTCTTCCCCCTTTGCCTTAAGGAAAAAAGAAACTTGTATTCAGCGGGTAAAACGTAGAACTTCAGACATATACTTCCATTAAATGAAAAGGAAATCTTAAGGGTCCCAAAGAGCTAGAATAGTTCAATAGGCTTTGTTCTGCTATATATTCCACCCCAATTCTCCAAATGCTGGTGTTCATTCTCTCTCCCTTTCTCGCTGTGGTTTCTCATGATTTTTATAATGCAAATTTCAGGCATGATGGCAGGACAATGGGAAGATCTTATTGGACTTCAGGTATAGTTTTGGAACACTTGCGGTTACACTAGTGGAGAGTCATCATGGTTAATATTAGTACTATGCTTTAGAGTTAAAACAGGCTCACATCCTGAATCTGAGAGACTCATCACAATAATCCTAGAGGTAAATTATATTCTATTTTACCTATGGGGAAAGAGGGTAAGTTGGACACTCAGCTCAGGTCATGGGTATCCTTCCATTATTCCTCAGACAGAAAAAACCCAGCCAATTATCTTGGACTCGGGGCCCCAGTAGACACTGAGGTTGGCTTGAGGGTTTAATGTGTGACCATATACTTTCTGCTATCGGCCAACTGGGAATAAGAAAGTTTATAGGTGTGGGAACTTGTCTGAACTGCCTTGGATAACTGTTCCATTCCAAGTGCTAGCAGGTATTGAGCTTACATCTAAGAAAGAGATTAGAAACTAAAAGCTTGGTGTCAGAGGCAAAGACAGTTAATTTACTACAATTCCATTGTATAAAATTAAGAATGTTTAGTAATATTTGGGGAATTTTGAAATCACATCTAGATTAAAGTAAAACAAAAAATAGTTAAAACAAAAGCAAGTTCATTGAAATCTAATCATGTCCTTCTCCTTTATGTATTAAAATGTGAAGCTGTGAATGATGCCTTTAATTATAGTCCTGATGCTTTAGTTGCTGAGCAGTTTATTTAAAGTGACAGTATCATTTTCTTATTATATAATTACTCCTACTGAATTTGTAATGTAAACAAATAGGAGACTAATAATTTGGAGACAGGAGGAAAATTGATAGCGCTCATCAGATAATAATCTTGATGTATTTATTGCAGATTGCTGATTCAGACCTAATTTAATTTGAGAGTTAACTAATTACAGAGAAAAGCATTACAGGCTCACTTCTTTGGCAGGATCTACACCTAAATAACTCATGATGTTAAAGACAAAAATGATTCATGGAAAAACTGAACAACACTGAAAATCAATATCAGTATGATTTTCTTATCTACTTTAAGCCTGCCTATATGATTCTTGGATATGCAAAACCAATGGAAGGTGGCTAAAAGGAAATAGGATTCTCATTAATTAAAACAAAGAACTGGAAGTTGGTTCACAAGGTAATGGGCTACTTTATAAGTAGTGTTAAACCATCAAAAGAGGCATTAAAGAAAAATGGCAATTAGGGAGGTGGGTGGTCACTTGAGGCCAGGAGTTCAAGACCATCCTGGCCAACATGGTGAAATCCCGTCTCTACTTTAAAAAAATATACAAAAATTAGTCGGGCATTGTGGCACATGCCTGCAGTCCCACCTACTCGGGAGGCTGAAGTATGAGAATCTCTTGAACCTGGGAAGAGGAGGTTGCAATAAGTTGAAATCATGCCACTGCTCTCCAGCCTGGGTGATGCCATGTGACCCTGTCTCGAAAAAAAATTAAAAAAAAAAAAGAAAAAAGGCAAAAGAGCCCAAGTGTGGTGGCTCATGCCTGTATTCCCAACACTTTTGGAGGCTGAGGTGGGCAGATCACTTGAGGTCAAGAATCTGAGACCAGCCTGGCCAACATGGCAAAACCCTGTCTCTACTAAAAATACAAAAATTAGCCGGGCATGGTGTTGTGCGCCTGTAATCCTAGCTACTCCAGGGGCTGAGGTATGAGAATCGCTTGAACCCAGGAGACGGAAGTTGCAGGGAGCCAAGATCATGCTGCTGCACTCCAGCCTGGGCGACAAAGTGAAACTGGGTCTCAAAAAGAAAAAAAAGAAAAAAAGAAAGAAAAAAATGCAAAAGAGTCGATTCTTACACTGAGTGAGGGACTTGGTCTCACAACGATCTTGAAGGTCATTTCAACTTTAATGTTTTATGACCTCAGATTCAGATCATAATTAATAAATTAAATCCAATACCATCTGTCTATATATTTACAGAAAACAATTTCCCTGGATTTTTTTTTTTTTTTTTGAGACAGTCTTGCTCTGCTGCCCAGGCTAGAGTATAGTGGTGTGATCTCGGCTCACTGCAACCTCCGCCTCCCGGGTTCAAGCGATCCTCCTGCCTCAGCCTCTTGAGTAGCTGGGATTACAGGCACCTGCCACCATGCTCAGCTAATTTTCAGATTTTTAGTAGAGATGGGGGTTTTGCCTTGTTGGCCAGGCTGGTCTGGAACTCCTAATCTCAGGTGATCCACCTGCCTGGGCCTCCCAAAGAGCTAGGATTACAGGCGTGAGCCACCGCACCTGGCCTCCATATGCTTTTAAAAAGGTCTCCAAAATGCTCTGTGTACTCCTCTCCGATTTAAAATAAGGTAAAATCATCCTATTTCCTATACAAGGAGATTTTGTTGGTAAAATTTTATGAGATGATTAGACCTATGAAGTAGTCTATGGCTTCATAACAAAAAGTAAAGATTGTTTACATATCATCTTCTCATGTCTATGAATTTCCCTAAAGAAATCATACTGTATGCAGGCTTCAGAGGCATAGTCCTTCGTTACTGAACAATCCATAACTGAAGCTTCAAAGAGATGATTGAACATCATATATAATCCCATCTTAATATAGAGAAAGATTTCTATGTGTTCAAAATGTTGGCCAGTACACCAAAATAACCAATAATGGGTGAAAAGTGATTTTCCAGCTCCAGGAGATAACAGACTTATTTTACTTTTCATTGTTTTTTTGAATCTAACAACTAAGATGTTGGTGAATTATTTAATGTAAGATACATTATCCTGCTCCAGTCCAATAACTACTATGAATGCTTTTATGCTTTCTGTCCTCAACAGATATATGAGAGTCTACAATGTTCTAAGCCTTGGATCTAGCAGACAGAAATGTTTCCTTTCTCTAAACTGGGATAGCACACTTCCAAAGTTAATACTAATGCGAACTGTAGCAGTTGAAAGTTAATATTTGGAACCCCAAACAATGATATCAAGAGATGCCACAGTTAATTACCGCAATGTTTATAATGATTATAAATTAATAGATCAATTGTAATAAATGCTGAGATAGTGAGAGTATAATTTTATAAAAGATTAATAAAGAGAAGGAAAGTGTTTATACATACATGGGTAACTGCAGACACATGTGAATTACTGGAATGATAGATAATACTGGCTTGAACAAGGATATTTTTGTTCTTGTTTTTTCAGGAATGTTCCTCCATGGAAAAACTTCCTTATAGTGGCAGGATTAAAAAGGGGCATTCTCTCATGGCTCTGAGATGGAGCCACACTGGAAGTACCAGAAGCAAATGTCTTGCCTTGGATATCTCAAACTCACTTTGACCTAAGATCCTTTACTTTTCCCTTTCCTATGGACAGTATCTTCAAGATGACCAATTGTGTTTCTATTCCAGTCATCACTGGGGATAGAGTCATTTCAAATACACCCAAGATGTTACAAGTTCTATGTTTACTCTACATAGAGAGTTTATATCCTTGGTACCAAGACATAAAGATGGTCTGAATTAACCTAGAGGCTCATGCTAATGGGCAGATGCTGTATGTCACAAAATACAAAGATCCACAAGAAGAGAATCAGAACCTGAAGGCCAACACCCCCAAATTGGGCATAATGTTTGTATTTGGAGGTTCAATCCTACTATTTTTCCATTAAGACTCCACCCATGTCGGTTGCTATGGTAATGGGGGGAGGTGAGCTGCATTGGAAGATAATTATATACAGAGGAGTAGAGACATAACCCATACAGTGGCTTATCATAATATGCTCTTTAACCCTACACAAATTCAAATATATGTTGCTTGGTAAGAAATAATTTAAGTAATAGGGGGAATTCAGCCCACCATTTTTGTCAATAAGTATATGGCCTAGAGTAAGTGGAAGCTGAAATAGAATGCATTACTCTACTCTCCCTTAGCCAATCTCAGTTCATTTGTGCTGAAAAATAAAATTGTCCCTATGACCAATTTTACTGGGTGTTCATAAGCAGTATTTATTATACCCAAATTTTGGCTTGCATACTAACTACAGAAGGTAACCTGAATGTAAAATGCAAATTCACTATTTAAATATTGACGAAAATTTTCTCCTCCAAGAAAATGTGAGAAGTTCAATTGCCCTTTTGTGTGATGCCAGATATTCATGAGGTTAGCAATGAAGATGTAATGAGCCACAATCTTCTCTTTCTTCTCTGTGTTCCTTTGATATAATTTTATCTGGTTCCAGTAAAAGTTTAGATATACCCCAAAACCAGACATCTACTAAATATCATTCTTTACGTAACACGTACAAACCAATATGTTACTAGCATAACATATTGCTAGTTATGCAATACATTCAGGACCTGATGTGTTGGGACTATACAACTGGATGGTGGACCATGTATCTTCTGAGCTGCCAAAAGAATTAAGTCATAGGCCAGGCACAATGGCTCATGCCTATAATCCCAGCACTTTGAGAGGCTGAGGTGGGAGGACTGCTTGAAGCCAGGAGTATGAGACCAGCCTGGGCAACAAAGCAAGACCCCATCTCTACAAAAAATAAAAACATTAGCCAGCGCAATGTCAGGTACCTGCAGTCCCAGCTACTCAGGAGGCAAAGGTGGGAGGACTGCTTGAGCACAGGAGCTTGAGGTTGCAGTGAGCTAGTATCGTGCCACTGCACCCCAGCCTGGGAGACAGAGTGAGACCCTGTCTATAAAAAAAAGAAAAAATTAGAGACAAGGTCTTGTGTAGACATTTGAATTCTTGTTCAAACATTTGATTTTTTTTTTCCTTCAGAGGACTGTGGGCTTCTTAATGCCAGGGACTATGTCTTGTTTAGTGGTATATAATTCCCAGTGCATAGCACAATATAGATGCTCAGTAAGTGTTTAATGAACAAATGAACAAAATTGAGGAATTAAAATTGGAGAAGACGAATTTTATTGAGGGTTTCCCAATAAGTGAAAAATCAAAGTTGTTCCAGTGCAGCAAGTATAAATAATCCTGCATCTATTCTCACTAACTACAGGTAGTATGTTAATAGCATGTGTGTAGAGGAGTGACTATGTTTGCATATGTGTGTCAATAATAATTGAAACCTATTGATTAGTAAATTTCTTCCAATTTTGAATATTGTGTCCTAAGCTGATGGTTTGTCTTAAACTTCCTTTGGACCTCATATTGCCAAAATAATGTTTTTAATTTAACAGTATTTTCTGACCATACACCCGGACCTTAACATGCACTTCATTGTGATAGCCCAATGTTACTGTTTCGTAATGACATTGATTTTGACCCCTCATGATAAAACTGTTTTTTAAAAGACTTTATTTTTTTAGAGCACTTTTGGGTTCACAGCAAAATTAGAAGGACAGTATGGAAATTTCTCATATACCCCCTACACACATGCTCTTAGCTTCCCGCATTATCAACATCCCTCACCAGAGTAGCACATGTGTACAACTGATGAACCTACACAGACACATCATAATCTCCCAAAGTCCATAGTTTACATTAGGGTTCACTTTTTTTTTTTTTTGAGACAGAGTCTCACTCTGTTACGCAGGCTGGAGTGCAACGGGGTAATCTTGGCTCACTGCAATCTCCGCCTCCCAGGTTCAAGCAATTCTCCTGCCTCAGCCTCCCAAGTAGCTGGGACTACAGGAGGCAGGGTTCACTCTTGGTATTATACATTCTATGGGTTTGGAAAAATGTCTAATATAATGGCATGTATCCAACATTATAGCATCATACAGAATATTTTCACTGTCCTAAAAATCCTCTGTGTTCCACCTATTCAGCCCTAACTTACCCCAATCCATGATGAAACGTTTTCATACACATGTTCTCTCTCTCCAGATAACCTCATCCAGGGCAGAACTCTGGGCACTAGGTTTTCCACAAAACATGAGTTTAATGAGGTGGCAATAGACATGGCCTGGGACTATATAAGGCAGTGTAGCCTAGTGTCTAAGAGTGCAGCTGGGAGACAAACTACTCAGGGTCATATTTTGGCTCATCTTTTAGTGCTGACTTACTGTGGATAATTTGCTTAACCTCTGTGAGCCTCATTTTCCTTGTCTATAAAATGGGGATAATAAGAACAATTACCTCAAAAAGTGTGAGAATTAAGTGAGCTCATCCATGTAAAACATTTTGAATAGTGCCTTGTACATGGTATCCCTATTATGCCAAGGGCTATCATAAGTGTTTTGCTTATATTAATTTGAGTAAACACTACAATTAATACATGTTATATGTAATAAATCTTAGTTATTAGCTATTGTTATTAGCTTTAACTGTATAAGATTCCTAATATTTCACCATTTTGACCGACAAAAACAATTTCACATGGGTTCTAGCTCATATTCTATAGTTTAAGATACATAAGTGATTTGGTCAAGTCAATCAGTTCTGTTAAATCAGAACATGGTAGAATGATATAATCTAGTTGCTTGTACATCAAGTCCAAAATATTAATCCACCAGTAATATTATCTTAATATAATAAGCTGGGGATTTTTTGTATTTGTATCTCCTGGCTCAGGACAGAACAGGAAAGCCTATTTGCGGGGAGGGGTCCAAAATTGGGAGAGGACCCTGAATACTCCATACCAGCAGACTTCTGCATTTTGCTATCACCCACAATTCACTACCCAGTGGTCCAACTCAAGGCTAACTTTGTCCATTATGGCAAAGTTGGTGAATGCCTTTAAGTGATTCCAGGGAAATTTTTAAAAGACAGGCATGTTAATTAAATTAAAATGTCTAAAATCCAAGTTCATAGTCATATTCATTTTGGGGTCAGCAATAATTTTCCTACAAGATTCCTGATAAATGTACAAACATGATACCTGAACAAGATCATGCTTAACCTATTTAATACCTACTAAATAGGGTTTCAGTTCAGCTAAGAGACTGCTGATGGGTTAGGCAAGAGGATACAGATGCTGTGACAAGGCAAATGGTGGAGAAAGTTAAAATATAAAAAGTAGGGCAAGAGAACAAGAGATCCTAGATTAAAGCCTCAAGATTTTGAAGAACTAAAGGAAGGAGAAGAAAACTAAATGACCCAATCTCACCTGGGCTGGCACCATCTCCTCCTGCTCCCCCAAAATCCTCTGTACCCTTTGGATCACTGCTGACACCTTTCACATTTCCAGCCCCACACTCCCTGACTATGTGCCTATTCTTTTGCTGGTCTAAAATGTTCCTCCAACAGATTAGCTCAAACTGCCTTTTCTGCCTCATGTAAAGTGTCTGCTTTCATCTGAGCATCTGCAAAATCAATTTTCCTTGCCCTCCACTTCGAAACGCATTTTTAAATATAGCTCCAGTAGCTGTTGTGCTTAACAACATCAGTGAATTGACTCCAATTTAACTTTTCCAAATAACCATTGATATCTATAAAGACTTTTAGTTCTGCCATAGAAAAAAATTCCCTGAGCTGAATGATTACTTTTTTAAAAAAATTAAGAAACAGTATTCTCTGAGCTTTAAACAGTTTTTAAATGAACTAAGAAGACTTATGGAGAGTTTTTTTTTTTTTTAATGAACTGAACACAAGCATTAACACAGGAGCAGCTGGACGCTAATCATTTAGCTCGTGAAAACTATATTACATGGCTAATGGAAACACGAGGGAAGCACAGGGGAAGTAAGAACTGTGTGTTGGCGACAGCAACGTGTCTGTAGGCAGCTCCACATTACCACGTAGGCTTGCATTACTATAAAGAGTACAGAAGCAAAAGAATTATTATAACATCCTTTCAGCCTCTTGAGAACTTATCACATGGGGCATCTCAGTCTTATGAAGGCCAATAAGAAGTATCTTTGGCAAGACTGAGGAATGCATTATTAATACGAGCTCTGTGGGCCTGTTTAGCAGAAAAGTGACCCATGATAAAAATAACAATCCCCTACATTTGTAGAACTCTGCATCCATTGATCACCTTTCATCTTGACAACCCTGAGAAAAAGGTATTATAAATGAGGTTCAAAGAGATTAAGGAACTTTCCCAAGGTCACATAGACTATCATAGAGGACAAATTTAATTCAATATTACTCAATGAATTTTTACTGACTTTCATACCCTGTACTAAGCACTGGGGATACCAAAAAATAAGCCACCATGCCTGCTTTCAGGGAGTTCACAGCCTACTGAAGACCACAGATGGGTATTCATTCACTTGAAAACTACATATTGAGGGTCTACTATGTCCCCACTATAATCGGGGTGCTAGGAAATAAGCAATACACAAAACACACCAGGTTCCTGCTATTGAGGAGTGTGCATTCTAGTGAAGCCAGACAGTAGGCAAACAGACAAATAAGACAGGTTATTGAGTTCTACCAACTCTATAAACAAGGTGAGATCACAGAGCTGGGAGGGTGCTATCATGGATCAAGGAAAGCCCCTCTGAGGAGATGACATCTTAACCAAGTCTGGTAAAGAATCAAGCCTGAACATTCTGGCAGCAATCTGGTTGGAAGGGAGGGACCAGGAAACTCATCTTGAGGCTGCCTTTGTATAGCAAGCCAACTGTTTTTACTTGGATTTTATGTTCATTTAGAGTGGCTGTAGGGGAAGCTAAGGAGAATATGTGGGTTGGAGAGAGGGCAAATATTCCTCTTCCCACCATACTCACACAGCAAGCCACACTTTGGTGCAGCTTCGACAAAGAAACAAACGAGGTGTGTTTAAGGAAGAAATTTAGGCAAAGTCTAGCAAGCCTGGTACCAAATGAAGAAGTAAAAGGTTACATCATGTAGGTCCTTGCTGGCCACGACAAAAAGTTAAGATTTAATCTCACTGAAAGGAGAAACCAATGGAAGATTTTGACCTAGAAGTGACATAATCTGTTTTATATATTGAAAGGATAATTCAGGCTATGGCATGGGGAATGAATTGAAAGAAAGCAGGAGTAGAGGCAGGTAGACTGGGTAGGCAGTGAGAGATGAAAGCTTTGGGATATATTTAGGCTGTAGAATCAAAGGACTTGGTGTTAATTAGATGTGTAAGATGAGGACAAGAGAGAAAGCAAGATGATTTCTAGATTTTTGGATTGAACATCTGGGTCAGTAATAATGCTACATCAGGATAGGAAAGACAAAAAGAGGAACAGATTTATTGGTAGTTAAGAGTGAATCAAGAATTCTGTAAAGGCTTGAAATGTCTATTCAACAAGGTGAAAAAGAATTACAATACAGTGTGATAATTACTGCTGAGGTAGAGGCATATTCTAAATAATGTAATAACACAGAGGAAAGAGAGATTAATTCTGTGAGAAGAGTGTTATTTTAACTGACATCAGAGAAGGCTTCAGAGAGGAGGTGATGTTTAGCTTGTATATTTAAAAACAATTAAGAAATGGCCAGTGGACAAAAATGGCATTAGAGACTGACAGAATGGCATATGTGAAAGGCAGGAGGTACACAAATACAGTCTGGGCTGAGCTTTGCCCATTGGGTCACAGCTGTCTCCTGAAAGTGGCCTGAGGTTTCTAGGCACAGTAAGGCAGGGAGAAAAGTATGAGATAGTCAGTTCATGACCAGTGTTATAGGAGGAGCTTGAGGCTATGAAGATGATAAGAGCATTAAATGTAAGGTTTAAAGTCCTAAACTTCCAGTTCCAACTCTGCCACTAAGAAGCTAAGCAAGCCACTTCCCTTCTCTTGGCCTATTTCTCCATTTATAAAATAAGAATATAAAGCCAAATTATTTCTAAGGCAACCTTTAGTTCTAGAAATCCATATGACAATGGTTAATAGTCCTTTAGTATAAACATATAATGTTTATATTTTTATTTATATATATACACACAAACATACATAAATCCTCTACCTTATTTCAAGAAGGATTTGAGGCCACCTTAAAAAAATACATACTATTGTATAATAAAGAATTTGTCTGGTTTTGTTCCTGGTTCCTAGGAACTTCTAAATCCTTGGAATTTCCTGAGATAGAAGTGTCTTTGTTACTCTTGATAGGTTCCTTGCATAATACATGTTTTATGCTAATGAGGTAACTCAGGATGGGTCAAAGAAAGACCAACCAGGAGATTAAAGGGTTGGGGCTTTGAGTTAGGCCAACCTCCAGGAAGGCTGAAGACTGAGTTCAATCATGTGACCAATAATTTAATTAATCATGCCTTTGTAATGAAACTCCAATAAAAACTCTGGATGCCAAGGCTCAGGTAAGCTTCATGGTTGGTGGATAGATCAACGTGTCAAGAGGATGATGGGCCCTGCTTCCAAAAGGAGAGTCTGACATGTAAGAACAATGTCTGCCACGTAAGAATATTTAATACACATTAGCTATTATTATTAGAATAGGCCTCAATCCAGGCCAATGTCAGCATGTCAAAACATAATTCAATTAATGTTTTTTAAATGCAGTCCAGATATGAAGCCATATAATTGTCTATTGCAGCACTGTCCAATAATCATTTCTGCAATGATCATAATGTTCTATATCTGTGATGTCCAATCTGGAAGCTACTAGGCATATGTAGATAGTGAGCACTTGAAATATGGGTATTATACATGAAGAACTGAAATTTTATTTTATTTTTAATTTATTTAAATTAAATGAATAATGAAAGTTCCACATCCAAAACCCTCCCAGCCATCACCCTTTGTGTCTCTTCATTTAGCTAGTCCTGATTGATGGCCTTTATAATAAGACTGTAAGTGTAGCACTTTCCTGAATTTGTGAATCATTCTAGCAAATTTATCAGACTTGAGGGGATCATAAGAATGCCTGAATTTGCAGCCAGTTGATCAGAAGTGCAGGTGGACTGGGGACACCCGAATTTGTGGCTGGCATTTTAATTGTGGGCAGTCTTTTGTGGGAGACTGTGCCCTTAACTTGTAGAGTCTGTGCCAACTCCATGTACTCAGCATCAGAATTGTATTACAGCATTATGGTAATAAAAATAAAATAAATAAACAGCTATAGCCAGGAGGAGCAGGGGTACACAAATAGTGTCATAAAAGTAATGCAGTTACTATTCATACCCTGAGAATAATTCCAAAGCAGTTTCATAGGGATTTCAGAAGTAGCATGATGTGGTTTGAGTTAAACTTATAGGACTCAAATTTCACCTCCACTATTTTACCATCTGGGTGACCACAGGCAAGTCTTAACCTCTCTGAGCTGCCACTCCCTTATGTAGAAAATGGAGTTGATAATAATGCCTACTTCATGAAATTAAGAATTAGCCAATTCATAAAAAGTACGTAAAACAGTATATGACATGTAAGAATGAATATTCAATAAACATTAGCTACTATTATTGGAATAGGCCACAATACAGGCCAACGTAAGTATGCCAAAAAACAATTCAATGAAAGTAATTTTTAATGCAGTCCAGATATGAAGTTCTACAATTGTCTATTGCAACACTGTCCAATAGATGACCACCATGATCAAAATATTCTATACCTGTGATGTCCAATCTGGAAGCCACTAGGCACTTATAGATACTGAGCACTTGAAATATGGGTGTTGCAACTGAAGAACTGAGTTTTTTTACTTTCTTTTATTTAGATTTAAATAGCCACATGAGACTAGATACTACCATATACTGGAAAATAGAGAATGCAAGTGTATACTACACAGGCCACATGCCCTTTGGGTGCTCTCTCATGAACAATATTTCTTATAACCAAGCTTCTGGCAATGACTGGGCAGGCAGGAGTTCAAGTCCGCTTAATTCTAAGTGGCTAGTTAGGGGCGGAATCATGTGTTATGTGCATCTGAGTAGAGAGTAGGATTAACATTTTGCTTTGAAACTCAAGAAGCCTACCCCTCAGGCAGGAGCCTGGAGAAAAGCCCACCGTCTGCCACATAGAGATGGGCCAAGATAATATTTACAGATATGGATAAGGCTTTCTTTAGTCTAAACAGTCCAGAATTTACTATAATGTATAATAATAACAGACTCAAAAGTTCTACCTAACTTTTCAAGTTGTGGTGAGAATTACAGGAGAAAATGCTTATAATTGCTTGGCACATTGCCTTGCACA
The DNA here is from genome assembly GCF_000001405.40 of Homo sapiens. Classification (NCBI taxonomy): domain Eukaryota; kingdom Metazoa; phylum Chordata; class Mammalia; order Primates; family Hominidae; genus Homo; species Homo sapiens. Next base: position 4,194,684 of record NC_000003.12, read on the forward strand.
GCAAACAGTCAATAAATTTTAGCTCTTGTTATCATCATTACCAGAATTATTCTATGCTATAAAATATACTGTAATAATTTCAACCTGTAAAACTATGTAAGCACCCATTAATACGGTCAATACAGTTCCCATATAATACAGAATTTCGAACAATGTTATTTACTGATGACCCCTTGAAGATAAGCTAGCGGTAAAATATAAGCTATAGAAAGTAAAAGAGTTAACACTTCTGTAAAGGATTTTTAGTTCTTGACCAATTAAATGCTAAAGGCTGTCTGCCAAAACTGATGATTTAGGTTTTGAAGTCACTTATTTAAAGTAAAGCAATTAGGTCACAGAGCCCTTGTCTGTGGAGGCTTAAATTCAAGAAAATAAAACTGTATCATCAGCTTTTACTCAAGTGCTTATCTGTCTGTTCTCTATAGCAAGGAAACACAAATTTGGCTCATTTAGGAATAATAACAAGTCATTAAGATACACATTACAAAGGAAAATTTGAAACATATCATATTTTGTCTTCCTTGAAGTTATCTAATCTGCCAAGAAACTGTGTCTAATGACCTAGATTCTGGCAGTGGTGTTAGGAGACAAGCTACAAGTCCCATATAAGTATCAGTAGCTAGGAGTATGCATGTGGGTCATAACCAATTCCTGTACATAAGCCAAGGGAAGAGCAATAAAATCAACATTTTCAAGGTTCTCAAAGAACTTATTCACAAACTGATGATACTTATACAATGTTGGTCAACAAGGCAAGAGCTGTACCTAAAGCCCTGATATTCCTCCTACAAAATATTGTCCTAAAAAATCCAGACTTGCCGTTTAACAAAAAGGAAACTGGCCTACATTTAAATGGGAAAATGTAGAGAGAGCAGAAAGAATTTTTTATTAGAATCATTCTAGGTATTATTTCAGGTATTTGTTGACTCCCAGGTAGTAGGAATTATGAATAGGCAAGGATCTAAGCATATCATGGAGAGCAGTGCTGAATATTCAAAAAGCAGATGAAGTTTATCTGTTCTTTATTTAATCAGAGACACTAGGACTCAGACTAAAGTTTTTCATTTCAAGGCAATTGATCATGGTTTTTAAAGCTAGGACTTTTTTTTTCAGTTTCACTCTTCTTGAACACTAAGAAATAAACTAAGAATCCTATAGCTTTCATCTCCCATATCTTATCTATGAAAAAACACCAAAATAGATAGCTTCAAAACATGCTTGTCATCAACTCTGAATTGCACTAAGATTACAAGGAAACAGTATGGTGGGAAAGAATGGCTGACTGGTCCCTTTGGATACCAGAAATTATATATAATAATTTAGATCATATCAATTATACAACAGTAAAAAGCACTATATGATTAAATGGTATAGCATTAGGAATACTTTAGGCTACATGGAGCAGAACACATGCCTATGGTGACTTAAATATTAGTAACTTATTTCTTCTCACATAAGGGGAAGTCCAGAAGCATGCAGTTGTTAGTTCTGGTTTAGTTAGCTCCAGAGCCTCTGAATTCCCTTGATATTTCCTTCATGGAACCAGGTTTTGCAACTCCAATCATAAGGTCCCATCTCAGCTTAATGAAGGAAGAAAGAGAAGAGGTGGTACTTATTGAGGAGTCTATCTCTAAACCAAAATCCTACAAGTGACCATTCAGACCCAAACACAGACAGTTTCCAGGCTTTGTGTGGCAGGCTTCATGGGGGGAAGCTTTCCTCCCTATACCAGACTTGGTACACAGTGAGTGCACTGCAATTTTCTGGAAGGAGTTGCAGTCAAGGACTGAAACATCCTCTCCGAAGCCAGCCATACTAATATGGATATCTGCATTCCTAGCCCTGGCACCTCCATTCAGAGGCCTCCTTATCAGAGGCCTTGGCTGAGGCACTTCCCAGACATCTGCATTGAGCTCTCCTTGTCAGAGACCTTGGCTAAAGTACTATTCTACACTCTGACTTAATGCTTTTCTACCTCTAACCCTTTTCCCTCTCTCTGGCCTCCTGGGTCCATAAAAAGGCAGGATTCTTCTGTTCAGGGCTCTAAGCAATAAAATATTTCCTCACCTGCAATGTATCCATCTCACCCTTGCAAAGTGCTGTTTCATGGGAAAAGTACTAGAGATTAAATACTAGGGAACCAGTGCCACTTTTTGCTTCTTGCTTGCTGTGTTGCAATAAATCAATAAAAGCCTTGTTTGTTACTTTCATTTGGCTCATTGTCCTAATTGGCCACCTCAACACCAGGCATCTTGACAGGATGACAAACCTTACCAGGGACACTACAGCAACCTTCCATTCTAACCCTACTGGCCTCAACTGAGATACACATGGACACTCCTAGACGAAACTGTCTACAAAGACAACCATCAGTGACTGTCATAATTTGGAAATGAATTCTATAAGGAGAATATAGGCTTAGGAGTTCAGAAAAGAGAGCAGTTTGGCTGAACTATCAGGAGATGGTATCATGGACCTGGAGTACAGTGGCACGATCACAGCTCACTGCAGCCTCGACCTCCCCAGGCTCAAGTGATCCTCCCACCTCAGTCTCCCGAATATTGGGGACTACAAATGCACGCCACCATGCCTAACTAATTTTTGTATTTTTTGTACAGACAATGTTTCACCGTGTTGCCCAGTATGGGCTCAAGTGATCCACCCACCTCAGCCTCCCAAAGTGCTGGGATTACAGGTGTGAGCCAGTGCACCCAGTAAGGAGATGGTTTCACGGAAAGATTAAACTTACACCATGCTCTAAAAGATAGGTAAGGTTTAGAGATGAGAGGGCATGACAGACGGAAGAAATAGTCTAAGGAAAGGTTTTGAGGAAGGAATAAACTTCTGAGACAGAGAAGAAATTACCCTGCTTCTCTGGAAAAGAACAGGAGAAAGAATGTTTTGATTAAGGTAATAGAATACAGTTGGTCCCCCAAGGAATGGCGGAGGATGCTACTTTTATAGAATAATCTTTAGCAAGTCTGTTCTGACAAGTAAACTAGGAAATGCCTATAAAAGATACTCTATTGTCTATCCAAACATGTCAGTAAACATTTATGTCAAACGACTAACCTTAATACATGCAGATTACACTCTTCAGAAAAACCAAGCAAAACGCGCCTTGTGCAATATAATGAAGAAAGTGCCATTCTGCCACTATCGCTGCTTCAACTCCAACTGTGATCCATGGGGTATCCATTCATGGAATCAAAGCAGCATATGGCTCTGAAAATATCAGCCTCTGATCTTACAATGAACAGGGTAATCTTTAAATTAAAATATCAGATCAAAAATGTTCCCGAATAACAATGAGTTTAAGTTGATGGGTTTTTGTGTTTGTTTTAGGCTTTTTTTTTTTTTTTCGGAAAGAGAGATTCTTATTGGTCAAATGAAAAATGTATTCAATAATTGCAGTAGATAAAATCAAAGCAATATTTTCTCTATATTACCTAAGAGGTATGTTTCTCTCCTATTCCTTACTCATTGGCAGTGAAGGTATAAACAAAGAGTGGAAATAAAACCAGTGAGTGGGATTCTTTCATGTCTCTTGTTATACCTCCTATGGAGTAACATGCAGTTAGACACAAAAAAGCTCAAGGGCCAAGATCTCTCCTGCCATGTCTAAGTGTGTGACACCAGAAGGAAATGGGAACTCTGCAGAGATCATTCTGAAGGAAGTTATCTCTTGATTTACTAAAAGCTGCCTTTCAAGATGGTTCCCAACAGTCTCAGTTTGAAAGTAGATACTCCTTCCTCCCAGCCCCAAGTTGACAATTAGATATTCCTGCTTATTAATCTACCTAAGTGACTGTTCCTGAAAATTAAAATGTGGTATGCTTTCATTATGCAACCATCTTGGAAATGGCAGGAAATAACAAATTGTAAACCCACAACTGTAGCCTTCTAAAAGTGAAAAGACTGACAATGGCCCGACAAAAAGAAGACATTTTAATTAATATGCCTCCCTGTAGCTTTGCCTTTCTTCTGGTGTGCTCAGCTGGAGTAATTAGAGGAAGATCTGAGGGGAGCCTACCTCAGAAGCCTCACTCAACCCTCTCCCGCTGAGTCTCACCCTTCGCTGGCAACTGTCTCCACTGAAGAAGAGACTCAGCATATGCTGTAATGTACATCTGCTCTGGGGAATAATCCCTTTCAAGAACCACCATGAAGTATTCTGTCCAAAAAGAAAAAAAAAGAGTCTACTCACTTTAAAAATAAGAAAAAGAAATAATCATTTAAGAAAGATACCCTTCCAAGCTATTATCCCTCTGAAATGCTTCCTCTTCCACTATTTTTTCTCATTTAACAACTTTTTAAAGTGCAATTTATAATACCATAAAATTCGACCACTTGAAGTTTACAGATCAAATGAGTTTAGGTAAATGTATGCAGTTGTGCAGCCATCACCACAATCAAGCTTTAGAACTTTCTATCACTCAAAAAGTTGCCTTGTATCCAATTGCCTTCAATCCCTGTTCCTACTCACAGCTCCACAGAAACCTGATCTTCTGTCTCTATAGTTCTGTCTTTTCCAGAAATTTTATATAAATGGAATCATACTATATGTATTCTTTTGTGTATTGCTTCTTTCACTTTTGAAGTTCATTCATGTTGTTACATGTATAAGTAGTTTGCTCCTTCTTATTGCTGAATGGTATTCCATTACTTAGACCACATTTTAGTTATCTATTCCCCAGCTGAAGGATATTTACGTTGTCCAACTTTGAGGTATTATAAGTAAGATGAACATTCAGATACAAGTCTTTGTGTGCACATATGATTTCATTCCTCTTGGGCAAATACATAGGAGAGAAATTTCTGGGTTGTATGGTAATTACGTGTTCAACTTTTTAGGAAACTGGCGGGTAATTTTTCAAAGTGGCTATATCATTTTCCATTTCCATCAGCAATGTATGAGGGCTCCAGTTTCTTCATAAATCTAAATAACACATAGCATTCTGTCTTTCTTATTATGTATATTTTAATAAGTGTGTAGTAATATCTCTCCGGTGTTTCAATTCTCATTTCCCTAATGACTAACAATGTTGAACATTGTTTCATGTGCTTATTTGCTATTTATTGATCTTTTCTGGTGAAGTGTCTAGTCAAGTTTTTGCCTATTTTTTAATTGGATTATGAATCTTCAGGTTATTTAATTGTAAGAGGTCTTTTCGTACCTGGACATAAGTCTTTTATCAAACATATAATTTTCAAGTATTTGCATCCATTCCTTTTTGCTTATCTGTTTTTTCATTTTCTTAATGTCATCTTTTGTAGAACACAAGTTTTCATTTATCTTTTATTGTTCATGTGTTTTGCATCCTATCTAAAGGTCACAACATAAAGGTTCATGTGTTTTGTGCCTAGCCCAAGGTCACAAATTTTTTCTCTCATCTTTAATTCTGGAACTGTTATACTTTGAGCTCTTACATTTAGATCTATGATCCACTTTGAGTCGTATTTTGCATATGGTGTGAGGTAAGCATCAAGATTTTTTTTTTTTTTTTTTTGCGTATGGCTACTGTGATGGTTACTTGTAGGTGTCAACTTGACGGGATTAAGGGATACCTAGATAGCTGGTGAAGCATTATTTCTGGGTGTGTCTGTTACAGTGTTTCCAGAGGAGACTGGTGTGTGAGTCAGTGAATTCAGTGGGCAAAATCTGCCTTCAATGTGGGCAGGGCACTCCCCACTCTGCTGGGAGCCCAGATAAAACAAAAAGGCAGAGGAATGGTGAATTTGTTCTCTCTCTCCTGGAGCTGGGACACCCTTCTCCTACCCTTGATCATCAGAACTGCAGGTTTTCCAGCCTTTGAACTATGGGACTTGCACCAGCAGCTCTCTGGGTTCTAAGGTTTTCACGCTCAAACTTAGAGTTACACCATGAGTTTCTCTAGTTCTGAGACCTCTGGACTTGGACCAAGCCATGCTACTGCTTTCCTTGATTCCCTAGCGTGCAGATGGCCTATCATGGGAGTTCTCAGCCTCAATAATTGCATGAGGCAATTTCCTTTATGGATCTCCTCTTATGTACCTATCTATCTGTCTATCCATACTATCCATACAGGATTCTGTCTCTCTGGAGAACCCTGACTAATGCAGATACCAAATTGTTCCAGCATGTTTTTCTGCTGAATTACCTTTCAACTTTGTCAAAAATCAAGTGGCCATAAATGTGTGGATTCATTTCTAGACTATCCTGTTCCACTGATCTATAGTTTATATTAGCTAATACCACATTGTCTTACTATAACTTTATAGTAAAGTTTTGAAAACTATATAGCATAAACCCTCCAACTTTGTTCTTTGTTTGTAATTTTTTATAGGTACCTAGTAAATGTATATATTTATAAGGTATATGAGATATATTGGTATAGGCATACAATGTGCAATAATCACATCAGAGTAAATGGGGTATCCATCACCTCATGCATTTATCATTCCTTTGCATTACAAACATTCCAATTTTACTCCCTCACTTATTCTAAAATGTACAACAAACTGCTGTCTATAGTCACCCTATTGTGCTATCAAATACTAGATCTTATTTATTCTATATAACTATATTTTTGTACTCATTAACCATCGCCACTTCCAACCCCCACACACTACCCTTCCTAGCTTCTGGTAACCATCATTCTACTACTCTCTATCTCCATGAGTTCAATTGCTTTAATTTTTAGTTCTCATAAATAAGTGAGAATATGTGAAGTTGGTTTTTCCATGCCTGTCTTATTTCACTTGACATTATGTCCTCCACTTCCACCCATCTTGTTGTAAATGACAGGATTTCATTCTTTTCTATGGCTGAATAGTACTCCATTGTATGTATGAATCACATTTTCTTTATCCATTTATTGGTTGATGGAAACAGGTTGATTGCAAATATTGACAATTGTGAATAGTGCTGCAATAAACATGGGAGTGTAGATATTGCTTCAATACACTGATTTCCTTTCTTTTGGGCAAATACCTAGGAGCAATACTGCTGGATCATGTGGTAGTTCTATTTTTAGTTTTTTGAGGAACTTCCATACTGTTTTTCATAGTGACTGTACTAACTTACATTCCAACCAACAGTACGAGGGTTCCCTTTTCTCCACATCCTTGCCATGTCTTTTCGATGAAAGCCATTTTAATTGGGGTGAGATGATATCCCATTGTAATTTTAATTTGCACTTTTCTGATGTTAAGCACCTTTTCAAATACCTGTTTGCCATTTGAGCAATGTCTATTGAGATCTTTTGCCCATTTTTTTAATCTGATTATTGGATTTTTTTCCTATTGAGTTGTTTCAGCTCCTTACATATTCTGGTTATTAATTGCTTGTCAGATGGATAGTTTGCAAATATACTCCCATTCTGTGGGTTGTCTCTTCACACTGTTGATTGTTTCCTTTGCTGTACAGAAGCTTTTTAACTTTATGAGATCTCATTTGTCCATTTTTGCTTTGGTTCTCCATGCTTGTGGGATATTACCAAAGAAATCTTTGCCCAGACCAATGTCCTGGACAGTTTCTCCAATTTTTTCTTTTCATTGTTTCATAGTTTGAAGTCTTAGACTTAAATCTTTAATCTATTTTTATTTGATTTTTGTATATGGCAACAGATAGGGGTCTCATTTCATTTTTCTGCATATGCATATCCAGTTTTCCTAGTGCCATTTATTGAAGAGACTGTCCTTCCCTCAGTGTATGTTCTTGGCACCTCTGTCAAAAATGAATTCATTGTAGATGTTTATGGTTGTATTTATGAGTTCTCTACCCTGTTCCATTGGTCTATGTGTCTGTTTTTATGCCAGTACTATGTTGTTCTGATTACTATAGCTCTGTAGTATAATTTGAACTCAGGTAATGTTATTCCTCTAGTTTTGTTCCTTTTGTTCCAAATGGCTTTGGCTATTTTGGGTCTTTTGTGGTTCTATATGAATTTTATGATTATTTTTTCTATTTCTGTGAAGAATGTCATTGGTACTTTGATAGGGATTGCATTGAATCTGTAGATTGCTTTGAATAGTATGGATGTTTTAACCATATTGGTTCTTCCAGTCCATGAACTTTTACTGTAACCCATCAGTTTTGGTATGTTGTATTTCCATTTTCATTTGTTTTAATGAATTTTTCAATATCCTTCTTAATTTCTTCATTGGCCCATTGGTCATTCAGGAGCATATTGTTAATTTCCATGTGTTTGTATAGTTTCCAAAGTTCCTCTTCCTATTGATTTCTAGTTTTATTCCATTGTGGTCAGGAAAGATACTTGATATTATTTCCATTTTTTTTAATGTTTTAAGACTGATTTTGGGGTCTAACATATTCTCTATTCTTGAGAATTATCCATGTACTGAGGAGAAAAATGTACTGAGAAGCAGCAGCCACCATTGGATGAAATGTTCTGTAAATATCAAGTATCAAATAGACCATTTGGTCTGTAATGCCAATTAAGTGTGATAGTTCTTCTTTGTTGGTTTTCTGTCTAAAGGTCTCTCCAATGCCAAAAGTGGAGTATTGATGTTCCCACCTATTGTATTGGGGTCTATCTTTCTCTTTAGCTCTAATAATATTTGCTTTATATATTTGGGTGCTTCAGTGTTGGATGATATATATTTGCAATTATTATATCTTCTTGCAGAATTCACTTCTTTATCATTAATGACTTTCTTTGTTTCTTTTTCTGTTTTTTGCCTTTAAATCCATTTTATGTAATATAAATATAGCTACTCCTGCTCTTTCTTGGTTTTCATTTGCATGGAACATACTTTTCCATCCCTTTATTTTCAGCCTTTGTGTGTCTTCATGTAAGTGAAGTGTTTTTCTTGTAGGCAACAGATTATTGGTCCTGTTTTTTACATCCATTCAGCCCTGCAATGTCTTTTAATTGGAAAGTTTAGTCCAGTTACATTCAATGTTACTATTGATAAGTAAGGACTTTCTCCTGTCATGTTGTTATTTGTTTTCTGGTTGTTTTGTGGTCTTCTCTTCCTTCCTTCCTTTCTTCCTGTCTTCCTTTTTGTGGAAGTGGTTTTCTCTGGTCATGTATTTTAATTTCTCTTTTCATTTTTAGTATATCTGTTGTAGGTTTTTTTTATTTGAGGTTACCATGAGGCTTGAAAATAACATCTTGTAACTCATTATTTTAAATTGATAACAACATTGATTACAAAAACAAGCAAACAGAAGACTAAAAAAAACTCACAATTTAATTTCAACCCCCTGCTTTTTAACTTTTTGATATCTCTATCTTATACTTTTGATGTCTTAAAAAGTTGTTGTAGTTATTATTTTTGATAAGTCCATCCTTTAGTCTTACTACTCAAGACATAAGTAGTTTATATACCACAATTACAGTGTTGTAATATTCTGTATTTATCTGTATACTTACTATTATCCATGAGTTTTGTGCCTTCAGATGATTTCTTAGTGCTCATTAATGGTCTTTTCCTTCAGACTGAAGAATTCCTTTTAACATTTCTTCTTGTAGGACAGGCCTGGTGTTGACAAAACTTCTTGGCTTTTGTTCACCTGGGAAAGTATCTATTTCTCCTTCATGTTTGAAGGATATTCAAATACATACAATGTTCTAGGATAATTTTTTTATCTTTAGCACTTTAAATATGTTAGCTACTGTCTCCTGGTCTACAAAATTGCCACTGAGAAGTCTGCTGCCAGACATATTGGAGCTCCTTTATATGTTGTTTGTTTTCTCTTGCTGCTTTTAGGATCCATTCTTTATTCTTAACCTTTGGGAGTTATACTATTAAATGTCTTGAGGTAGTCTTACTTGGGTTAAATCTGCTTGGTGTTCTATAACCTTCTTGTGCTTGAATATTGTTATCTCTCTCTAGGTTTGGTAAGTTATTGTTATTATCTCTTTGAATAAATTTTATGGTCCAATCTTTCTCTCTACCTCCTCTTTAAGGCCAGTAACTCTTAGATTTGCCCTTTTGAGGCTCTTTTCTTGATCTTATAGGCATGCTTCATGCCTTTTCTTTTTTTACTTTTGTTTCCTCTGCTTGTGTATTTTCAGATAGCCTGTCTTCAAGCTCATTAATTCTTTCTTCCGCTTGATCCATTCAGCTGTTAAGACACACTGATGTATTTTTTCAGTTTGTCAATTGACTTTTTCAGCTCCAGGATCTCTGCTTGATTTTTTTTATTATTTCAATTACTTTGTTAAGTTTATCTTATAAAATTCAGAATTCCTTCTCTGTGTTTTCTTGAATTTTGTTGAGCTTCCTCAAAACAGCTATTTTGAATTCTCTGAAAGGTCACATATCTCTGTCACATGAGGATTGGTCATTTGTGCCTTATTTAGTTCATTTGGTGAGGTTATTGTCAGGCCTCTGAGCCCAAGCTAAGCCACCATATCCCCAGTGACCTGCACATATACATCCAGATGGCCTGAAGCAACTGAAGATCCACAGAAGTGAAAATAGCCTTAACTGATGACATTCCACCATTGTGATTTGTTACTGCCCCACCTAACTGATCAATGTACTTTGCAATCTTCCCCAACCCTTAAGAAGGTTCTTTGTAATTCTCCCCACCCTTGAGAATGTACTTTGTGAGATCCACCCCCTGCCCGCAAAACATTGCTCCAAACTCCACCACCTATCCCCAAAACCTATAAGAACTAATGATAATCCACCACCTTTTGCTGACTGTCTTTTTGGACTCAGCCCGCCTGCACCCAGGTGAAATAAACAGCCATGTTGCTCACACAAAGCTTGTCTGGTGGTCTCTTCACACGGACACATGAGACAGTTATGTTTTCTGGATGGTCTTGGTGCTTGCAGATATTCAATGATGTCTGTGCATTAAAGAGCTAGGGATTTATTCTATTCTTCACACTCTGGGCTTGTTTGTACCCATCCTTCTTAAGAAAGCTTTCTAAGTATTCAAAGGGCATCGAGTGTTGTAATTTAAGTCTTTGATGACTGCAGCCATTATCTGCTTTGGGGGCAACCCAAGTCCAGTAACACTGTGACTTTTGCCAACTCATAGAGGTACTGCCTTGGTGGTCTTGGGCAAGATCTGGGAGAATTCCCTAGATTACCAGGCAGAGTCTCTTGTTCTCTTCTCTTACTTTCTCCCACAGAGTCTCTCTCTTCACGCTGACCTACCTGGAGTTGGGGGAAAGGTGATGCAAGCATCCCTATGGCCACTACCACTGGGGATGTGCTGGGTCACATCTGAAGCCACCATGGTACTGGGTTCTGCCCAAGACCCATGTTAACTACTGCCTGGCTACCACTAATGTTTATTCAAGTCCCAAAGACTCTTTAGTCAGCAGATGATGAATCTTGCAAGGACTGAGTCTTTCTCTTCAGGGCAGCAAGTTTCCTTCTGGTTCAGGGTGGGTCTAGAACTGTCATCTAGGAACTAGGGCCTGAAATGAGGGCTTCAGGACTCTGCTTGGTGCTTTATTTAATATGGCTAAGCCAGTATCCAAGGTGCAGGACAAAGTCCTCTTTCCTCTCACCTCTCCTTTCCTCAAGCAGAAGAAGTCTCTCCAGGAGCTGCAAGCTGTGTTGACTGGCCTTGGGGAAGGGTGACACAAACACTCCTTTGGCTGCCCCAGCTGTATCTCACTGAGTCATGTGCACCCCAAGTCCACTGGTTCCAAGCCCAGCAAAGCACCAGAACTTGCTCAGGAATCACAGTCTTTGTGGCCTAGACTGCCTTTCAAATTTATTTAGTACCCTAGAGCACTTTAGCTGGACCATTCCCCTCCAGTGAGGGCTGGTCTAAATACTGCCTCTGTGGGCACCAGGTGAATTCTGCCCTTCACTGTTACTGGGCAGCACTGAGTTCCAATGCAAGTTCAACAGTCACTGTGTTCTCCCTCTCCCAAACACAGATTCTTTCTCTGTGTCACGTGGCACTGCCAGAAGATGTGGCAAGGGTGTTGGAGGCAATTCAAAACTGTATTTCCTACCTCTTCAGTGCCTCCTTCCTCGAAATGATTTTAAAATCAGGTACTATGATCACTCACCTGATTCTTTGGTTCTCATGGGGGTGCTTTCTTTTGTCAACAGTTGTTCAAGTTTGGTGACTGAACAACTATTGTGGGGGAATAATTACTGGAGGGTTCTATTCAGCCATCTTGCTCCACCTCTCCCCCATTCTTTTTTTTTTAAATTTTGTTTATTCTAGGTACTCTGCATTTCCACTTAAATTTAGGAACTAGTTGTCAATTTCTATGAAAAGCCTGCTGGAATTTTGATAATGATTATGTTGAATCTATAAATCAATTTGAAGAGAATTGCCATTTTAACTAAACTAAGTCTTCTAATCCACAAACATAGTATATCTTTCCACCTACTTACGTCTCATTAATTTCTCTTAGCAATGTTTTATAGTTTTTATTATATAGTTCTTGTACTTTAAAAAATTTATTCCCATATATTTTATTCTTTTTACTTTCATAGTAAATGATATTATCTTAATTTTATTTTTAGATTGTTGATTGCTAATAAACAGAAATACAATTGATTTTTGTATATTTATCTTTTACCTTATGACCTTGTTAAACTTGCTTATTAAGGCAGATTCCTTAAGATTTCCTACATACAAATCATATCGTCCATGAATAAAGACAATTTTACTTCTTACCTTTCAATATGCATATCTTTAATTTCTTATTCTTACCTCATTGCACTGCCTCGAATGTCCAGTGCAATGTTAAATAAAAGTGATGAGAAGAGACATTTTTGTATCCTTTCAAATCTTAGGGTGAGAAAGCATTCAGGCTTTTAATATTAACCATGAAATTACCTGCAGCTCAGGTTGAAGAAATGTTTATTTCTAGTTTGTTGAAAATTTTTACCATGAATGTATGTTGGATATTTTCAAACGTTTTTATATTTCTATTGAGATCATTATATGGACTTTGTCCTTTATTCTATTAAGATGATGTATTACACTAACTGATTTTGGGTTAATAAGTTAACCTTGCCATGTGAGGAGCTCAAGAATCACTACTCCATCCAAACAACAAACAAAAAACTAAACAAACTGAAAAATCAATAACTATTCTTAAATTCATCAAAGAAGTGAGGTAGCAGGGCAAACCTCTGCCCCAAAAACATAGCGACAGACAAGGAGATACAGAAAACCACAACTTACTAGAACAGAAACTCACAAGAAGAAATTCTGTGCAGAACCAGTGCCCAGATAGGAAATGTTGAAATGTAATTGACAATTGCTGGAGACTCAGCGTGAACACGTCTGAGAGTTAAAAACTCCAGGGAGAATGAGTCATAGGAGGCCCCCATGTTTTTATGAGTTCTACCTGCAGGAGCTCTACAAAACTCTCATGGTGAATATCTAGGAAAATCTTTTCATGCTTCTGGCAGGGGTTGGGGAAAAGTAAGCATTCTGAAGTATGCCAGATCACTCTCTTCTTAATAAGGAATACCCTCAAGAGAAACAATTTTATTATAGCCTAAATTGCTGGGGTTTTACCAGAGCCTACTTCAGAAAAAGGAAATACCCAACTCCAGCCAATTCTAGCCTTCCACAAGGGGAAAAGAAATACCCAACTCCAGCCCCCTCTAGCCATCCTGTCCCACCTAAAGGGTAAGGAGAGGACTAAGAAGTATTTGCAACTGTCATGGTCCAGGGACACAGTCTCATAAAAAGACTGAAACCTACTCATAGGACTAATGTTTTCCCTCCCTATAAAACTTACCGCTACTTTACTAAAGGCCTATTTACTGCAGTTCCAGTTACCCAGTATATCATGTCAACCTTTCTACAGAAAATTTATAGGACATTCTAGAAGGCAAAAAAAAAAAAAAACTGTGAGGAGACAAAACAAGCATCATAACCAGAGATAGATATGGTAGAAATGTTAAAATTATCAGACTAGGATTTTTTTAACTGCAATTAATATGCTAAGGTTAATGGCAGAAAAGATGAGTAACAAGCGGAGAGACGAAAATTCTAAGAAAGAACCAAAAGACATGCCAGACATCAAAAACACTGTAGTAGAAATGAAGAACGTCTTTAATGGGCTCATTAGTAGACTGGACGTGACTAAGGAAAAAAACCCCAAGCTTGAGTATGTGACAATAGAAACTTTCCAAACTGAAAAGAAAAAAGACTAACATAAAATCCAAGAACTGCTGGACAACAACCAAAGAGGAAACCAAAGAGGTAACATATGCACAATGGGAATATCAGAAAGAGAAGAAAGAGATCTGTTGCTAGACTCAGATTAATATTTTGTTAAGGATTTTTGCATCTGTGTCCATGAAGGATATTGGTCTATAGTTTTCTTGTGATGTCTTTGTCAGCTTTGTCTGGCTTCATTAAAATGAGTTGGGTAGAAGTTCTCTCCTATCTGTTTTCTGAAAAAGTTTGTGTAGAATCAGTATGATTTCTTCCTTAAATACTTCACAAGATTCTCCAGTTAAAACATCTAGACCTGGCCACTTTATGGGATATTATCCTTTTAATGATTCAATTCAATAAAATTTTATTGGGTACCTATTATATACGTGCTGCTGCAGTTGACTTTAAGGACCTACAATTTCCAATATGTATAAATTTTACACTCTACTATAAAGATTTTTAAAATCCTACATACAAAAATCAACCATGCCATAATACAAGGTACTGTTTAATTATGTGCAAACATCATGGAGAACAAAACACTAACTGAAACTTTATTCAAATTCAGTTTCTGTCATTACCTGGTAGTTGAACCTTAATCACTTAAACATCCTAAGTTGCAGTCTCCTCATTGTAAAATAATAAAGTTCGATGAGAATACTTCTAAGATCCTTCCAGTATTTAAATTATTTAATCTATAAGGAAAGTTTAAAATTAAACTTTATCACAAATGACAATCTAAGAAAAATGTTTATAATTAAAAGCCCAGACAAAATATTATTCCAAATTTATTAGATCTTAGAGATCAAGAAGAAAAAAACAACAATATAATAGAAAAATAACATTCAGAAAAAGAAACACCAAATGATCCTTAAACACATGAAAATTACTGAACATCAAAATCAACTATATGCTAACAAGTAACTGGAAAATATAATTTTAGAAAGATAAGCATTTAAATTGCAATAAAAGACATCAAATACTTGGGAATACATTTATCAAACTATGTATAAGATCACTACGCTAAAGACTACCACAGATTGCTGAGAGAAATTAAAGAAGGCCAAAATAAATATTCATGGATTTTAAAATTTAGAAAAAAAAATTTTTTTTGAGGCAGAGTCTCACTCTGTCACCCAGGCTGGAGTGCAGTGGCACGATCTCAGCTCACTGTAACCTCCACCTCCTGGGTTCAAGCAATTCTCCTGCCTCAGCCTCCCGAGTAGCTGAGATTACAGGTGTGTTCCACCACACCTGGCTAATTTTTGTATTTTTAGTAGAGACAAGGTTTCACCATGTTAGCCAGGCTGGTCTTGAACTCCTGACCTCAAGTGATCTGCCTGCCTCAGCCTCCCAAAGTGCTGGGATTACAGGTGTGAGCCACTGTGCCCGGCCAAAACTTAGAAATATTAACATGTCAATTCTCCTCAAAATGTATCCATAAATTCAATGCAATCCAAATAAAAATTCCAGCAGACATTTTCTACATTTATTGGAAAATGTACATGAAAACACAGATGACCTAGAAAAGCCAATACAATCTTGAAAAAGAACAAAACTTGAGGATTTACACAACCAAATGTTAATACTTAGAAAAAAGCTACAATAACTAAGGCAATGTGGTATATACACCAATGGAACAGAATAAAGACAGCCCAGAATTAGACCCACACATATTGTCACCAATTTACATACCACTGAAGTTCAAAGGGGAAAGAACGACCCTTTCCCAGTCCCCATAAATGGTGCTGGATCATTGGAAAACTATATGGAGAAAGAGGAACCTTGACTCTTAAATTCCACAATGCACAAAAATTTTTTTTTAACTTTTAAGTTCAGGGGTATATGTGCATGTTTTTTACACAGGTAAACTTGTAACATGGGCATTTATTATACAGATTATTTCATCACCCCATGTGATGGTTAACACTGAGTGTCAACTGGATTGGGTTGAAGGATGCAAAGTATTGATCCTGAGTGTGTCTGTGAGGGTGTTCCCAAAGGAGATTAACATTTGTGTCGCTGGGCTGGGAAAGGCAGACCCACCCTTGATCTGGGTGGGCACCACCTAATCAGCTGCCAATACAGCCAGGATATAAAGCAGGCAGAAAATCATAAAAAGGCTAGACTGGCATAGCCTCCCAGCATACATCTTTCTCCTGTGATGGAGGCTTCCTGTCCTCAAACATCAACTCCAAGTTCTTCAGCTTTGGGACTCAGACTGGTTTCCTTGCTCCTCAGCCTGCAGATGGCCTGTTGCAGGACCGTGTGATTGTGTGAGTTAATACTCCTTAATAAACTCCCATATATATATATATATATACACACACACACACATATATACATATACATATATATACATATATATACACACATATATATACATATACATATACATACATACATATATATATATATATATATATATCCTATTAGTTCTGTTTCTCTAGAGAACCCTGACTAATATACCCAGGTACTAAGCCTAGTACCCATTAGTTATTTTTCCTGATCCTCTCCTTCCTCTAACCTCCACCCTCCAGTTGGCCCTAGTATGTGTTGTTCCCCTCTCTGTGTCCATGTGTTCTCATCATTTAGCTCCAATTAATAAGTGAGAACATGCAGTATTTTATTTTCTATTCCTGCATTAGTTTGCTAAGATAATGGCCTCCAGCTTTTGAAAGAGGTAAACATGAAAGAGAAAATAATAAAGCTTCCAGAGGAAAATATAAGAGAATATCTTCATGACCTTGAGGTAAGGAAGATTACTTAAACCGGACACAGAAAACTCCAATCATTTAAAAAACATAGACAAGTTCAACTTCATTTAAATTAAGATCTTCAATTCTCCAAAAGATGCCATTAGACTATAAACTACAAGGTATTGGTACTATAAGGTAAAACCACAATTAAATATCACTTCATCCTCACCAGATTGGCTAAAATTATAAGAACTGATAATACATCAAGTCTTAGCAAGGAGTAGGTGGTTTTATGCTCATAGTGTAAACAAAGCAGCCAGGAAGTTCGAACTGGGAGGAGCCCACTGCAGTTCAGCAAGGCCTCCGCAGCCAAACTGCCAGAGTTCTCCTCTCTGGGCAGGGCATCTCTGAAAAAAAGGCAGCAACCCCAGTCAGGGACTTACAGATAAAACCCCCATCTCCCAGGGACAGAGCACCTGGGGAAGGGGTGGCTGTGGGCACAGCTTCAGCAGATGTAAACGTCCCTGCCTGATGGCTCTGAAGAGAGGAGCAGACCTCCCAGCACAGCATTCGAGCTCTGCTAAGGGTCAGATTGTCTCTTCAAGTGGGTCCCTGACCGCCGTGTATCCTGACTGGGAGACACCTCCCAGTAGGGGCCGACAGACAGCTCATACAGGAGAGCTCTGGCTGGCATCTGGCAGATGCCCCTCTGGGACAAAACTTCCAGAGGAAAGAACAGTCAGCAATCTTTGCTGTTCTGCAGCCTCCACTGGTGATACCCAGGCAAACAGCATCGGGAGTGGACCTCCAGCAAACTCCAGCAGACCTGCGGCAGAGGGGCCTGATTGTTAGAAGGAAAGCTAACAAAAAGAAAGGAATAGCACGTCCACTCAAAGACCCTATCCGACGGTCACCAACATCAAAGACCAAAGGTAGATAAATCTACAAAAATGGGGAGAAACAAGCACAAAAAGTCTGAAAATTCCAAAAACCAGAATGCCTCTTCTCCAAAGGATCACAACTACTCGCCAACAAGGGAGCAAAAATGGACAGAGAATGAGTTTGATGAATTGACAGAAGTAAGCTTTAGAAGGTGGTAAATAACAAACTCCTCTGAGCTAAAGGAGCATGCTGTAACTCAATGCAAGAAAGCTAAGAACATTGAAAAAAGGTTACACGAATTGTTAACTAGAATAACCAGTTTACAGAAGAACATAAATGATCTAATGGAGCTGAAAAACACAGCACAAGAACTTTGGGAAGCATACACAAGTATCAATAGCCGAATTGATCAAGTGGAAGAAAGGATATCGGTTATTCAAGATCAAATTAATGAAATAAAGCGAGAAGACAAAATTAGAGAAAAAATTATAAAAACGAACAAACAAAGCCTCCAAGAAATATGGGACTATGTGTAAAGACCAAACCTGTGTTTGATTGGTGTACCTGAAAGTGACAGGGAGAATGGAACCAAGTTGGAAAACACTCTTCAGGATATTATCCAGGAGAACTTCCCCAACCCAGCAAGACAGGCCAACATTCAAATTCAGGAAATACAGAGAACACCACAAAGATACTCCTCAAGAAGAGCAACCCCAAGACGCATAATCATCAGATTCACCAAGGTTGAAATTAAGGAAAAAATGTTAAGGGCAGCCAGAGAGAAAGGTCGGGTTACACACAAAGGAGAGCCCATCAGACTAACAGCAAATCTCTCTGCAGAAACCCTACAAGCCAGAAGAGAGTGGGGGCCAATATTCAACATTCTTAAAGAAAAGAATTTTCAACCGAGAATTTCATATCCAGTCAAACTAAGCTTCATAAGCCAAGGAGAAATAAAATCCTTTACAGACAAGCAAATGCTTTAAGATTTTGTCACCACCAGGCCTGCGTTACAAGAGCTCCTAAAGGAAGCACTAAACATGGAAAGGAACAACCAGTTCCAGCCACTGCAAAAACAAACCAAAATATAAAGACCATCAACACTATGAAGAAACTGCATCAACTAACAGGCAAAACAACCAGCTAGCATCATAATGGTAAGACCAAATTCACATATAACAATATTAACCATAAATGTAAATGGGCTAAATGCCCCAATTAAAAGGCACAGACTGGCAAATTGGATAGAGTCAAGACCCATCAGTGTGCTGTATTCAGGAGGCTCATCTCATGTTCAAAGACACACATAGGCTCAAAATAAAGGGATGGAGGAATATTTACCAAGCAAATGGAAAGCAAAAAAAGCAGGAGTTGCAATCCCAGTCTCTGATAAAACAGACTTTAAACCAACAAAGATCAAAAGAGACAAAGAAGGCCATTACATAATGGTAAAAGGATCAATGCAGCAAGAACAGCTAACTACCCTAAATATATATGCACCCAATACAGGAGGATCCAGATTCATAAAGCAAGTTCTTAGAGACCTACAAAGAGACTCAGACTTCCACACGATAATGATGGGAGACTTAAACATCCCACTGTCAATATTAGACAGATCGATGAGACAGAAAATTAACAAGGATATTCAGGACTTGAACTCAGCTCTGGACCAAGCAGACCTAATAGATATCTACAGAACTCTCCATACAAATCAACAGAATATACATTCTTCTCAGAACCACATCACACTTATTCTAAAATTGACCACATAATTGGAAGGAAAACACTCCTCAGCAAATGCAAAAGAACGGAAATCATAACAAACAGTCTCTCAGACCACAGTGCAATCACATTAGAACTCAGGATTAAGAAACTCACTCAAAACTGAACAACCACATGGAAACTTAACAACCTGCTCCCAAATGACTACTCAGTAAATAACAAAATGAAGGCACAAATAGATGTTCTTTGAAACCAATGAGAATGAAGACACAATGTACTAGAATATCTGGGACACATTTAAAGCACTGTGTAAGGGAAATTTATAGCACTAAATGCCCACAAGAGAAAGCAGGAAAGATCTAAAATTGACACCCTAACATCGCAATGAAAAGAACTCGAGAAGCAACAGCAAACAAATTCAAAAGCGAGCAGAAGACAAGAAATAACTAAGATCAGAGCAGAACTGAAGGAGACAGAGACACGAAAAACCCTTCAAAAAATCAATGAACCCAGGAGCTGTTTTTTGAAAAGATCAACTAAATAGATAGACCACTAGCAAGACTAATAGAGAGAAGAACCAAATATATGCAATAAAAAATCATATAGGGGATATTACCACTGATCCCACAGAAATCCAAACCACCATCAGAGATTACTATAAACACCTCTGCGAAAATAAGCTAAAAAACCTAGAAAAAATGAATAAATTCCTGGACACATACACCCTCCCAACCCTAAACCAGGAAGACATCAAATCCCTGAATAGACCAATAACAAGTTCTAAAATTGAGGCAGTAATTAATAGCCCACCAACCAAAAAAAGTTCCGGGACCATATGGATTCACAGCCAAATTCTATCAGAGGTACAAAGAGGAGCTGGTACCATTCATTCTGCAATGATTTCAAACAATAGAAAAAGAGGGAATCCTCCCTAACTCATTTTATGAGGCCAACATCATCCTGATACCAAAATCTGGCAGAGACACAACAAAAAAGGAAAATTTCAGGCCAATATCCCTGACGAACATCGATGCAAAAATCCTCAATAAAATACTGGCAAACCAAATCCAGCAGCACATGAAATGCTTATCCACCACGATCAAGTCGGCTTCATCTCTGGGATGCAAGGCTGGTTCAACATATGCAAATCAATAAACATAATCCATCACATAAACAGAACCAATGCCAAAAACAACATGATTATCTCAATAGATGCAGAAAAGGTCTTCAATAAAATTCAACATCCCTTCATGCTAAAAACTAAATTAACTAGGTATTGGTGGGATGCATCGCAAAATAATAAGAGCTATTTATGACAAACCCACAGCCAATATCATACTGAATGGGCAAAAGCTGAAAGCATTCCTTTTGAAAACCAGCACAAGGCAAGGATGCCCTCTCTCACCACCCCTATTCAACATAGTATTGAAAGTTCTGGCCAGGGCAATCAGGCAAGAGAAAGAAATAAAGGTATTCAAATAGGAAGACAGGAAGTCAAATCGTCTCTGTTTGCAGATGACATGATTGTATATTTAGAAAACCCCATAGTCTCAGCCCAAAATCTCCTTAAGCTGATAAGCAACTTCAGAAAAGTCTCAGGATACAAAATCAATGTGCAAAAATCACAAGCATTCCTATACACCAATAACAGACAGAGAGCCAAATCATGAGTCAATTCCCGTTCACAATTGCTACTAAGAGAAAAAAATACCTAGGAATACAACTCATAAGGAATGTGAAGGACCTCTTCCAGGAGAACTACAAACCACTGTTTAAGGAAATAAGAGAGGTCACAAACAAATGGAAAAACATTCCATGCTCATGGATAGGAAGAATCAATACTGTGACAATGGTCATACTGCCCAAAGTAATTTATAGATTCAATGCTATCCCCATCAAGCTACCACTGACTTTCTTCACAGAATTGGAAAAAACTACCTTAAACTTCATATGGAACCAAAAAAGAGCCCACATAGCCAAGACAATCCTAAGCAAAAAGAACAAAGCTGGAGGCATCATGTTGCCTGACTTCAAACTATATTACAAGGCTACAGTAACAAAAACAGCATGGTACTGGTATCAAAACAGACATATAGATCAATGGAACAGAACAGAGGCCTCAGAAATAACACCACACATCTACAACCATCTGATCTTTGAGAAACCTGACACAAACAAGCAATGGGGAAAAGATTCCCTATTTAATGAATGGTGTTGGGAAAATTGGCTAGCCATATGCAATAAACTGAAACTGGAACCCTTCCTTACACCTTCTACAAAAATTAACTCAAGATGTATTACAGAGTTAAACATAAGACCTAAAACCATAAAAATCCTAGAAGAAAACCTGGGCAGTACCATTCAGGACATAGGCATGGGCAAAGACTTCATGACTAAAGCACCAAAAGCAATGGCGACAAAAGCCAAAATAAACAAATGGGATCTAACTAAATTAAAGAGCTTCTGCACAGCAAAAGAAACTATCATCAGAGTAAACAGGCAACCTACAGAATGGGAGAAAAAAGGGCCAATATCCAGAATCTACAAAGAACTCAAACAAATTTACAAGAAAAAAACAACCCCATCAAAAAGTGGGCAAAGGATATGAACAAGCAATTCTCAAAAGAAGACATTTATGCAGTCAACAAACATATGAAAAAATGCTCATCATCACTGATCATCAGAGAAACGCAAATCAAAACCACAATGAGCTATCATCTCATGCCAGTTAGAATGGGGATCGTCAAAAAGTCAGGAAACAACAGATGTTGGAAAGGATGTGGAGAAATAGGAATGCTGTTACACTGTTGGTGGGAGTATAAATTAGTTCAACCATTGTGGAAGACAGTGTGGCAATCCCTCAAGGATCTAGAACCAGAAATACCAGTTGACCCAGCAATCCCATTACTGGGAATATACCCAAAGGATTATAAATCATTCTACTATAAAGACACATGCACACGTATGTTTATTGTGGCACTATTCACAATAGCAAAGACTTGGAACCAACCCAAATGCCCATCGATGATAGACTGGATTAAAAACATGTGGCACATACACACCATGGAATACTATGCAGCCATAAAAAAGGATGAGTTCATGTCCTTTGCAGGGACATGGATGAAGCTGGAAACCATCACTCTCAGCAAACTATCACAAGAACAGAAAACCAAACACCACATGTTCTCACTCATAAATGGGAGTTGAACAATGAGAACACATGGACATAGGGAGGGGAACATCACACACAAGGGCCTGTCAGGGGGTGAGGGGTTAGGGGAGGGATAACATTAGGAGAAATACCTAATGTAGGTGACAGGTTGATGGGTGCAGCAAACCACCATGGCACATGTATACCTATGTAACAAAACTTCACGTTGTACACATGTATCCCAGAACTTAAAGTATTTTTTATATATATATATATATATATATATGAAGAAAAAGAAAACTAGACTAACTGTGACACCTTCAGAGACAACATTTTGTATATATTTCACGATTTCTTTTTAGGGAAATGTACAAGGTCTAATTACACAAGCTGTTTATTCTCCTTATTAGCCTTTTGGGTTTCAGCATGTGTAGGTTTTATTTTTTTATTAAAAAAATTAAAAAATATTTTTTATCTTTGAACCACAAAATTTCTTAGCTATTTTTTTTTAAAACACAAGAAAAGAATAAGATATATCCACAGGAACTGCAACTAAAATTCACCAGGGAAAAAATTAAGTTGTATACCAGCTGAGAAACAATTTGCAGGAGAAACAGGACTTCATATGGTCTTTGAAAGATAGGTAAGGTCTGATTTGGGACACCTACTTTCACGTCCACAAGTGGATGAGAATCTCACCTTGAAATCCTGTTACTTCAGTCAAAACATTCAGTTTAATATCATGTTATTCGCTTAATTCGACATAGTGGTCACTTCTCGAAAGCGAAGGAGAGAAACAAGAATGAGGAGGGAAGGATTTCTCAGAGGCTTTAACTGTATCTTTATTTTACTTCTTTAAAAAAAAAAATAGACACGCAGGGAAGATCGGGTGAAGACACTGGAAGAAGGCCATTTATAAGCCAAAGAGAGAGACCTTACGAGAAATCAACCCTGTCAACCGAACACCTTGACCTCATGCTTCTAGCCTCCTGAATTGTGAGAGAATAAAATTCTGTTGTTTAAGCCACATACAAAATAATAATAATATGTAATAAAAAAATGAAGCAAAAATGGCAAAATGCAAAGATTTGACAAATTTAGGTGGTGGGGGAAAAGTTAAATTGTTTCCTTTTTATTGAAGACACCACAGGCCTCCGGGAATAATAATTGATTTTTTTAAGATAAAGCATTTCATTGTGTTTTTTGTGTGGACAAGCAGTATAAGGAAGAATAAACATGTGTGAAGCCAAAACAACACAGTACATTTACAAGACTTTGGCTCATCAAGAAGTCACTCTAGAGCCACCTAAGGTCGCACTAAACTGTGGGCATTCAGCGCAGAGCAAATCTGGATCTGCGTGAATGCCTGCTGCTGTGAATGCGGGCCAGGCCAGAGCTTCAAATGTCAGACTTCGTGTGAGAGCATCAGTTTATAGACAAACCAGAAGCCTATTGTTCTTGTAATTACTACAGGCAATGAGCATAGTTTCCAAATTGAAAACTAGACTAACTATGACGCCTTCAGAGACAACATTTTGTACATATTTCATGATTTCTTTTTAGGGAAATGCACAAGGTCTAATTACACAAGCTGTTTATTCTCCTCATTAGCCTTTTGGGTTTCAGCATGTGTGGGTTTTTCTTAAGCTTTTCTCACTATTAAACGCAGCCAAATTCGTGCTCACAGAGGAAGTCAGATTCTAGTAGGCAGCTCAACAGCAGATCTCCAAGCTACCCAAATCCACTGGGTAATCAAAAACATTCCGTAAGCTGCTGTATGACTTTTTTCTTTCCTCCCGCAAACAGCAGTAGCAGGATTAATGTCAACACACACTCCCCCATACCACCCCCACACAGGCTTAGCCTGTTTAACTGCAATTACTCTCCTGAACAAGATTCTTGTTGCCACTTGGCAAAGATGAAAAGAAGAGAGGGTAAAGAGCACAGACTATTCATATAAATAAATACAAAGTACCTTATGTTATTCGACACTTTCCACATTTCAAACGTTTTCACATATTTGATCCTTACAAATCAATGAAGAGGCAGAGGAGGTATTGCTGATCCCATTTTACAGATGAGGAAAGCTGAGGCTCAGGGAAGTGAAGTGGCTAACCAAAAAGTTATATAGCTCATAAGTGGATGGAACCCACACTCATATCTTCTGACTCTATTGCAGAGTTCTTTCTGCTGTGCCAGATGTTTGCACACTCAACTCAAAAAAACTGGTGACATAACTTTTCAAATTCCCTTATATCTACCTGTAAGTTGCAAAGTCTCCCACAGTCATGGTTGTCTAATGTATTCAATTCCTCTAGATGTTTTGGACCCAAAATCTCTCTTTCCTCACCCTCTGGCCTGCCATGGATCTGTATTTCCACCATTTGAGTTTACTTCTCCACCTAACAAGCTGGAATTTACCATGCAGGCCAGTTTTTCTCAATATTGTTTCTGAGGTACCTCCATAAGAAATACACTGGGAATATGTTAAAAATATAAATTCCTGGGCATCATCCCAAATCCATGGAATCAGAATCTTTTGGGGGTGTGTTTAGGAATTTGCATTTTTAACAAGCTCTCCCAAGCTGAATCCAGCCTTAAAGTTAAGAAGCACAGCTTTCAGCAATGAAAATCCTGGGATGTTTTAAGCCAGAGACTAGAATCACCAAAGGGTTATTTTAAGGTGATAAACTTGGAAGTAATGTTTCACATGAGCTGGAGTAGAAAGACTGGCGTCTAGGAGAACTGTCTGAGATTACTGCAGTAGCCCAACTTGAGAAACAGGATGGGAGGGAAAGAGTAAACATGGAAATAGAAAGAAAAATTCTAAAGAGCATTACATAAGTCACTACAATTTCTTCTCTTTGTTTTCTACAAAAATTTCACTTCACCCAGGCTCCATTAGACATTAGTAAGAGGCCAAGTTAATTCTGTGAGCATATTTCATCAGGGCCACAGTTCAGCTCATCTCTCTGTGTGTGTGCTGCACTTCATACGAGGGGATTTAGCTACGGTTCATGCTAGACTGCTTAATTAGTCTCCTGGGACTAAAATTGAGTTCCTTTGCTAAATTCATTTAGATCAGAAGAAAAGGTGGTAAACTTCCAGTAGCGATGTCCAAAGCATTTCAAATTCCTTTCTAAAACTACAACCCTCCAGGTTTTTCATGTGTGATGGAGAAGTTCATAGGAGCATTGCTTTCCAGGTCATTCTGTGAAACCACAGAATGTATTATCTAGGACGGTTTTCATTTTCATTTGTTTCCTTTGTCCTCACTTCCTCTCTTCTCTCTCTTTCCATCTCTCTCTCCCTCCCTCCTTCCCTCCCTTAAATGGTGGTCAAGTGTTCTTGGATGATGTTTTAGGTTTTTATCTTTCTCATAGCAGATGCTAAAATCATATCACCCTAGAATTTAGAATGCCTGAGTTCTAGTTCCAGTTTTACCACAGACTTGCTATAGGACCTTGAGTAATTCCACTCTTCCTTCTGGGGCTCAGTTTCTTCATCTGTAAAACGAGAAGACTGAACTAGCTTGTATCCAAGGTCACTCCAATCCAAATATTCTTAATTTCTAAGTTGACTTCTCTGGATCCCTTCCAGCAACATGAAAGTTTAAAATCTCCAGGTCCGAATTATTACTTGGTTCATTTGAGTTCAGAGTATATAAAATGTCTCTAAGAGTGTGCACCAGAGTCTCATGCTACAGCAGTGGAACTATAAATTGGCTTAGCTACTTAACTGTCTGCCCACACATATTTCTCACTATGACTTCTTTAATCAGGTCCAGTGCAACTAGGTAAGGGAGAGACATGTTAAAATAATAAGTAGTCACCTTAGCATCTGGTCACATCAGAGAAGTGTCGCATGCCTTTTATTCACCACAGGGCCTCTCTATAAATAATTTTCCACCTCTTTCATCCTCCTACCATTACACTCACCAAGAAACATGTGCTGATGCCATAGACACATATGCCAATGCAGCAGCAGTACTAAGATGAACAACACATGTTCCTTGCCTTCTTAGAGCTAGTTAGAGACATGTGGACACTGATGGATGGAGGTGTTTTAAGTTGCCATGAATCTTAACAGTCATAATGTAGCCAAAAGTGCAACTTTTCATGTACTTAAAAGCAGCAAATGCTTTGGGTTTGGTTTTTTGGGGTGTGTGTGTGTGTGTGTGTGTGTGTGTGTGTGTGTGTTTTGTGTTTTCTTAATGCACAGATGCTAAACATATATAAGCAAAGATCCATAACCTGATGTCCATAGTTCTGAAAGCCCTGTCCCATTTCCCAGTGATTAGACAACATTCTTATCATCATCTAATTCAAGATCCATTACAATGTGGACCTATCATTCACTCATTCAGTTATTTGATAAATGTTTACTAAATGAATGCCAATTATGTGCCAGGCACTGTGCAAGGAAATCAGAATTCTCTAGTGAATGGGACAGACACAGTCTCTGCCCTCATGATGTGTAAAAATCTGTGAGAGGAAGGTGGATGAGAGATAGTAATCAAATATTTAAAAGAATAAAATGTAATATATAGTATACATATATGTTTCACATACACACACACACATTTGGAAAAAGTTGGGATGTATATATACTCAAATGTTAATAGTAATAATTGCTGGGGGGTAGAATTGTGATTTTTTTTCTTTTCCTTATAACGTTTTGTATATCCTCTGATTTTTTTTTGCAAGCACTACACTTTTATAATGAGAAAAAAAGCAATTTTCATTGTAAAAAAATTTATGCTTTTGAAGATTTATTGACAGGAAAATATCATATTGCTAAAAACAAAAGTTTCAAAACAACAAATATATAATAAGATTTCATTTTGATTATATAATACAGTAAAAAGTAACTGGAAGAGCATGTACCAAAATACTAGTAGCAGTTATCTTTGGTGGGATAATACTCCATTTTTTCTTTTAGGCTTTTTAAAAATTATCCAAGATTTCTATACTGAGCATATAACTTTTTATTTATTTTAGCCTTAGAATCTCACCACCTCAAGGAAGCTGCCTTTGGCCAGCACCATACTGTGATCACCTGATCTTCCTCTACTGAACGCCTGTACAACTTGTTGCCACATTAACACCAAGCACAAGATACGGTTCTCATCATTATTTTTCTGTGAGCTCTGTGAGGGAGGTACCAGATGTTTGAGTTCTTTCACTCACACAACCATTTTATCATGGTCAATAAATACGGGTGTCTCCATTCAATCGCTGGTACCCTCAAATCCAACCTGGATGTACCAGTGCTGTGTGTAGGGTTGGTTTGTGAGTTACTCCCCTCAGCAGCCCCCACACCTTGTTCCTAGCTCTCTACCCGGAGGGCCTGTCATCATCATCTCCTGACACCAAGTGCACTTCCAAGGGTTAGAAGCTCATTTCTAAACTGAGAGTTTTTCTGCCTCAACCCATCAAGGTTCACTGTGAAAAGTGAAACCAGCAGATGGAACAGAAGGAAAGGGTTCATTATTACAGAACATAATTTATTACCCACAGGATTCCTGAGTCATTGCCGCTGGGTGAGGAAAGAGATTCAGAGAATGTTGAGCCTGGAAGGGAGGCAAGCAAGAGGCTCAAGTTTACCAATGGAGAAGCCAGGTACACAGATAACGAGTGATGTGCCCCGAGTCCTACAACAAGTTGATGGCAGAGTGGTTTCTTCCACTGCAGAAGCCTGAGAGATAAATTAGAATACAAAGTAATCTGCATAGGATGAGGGTGTGACAGTGTGGTAAAGGGGAAACTTCCACGTTTTTCTCTGTGCTGTTTGCATCTTGCACAAGGAGACTGCAAGATATTTATGAATTGATGATTAATGTTCAACAAAGATATACCTTTTTAAAAAAAAATACCTGACAAATAGAATAGCTTTTACTAATAGCATCAGCTCTCTGGACAGATTTCTGGGACTGCTTGTCTGGCTTCTTCTCAAATTCATGCAGCACCCTCCAGCTGCAAAGTACGTGGTTAAGAGAAAGAATAGACTTCAGGATCAGACAGGTTCAAGTTTGAATGTAAACTTGATTTCTTACCAGCTATGTGATTTGGGTGAGTTAATGACCTCCTTGTGCCTCTGTTTCCTCAGCAGTGGAGGATGGAGATAATGGTATTACATAGCTCACAGAGTTACCTTAAGACTTAAACAAGGTAAAGCATGATGGTGCTCAGAACAGTGCCTGGAGCATAGCAGCTGCTCACTTTGCCACCTTGGTTTTTCATCACTTTCCTTGAGGATACTGTTATCGCTACCACTACTTCCACACTGGTTTCGTGACATGAGACAGAGGCCACTTCTCATTCAGCTGCTTTACTCAGGTTGCTCTTGTTCCCTAGAATGGCCTCCTCTCTTCTTCCAGCCCATCAAAAGCCTGAATTTTCTTCTATACTCAACTCAAGATTCACCCTCCAAAATTATCCCTAAATCACTGTCAAAAGTCTCCCTCTCTCCAAATGGTGATTATGTGTTGGGAAGGTGGTGGTAATGTTTAAAGGTCTGAGCAAACACAGTGAGACAACACAGCAAAGAGGAAAGAGTCTGAGCTTTGGCATCAAAAGGCTCTGACTAAAAATTGCTCATCTGCCAAATACCAACTGTGCGACCTGGAACAAATCACTTTAAACTCTCTGAGCCTTCATTTCTTCATCTGTTAAATAAGCCTCATAATCCCCCTAGCTATCTCTTCTGACAGAAACAGTCCAATAGACAACAGCATTAAGGATAAGAGTAAGCAAGAAGGAACAGGAGGGAAAAAGAATCAAGGGCAGGCAAAAGAACCAGGGGCCGGGGGTGGAGTGTGATGAAGATGGACAAAACCCAATTGAGGGGAACAGTGCAAGGACCTCATGTCTGTCATTAGCAGAAAAATCAGTCATGATTCCTATGAGCAGAGCCCAGTGGGCCTCATGACAGCAGATTGGTGCAGATAAAGTTTCTATCAGAAAAGCAAGGTAGGTTAGTTTCGCATTACTTAGGAAAAGACCTGGAAAGGGGAGAAAAAGGCAACAACTTATCCTTCAAAGTGTCAACAGATGGCCTAGCTGGGATGCTCCGTGACAAGGTGTGTAATGAGTAACTGTTTTTTATTGAATTCAGCTACACAGTGTTCAAGGCATATTTTGGTGGCAAGTTTTTGGCTCCCTAGCATATTTTCCCCATCTCTTATTTTTATAACAAACCCTGCCATGTGCACCATTACCCTCACCCAGAGCTCACAGAGATAGACAGATGACCCAAATCAGCCAATCAGAATATCCCATTTCCAGGGATCCTACTCAAAATAGTTCACAACTAGCACAGCAAGGGGGCCAAGATTCAGGATGGGCTCCTGCCACAATGGTATACACCTGCTGAATGTCAGCCCTGCCCACTCCTCTAGGCATAGGATGAGTCTAGTGGTGGACCCAAGACCACATGGGGCCAATCAGATCTTTCTCTGGGCATGAAAAAAAAATGGACCTTGGAAAGAAGGAAAGCTCTTTACATTAGGAGAGTTAAGATGTAAAACCTGAGATAAGAGAGGAAAATGAAAACAATCAGACAAGCAGGAATGAGAGATAAGCAGGGAAAAAACCCTGGTGAAGTTGTGTCCTGATTCTCAAGTCCCTGATCCTACAGTTCTCTCCTTAATTCTATGGTCTGCACCACCATCCTTCCCAGTTGCCTGAGCCAATCAACTCATTTTTTCTTAAGCTAGTTCAAATTGGGTTTGTCTTGGACAATCAAGGGTTCTGACAAAAACTCCTCCACTCACAATGTCAAACTTTAGCTGTGCACAAGAAGTGGCCATGTACCAAATTAATTACAGTAGAAAGACAAGGGAGCATTTGAAGGAGAAAAAAGGAAAGGCCCTGAATCTGAGGATTCACCCTTGGGAGAAAAACATCTCCACCCACAGCACATTTGGCCACTGGAGATAGTTAATCTTAGAAAAACATCTGCTGACAATTGAGCCTTGAAGGCTCACAGTGCCTCTCCTTGTCACAGCATCCCTGTCTATACTAAGTACCCCACAGGCCTCAGGAGCTCAGTCAGCTTCAAGTTAATACACACCTTTTCCTGGGCTGAGATATCACCAGCCCCAGGTTGTTTTGAGCAAGCAAGTTCCACTATGACAAACTATTACTGTTTAAGCATTCATCAGGAATGAAGTCTCTGGGCTTCACATACAGT
The DNA here is from genome assembly GCF_000001405.40 of Homo sapiens. Lineage (NCBI taxonomy): Eukaryota > Metazoa > Chordata > Mammalia > Primates > Hominidae > Homo > Homo sapiens. The sequence goes on from NC_000003.12 coordinate 4,225,447, forward strand.
AAGCACCCAATGAATGCTTGTGTCATAAAAGAATAACCATGCACCACAACACAAACTTCTCAGCCTCCAACTTGACCAGATAGAACAGCAGCTTCAGTCTATGGTAAATAAACCCAGCTAACACACATGCAGACAAACAGCACTGGTGAATAGTCCAAATCGCTGGTGACAGGAACTCAAATGACCAAAACCCATGGCTTTGTCAGATCAATCCACGTCTCAGTGACCTGAATCATGAGCAGAGAGTAGAAGTCACCTGAGGTTATAAAAGTCTCTGTAGGTTCTTTACAATTAAGAAAAATCCCTGAAGTGCAAATACTCAAAAATGCAGAGCTTAGTAAAGGCCTGTACAAAGAATACCTTCAGTTTATCCCACTTAGAAAAGTACATCAAAATGGTTGAATAACCCCAGTCAGACATGACTAGGCTTACAAGTACTTATGGCTTACTATAAGGCTATGCATCAAGTGATGCCAATAAAACAGGAAGATGTAGGATGGAGAGCCCATCAGAGGGCAGGATGGTGGGAGCAGAAACAGAATAGGAGGAGGACACCAGCCTCACACTCTTCCAGGTCATAAAGATGACTGATTAACCTCTACCATGATTCCCTCAACTGGAGAAACTTCTGGCCCACTCCAAATACATAGGATCTACCCGCTCGCCATTTATAAGCAATAATAGTAAGCATTCAATAAATTGTATGCGCTGAATAAGCTAGCACTTGGAAAGAGCTTCAACAGTGTTTAGACACTTAATAAGGGCCTTATAACTGTTAGCTATTACCACCATCATGATTATTGTTTTTTTTTTGTTTCTTTTTTTTTTTTTTTTTTTTTTTGAGACAGAGTCTCACTCTTTCACCCAGGCTGGAGTGCAGTAGCATGATCTTGGCTCACTGCAACCTCTGCCTCCTGGGTTAAAACGATTCTCCTGCCTCAGCCTCCTGAGTAGCTGGGACTACAGGTGCACCCCACCATGCCCAGCTAATTTTTGTCTTTTTAGTAGAGACGGGGTTTCACCATGGTGGCCAGGATGTTCTCGATCCCTTGACCTCATGATTTGCCCACCTCGGCCTACCAAAGTGCTGGGATTACAAGCATGAGCCACTGTGCCTGGCCATGATTATTGTTTTTAATCTCCGCAGCACTTATATGAATTAGCTACTATTTGCTATGGTTATTTTATTAATATATTCATTTCCATATTTTATATGGAATTGGATGCTTAGAGAGATAGTGTGAGCTGTACAAAGTTACTCTATAAGCAGAGGAGCTTCAATTCTAAACGAGACAACCTGGCTCAAGTGCTCTTAACAATTATGCTCTACTGCCTCACTTCAAATCAAAAAGGAGTTTCAAAAAACCCAAGGAACTGCCTCCTGCCAGTAACTTTTATATGCTATGACTATGTAAGCATGACCTTCTCACTTCTCCCGTCCCCTACTCCAGTGGTTCTCAAACATTACATACATTAAAATCACTCTGGGGGCTAAAACACAGATTTCTGGGTCCCATCCTCAGAGTTTCTGATTCAGGAGGCATGGGGTGGAACTTGGGAGTTTCCATTTCTGGCACTTTCCCTAATAATGCTGGTCCTGCTGGTACAGACACTACACTCAAACAACCCCTGCCCCATTCTAGCCCTCAACTCATGATTCTACCAATCATTCAAATGGCCAAGTTCTCCAAGAAGCATTCTAGAGCTTCTTTGGGTATAACGATATGGTTACAACACATCCGTCTCCTTCCTTTTCACACACTCTCATTTCCTTGACCATTCAAGTCATTCATTCCACACATGATTACCAAGCTCCTACTATGTGCCTGCAACAGGCACTGGGGATACAGCCATGAACACTGCAGAATGGATCGCCACCCTGCAGAAGCACACAGTAGGTGTTAACCAAATGAACACACAAAATACACTACATTTCAAATTGGTCAAGTGCTATGAAGAAAAATAACTGCTTCTACAACAGAAAACCACAAGGGAAACTGTAGTGGAGATCCATCGGCTTTCATCTATCCAGTAGCCATTCTTCCCTGTTCCTCCCCGCCGGACTTCCTGAGTCACCCCTCCCTCACACAGATAGACATGTTCTCCACACTACCTTGGGAGATTAACCTCAAACACAGGGCTCCACACTCTCCCTAATCCAGGCCTAGCCAGACCAGAAAAGAGAAACCTTAATGGTCTCTAGCCATTGCTCCTTTTCCCCCTGCTATGTGGTGGAAGTCAGTCCTCAGGTGGGAAGAATGAGAACAACAGTGAGCCATGGAGTTAAGAGGTGGGAGGAGCACAGCAGAGCTAAAATGCAGGAGGCATTGCTTTTAGTCCCTAGAGCCAGTCATGCTTGAGGTCAGCTCCATCCCTGGGCTCCCTGTTTCAGGAGCCAACACATTCCTTTTTCTAATTTTCATTACTTTATTGCAAATAATCATTATGAATACAGAGACCTAATTTATATTTGAGTGTGATGCTTCTTTGAAGAAGTAATACTTAGGTTAAGACCTAAAGAATGAGTTGGAGTAGCCATAGGGACAGTTGGAGGTTACAGAAAGAGAACACAATGTATGCAAAGGCCCTGCAATGGGAAAGAGTTTCCTGCAGGAACTAAAAGCAGAAGGGGTGTGGTGGACCAGTGTGGTGGGAGAGGAGGGGAGAGAGGTAGTTGGGGTTGGACCATGCAGACTATGTGGATGACTTTGTAAGTCATTTTCAATATATCATTTATAACTATGAATCTTCAGTTTATCTTATGATTTCAGTGAAAATAACTTTATTTAAGTCAAAATTAATTTTCCTAGACACCTGCTCTAACTCAAAACATAGTTATCCACATACCAAGCCACCCTACTATGTCTCCTTCACCCTTTGTATATACACATCTCTTGCTGCATTCAGCTAACTCTGGGCCCCAATTCCCCTCATCCTAGATTAGAAAAAAAAGCACACATCCTCTGGTAGCAGATGGCAAGTGACAGAATACTCAGGGTAGCACTGCTGTTCCAATAACTAAGTTTATGGAAAGCAGCCCCCGTGGGGCCAATTAGAACCAACTCTGACTAATAGCAGCCACATTCTCTGATCTGCCCTCACCTTTATGCGGCTCTGCTTCACTGCTTCCCTAGGTCTGATGTATGGGGAATTTAAGGGTGATAGAAAATGTGGTTACTGAGAAGTTCAAACACCTGCTCTCTTTAAATAAAAGGACATTCAATATTCTTTCCTCCAGCTTTCCAAGGTCCCAAATCCTAAAAACCACACTGTAAATTCTTAGAACCCTGACATATCAATTCTTTTAAATGGACCATTTTAGTTAGTAATAAAAGTACCCAGTGGCAGCAGCACTAGAAAGAGATGCCTCTTACAGCCATTACTAGATGTCAGGCACCAAGAGGAGCCCCTCCATCCTTTGTCTCATAAACCTACAATTTTTTCCAAATTGCGAATACAGAAATTGAAGCTCAAAAAGGTGAATTATTGTAACTAAGGGTGGCTAGAAGGTAAAGGTAAGAAATGAGAGTCAAACCCAAATGCCAAAGTGTGTGCCAATAACCACAGTGTTATGTGACCTTCATTATCAAGAAACTGTGCTGAGTGATGTACGAAGCAATTTAGATGAAAACGGCAACTAGCCTCCAGGAATATAAACTCCAAGTGAAATAAAACAAGGACATACATACAGATAAGTAAAATGTTGAACAAATAAACACACTCTGTGTGGCCAATCTCTCACTGGCTGGTCTAAACTTAGGACTCAAGAGAAGCATCCTTCCCTGGTTGTCACAAGAATCCACTGCCCACCCGGACAATCATCCTCCTTCATATGCTAGCAACTAGGTGTGTATGTTCCATTCCTGTGAAATCCTCTGGTGAGCCTTTGATAATCCACCTTTCTTATAAATGTCCACAGCCCCAAAAGCCAAGAAGAGAAACCACAAGAGCATGTCTTAGCCATGTCATTTCTCCTAAGACTTTCAGCACCATTCCTTACTAACCAGGTAATTTGAGAAAAACTATTGCACCTCTCCAGGCCTTAGTTCTCTCATCTATGAAATTACCTTGCTTAGGAGGTTGCTGTGAGGACTACATGAAATAATTCATACATAATGTTTGGCATTTAGCATAATGCCTGACACACAGTAAACATTTAATAAATTCCAATTATTATGGGCCATATCATCAAGTATGATCTGCTCCAAGAAAATAAGAAGTCTGAAAATCAGAATTTCCAAATAGATACATTAAAAATTATTAACAACACTAAAAGAAACTTCAGAGCCAGGCACAGTGGCTCATGTCTCTAATCCCAGCACTTTGGGTAGCCAAGGTAGGAGAACTGCTTGAGACAAAGAGTTTGAGACCAGCCTGGGCAACATAGCAAGACCCTATCTCTACAAAAAAAAATTAATTAGCTGGGCAAGGTGGCATGCACCTAGAGTTCCAGCTACTCTGGAGGCTGAGGCGGGAGGATCCCTTGAGCCCAGGAGTTTAACACTGCAGTCAGCTATAATTGCTCCATTGCACTCCAGCTTGGGTGACAGAGTGAGACCTTGTCACCAAAAAAAAAGAAAAGAAAAGAAAAAGAAACTTCATTTTGTGAGAATTTACGATAGTTTTTTTTTTTTAGATAGAAGTTTCCCTAGAGCATTACAAATGTGACTTGGTCTGTGCTGTTTCTACTCACAGCACTTCCAAAACCAAATGTGTCCTTTCTTTCCTTACAGCAACCAATTCTCCAACTCTCCAGACACCAACCAGTTGTCCTGCAGTCCAACTCAATTCTGACACTAACTACTCAGAGTTAAACTTCGCAGGTTTAAAGGTTCAGTCCCACAAGACTGCCCTCATTTCAGATGCCAATCATAAGTATTGTGCCCACAATCATAAGTGCCAACAGTTTGGTCTGTCTTGGCAACAAAAGAAGAAGAGTTCCTACAACCCACCTTTCTGTTTTGATAATTTGGTAAAATGGCTTACAGAACCCAGGGCAACACTTGACTTATATTTATTGGTTTATTATAAAGGATACAACTCAGGAAAGCCAGACGGAAAAGGCACATGGGGCAAGAAAGGAGGAGACAGGTGTGTGGAGCTTCCGTGCCCTCTCCGGATACGCCACCTTCCCAGCACCTCAACATGTTCACCAAACTGGAAGTTCTCCAGAGGATTCATAACCTAGGTATGACTGATTAAATCATTGCCCGCTGGTGATTAGCTCAATCTTCAGCCCCTCTCTCTTCCCCAGTGGTGGGGCCGAAATTCCCAATCCTCTAATCGTGCCTTCGTCTTTCTGGTGACCAGCCCCCATTCTGAAGCTGTCTGGGGGCCTCCAGCCACCAGTCATCCCATTGGTAAACAAAAGACACTCCTATCACTCCGGAGATTCCAAGGGCTTTAGGACCTGTGTACAAGAAACTGGGGACCAAACACATATTTTTTATTTTATCACATATGGGTTCCCAAAAGTTACCTTACCACAACTTTGAAAAAAGTCTATGCTTTAAAGGGAGGTACATGTGAATTACAGGGTTTCATAACCCTATGTCTACAAAAGATTTATAGAAGGGATAAGAATATTATCAGAAAGATCTGCCCATTTCTAGAGAAAGAACACCAGCTAACAGATATTCCTGAACAATTCACCATGCCAGAGAATGACAAAAAGCGAAATTTTCCAGCCTGGAACTGACTACAGAGCTGGCCTGCTAATAGCTAGGCACAATCGAGTTTTGAGAGGTGGGAACGCATTTATTACAAGAAAATGAGGAAGAGGACTGTGATGCAACCAACTATGTAATCTTAGCCAGGTCACATAACCTTTAGGACTTCAGTTTCCCTGTTAATGAAATGAGATCATTGTACATAAATGATTTTTCAGGCCCATTTTGGTTTTTAAATGCAACGACCTTAGAAAGCCTACCATTGCCTGCAGAAGATAATACAGAGAACTTTTCTCAAATAACACCACACTTCAAATAGAAAGCATGCTACTAATACATTATTTCAATCTCTAACCTTGTCCCTTGCTGTTACCCAAACAAGTTAACAATTTAATCTGTAAGAAATGAAACTTGAATTGATTATTTTGAAGAGCAGGTCACAGAGGTATCTGCTATCCTAATTGCCCCAATGATATGCCCTTTCCTGCTTTGCATGCAAAGAAGGGGACATCCTCTTCAAAAATCAGGGGCAGGCAGAACAGCCTTCTGTTAAGAAATCACTGTTCCTTAATAACACATAGCCCTTCATGTTGGAAAAATCACTGCATTTATCTGAGAAGTGTGTCAACAGCTGCATGTTGAGAAGAATCTTGGCAATGGGAGGTAAATATGTATGCTACATGGGTATCCGGAAAACAAAAATCATCCTACCTTTATGTCACAGTCATAAAGAATTTTATCACATAAAGAATGTATCAACTCTCAGAGTGAACTCATTACAGATAAATTCATTACATGTTTTATTAAGTCTAGGAAAAAGATGCATTTCTTAATTTGTCAAGTGGCAAAGAGTATAGGTGGTATTGAAGAGAATTATTTTAATGGGAATGATCAGAACAAGTAACTGAAACTAGTGAGTGTCTCATGTAAATTCCTCCTGGTGCTTCATTGATAAATGTAAATGGAGTCCATCTTAGGTAACCAGACTCAGCATATGCATCAAAGTTCTTATTTGTAAGCAGCAAAACTGACATTGACTAATTTTATCAAAAGCAACCATACTGGGGCAGGAGAGTGTCAGACCCAATAGGAGCCTGGAAGAGCAGGCTTAGAACCATGCAGCAACCAAGGAACTCCAAGAGGCCAAGATGAGGGAAAGACAGCAAGCACGTTGTTGCCAGAACAGTCAAACCAAAATGTCACTGCAGCTGTTCCCCGCGATGAATAATATCCAACTGTACTTTGTGTCCTTAAATCACTCAGTCAAGATTCAAAATTCTGAGGAAGAATATGACTGCCAGGGTTCATCACGTCAGTCCCCTGTGAGCCAAGAGAAGGAGGCTCTGTGCTCTTCAGATTCCATAGAGAGACAAGCACCTGAAAATTTACCCTCCCAGCAATACTACATGAAACAGTGGAGAATGGTCCCTCAAAGGAAATCAGGGAATTATTCAAAAGGAAGAATTTATGCTTGCTTGCCGCCAAAAGAAAACAAAAAAAAATGAAAGAAAGCTATAACCAACAGAGTTGTATCTGTATTTGTTTGGTTATCATTTAATAAATTATTCAAGGCCATATGGTATTTTTTTTTAAAAGGCAGTCCGGGGTATAGAAGATCTCACTATCAAAAATAAAAATTCAATATCTAATACATTCTCAGCACCTTAGATGTCCGTAGCTGTTGTGCGTTAAGAAAGAATGGGATTCCAATGCAGGTGTTATGCCTGTACTCAAAGCAAAAATGTCCAAGCACCAGGTTGCCAGACAAATCCCCACAGAGTCATTGGGTTACAGTCCTCCTTTTCCTCCCTCATCTGAAGAAGGATAAAAAATGCAGGTGAATCCACGGGTCTCACCAGGAGTCCCTAACTTTCAAATTTAAATATGTGCAGCTGCAGTTAACAAAAGCCTCTGGTGTTAAGTAAAGCAAACATCTGTACCCACTCCTAAGCCAGGTTTTCAATAGTGAATGCAAAACAAATGATCTGGACTTAGGAAGCCTCATCCTCAGATCCCAAAAACAAATGGGATGTTTGGCAGCAGCAGACGCTTTACAGATCACTGCTACACCTTCTGTGGGAGCTTGGTCAGCATTTATTCTGAGATCCGCAGATGGCATTATGAGAGATGTCATTATGGCCTAGCAGGTCAATGTTAGTTGATGTGTTTAAAAATCTATCTATTCCAAACCTTCCTACTTCACTGAACAATGAGGTATATGTTATAGCAATAACATTTCTTGTAGGGAGTTTTGACCTACAGTGGGCCATTTTCTTTTTTTATGAGCCGTTTTCATTTTTAATATAAATTTCTCACAAGCTCTTCTTCCTATTCCATGAGAAAGTAGTCAACTTAGATGCTTTCAGTGAGCAATTACTAAGCTATAAAATAAGTACCAAGCTAATTTGGTGTGTGTGGTTTTTTAACATAAACAAAAGGCTTCCCTGTTATACTGACAGAACAGACAACCAATTTGAATTGTTTAAAATAAAGTATTCAATTTAGAAAGGCCTTAAAATACCACACTGCAGTTTCAAAATGTCTGAGTCATGAAAGACTGTTTGGGCACAGATGAGCAGATGTGAAATGCTATTACAGAAGTTTCTTAAGGGAGTCCCTGAACCTATGTGAGTTAGGTAAGGACATGAGTTTAAAACGAAGTCAATACTAAATAAGCTTCAGAAAAAAGGGTATGTGGTTAAAAGCAGAGTACTGCTCTTCCCTTCCTCAAAGTAACAGCACCAGGGTTTGCACCGATGCACCAATAAATATTCATTTGTACCCAGAGATGCTCCAACATTGACCAGATTCCCCCAGGGACTAGGTCACACTTACCTAATTAGCAATTAACTCTTATTGTTCATTAGTGTCCCATATGTACTGAAGCAATGACCTCCTGGCCTGAAAGAATTATGGCCATTTTTCTAAAGGCGCCTAAACTGGGAACTTGGATAATTTTTCAAAAGATGCACAATGCTAACAATTGTACGGGTGTTTAATTTACCCATAGTTACAGATAGTCAAAAGAACTGGGATCTGGTCCTGACTCTTGTTTCTACAAGTTGCTTAACCTTTCTGACCCTCTGTTTCCTCACTTTTAAAGTCAGAGGTTGAATAATTATATAATTTTTATAATTAAATATTTATATTTTATAGAAATAAATTCGCATGCAAGAAAAGGAACTGATTTATCAAAAGTCAAAGGGAATATGAATTGTTACAGGTCTTTCAACTTCTAAGCACAAGCAGCAATTGGAAACTTTACCTTCAGGTATTAAATGTTTTCTTTCATGTTTCTGCTTTTGTTTTATCCTCCCTCAGACTTTATAATGCTAACTCCCTATGTAGATGCTGGATGGTATCTTTTCGTTTCTCCTGCTCATTCACGTATCCATTCAACTAACATGTATATGACTGTTTATGTGTATTCATATATATACAGAACTCACAGCCTAGTAGGATCATTTGTGCAAGCAAGAATTACTGTACAGCATGATATATGCTCCAAAAGAAGAAGTAAAAATTTCCCTGCAAACACCTATTAGTGGTTCCTATTCCAGACTTTAGTGTTAAGGAAGTATTTGGGGAGAAGGGAATATCTCAGCCAACTTCAGATGCAGAAGATGAGAATGGGCTACCAGTTAAAGAGGGATGGGGGAACTATTCCAGGCCAAAAAAAGAAAAAAGCCTACATGACATTCCAGAAGCAAAAGAGAGCATGGCATCGTCAAGGAAAATAAATTCGTTTAGCAAGAAGTGGGCTAACAAGGTCTGAAGATGCATTATCAAGGGCATTTGTATGTAGATGTGTGTGTGTATCCACATATCCATATATGTATAATACATATCAGAGGTTTAACAGGAACGTAACATTGACTGAATTTGTATTTTAAAAAGATCACTCCGGCTGCAGTTGGGTGAATAAATTTGAAGACAGTAACACCAGAGGCAGAGAAACCAGGCAGGAAACAGCTGCAGTAACCTAGCTGAGAAACAACAGTGGGCTGGACAAGAGCAACAGCAGTAGAGACAAAGGAAAGTGGATGGAAATATCTAAAATGTAGCAGAAAGCATCAACAGAACTTTATGACTGGCTGGATAAAGGGGGATAAGGGAGAGGAAGGAGTCAAGATTAACACCTTATTTTCTTGCCTGAGCAATTATCTGAGGGTGGTGCCATCCATTGTCATGTGGCAGATTAACAAGTTCTAGGGGTAAGGATAAATACAGTTTTGAATTTCATAAATTTGAGGCACCTGTTCAGGAGAATAATACTAGGCTAGACCAGAGATACAGATTTGGGAGTCACCAGCATATCAAAGGCAAAATCAAGTAGGGAGAAAGTACTAAGAAGAAAATACAGCATAGAAGAAAGCCCTTAGGATAACCAATTAGTAAATGACTAAATTAACCATTATACAACTCTAAATTACGCAAGTGCTAAAAATTATAATTAGGAAAAATGCTTTACGATATTCTGTTGCATTTAAGAGATATATCATAAAACCAAATGTATTACCTCTATGTACTTACAAGGGAACATCCTAGGCCCTTCTCTGGACATTCCTAGAGAACCTCATGCCCTCATATTTCTTATGGCAGTGGAAGGTTGGGACAAGGAGTCAGGAAAACTATCTGCTGATATTTTTTATGCATAAGCATCTAAAATCATTAGATGCAAGTACCATCTCCCTCCCCTTCTTTTCATTCAACGCTGCCCTGAATCACTGCTTCCCTCCCCACCTGCCATGCTACTCGTCTCTGAGGTGGTTTCCATGGCAGTGATGAAGCATTAAAGAGGAAATACAAGCACATGTCTATACCAATGTGTACAATAATTTTTTTGAGACAGGGTCTGGCTCTGTCATACAGGTTGGAGTTCAGCGATAGGATTTTGGCTCACCATAACCTCTACCTACCTGTCTCAAGCCATTCCCCTACCTTAGCCCCCCAGATAGCTGGGATAACCAGGCATGCATCACCACATCTTGCTAATTTTTTGTATAGATGGGGTTTTGCCATGTTGCCCAGGCTGGTCTTGAACTTCTGGGCTAAAGTGATCCTTCCACCTAGATAGTAAAAATTCAGTTTAAAAGCTACAAAGGAAACTAATAGAAAAACCACATATCTAACAGAAATTGGCAAGGGATAATAAATGTGAGCTAACTTTCTCATATTCATATTGATAAGTTGTAAATTTCCCAAAGCTAAGAAATCAAGGACAAGAGATATAAGCACCTTACAACTACCAAAGGAACTAAAAAGAAAAATGAGAAATGGTCAAAGATAAATGCTTTTTCTAATGACTGGGCCATTAGGAAAAGGGGGAAAATACATTTTTAAAAAAATAGACTTTAGCCAGGCTCGCAGGCACCTGCCTATAGTCCCAGCTACTCAGGAGGCCGAAGCAGGAGGATCACTTGAACCCAGAAGTTCAAGTTCAGCATGGGCAACATAGTGAGACCCCCCATCTCTAAATAAATAAATAAATAAACAAACTTTGTTCTCTAGAGCAGTTTTAGGTTCACAGCAAAATTGTGCAGAAAGTACAGAGTTCTCATATATCCCTTGTCACCTATCAACATCCTGTGCTAGAGCAGTATGTTTGTAACAATCAATGAACCAACATTGATACACCATTATCACCTAAAGTCCATCATTTATATTAAGGTTCACCCTTAGTGTTGTACATTCTATGGGTTTTGACAAACGTATAATGACAAACCATTATATCATACAGAATGGTTTAAGCGTTCCAAAAACTCTGTGTTCCACCTATTCATCCCTGTTACCCCACTGACCCCTGTCAGTCACTGATCTTTTACTGTCTTCATACTTTTCCCTTTTCCAGAATGTCATATAATAGAAATTATACTGTATATACCCTTTTTAAATTGGCTTCTTTCACTTAGAAATATGAGTTTAAGTTTCCTCCATGTCTTTTCATAACTGGGTAGCTTATTTCCTTATACAGCTAAATAATATCACATCATAGGGATATATCATAGTTTATTTATTCATTCACCCAGTGAAGAACATCTTTGGTGGAGTGCATGGTAAGAGTAAATCTAGTTTTACAAGAAGCTGCCAAACTGTTTTGCACAGTGGCTGTACCATTTTGCATTTCTACCAGCAGTGAAGGAGTTCCTGTTGCTCCATGTACTCACCAGCATTTGATGTTGTCAGTGTTTTGGATTTTTACAATCCTAATCAATGTGTACTGGTATCTCATTTTTTTAAATTTGCAATTCCATAATGACATATGATGTTGAACATATTTTCTTATGCTTATTTGTCACTTGTATACCTTCTTTGATTATGTGTGTGTGTTCAGATCTTTTGCCCATTTTTTAATTGGGTTGTTCATTTTCTTATTCCTGAGTTTTAAAAGTTTTTAAATATTTTAGATAATAGTCCTTTATCATACATGTCTTTTGCAAATATTTTTCTCCCAGTCTGTCACTTATCATTCTCTTGACAGTGTCTTTTGCAGAGCAGAAATATTAAATTTTAATGCAGTACAACTTATCAATTGTTCCTTTCATGAATTGTGCCTTTTGTGTTGCATCTAGAAAGATCTAAGAAGTCATTGCCAAGCCCAAGATCATCTAAATTTTCAGTCATATTTTAGGATTTTTGTAATTTTGCATTTTACACATAGATCTATAGCCCATTTTTTAAATACTTTAAGTGCTGGGATACATGTACAGAAAGTGCATGTTTGTTACATAGGTATACATGTGCCATGGTGATTTGCTGCACCCATCAACTCATCATCTACATTAGGTATTGGTCCTAATGCTATCCCTCCCCTAGCCCCACAACCCCCAACAGGCCCCAGTGTGTAATGTTCCCCTCCCTGTTTCCATGTGTTCTCATTGTTCAACTCCCACTTATGAGTGAGAACATGTGGTGTTTGGTTTTCTGTTCCTGTGTTAGTTTGCTGAGAATGGTGGTTTCCAGCTTCATCCATGTCCCTGCAAAGGACAGAAACTCATCCTTTTTATGGCTGCATAGTATTCCATGGTGCATATGTGCCATATTTTCTTTATCCAGTCTATCATTGATGGGCATTTGGGTGGGTTCCAAGTCTTTGCTTTTGTGAACAGTGCTGCAATAAACATACGTGTGCATGTGTCTTTATAGAATGATTTATATTCCTTTGGGTATATACCCAGTAACGGGATTGCTGGGTCAAATGTTATTTCTGGTTCTAGATCCTTGAGGAATTGCCATACTGTTTTCCACAGTGGTTGAACTAATTTACACTCCCACCAACAGTGTAAAAGCATTCCTATTTCTCCAAATCCTCTCCAGCATCTGTTGTTTCCTGACTTTTCAATGATCATCATTCTAACTGGCATGAGATGGTATCTCATTGTGGTTTTAATTTGCATTTCTCTAACGACCAGTGACGATGAGTTTTTCATATGTCTGTTGGCTGCATAAATGCCTTCTTTTGAGAAGTGTCTGTTCATATCCTTCACCTACTTTTTGATGGGGTTGTTTCTTTTTTTCTCATAAATTTGTTTAAGTCATTTGTAGATTCTGGATATTAGCCCTTTGTCAGATGGATAGATTGCAAAAATTTTCTCCCATTCTGTAGGTTGCCTGTTCACTCTGATGGTAGTTTCTTTTGCTGTGCAGAAGCTCTTTAGTTTAATAAGATCCCATTTGTCTATTTTGGCTTTTGTTGCCGTTGCTTTTGGTGTTTTAGTCATGAAGTATTTGCCCATGCCTATGTCCTGAATGGTATTGCCCAGGTTTTCTTCCAGGGCTTTTATGGTTTTAGGTCTTACACTTAAGCCTTTAATCCATCTTGGGTTAATTTTTCTATAAGGTGTAAGGAAGGGATCCAGTTTCAGCTTTCTGCATATGGCTAGCCAGCTTTCCCAACACCATTTATTAAATAGGGAATCCTTTCCCTATTGCTTGTTTTTGCCAGGTTTGTCAAAGATCAGATGGTTGTAGATGTGTCGCATTATTTCTGAGGGCTCTGTTCTGTTCCATTGGTCTATATATCTGTTTTGGTACCCGTACCATGCTATTTTGGTTACTGTAGCCTTTTAATATAGTTTGAAGCCAGGTAGTGTGATGCCTCCAGCTTTGTTCTTTTTGCTTAAGATTGTCTTGGCTATATGGGTTCTTTTTTGGTTCCATGTGAAATTTAAAGTAGATTTTCTAAATCTGTAAAGAAAGTCAATGGTGGCTTGACGGGGATAGCATTGAATCTATAGATTACTTTGGGCAGTATGGCCATTTTCATGATATTGATTACTCCTATCCATAAGCATGGAATGTTTTCCCATTTGTTTGTGTTCTCTCTTATTTTCTTGAGCAGTGGTTTGCAGTTCTCCTCGAGGAGGTCCTTCACATCCCTTGTAAGTTGGATTCCTAGATATTCTATTCTCCTTGTAGCAATTGTGAATGGGAGTTCACTCATGATTTGGCTCTCTGTCTGTTATTGGTGTATAGGAATGCTTGTGATTTCTGCACATTGATTTTGTATCCTGAGACTTTGCTGAAGTTGCTTATTAGCTTAAGGAGATTTTGGGCTGAGATGATGGGGTTTTGTAAATATACAATCATATCATCTGCAAACAGAGACAATTGGACTTCCTCTTTTCCTAATTGAATACCCTTTATTTCTTTCTCTTGCCTGATTGCCCTGGCCAGAACTTCCAATTCTATGTTGAATAGGAGTGGTGAGAGAGGGCATCCTTGTCTTATGCTGGTTTTCAAAAGGAATGCTTCCAGTTTTTGCCCATTCAGTATGATATTGGCTGTGGGTTTGTCATAAATAGCTAGTATTTTGAGACGCATTCCATCCATACCTAGTTTATTGAGAGTTTTTAGCATGAAGAGGTGTTGAATTTTGTTGAAGGCCCTTTCTCCATCTATTGAAATAATCATGTGGTTTTTGTCATTAGTTCTGTTTATGTGATGGATTATGTTTATTGATTTGTATATGTTGAACCAGCCTTGTATCCCAGGGATGAAGCTGACTTGATGGTGGAGGATAAACTTTTTGATGTGCTGCTGGATTTGGTTTGCCAGTATTTTATTGAGGATTTTTGCATTGATGTTCATCAGGGATATTGTCCTGAAATATTCTTTTTTTTGTTGTGTCTCTGCCAGGTTTTGGTATCAGGATGAAGCTAGCCTCATAAAATAAGTTAGGGAGGATTCCCTCTTTTTCTATTGTTTGGAATAGTTTCAGAAGGAAACTCCTCTTTGTACCTCTGGTAGAATTCAGGTGTGAATCCATCTGGTCCTGGGCGTTTCTTGGATTATAGCCTATATTTTAGTTAAAGTTTGTGATGGTAATAAAGAGCTTTTAATTTTCATTTTGAAACCTTTGGTACTATTTTATTTTGTTTTCAATTGCATGCTTTGCTTTTAGATGATTTTTTAAAATTACCCATAAACTTGATAATTCAAATTCTAAGCAATTATCCTAAGAAAATAACCAGAGGCTTAGACAAAGATATTCATCCAACACTATTTATGATAGTGAGATATTATAAGCAACCCAAGTATCAAAAATTACAAGAAAAATTAAAGTATATTATACCCATTTCATAAAATGTTATAAAGCTCTTTTAAGTATTGTTTTTAAATATTTTTTACTTTCCTGGAAGAAATTATACCAAATGTCATCATTAAAATATAGAATGTAGGTTATATTTTATTTTTATATGTTTTTATATAATATGTATTCATTTTATAATCAGAAAAAAATTAAGATTTTTTTCCTACGGAACTGAAGTGTCAAGTGACCCTTTATAAAGACCTTTATAAAGACTTAAATGACAAATGACATATTTTTCAGGACACTAGGCCAAACCAAAGATACGATATCCTTTCCTAATATTATGAAGTAGATTTTGGCACCCAAAGCACATTTATATGTGTAGAAAGCACATTTATATCAGTAGAAAGTAATTAGTAGTGGTTGGTTTATTAGAGATAGAATTTAGATAATTAGAGAGAAGATTTGGGGGTTAGGAACTACAAGGTAAGGATAAATGACAGAATTATAGTCAGGAACCTGAAAAGGCTCTCCAAATATATCTGTGTAATAGAACATTTCCACAGAGTGCAAAGGATCTTCAACTTCTAAAACCCTGTGATATAAATGATTAATACATCCAGACTATCTGATGCTTCTCATGTATCTTCAGTTCAGGATAAGGGGCTACCAAATAAAACTTTTCTTACCCTTCATACCCAAATAATATGTATGCTTAGGTAAGAACCTTGGTATTTGTGGGATAGGTCCTGGATTGAAGTCTGAAGGCCCAAGTTTAAGTCCCAGCTCAACTGGTTATTTATGGCATGACTTGGCTAAGTCATGTAACCAATATGGAAGTTATCTCATCTGTTCATAATACCAGCTGTGTCTCTTAACACAGAGTTATCATGAGAACCAAATGAGATCATATATATGAGAGCTAAGAAGTGCTAAACAATGTATTTTATAATAAAATTTTCTTTCTATCAACAATTATTTGTTTGGCCTCCATAGCCACTTAAAAATGAAGCAGCAGCGTTGTCTGGGGTAAATACCCAAGGTTCGTTGTCTCACACCAAGGGAATTGAGGAAACAGATACCACGAGAAGTGGGTTTAGGAGCAGCAGTTTAATAGGCAAAAGAAAGAGGCAGGAGAACAGCAACCAAATGGGACTTCCGGCCCACAGTGGAGTTCATCAGATTTTATATACAGGCTTGAGGAGGCAGTGTCTGATTTACATAGGGCCTAGAGATTGGTTGGACCAGTTGTGACATTTACATAACACACAGGGAAGTTGACTACGTCACCCTAATCTTCTTACTATGCAAATGGGCTTTCCACTTGGCTGGCACCATGTAGTCCGTTCCCTACTGCACACGTGCTTGGAAAGGAAAAGGGAAGATAGCTGGCTCGTTGGTCTAGGGGTATGATCCTTGCCCTCTGTTTGCCT
This sequence comes from Homo sapiens, assembly GCF_000001405.40. NCBI lineage: Eukaryota > Metazoa > Chordata > Mammalia > Primates > Hominidae > Homo > Homo sapiens. The sequence goes on from NC_000003.12 coordinate 4,242,081, forward strand.
GTTCTTGGTGTATAGGAATGCTTGTGATATTTGCACATTGACTTTGTATGCTAAGACTTTGCTGAAGTTGCTTATCAGCTTAAGGAGATTTGGGGCCGAGAAGATGGGGTTTTCTAAATATACAATCATGTCATCTGCAAACAGGGACAATTTGACTTCCTCTTTTCCTAATTGAATACACTTTATTTCTTTCTCTTGCCTGATTGCCCTGGTCAGAACTTCCAATATTAAGTTGAATAGGAGTGGTGAGAGAGGGCAACCCTCTCGTGTGCCAGTTTTCAGAGGGAATGCTTCCAGCTTTTGCCCATTCAGTATGATACTGGCTGTGGGTTTGTCATAGATAGCTCTTATTTTGAGATACGTTCCATCAACACCTAGTTTATTGAGAATTTTTAGCATGAAACACTGTTGAATTTTGTCAAAGGCCATTTCTGCATCTATTGAGATAATCATGTGGTTTTTGTCATTGGTTCTGTTTATGTGATAGATTATGTTTATTGATTTATATATGTTGAACCAGCTTTGCATCCCAGGGATAAAGCCCACTTGATCATGGTGGATAAGCTTTTTGATGTGCTGCTGGATTCAGTTTGCCAGTATTTTATTGAGGACTTTTGCATCGATGTTCATCAGGGATATTGGCCTAAATTTTTCTCTTTTTGCTGTGTCTCTGCCAGGCTTTGGGATCAGGATGATGTTGGCCTTATAAAATGAGTTAGGGAGGATTCCCTCCTTTTCTATTGATTGGAATAGTTTTCTGAAAGAATGGTACCAGCTCCTCTTTGTACCTCTGGTAGAATTCGGGTGTGAATCCATCTGGTCCTGGACTTTCTTTGGTTGGTAGGCTGTTAATTATTGCCTCAATTTCAGAGCCTGTTATTGGTCTATTCAGAGATTCAACTTCTTCCTTGTTTAGTCTTGGGAGGGTGTATGTATCCATTTCTTCTAGATTTTCTAGGTGATTTGTGTAGAGGTGTTTATAGTATTCTCTGATGGTAGTTTGTATTTCTGTGGGATTGATGGTGATATGCCGTTTATCATTTTTTATTGCGTCTATTTGATTCTTCCCTCTTTTGTTCTTTATTAGTCTTGCTAGTGGTCTATCTATTTTGTTGATCTTTTCAATAAACCAGCTCCTGGATTCATTGATTTTCTGAAAGGTTTTTTGGGTCTCTACCTCCTTCAGTTTTGCTCTGATCTTAGTTATTTCTTGCCTTCTGCTAGCTTTTGAATTTGTTTGCTCTTGCTTCTCAGTTCTTTTAATTGTAGTGTTAGGCTGTCGATTTTAGATCTTTCTTGCTTTCTCTTGTGGGCATTTAGTGCTATAAATTTCCCTCTATACACTGCTTTAAATGTGTCCCAGAGATTATGGTATGTTGTGTCTTTGTTCTCATTGGTTTCAAAGAACATCTTTATTTCTGCCTTCATTTCGTTATTTACCCATTAGTCATTTGGGAGCCAGTTGTTCAGTTTCCATGTAGTTGCATGGTTTTGAGTAAAGTTTCTTAATTCTGAGTTCTAGTTTGATTCCACTGTGGTCTGAGAGAGAGTTTGTTGTGATTTCTGTTCTTTTACATTTGCTGAGGAGTGTTTTACTTCCAATTATGTGGTCAGTTTTAGAGTAAGTATGATGTGGTGCTGAGAAGAATGTATATTCTGTTGATTTGGGTTGAAGAGTTCTGAAGATATCTAAGGTTCGCATGATCCAGAGCTGAGTTCAAGTCCTGGGTAGCCTTGTTAATTTTCTGTCTCCTTGATCTGTCTAATATTGACAGTGGAGTGTTACAGTCTCCGGTTATTATGTAGGAATCTAAGTCTCTTTGTAGGTCTCTAAGACCTTGCTTTATGAATCGGGGTGCTCCTGTATTGGGTGCATATATATTTAGGATAGTTAGCTCTTCTTGTTGAATTGATCCCTTTACCATTATGTAATGGCCTTCTTTATCTCTTTTGATCTTTGTTGTTTTAAAGTCTGTTTTATGAGAGACTAGGATTGCAATCCCTGCTTTTTGTTTTTCCTTTCCATTTGCTTGGTGGATCTTCCTCCATCCCTTTATTTTGAGCCTATGTGTGTCTTTGCATGTGAGATGGGTCTCCTGAATACTCCACCAATGAGTCTTTACTCTATCCAACTTGCCAGTCTGTGTCTTTTAATTGGGGCATTTAGCCCATTTACATTAAAGGTTAATATTGTTATGTGTGAATTTGATCCTGTCATTATGATGCTAGCTAGTTATTTCACCTGTTAATTGATGCAGTTTCTTCATAGCATCAATGGTCTTTACAATTTGGCATGTTTCTGCAGTGGCTGGTATCAGTTGTTCCTTCCCATGTTTACTGCATCCTTCAGGAGCACTTGTAAGGCAGGCCTGGTGGTGACAAAATCTCTCAGCATTTGCTTGTCTTAAAGGATTTTATTTCTCCTTGGCTTATGAAGCTTAGTTGGCTGGATATGAAATTCTGGGTTGAAAATTCTTTTCTTTAAGAATATTGAATACTGGCCCCCACTCTCTTCTGGCTTGTAGGGTTTCTGCAGAGAGATTTGCTGTTCGTCTGATGGGCTTCCCTTTGTGTGTAACCCGACCTTTCTCTCTGGCTGCCCTTAACATTTTTTCCTTCATTTCAACCTTGGTGAATCTGACAATTATGTGTCTTCAGGTTCCTATTCTCGTGGAGTATCTCTCTGGTGTTCTCTGAATTTGAATGTTGGCCTGCCTTGCTAGGTTGGGGAAGTTCTCCTGGATAATATCCTGAAGGGTGTTTTCCAACTGATTCCATTCTCCCCATACACCAGTCAAACATAGATTTGGTCTTTTCACATAGTCCCATATTTCTTGGAGGCTTCGTTCGTTTTTGGGTTTTTTTCACTCTTTTTTCTCTTGTCTTCTTGCTTTATTTCATTAATTTGATCTTCAATCACTGATATCCTTTCTTCCGCTTGATGGTGTTGGCTACTGAAGCTTGTGTATGCTTCAAAAAGTTCTTGTACTGTGGTTTTCAGCTCCATTAAGTCATTCAAGCTCTTCTCTACACTGGTTATTCTAGCTAGCCATTCATCTAACCTTTTTTCAAGGTTTTTAGCTTCCTTGCTATGGGTTGGAACATCCTCCTTTAGCTCGGAGAAGTTTGTTATTACTGACTTTCTGAAGCCTACTTCTGTCAACTCAAACTCATTCTCCATCCAGTTTTGTTCCCTTGCTAGCGAGGAGTTGTATTCCTTTGGAGGAGAAGAGGCTTTCTGGTTTTTGAAATTTTAAGCCTTTCTGCTCTGGTCTCTCCCCATCTTTGCAGTTTTATCTACCTTTGGTCTTTAATGTTGGGACCTACAGATGGGGTTTTAGTGTGGATGTCCTTTTTGTTGATGTTGATGCTATTCCTTTCTGTTTGTTAGTTTTCCTTCTAACAGACAGGCCCCTCAGCTGCAGGTCTGTTGGAGTTTGCTGGAGGTCCACTCCCAATCCTGTTTGCCTGACTATCACCAGCAGAGGCTGCAGAACAGCATATATTGCTGCCTCATCCTTCCTCTGGAAGCTTCCTTCCAGAGGGTCACCCACCTGTATGAGGTGTCTGTCAGCCCCTACTGGGAGGTGTCTCCCAGTCAGGCTACGCAAGGGTCAGGGACCCACTTGAGTAGGTAGTCTGTCCATTATCAGAGCTTGAATGCCATGCCGGTAGAATGACTGCTCTCTTCAGAGCTGTCAGGCAGGGACGTTTAAGTCTGCAGAAGCTGTCTGCTGCCTTTGGTTCAGATATGCCCTGCCCCTAGAGGTGGAATCTAGAGAGGCAGTAGCCCTTGCTGAGCTGTAATGTGCTCCACCCAGTTCGAGCTTCCCTGCCACTTTGTTTACACTGAGCATAGAACTGCCTACTGAAGCCTCAGCAATCGTGGATGCCCCTTTCCCTGCCAAGCTCCAGCGTCCCAGGTCAATCTCAGACTGCTGCACTAGCAGCGAGCAAGGCTCCGTGGGTGTGGGAACCGCCAAGCCAGGTACGGGAGGGAATCTCCTGGTCTTCCGGTTGTGAAGAACATGAGAAAAGTGCCGTATTTGGGCAGAAGTGCACCGTTCCCCCAGTTACAGTCACTCATGGCTTCCCTTGGCTAGGAAAGGGAAATCCTCTGATCCCTTGTGCTTCCCGGGTGAGGTGACACCCCGCCCTGCTTCTGCTCACCCTCCGTGGGCTGCACCCACTGTCCAACCAGACCCAATGAGATGAACCAGGTACCTCAGTTGGAAATGCAGAAATCACCCGTTTTCTGTGTCAATCTCGCTGGGAGCCGTAGACTGGAGCTGTTCCTATTCGGCCATCTTGGAGTTTTTGTTTGTTTTTGTTTTTGTTTTTGACAGAGTCTCACTCTGTTGCCCAGGCTGGAGTACAGTGGCACAATCTCGGCTCACCATAACCTCTGCCTCCCAGGTTCAAGTGATTCTCCTGTCTCAGCCTCCTGAGCAGCTGGGACTACAGGCGCACGCCACCATGCCCGGCTAATTATTGTATTTTTAGTAGAGACAGGGTTTCACTATGTTGGCCAGGCTGGTGTCAAACTCCTGACCTCGTGATCCACCTGCCTCAGCATCCCAAAGTGCTGGGATTACAGGCGTGAGCTACCGCACCCAGCCTTTTTCTCTGTTTCTTGATGTCTTTTAGTTGAAGATACTTCACTAACCACCAAGAGAAGTGGTTGAGTTAGCAGCTCTAACCAAGTTCCCTTCAAATCTTGACCTTTCTATGTTTCCCTATGACATGAGAATAAGGGCAAATACAACAGTAACCTGAGGAAATTCAGCGCTAATTCTATAAGTCATGGACCCAGTTTTAATTATATATTTCCTTAACACATAATTTGGTTTTGGGTATGTTTAGCCAGTTTTTTTCAGGGCTCATGAGTGCCTAGAAACTACGCAGCTTTAAGTATATATCCTGTACAACTGGTTTCAAGGCATATGCATGAGGTGACTTCATGTTTTCAGTATTAATTTCTACCCTGTCACTTAAATAGATTCTCTGGAAATATTAAAACACTATGGCAATACAAGGCAAAGGAGGCATATTTTTTCACTGCCCCATTGCCCAGATGGTGAAACAGTGTGTCAGCAACAGAAGCAAAACCAGAGTCAAGGCCAAGTAATTAATTCACTATGCAACTTCCATTGCAAAAATATAGTAGTATTTTGGAACATGTGTTCTATAATATCCATTCTTGGCCCAGTCTACTCTGAGCTAAATGTTCCTGATATTTCCAAGAACAGCAAAAACCATTAATTCAATTCAACTCTGTGCTACAGTCAAATCAACAGGCCCCATATTACCAATAAACATTTCTATGTAAAGCTATTAAATTCAATATTAAGTTCTGAAATTAGAATTCAGGATTTTGTAAAGTGGCAATGTTCACTATTCTCTGCATGAATCATTCAGGAAATCTGATTATAACCTACTACAGTAGATTAGTACTACAAAGAAGGGAAAGAGGGGGTAAGAAGCCCAGCTGGAGATTTGTAGTGCTAGCGGGGGAAGAAGACTGGCTTAGATTTATTGGAGACTAATTAAGACATGAGTTAGAGCAAGCAGCTGACTTCTAGACTAAAACTGGAGGCACAAATTTCAATATAGACAGAGGGAGTCAGTTGAGAACCCAAGGAAGAATAGCAGTCCACTAGGCATAGAAGAATACAAGCAGAAAAATGTAATGATCCAGACAAGTCCTTACAAAGCCCACTGATCCAGCAACCAAGATTTCGATGAAGTACAAAAAGTGCTTGAAAACAAAATGTCTCAGTTCCAGTCTAAAATTGAAAACTCACAACATATATGATCTTAGGAGATAGTCCCTTGATCTCTCTGAGTCTCAATCCCCTCATACAAAATGGGAATTGTTTTCAAACTACTTTGCAAAGGCATGGGGAAAATTACCTATTTCATCAGAAAATATTTTGTAAAATGCAAATTGACACAAATGTTTAGTGATGGTGATGGCATTATCATGGCTTTTGATATTACTAGTATTAATTTAATGGGATAATATTTTAAAGATTAACTGATATATTTTTGTCCTGGGTAAGTCTCATTGCCCAGTGATGCTCTAGCCATTGAGGCTGAAGTGTCCACTGCTGAAGAGCAAAATCAGCCTGAAAACAAAGGAGTCATTGCTCAACCTCAACATTCAGAATAGACTGTTTTAAGTCATAAAAAGCATGCCAGTCATGAAAGGAACTTGTTTTAACTACAAGAACCACACACTTAAGGAGGGGGAGAAAAGGTTTTCTGAATTCCAGAAGCTTTGCTGTATATTAAAAACCAGTACCTCATTAATTCAAGACATCACTTTTTTGTTTTCCTGTAAGCAGTAGAGAAGAAAAGATACAAGACACAAGGCAAAAGCAATTTCCCACTAAAAAGAACGGCCCTCAAAACCATTCCTAGTCTGGATTAATGAGTGGCAAGATAAAAAGAGAAGCTTTAGACATAATTGAGGGCTTCTGCCACATCCCCCCTTGCATCACCACATACCTGAGATTTCATTTCTGGAATGGGAGAATTGATATAAGAAACATCCCACCCCTCAGCTACACTTTAGAATCCAAAAGCAAAAGGGACTTTTTTCCTGCTTCCACCTGGAATCCCAGGGAAATGCAATCATTCAGTGTATAATCTAGCAACATGGGGTGGCTATTGAAGAAAAAGAGAACTATAGACAGAAGGAAACAAGTATAGGAAAAGAAAGTGTTGATGAGAGCAACATGTTCCTAGAGCCTGCATGTGGTATGGAGGAAAACCGGACATTCCCACCTACCCACACTGTGGCCTGCAGACTTGCTGAGAGGATCAGCTGACTCAAAGAGCCCTGACATGGGATCAAGAACACAAACAGACCACCAGTGGCCGTGGCAGTTCATGTGCATGTGCATCTGCATGATCTTTCGTCCCCTTCTCCTTCACTTCTCACTGAGTGGCCTTGCTGGTGTGCCTGGAGCCACTTGGCCCATGAGGCACATGGGGTCACCTGCTCCTAACTCAGAAGGTATCTTCTTAATGCATTGGCTTCAAAATCAGTAGAGAAAATAAGTTCTGTGTTCTCTAGCAGAGTGGGTATAATTTGGCATTCAGCAAATCAAATATCAAAGGAATTTTAGTCTGCTATGAACTATGCATTCTACTGAGTGCCAAAACCAAATATAATATACAGACAGTCTTATTTTATTCTGCTTCACTTTATTGTGTTTCACAGATATTTCATTGTTTACAAATTGAAAGTTTATAGCAACTCTGAGTCTAAGTCTATTGGCCTCATTTTCTCCAACAGCATATGCTCACTTCATGTCTCTGTGTCACGTTTTGGTAATTCTCGCAATATTTCAAATTTTTATTATTATTTTATCTGTCATGGTGGTCTATAATCAGTAATCTTTGATGTTACTATTGTAACTGTTTGGGGGCACCACAAATCACGTCCATATAAGATGGCAAACTTAATAAATGTTTGTGTTCTGACTGCTCTACCAACTGGTCATTCCCTTCTTTACCCTCTCCTCCAGGCCTCCCAATTCCCTGAGACACAGCAATATTGAAATTATGCCAACTAATAACCCTAAAATGGCCTCTAAGTTTTTAAGTAAAAACACGTCTCTCACTTTAAATCAAGAGAGTTAGAAATTATGAATCTTAGTGAAAAAGGCACATTGAAAGTCAACAAAGGCTGAAAGCTAGGCCTCTTGTACCAGTTACCTAAGTTGTGAATGCAAAGGAAAACTTCTCCGAGGAAATTAAAAGTGCTCCTCCAGTCAACACACAAATGATAAGAATGCAAAAGAGTCTCATTGGGCCAGGGGCAGTGGCTCATGCCTCTAATCCCAGCACTTGGGGGAGGCCGAGGCAGGTAGATCACTTGAGGCCAGGAGTTTGAGACCAGCCTGGCCAACATAGTAAAATGCTGTCTCTACTAAAAATACAAAAATTAGCCAGGCATAGTGGCACACACCTGTAATCCCAACTACTCAGGACATGAGGCACAAGAATCGCTTGAACACAGGAGGCAGAGGTTAGTGGAAGCCAAGATTGTGCCATTGCCCTCCAGCCAACAGATCAAGACAAGAAACGGAGGGGGAAGGGGGAGGGAGTGAAGGGAGAGAAAAGAAAGGAAAGAAAGAAAGGGAGAGGGTGAGGGAGAGGGAAAGGAAAAGGGAAAGAGGGGGAAAGGGGGAAGGAAGGGAAGAGGGAAGGAGGGAAGGAGGGAGAGAAGAAGGGAGGGAGGGAAGGAAGGGAAGGGAAAGAAAGGAAAGAAAGTAATCTAGCAGACGTTGGCTCATGAGGTTTGAGAAAAGCCATTTCCTGAACATGAAAGTGCAAGGTGAAGAAGCAAGAGCGGATGGAGAAGCTGCAGCAAGCTATCCAGAAGATATAGCCAAGATAATTCATAAAGGTAGCGACACTGAACAACAGATTTTCAATGTAGATGAAACAGCCTTATACTGGAAGTAGAGGCCATCTAGTATTTTCATAGCTAGAGAGGAAAAGTCAATGCCTGGGTTCAACACTTCAAAGAATAGGCAGACTCTCTTGTTAGAGGCTAACACAACCGGTGACTTAAAGTTGGAGCCAGTGCTCATTGACCATTCTGAAAATCTTAGGGCCCTTAAGAATTATGCTAATTCTAATCTGCTTAAATGGAATAACAAAGCCGAGATGCAATCATGTCTGTTTACAGCATGATTTACTGGATATTTAAGCCCACTGTTGAGACTTGCTAATCAGAAAAAAAGATTACTTTCAAAATAGTACTGCTCATTGATAATGTACCTGTTTACCCACGGGTTCAAATGGAGCTTATAAACAAGGAGATGAATGTTGTTTTCACACCTCCTAACGATATTCATTCTGCATTCCATAGATCAAGGAGTAATCTTGACTTTCAAGTCCTTTTATTTAAGAAATAAATTTCATAAGGCTATAGCTGCCATAGATAATGATTCCTCTGATGGTCCTAGGCAAAGCAAATTGAAAGCCTTCTGGAAAGGATTCACCATTCTAGATACCATTAAGAACATTCATGATGCATGGAAGTCAAAATATCAGCACTAATAGGAGTTTGGAAAAAGCTGATTCCAAACTTCGTGGATGATTTTGTGAAGTCCAAGACTTCAGTGGAGGAAGTAACTGCCTATGTGGTAGAAATAGCAAATGAACTAGAATTAGAAGTGGAGCCTGAATTGCTGCAATCTCATTATAAAACTTTCACTGATGAGGAGTTGCTTCTTATGGATGAGTGAAGAAAGTGATTTCTTGAGATGGAATCTACTCCTGGTGAAGATGCTGTCAACATTGTTGAAATGACAACAAAGGATTTGTAATATTACATCAATTTAGTCAATAAAGCAGCAGCAGGGTTTGAGAGGATTGACTCAAATTTTGAAAGAAGTTCTGTGTGTAAAATGCACATCATCACATGCTTTACAGAGAAATCTTTTCTGAAAGAGAAAGTCCATTGATGTGGCAAGCTTCATTGTTGTCTTAAGAAATTACCACAGCCACCCCAACTTTCAGTGACCTCCATCCTGGTGAATATTCAGACAGTCAATCCTTTGAAGGTTTGAAGCTAGGCTTCTCTCTAGCTTTGAAAATGCCAGATAGCATCTTCTTCTATTATAAGGCTGTTTTACCTACATTGAAAATCTGTTGTTTAGTGTAACCACCTTCATCAGTCAGGGACCATCAATATCAAGGCAAGACCCTACAATGGCAAAAAGATAACTCACTGAAGGCTCAGTTAATTATTAGAATTTTTTTTAGCAATGAAGTATTTTAGTAAGCTATCTACATTTTTAGAGATAATGCTATTTCACACTTAACAGACCTACAGTAGTGTAAACATAAATTCTATATGCACGGGAAAACCAAATTTTCATGTGACTCACTTTATGACAATATTCAATTTGTTGTGCTGGTCTGAAACCAAACCTGCAATATCTGCAAGGTATGCCTGTAGATAGTGGTAGTTTCCATCTTAATTTCCTCATGGTCCTCACCCCACTGACCTAAGTAAATAAAGAAATGAGTAACACTGCACAAATCAGCAATGGTTTCTGAGAACAATTCTAATCTACAAAATATACTGTAGCTACAAATGATGACAGAATTAATGGTTGCCCCATGTCCTCTTCTCCATGAGCTACATAAGTGTCATTTCTAGGACAACCAAATCTTCTGAAAAGTCAACAAGAAAGTAGCAAATAGTTCTGAGGGACATTTTGGATTCGCTCCAAATACACACATGCGCACACACACACACACACACACACACACCCCACTGGCTGTTTAAAACATTTGTACAACTTGCCTACATTGTCTATTATCCCAAAATATAAAAATAAAATAATCTCTAAATAGATTCACCGTTTGAGACTGCTGAACTTTCAAATATTGAAAAATCAAACCCTGAGTGGCAAAAGTAGGGAATGAAGGCAACCAAGCTCATTACCAGCCTGCCTTTTTGCCATTTTTACACGTACAATGAACTTAAAGGTCTCAGAGAGAGAACAAAAAACTAGGAAAGTTGAAAGTTACAAGCTCAAGCAGTTTCCATCAAACCACTTTCTTCCCAATGTGCTACATGCACCGGGCCAACCCCTTTAATGAAGGGGAAAATCCATTCTTTCACCAAGTACAGTGAAAAATAGTAGCAAAGCAAAGAACTTTACCTCCAAGAAAAAAAAAACTGCAAATGGTCTGACTCAGTGAATATTCAGGCAGTCAATAGATAATCTAAATTTGCACCTGTTTTTAATATTTAAACACAAAAATGCACCCTAAAACAAATGTGATCCTGGTGTATTCGTATCTAAAATATTAAGTTCTCCACTAACTCATTACTCTCATCAAACCAGCATTGGAACATTTGACTTAGATCATCTAGCTTTCAATGCAGTTTATCACCAATTACACTTTATTATGTGTTTTTCCATAAGAGTTTTAAATTTTTTAAAAATCTAGCTATATGTTATATGTACAACATGTAGTGTAATGAAAGAAAAAAGGCACTGTGAAAAGGCTTTTGGGTTATGACACAAGCTCAGTTTGGTTCACTTTCCATCTCTTGTATTCCTCTCAAGAAGGGATCATAATTTGAGGATGAACCTTGCTTTTTTCTCTCCATTGGAAAAAAAATGGAAATAGGGGGAGGAGCCAAGATGGCCGAATAGGAACAGCTCCGGTCTACAGCTCCCAGCGTGAGTGACGCAGAAGACAGGTGATTTCTGCATTTCCATCTGAGGTACCGGGTTCATCTCACTAGGGAGTGCCAGACAGTGGGCGCAGGCCAGTGGGTGCGTGCACCGTGCACGAGCGGAAGCAGGGCGAGGCATTGCCTCACCTGGGAAGCACAAGGGGTCAGGGAGTTCCCTTTCCGAGTAAAAGAAAGGGGTGACGGACGCACCTGGAAAATCGGGTCACTCCCACCTGAATATTGCGCTTTTCAGACCGGCTTAAAAAACGGCGCACCATGAGACTATATCCCACACCTGGCTCAGAGGGTCCTACGCCCAAGGAATCTCGCTGATTGCTAGCACAGCAGTCTGTGATCAAACTGCAAGGCGGCAGCGAGGCTGGGGGAGGGGCGCCCGCCATTGGCCAGGCTTGATTAGGTAAACAAAGCAGCCAGGAAGCTCGAATTGGGTGGAACCCACCACAGCTCAAGGAGGCCTGCCTGCCTCTGTAGGCTCCACCTCTGGGGGGCAGGGCACAGACAAACAAAAAGACAGCAGTAACCTCTGCAGACTTAAATGTCCCTGTCTGACAGCTTTGAAGAGAGCAGTGGTTCTCCCAGCACGCAGCTGGAGATCTGAGAACTGGCAGACTGCCTCCTCAAGTGGGTCCCTGACCCCTGACCCCCGAGCAGCCTAACTGGGAGGCACCCCCCAGCAAGGGCACACTGACACCACACACAGCAGGGTATTCCAACAGACCTGCAGCTGAGGGTCCTGTCTGTTAGAAGGAAAACTAACAAACAGAAAGGACATCCACACCGAAAACCCATCTGTACATCACCATCATCAAAGACCAAAAGCAAAAAAAACCACAAAGATGGGGAAAAAACAGAACAGAAAAACTGGAAACTCTAAAAAGCAGAGCGCCTCTCCTCCTCCAAAGGAACACAGTTCCTCAACAGCAACGGAACAAAGCTGGATGGAGAATGACTTTGACGAGCTGAGAGAAGAAGGCTTCAGACGATCAAATTACTCTGAGCTATGGGAGGACATTCAAACCAAAGGCAAAGAAGTTGAAAACTTTGAAAAAAAATTTAGAAGAATGTATAACTAGAATAACCAATACAGAGAAGTGCTTAAAGGAGCTGATGGAGCTGAAAACCAAGGCTCGAGAACTACGTGAAGAATGCAGAAGCCTCAGGAGCCGATGCCATCAACTGGAAGAAAGGGTATCAGCAATGGAAGATGAAATGAATGAAATGAAGTGAGAAGGGAAGTTTAGAGAAAAAAGAATAAAAAGAAATGAGCAAAGCCTCCAAGAAATATGGGACTATGTGAAAAGACCAAATCTACGTCTGATTGGTGTACCTGAAAGTGATGGGGAGAATGGAACCAAGTTGGAAAACACTCTGCAGGAAATTATCCAGGAGAACTTCCCCAATCTAGCAAGGCAGGCCAACGTTCAGATTCAGGAAATACAGAGAACGCCACAAAGATACTCCTCGAGAAGAGCAACTCCAAGACACATAATTGTCAGATTCACCAAAGTTGAAATGAAGGAAAAAATATTAAGGGCAGCCAGAGAGAAAGGTCGGGTTACCCTCAAAGGGAAGCCCATCAGACTTACAGCGGATCTCTTGGCAGAAACCCTACAAGCCAGAAGAGAGGGGGGGCCAGTATTCAACATTCTTAAAGAAAACAATTTTCAACCCAGAATTTCATATCCAGCCAAACTAAGCTTCATAAGTGAAGGAGAAATAAAATCCTTTACAGACAAGCAAATGCTGAGAGATTTTGTCACCACCAGGCCTGCCCTAAAAGAGCTCCTGAAGGAAGCACTAAACATGGAAAGGAACAATCGGTACCAGCCGCTGCAAAATCATGCCAAATTGTAAAGACCATCGAGACTAGGAAGAAACTGCATCAACTAACGAGCAAAATCACCAGCTAACATCATAATGACAGGATCAAATTCACACATAACAATATTAACTTTAAATGTAAATGGACTAAATGCTCCAATTAAAAGACACAGACTGGCAAATTGGATAAAGAGTCAAGACCCATCAGTGTGCTGTATTCAGGAAACCCATCTCATGTGCAGAGACACACATAGGCTCAAAATAAAAGGATGGAGGAAGATCTACCAAGCAAACGGAAAACAAAAAAAGGCAGGGGTTGCAATCCTAGTCTCTGATAAAACAGACTTTAAACCAACAAAGATCAAAAGAGACAAAGAAGGCCATTACATAATGGTAAAGGGATCAATTCAACAAGAAGAGCTAACTATCCTAAATATATATGCACCCAACACAGGAGCACCCAGATTCATAAAGCAAGTCCTGAGTGACCTACAAAGAGACTTAGACTACCACACATTAATAATGGGAGACTTTAACACCCCATTGTCAACATTAGACAGATCAACGAGACAGAAAGTCAACAAGGATACCCAGGAATTGAACTCAGCTCTGCACCAAGCGGACCTAATAGACATCTACAGAACTCTCCACCCCAAATCAACAGAATATACATTTTTTTCAGCACCACACCACACCTATTCCAAAATTGACCACATAGTTGGAAGTAAAGCTCTCCTCAGCAAATGTAAAAGAACAGAAATTATAACAAACTATCTCTCAGACCACAGTGCAATCAAACTAGAACTCAGGATTAAGAATGTCACTCAAAGCCGCTCAACTACATGCAAACTGAACAACCTGCTCCTGAATGACTACTGGGTACATAATAAAATGAAGGCAGAAATAAAGATGTTCTTTGAAACCAATGAGAACAAAGACACAACATACCAGAATCTCTGGGACGCATTCAAAGCAGTGTGTAGAGGGAAATTTATAGCACTAAATGCCCACAAGAGAAAGCAGGAAAGATCCAAAATTGACACCCTAACATCACAATTAAAAGAACTAGAAAAGCAAGAGCAAACACATTCAAAAGCTAGCAGAAGGCAAGAAATAACTAAAATCAGAGCAGAACTGAAGGAAATAGAGACACAAAAAACCCTTCAAAAAATCAATGAATCCAGGAGCTGGTTTTTTGAAAGGATCAACAAAATTGATAGACCACTAGCAAGACTGATAAAGAAAAAAAGAGAGAAGAATCAAATAGACACAATAAAAAATGATAAAGGGGATATCACTACCGATCCCACAGAAATACAAACTACCATCAGAGAATACTACAAACACCTCTATGCAAATAAACTAGAAAATCTAGAAGAAATGGATAAATTCCTCGACACATACACTCTCCCAAGACTAAACCAGGAAGAAGTTGAATCTCTGAATAGACCAATAACAGGAGCTGAAATTGTGGCAATAATCAATAGTTTACCAACCAAATAGAGTCCAGGACCAGATGGATTCACAGCCAAATTCTACCAGAGGTACAAGGAGGAACTGGTACCATTCCTTCTGAAACTATTCCAATCAATAGAGGGAATCCTCCCTAACTCATTTGATGAGGCCAGCATCATTCTGATACCAAAGCCGGGCAGAGACACAACCAAAAAAGAGAATTTTAGACCAATATCCTTGATGAACATTGATGCAAAAATCCTCAATAAAATACTGGCAAACCGAATCCAGCAGCACATCAAAAAGCTTATCCACCATGATCAAGTGGGCTTCATCCCTGGGATGCAAGGCTGGTTCAATATACACAAATCAATAAATGTAATCCAGCATATAAACAGAGCCAAAGACAAAAACCACATGATTATCTCAATAGAGGCAGAAAAAGCCTTTGACAAAATTCAACAACCCTTCATGCTAAAAACTCTCAATAAATTAGGTATTGATGGGACGTATCTCAAAATAATAAGAGCTATCTATGACAAACCCACAGCCAATATCATACTGAATGGGCAAAAACTGGAAGCATTCCCTTTGAAAACTGGCACAAGACAGGGATGCCCTCTCTCACCACTCCTATTCAACATAGTGTTGGAAGTTCTGGCCAGGGCAATTAGGCAGGAGAAGGAAATAAAGGGTATTCAATTAGGAAAAGAGGAAGTCCAATTGTCCCTGTTTGCAGATGACATGATTGTATATCTAGAAAACCCCATTGTCTCAGCCCAAAATCTCCTTAAGCTGATAAGCAACTTCAGCAAAGTCTCAGGATACAAAATCAATGTACAAAAATCACAAGCATTCTTATACACCAACAACAGACAAACAGAGAACCAAATCATGAGTGAACTCCCATTCAAAATTGCTTCAAAGAGAATAAAATACCTAGGAATCCAACTTACAAGGGATGTGAAGGACCTCTTCAAGGAGAACTACAAACCACTGCTCAAGGAAATAAAAGAGGATACAAACAAATGGAAGAACATTCCATGCTCATGGGTAGGAAGAATCAATATCATGAAAATGGCCATACTGCCCAAGGTAATTTACAGATTCAATGCCATCCCCATCAAGCTACCAATGACTTTCTTCACAGAATTGGAAAAAACTACTTTAAAGTTCATACGGAACCAAAAAAGAGCCCGTGTGGCCAAGTCAATCCTAAGCCAAAAGAACAAAGCTGGAAGCATCACGCTACCTGACTTCAAACTATACTACAAGGCTACAGTAACCAAAACAGCATGGTACTGGTACCAAAACAGAGATATAGATCAATGGAACAGAACAGAGCCCTCAGAAATAACGCCGCATGTCTACAACTATCTGATCTTTGACAAACCTGACAAAAACAAGCAATGGGGAAAGGATTCCCTATTTAATAAATGGTGCTGGGAAAACTGGCTAGCCATATGCAGAAAGCTGAAACTGGATCCCTTCCTTACACCTTATACAAAAATCAATTCAAGATGGATTAAAGATTTAAACGTTAGACCTAAAACCATAAAAACCCTAGAAGAAAACCTAGGCATTACCATTCAGGACATAGGCACGGGCAAGGACTTCATGTCCAAAACACCAAAAGCAATGGCAACAAAAGACAAAATTGACAAATGGGATCTAATTAAACTAAAGAGCTTCTGCACAGCAAAAGAAACTACCATCAGAGTGAACAGGCAACCTACAAAATGGGAGAAAATTTTCACAACCTACTCATCTGACAAAGGGCTAATATCCAGAATCTACAATGAACTCAAACAAATTTACAAGAAAAAAACAAACAACCCCATCAAAAAGTGGGCAAAGGACATGAGCAGACACTTCTCAAAAGAAGACATTTATGCAGCCAAAAAACACATGAAAAAATGCTCATCATCACTAGCCATCAGAGAAATGCAAATCAAAACCACTATGAGATACCATCTCACACCAGTTAGAATGGCAATCACTAAAAAATCAGGAAACAACAGGTGCTTGAGAGGATGTGGAGAAATAGGAACACTTTTACACTGTTGGTGGGACTGTAAACTGGTTCAACCATTGTGGAAGTCAGTGTGGTGATTCCTCAGGGATCTAGAACTAGAAATACCATTTGACCCAGCCATCCCATTACTGGGTATATACCCAAAGGACTATAAATCATGCTGTTATAAAGACACATGCACACATATGTTTATTGCGGCATTATTCACAATAGCAAAGACTTGGAACCAACCCAAATGTCCAACAATGATAGACTGGATTAAGAAAATGTCGCACATATACACCATGGAATACTATGCAGCCATAAAAAAGGATGAGTTCATGTCCTTTGTAGGGACATGGATGAAATTGGAGATCATCATTCTCAGTAAACTATCGCAAGAACAAAAAACCAAACACCGCATATTCTCACTCATAGGTGGGAATTGAACAATGAGATCACATGGACCCAGGAAGGGGGATATCACACTCTGGGGACTGTGGTGGGGTGGGGGGAGGGTGGAGGGATAGCATTGGGAGATATACCTAATGCTAGATGACGAGTTAGTGGGTGCAGCGCACCAGCATGGCACATGTATACATATGTAAGTAACCTGCACAATGTGCACATGTACCCTAAAACTTAAAGTATAATAAAAATAAATAAATAAATAAATAAAAATGGAAATAAACAGTTTCTTTTCATTGTTCCTGTACTTTCATGGCTATTGCAATTTTAGCTTACATTAATATTACCTGATTTGACCTACATGTTACGTAAGGCAAAAGGACAGCATTTAGGGAATCTGCAGTTATATAAGATCATATGATCATTCAACATAGTATGAAAATCTCAAATGTGAATTATTTACATATTTCTGTCTTTTTGACAAAATATTTGGATTCGATGTGGGATATAAGGCTTTTGGGGATTGTAGTTTGGTTTTTATTTTTATTTTATTTGTTTTTTCTATCAATACATCTCAGTACCTTGCCTTTTGGGTTACAAACAGCTTGGAACAATCTAAGAAGGGAATTACATGTCTCAAAATACCAAGCAATGAATAATTCTGTATTCAACTCTCTTTGCCTAGAGCTCAGTAGTGAAAGCACAAAGCCTAATGGCAAAAGGCAATTTTTAAAATAAATATATTACATTTTTTCAGATTACAAAAGTATCATTTGCACCAAGGATAGGTAGAACATATATTTCCAAAGGGAAGGCTATTAAAACAACCCATAATTTACTACTTAGAAACTATTACCATTTGTTTAAATTTTTTTTTAACCAACGGAGATAATATTGACTTCCTCAACTAACTGGAATGCTCAGAGGAGAAGTTATAGTTGTCGTGAGTTAGAAAGTCCTCTCAAATATCATAACATATGTGTTGACTCTGAAACCAGAAAAAGGATAAAAAAAAAAAAAGAGTAATGATCTAGTTCAATAATTCAGGAATAATGAATTAGTGAAATCTAGAATCTCATTTATGACTCAGGAACTTCTAATACTTCTAGATCATCAGGGTGAAAATCAATTTTTATGCCAGGGCTGAAGTCATAAAGGGAATAGAAGAGGGCCTGAATATGCAAATGCTCGCACAGGGACTGATATAAAATATATTGGCAATATTTAAAAGCAGGTACAAATATCCGTTCTATAAAAGACAACCAACAGGTACTAGTAGTCAGTTCTGGCTAATTGATACCAGGCAATAAAACAGCCTAGTGTTCTATATTCTCCTACTTGTTGTTGCTGTTGTTTCTTAAAGAGAAACCAAAAATCTGTGTCTTTATGTGAAATTTCTACATTTTAAAATTTTCAAATAAACAGAAATGTTTAAAATATGTAAGCCAATCTACATGACTTTGAGCCTAATTTGGCCTGTTGGTTACCAGTTTCCAGCCCTGATTATCAGAGATTGGGATAAACCTGGGCATAACGTAGATCATTGTCTTATTTGTAGAAGAATTCTGAACAGATGCTGGCTATGGTGACACCTGTGGTCCCAGCTACTCAGAAGGCTAAGGCATGAGAATCGCCTGAACCCAGGAGGCAGAGGTTGCAGTGAGCTGAGATCTCGCCACTGCACTCCATCCTGGGTGACAGAGCGAGAATATGTCTAAGAAAAAAAAAAGAAAAATTTAATACTGGCAGAGACTTAGGAGTTCAGTAACCAGTAGGCAGATTAATGCCACACCCAACCCTCCATATGTGCGTGTCCTAATCCCCAGATGGAAGAAGGGGCCACTAGCCAAGGAATGCAGCCACCTCTAGAAGCTAGAAAAGGCAAGGTAACGAATTCTCCTGCAGACCTCCCAGGAAGCCCTGGTGATACCTTGATTTTAGCCCAGTGAGAACTGTGTTGGTCTTCTGATCAATAGAACCATAAAAGTTTTTGTCACTAAGCCAGTAGATGTGTGATAAGTTGTTACACCAACAATAACTAATACTCACCCTAGTTTGACACTGTACAGATTGGAAAACTGAGGTCCACAGAGTATAAAGACAAAGCAAGGAAACAAACACATCTCAAGAGTCCCCATCCAGTGATCTTCCCACTGTATGAGCCTGCCTTGATTGACCTTGTGTTTGCTTTATGTAATTTTTTCATAAGGGCAGAATAAATAACATGCAGAGAGAGAAGGGGAGAGAAACATTCAGTTTAACTGGGACTTACTTGAACAGTAACATTTGGTTTAGGATAGAGAGGACAAGTAAGTAAAAGGAAGAAGAAGATACATTCAGTTCAAAAACACAAAGCTCCTCCAATATATGAAATCGGTCTACCTTGTTACTTTTACTTAAATGTCTGCCTTTGATGCTTTGCTGTCTAACTGGGAACTGAATTTGCTGTCTAGTTTGGAATTTGCAGAAATTAAAACAGCCTGGGCATGGGTTGCTTGTCCTGCCGTCTCTGGAGGATTTATAAGGATCTGTTATCCCAGGGATTATGCACATTTTCTGTTGGCTTAGGTGTCAACCATCTGCAGTGTAACTGGAGCTGTGATATGCCTGCCGAGATCATGATTACAATCACAGCTCAATGGTCGCAGCAATGCCAGAGTCAGGAGCGTGAAGGACATCAGATCTCAAGCCTGCTTGAAAAATCTATCCATGTTCACTTCTGCTTCCCCTTCCGGTGTTCAGTAGAAGACCAGCATCAGTGCCACGTACAGATTTCTCCCAAAGGCCCCACAACTAGTGCCTGCGCTGCTGGCACCTGAGTACTGATGTACGGAGTCAGGTGGCAGGACCACAGCAAGCATTCCATTCTACTTCTACAAGCAACCTACAAGTTATCCTTTCAGGGGCTACCCTTGATGTGCATTTTAGCCAGATTTCACTAAGAAATAAATATTCTGAATGAGAATAAAGGGAAGGAAACCAAACGTATAACAAGGTCTGGCCCTCTTCTTTTCAAAATGGCCAAAACTGACCACATCTCTGATATTCTCTGTGCACTCAGAGCTGCTATAAGCCAAAATATGTCTATGCCCGGCCTCAACCCAAGCAAAGAGCTAAAGGGTAGTGTAACTGCCCCTCCTTGTCATAAAAACAGACCTGGAGGGTACCTGAAAGTGCCCTTTCCTTGGGCCAGGTAGGAGGAAGCACATTGCTCAGCACAACCTCCGAAGTGTGATGGAGAGAGCTGGGCCTAACATAACAAAGCAATCCTAGCCACACTGCAAGGCTTATTATAAATTCCATCTTCAACATTATGACTTCCCAATTCACTTCTGCTCCCAGAAACTGCCTCTTTCCTCTGAGTGCAAACCCTAACACCTCTAATATTTCTCTATGTGCCAAAGTGGTCAAAGCAACAACAACAAAAAAGACAATTATTGATAGACAAAACCAAAAAATCCATGACTAAGGTGCCAAATTCTGGCATGGCTGGTGCACAAGCAAGATCATCAGAATGTGATCCCTCTCTGGCTCCTGGCTCCGCTTTCCCCCATGTGGCTCCATTCTTACCCAAGACATAGCACAATGGCTACCAGCAGCTTTAGGCTTTACATTCTATTTTCTCAGCAGCCCCAGCAGAAAGGCATGCCTCTTTCCCAAAAGTTCCAACAAAAGTCACAGAAGTGAATCTCTGGCTCCCAAAAGCCTGGCTGACCACATGCCCTAAACCAATCACCATAGCCAGGGTGATGCAACTGTCCATGAGGCCATGAGAGGATCCTCCTAGATGTGTCAATAGGCGAGGTCCACCCCAACCACATGGTCCAAGAGTAGTTTGTTTGTCTAAGGAAAATCAAAGTGCTACGTAAAGAAGAAAAGGAAATTAATGCTGGGCTGGCAGAAACAACCAAAGCACAACTATGCCCTAACCTAGGGCCAGAATGATGGCACTAGCTCTATGAGAGGGGGCAATTCATGTGTGTTTTCTCCTCTGTTTCCAAACTTTCTGTAATGTTATTATATTGTCTTTATTTTTTAAATGGGGGTGTAGGGCATGGGGTAAAGAAAAAGAAAAGCAATGCTTAGTTCTAAATAAATGGAGATATGATCATGTAAAGGTCAAGGGTTTCCTGCAGAATAAGAAAATCTCCAATCTGTAATATTAGGTTATCCTTTTTAATGCCTCTCCATGTGTATAATCTCATGTGGTCAGTTTTAAAAGTCACTCCTTCTGAAGATGACCTAATAAGACAAATGGCATCATGAACTGCCTTCCAAATGATTTCTGCTTCATGAAATTGTCTCGTTCTAAATCCACGAGCATGATTCCAAAACAATTCAAGGTAAAGGTGTGTGATGTTTTCAAAAAATCCAAGAAAAAGATATTTTAACTGGTTCTAAATGCTATGAGGAAACATCTAGTACTATAAAGATTCCTTAGCCTAGCAGATCCAAGACCCTCCTTGATCCAGCCCCAATCTGTCTCTCTAGTTTTGTCTCCTAGTATACCGAACCAAGAATGCCACACTCATCAACACTGGTCCATTTCTATTCCAGCAACCCACCAAGCATTCTCATGATTCCTGTCTTCTTTCACCCAGTTCACTGGGAAATGCCCTCAGACTATTCTTTGCCTATAAAATCCTTCTCATCTTTAAAGGCCCAATTCAAACACCACATTTTCTAGGAAATATTCCCTTGCCCCCTTATTAAGTTCTCTTAATACTGAAGGCATATTATGAATACTCCTCTCTGACCCTTATTCCATTCTGCCTTAAATTATAGTAGTCTTGTGCTCCAAGTGGGCAAGGCCATTTCTACATATTTATAATCTCTTTCCTACCCTGACGATTGCAATTGAGTTGCTTATTTTATTTTATTTATTGTTTCATTGAGTGACAGAGGGCCCAAAGATAAGAAGATAGACTTGTTCCTCTATAAACTAGACAGGAAAATACATATTAATAGCAAATCTTTACTATTACGCACATAACATTTTCTGAAGAAGTTTATCATTTTATTTCCTTCTCCTAGTGACAAAAGAGAAGAGGAAAATGGTTATGATCCCTACTAAGTAAGAAAAGAAGGTCTAAGAATGAAACTGAGCTCTCCTCGCTATAATCTGACTTCAGCAATCATCTGAAATTGGGAGTAGAGTTAAAAATAAAGCTCCCACCCAAAGGCAGCCAGGATACAACCCAGTTACGCTGAGTCAGCATCTTTCTAGAGACACTTCCCAGGCAGTTAGATATAGCCGTGCACAGTCCTCTGGGCCAGAGCCTGGAGCTAATGAGGGAATCTGGGAAGGAGCAGTGAGACTTTTAACAAAAGAGCCCCACAAGCCATCGCGTTCATATTATGCCTCTTCAAAATGTCCCAGTTCCTTTCTCACCGTCAAGTATCACCACACTGACAAACAGGGGAGGTTGGAGTGATGAACATTTCATGAGCCATGGGATGTTTCTGTAATTCTCAGCATCAGAACACTTTTTTTTTATACACGACAAACAGCAGGGAAAGGCACACATTTTATTTTTCCATAGATATGACTTGTAAACGTCTAACTCACCTGCCCTTTCAGTACTTTTAAAGTGCTTTTCTTCTGAGAGAAATAACACCCATTTAGGTTTTCCATCAAGTCTGGGTGATAAAATGGGTACTTTCACATCAGAAAGTGGACTCATTGTAAATGTGAGATATGTCAGGGGAGGATAGCCTGGACTCTCTCAGGCTATAAAAGTGACATTTAACTACCTAATATCAGACATTGTTAACAGCAGCAATTGCTAACAAGTCTGACCCCAACTCTCATCAGTTAAGAACATTTTGGACACAGCCAGGAGCAGTGGCTCACGCCTGTAATCCCAGCACTTTGGCAGGCCAAGGCAGGTGGATCATCTGAGATCAGGAGATCTAGACCATCATGGCCAACATTGTGAGACCCTATCTCTACTAAAAATACAAAATTAGCTGTGTGTGGTGGCGCATGCCTGTAATCCCAGCTGCTCAGGAGGCTGAGTGAGACAGGAGAATCGCTTGAACCCGGGAGGTGGAGGCTGCAGTGAGCCAAGATTGCGCCACTGCACTCCAGACTGGGTGACAGAGCGAGACTCCATCTCAAAAAAAAAAAAAAAAAAAAAAAGAACACTTAGGACACAAATATGTTCTATGCATCTGGCAGGAGCAGGAAGATCCCTGGTTGTGTGAATATTTTTGCTACTATTCTATTTCTGCTCATGTTTTCTAAGAATCTCAATGTTGAGTATCTTAAAGATAATGTAGCCAAACCTTTAGCTTAGAGATCACAAACTTGTAGTCCACATTTTTTGCTCCTTTAAAATTCCTATAGTTATTTACAACAGTAATTTCAAGTGTGATTTGTCCATTTTTTTGGCAACAATGATCATGATTTTTCATATATAAATAACACTTTATAGCTTACAAAACACTTTTTCACACATTATTATTTAAATTCTCAGTGTCTCTGCTAATTGTTCCAAGCTTACCTAGCTACCCCTCAAACTATACTATTTTACAAAGGCACAAAAATATTTTAAAACCCCACAATTTCTTGTAAATTTGTTTGAGCTCATTGTAGATTCTGGATATTAGCCCTTTGTCAGATGAGTAGGTTGCGAAAATTTTCTCCCATTTTCTGGGTTGCCTGTTCACTCTGATGGTAGTTTCTTTTGCTGTGTAGAAGCTCTTTAGTTTAATTAGAACCCATTTGTCAATTTTGGCTTTTGTTGCCATTGCTTTTAGTGTTTTAGACATGAAGTCCTTGCCTGTGCCTATGTCCTCAATGGTAATGCCTAGGTTTTCTCCTAGGGTTTTTATGGTTTTAGGTCTAACGTTTAAATCTTTAATCCATCTTGAATTGATTTTTGTATAAGGTGTAAGGAAGGGATCCAGTTTCAGCTTTCTACATATGGCTAGCCAGTTTTCCCAGCACCATTTATTAAATAGGGAATCCTTTCCCCATTGCTTGTTTTTCTCAGGTTTGTCAAAGATCAGATAGTTGTAGACATGCGGCGTTATTTCTGAGGGCTCTGTTCTGTTCCATTGATCTAGATCTCTGTTTTGATACCAGTACCATGCTGTTTTGGTTACTGTAGCCTTGTAGTATAGTTTGAAGTCAGGTAGCGTGATGCCTCCAGCTTTGTTCTTTTGGCTTAGGATTGACTTGGCCACACGGGCTCTTTTTTGGTTCCGTATGAACTTTAAAGTAGTTTTTTCCAATTCTGTGAAGAAAGTCATTGGTAGCTTGATGGGGATGGCAATGAATCTATAAATTACCTTGGGCAGTATGGCCATTTTCACGATATTGATTCTTCCTACCCATGAGCATGGAATGTTCTTCCATTTGTTTGTATCCTCTTTTATCTCATTGAGCAGTGGTTTGTAGTTCTCCTTGAAGAGGTCCTTCACATCCCTTGTAAGTTGGATTCCTAGGTATTTTATTCTCTTTGAAGCAATTGTGAATGGGAGTTCACTCATGATTTGGCTGTTTGTCTTATTGGTGTATAAGAATGCTTGTGATTTTTGTACATTGACTTTGTATCCTGAGACTTTGCTGAAGTTGCTTATCAGCTTAAGGAGATTTTGGGCTGAGACAATGGGGTTTTCTAGATATACAATCATGTCATCTGCAAACAGGGACAATTGGACTTCCTCTTTTCCTAATTGAATACCCTTTATTTCCTTCTCCTGCCTAATTGCCCTGGCCAGAACTTCCAACACTATGTTGAATAGGAGTGGTGAGAGAGGGCATCCCTGTCTTGTGCCAGTTTTCAAAGGGAATGCTTCCAGTTTTTGCCCATTCAGTATGATATTGGCTGTGGGTTTGTCATAGATAGCTCTTATTATTTTGAGATACGTCCCATCAATACCTAATTTATTGAGAGTTTTTAGCATGAAGGGTTGTTGAATTTTGTCAAAGGCCTTTTCTGCATCTGTTGAGATAATCATGTGGTTTTTGTCTTTGGTTCTGTTTATATGCTGGATTACATTTATTGATTTGTGCATATTGAACCAGCCTTGCATCCCAGGGATGAAGCCCACTTGATCATGGTGGATAAGCTTTTTGATGTGCTGCTGGATTCAGTTTGCCAGTATTTTATTGAGGATTTCTGCATCAATGTTCATCAAGGATATTGGTCTAAAATTCTCTTTTTTGGTTGTGTCTCTGCCCGGCTTTGGTATCAGAATGATGCTGGCCTCATAAAATGAGTTAGGGAGGTTTCCCTCTTTTTCTATTGATTGGAGTAGTTTCAGAAGGAATGGTACCAGTTCCTCCCTGTACCTCTGGTAGAATTCGGCTGTGAATCCATCTGGTCCTGGACTCTATTTGGTTGGTAAAGTATTGATTATTACCGCAATTTCAGCTCCTGTTATTGGTCTATTCAGAGATTCAACTTCTTCCTGGTTTAGTCTTGGGAGAGTGTATGTGTCGAGGAATTTATCCATTTCTTCTAGATTTTCTAGTTTATTTGCATAGAGGTGTTTGTAGTATTCTCTGATGGTAGTTTGTATTTCTGTGGGATCGGTGGTGGGCGAAGGACATGAACAGACACTTCTCAAAAGAAGACATTTATGCAGCCAAAAAACACATGAAAAAATGCTCACCATAACTGGCCATCAGAGAAATGCAAATCAAAACCACAATGAGATATCATCTCACACCAGTTAGAATGGCAATCATTAAAAAGTCAGGAAACAACAGGTGCTGGAGAGGATGTGGAGAAATAGGAACACTTTTACACTGTTGGTGGGACTGTAAACTAGTTCAACCATTGTGGAAGTCAGTGTGGCGATTCCTCAGGGATCTAGAACTAGAAATACCATTTGACCCAGCCATCCCATTACTGGGTATATACCCAAAGGACTATAAATCATGCTGCTATAAAGACACATGCACACGTATGTTTATTGTGGCACTATTCACAATAGCAAAGACTTGGAACCAACCCAAATGTCCAACAATGATAGACTGGATTAAGAAAATGTGGTACATATACAACATGGAATACTATGCAGCCATAAAAAATGATGAGTTCATGTTCTTTGTAGGGACATGGATGAAATTGGAAATCATCATTCTCAGTAAACTATGTCAAGAACAAAAAACCAAACACCGCATATTCTCACTCACAGGTGGGAACTGAACAATGGGAACACATGGACACAGGAGGGGGAACATCACACTCTGGGGACTGTTGTGGGGTTGGGGGAGAGGGGAGGGATAGCATTGGGAGATATACCTAATGCTAGATGACGAGGCGGGGAGGGATAGCATTGGGAGATATACCTAATGCTAGATGACAAGTTAGTGGGTGCAGCGCACCAGCATGTCACATGTATACATATGTAACTAACCTGCACATTGTGCACATGTAGCCTAAAACTTAAAGTATAATAAAAAAAGAAAAAATAATAATAAAACCCCGCAATTTGCTTTTACATAGTAAAATAAAATGTTTTTCTTTTTTTTTTTTTTTTTTCAGATCAATGTTTAATGATAGGTTTACACAGTTGTGTGATAGCTTCTGTTGGCACAGGAAACACTACTACATACTCAGAAACATACTTCTATTACTTCCCATGATCACAATAGCAACCAGGTTTAATATTACTTCCCCTGTTTACATACACAGAAACTCAGATTAAAAAAAAAATCTATCCAGTGCTAAGTAGCCAATAAATGGCAAAGACTGAACTTGAACCCGTATCTAATTAACTTTAAATCATGTGCATTTTCTACTCAACCACTCTCCACTTAGCTACTTAATGCATTCTTCTAGTTAATTTTAGCATCACAGGACAGAAAAAAAATACCTTTAAAAAAGACATTTAGAGTGAATGTGTGTGTGTGTGCGTGTGTGTATATATACATATATATATGCTTTCACTTAAGTTGCAAATCATAGCATGCTCCGGTAGTATAAGGAAACTGTTCATAGGTCTAAAATATGGTCTTAAACATATTTTTAAGTGTTAATTTTTAAAGTAACTTTTTAACCATACAGAAAGGGAAGTGAACATACCTCTGGAAACACCACCCAGATCAGTGATGATCCTTGCCTCATACTGCTGTACAGCAAAAATAATCACTGCCATAGATGTGTTTTGGCTGTCTTTTGATCTTTATACACACAGAATCATTTTTTTATTATACTTTAAGTTTTAGGGTACATGTGCACAATGTGCAGGTTAGTTACATATGTATACATGTGCCATGTTGCTGTGCTGCACCCATTAACTCGTCATTTAACATGTTAATGCTATCCCTCCCCACTCCCCCCATCCCAAAGAATGAAAGAATTACAGGATTGTATCTCAGAAATGTTTGCGCTTCATAATTCACTATTAGCAACACAAACTTACCAAAGGCCTATAATAGCATTCCAATTTTTTAAACCTTAAATTCAGAAATACAATTTTAATCCAGAGCTAGTCATGAATCATAATTAAAGCGTGTTTAGCAGATACATGCAAATATCAAACAATCTTAACCAAAGTGCCATATTCCAAATTACTTGGTATTTGCAGAAGATAAGGCAGCACTACAGGACAGAGGAGAGTTAACAAAGACCAGAAGCGGGGGAAAGAAAGAATGAATGGGTGAGTTGTTATCCTGATAATCAAAAATTCACATTTCCCAAAACCCAACAGTCCAAAGGCAAGACAGGCCAATTCCTTAAGTGGAATAATATTGGAAGCCATGAAGCTCACAATGGCACTTCCATTCAACTACTAATGCACAAAATTCTACCAGAAATGCATCCCTCTGAGGATCTGGCCCTATTAAATTCTCATCCTTCTCTGGACAGACTAGAAAATGTAGGGTATACAATACAAGCTGCTCTTAGCTACCTGCACTCTGTGTAAGGACAGTCTACAAGAGGGAACTTTTTGAAGGTGAAGAGCTGATGATGAAGTAATGATACCATGTATTAAGTGACTTATGTCCTAAGCTTTTTACAGCTACCATCTCATTTAGTCCCCACAGAAGTACTACAAATAAGGTATTTTTAATCACATTTTATGTATAAGAAAGCCAAGGCCCAGAAGAGGTAGGTCATTTACCCACGGTTCAGGAGGAACAAACGAAGAAACTGGGGTCAGAGCCGGACTATCAGGGAAACTAAATTGATGATACACTGATGCTGAGTCAATGACCTTGGGCTCCTTATAAAGGAGCCTCAGTATTGAAATAATTAAGCACTGAAGTAAGCACTGAAGTAATACTGACTATAGGTGATAAAGTGGTCCCAGGTCTCCATCTGCAAGAAAACAAACAGGGAGATCAAGAGAGGGAAAGTCTCTTCCTTCTTCTCTCTTCCTTTCCCTTCCCTTATTTTCACTTCTCTTCTCTCTTTGCTCTCTCTCTCTTTCTCTCTCTCTCTCTCTCACACACATACACGCACACACACACCACCCACTTAAATTCAAAGGATACAGGTAAATAGAAAGCTTAAATCATTTAATAAGCAATGAATTTATAATTACAACTCCTAATTCTTAAGGATTCTGCCATAACAAGGGTATATATTTACAGAGACAAAAGGAATTGAGTGTAAGGGGAACTTCAATTTATGGGAAGAAGAAGGTCGTCAAAAAATAGCATTAAACTTTGCCTCAGATTTCAACAAAGGATACCAGCATGTGGGGTGCTCCCTAAGTATAACTGGTATTAAAAATTAATCAGGTCTGGAATGGGATATTTCCTGGCTTTGCCAAGCAAAAAAGTTAGGTAATTTAATATTGATATTAACAAAGATGAAGGGAATGGTTATTTGGTTTTCACTTTGTTAGGAACTTCCCTAAAGGGCTTGGTATTCTTAAATAGCATTTCACCCAGGAGAAGAGTTTTAGAGACCACAAAGTGAAACCAAATCATGTAAAACGGAAACTGGTCAATTAGCTCTGACTGCAGTATGCTATTTGTGAAGGCAACAAAGAGAAAACACTTAAGTCTGAATACTTACATGTCTCACAAACGTTTGTTAATGGTAGTATTAGAAATAACTGAAACGCAAAGGATAAAAACTAAGTCCTAGAATACATCAAACTCAAAGTCACTGAAAGTGCTATAGTCAGTCTGATCGATTGTGCTAATACCCACCACCAATCACATTTCATCAGGATCTCAACAGTGATTTTCTTTATGAGGAAAAGTTTTTAACTCCTGAAAAACTAGAAATAACCAAAGTCCTAAAATACAAGAAAAGGAGCAAGGTATAATAAAAAGGCATTTGACCAAATTTCAGACTTGTTTCTCCTTGGTGTTCTTGGGCCAACCACTCCATGTCTTATGCACCATATATTTTTACCTACCAAATAAGGAGGTCAAGCCAGATAAACTCTGGAGTCTAACATTCTCTGATTTCATGAGGTATCCTTGACTGAATGTTTAAAAATCTACTCTATTCAAATGTTTTATACTATCTATAGATAGATAGATAGATAGATAGATAGATAGATAGATAGATAGATAGATAGATACAGAGAGGATCTCAACATTGCCCAGGCTGGAATGCAGTGGCGTGATGGCATCTCACTGCAGTCTTGAAATCCCAGGCTCAAGTGATTCTC
Source organism: Homo sapiens (assembly GCF_000001405.40). NCBI lineage: Eukaryota > Metazoa > Chordata > Mammalia > Primates > Hominidae > Homo > Homo sapiens. The sequence goes on from NC_000003.12 coordinate 4,271,612, forward strand.
CCGCCTCAGTCTCCCAAGTAGCTGGGACTCCAGGAGCATGCCAGCATGCCCAGCTAATTAATTTTATTTTGTAGAGACAGGGGTCTCACTCTGTTGCCCAGGCTACTCTCAAACTCCTAGCCTCAAGCTATCCTCCTACCTTGGTCTCCCAAAGTGCTGGGATTACAAGAATGAGCCAACCTGGTCTATGCCATCAATTTAAACATTAATTAAAAACTAAAATCATAGCTTGTGCTCAGAAGTGTCCCTAAAAAGGAGTTCCTCGGAATTCTGCTTCTCTTAGAGCACGCAAATGAAGACTATTCCTACATAGCCTCTGGTTGATGTAAGATAAGCCAAGAAAAAATATTTTTTCTTAAGAACAAAGTGCTGGGAATCTCTGTCATAATTAAATTCTTCTTTATCTCACTACATGACTGCCCTCTCTTGGTAGATACTGAGATAACAGAAGCTGATTTCCTGACCCGGACTGGAATTTGGCTTCAGGTTTCAAGAAAATATTCTTGATTCTTGCCAGTAGGGAAATCTACTTAATAAGGCAAGTGTAAATGTAATCTGTAATATTTAAAAGATAGCGATTTGTTGTTTTCAAGGTTGGTTTCCTGAGAGATGAACAATACTGTGCAGGAAACATTAGGAAAAGCTCGGGATCAACCCTTTCTCTGGCGGACTGGAGGAAAACGCAGAGGCTGGGCTGTAATGTGGTTCCAACAAGGGCTTTAATCGACCCGACAGAGAATTCTGAAACTGGCTGGACCTTCGGAATTGTTCTGAGTTGGGACAAGAAGACTAGGCCTTCACATCCTCACATCAACCAGCCGTTGGATACAGGCTGTCCATGGCCCTGGACAAGGAGCTATGACCCTGAGCAAGGTGACTCTTCCTCTAAGAACAGTTTCTGACGGGGGCTGACACAAGGAAACTATCAGGTAGCAGCAGACCTGGAAGCGGGAGGAGCAGACCTTTCAGACCTGAGGGAGAACCTGGGTGTGGCATCACAGTGTCTGCTACATAATTATTCTATACTGCCGTTAATAACTGTTTCTTAAAAAACACAGTGGCAAAAAGTGTAACTAATCTTGCAATGATTACAAAAATCAAAGGTAATAAATATACGAAATGATGCAGCCACGGTGGAAAGCAATTTGGCAGTTTCTTTAAAAATTAAATTTACCATATGGGCCAAGTACTGTGGCTCATACTTGTAATCCCAGCACTGTGGGAGCCCAAAGTAGGAGGATCACTTGAGGCCAGGAGTTTGAGACCAACCTGGGCAATATAGCCAGACAGCATCTCTACAGAAAAGTTTAAAAATTAGCGAGGCATCGTGTTACGCACCTGTAGTCCTGGCTACACAGGAGGCCAAGGCAGGAGGAATTCGAGGCTACTGTGAGCTATGATCATGCCACTGCAACTCCAGCCTGGGTGACAGAGTGAGGCTCTGTCTCCAAAATATATACATATATATAAATATATATACACACATATATATATACATATATATATACACACACATATATATATATATAGAATTTACCATATGGTCCAGTAATTCCACTCCTAGATGGAAGAGAAGTAAAAACATGTTTGTCCACACAAACACATACACAGGAATGTTCATAATAGCATTTTTCATAATGGGCAAAAAATGGAAACATTCCAAGTTCTATCAATTTGTGAATGGACAAACAAAATGTGTTATGCCTATAGAATGAAATAGTATTTGGCAATAAAAAGGAACAAAGTACTGATACATGCTACAACATGAATGAACTTCAAAATATGCTTTAAAACCCTAAAGCAACAGACTACATATTATATGATTCCATTTATATGAAATGTCTAGAAAAATATCTATAGAAACAGAAAGTAGATCAACGACTGCCTGAGGCTGAAGGCGGAAACAGAGGATGACTGAAAATGTCATGAGCAATCTTTGGAGATCATAGAAATGTTCCAACATTGAATTGTGATGGCACCACTCTGTGAATGTACTAAAAATCTTTTAACTATATACTTAAAATGAGTAAATTTTACATTAAGTAAATTATACTCAATAAAGCAGAAAGAAGGAAGGGAGGGAGGATACGGGAGGGAGGATACGGGAGGGAGGATACGGGAGGGAGGATACGGGAGGGAGGATACGGGAGGGGAGGATACGGGAGGGGAGGATACGGGAGGGGAGGGCATGGGAGGGGAGGGCATGGGAGGGGAGGGCATGGCAAGGGAGGGCATGGGAAGGCAGGGCAGGTCATGATGTTCCTGGTGGCCGACTCTGATCAGTGTTGTTTCTTTTTTTTAATCTAAACATAGGATATGGGGTTAAAATAATAGCCTAGTCTGCATCTGTCAGAATACGTCATATCAGCAGGTCCCTGGACCTCAATGTTTAGCATCTAAATTCACTTTGGGGAAAACTCAATATAAACAGGGCCCATAAACAGTATGATAGTTACCTCCCTAAAGCAGCTGGTAGGAGACTGCCCAGTCATACTAAAAACAAACAAACAAACAAACCACTCTAAGATATACACTTTCAATGTATGTCTAAAATCTCCATCTTCATCAGTCTGACAAAACTATTCTTCCTCCCTTCTACACATATACCTAGGCTTAATAATAATACCATGTTTGACCAACTTCCCTTTTCAAGATTGCCCTTGATGTTCACTTTTACCCAATTTCACCAAGAAACTAAATTTGTAGGGGGCAAAGGGAGAAGTGAGGATGGGGAGGGAAAAGACCTAGGTATCTAAGCTCTACTGAAAGCATACTATATTCGGCACTGTACTTGTTATATATTATGTCACTTAGTCTAACTACAATTCTGTGGAGGGACATTATTCTTATTTAATGAATAAGAAAGCAGAGGCTAAGAGGATTAAGCCATTCATCTGAAATCAGCCAGGATGGTAATAAGATAAACATAGGTAAGACTATATAAACAAGATAATACAAAAATATCAGACTACTTTGCAATTGTCTTTTTGGAGTTAGGCAGCCAGACTCTGCCCCTATGAATAGGGATAGGTTTTCCCCTGAAAAAACTGAATATCCCACTGTAAAACATCCTGGGAAGAAGTTTTTCCTGCAGCTGAAAATGAATCTCTGGAAATAAAAAGCTTCTCTCTGGTCACCCTGCTTAGGAGACGAAAATTCATAAAAATCTAGACTGACAGAAAAAACTAGACCAGGTAATAGGAAGCTGGTCTGGAATCACAGGTTGAATTCTGCAGAAGCAGCTGTCAAGACAGTGTTTAGGGTCAAAATATTTATTACGGAATAACACCAATGAAAGGAGGGTCAAGGAAGCAGAACTGGACAAAGGAAAAAGTCCAAATGTCAAACAGGCCTGATGAAGCCCTGATCACACCAGAGGGCATCTCCAGAGCAAGCATTACCCATCAGAAGTGTTCTGTGATGCATCTCCGTGTCTCCCAAACCTAGGAACAGACCCTAGGGTTGGTCTGGGTTTTTGAGCAGTTGAAAATTAGCCTCCAGACTGTACATTCTTTTCTTTATAGTCTGCCCTTGGTTGCGCTATGAGAAATTAGAAAAAGACCTGATCGTGGTAGAATAATAGAAGCAAGAAATGAAGTAGTTAGAACGACTTCAGCTCTAAACACAGTTTTAGTTTGTTGAAATAATATGTATTGTCTCATATACAATATGAGATGTTCACAGGCAGAGAAATTGCAGAGTTGGCATGATTGGGGCACCACTTCCCTCTGTGATATGGGTTCTCTCCTCTGTGTTGGCTTCATCCTTAGGATGGCAGTAAAATGGACTACTTCCAGATATAACATTCAACAGGGCAATGTCAAGAGGCAGAAGAGGGATGGTCTCTTCTGGTGCATTCTTCATAAGACCAAGAAAACCTTTCCCAGAACTCCCCACCTCCATCCCAGCAGACCTTCCCTCACATCTTATTTGTCAGAACAAGACACATGTCACTCCTAAACCAATCACTGGTGATCCCTTTGGAATAGTCAACACCAGCTTAGTCTATTCAGGACCTATCTGCTGTAACTGGGGATGAGGCCAACTTCTCCCAAAGTACTTAGCTCTGGGGAGAAGAGATGGATGTTTGGACAAAATCAGAATTCTCTCGGGAAGAAGACAAAAGCAAAAAGTTAGTTGAGTAGGTAACCTACAATGTTCTCTACATAAGGACACTATTGCTGAAGTCAGTAAATGTCACTTAGCCAAGCAACTATGGTACAAGCGTCAGAACTAGCAGAAGCACGAGCTTTAGAACAGTAGCAGAAAATAATCATATTGGCCTGTTTCTGCTCACATACTAGAATCCTAAGAAAACCTGGATCATTAAAAAATATTTTTTTAACTCCTAGAAGGCTAATTTCCCAAATCAGTTTCATTTCTCTGTAGTTCTGGTTAACCTATCCATAAGAAATAAAATACTCAAGCCCTGATCTGTGTGGTTCCAAGTTCATGAGTTCAAGCACAAGACATTAATTTTTCTCAGATTCCATCTTCCCTGGGGAAATTTATTGTCCAGAAATCCACCCCCATGGCCCAGCATCATTCTCTGATAAGAGATTTGAAGGGATATTTTACAGGGGACAACAGGCATGATTAACTGCTGTGGGAATGGACAGATAATAATATTTATTGCATTTCCTAAAACTGAGGCTATAAGGCAGCACATTATGAATATGCATGTTGATTTAAATGAAGAAATAGCCTAAAAAGACATAATATGTTTAACTGATTTCTCAAAATGCTTTGTTATATTCAAAATATAACTATCTTTTACTATGACAAAGTACAAGTTTTGAGCGTAATTAAAAATCAGCAGAATATTCCAATACTCTGTTGTAGAAGTAGCCTTGTTTCCATTAAAAGAAGAAATTATTTCTTTGAAAATCATTTGTACCACCAGCTCCACCACTCATTGGATGGTGGTCTTAAGTTCTTGGGGTCTCCTCATTCCTTCCTTTATAAAATGCACATGATTTATCAGTTCCTTCTCAACCCCACAATTTATTATTGCAAGATATAATTGATTCCAGGAATCAGTCATATTGTGCCATATCATAAATTTTCTATGGTTCTTGGGAACAACAAGCTACGGTATTTCTTTTTGTTTTCCTGTTTTCCAAATATGGCTTCATAGGCTTTATGCCTGTAATGTATGTCTTTCTTTAGTGGCTTTTTATTTTCTAGGTAAATTCCCATACTGTGCATTTTATTATTAGTCATTTAAACCATAATTTTGTAAAATACAGCAATGTTTAAAAACCTTGACAAAATAAGTATATAGATCTGGACACAATAATCTCCCACTGTCTTAAATAAGTTCACACTTTCAGCCTTCAGGATGTTCTGAGGGAAGATGGGGATGGTGGAAAGGAAAGAAAGATGAGGTAAAATATCAAACACATCATTTTAGATCTGGAAGACTTTGGAGATAATCTAATCCAGTGGTTCCCAAACCTTGTTAGGCAGTCTATTATACGCGGAACCTGCTTAATAAACTATCCTCCTCACTCCCAATCCCCCAATCCCTAAACAAACTGAACGTCTGTATTTTTATCAAGTTCATCAGGTATTCTGAAGCACAGGCAGGTCTAGGAACCATTGATATAGTCTAATCACATTATTTAACAAAGGAGAAAAATAAAATTCAAATAAAGAATGAAGACAAAATGAAAATACCCAGGTCTCCTTTCCCAAAAGCCTGGTGTTCTTTCCATTACCTTATCAACATAAATTATAATTACATATAAATAATATGTCTAACATTAAATTAAAAACCACTTACAACTATTTGGATCAAAGGAGAAAGATTACCCAGGACAGTACAAGAAAATGAGGGTCAACTAGAGGAAAACTTAACATCACATAGAGAGATCCAGACCTAATAAGAAGAACAGAGGGAACTGGAGGAAAAGAAGCAGGAGACAGGAAAGACAGGGATGCTATGCAAATTAGTGAGGGAAAATAGACACAGTAGGACCTTGAATTAAACTCAAAATGAAAAACGTTTATAATCTTTACATCTAGGAGGCTCAGAAGAACTGGCATAAATGAGAATGACTTTATATGTTCCATTTCTGGATTACACTTTCTCAATCAGCATAATAATCTGTGGATGGACAGATTGCAACAGACCACTATCAGCAGTGTTAGAGTACCTCCATTAAATAATAGGCCAATAACGAGGTCACCACAGCCTAGGAAGAGCTTCCTCTGGGGTCTCCCATTTCCACAAGTACCTTTAAACAGGGCCCATCCAAAGTTTTAAGGTATTGACGTGGTAATCTAATCATCACTATCATTATCATCAAATTATCATCATCAATTAAAAAAATGTATGCAGTTAAAGTACAGCAGTTATCAAAGGAAAAAATTATGTAGAGAATGTTTGAACTACAAAATGAATTTCTTTTTTCGCTACAACACAAGAGAGGAGTTTGGTCCCAAGTATTTTAACATGTTAATTGAACACCCAGATTTGTTTGGCTGATATTTTTGGCACGTTTATTTTCTTAATATTTCAATAGAACAAAAGGACTGCAACATCTTTTTGGATGGCATATGAGATCAAAGGACAAAAGCAAATTTTAAAACCTTGGAAAAATATTATGGCATGTTCTATAATTTATCAATAATTATCAGTGAAGTAGGTAATAATCTTGATATATTGTACCAACTACCTTATTAATTTGATGAAACTTCTGAATTTTGTTTTCCATTAAAGGAGATCAAATCATAGGACATGCATTAATCTCAAACCTATTACCTTTAATGAAAGGTCATTTAAATTTGGCTATAATTTTAAAGGAGAAATTGTTAGAATTAACTACTGATAAAAAATTGAAGATGAATTTTGAAAATACAGGATGACTTGCTTAATTCTGAGCAAAATTTTAAAAAGAACATCCTAAGCTTGCTAAACTTTTCTAAAAATCTCTTCATATATAACAATCAAATACGTCTATGAGACTGGTTTCTCTACTAGGAGTGTTATTAAAACAGACAACAGAAACCGTTTAGACATACGTTATCTCCCTCAAGTGGCACTGTCATCAGTCGAACCAAGATTAGATAAATTAACAAGCAAAAAGCAAGCTTATTTGTCACATCGATGGCAGTGAGTCTTGATATACATGGTATTCTTTCAAAATGGGTTATAGGTATATAATAAAAGAAACCCCGGGTTCACTTTTAACATTGTATTTATTTATAATGGTGGAACAATAAAAACTTCTAAAAATAATAAAAATTCCCCATAGTAGCTATTCTCAAATTTTTTCATGCCTTTTACATCAGACAAATGATTGAGGATACCAGAGTACCCTTTAAGAACCACTGCTCTGTGTTTATCATCTAGGCTTTGTAGTTTGTATGCATTTCTAATTTTATTTTTATGATAATTTGTGTTTACTGTATTTTACAAAAGTATTGGTCTACAAAGGATTGGAAAATTTTTTTTAAACAAAACAAAACTTGACACTTTTGCCACATGTAGTTTGAGAAGAATTGCTCTAATGCAACCCTGCATGACTAAGTTAGACATTTCTAGTCTAACACCAGCCACTTCATTTGACAGATTATTAGTATTACACTGAAGTACTATATGAAAGTCATGGTAACCTAAAATAGTTCATTAAAAGTCAGATATGTGAAGAAAATCATGTAAATACCTTTAACCTTTTATTGTCAATTTATAATCTCACAATGTAGAAACAAAACAATCAAGGGCCTCTAAGAAGTCATATATGGGTTTTTACTAGCTAAAAGAATGAAAACAGCCTGCATGCCCATCAACAATTAAATACATTATGACACACAATCATACAACAAAATAGTATAAAGCCATGAAGAATGAGGTAGCTTAGTGTGTGCTGATTCACAACTCTCTCCAAGATATACTGGAAAGTAGAGAAGCAAGTTACAAATAGTAGGCGCTATGATCCAACTTATATGAGAACCAATCTGAGGAGATGCCATTGAGCTGGGAATGCATTCTCTGTGGGAGGTGAAGGTTCATCACAGCAGAGCTGGAAGCAATAAATGCAAAAAAAAAATAAAGCCATGTTGTGTTTATACTCTGACAAGAGACTCATAATACGAACCAAGTTACATATGCCACCTCAGCAGGCTGGAAGATAATTTTTTAAATGGAACCACTTTTTCCCAGTTCCTGGCTTTATTTAGGGAACCCATTTCCTAAAATTATCAACTTTAGGATGCATAAAAATTAGTGTACCAGATGGCATACACACCAAAAAACTGCATGTACTATATCTTATGAGACACTTTTTAAAGATTTTTAAATTTAATTTTGGCTATATAGTCAAGCTAACTTTAAAGAATCCTTAAAGCTGTATTCTTTAAAGGATGTGACTCAACTTTAGTAAAAACATATACATAAGAGATGACACTAGCCATCTGTAAGAAGACAACAATTCCAGTTTTGAAAACCACTAAGACAGTAGATTTTAAGTGTTCTTACCACACACAAAAAAGATGTTATGTGAGGTAGTACAGATGTTAATTAGTTCTCTTAAGCCATTCCACAATGTATACATATCTTAAAGCATCATGTTGTACATAATATATAGAATTTTTGTCAATTAAAAATTAAAATGTTTTAAAAAATTCCAAGAGGCATTTTATAAATGCACTACAAATGTAACCAAAGATGTAATCAAGAACACCCCGGGGTCCTAAAAAGCTTTAGCCTACTCCATTTAACTTAGGTTTGCTTGGTGCATACTGTATGTTGTGGACCACTGGGAATTCAAAGATGAAAAGTGCAATGGCTCTCTTCAAGTAGCTCACGGTCTAGAGGTACTGAACTTGAAGTACCTTGACTTAAAATTTTTTTTATAAAGCCAGATAATCTAATAGAGGAAAAAAAAAACACAGAGGCAGGAACCCCTTATGTGAGAGGAAGGCTTTATAGAGAAGGTAGCTTTGAGATGAAAATTTAAAAGGTTTGCGTATCAGTTTCCTGGGGCTGTCCTAACAACACGCCACAAACTGAGAAGTTTAAACAACAGAAATTTACCGTCTAACTATTCTGGAGGTTAGAAGTCCAACATCAAGGTGCGTGCTGGGCTCTGTTCCCTCTGAGGGTGGCTAGAGAAGAGCCTGTTCCAGGCCTCCCTCCTAGTGTCTGGTAGTTCCTTGGATTATGGCAGTATAACTCCAATCTTCAAATGGCATTCACCGTGTGTGTGTGTGTGTGTGTGTGTGTGTGTGTGTGTGTGTGTGTGTGTGTGTGTGTGTTCTGTGTCCAAACTTCTTTTTTTGATAAGGGCACAGTCATGTTGGATTAGGGCCCATCCTAATAATTTCATCTTAACCTGATCACCTGCAAAGACCCTATTTCCAAATAAGGTCACATTCACAAGTACTAGGAGTTAGGACTTCAACATCTTTGAGTGGGGTAACAGTGGGGGTCGGGGGGCCACAAATCAATCCATAACAGCTTGTCAAATGGAAAAGCAGGGACTGGGACTTCTGGGCGAGGAGAAAACCATATACAATGAAACTGCACAGATAAGAAGAGCATGGTGAAGAGTATAACATGCCCTTTGACGGAGCTCCTCTGTGCAGCTGATACAAGCCACAGAAAGACCACTCTACTTGCACTGTGAAGAAGAGATGTACAGGAGCTATATTACAGACAAGGAGACTCTTTGTGATGTTATTATAGCTTTGATTCAGGGAAGGGATGGTGGAGAGGGTTGATTTCACTGTGAGAGAGAGAGAAAAAGCCAGAGAAAAGGAAAGAGTAACTGAGATATATTGATCATCCACATTGGCTACTAGCTGTAAGTTACCTCATTTAGTCCTCATAACAATCCTATGCCATAGATATTGATAATTCCATTTTTACAGGTAAAGTAACTGAGATTCTCAAGTTTAATCCAAGGCCACACACTTAATAAGTAGCAGAACCAGCGCTCTGAGACTTGCCTGACCAAAAAAGCCAAAAAATCTCAGAGAGATGTTTACAGTTCAGGGATGAGAGAAAATAATTAGAAGAAGTAACAATTAGAAAGGTTTAGAATAATTTACATATTAAACAAACTTTTGGGGGAAAAAACAGGGGGAAAGGAAAATAAATATATGTATTTACATGAAACAATTGGAAGAGTTTACAATAAACCAATAAAAGTTATTACCTGGAGGGTAGAGTGGAAGGAGTACAGAAAGAAGAAGAAAAGTGGGAACAGGAGTGGAAATGAGACTCCTTAACACATATTTTTATATTCTTTTGAGTTTTTAATCCATGTGAACATACTTCCTCTTCAAAAAAACAACAAAAAAGATTTCAGAAAGAAAGACAAATTCAGTAAAATAGCAAAGACAAGCCAGAATGAAGAAGATTGTATAGGTATTTAGAAGCTGGCTTAAGTCTTTTGGTAAAAACTTACAACCTTAATTTTATTTAACATGACTGATTTGTCATTATCGTGATACATTTAATGTTGTCTAGAGCAAAGAGAAAACATCTTTAAAGACTCTGTGTGGGTTGAAAAGACAGTTAAATCCAGTAACAATGTAGGAAAAATTAGAATCAGTAATCCCTATTATCATTTTGTTAAACGTCTAATCTCCATGAAACATAAAATCAATGTACTTATCCAGCTGCAGAAAGAAATCACATTCAGATGAATACAAGGGAAAAAGCTTTATTGCAGTTTTACCAGAAGAAATACCTGGTTGCTAATAAAATACAGTACTAAGAATTTTGAATTTTGCCTTTTAAAGGGAAGAAATATACAGAGGGAAAGGATGTGGAGTTAATACACTGCTCTTCTTAATTTCTACAATAATTAGTTAGAATAAAAATCAATTCACACATACCTTCTACAATTTCTGTACTCCCTAATTCTTGCCTTATCAGAGCAAAGAAGTAACTACTTGGTACTGCGAGTGGGGAAAAATCCTTATGGTAACATGAATGGCTCTTAGACCACAGTTATTACAATTTCAACCCTTTTACACTAAATGGCACTTTCAGTGAAAATAACGATACCAGCGCAAGAGTGGAAAGTGGGAGAACTGTTGCTCAGTCAATTCTTATTTAGAGAAAGATTTTAAAAGAAAATCTTATTTTGAAACTTAAAAGTCATAAAACACTCTCTTAAAAGAAGGTATCTTGTTTTTGTCCTGCGTCAATCACATGTTCCTTTCTCCCATGACTGCCTTTGGAGACTTAATATCTCCAAACATACTACCAAACAAGAACTCCAAAAATGTCTTCATTGATTGACTACTCTGCTCAGTGAAAAATTATTTTTTTATTGGAAATGGCTGTCAGAGCTATTTTTATTGCTCTCCTAAAGGCTCAATCTGTAATCATGTACTACACTTCTCTACTCTGAGAACAAAATGAATTAGATGACTGCCTCTCTTTTTCAGACTGCATATTATGCCATTTTAGGAGCTCAGACTGTGGACCTGAATGGAATTGATGACCTGCATTTGGTGCCTCTCCCTTGAGGATCTTTAGACTCTTAGAGATAGAGAAATAGCTAAGGAGAGAAGGCTTGCAAACCTGCTACAAGTTTGTTCCTTTTCGTTCCAATCTCTTGAAGAAAACCACCCCCACTTTCAACTTCTAGAGGCAACAATGAAGCACAGAAAACCTTGTGAAAAGGAATTTTCAAATGCCCATTTGTATTAAAAGAAACAAGTATCATTTCATCCTTTTATTGTTGTTAAAAAAGAACTATACGTTCAACTAGAACTATTTGGCAGTCTGTGGGATAAACTTAGGGGTCCTTAATGTTAGCCTGTCTCCAAATATTAATACGTTCTCCAACCCATGTGAAATTTCATTAAATTTCATTAAGTATTTGCCTTTTCTTGGTTAAAGCTTTGACTCCAGGAACCCTTTGTTAAAATTCAAATAAGAGCAAAAGATTAACAAATTACAATAACCTAAGTAACGAATACCTTTGGAGGGATCAGTGCATGCCTTATTTTCCCACATGGTAACAGAGAAAATGGCCAACAGTATATATAGGCTTTAATAAAGGAAAAAAGCATAATAGAAGTCTAAGTATTTGCCACTACCTTAAGAGGATGGTGTTATTCACCAGAAAGGGATTGACTTAGTCCATTCAAGCTGCTATAATAGAATACTGTAGACTGGGTAGCTTATAAAGAACAGAAATTAATTTTTCACAGTTCTGGAGGCTGGGGAGTACACCATCAAGGTGCCAGCATATTTGGCGTCTGGTAAGGGATCACTTTCAAAAAGACAGTGCCTTTTTGCTGTGTCTTCACATGGTAGAAGAGGTATGGGATCTCTCAGGGGCCTCTTTCTTAAGGGCCCTAGTCCCATTCACGAGAGATCTGCTCTCATCACCTAATCATCTTCCAAATGTCTCACTCCCCATTATCATCACCTTGGGGGTTAGGATTTCAACATATGAATTTTGGGAGGATACAAACATTCAGACCATAGCAAGAACCCTAGAGAAAATATCAAGGAGGAGCTAAGAACGCGAAGTGCTAACAAAGAAGGTGGGAGGCCAGGAGCAGAGGCTTATGCTTAGAACGCTAGCACTTTGGGAGCTGAGGCAGGCAGATAGCTTGAGCCCAGGAATACAAGACCAGCCTAGGCAACATGGCAAAATCCCATTTCTACAAAAAAAAAAATTAGTCATGCATGGTGGCACGTGCCAGTAGTGCCAGCTACCCGGGGGGCTGAGGTGGGAGGATTTCCTGAGCCCTGGGAGGTTGAGGCTGCAGTGAGCTGTGATCAAGCAACTGCACTCCAGCCTGGATGACAAAATGAGACTCTGTCCCAAAAAAAAAATAAGTAAATAAAAAATGAAAGGAGGAGGAGGAGGAGGAGGAGGAGGAGGAGAAGGAGGAGGAGGAGGAGAGAAAGTACAAAAGAAGGGGCTTGCCTTGCTTTTCCATTCTGCTACAGGTGACCCTGGCATCAAGTCTGCATTTCCCACATGTGATTGATCCACTTTAAAAACTATCTTTGATATATATTTTACTCCAGTGTGATATTTTCTTGCCACCAAAAATGTCTTTAAGCTGGCTCTTCCTAGGCAGTCACACTAGCGTCAACAATTACTTCAAATCAGGAAAGGCAAAAAAACTCCTGAAAAAAAAAATAGTACCATAGATTCCAACCCAAAATATAAAGAAGCATGGGGGGTAATTTGTTATTTGGGATTATCTGTGGTGCTTGTAAATGAGAAAAGCTAAGATAAAGGGATTATTTAATACATTATTTTTCCTGTAAACTGAATATCTTAGTAATCAAATGTTACTTCCAATACAAAGATTTAGCTGTTAACTTTGATATGAACTTACTTTATGGAAGATTTGCTAAGCTTTCACCCCCATTTATAATAAAGTCTCTAATAACCGCTGATCATCTTCGTCTCACAAGTAAGATGAGGCTTTCTTCTGTTTCTCAGTAGAAACTATCACATTCCTAGAATTCCATGAGTGCTGTTCTCCTGTCTCTAAGCCACCGAATAAGGCAGCTGCATTATCTCTTTCATAATTCTTGGGTACAATTATAATTATAATAGGCATAACTATAGCCAAATCACTATTCTCCATAAAATAACTTATGCTTAAAGTAGTTTGACTTAATAGTATCTCCTCTTTCGAAATTACTAATAGCAAGGGCTGTATATAATACTTGCATTACTCCTAGGACTATGCTTAGAATGAGTATCTTTACAAAGCACTTTTCTGAAGAGTCTACTCAAAATAATAAAGTGGCTAAAGCTAAATACCAAAATATTAATGATGGTAATGGTCATAAAAAGCTACAGGTGATTTTTCTTTTTTTGTGACTCTCTAGAGTTTATGAATTTTCACAATGAGAATGTATGATTCTTATAAGGAAAAAATGTATATGGTTATTCCTAAACTTTGACAATGAAATTTCCCAAACAAGATTAATCTCTCTACATGAATACAACTTGTATGTAATATTAACAATTCTTCTCTAGTACTTAGTACTTTCTTCCATATATTCTATTTCCTTGTATAGGTATGTAATAGATTACAAGCTCTCTGAGGATGCATTTTGGGCCTTACACATATTTGTCACCTCATACAGTACCTCATAATGCCTCATATTTGCTAAGTGATCAGTACTGTATGAGGGATGAATGATACTTTCAATAACAAAGGTTAAAGTTGATATATTCATCCAAATGCACACAACTGCCAAAATGTTGAAATACTTCCATACTAATGGATAAACACTATAATAGCAATGCAATAAGCAAAAAAAGTTAACTAAAAGTATAAATTATAATTTAAATTCATTAATTCAAGCTAATAGTCGGAGCATGTTGTCAAATAAATCCTAACTAGGTCCCCCACCAAGCAAGAAATTAGAAATACTTGCAGAAATATCCACCTGTTTGGCCCAGAGCAAAGTATGCAGTAAGAATGTATTGCACATTCTTTACAAGACTCCTTAAGAGTATCACTCATTTGTTATATGCTTAAATTATATAGTTACCTCTATTTTCAAATTGTTTAGTTTTTTCTCTGGTTTTTATTGTCAGTGCACTACAATTCTTGTGTAAGTAATAAGTATGTAGCTTTTTAACATTTATAAATGGAAAAATTTATAATAAAATATTAAAAACAAATTATCAGAATAAAAATACTATAAAGTTAGGGCAAGTTTCTTATTGTTCCTTTTGCATGTTATAAACATGAGTTTTCTGCATCTATAGGAAAACAAAGCAAAAACCGTATTAACAAAGAAGCAAGGCTGGGAACATCTTCTAATACAGCACAAAAGCAGTAAAAGTCTAGAAAGTCTTTTTATGCTGTGCAACAATCAGCGCACAGTAAAACTAATTTTAGCTCTGGAATGAAAAACAACTTATTTGAAGAAAGAATATGATTGGTTTATTTTCTGAACAAAATGATGAGTAAAATGGTGCTGAAGGTTTTATTGTTTAAATTTCATTTTCATCACACCAGCAGTCATGTTCTGTTAAAGCCCATGATTCCAAGAGAAAATGCAATCATTAATGAGGAAAATATAAAAGAATATTACAAATAAGTTTCGCAAGTTAAAGCTTATAAAATAATAAGTTCAAAGATGTTTTATCAGTGTCAATAAGGCAAATGTAAAACATTAAGATCCATCATAACACCATCGTAGCACAGAACACCTAACGTACACTTGTAAAACTATGTACTATAGATAAAAATTATGAAGCATTTTAGACATGAAATATTTACACAGAACTTGCAGAACAATGCAATGGGTGTATCACTGCAGCCTGGATTTATGTTTTAGGTTATTGTAAAACCATCTATTGCAATGTTCTCAAAGTGTGGTCCAGGGATGCCTGGGATACCCGAGATCATTACAGGTGGTCTGCAATGTCAAAATTATTTTCATAATAATACTTAAGTGTCATTTGCCTTGTAACTGTCATTCTCTCACAAGTGTATGTGTTTTCCAGAGGCTACATGACATCATGTTTCTCACAGCTAATGGAATGTGTGCTATATGTTCCTGAGTTCTTGTATGTTTTCAGTTTTAATTCCTAATATGTTAAATACTGGTAGACAGAACAACACAATGCAAAGCTTTCAGGGGGTCCTCAACTATTGTTAAGAATATAAAGGGAACCTGAGACCAAAAAGTTCAGAACCAGCAACTTAACAAAATAAGAAAATAACCTTTCAGAAATTGAGGCAGTAAAACATCAGTTGTTCACAGTAAAGATTCAAAAAACTTAATAAACATTTATTTTCCAAATAGCCATTTAGAAGAATAATGAACATAAATTGTAAAAAAAAAAAATCTTTCACACATTTCCTTACTAATGGGATGTGTGTGCTTGTTGGTCACCGCACAACCTTCTAACTTTGGAATCAGATTGGATGCTGTCACTCTCATTTCTCATTCCACATTGATTTTCACTGGTATTTGCTTAGTATTACAGCAATTACCAAAAACACAGCTTCACAAAGATAGGACCTCACCAAAAGGAACGTGGCACAATCTAATGTTGAAACCATGACCTACCTAGAGCTAGTAATTTGCACAGACATTGAATATCACTGTTTCCCTTGAATATTTAAAATATACTACAGTATTCCCTTTGGAGTCCCAAGGTGCCTCAGTGCAGTTTAGGAACAACAGATTCAAAGAATATAGTGCTTTTCCTTGTCATCTTGTTAGTTCTGCATTAGCTAGTTGTTTGTGCTTAGAAAATTCTATTATTATCAACCAAGCAAAGCTTAAAGTAAATTAGTAAATCTTCCAATATAGGGAAATAGAATATTTTGTAAGCTTTCTGATAATTCACAGATTTGGATAATTAATGCTACTGCTCTGACATCCATACTTCTCTTCTGCTCATCTTTTTAGCTCCCTTTCCTAACTCTACAGTGGTATGAAAAATTTAAAGATGATCCCATGCAAAGGCAAAATAATGACCCCAGAGAGTTCAGGCACCTGCTATCTGCAATCTAGGTCTATGACCATTTAGAACTACCTCACCAGACAACACCTAGGGAAGGTGAGGAATATACAATAATACAAATGAAGTTCTTAATTGCTTCATCACTGGTACATAGATACCAGTTTCCTAATTTCTGTTAATACATCTGAGCAGTAAGCAAACGTACTGACAAGGGAAAAAACTATGCATGGACAGAATCTCCCTGTTGGCACAGCACAAAAATGTCATCAGCTTTAGGCAAAGATTAAGAACCAGAAATTATTATTTTCTGTGTCTTTCTACTTTAAAAAAATTAATATTCCAAAGCTTTTGGATAGATGTAAAAGCATTCTGAAAGAATTACTATCATGGGTCTCTGTCCCTGAAACAGCTCTTCCCGTTGAGCTCCCTTTCCTAACTCTACAGTGGTATGAAAAATTGAATACCCGCTAACCTAGCTTAGTATTGCCATACAATCACCCCACTCAAAAATTAGAAGCTACAAGGCTGGCAGATCACAAAGTCAGGAGTTTGAGACCAGCCTGACCAACATGGTGAAACCCCATCTCTACCAAAAATACAAAAATTAGCTGGGCATGGTGGCATGCACCTGTAATCCCAGCTACTCAGAGTGGAGGCTGAGGCAGGAGAATTGCTTGAAACCTGGGAGGTGGAGGTTGCAGTGAGCCAAGATCGTGTCATTTGCACTCCAGCCTGAACAACAGAGCGAGACTCTGTCTAGAAAAAAAAAAAAATTGAACCTACAAAGCCCTCCATTGTTTCTAAATACAATTTAATTTCTGCCCCCAAAGGAAGATGGTTTCGGAACTTCACAACGTTCTCTTAAACTTCCTTATTATTTACTGTTTTATCCATGAAAATCAAGAAGGACCTCAAGCCCACAGTGGTGTTGTTCTTTCTACCAACTCCATCTCTTTATTCATTATCACACAACCTTTTCTGCTACAGTACATAGCATAATTTGCTCCTGGTGGGCAGTAATGCCATCACATTCAGAGTGAGGGCTATTTTAAACCCTATCCCAGCCAAACCAGAACTGAACAACACTGAAAGCAACTACGAGGTTTCGGGAAAATGGGGAAGATAGTGACAGAAAGGAAGCCTGAGAAACTCAGACTGGAGGTGAAAGAGCAGCTGGAGGCCAAGATAGTCCCACTTGGGGAGGAGCAAGAATCCAAGGATCTCCTCCTTCTCTTAGCACTTACAAAGCTGACTCCAAAATAAATCCTGTATTTCCTGCTCAGTTAAATCTCCAGGACAATCCTATGAGACTGGCATTATCAACCTCATTTTATGGGTGAGGAAAGAGGCTCCAAAGAGCAAGGAACCGCACTGGGCCAGTGTGGTGTAAATCGGTCACACATAGACTGTCTGTTGAAGGGTGTTCTTACATTACTACACTAGCAATTAGAGACCTAAAATAAGATAGGAAGCTCTATGAGTCAGAGCTTAAGCCCTTGCCTTCAAGCAAGTATATATCTTAATTATATCAATTCTGTTCTTATAGATTTCCTACAAGGAACCCCCTCCATACTCACCCTCCATCACCCATTACAGTACTCTTTTCCTTTTGTCAACTGGATCTACCTTCTCTTAATTTAAACCCATTTTCTTTGTTGCTATCATCCAGAAGGGGTAAAGCATCTGGTTGTAGGGTTTCTAGCTAGAGCACTCTGTAAACTAAACGACCATTTAAAATAGCACCTAGCACAATGGCCAACACACAGTTGGTACTTAATAAACACGCTGAATAACTACATGAACAAATGCTAAAAATAAACCTTTCTTTATTATGAATGACTCTAGCATCAAATAAATTGTGTTATCAACAAAAACAACAAAACATTTCAAAACGTCTTCCATAATTGATTAAGTTGCATTTTTGCAACTATTGGCAGATCTAGATATGAGATCCAGGTATAAGGCATAATAGGCAAATCACACATGGCATAATGAGTGGCACACTGTAGCCATTCAATCTGGTGAATGAATTTAAATTATGCTGGGTTGGTTTTTTAATCACAATGAAACTTAAAAGACATACCCAATTTTTAACTCTCAGACAAATAAAACACATTCCCAAGTTTAGCATCTTTAGACAGTATTTTCCATCTTTTGTCAAACATATTCACTCAGTCATTTTACAACTGCCTATGTACTCGTTATAACTTGAACATAAATTTCTCTTAGATTGTGTAAATGTGAGTCTAAACAAATCACAGCAAAGGAAAACGTTTATCTGAATTTTCTCATCACAATTTGCTACAAACATTTTTTAACTCTTTCCTCATTTTCAACAGAGTAAAAACTTCTTGTCCAGTTTATGCAAAATGGGTATTTTATCATTTGTAATTAAATGGACAAAAGGATAGGGTTATCACACCACCTTGTGGACCGTAAGGGTATTGCTGCTACAGAGCCAAAGCACATTTTAAGAACGAGAAGGTAACATGGAACATCAGCTGTTCATGCTTTTCCCTTCCCCTCCAGGTCTTCTGCCCCAAATCTACATCTTCAAATACTACCCGCTCCTCAAAATACAGTTTAAATGTCCCCCTCATAGAACCTTCTAAATCAAACTTATCTCTTCTCTAAATTTCCATGCTGCCTTATCTGGTTCTTCTTATTTTCTACTTCATATTGTATAGTCTTATCTCCCCTGCTAGACTGTAGGTATTTTGAGGATATGTGGACAGTCACCTTCAGACGTGTACTGAAGCCAGTTCATACCTACTCTCATCAATAGCTTAACATTCAGAAAGCTTGCAAGCTGGTTGTTAAAGTGTTGGTAGCTTGAAATTAGCCATGGTAGGTGCATTTACAAAATGGAAGTCAGGAAAAAAAACAACTGTAAATCCGAACACTTGTAAAACTTTGTTGACCAACTTTAACTTCTTCATATCTCATTGTCTCTACAGTAATATGTAGTGAGGAGAGGTAGTGATACTGCCTACCTCACAGGACTCTTTTAAGGATAAAAGAACCCACATAAAATGTTTTGTCTAATGTCGGGCACATAGTATGTGTCCGCCAAATATTATAATAACTATTCCCGATAACTCTATCATGGTGCACTGCAAGTAGCAGATCCTCAAAACATTCAATTGTTAAATGACAATCAAGAATTTCAATGAGAAATTTTCAGATATGTTAACACTGATGGTAGTCCCAGCTTAACAATAGGCCAGATCATTATAGGAGACATAAACTCTTTAATTATAAATAATCCAGATATTTTCGCTTGCCCTGACTCCCATCTTATTCCTGCTTGAAATCCATCTCTCTCTCCCCCTCATCTCTGCTCTCTCTCCTTGTCTCCTGCATTTCTCTTCCATTTTTACTCACTCTAAAGTGCCTTCCTCTCTCCTTCTTTTTACCACTTTATTTCATAATGCAAAATAAATAATTTATGCCTCACTTTGTTCCAGAAAAGGTTTGCAGTGAATAATAGATAACTTGGTTTCATGTTTAGTGAATAAGGATTTTATACTTCTCCAAGGGAAGGAATTGAAGTCGCTTTTTACCACTTCTATCAGTGATTCCATGATCCTGTTTGATTGGTCCTTGGCAGAAAATGGGTTCTTTATATAGACCTTTGGGGAAAGACGAAATTAAGTTTCCAAGTGCAAAGTGGAAAACTAAATTGCCATGAATTCCAAATACTTTCCAACAGGGAAGCAAAAAAATGTCCTTATCTTTTAGGGTTGATGTGGGCCACATTTCCAACTATATAATCTCTCGCTGCTTCTCTGATCTGGATTAGAATAAATTCTATCTTAAATAACCTTCCACCAAACGTCTTTTGCCAACTCTCTTCTGTGAGCTTCTCTTCCTCTCACCTCACTTCAGCTACCTCATCCCAATGCTAACATGGTGTTTTAGATACAAGGTTGCTTCCAGTAGCTAACTATGTTTGAGGATCAGCCAATAGCTTCATTCGCTCACTAAAAAGTACAACCAAAGATTGAAACAACTAATTATTTGCAAAAACATGTTTGGAATAAAACTCCAGTTGTTCAAATGTAAATCTATTGATCAAAAATAAAATTTTCCTTATTTATCAATTATTAATTAGCACAGTTTTTTAATGCAGGAAAAAAATTAAAAGTATTGGCTTTTCTCTAAGATGAACATTTGCCCTAGAATATATAAATACTGTCCATGATCATTTCTAGTTTAAAAATACACATAGGCTAAAACGAATAGCATGTCTTAAGTCATTGATTAAACGCAAGGCGTTTTGTTTAGTGGAATTTCTACTTCAGTGTTGGTCTACACAATACCCTTACCCAAGAACATATGGCTGATGCAGTACATGACAAGAAGGGGCTTTGCCTAAGAAGTGAAAATAAGGTGGGTGAGTCAGAAATTTAAATTTCAACTAACCTAAAGGCAGCTATAAGATGAGGCAATATATTGTATTTTATTCACCTCGTGGTCTATTCCAAAGGACACTGTCAAACACAATGATTCTTTTACCCACCAGCTGTCACCAACAAGTTAGCTATACTTTGTACTTTCCCTTTGTGCTTGAAAGCCAAAGCTAGAGCAGATGGCTGGATTAAGTGCCAGAGCAAAGGTAAAATTGGCTATTTCATCTGAACAGGTACTGCCAGACTTCATTAAGACAAAAGCCCCAGCAACAAATACCTACAAAATCTAGGGTCTGGAAAGTGCAATCTGAACTGCTTGTTTAATTTACCAACTAAAAACAAAAATGCTCTTTGGGGGAAAACTTTACCTAATTTGCTAAGAGATGAAAAAAGACACACATATTTCATCTGCAGTGAGAAGTGGTTTCCTGTGTCATTAACCCTGTAATTTCCAGGCTCTGTAAAAAACAAATTATATTCAATGTTCTTCTAAGCTAAGCTCATGGGTGAGTTCCAGAACGTGAAATTTAATCTTCCAGAGCTCAAACTAACAAAGCAAAGATGTTTGAAAATACTTGACTTTTTTAAAAACTGCAAATTAAAATGATAAGAGAACAGCTAAATGAACAACTAAATGAAAGACTTTCAAACTGAGGGATTAAAGCTAGAGTCAGGGTTCAGGATAAAGGAATTCAGAGCTGCCTGTTATGACCAATCATTCATCAACCACATAGTGCAGTTATAATATGTAACTGGAAGTGGAAGAGTTACATATTATATGTAATATGTTCTAATCCTAATGATTAGATTAGAATGACACTGAAAAAATCCATTCCACTGTTGCAAAGAAAGCTCAATTTCCCAAAACACAACTTCCTTGACTTTCTATTCTGAAGCTAAAAGGTTTTGGAGTTCAAAGAGCCACCTATTTTGCCTCTCCTGAGTGGCACAGGCATAGAGCAGTTTGTTGCCTCCATTCACTTATTTTTAAAAGCCCGAAAAGATAAAGAGAATAGAATTAGAAATCACTTCTATGACCATTTATAAATTGGTTATTTCCTCGGCATTTTTATTACTACCAAGAGAGACATAATCTTATATGCAACAGATTTCTATTATTCAGTTCCCTCACTCAGGTAACTCACAATTAGTAAAATTATAGTAATAACATTCGAATGTCACAAAGCAGAAATTTCAGTAGCCTAATAGACTGTTCTAAGTAGTCAGGCTGTAAGACTAGCATATTCAGCAGTGAGATCAAGGTTTCCTTTGAGGCAGATTAATTAATGTGATTATATTTTCAAAGCCCAAGAGCACAACCCTTAGTAAAAACATCTCTCAAGCTACATAATGCCCTTCACTATATAAATCACTATACTTTCCAATGGGATGAAAAACTGTTTATGTTTTCTAATTTCAAGATTTCTAATCCTTTCATTCCTGCACAGCAGCCAGAAGAAAAGTAGTCTCTGAATATGGGAAAGGCTTAGAAACATAAATGGTGAGAAACTTTATCTTCAGAGAGGCAGAGTTTCAGACCTAGGCCCACATTCACCCCTACCACTCATACATGTGAAATACATTTTTTAAAATACCTAATCTATTGGAATTTCAGTTCTCAGATCTTGGGCAGTGGAGATATTAATACTGCCTACTTCGTGGAATTGTTGTGAGGATCAAATTTAAAATATGTGTAATGTTTAAGTATAGTATCTAGGAATGTGCTGTCCATAGCTATACGTAGCTATTTAAATCAAATTTAATTAAAATTGATAAATTTGAAATTCAGCTCTTCGGTCACACTAGCCATATTTCAACTATTCAGTAGTTACACGTGGCCACGTCCATTCATTCTCAGCACTTTGGGAGGCCAAGGCAGAGGGATCATCTGAGCCCTGGAGTTCAAGACGAGCCCAGGCAACACTGCAAGACCCTATCTCTACAAAAAATTTAAAAAATTAGCCAGGCATCATAGTGTGTGCCTGTAGTCTCAGCTGCAAAGGACGCTGAGGCAGGAGGATTTCTTTAGGCTGAGAGATCGAGGCTGCAGTGAGCCTCTGAGGTACAATGAGCCTCTGAGTTGTAGAGAGTGTACCACTGCACTCCAGCCTGGGCAACAGAGCAAGAACCTGTCTCAACAACAACAACAACAAATGTTAATTTGGTGTGTCTGACATTTTTTTCCTCCTCTTCACCAATTCCTCTAAGTTGTCAGGCTGCCCAGGTTTCTTCTTGTCTGGAAAGAAAGCAATATGTAAAACATATCTGTGTTTACCATTTTTTTCACTCCCGAGAATACTGGAGTTCTAAAAAAAAACATGACATGGAAACAGCAATGTTTATCGCAAATGGGAGAAGTTCTAATGATGAGGATTTCAGGCACTGTAGTCAGACACTGAGCGAGGTCTTTTTGGACTAACTATATGTGTGAGGAGAGTAAAAAGGAGTTTCCACAGTCCTCTTCAATTCCTACGTAGAGATCCGTCTGCAGCGACGCTGACTTTAACACATTCACACTTACTGAGATAATGAAAAAGAAAAGAGCTTTTTCCTCTGTGGAATTCTTTTTACGACAAACTTTTCCTGGTTGAAATATCTAAAAATAATTATAAATCATCAACATTTTTCCAAGAGATGCTTTAGACAAGTTAGTCTTGGGCAACTGAGTAAAATTTTTTGCATTTGGTTTTTCGTTTCCATGGTTTCCTTTCTCCACTCAAATGCTAGAACTGGGGCTGGGAAGCTACCAGAGTGAGAATGCCAGGGGCCTATATAGTTGCAGGAACGTTGCATTATAAGAAGCAGAAAATTAATATAGTCTCTAAGAAGGATTCCAGTCTCAGATGATATTTGGTGGTATCCAGCGAAATTATCCTGTAGATACTTGTAGATCTGGGCTTAGAATGTTTTTGGTAGATTGCTCTAAAATAGGACGCTTGTGGAACTAAACTTCATCTTTGCTTTCAAAACTGCAAGCAGAAAAGGCTGGTGGTGTGCCTTATTATAGATGAGAAGGAAGATCTAGTACTCTAGAAAAAATTCTGTTTATAGGTGGTATGCAAAGCTTACTACCTGGAACGTGAAATGAACGAACCGCGGGCTGTGCTTTTCAAGGTCAAACTGCAAACAAAGCAAGTCTGCTCTCATAGCCTTGGTAACAGTATTTGAATACGCATGATAATAAATTTGTTCATATGTTTTCCGTGAGTGAAATTAATTTCTTGCTGGTGATATTGCAGGTTATATAAATACATAATACTCTTCTTTCACCTCTTCGCATATTATCAAACAATCCACATTTGACTTCATAACATTTTGAGACAGTCTACAATCATCAATCCTGGATATTACTTCACAGCTAAAGTACTTACACTAACAATATTCTGATTGTGATTTTATCTTTATGTTTTTTATCATATCAACAAGGGAAATTATGGGTTTCATGAAACCATAATGCAATGATAAAAACATAGGACAAGATGGAAGTTTTTTTATTCTGCTGAAAACATATTTAATAGCAGTCTAAACACAAAAATGTAAACTGCTGTCTTTTGGAAAACATAACACAGGGTCACAATTTTGTAAGATAAAAGTTTCAAGTTATTTTAATAAATTGCCACATTTTTTCTTATAGAAAAATGACCCATATGCCTTTGCTTTTTTAAAAAAAAAACAATACTGGGTATGACTTATGTGCTATAGAAGTATTAGCCATTATTACTGTATTATTATCCCTTCCACCAGATAGAAATTTCTTATTTTGTACTACTGTTTGATGTTATAAAATTCTATTAATATTATTTTGGGAAGGCACTCTTTAGTGAAGACACATCAGAAAGGCAAAATAGTTAAAAAAAAAAAAAAGCTTACCCATCTTTTAAAGTGAACAAAAATTCATAAAGATCATATAACTTCTATACAGAGCTGTATGAGTCTGTTCTCAGGCTGCTAATAAAGACATACCTGAGACTGGGTAATTTATAAAGGAAAAGAGGTTTAATGGACTCACAGTTTCACATGGCTGGGGAGGCCTCACAATCATGGTGGAAGGTGAAGGAGGAGCAAAGGTACATCTTACCTGGCAGCAGGCAAGATAAGCGTGTGCAGGGGAACTGCCCTTTTATAAAACCATCAGATCTCATGAGACTTACTCACTATCAGGAGAAAAGCCCAACCCCCTGATTCAATTACCTCCCACTGGGTCCCTCCCACGACACGTGCGGATTACAGGAGCTACAATTCAAGATGAGATTTGGATGGGAACACAGCGAAACCATATCAAGAGCAAAGTAGCTAATTATCCAACCCACACTGTCTAATGATAATAATGGTAATAATAATGTCATTATAAATGTTCACAGTACCTTTCCTGGCTAAAATTGTTTAAAGTAACAGAAACCACTCTGACTTAACCTAAACCCAAAGGAAGAATTTATTATAATAATATAGTTATGTAATGTGAATCGAAAAAGAGACTGAAACCAGAAATAGACAGCTGTCCTCTCTCCTTATCACTCATCTGCTTTATTTTTCTCTTGGAAGACGGACTTTCCCCTGCTTCTCCATCTATATACCAAATAAACCTACCTCTCAGCTCCTGAATTATAAATAATAGTTTTAGCTGTGATTTGGTCTCAGCTCCTGACCAAGAGAACCTAATTGTCCTAGATTGAAAAAGGTGTGCACCTGTAAGCTAAAAACTTGGGCCGAGGCTTTTTAGGAGATCACTGTGTAATATAAACATAACTGTCTGTGAGCCCACCCCGTTAGACGGGCTGGGTGAGGGATGGCATGTTCTCACAAGGGAAATGGTCACCAAATTGGACAGAAATCCCCAAAAGGATCAATTACCATGCTTCTTTTTAAAATGACTTCATGCAACAATCTTTTTTCATGAGAGGATCCAGTGCCTGTACTATGCCTACTTGGTATCTACTGGTGTCAGGTGTTTTGGGTTTGTTTTAGAGAGAAGGTCTCTCTCCGTCGCCCAATCCAGGCTGCAGTACGGTGGCACAATCATAGCTAACTGAAGCCTTGGATTGCTGGGCTCAAGCAATCCTCCCACCTCAGCCTCCCTAGAATTACAGCCACAAGCCACTACACCTGAATTTTTTTTTTTTTTTTTTTTTGAGATGGAGTCTGGCTACGTTGCCCAAGCTTGCCTGGAACTCCTGGCCTTGAGCCATCCTCCATCCTCCTACCTCAGCTTCCCAAGGCACTGGGATTACAGACATAAGCCACTGTGCCTGGCCGTGATAGTTCTTATTAGAAGGCTAAGATGTTTCAAATGCTAACAAATATGTAAGTAATTTCTGCTGACTTTCCTCCTTTCATCACTGGCTACAAAGTACATCCCAGAATATTAAGCTCAGATAATGCTAGTGAAACTTTGATAAAAGAATGGCTTCTGAATACAAAGCCATGCAGAACTTCATAAAAACCCTGAACAAAAAAGCATAAAAACACCCCAATTAAAGACCACTTTTGTTAATAAATGTAAAGCTCAAATAGTCATACCTCATAATTTAGCCAAGGATAACTGAACCTATGAAATGTCAGAGTTTTATTATATTGTATTGTTTTCTTTTTATTTTTTTATTACTGATCAGATTAGTTTCTCTTCTGCCAGTGAAAAATCCAAAAGAAATCTGAATAATCAATGCAATATTCAGTTCCAAAACCTGTTTATGGAAATCTATTAGGGCAATTCATTAATGTCCAGAAATACATTTTTCCCCACCATCTAGCTATAATGGTTTGCAGAACAAATTCTGAAGATCAAGGTTCCTGGTCAATGAAAAGCAGTTGTCTAGAGAAAATAAGACAGGTTTCTAGACCCCGAAAAGATGAAAGACTGACAGCTTGGCATTCTGAAGATTGGTTATATCAGCCTGCAAACATCCTCTCATTATTTTAATCTCATACTCTATAAAATACTTTTGGATCCTCTGCCAGCAAGATAAAAACAAATTAAACCAAAGGGCCAGCATGCACAAAATATCTTATTCTGGAAGCACCACTGCTGACAGCTTCCGAAAAAATAAAATAAAGTGGATCCTTCAAAAAAATTTTCCAAATAGCAGACAGTATTACCAAGAAAGAGTCAAAAACTAAAAATGGCATAACAGCAAATATAGGAGTGTGGTTCTCCTCATGGCTCTTATAATTCTTTTCTCACAACATTCTTACAATTTCTATCACATTCTGTAAGTATATAGTTATTTGTCTGTTACACTGCAAGCTTTTCTAGGGTACCATGTCTTCTTCATGTATACATTCCCCTAATTGGTAAACTGGACCATGCATGTAATCAGTGGTCAAACTTTTCTTAAAATGAATGAACAGCATGTTCTCTGAATATCTGAGAAATTCCCATACTATTCAAAATTCCTGAAGGGTGAAACAAACCTTATCTCCAGCCAATCTGAAATTACTCTTTCCTATCCACATCTTTCTTTTTATTACTTTGCTTCTCCTGTTCCTTCCACCTGGAATGCCTAAATCCTATCCATCATTCATGATCTCCCCTGCTAAAAGTAATCTTTACCAGTTCTAAAGATCCATAGCACTTTACCTAAACCTTCTTATGTTTCTTAATTATACTATAAGCAGCTAATTGTATCATATACATGACTATCTCTTCTTTTAAGGAAGGATAGGTACACAACTATATCTGATAAAATATTTACTAGGCAGCTACCTTAAAATCTATAGCTTCTGAGAGGCAAGGCTTCTAATTCAGGATTCCCCCACACCCTATTAATGGGATATATTCTCCTTGCATTTGAGCCACCCTCTGGGAGAACAAACAGCTCCCAGGCAGCTCTGTGACCTGCTGTGTGGACTGCAAGCACTATTCCCACAGAAGGGGTACACCTGAGGCCTCTCTGCTGGTAGGCTTTGGCTCTTGTCCTATAATCTCAAGTGAAGCTAATGCCAAGTGTGGCCAGTGACAGTCCTGTGAACCCGAATGTTTAGTTGAACCTGAAATGACCCTGTGGTAGATGTTTCAAGTACCATATTATGGGTATTAATGAATTTATACATATCAAATGTTTAAACAATATCTGGGCCAGATGTCGTCGCTTATGCCTGTAATCTCAGCACTTTGGGAGGTGGAGATGGGTGGATCACTTGAGGTCAGGAGTTTGAGACCAGTATGGTCAATTCGGTGAAACCCCAGCTCTACTAAAAATACAAAAAAGTAGCTGGGTGTGGTGGCACACACCTGTAATCCCAGCTCCTCAAGAGGCTGAGGCAGGAAGACTGCTTGAACCCAAGAGGTGGAGGTTGCAGTGAGCCAGGATGGCGCCACTGCACTCCAGCCTGGGTGACAGAGTGAGACTCCACCTCAAAAAATAAAAAATAAAAAAACAGTATCTGGTACATAATAAGTCAATAAATGTTAGCTATTATTTCCCATGGTCAGAAATTTGCAGAGTAGGAATATAAATTTAGTCATGGCTGATTTCAGATACTGTGCCCCTAACTCTTACATTTTGATTCTTTTCTACATAGAATCAATTCCCTATTGATATAATTTGGATATTTGTCCTCATCCAAGCCTCATGTTGAAATCTAATCCCCAGTGTTGGAGGTGGGGCATAGTAGGAGAAGACTGGATCATGGGGGCGGGTTTCTCATTAAACCCATGGGTGCTAAAGCACCATCCCCTCGGTGCTGTCATCACAACAGTGAGTTAATTCTCACAAGATCCGGTCATTTAAAAGTGTGTGTGGCACCTGCCCCAACCCCCACTCTCTCTCACTGCTCCTGCTTTGACCATGTGAGATGCCTGCTTCCTCTTCACCTTCTACTATGACTCAAAGCTTCCTGAGGCCTGCCCAGGAACCGAACAAATGCCAGCACCATACTACCTGTACAGCCTGCAGAGCCATGAGCCAATTAAACCTCTTTTCTTTATAAATTACCTAGCCTCAAGTATTTCTTTACAGCAACACAAGAAAGTTTTTATATCAGATGTGTACTCAAAAAAGTTTTTATATCAGATGTGTACTGCAGTGCAAAATTATGTGATTTTATACATGCTCATGAATAGCACATTTATAAGGCTGATCTTTAATTTCTGTTCTCAAACCTATTAATGCCAGGTATAACTGTTATTATAATTTTATGAAAAAAGGATGATGAACTATGAGTGCAAAGAGTTTCTCCCTTCTGGGATAACTAAGTAGAACATTCTGTAAAGACTTGGAGAAAAAAAAGCAAGTCACTAAAAAATGTTTTGCCCTTGAAGTGGGTGTGAGTGAGAAAAGTATAAAAGACTAGGGAAAGAAAACAGATCATGATATCCCATTGCTTCACTATCCTTTAGTTCCCACCCCACTTTAAAGACACCAAAACTGGAACTCAGAGTAAGCTTGACCTGGAGCTCTAATCAGTAGAAAACAAACATACAGAGACACACACACACACACACTCTAGCTCTCCTTCTCTTTTGGCCCTACATCAAAAGACTAGCATATAAATGTACCAAAATCATTTAAGTTAAAACAAAATGTTTCTCTATCTATCTATCTCCCCACCCTCCACCAATATATATATATATAATTTTTATGAGTTCAATAAGATGGTTTTGCCTGTGCTTACATTAAATAGTTGCAGGGAACATAAGAAATGGCTTATAAAGTAGGAGAACTAATGTAAAGAGGGTAACCAATGCTAAGGGAAACAGGGTAAAGAAAGATACAGAGAAGGGACTACTTGAGCTGAGCAGACAGACAGTCCTGGGTAAAGGCACTGGAGATACAAGAACAATGTGGACAAAGGCCCAGAGGCCCAAGTAGAATGGCTTTTTGAGGGAATGTCAACAGAACAAGGGGTTCCAACAGAGAACAGCAGCAAAAGAGACCAAGGAAATAGGTAAAGTCTGGGTCCTCAAAGGCTCATAAGACAGAATATAGAAGGTAAACTTTGAGAGAAAATGGAGCAAATAAGAATCTAAGCAGCAAAATATAATAACTGGACAAGGATCTTCAAAGGTCATTGTAGCAGCGGCAGTAAGGGTGATTTGGGGATATGGAGAATGACAGACTTAAAGCAAAGAACTTCCAAAGTCCAAGCAAGAAATGAGAGAGCCTAGGACTAAGTGAGAAGAGGCAAAAATGAGAACATGAAGGCAGAATCAACAAGACTTACCCACCACGTCCTTAGCTATATGAGTCTAGTGAAGTGAAGGAATACAGAGTAACTGGTTTGTTGCTTTAGTGGCTCTGTAGATCACAAATTATTTTCCCAGTTAACTTTAAAGAAGAAAAAGCAAGACTGGCAGAAGAAGTCAATTCAGATTATTTTGAGTTTGAGGAGCCTGTAGGACAGAAAACAGAAATGCTCAATCATTAGCTGAATATGCGTAACTGGATTTGAGGAGAAACGTCTGATCTGGGTTGGAGACTGGTGACCTAATCCTTTATATTTGAAGCCATGGGAGTGGATGTTATTAATGAGAAAGTTCAGGGAAGGGGAGCAAAGAAAAAGGTCAAGGGCAGAACCCTGAATCACACCCACTTTTCAGAAACAGTCAGGCAGGAAAACAACAAGAGGATACTAACAAGGAAAGGTCTGCAAGATGGAAACACATTTAGGCCAATGGGACCTCAGAAGCTGCAAGGTCAGAAGGGTTTGTGAACCCAAAATTATCTGAGACAGGTCTCAATTTAGAAAGTTTATTTTCCCAAGCTTAAGAATGCGCCCCCAACATAGCCTCAGGCAGTCCTGATGACATGTGCCCAAGGTGGTTGGGATACAGCTTACTCTCACACATTTTAGGGAGACATAATACATCAATCAATACATGTAAGATTGGTTGGATCTGGAAAGGCAGACAACGAGAAGCGGGTGAGGGGTGGCTTCCAGGTCATAGGTAGATTTAAAGATTTTCTGATTGGCAACTGGTTATTATCTAAAGACCTAAAATCAATAGAAACGAATGTCTGGGTTGCAATAAGAGGTTGTGGATACCAAATTTGATCGTGGAGATGAAGCCTCCAAGAGGTAAATTTCAGAGAACAGATTGTAAATGTTTCTTATCAGACTTAAGGTGTGTGTTGATGTTGATGCTGGCTGGCTTTTCCTGAATTCCAAAAGGAAGAAGGGCATAATGAGGCATGTTGGACCCCCCTTCCCATCATGGCCTGAACCACTTTCTCAGGTTAACCTTGGCAGAGAGGAGGGGTCCCTTCAGATGGTTTGGAGGATTGGAATTTTATTTTTGGTTTACAGTTTCAAGGAGAAGCAGGACAATCATGTCAGAGAGCTTCAGTGAGGTTGAAAATGCTCCACCGGATTCAGCAGTCTTGAGGCTATCAGAATCCTTTGGCAGGGCAGGGGTTTGGAGGGGTGAGGGTAGAGGGATGGAGAGGAGGGAAAAGGACAGGCAAAGGGGCACGGATACCTCCATCAGGGAGTGAGCATGCCCCCACACAAATTCCTTAAGGCACCCTGTGAGGCTATCGCCTTGGCACAAACCCTATCACATGTCAGTCAACTTCCCGGCAAGCCGCAGACCTTTAGAAACCTTGGTGTGCGTTTCCCCGCTCGGTTTAGAACGCACCCCTGCCTCCACTCCACAAACGTGCAGTGAGCCCTCAAAAACCTGGACAAATGACCTCACCTCGAAAGCCCCCTCTCTGATGCTCCCAGGAAAAACTAAAGCACCTCACTTTGTTTCGTCCGTACCTTACATGGTTTTGTAATTATCTGTGGTGCCTCTGGCTGAAATCAAAACGGGAGCCAGACCCAAAAAGTCAAGGAAGGGAAGCGCCTTCCAGGCCACTCCTGAGAAGAAACGAACTACAATTCCCATGAGGCGGTGGGGCCACGGGACCACAAGTCCCAGCATCCACCGCGCGGCCCAGGACTGTCAGGGTAGTGGGCGTTGCGTGAGGCGGGTAAATGTTCGCGGAAGCGGCAAAGACGACACGGCCTTGTGGGATGGCGGAGTTTAAGGAGAAGCCTGAGGCCCCGACTGAGCAGCTGGATGTCGCGTGCGGCCAGGAAAACTTGCCGGTGGGCGCGTGGCCCCCGGGGGCCGCGCCGGCGCCCTTCCAGGTAGGGGCGGGGCCAGGCGGCGCGGGAGGCGGGCGCGCGGCTCCCCCACGTGGTCTCCTCAAGCCGCCTCGCTGGGACGGCCTCCCAGTCGCGACCTTTTGTCTTCTCTTACAGCGCACCCGTTGGTGCGCGGGAATAGGTGTGCATGCCCCGGCCTGGGCCTTTTTCTGTTGACCCACGGCATCACCTTAGCAAGGGTGTTGTCCTTTTCAGTCCATTCCCTGAAGCGCAGAACCGGAGGCCTTGTGAGAACCTGGCTTTTTGTCCAGTCCTGTCCTCAGAACTCAAGGAGGCATCACGGGGGGAGTCATTTACCTCCCTGGTCTCAGGTGTCTCTCACAGGTAGGATAAGCCGTGGGGCCTATTAATGGATCGCAGCCGGTGTCGTGCATAAAAACAGCCCCTCGAGTCAGCCTTAGCTGTGGTCTCCCTCACGCTGTGGGCTCTTGGGCGAGTGTAAATTAGCTGTGGCTCAGCCTTAGAGTCTTCCAGCGTACAGTGGAACAGTACCTCTCTTCCGGAGTGCTTTGAAAATGGCAAGGAAAATACACTTTCCGGTTTGCTGTAAGAACTCAGTAAATGTTTGCTTCTATTAACTACCTCAAAGCCCTTTCTACTCTCCTTTTTCTTTTTGAGACTGAGTCTCGCTCTGTCGCCCAGGCTGGAGTGCACTGGCGCGATCTCGGCCCACCGCAACCTCCACCTCCCGGGTTCAAGCGATTCTCCTGCCTCAGCCTCCCGAGTAGCTGGGATTACAGGCATGGGCCACCACGCCCGGCTAATTTTTGTATTTTTAGTAGAGACAGGGTTTCTCCATGTTGGTCAGGCTGGTCTCGAACTCCCAACCTCAGGTGATCCGCCCGCCTCGGCCTCCCAAAATGCTGGGATTACAGGCATGAGCCACGCTCCCAGCCTCTACTGACTTTCTTATCCCTCCGACCTTGGCCTGAGCGTTACCCAAGGAATAAGGAATGACCAAAGATTTTGAAGTGGAAAGAGCGCTGGACGTGGAAGTTGGAGAGTATGGTTCGGAGCTTAGACATCTTAGCTACTTCCCAGAGCCTGAGTTTCTTCATCTGCAAAATGAAAATAATAATTTAAAAATGCATAGCCCCTTTAACATCCATTATCAACAATGAACCCTATCTGCCCTTTCTTTTTCCTAGGGGTTTTTGTGAGGATCAGATAAGATAAGAGATTCAATAGCAGCTTTCAAAGATGTCAAGGAAAAGAATCAAACTCTAAAATATTTGAAGAGATTTATTCTGAGCCAAATATGAGTGACCATGGCCTGTGACACAGCCCTCAGGAGATGCTGAGAACATGTGTCCCAGGTGGTTAGGGCACAGCCTGGTTTTATACATGTTTGGGAGAGAGGAGACGTCAATCAAATACATTTAACATGTACATGGGTTTGGTTCAGAAGGCGGGGCAACTCAAAGTGGTGGGGGGGGCTTCCAGACTATAGGTAGATTTTAATTTTTCTGGTTAACAATTTTTCTGGTTAACAATTGGTTGAGTTTGTCTGAAGACCTGGGATCAATAGAAATGTTTAGGTTAAGATAAAGGGTTTTTTTTTGAGACGGAGCTTGACTCCATCACCCAGGCTAGAGTGTGGTGGTGCGATCAGCTCACTGCAACCTCCGCCTCCCAGGTTCAAGCGATTCTTCCACCTCAGCTTCCCGAGTAGCTGGAATTACAGGCGCCTACAACCACGCCCAGCTGATTTTTGTATTTTTAGTAGAGACAGGGTTTTACCATGTTGCCCAGGCTGGTCTCAAACTCCTGACCTCAAGTGATCCACCCACCTGGGCCTCCCAAAGTGCTGGGATTACAGACGTGAGCCACCGCACCCGGCCATGTAGAGACCCAAGTTTTAATTGTGGGGAGGAGACTCCCAGCTGACTTCAGAGGGAGCAGGTTGTAAAATGTTTCTTATCTAACTTAAAAAGGTGCCTCGGTCTTAGTTGATTATCTCCTTGTTGTGGAAAGAAAGAAAAAGAGGGGGAAAGGGGATTCTCTATAGAATGTGGATTTTTCCCACAAGAGACAACCCTCCAGGGCAATTTCAAGATATGGCAAGGAAATATATTTGGGGTTAAAATATTTTGATTTCTTCCCTTATTTGTTATTTGATGTTATGCCAGAGTCAGGTAGAAAGCAGACCATGCTATATAGGGTTAAAATTAAAACTCCTCTGATGAGACTTTATGGTTTGTAAGGCATGACTCCCCAGGTGCCTTGGGTAGGAATTTGGGCAAGATAAGAAAAAATCAGAGTTTAGTCCTCAAAGAGTAGAATAAGATATTAATGTCAGAAATTATTATTGTTCCCCAGACTACCTTTGGCAATTTATAGTTAATAATACAGTTAGCTGGCCCAATATTAAACAGTGGTCCCTGAAAACTTAGGACTAAGCATTGCTGAGTTCCTGGTCAAAAACACTGATTTAAAAAACCACTGTTCTAGTCCATTCTTAATTCAACAAATATTTATTGAGAGCTAAATATATGCAAGGTGGTGGGTTGGGCTGCAAAGAATACAACAAACAGAAAAACGCACTCTACCCTCAAGGTGTTTACAACTGTCACGATTAGCTTCAATATTCCTGCCGTGCGTGTGTGTGTGCGTTTGAGACTATTCTATAAATCTGTTTCCAATCTTGAGTCATATTTTTCTTTGCCATATCCAAGAACAATCTGTAAAACTATGTGCCCGACGTATTTTTTTAATTAACTCACTTTAAGCGTTAAATTATTTAAAAATAAATTATATAAGTATCTCCCTTAGAATCATTGTAATCATTAATGTCCATAAAATCATGAGGTTTTCTATTTCTCAAAGTGTATATTAAAATAAATACGTCTATTTTTAAAAGGGGAGAAAGGAGTGACAAGAGGAAGCTTTGTGATTGATTGTTACATCTACAGTTGGTGGGCATAAATGAAAATTGGGAGATTAAAACCCAGTCCCACAGTGTTCTAACTATCTCTGTATATGCACAGCTCCCAATAAAGTTAGAGTTACAAAAATAAGACAGGATGCCTTCCTAAGAGAGCTTATTGTCTTTCTTACCAAGAAGATCAAACATGCTTGAAACATTTAAGTGACAAGCCTAAAAGTGCATTCAACTCGTTTTCTTCCATGTATTCATGGAACACAAAACCAGTCTTATAAAAGGTCAAAACAGCTTGCTTGCTCCAAACCCTGCCTTCACAGGCATATGCACACATAAGAATTAAGGCATGAAAAACTTTCAAGATAAAAATAACTTTGTGTCTGTTTTGCCTTTGGCTACTGTGTGAAAAGGCAAAAAGAAATTCAAATGTTCATATTGGAAACAAGCATATCATAATGTCATCAGTGTTGAAAGCCAAGTAGAAAATAAACTAATTGATTTTATTGAGCTAACAGTTGGATCTAACCATTTTTCAGGTCTCTGAAACCAGCTTCAAACATTATTTTTAGATCTCAACAGGCCTTGACAAGAATTATCTGGCTCACAGTCTTCTAATAGCTGCTTGGAGGAAAAACAAACTTATGAGGCTAGAGGCCAAGTACAAAGATTCTTGTAGCTGGGGTTTCAACACAACCAAAAAAGGAATGAAGATTTTCACAACACTTCTTTATAATTCAGAGGCCCAGGTTTTAAGCCTAGAATGTTACAGTATCATACTTCAGTTTCTGGGTCTTCAGTACGGAATGTGATTCAGAAAAGTCAAACTTCTCGTTAACAAGTATCAAGAGCTGCAATCTGGCAATCGAAAAATGCTTCTTGAGCACCTGCTGTGTGCCTTGTCCTATGGATAGGAACCCCACCCCCATCACCATGCCACACTCGAAACCTCATAACCATGCTTTTCCCTGAGACACGTATCTGTTAGAAAGGTAAGACCTACACATTTAACACAATTAGAGAGCCCTACAATCTGTGTCATTTAGACCCTGAAGTTCATGCTATTAACAGTAAATGTAAGTCTAGTTCAGAGAAGAAAGAAATTGTTGCAGACAGGAATAGCCAAGACAAGAGTGTATTTTCTCTTAAGTTTTCTGTCAAAAAACTTGAAATCTTCACCCAGTGCTTCAAGGATCTGATTTCCAGTATATCATTTTGCCGTGATTGTTTTGCATTTATTCCTAGCTCTTGCATGAGTAATTCTGTGCTTTGATACATACGAAGAAAAAGTAAAACTTACATTGTAACAATGCAGGAAATTTAAAAAATCCCAGCCAGGCATGGTGGCTCACTCCCATAATCCCAACCCTTTTGGAGGCCAAGGCGGGAGAATCACTTGAAGTCAGGAGTTTAAGACCACCCTTAACAAAGGGCAACAAAGTGAGACCCCATCTCTACAAAAACATTTTATTTTAAATTAACCAGACATGGTGGTGCATGCCTGTAGTCCCACCTACTTGGGAGGCTGACCTTGAGCCCAGCAGTTGGAGCCTGCAGTGAGCTATGATCATGCCATTGCACTCCAGACTGGGCAGCAACGTCTTAAAAAAAAAAAATCCCATTCTCCGTGTCCTTTATACTTTTCTGACTGTTTCTAAATCCCAGTATGTGCATATTGCAGACAGTAAGGTAATACTTGATAACTGAAAGAAGTCTAGTCTGGATCAGCTCTTAGCTTTTCTCCACTCAAATGGAGAAGTAATGGAGGAAAGGTATACAGTCCGATGGCTTCCTAGACACAATTTTGGTTTGAATATGTTTGAACCTGGAAAGTTTAACTCCAGAACTTATTTTCTTCACTACCCTACTATGCACTACCTGCAAAATTTTTATTGAACACGTACATGCTAATCCCTAGAGTAAGCTTTTTAAGCCAGTTCTGTCATGTTTTCTTTCACAGAAACCTATGAAATAAATAAGATGTTTAGTAATGTAAAGTAATTTGCCAGAAACATATGTTGTTTTAAATATAACATCTAAAAGTAATATCTAGAAGAATTGAAAGAAGCCAATATTTTTATAAAGTGCCTGACATGGAGTACAGCATTATTTCATTAAAATTTCATGATAGCCACCCCAAATGTGGGTATTATCCTTGTCTTATAGCTACTAATCTGAAGCCTAGCCAGTCACTTGTCCAGAATCACAATGCTAATAAGAGCCTGGCTGTGGTTTGTGTCTCCTTTAGAGCATTCCATGTTCTGCACTAGGAAGCTCTCCACTGCTTCCTCACAGTTCAAGACCATAGTCACAGAGTTTTCCTGCCTGGTCTGCACACTTTGCTCTAGTCTAACCTCCTAATTGAAGACATCTTTGTTCATTGACCATTTACGCCTTTGACTTGTCTATGAAAAGAGTCAAACTCTGCAAAATATTTGAAGAGATTTATTCTGAGCCAAATATGAGTGAGCATGGACCATGACACAGCCATCAGGAGATCCTGAGAACATGTATCCGAAGTGGTTGGGATATGGCTTAGTTTTATACATTTTAGGGAGACATGAGACAACAGTCAAATACATGTAAAACGTACATTGGTTCAGTCCAGAAAGACAGGACAGTTGGAAGCAGAGGCTTCCAGTTTCTGATTAACAGTTTGCTTGAAGGAATTGTTATTGTCTAAAAACTTAGGAATGCCTTGGGTAAGATAAAGGGTTGTGGAGACCAGGGGTTTATTATCATGCAGGTGAAGCCTCCAGGTAGCAGGCTTCAGAGAGAATAGATTGTAAATGTTTTTTATCAGACTTAAAGAGTCTGTTCTATCAGTAATTCCAAAAGGGAAGAGGGTATAATGAGGCATGTCTGACCCCTGCCCCCTTCCCATCATGACCTGAACTAGTTTTTCAGGTTAGCTTTGGAATGCCCTTGCTGAGAGGAGGGGTCCCTTCAGATGATCAGGGGATTTAGAATTTTATTTTTGGTTAACAGAGTACATTTTCTAGCCATTTCCTGAAACCATTCTCAGCTTCTACCCAGGGTGTATCAGTCAGGACTCATTTGTTTGCAAGAAACATAACACAAACTGGCTCCAACAAAAAAGGGAAGGAATTGCCTCAAATCAGAAAAGTCCAAGTGGTAACTATAGGCATGTCTGGACCCAGTAATTCTAAAAGTATTGTCAGATACTTCTTCCCACCACCTTCCCCCTTCACACCCCTGCTTCCCATTTCTGTGGTAGGCTACACACTCAGTAGGCCTCATCTACGTGGCAGAACTTGGAAATGCCAGGCAAACACTACAGTTGAATAATTCTAGTAGAAAGAGAATGCTTCTTCCCTAATTGTTTCAGCAGAAGTCTGGCTTAGGTCATATCAGCTGACTCCCAGTTTGTAACCCACTTTACATTAGCTTTCAGATACAATTATACTTCAGATACAGTTATTATTTAACTATGGGGAAACAGTCTGAGAAATGCATCATTAGACAATTTCGTCATTATGCAAAAGTCATAGAGTGCACAGTACTTACAGAAACCTAGATGGTATAGCCTACTACACACTTAGGCAATATGATAATGCCCTATCACTCCTAGGCTACAAACCTGCACAGAATGTTGCTACACTGAATACTGTAGATACTTGTAACGCAGTGGTGTTTGTGTATCTAAACATAGAAAACATACAGCAAAAATACTGTATTCTAATCTTACAGGACTACCATTGTATATGCATATATGTGGTCTGACCAAAAAGTCATTATGCAGCACATGACTACTCGAAGTTTAACCGCGTGGCATGTAAATATTTGAATAGAATGTTAGGACAATGACCTCACATTATTTCTGAAAATAATAAATAGCTTTTCAATATGTAAATACCTGAAAAGATGGGTAATTACATAATCAGATGTTAAATTAGACTAAAAGTTTTCAAAAGATTATTCTTGAGTGTAGTCATTTTTTAAGTCATTATCATCTGAAATGATATTTTATTGACCTTTTATGGAGGAGAAATGGAAACATGAAGACAAAATGACTCAAAGCAATTATTGGTATCAGGATCAGTGATTATATCCATCACGGGGAAAAAATTTATTTAAACAGGAAATTTTCCCAGAAGTCTCTGTTTTCTTTTGGAAGATATCTGCAGTTCATTCGGAATTAGCTACTGTCTATAAGTCCCTGAAGGATTATAGCTTGTGCAGCAAGTTTAATTGCAGAATTTTAAAAAATATATCATGAGATTCTTCAAAATCTTTTTAAATTTGTAAGTAAAAATAACGAAATAAAACTGTTTTTCACCTGCTTTCCTGATTAGAAAACTGCAGTTGATTTTAAAAGAAGTTATCCATGTCAAAAAAAAAACTTTAGCGTTTAGTGATTTATATAGTACCTTAAAAATATGTGCACCTTTAATGACAAATCAACTTAAAAGTTTAACATGAAAAGTTTAACAAAGAGATCTTCATTTTACAAGTACTTTTTAAAATGTCTCAGTAACCATTTACATTTGAACACTGAACCTTTAAAAAGCTGAAAGTAGATTCTCTATAAAACAGCAGTCGTTGAGTTTGACTGATAGAGCATCATTTTCTAACCTATCCTTTATCCATTTAGGATATTCCTGCTAAGCTAAAGCTGTAAGAAACAACACAAACAAAAGCTATTTCCTCTCTCCACCCCCAAATGACTTTTTAAGCAGAATGTTAGCCTTCTCCCACAGGTCCTCCCACTGGTTGTCCTCCTCATCTTTCACAAGAGGATGTCAATCCTCCCCAGCTCAGAGTTTTTTTTAGTGTAGGGTTTTGCACTTAACTACATAGCTCCACCCGAGGCCTCCACAGGGAGTATAACTATCTGCTGTTCAATACCTTTCTAAAGCCTGGCCTGGAGACAAAATAATAATGGAGGATTGACTGGAAGACGTGGTGCAAACATTCCTTCAGGTGCTTTAAAATCTATCCCCAATGAAAGGCCGTGCAACTGGTTCCTTGCAGAACTGCTCTTACCCGACTGTGCTGTTGTGGGATCCCAGCAGCCTTTACTGGGGACCAGAATAAAAAACAGCCCATGAAACTGCTTCCTGGAAAAGAATGGTTTAGAAGAACACATTGGTGGAATTCCTTCCTGGTATCAGTACTGAAAAAAGTCAATGCCACTTCTGAACAATGAGATTATTCCTTACAGGCAGGGCAAGCTATGTATCTAATCATATATCCTTCTCTGAATTGGCAGCTCTCAGGCAGAGCCAAATATCCAGTCTACTTCTACCACATACTGTGTGTCTAAGCTCACTAGACCTGTTTGTTCTATTTCCCTTTCACCTTACTCTCCTTACTTGTTCATTTATCTTACCTGTTTATAAGTCTCATTAAATCCTTTTAGGAATAAAGCAGGTATAAAATGGTTTGAGTTCTATGTAAGCAAGAATTACTATATACATAAAAAAATCTGCTGGGTTCATGAGAGATACTTTAATCTGAAATCAGTTTGAAAATATGCTTCACGATGCTAATGAGGATCTAACCAGAGATCAGGCTTCACATAGAGTTTAGATTGAGGATTGTCTTCTTTTTATATAACATTTTACAAATGTAATGTTTTGAAAATACAGGTACATTTAAATGACAGATTTTTTTCATATTCCTTTCTTATTTAATTAGAATTTCTTTACAAGTGTATATCTTTAATAAATTTAAATATCTAGTAATATCTATTTAAGAAATAGCATTTTTGGAATTCTGTGTGCAATTGACTTGTCATCTATGACTTTCTTATCCCCAACCAGTATCTGAGGTAACCCACAATTAAAATACATATATGCATGTATATTATCAGGTAAAGGTAAAAGAGATCAAAAGCTAAGGATAAAATGCTTAACTGTACTCAGACACTAAATTCAGCACTGAGTTTTCTGACATCCAAAGATAAGAGGGAAACAAAAGAAGTTACAAAGCTTTCTATTTCTGATAAGAGAAAAAAATAGTATTTTTCTTATTGTCCTTATACATACATAATAATACATATATATGTCCTTATGTGTACCTATATATAACATACTATTATATACATTAAGTATTATAATGCCCAACTCATCCTTATACATACCTAAAATAAAACCACAAATTCTAAAAATTAATCTTAGCTGGACATGGTGGTTCCCACTTGTAGCTGTAGCAGCTAAGGAAGCTGAGGCAGGAGAATCGCTTGAGCCCAGGTTACAGTGAACTGTGATCACAGCACTGCACTCCAGCCTGTGCAACAGAGCAAGACCCTGTCTCTTAAAAAAAAAAAAAAAAAACTTGTTTTATTGAAGAGAGATGTTTTTGGACAATATCTTAGTATGCTGTGTTTTGACAGTTTTGTCCTGTTTTTATATATGTTAGAATTAGAATGGGTCCCAGTCAGAAGCTACTTGGAATATATAGGAAATATATGACATGCCGTGCTGACTTACAGTGTGTATATTTTTTACAGTACACTCCTGATCATGTAGTTGGACCTGGAGCAGACATTGATCCCACTCAAATAACCTTTCCCGGATGCATTTGTGTCAAAACTCCCTGCCTCCCTGGCACTTGCTCCTGTCTCCGCCATGGAGAGAACTATGATGATAACTCATGCCTTAGAGATATAGGATCTGGAGGAAAGTATGCAGAGCCTGTTTTTGAATGCAATGTCCTGTGCCGATGCAGTGACCACTGCAGAAACAGAGTGGTCCAGAAAGGTCTACAGTTCCACTTCCAAGTGTTCAAGACGCATAAAAAAGGCTGGGGACTTCGTACCTTGGAATTTATACCGAAAGGAAGGTTTGTCTGTGAATATGCTGGTGAGGTTTTAGGATTCTCTGAAGTTCAGAGAAGAATTCACTTACAAACAAAATCCGACTCCAATTACATTATAGCCATCAGGGAACATGTTTATAATGGGCAGGTAATGGAAACATTTGTTGACCCTACTTATATAGGAAATATTGGAAGATTCCTTAATCATTCTTGTGAGCCAAACCTTTTGATGATTCCTGTCCGAATTGACTCAATGGTACCTAAGTTGGCACTTTTTGCAGCCAAAGATATTGTGCCAGAAGAAGAACTCTCTTATGATTATTCAGGAAGATATCTTAATCTAACAGTCAGTGAAGACAAAGAAAGGCTAGATCATGGGAAACTAAGGAAACCTTGTTACTGTGGTGCCAAATCATGTACTGCTTTCCTGCCTTTTGACAGTTCTCTGTACTGCCCCGTAGAAAAGTCGAACATCAGTTGTGGAAATGAGAAGGAACCCAGCATGTGTGGCTCAGCCCCTTCTGTGTTCCCCTCCTGCAAGCGATTGACCCTTGAGGTGAGTCTGTTCAGTGATAAGCAGCTTGCCCCTCCCTATAGTGGAAGACAGTGGTTGGCTAGCTTTACCTCTGCCTAGTTACATAAGTTTAACTCAGGAATGTGGCAGAGACTGCAAGTTGTCCATCAGTATCCTTTCCCCTTTCTGTAATAGAATTCTCCATTTAACAAAAGTACATGACTACCCAGAATACTCACTTTCCTAGTTAGATTTGTCTTAGTGACTGTTCTAGTTAATAGGATATAAGCAAAAATGACAAGTCCTTAAATGGAGATATCCTGCCCTTCACCTCCTCTTTCTTCCTGCTGGCTGG
This sequence comes from Homo sapiens, assembly GCF_000001405.40. Taxonomy (NCBI): domain Eukaryota; kingdom Metazoa; phylum Chordata; class Mammalia; order Primates; family Hominidae; genus Homo; species Homo sapiens. The sequence goes on from NC_000003.12 coordinate 4,314,075, forward strand.
AATGTATACATGATGACTGGAACTGGAGCAGTCATCCTAGACCCCAGGATGACCCTGGGAAAGGAAGCCATTGCATAGAAAAATCAACAAGGTTAAAAGGAGTCTAGGTGTCTGGTACTGTAGAACATCCTGTCAGTCGTGATCTGACACCTTTGTACTTTCAGGTGAGAAATAGTCTCTCCCTTGCTTAAGTCACTGTTATTGTAAGTTTTCTAGCACTAACATCGAACCTAATAATGATCCAAGAAACCCTTGTGGCTGCATACCTAAACCCTGCTTGCCAACCAATTTTAACAGTAATAAAGCTGACTTTTTGATTTCTGTCTGACTCCTGCGTCCTACTTAATTGTTTCTAAGCATGGATCAAGGAAAAAGGCATTATTAACTATCACCTGCTAAAACCCTAATAAGTACTACCAGTAGTGAAAAATATAACTATGAAAATGACTTACATGTTGTAACCAAAAGTCAGAAAAAGAGACACATTGTAAATTTTTCATTTTCATTATATACTTGGCTGTACTCCAAATCTTGTGAAGTTATGCTTCAAAACTTCAAACAGCCTCACTTCATGTATAAATAACAGAAAAATAACCCTGTCCACACCACAGAAGGAGACGGGAGTTTTATGATCCCGTTTAAACTTCTAGAGCAGCAAACATCTCTAACTACCTTCCTTAAAGCAGGGATGTTGCAAAAATACAGTTACTGTGGAGGTTTATCAGACATTTTGAAAGCTAAAATAATTACTAGAGCCCCTATGATATTATTAAGTAATTTAATTTCTTCTCTAGTACATTTAAACCCTACCACTAGGAGGCCCTGCACTTTCAACATTATAGGAATCCATGTTATATATAACACTATTCCTCTGTAATATAAGTACATTGTACACTTTAAATGAGTGAAATATACAGCGTGTGAATTATATCTCAATAAAGCTAGGTCGTTTTTAAGTATCTTAGGGTTTATAATGTTCATATAACATTACATGGAATGGTTCCCTGTGAACAAATGGTACTAGAGTACACATAAAATGCCCCAAATTACAAATACATAGTATCAAAAATTTTCCTCCAAATTAATCATTTCTCCATGCCAACTGTCCTCTATTACTTCAATGCCTCTGAAGCAGTCCTGCTTTTAATAAGGCAGCTTGTATCCCTCACTCCAAAATGTGCTTTTTCTTGCTCACAAGCTCACCTAATAACTGAGCTGCTTCAGACGCAATATGGAAGTGGTTAGAAGGAAAATGATTGGCTCACCATTTGATTCTGCAGATACCCTTTTCTATGTCCTTTTGCCTTTCTATATTGAACAGCAGAGATATTCCCAGAGGACAATCTTCCATTCAGAGACAAGGACACAAACAGCCCCCTCCAACTCAGTGCCTCTGCCAGAGACAACTGACTGAATATGGACCCCTGGAAATTTTTTGTCCTCAGGCACTAGTTTATTATATAGCACTTAATCCTAGAAACCAGATTCCTAAGGTAAGAGTCAAAGAGTCTTTATTCCAAGTCTTTTCTAAGCAGCAAGTTAACTGCATTTGTTTGCTTCATTGCCATATTTTTGAGAATGTTGACACTTCTTTTGAGAGAAAACATTTAAAAATATACTTCCACTTGACTATTATCCCATGATAAAATAACATTTTTATAAATTATAAGATTCAAATTTTAAAAGATGGGGCTGGGTGCAGTGGCTCACACCTGTAATCCCAGCACTTTGGGAGGCTGAGGCAGGCAGAACACTTGAGCTTGGGAGTTTGAGACCACCCTGGCCAACATGGTGAAACCCCATCTCTACTAAAAATACAAAAATTAGTTAGATGTGGTGGCACATGTCTGTAGTCCCAGCTACTCAGGAGGCTGAGGTACGAGAATCACTTGAGCCCAGGAGGCAGAGGTTGCAGTGAGCCAAGACTGTACCACTGCACTCCAGCTTGGGTGACAGAGCGAGACTCTGTCTCAAAAAAAAAAAAAAAAAAAAAAGTAACAGTTTTTGCATTGTTGGAATTTGGTATTTGATATTGGAATACATTCTTAAATGTGGTCATGTTATACACCATTTTAATGAGCATTTCTTTATGTTTTTTTGCTAATGACATCTTACTTGCTGTTTATGTTTATTTTAGACTATGAAAATGATGTTAGACAAAAAGCAAATTCGAGCAATTTTCTTATTCGAGTTCAAAATGGGTCGTAAAGCAGCAGAAACAACTCGCAACATCAACAATGCATTTGGCCCAGGAACTGCTAACGAACGTACAGTGCAGTGGTGGTTCAAGAAGTTTTGCAAAGGAGATGAGAGCCTTGAAGATGAGGAGCGTAGTGGCCGGCCATCAGAAGTTGACAACGACCAGTTGAGAGCAATCATCGAAGCTGATCCCCTTACAACTACACGAGAAGTTGCTGAAGAACTCAATGTCAACCATTCTACGGTCGTTCGACATTTGAAGCAAATTGGAAAGGTGAAAAAGCTCGATAAGTGGGTGCCTCATGAGCTGACTGAAAATCAAAAAAATCGTCGTTTTGAAGTGTCATCTTCTCTTATTCTACGCAACCACAACGAACCATTTCTCGATCGGATTGTGACGTGTGATGAAAAGTGGATTTTATATGACAACCGGCGACGATCAGCTCAGTGGTTGGATCAAGAAGAAGCTCCAAAGCACTTCCCAAAGCCAATCTTGCACCCAAAAAAGGTCATGGTCACTATTTGGTGGTCTGCTGCTGGTCTGATCCACTACAGCTTTCTGAATCCCGGTGAAACCATTACATCTGAGAAGTATGCTCAGGAAATCGATGAGATGAACCAAAAACTGCAACGCCTGCAGCTGGCATTGGTCAACAGAAAGGGCCCAATTCTTCTCCACGACAATGCCCGACCGCATGTTGCACAACCCACACTTCAAAAGTTGAATGAATTGGGCTATGAAGTTTTGCCTCATCCACCGTATTCACCTGACCTCTTGCCAACCAACTACCACGTCTTTAAGCATCTCAACAACTTTTTGCAGGGAAAACGCTTCCACAACCAGCAGGATGCAGAAAATGCTTTCCAAGAGTTCGTCGAATCCCAAAGCACGGATTTTTACGCTACAGGAATAAACCAACTTATTTCTCGTTGGCAAAAATGTGTTGATTGTAATGGTTCCTATTTTGATTAATAAAAATGCGTTGAGCCTAGTTATAATGATTTAAAATTCACAGTCCAAAACCGCAGTTAGTTTTGCACCAACCCAATATCTTCATAGATTGAAATATAAATTAAAATTGCATTTGAAGTAGATTCCACGGACTTTATTAAGAATGTAGAAATGTGGCCTGGCATGGTGGCTTACAACTGTAATCCCAGCACTTTGGGAGGCCCAGGCGGGCAGATCACTTGAGTCCAATTGTTCAGGACCAGCCTGGGCAACATAGTGAGACCCTGACTCTAATAAAATAATTTTTTAAAAAAAGATTAAAACATGTACCTTGAAAAGCATTTTGGCCCAAGAATAATAACGATCACACTTGAAGAACAAAGCTTTTCTTTAAAAAAATTTTCCTTTAATTTTCAAATTACTATTCACAAAATAGCAGTGGCTGTTAGATTTTGTTCTTGGCCAAATGGAAAATTTTGCCCTAATTAAAATGTAGTCACTCTCCAGTGTGTTACCATTGAACAAATCACTGAACCTTTCCAAGTCAAAGTTTCCTTAGTTGGGAAGATTGAGTTAACACATGCAAAGGGGTTAGAGCAATGCCTGAGTATATAGAAAGTATTCAATAAATGTAAATTATTAGTCTTGAGAACTGTCTGTAGGATGTGACCCAAAGTTCTCCCTTCTATTCAGGTGTAATTAGGATATAATGTCCTTCAAATGGCAGACTTAAAGGGGGAAAAAGTCACTAAGAGGTGACCAGAAGGGTTAGAGCTGAGCAAGAGAGGTTCCTGCCCTGAGCCCTGCATTTTAGAGTGCCTAAGGTTACATACATACACACACACACGAGTTAAAGAAGACATGGATACCATAACCAGACACATGAGTTAAAGAAGACATGGATACCATAACCAAAGACATTACTAGGAAAGAAAACTAATACCAATATCCCTTTTGAATACAGAGGCAAAAAAAAAAAGTACTAGCAAATGAAATCCAGCAAGATATCAAAAGAATTATACACTGTGATCCATTGGGATTTATCCCAGGAAAGCAAGATTGGTTTAACATACGAAAATCAGTAAATCCAGTATATTAATGGGATAATTCACAAAAGATAAATACATAATCATTTCCATAGACACAAAGCATTTGACAACCTCCAGTAGCCTTTCATGATAAAAGCAGTGAACAGACTAGAAGTAAACAGGAACTTCTTCAACCTGAGAAAGGATATCTATGAAGACCCACAGCTAACATCATACATAATGATGAAAGACTGAAAGCTCTTATCCTAAGATATGGAACAAGAAAATGATCTCCAAGCTCACCACTTCTATTCAGCATTGTACTGGAGGTTCTAGCCAGGACAATTAGGCAGGTAAGAACTTAAAACTCAGGGCCGGGTTCAGTGGCTCATGCCTGTAATCCCAGCACTTTGGGAGGCCAAAGCAGACAGATCACCTGAGGTCAGGAGTTCAAGACCAGCCTGGCCAATATGGCAAAACCCTGTCCATACTAAAACTACAAAAATAAGCTGGGCATAGTGGCACACACCTGTAATCCCAGCTACTCCTGAGGCTGAGGCAGGAGAATCATTTGAACCTGGGGTGGAGGTTACAGCGAGCTGAGATTACACCACTGCACTCCAGTCCAGGTGACAGAGTGAGACTGCCTCTCAAAAAAACACAAAAAAAGCCGTAAAAATAATAAGACAAATGACCCAATTTAAACATGGGCAAAAGGTCTGAATAGACATCAAAAATAAACATGAATGTGAAAATGTGCTCAACATCATTTGTCATCAGGGAATTGCAATTTAAAACTATAAGTTATCCCTTAGCACCCACTAGGATGGTAGAAAGCGAAAACACTAAAAATGCCAAAAGATGGCAAGGATGTGGAGCAACAGGAACTCTTCATTGTTCATTGAAATGTGACATGGTACAGCCTCTTTAGAAGACAGTTTGGTGGGCTCTTAAAAGAGCTAGGCATAGCCTTAGCATTGATCCAGCAATCATGCTCCTGTTACCAAAATGACAGGGGGTTCAGTCCTGCTGCTCACCACACAGAATGTCAATCACTGAGACAATGAATGTTGCCATGAAAGAAGTATTTCACTGGGTGCTGCAGCCAAGGAGAATGGGAGATAAAGTCTCAAATCCCTGACCAACTACAACTGGGGAGGCTTACATAGTGAGGGAAGGAATTAAGGGGGGTAAAGAAGCAATTATGATGAATGAGGGGGTCTGGCATCTTATTTCGATGTGGTGATCTGGTGAGTTTAAGTCCCTTGCCTGAGGATCAGTTCCCTGAGGGAGGAACTCAGATGAGACAAATGTAAATTTCAAGTTTTAAGACCTGAAGGGTCAATTTCCATGTGTGTTCCAAAACTTTTAAATGTCATTTCTATGGGACAGTTGGAACAGTTTCACTTCTAGGTATTTACTGATTTGAAAACTTGTCCACATAAAAACAGCACACACGTGTTCATAACAAGGTTATAATTGGTTAAAACTTGAAGCAACACACATTTCTTCAATAAGTGAATGGATAAACAAACTGGTACATCCATATGATGGAATACTATTCAACAATAAAGAAATGAGCTATCGAGCCACAGAAAGTCCTGTATGAACCTTAAATGCATACTGTTAAGTGAGAGAAGTCATTCTGAACAGGCTGCATACTATATGAGTCCAACTATATGACACTCTGGAAAAGACAAAACAATAGAGAATAAAAATGTCAGTGGTTGCCAGAGTTTGAGGAGAGGGAGGAATGAATAGGTGAAGCACAGGAGTTTTTTAGGGCAATGAAACAATTCTGTATGATACTGTGATGGTGTATACATGACATTGTGTATTTGTGAAAACATATAGAACTTTACTGCACAAAGGGTCAAAATTTTATGTAAACAATTTTAATCATTTAAGAAGTCAGGGAATCACAGGAATGCAGACTGTGACAAGAGAACATAACTATTAGTACAAATGTAGGAAACAAACTCAAAAGAGTAGGGGTGAAAGGTGCTGATCTAAGTAACTTTGGAAATTACTGAAGTTTGTAAGACTAAAGGCAAAAGGAACTGCAAGTAAGCAGTTCCTAGTTGATACAAGTTGTTTCCCATGGGGGTTATAGGGAAGCTTAAACATTCCCTCTGGAGGTTTGATAATTAAGTCTGCTGAAATGAACTGACAATAAACAGATTAAGAAGAGAAAGACCATTTTAATTACATACATGCAAATGGAAGCCTCAGAAAAATATGAGACTCAAAGGAGGAGGCAGATGGTTGAAGGTTTCATAGCATAAAATGAATAGGGGCTTGAAGGGGAGGTGATGACAGTTATGAGAGGAAAAGGAGAGGAACTGCATGGTGAACAAAGATTGTCTTATGTAAATAAAGTCTCTCAGGTCATAAAAGTTGTTTAGGAGTTTTTTATTGCTGCTGAAGAATAGGCAATAGCCTGTTTTGGTGTGGTGACAACTTTTAATCTCCTCTGGTGATAAATCTTTCCTGGTTGTTTGATGAAATTCCTAGGGAGGAGTCTCAACACAAATGTATTCCTTTTGGAAGAACTTCCCTCAGTCAGAGAAGGGAACTTCAGGAGAGCCCCTCCCTGCACTTATGGGAGTAGGGTGAGAAACAAGAGAAAGCCAGACAGGCCTCCATGGGGGCAGCTTCTAAGGCCTTTCAATTTCCTTTAATTCTAAGTGCTCAGCATGTTAAAGGACCATACGTTGGGGTATCATTTTCTGAGCCTTAACAGGATATAATTCTGATATTAACAACTCTGCTATTGCCTTACATGTATACTGGAATTAAACAAATTGATGGCAGATCGTGGGAGCCAGGTTTCTCACTGTTGGATTGGGAATTTACATTTAAGCAAAGGAAGGATGATCCATGTGGTAATGGATCAATTGGAGACATCAGCATGAACTCACATTTAGCTTAGTATAGATACAGAAGGTTACATATAGAAATATTTCTAGATTACAGTTAGTATATTACAGTTAGTATGCACACATATATTTCCTTTCTTTGTCAGCTCAGACAGCCTAGAAGCAATGATGCTCCAGTAGCAAGGAGCACATTTAGCACCCAGATCTTGATTTTTATACCATTCTCCAACAACAAAAAAACAGGGTTCTTTGGAGAAATGGCTAATTCTGCTACTAAAGAAGGAAATCAACAAGCTGAGACTGGAGCATCTTGTAGTGCCAGAAAGTAAGGAAATGCTAAAAAAAAAAAAAAAAAAAAAAAGAAAAAGAAAGAAACCTACATTGATGGGGGTGTCAAAGGAGTATAGAAACAAATTGTAAAAGCTCCCAGTGACCAAATCTGGAATAATTTGAGCAAGATAATAAATAAAGTAGTACTGGATTATAAAACAAAATATAAAAATCTGAGTCCATACTGATATAAATAAATGATTGAATCAATAAATAAATGGGGTAAAGACAAATCTAACTTTGCATAAGAATTCTAAATAACTTATGTAGCTATTTCTGCCCACGAAAAGGGGGACCATAAATTCCTACTCCTTTAGTGTAAGCTATACATAGTGACTTCCTCCCAAAGAGTGTAGAATGGAAAGTTGAGGGTGGAGGAAAGGGAGGGGAGCAGAGTAACTTTACTCTGGGGAAACTTGACAAATGACCTCAGCTAGGTGATCAAGGTCAATATGAACAGTCATAAATCATGTTGGTAGTATATGCCATTGACAGGATGTGATAAAGATGGTACATTAACTCTGTGGTCTTGCTCCCCAAACCCATAACCCAAGACTAATCATGAGGAAAAGAATCAGATAAATTTAAATACAGGGTCATCTACAAAATACTTGAACATTATTCCTCAAGGTCTTGGAAAACAAGAAAAGTCTAAGAAATTGTCACAACCAAGAGGAGTCAAAGAAGACATGATATGTAACTGTAATGTGGTGTCCTGGATGAGATACTAGAACCAAAACAGACAGGTAAAACTAAAAATCTGAATCAACTATGGTCTTTAGTTAATGATGTATCAATATTGGTTCTTAATTGTAACAAATGTATCATAATGTAATGATATGTATAATATCATAGGTATGTATCAATACATAATAATATATATTGATATGTATAATAATGTAATATAAATGTACCATAACTAATGTTAGTAATAGGGGAAACTGGCTATGGGATATATAGGACCTTTCTGTATTATCTTCTCAATTTTTATGAAAATCTAAAACTATTCCATGAAAGTCTACGGTAAATGAAAATGTGCCAATGCCAGAAATGGTGGTGCATGCCTGCATGCCTTCAGTCCAAGCTACTTAGGGGTCTGAAGCAGGAGGATCCCTTGACCCTAGGAGCTCAAGGCTGCAGTGAGCTATGATCCTACCACTGCACTTCAGCCTGGGTGAAAGAGGGAGACCTGCCTATAAAAAAAAAAAAAGAAAGAAAAAAGACAGACAATTATAAGCATTGACAAGGATGTGGAGAAAGTGGAAGCCTCATATATTGGTTGGTTGGTTGCAAAATTGTGCAACTACTCTAAAGCAGTTTGGCAGTTTCTCAAAGCTCACATACAATTACCACATGTCCCAGTAACTCCCCTGGCATGGATCCAATAGAATTGAAAACATGTCTACAAAAAGTGTATGCACATCCAGCCTGGATGACACAGCAAGATGCTGTCTTAAAAAAAAGTATGCACAAATGTTCATATAGCATTATTCATAACAACAAAAAAGTGGACACAACCCAAATATTCATTAGCCGATGAATGAATAAACAAAATATAGTATCCATACAGTGAAATATTATTTAGCCATAAAAGTATGCACAAATATTCATATAACGTTATTCATAATAGCAAAAAAAAGTAGGCACAACCCAAATATCCATTAGCTGATGGATGAATAAACAACATGTAGTATCCATGCAATGGAATATTGTTTGGTCATAATATTATTTGGCCATTCCATAAAAAGGAATGAAATACCAAAAAATGCCCTTGATATGGATGACCCTTGAAAACATTATGTTAAGTGACAGAAACCGGACACAACAGGTCACATTTGTGGTATTCTGTTTACATGAACTATCTGGAATAGGCAACTCCATACAGATACAAAGTAGATTAGTGGTTGCCAGGGCCGGGAGCAGGAAGGAGTATAGGGATTGACTGCTAACACCAACAAGTACATGGTTTCTTTTGGGGGTAATGCAACATTCTAGAATTAGTTGTGATGGTTGCACAACTTGTGACTACACTAAAAAGCATTTTAATTAGGTGGATTTTATGGTATGTGAATTGTATCTCCTTAAAGATATTATAAGAAAAAGAAGAAAAGGAAGGAAGAGGAGAAAGAGAAGGAGGAGCAGCAGAAGAATGAGGAGGAGGACAACAACCACCTGGTACCTCTGGTTTAGAAACTGGTAACTTGTGACTCTGAACATTTGTTTCTGGGAAGAATGCTTTAGGCCCCAGGAAAATGCTACTCCACTTACTTTCTGTCCTCAAAAACAAAACATAACTGTGCCTAATGCTCTGGGTTGGGCCATTACCACCATCAGAGAGTGACACAGCTTTGGGGTGCAGGGAGAATGTGGACAGAAGTGCTCAGTCAGATAGATAAGAGATAGATTAATTAACCTGACAGCTCTTCCTCTCAGCATAAATGTAACAGATTCATGAATAACAATGTACAGTTTTCAATTCCTATTACTTAGAATTCCAATTCCTATTACTTTTAAATCTGTGTACGTGTAAGTCTAGAAATTTGATACTGGTTCTTTATATTACTGTATAGATTTAGCAGATGATGAAAAAGACAGCATAAGTGATAGCTTATGTGATGAAATTAAGATTTTTTGTTTTCTGCAATAATAATTTACCAAATGTGGCCCCATTAGAATGTTTGAACATGATACATACATTTCATGGTTTGTTTTCAACTCTGTCTCAGCAGAGTGACGCTTTCTCAAATTGAAATTAATTAAAAAAAAAATGTCAAAGACCTACACTGACTGAAGAAAGATGGCCTCATTTGGTATCATTGTTAATAGAATACCAACTATGTGAAAATCTTTTTTATAATATAGACCAAAAAGTGACTGAGGCAGGTCTCAATCAATGAGAGGTTTATTTTGCCAAGGTTGAGGATGTGCCAAGGAAAACCATAAATCACAAGAGCATCTGTGACCTATGAGTTTTCTAAAGAGGATTTCGTGAACTTGAATATTTAAAGGGGAAAACGTAAGCAGGAGAGGGGACAAAAAGAGGTGGGAGTGAGCATGAGCAGTGAGGTAGATGGTTAGATTCTTGTGAGGCTCTGATTAGCTTCACTAAATCTACATTTTACATGTGAAAAGTGGGAGGAGAGGAAAAAGTCGATTATGCATTGTCTCATGCTCAGTAAATCTACATTTTTACATCAGATGAAGTAAACATGTGAAAAGAGGGAGTAGAGGAAATAAGGCTGACATGGGGTTGTGAAATTACAGTTATCTGTTTGGGCTCAAAAGAAATACAGTATTGATCGATTACCAAGTTAATTTCCCAAGCTCAACTTTGCCTTTGGCATAGTGAGTTTGGGGGCCCTGCAATTCTATTTTTCTTTTACATTTCCCCCCTGTATTATCCCATTTTCATGCTGCTGATAAAGACATACCCAAAACTGGGTAATTTATAAAGAAAAAGAGGTTTAATGGACTCACAATTTCACTTGGCTGGGAAGGCTTCACAATCATGTTGAAAGGTGAAAGGCACACCTTACACAGCAGCAGACAAGAAAGAGTTTGTGCAGGAAAACTCTCCCTTACAAAACCATCAGATCTCATGAAACTTATTGACTATCACAAGATCAGCATGGAAAAGACCCAGCCCCATAATTCAATTACCTCCCACCAGGTCCCTCCCATGACAAATGGGAATTGTGGGTGCTAAAATTCAAAATGAGATTTGGGTAGGGACACAGCCAAACCATATCACCCCTGTTCTTCAAAATATTTCAAAGAAAGTACTGTAGAAGAAAATAAATCATCACTAGAATGATTTATTCCTAGAAGGCTAGTATCCACATGGCTAGGAAGGCTCATTTCTAAGATGTCATGAAGTCTCATACCCCACAGAGAAAGATAGGGGGAGAAAGGAAGAAAGAAAAAAAAGACCAAAAACAGAAAGAGAAAAGGGACCAAGGACAAATTGTAGCAGCAAAGGGAAAGCAATTCTGGAAAACCAATTCAGCCTGTACTACTGAGAAGTCCATACATCAGTGGCAGGCACGAAGGTGGCATATATGTATGTGTGTGTGTGTGTATATATGTGTGTGTCTGTGTGTGTATATATATATATATGTATGTATATATCTGTGTGTATATATGTGTACACACACACACACACACACACATATATGCATAGGTTGCTGTTATTTCTACTGAATTTTAAGGTGTCTAAGTGCAGTCTGGAGGGCTTTAAGGAAAGCACAGTTTTAGTTTCTAGTGATTCCAACTCAGAAAAATGGGATAAAAAAATTGATTAATGTTAGTTTGGAAACATGTAGTCAAGAAAGAATTCAGAATCCAGTCCAAATAAATTGTAGACAAATAATAAAAACTGAAAAAAAAATGAATAAAGCTAGAATCTAACAGGTATACTATAGTGAACTCAGCTCACTACAACCTCCTCCTCCTGGGTTCAAGCAATTTTCCTGCCTCAGCCTCCAAAGTAGCGGAGACTACAGGCATGCACCACCATGCCTGGCTGATTTCTGTATTTTTAGTTGAAACAGGGTTTCACCATGTTGGCTAGGCTGGTCTTGAACTCCTGACCTCAGGTGATCCTCCCACTTTGGCCTCCCAAAGTGCTGGGATTACAGGCGTGAGCCACAGTGCCCAGCTATCTTTTGAAACATAACTTTTTTCTCTCAATCCTTTATTTTTACCAAAGACAAGTCACAGAAAGACCAATTTATTTGCAAAAAGTTTTAGTCTCATTATACTTGGCCTGATTAGTTGCATAAAGTACAGCAAGAATAATTATTGGCCAATAGGCTTTTTTTAAATTGGCTTTGCTGGAACTTTTTCATAAGGAATCTCAGATTAGACTTTTAAAGCTTTCTCAAGCACAGCCAAGAATTTGTCTGTGCCTGCAGATACCTGTCTCAATTCCTCTCTTCTTGAGGTCCCAAAATAAATGAGATTCCTGGGCCTGTCAGAAAATGACATTCTCTACTTACCACAGGTCAATAACCCTATAAAGGAATTTCATAAACAATGTACAAGGCCAGTTTTTCCAAGGGTTTTTTTTTTTTTGAGATAGATCCTCACTCTGTTGCCCAGGCTGGAATGAAGTGACATGATCTCAGCTCACTGCAACTGCTACCTCCTGGATTCAAGCAATACTCATGCCTCAGCTTCCTGAGTAGCTCGGACTACAGATGCATGCCACCATAACCAGATAATTTTTTTTGTATTTTTAGTAGAGATGTGGTTTTGCCATGTTGCCCAGGCTGGTCTCAAACTCCTGAGCTCAGGTGATCTGCCTGCCTCATCCTCCCAAACTGCTGGGATTACAGACATAAGCCACCATGCCCAGCCTCCAAGGGGCTTTTATTGGCTCTCTAACATCATCTCAATTTCTCAAAGCATTCTGGTCATATCTGAAAATATGCCATGCCAGTCAAAGCTTTGGTAAAATAACCAGTGTCTCCAATTATAGCCTATTCCAAAAGAAAACAGATTCTTGCTGAACTTATGCAAATAACTATATTGTTATAAGTTAAGAATACTTACAAATAGTTTCTAAATTCTGGAGAAATCAGGTAGAGAAAAGGAAATATGCTTCAAATTTGGCTCACAAGGGTATACTTTACAAAACTGTTAAAAGCTAAAAATAGATCGATTTTTTTCTTGACCAAAAAAACACAAAAATATCAGCAATGTTTCAAACAAAAAAGTCATAGAAACATTATTTCAGTCCTCTATTAGTTCAGTCCCATGCAATTAACTCATTCCATTTGATTGGGGTTAGCAAGCCTCATGAACACATTAGCTCTCCAGTGAGAATCCTGGAAATTTTCTCTCTAGCCTAATGGCACAATGTCTAAAATTATCTGAAATCTGCCTTTAATAGCACCCAGAAGAGTCTTTTCCATAAATTTCCCAAAAAAAGCAAGTTGTTGTTGTTGTTGTTTTCTGTAGCCGACTATAAACAGCTTTTTGGGAAGAATCAAAGTAAAACAATAATTGTCTGTGGATGACAAAAGTCGTAGGACAGTCATGGTTAAAAACACAATTGTCAAGGAAATTTGGTTATCTTTTTGGTATGTAACAATTTAACATAATATAATTATAGCTGATAACATTAAGACAGCAGAATTATAGGAATCTTATACAATTTTGGAACACATATTAATAACATATAAAATATAACCCAAAGAAAGTTAAACACCATTTCATATTTGACATCTCTTGTATAATTTTTAACATAGCAAATAAGCTCAATATGTCTCCTTTGGACTTAAGGGGACCTAATATCTAAAAAAGTTAATGAGATAAAAAAGAATTTAGAACTTGAAATTTTGATTTTGGAAAATGTGTTAAATATCAAAGATTTAAAACACTTGATATCACAAAATAGGTACACAGGTCACTGTAAAATAAGTCATTAGTTTAGCCAAATGATAATTCAAGGATTTTAAAAGCAAAAACCACTGCACTCAGCAGCTCACACTTGTAATCTCAACACTTTGGGAAGCCAAAGTCAGAGGATCACTCGAGTCTAGGAATTCAAGACCAGCTTGTGCTACATAGTGAGGCCCTCCCTGTACAAAAAAAAATTAAAAATTAGCTGGGTGTGATGGCGGGTGCCTGTAGTCCAAGGTACTTAGGAGGCTGAGGTGGGAGGATTGTGTGAGTCTGTAGGTTCAGGCTGTGATCAGCCATGATTGTGACACTGTACATTCCAGCCTGGGTGACCAACAAGACCCTGTCTCAAAATAAATAAATATAAATTTAAAAAATAAATGAATAAAAATATTTATTAAATAAATTAAGCAAAAACTTTTACTGTTTTATGGAGAGGAGACTCAGTTTCCCAAACAATACAATCAAAATAAGATAGCGTATTAGTCAGTTCTCATGCTGCTAATAAAGACATGCCTGAGACTAAATAATTTATAAAGAAAAAGAGGTTTAATGGACTCACAGTTCCACATGGCTGGGGAGGCCTCACAATCATGGCTGAAGGCAAAGGAGGAGCATGCACATCTTACATGGTGGCAGGCAAGAGAACTTGTGCAAATAAAATCATCAGATCTCATGAGACTTGTTCACTACCACGAGAACAGTATGGGGGAAACTGCCTCCATGATTCAATTTTCTCCACTTGGTCCCGCCCTTAACACATTGGGATTATTATAATTCAAGGTGAGATTTGGGTGGGGACATAGTCAAACCATATCATTCTGCCCCTCACCCCTACCAAATCTCACGTCCTCACATTTCAAAACCAGTCATGCCTTCCCAACAGTTCCCCAAAGTCTTTAATCATTCCAGCATTAACCCAAAAGTCCAAATCCAAAGTCTCATCTGAGACAAGGCAAGTCCCTTTCACCTATGAGCCTGTAAAATTAAAAGCAAGATAGCTACTTCCTAGATACAATGGGGGTACAGGCATTGGGTAAATACACTCATTCCAAATGGGAGAGATTGGCCAAAATGAAGGGGCTACAGGCTCCATGCAAGTCTGAAATCCAGCAGGGCAGCCAAATCTTAAAGCTCCAAAATGATCTCATTTGACTTCATGTCTCACATCCAGGTCATGCTGATGCAAGAGGTGGGTTCACATGGTCTTGGGCATCTCTGCCTCTGTGGCTTTGCAGGGTACAGCCCTTCTCCTGGCTGCTTTAACAGGCTGGTATTGTCTGTGGCTTTTCCAGGTGCATGGTGCAAGCTGTTGGTGGATCTACCATTCTGGGGTCTGGAGGACGGTGGCCCTCTTCTCACAGCTCCACTAGGCAGTGCCCCAGTGGGGACTCTGTGTGGTGGCTCCAACCCCACATTTCCTTTCCACACTGCCTTATCAGAGGTTCTCCATGAGGGCTCTGCCCCTGCAGCATACTTCTGCCTGGACATCCAGGCATTTCCGTACATCCTCTGAAATATAGGTGGAGGTTCCCAAACCTCAATTCTTGACTTCTGTGTACCCACAGGCTCAAAACCACGTGAAAGCTGCCAATGCTTACGGTTTGCACCCTCTGAAACAATGGCCTGAGCTCTATGTTGGCCCCTTTTAGCCATGGCTGGAGTGGTTGGGACACAGGGCACCAAGTCTCTAGGCTGCACACAGCAGCAAGGCCCTGGGCCCAGCCCACAAAACCATTTTTCCCTCCTATGCCTCCAGGTTTCTGATGGGAGGGGCTGCCCTGAGGACTTCTGATATGCCCTGGAGACATTTTCCCCATTGTCTTGGCAATTAACACTTGGCTCCTCATTACTTATGCAAATTTTTGCAACCAGCTTGAATTTCTCCTTAGAAAATGTTTTTTTTTTTTCCTATCACATCATCAGGCTGCTAATTTTCCAAACTTTTATACTCTGCTTTCCTTCTAAACATAGTTGCAATTCCAAACCATAATTTTGTGAATATATAAAACTGAATGCTTTTAACAATACCCAAGTCACCTCTTGAACACTTTGTATTTCTTAGAAATTACTTCTACTAGATGCCCTAAATTATCTCTCTCAAGTTCAAAGTTCTGCAAATCTAATGCAGGGTCAAAATGCCACTAGTCTCTTTGCTAATGTGTAACAAGAGTTACCTTTGCTCCAGTTCCCAACAAGTTCCTCATCTCCATCTGAGACCACCTCAGCCTGGACTTTATTGTTCATATCACTATCAGCATTTTGGTCAAAGCCATTCAACAAGTCTCTAGGAAGTTCCAAACTTTCCCACAACTTCCTTTCTTCTGACCTCTCCAAACTGTTCCAACCTCTGCCTGTTACCCAGTTCCAAAGTCTCTTCCACATTTTTTGGGTATCTTTACAGCAGCACCCCACTCTACCAGTACCAATTTACTGTATTAGTCAGTTCTCATGCTGCTAATAAAGACATGCCTGAGACTGCATAATTTATACAGAAAAAAGAGGTTTAATGGATTCACAGTTCCACATGGCTGGGGAAGCCTCACAATCATGGCTGAAGGCAAAGGAGGACCATGCACGTCTTACATGGTGGCAGGCAAGAGAGCTTGTGCAGGGGAACTCCCATTTATAAAACCATCAGATCTCACGAGACTTATTCATTGCCACAAGAACAGTATGGGGGAAACTGCCACCATGAATCAGTTTTCTCCACTTGGCCCCGCCCTTGACACATGGGATTATTACAATTCAAGGTGAGATTTGGGTGGGGACACAGCCAAACCAAATCAGACAGCATGAGGCCAGATGAATTTGTCACTCAACTGTCTTTTTTTCCAGCTCATTCAAAAGATAAATGTTTTCTTATCTCTTAGTATTTCACAAAAATCTTTTTAAAAGAGAAAAGCAAATTTTACCATTACATTAGTGTATTACTAATGCTGAAGCCAATTTTTAGTAAAACATTGTCAACAAATCCATCTCAATCTCAATCAGTTTGATCACAAAGTAAGATTTCCATAAGTCTTTTTATAACCTTTTTACAGTTTTCTATTAAAGAACAAATCAATGCTCCTGTAAAACTCTGTTATTCCAATTCAAGGGCCCAGACTCTAATATCAATGTGCTTTTGATATTAATATTTACTGTATAGAAAAAGTAAATAATCATTTTAAATTTTAGACAACTTAACTGCACATACAATTCCTTTCACAAGGTCAGTCTTCTACAAACCTTCTACAATTTGCTTAAACCTTCAGTTTTGTCCTGTCATCTTACTTTAGGACAAAAATTTACCTTCTTTTCCAACTTTTTATATTTGTGTAGTTTTATCTGTCCTTTTTTTATTCCTTTAATTTAAAAAAAAAAAACCTTTAAACTAGGCAAAATTACTTTCCTTTTAACAAAAACCACATTTTCATGCCTTCTGATAACTTTTCTTAAACCAAAAACATGTCCTACTTCCCTTATACACTTTCGATGGAGAATTTTTTCTCTTGTATTTAGTAATTTCAATTATATACATTTATTACAATGTTAACTTTTAGTAACTCTTATTTTTAGTGAAAAACCTTGGAGGTAAGCCGTTTTAATTATGTACCAGATGCAAAGTCCAGAACAAAGGACAATGCCTGGAGCTAGGCCTAGTCATAGCCTAAAAACTTAAATCTAAAGATAAAAGGCTGGGCACAGTGGCTCACGCCTGTAATCCCAGTAGTTTGGGAGGCTGAAGTGGGTGGATCACCTGAGGTCAGGAGTTCAAGTCCAGACTATGCCAACATGGTGAAACCCTGTCTCTACTAAAAATACAAAATATTAGCTTGGCGTGGTGGCACACACCTGTAATCCCAGCCACTCAGGAGTCTGAGGCAGGAGAATTGCGTGAACTCAAGAGGCGGAGGTTGCAGTGAGCCAAGATCGCGCCACTGCACTCTAGCCTAGGTAACAGAGCAAGACTCCATCTCCAAAAAATTAAATAAATAAATAAATCTAAAGACATAAGTTTATAGACAAGTTAGGTATCAAAACAAATCATAGAAGCAAGTTTTATGCCTTAAAACATCTGGTAGAGATAGTATCTAATCAATAGACTCAGACAAAATGTCTAAATTAAATTCTGAAGACTTTTTTTATTTTACCAATAATTTTTAAATTGTCTTAATTTACTAAAGATTAATAAAGTCATGTGAACTACAAGGCATTTGAATTAAAGTTTCTATTTTTGTGATAACACATTTGATTTAAGCACTTCCTTTTTTCTTTAAGCCAATTAATTAGAGCCCTTTTACATATTTTGGTAGTGAAACATCACATACACACAACACGTATAAACACACAGACCCATAGACAGTAGCAGATCTTATATATTTATAAGATTCTTCATTTGCCAGTTCTCAAAATCTCACCTCCACTTTAGACTATCAGTCTCTTGATTACCTGTTTCCTGCCCTAAACAATTGTCAGCTAGGCAACCCTAAATTTACATTTCTAAAGGGACAGCTCTTATGTGAAACAAGGTAGAAAATTTATATCTCAAAGCACAGAGCTAAGGCATTAGGCCTAAATATTGTAACATCATTTGCTCAAACCAAAGGGGTTTTAAAGGGTGTAAGTAAAAGTTCAATTAAGAGACCAGGAAAACCACCTTAAGCAAAGTATGACTTGTCACATTAAAACAATGGTAAATGTTTCTAGTGTATACCGGCAGACACCCTTACAAAATGGGAATTTTCTTAAAGATGTTTCTTTTACAAAGGAGTTTAAAGATAGCCAGCTAAATGCCTGAAAGTTGTATTTTGGAATTTTGGCTTAGCTTGTTTTCTTAATTAGATTACTGGCTTCATGGTGATACAGACAGAAGACAGGGAAATACTGGGTAGAAGAGAGCAGTTCCCTGGTAAAGGTCCCACCCTCAAGCCTGGATACCTGCGGCCCTAAGTGAGAACAGGCATTCCTGTTTTAGTACTCGAAAAGTTGCCTTTTGGCCCACCATGCCGCCTATCCTGTACCCATATAAACCCTAAACCCCTGGCTCCAGGAGGCAACAAGCAGACAAATGGTAGAACAGTGCAGCAGAGAAGAAAAGAAACATTGGGAGGAGTTTGGCTGGGGAGAATCGGCCACTGGATGGCCAAACTCCAGGGGAAGATTATCTTCACACTCCATCCCCTATCCAGCTCCCCATCCATCCTGCTGAGAGCCACCTCCAACCCTAATAAAACCCCACATTCACCATCCTTCAAGTTTGTGTGTGACCTGATTCTTCCAGGACACTGGACAAGAGCTCGGGATACAGGAAGCTGTCACACTTGCCCTCTGCCCTTGCAGAAAGGCAGAGGGTCCACTGAGCTGGTTAACATTTAAGCCATCCACAGATGGCAAGGCTAAAAGAGCACACTGTAACATATGCCCATTTCAGCTCCTGCACCTGTCTGTCTGCATGTTCCCCCTCCCATAAGGGGGCTTCGAGCAGCGGTGGTGACCAAACAGGCATGCCACATCCATGTTACACATCCTCAGGGGGGTGTCAGGGAACTCACTCTCCCGCCTCATCGGGTGGAACCATTTAGTGAATACAGAAAGGAAAGCATGCAATTTTTAGGGCCTAATATTTAAATATGTGAGAAGCAGGTATAGCTGGAAAGCAAAACACAGGTCCCCCAAAATTTCAAGGATCCCATTTTTTATACCAAATACTGGGTCCCCAAAAAGAAGCAAAAGCCATGGGACAAGACAGTACAATGCTTCCACAGTGCACCTCACTGCAAGGACATTCCTTCAAGTCTGATGGACAACTCAACCCCAATCAGCCCATTTTGTGATCGGCCCATATCCTATGGGATGAGGACTCAGAGCAATGAAGATCGCAAAGAAGAAGGAGGAATAGTGTGGAGTAAATATAAACAGGAGAACAATTTTTTTTTAAAGAAAGCCAACAAAGATACTAAGCACATAATTTTTTTTTTTTTTAAGTTTTAGCCAGCCAGGCATAGTGGCTCACACTTGTAATCCCAGCACTTTTAGAGGCTGGGGTGGGGGGACTGCTTGAGACCAGAAGTTTAGAACCAACCTGAACAATACAGTGAGACCCCATCTCTACAAAAATATTTAAAAAGTAGCCAGATGTGGTGGTGCACACCTGTAGTATCAGCTACTGAGGAGCTGAGGTGGGCAGATCACTTGAGCCCAGAAGAGCATGGCTACAGTGAGCCCTGGTTGTGCCACTGCACTCTAACCTGGGCAACAAAGCAAGACCCATCTTTAAAAAAAAAAGTTTAAGTCAACTAAAAAAAAAAATTCCAAAAAACAGGAAACAAAAGGTGTTGAAAGCATAAAGGCTAGATATCAGCTTCTAATTAAATTGACTTCTAACCATAGAGCTCTCTAAAAAAATCCTTTCAGATCTTTTGTTACCAGATTTTAGCTGGGACAAACGGTTGATTTTTTTGCTTTTGAACTTCTTTTGCAAAGGTATCTTCCCCAGTGTTTCAACCAAGGTTATAACAACCACAGACACATGAGATGTCTCCAAAGAGGTGGCAAGCAGTTTTTTACAAGATCTAGAATCACCCCAAAGACAGCTCAGAGAAGGAAAATTTCACTATCCATAAAGAGGGTATAGACCACATTTCTTTCAGGACATGTTCTCTAGGATCTTAGCTTCTCAACTGACTGTCCACACACAAAGGCTCAAAAGCCTTGTGTGACCCCAAACAGACAGAAGAAAACAGGAAATCAAAAGCTTCCCAAGGAAAGGGAATGGATCAATAATAAGTTGGTACCCTAAAAGACATTCACACAAGTATCAAACCAAGAGGGGTGGGTTCCCTGACCAGGAATCAAACCCATGCAGTGGAGGTAAAACTGCAGAATTTTAACTATTAGGCCACAAGGTGGAGTAGCCTTTGTTGTTCCCAGATTAGGAAACGAACTCAAGCCCTGATGGGAATTTTAACTACCAGAACTATTTTAGGTCAGACTTTTTTGCACCTATTTTAGTCAAGAGAACTTTTTTAGGCTAGCCTTTGTCCTGTAAAACAGTTTATCTTTTTCATTAATTGCTTAATATAAGAGATCACTAAAATCTTTAACAGCACAGAGAGAGAGGCTGGGAAGGCAGTCTTACGTAAATAAAACCTCTCAGGTAGTCAAATTTTGATTTTTCTTAACCAGCCAGGGATTTTAGAGGTAAAATTTGTCTTTCGGCAGCTGCAGGGATTTCAGTTGACATAAGAGGGGACCAGAAGTTGGTCAAATCTAACAAAAGATGGACTGAAACAAACAAACAAAAACAGAAAAAAGTGATCTCTGCCTGCAGCCTAGCCATCCTCCCACCCATTCCTCACAATGCATTTTCCACCTTTAAACTCTTCAATGACTTCTCATCACTCTCAGGATGAAAGATGATGCCCAAACTTAACAAGACCAGACCACCCTACCTACCTCTTCACCTCATCTCTTAAAATTTACATATAGCCTAGATCTCTGATTATAAGGAGAAGTGATAGCCAGCTGACAATTAACTTTGACCTACAGCTACCAAATACCAAAATGAATCCCCAAATCAGCCTCTTACCTGGAGATGGGGTCTAAGCTAAAGGCTACTCTCCACCATCACGGAAGTGGGAAACTCATCTTCCTTGCTGAAAGTAAACTAAACTCCCATAAAGGAGTTCTGCAGCAGAATTAACCTCATCTCAACTGAAAATTTGGGCGAGGTCAGGGACCTCTGAAGGGAGAAGCTCCCAGACCTCAGCAAATCATCCCAATAGTCATAGAAATAAAAATAGCCCCAGCTGGCCAGGCACAGTGGCTCACACCTGTAATCCCAGCACTTTGGGAGGCCAAGGCGGACAGATCACGAGGTCAGGAGTACAAGACCAGCCTGGCCAAGAGACCAGCCTAGTCAATATGGTGAAACCCCATCTCTACTAAAAATACAAAAATTAGCCCAGTGTGGTGGCGGGCACATGTAATCCCAGCTACTCAGGAGGCTGAGGCAGGAGAATTGCTTGAATCCAGGAGGCAGAGGTTGCAATGAACTGAAGATCATGCCATTGCACTCCAGCCTGGACAACTGAGTGAGATTCCAACTCAAAAAAAAAAAAAAAAAAAACAGAAAAAACCCCCAGCCAGTACCAGGCATTGATAGGAGAGTTGTTGCTGGCCAAGGGCCAAATCTACCCGGAGAATCCCTCTGTAGCTACCAAAACGGAAGCCAAAAAGTGACTGAGGGAGGTCTCAAACGATTCAAGGTTGATTTGGCCAAGGTTGAGGATGTGCCCAGGAAGAAACACAAATCCCAGGAGCATCTTTGACCTATGATTTTTCCAAGGGAGATTTTGTGAACTTTAGTATTTAAAGGGGAAAGAGCAAGCAAAAAGGGGAAAAAAGGAGATGGGAGGAAGGGTAGGCAGTGAGGCAGATGGTTACAGTCTTGTGAGGGTCTGATTAGCTTCACTGAATCTACATTTTACATGTGAAAAGAGGGAGTGTGGAAGAGTCCATTGTGTATTGTCTCGTGCTCAGTAAATCTACATTTTACATAAGATAAAGTAAGCATGTGAAAAGAGGGAGTAGAGCAAATGAGGCTATGACACGGGTTGTGAAATTACAGTTATCTATTTGGGTACAAAAGGAAAAAAGTATTGGTGGCTTGATTCCCAAGTTTAACTTTCCCTTTGGCATAGTGAGTTTGAGGTCCCGATAGTCTACTTTTCTTTTACAATAACAACACAATTTATGATTTTGCTGAAAGGAAGCCAAGAAGAACAAATTATATGGAAAAATATATGATAATTTATTAATCAGGTCATTATTTTATTACTCATCCAAATATCACCAGCTCAGCTGAATGCCCAGGCATGATCAAAGATAATTCAATTTAGATACATTTGATATTCTGTCAACTTTTAGTCACATAAAAACCATAGTTTCATACATGTTTTTCATTCTTGTGGTTATGAAGACACTTTCATCAATCTGGGAAAATACAAATTACTTGATGTACTGAATAACTATCTCTACCATGTACCACTTTGCTAACTTTTCTTAGTCCTCTGGTCCAGATATATTCAATGTTCCCTAATTTGTAAGGGCAGCCAATTGCAAACTGCTGATCCCACGAATTCCAACTCTACATGCTCTTACCCTTGCCTTCTTTGCAAAACACTCTGGATTTTCTTTGTCCTGGTTTCTCTTTTAGATATTGCTGGCATTTCCCATATTCCATCTCTTATGATTCTTGTTTACATAGCCACTAGGCAGCTAAAACAACAAGAGAGCCAGCAATATGTTCTATTTCTCTGTCTCTTTTCTGTCCCTCCCTCCCTCCCTCCCTCCCTCCTTTCTTCCTTCCTTCCTTCCTTACTTCCTTCCCTCCTTCCCTCTCTCCCTCACTCCCCCTCCTTTTGTTTCTTCCTGTTTGCTGTCAACCAGCTATCCATCACCTCCATCACCCTACTGTCCCCTTGTCATTCATCTTCCTGCAGCCAGCTGCCCAGCCTCATCCTCACTGCTACACCCCTGGGAAAACACAAATTACTTCATTACTGGATGACCATCTCTACCATGTATCACTTTGCCAACTTTTGTTAGTCCTCTCGTCCAGACATATTTAATGCTCCCGGATTTATAAGGGCAGCCAGTTACAAACTGCTAATCCCACTAATTCCAACCCCACATGCCCACAACCTCTGCTCACCATGGTACCTACCTGAGCAGCCCACACTCTACCCTCCCTCCATCCCTTGACCACTTCCCTCCTCTTTCCTAACTTGCCACTACATCAAAGCATTTGTGCATAGTAGGTGGATACAGAAAAGTGCTTTCAAACAAATCTAAAACCCATTTCTCCTATCCTGCATTGAACATAATTGCATCTCTTCAATTAAAATTTTCATCTGCCCTCAAACAGTTTTACAAAGTGGGTTTGTTTTTGTTGCTTATTTTGGAAGTGTTTTCTTGCCAATCTGTATCTCCTACCCAACTCTTGAAAATAACCTTGTTTCCCTTTCCTCTCAGTAATCACCTCACCTCCCTCCCAGTAAACCCCCAATCATAGACATCCTCAACTTTTTCAAGGATAAAAAATCAAGGGCAGCTCAAAGATTAATCCTTTATCTTCAACAGACACCAGGCCTCCCCTCTATCCCAACTTGCTTTGCAGAAATTGCTTCCAAATTTTTGACTAGTTCAAAAATTAATTTTGACAACTAAATTATTGACTATTTTGAGTAGTAAGAATATTTTAGAGCTTGGCACAGTGGTGCATCCCTATAATCCTCACTACTCAGGAAGGTGAAGCAGGCGGAGGATGGCTTGAGCCCAGTCTCTGGGAGCTACAATCTGCAGGGAGCTACAATCACACCATGCACTCCAGCCTGGCAGACAAAGTGAGACCCTGTCTCTTTATTAAAAAGAAAAAAAAAAAAGATACTTTAAAGTAATATTTACTATCGTCATCCATTCAAAAAGAAAAGGCATCTTGACACAGGGAAGGTCTCTTAAAATCTCTCAGCAGTTCTTAAAATAAAGTCAGTGTGGCTTTATGAACAACATGACACCTTATCAGCACTTTGGAAGTAGTTCTGGTTGAACCACCTTGACACCAAAACAATTCATTCATTCATTCACAAACGTTTGTCAAGAATCTAGTACATGCTAAGTGGTGGGAAGTTGAGTCCCTGAGCTCATAATTCATTCAACCAATGTTTTCGAGCATCTACTGTTACATTCTGGAGAAATCAGGACGCAAAGCAATTTTCATTCTCAAAGAATTCATGGTCTCATAAGGGAAAAACCAAAACAAAATTTGAATGACAGAGTCTATGTACTAGGTCTACCTAGTACCTATGTATATCTAGTACGTAGAGTCTCATATGTATACCTAGTACAGAGTCTCTCACAGGTATACCTAGTACATATGTATACCTAGTACACAGAGTCTTTCATTGGGTCTTTGAGCCCCTATAATTTAGTGTGTGTGTGCAAATTTGGCATTCGTGTGATTGAGTTATGTCTAGCTACTCTATGAGACTGTAAGATCCTGGCGGACTGGGACCAGGTCTGTCTTTGCTCACCAGAGCCTCGCCAGTGCTGAATGGGTATTGCTGACTGAGCCAACTAATGTTAGTGTGATGAGCCTGACGTTAACTTTCCAACCAAGTTCAAACTCTTTATTTGGGGACCTTAATACCTTCCACAAACTACTTCCTCAGCAATATCCCACTACTCCCTCCTCATTCTGTGACGTAGCCCATTTCTGTGGCTCTCCTGTTCCTAATGGGCCTTAGGCTATGTTTCACTCATGCTGCTTTCCTCTCTTGGGACACCTCCCATGTCCAATCCTTCCGCCCCTCCCTTCATCACTGATTGACTTCTTCCCCATCCTCTTTAAAGTCTCAACTTGTCCCATTTTCCTTGTGAGGTATGCCCCACAGCTCAGGGGGTACCCAAGGAAGCAGTCTCTGGGAGGAAAATTGGAGCACAGGAAGATCAAGAGCTGCTGCTAGGATTCCCACCTGTGGAATGGAAGGAAAGGAAGCAGGCTGGGCAAAGGAGGAGTTGGGCTGCAATGAAATCTCAACGAAGACCTCAGCCAACCCGCAGGTAGCTCTGAAGCCAAGGCAGCTTTTTAGGGTGGCTCCATGTTGTAGCTGCGGACAGGGTCTTTAGATTTCTGCATCAACCAGTCTGTTGTAGCTGCGGACAGGGTCTTTAGATTTCTGCATCAACCAGTCAGTGGATGTAGACTGCCCCCTGGAAAGAGGTCTTGGGTAGGAAGGCTGATAGCACTCTCAGCAATTAGATGAATACATCTTTCAGTCCTTCTAGGACATCTGGGCAATGCACACAACAACTGCTGTACAAATATTCCCACATTTTTGCACCCATCCAAATCACCCAGAGGCTTTTTGAAACACTGACTGGGCCAGGCATGGTGGCTCACGCCTGTAATCCTAACACTTTGGGAGGCCGAGGCAGGCAGATTGCTTCAGCCCAGGAGTTCAAGAACAGCCTAGGCAACATGGCAAAACCCCACCTCTACAAAAAATGCAAAAATTAACCGGGTGTGGTTACACATACCTGTGGTCCCAGCCACTCGGGAGGCTGAGACCAGGAGGATCACTTGAAGCCAGAAGGTCGAGGTTGTAGTGAGCCAAGATCGCACCACTGCACTCCAGCCTGGGCAACAGAGTGAGACCTTGTCTCAAAACACACACACACAGGCACCAATGTGCACACACACACACACACACAAACACACACACGCACTGCTTGGCCCCAACTCCGGAGTTGTTAATGTAGTAGATCTGGAGTAGAGCCTGAGTATCTGCATTTGAAACAAGTTTCCAGATGATGCTGATGCTGCTGAATCCGGGACCACACTTTGAGAACCACTTACCACACACTGTACCCACACAAAGCCTCAACCCACATAACTTCTGACCATTCACATTGTGCTTACCACTTGCTGCTTGGTGCCATGTTATTTGTGTCGTCTTTTCCTGAGCTGCATCCTTTTGTGAATGCAGAGCTCTACAGACTGTGTAATAGTTTATGGTCTTCATGAAAGTAAATGGAAAGCCACTGCTGGAATCTGAGCTGCATGGGATAGGGTCACATGTATATTTCAAAAAGATCACTTTCACTACAGTGAAGAGAAGTGACTTGCGATGGGGGTGCAAAGGGATGTTGCCAGAGAGGACTCAGGTGGAGTTAGGAGTTTGATTCTAGTAGTCCAGGGGAGAGTTAATAAATAGGAGGAGCTTGCACTAATGAAGATGGAGAAAAACAGAGAGATTCAAGGGATATTTAAGAGGCAACAGTGACAGGACCTGGAGATGGATCAGTTGTCGGGGAAGAGAGATCGTGTGAGAGCAAGAATGACTCTGCAGTTTCTGCTCATGCAGCTGAATGTGTGTTGAAGCGCCATTTCCTGAACACTGGAAGAGAAACAGCTTGTAGAATATGAGGGCCTCATCTACAGGGCTTTTACAACTTTTTTGTTTTTTTATTCCTGAAAGTATCAAGTTGCAAATGTTTTAAAAAGATTAACTTGCTAATTGCTTCAATTTTTTTTCTTTTTTCTTCTTCTACACAAACATTGACTTTTCCACACAATATCCTTTGTGTTAGGAGATATACGTGCTGTAGCTTTTGCCATCAGGGAGTGCATCTTTGAAGATTTGATTGTCAAAAACTAATTTAAAGTCTCCTAAGAGAACATTTTCTCCTGAACTGTCTGTATCCCCCAAAAAGTAACAAAAAACATCACATGAGCTGGCATTATTGCCAGAAAGTACATCAGCATCTTGCCAGATTTGTTCTCCTCAGTCACAAGTTCTGGCCATTATGATGACAACATTAAAAAAAAAGAAAAAGAAAAATAGGAGAGTTGGCATAAAGAAGAATATGATCAAACAGTGTAGACATCATGATACAATTCACATACCTCCTACCATGCCGGAGTGGCTCTTAGAAAATAATGACCCTGGTAAACTAAGGGCATTTTGGTTTTTTTAAAAGGAATTTTCAGGCTTTAACTTGTAAGATTTAGGACTCTTTCTTTAGTTCTGCTGTGAATGAATACATAGCTTTTCTTTATTTTTTTTTAATCTGCCAAATGGACAAAGGGTTTTTTGTTTCCAGAATACAATAGTGTTATATCCAATAGACATCTTTTTTTAAAAAAATTCCAGAATTTTAAGAGACTTACAAGGCTACATGCAAGAGAGATTTTTTGACACTTGTCATTTGAAATAGTTTAAGGTGTGACAAGCATTTATAAGTCATTTGCTATTGAACAAAGATCAAATGGATTCACTCCCCATTTAAAAAAATTTGTATTTCTTATTTACATTTAAAAACCCCTATTTCTTTACCAAGACACCTATAAGTGGCTTGTGGCTTTTGTAGCTATTAGACTTCTTGCCTTGCTCACCTAGACACTGTCACAAAATATCAAACGCTATTTATGTGTGTGTGTGTTTTTTAACTAAGAAGTCATTCATTTGAAAATACTCCAATTCCAGTTGCAGCTTATTTGTTTATAAATAGTGCCACTCTAAGGACATACAAGGCAATAAGTAATAATTTATACTTTAGCACGAATCCAATTTGATTATAAGGATCTTACAGAGATTATGGGACATGAAAGTTCTAAAGCTCCAAGTTTATATTGAAAAACCCACAGGTTCCAACAAAGAAAGCACATGCCAGATGTAATCTAGCAGGCTAACTTTAGGTCTTCAATTCCAACAAATGTCAAAACTCAGGTCATTTAGCCAACATTTATTAAGCACTTACTACATACCAGCTATTTTGAGGTGCTTCAACATCATGGTAAAGCTTTCTGTTATCATCGTTGTTGTTTTTAAAAGTTGGCCAGGCGCAGTGGCTCACACCTGTAATCTCAGCACTTTGGGAGGCCAAGGCAGGTGGATCACTTGAGGTCAGGAGTTCGAGACCAGGCTGAGCAACATGGTGAAACCCCATCTCTACTAAAAATACAAAAATTAGCTAGATGTGATGGCACATGCCTGTAGTCCCAGCTACTTGGGAGGCTGAGGCATAAGAATAGCTTGAACCCAGAAGACAAAGGTTTCAGTGAGCTGATATCATGCCCCTGCACTCCAGCCTGGGCAACAGAGTGAGACTCTGTCTCAAAAAATATATAATAACAATAATAATTATAAAACAAAAGTCACTCCTCAGTTTTATATGGCTGGTTTCACATTTGACCTTCCTTTACTCCTGGACTTCAGTTACAGAATTCCACAGTGGAAGGTCCTCAAAGAATGTGCAGTGAGAGTTCTACAACAGGTTTATGTCAAGGGAGCATTTTTTCAGTCTTGTTTTCTCACCAACTGGCTTACTATTACTCGAGAAATAGAGCCTAACACAGAAGCAGCACCCTACCAATATCTGCAGTCACAGAACCATCAAGGTAGACTCACTAGTGACCCTCAGGAGCAGCTGTCCTAAAGTCTCCAGGCAGAATTTTCCTGGCAACCTCTTTCCTCTTTCTCCTACAGGAGAGCTCAACATTATTCAAGTCCTCATTTTACAGATAATGTAACTAAAGCTCCCAAGGGATAAAAAAGCCCCACGGCTCAGGGGATGTGAATGGGGACTTTAAAAGTATATAATCTCCAGTCTCAGTTTAGTCCTATGAACCCAGTCTTTTAGAGGGAGAGCTCAAATAGGTACATTTTGAACAATTTCCCCTGCTTCTAACACAAGCCAGGCCTAGGCCAAGGACCAGCTCTGAGGACTATAACATGGAGATGGGAGATGGGAGAGAGGAGGCTGATGAGACTGGATAATACATAAGGTCCTTGGCCTACAGAACACGATTTTTTAACTTTCACGAGTAAGTGAGGTCAGAAGCATTCTCAAACAAGCCGTATGTAGGAAAGGTCAAAATTATTAACTCAGTGAGGAGCTCCAGATCACCAAACCACAGGGATAAAAAGAGCATGGCAATTACACACAGTTAAGAGGTCACTGTAGATTGTGGGCAGAGAGGGGAGTGCAAACAATTTATTCCTGAAGACTGATTTCATTAACAGTGAGTCACTTTTGCAGACTGGAGTCATTTGCATCTACAGTTGGACCAATTAGCATACCCCAGGGTTGTATTTCAGCCACAGAAAGCAGAGAATGCTCTAGAACTCAGGCCAGATGAAGACCTCAGTTTGATTTCATTCCTCTCCCCTGACAACTATGCCTGCACCCTACAGAAGAATTTCTCCTATGCTGAGCTACCTTGGCTGTTCTCAAATTAGTTTTAGAATAAAGAAGAATTGAAATGCTGCAAATTCACTGTGCATGGATGTAAATTGGTAAACTAGTACGACCTTTTTGGAGGGCTGTCAATATCCAACACAATTTGAAATAACCATATGTTTTGATGCAGCAGCTAGACTCCCAGGAATTTATCTCACAGAAATATCTGCACAAATTGGCAAAGATATAAATAGGTACAAATAGGTTTATTGGAAAAAATTTTAACAATGAAAACTGGGAATAACTCACATATTCATCAGTAGGGAAATGCTTAAATAAATTAATTCAGCTATTTTAAAAAGACCTAGACCTTTATAGAACTTTCACAAGATATACAAAATAAATTAAATGAATAGCCTTTATAGTATGACTCAATTTTGTTTTATAAAAACCATATATAAGTTGTGATTGACAGGCCAAGATGACTGACTAGAAGCAGCAGCATTCTGAGGCTCCCATAGAAGAAAACTATAATAAGCATGAGAATCCTTCACCGGCAACCAAGGTATCCAGGTTCTCTCATCAAAATTGACTAGAAGGCTGTCGTGACCCACGGAGAGAAGGAAGAGCAGTGTGGTGTGGCGGCCACCCTGAGAGCCACACGGGGAAGGGGAACCCCCATTGGCATCAGGTCAGTGCCCCTCGAGGGCAGAGCTCCCAGAAGGAGTAGGCAACCATCTTTGCTGCTCTCCAGCCTCCTTGAGTGACATCTCCAGGCACAGGAGCAAATCAGACGAATAAGGCCTGAAATGAACCCCCACCAAATTGCAGCATCCCTACAGAAGAGGGACCTGACTTTTGAAAGAAAAACAAGCAGAAAGTGACAACAACAGCATCAACAACAACAAGGCCCCCACAAAAGCCCCATCCAAGGGTCAGCAGCCTCAAAGACCAAAACTAGACAAACTCACGAAGATGAGAATCAATGAAAAATGCTGAAAATCCAAAAGGCCAGAGTGCTTGCCTCTTCTCCTCCAAATGATTGCAATGTCTCTCCATCAAGGGCGCAGAACTGAATGGAGGATCAGACGGATGAATTGACAGTAGGCTTCAAAAGATGGGTAATAAAAAATTACGATGAGCTAAAGGAACATGTTCTAACCCAATGCAAAGAAGCTAAGAACCTTGATAAGAGGTTAGAGGAATTGATAACTAGAATAACCACTTTAGAGAGGAACATAAACAACTTGATGGAGCTGAAAAACACAGCACAAGTACTTCGTGAAGCATACACAAGTGTCAATAGCCAAATACAGCAAGCGGAAGAAAGGATATAAGAATTCGAAGACCACCTTACTGAAATAAGACACACAGACAAGAATAGAGAAAAAAAGAGTGAAAAGGAATGAACAAAGCCTCCAAGAAATATGGGACCTCTTAAAAAGACCAAACCTATGATTGATTGGAGTACCAGAAGGAGACAGGGAGAATGGAAACAAGTGGGAAAACACACTTCAGGGTATTATCCAGGAGAACGTCCCCAACCTAGCAAGACAGGCCAACACGCAAATTCAAGAAATACAGAGAACACTATTAAGATACTCCATGAGAAGATCAACCCAAGACACATAATCGTCAGATTCTCCAAGGTCGAAATGAAGGAAAAAATGTTAAGGGCAGCCAGACAGAAAGGTCAGGTTACCCACAAAGGGAAGCCCATCAGACTAACAGCGGATCTCTTGGCAGAAACTCTACAAGCCAGAAGACAGTGGGGGCCAATATTCAACATTCTTAAAGAAAAGAATTTTCAACCCAGAATCTCATATCCAGCCAAACTAAGCTTCAAAAGCGAAGGAGAAATAAAATCCTTTCCAGACAAGCAAATGCTGAGGGATTTCATTACCAACAGGCCTGCCCTGCAAGAGCTCCTGAAAGAAGCATTAAATATGGAAAAGAAAAACTGGTAGCAGCCACTGCAAAAACACACCAAACTATAAAGACCAATGACACTACGAAGAAACTGCATCAACTAGTGCACAAAATAACCACATAGTATCATGATGACAGGATCAAATTCACACACAACAATACTAACCTTAAATATAAATGGGCTAAATACCCCAGTTAAAAGACACAGGCTGGCAAATTGGATAAGGAGTCAAGACCCATCAGCATGCTGTATTCAGGAGACCCATCTTACATGCAAAGACACACATAGGCTCAAAATAAAGGGATGGAGGAAAATTTACCAAGCAAATGGAAAGCAAAAAAAAAGCAGGGGTTGCAATCCTAGGCTCTGACAAAAGAGACTTTAAACCAACAAAGACCAAAAAAGACAAAGAAGGGAATGGTAAAGGGATCAATGCAACAAGAAGAGCTAACTATCCTGAATGTATATGCACCCAATACAGGAGCACCCAGATTCATAAAACAAATTTTTAGAGATCTACAAAGAGACTTAGACTCCCACACAATAATAGTGGGAGACTTCAACACTCCACTATCAGTATTAGACAGATCAACAAGACAGAAGATTAACAAGGATATTCAGGACTTGAACGCAGCTCTGGATCAAGTGGATCTAGTAGACATCTACAGAACTCTCTACCCCAAATTAACAGAATATACATTCTTCTCAGTGCCACATGGCACTTATTCTAAAATCGGCCACATAATTGGAAGTAAAACACTCCTCAGTAAATGCAAAAGAACTGAAATCATAACAAACAGTCTCTCAGACCACAGTGCAATCAAACTAGAACTCAGGATTAAGAAACTCACTCAAAACCACACAATTTCATGGAAATTGAACAACCTGTTCCTGAATGACTCCTGGGTAAATAATGTAATTAAGGCAGATATCAGGAAGTTCTTTGAAACCAATGAGAACAAAGAGACAATGTACCAGAATCTCTGGGACACAGCTAAAACAGAGTTAAGAGGGAAATTTATAGCACTAAATGCCCACATCAGAAAGCTAGAAAGATCTCAAATCGATACCCTAACATCACAATTAAAAGAGCTAGAGAGGCAAGAGCAAGCTAATCCAAAAACCAGCAGAAGACAAGAAATAACCGAGATCAGAGAAGAACTGAAGATGAGATAGAGACACAAAAAAACCCTCAAAAAAAATCACCAAATCCATGAGCTGGTTTTTTGAAAAAATTAATAGAAAGATAGACCGCTAGCTAGGCTAATAAAGAAGAAGAGAGAGAAGAATCAAATAGATGCAATAAAAAAATGATAAAGGGGATATCACCACTGATCCCTCAGAATTACAAACTACCATCAGAGAATACTATAAACACCTCTACACAAATAAACTAGAAAATCTAGAAGAAATGGATAAATTCCTGGACACATACACCCAACCAAAACTAAACCAGGAAGAAGTTGAATCCCTGAATAGACCGATAACAAGCTCTGAAATTGAGGCAGTAATTAATAGCCTACCAACTAAAAAAAGCCCAGGACCAGACAGATTCACAGCTGGATTTTACCAGAAATACAAAGAGGAGCTGGTACCATTCCTTCTGAAACTATTCCAAACAATTGAAAAGAAGGAACTCTTCCCTAACTCATTTTATGAAGCCAATATCATCCTGATACCAAAACCGGGAAGAGACACTACAAAAAAAGAAACTTTCAGCCTAACATCCCTCATGAACATCAATGCAAAAATCCTCAATAAAAGAGTGGCAAACCGAATCCAGCAGCACATCAAACAACTTACCCACCACAATCAAGTGGGCTTCATCACTGGGATGCAAGGGTGGTTCAACATACACAAATCAATAAACATAATCCATTACATAAACAGAACCAATGACAAAACCACATGATTATCTCAATAGATGCAGAAAAGGCCTTTGATAAAATTCAACATCCCTTCATGTTAAAAACTCTCAATAAACTAGGTATTGATGGAACATATTTCAAAATAATAAGAGCTATTTATGTCAAACCCACAGCCAATATCTTATTGAATGGGCAAAAGCTAGAAGCATTCCCTTTGAAAACCAGTACAAGACAAGGATGCCCTCTCTCACCACTCTTATTCAACATTGTATTGGAAGTTCTGGCCATGGCAATCAGGCAAGAGAAAGAAATAAAGGGTATTCAATAGGAAGAGAGGAAGTCAGATTGTCTCTGTTTGCAGGTGACATGATTTCACGTTTAGAAAACTGCATCATCTCAGCCCCAAAACTTCTTGAACTGATAAGAAACTTCAGCAAAGTCTCAGGGTACAAAAGTCAACGTGCAAAAATCACAAGCATTCGTTTACACCAACAACAGGCTAACAGAGAGCCAAATCATGAATGAACTCCCATTCACAATTGCTACAAAGAGATTAAAATACCTAGGAATACAGCTAACAAGAGATGTGAAGGACCTCTCCAACTACAAAGCACTGCTCAAGGAAATAAGAGAGGACACAAACAAATGGAAAAACATTCCATCCTCATGGATGGGAAGAATCAATACCATGAAAATGGCCATAGTGCCCAAAGTAATTTATAGATTCAATGCTATTCCCATCAAACTACTGTTGACATTCTTCACAGAATTAGAAAAAACTATTTTAAATTTCATATGGAACCAAAAAAGAGCCTGGATAGCCAAGACAATTCTGAGCGAAAAGAACAAAGCTGGAGGCATCACACTACCTGACTTCAAACTATACTACAAGGCTACAGTAACCAAAACAGCATGGTACTGGTACCAAAACAGACATATAGACCAATGGAGCAGAACAGAGACCTCGGAAGCAATACCACACATCTACAACCATCTGATCTTTCACAAATCTGACAAAAACAAGCAATAGGGAAAGGATTCCCTATTTAATAAATGGTGTTGGGAAAACTGGCTAGCCATATGCAGAAAACTGAAAGTGGACCCCTTCCTTACACCTTGTACAAACATTAACTCAAGATGGATTAAAGACTTAAATGTAAAACCCAAAACCATAAAAACCTCAGAAGAGGCCAGGCACAGTGGCTCAAGCCTGTAATCCCAACACTTTAGGAGGCTGAGGCGGGTTGACCACCTGAGATCAGGAGTTTGAGGCCAGCCTGACCAACATGCAGAAATGCTGTCTCTACTAAAAATACAAAAAAAAAAAAAAATTAGCCAGGTGTGGTGGCACATGCCTGTAATCCCAGCTACTCGGGAGGCTGAGGCTGGAGAATCACTTGAACCCAGAAGGCAGAGGTTGCGGTGAGCCAAGATCACGCCATTGCACTCCAGCCTGGGCAACAAGAGCGAAGCGCCGTCTCAAACAAACAAACAAACAAAACCCTAGAAGAAAACCTAGGCAATACCATTAAGGACATAGGCATGGGGAAAGACTTCATGACAAAAATGTGAAAAGAAATTGCAACAAAAGCCAAAATTGACAAATGGAATCTAATTAAACTAAAGATCTTCTGCACAGCAAATGAAACTGTCATCAGAGTGAACAAGCAATCTACAGAACAGGAGACAATTTTTGCAATCTACCCATCTGACAAAGGTCTAATATCTAGAATTTACAAGGAATTTAAACATATTTACAAGAAAAAAACAAACAACCTTATCAAAGAGTGGGTGAAGGATATGAACAAACACTTCTCAAGACATTTATGCAGCCAATGGACATATGAAAAAAAGCTCAACATCACTGATCATCAGAGAAATACAATGAGATACCATTTCACGCCAGTCAGAATGGCGATTATTAAAAAATCAAGAAACAATAGAGGCTAGTGAGGCTGTGGAGAAGTAGGAACGTGTTTACATTGTTGGTGGGAATGTAAATTAGTTCAAACATTGTGGAAGACAGTATGGTGATTCCCCAAGGATCTAGAACCAGAAATACCATTTGACTCAGCAATACCATTCCTGGATATATACCCAAAGGAATATAAATCATTCTACTATAAAGACACACGCACATGTATGCTCCTTGCAGCACTATTTACGATAGCAAAGACATGGAACCAACCCAAATGCCCATCAATGGTAGACTGGATAAAGAAAATGTGGTACATATACACCATGGAATACTATGCAGTCATAAAAAGGAATGAGATCATGCCCTTTGCAGGGACATGGATGAAGCTGGAAGCCATTATCCTCAGCAAACTAACATAGGAACAGAAAAACAAACACCACATGTTCTCACTCACAAGTGAGAGTTGAACATTGAGAACACATCCACACAGAGAGGGGAACAACACACACCAGGGCCAGTTGCGGGGTAGGAGGTGAAGGGAAGGAAGTTGGAGGATGGGTCAATAGGCGCAGCAAACCAACACGGCACATGTATTCCTATGTAACAAACCTGCACGTTCTGTACATGCATCCGGTTTTTTTTTTTAGAAGAAATAAAAAAAATAAGTTGTATATATTACGTATTATTTTCTTTTTTTTTTTTTTCTGAGATGGAGTCTCGCTCTGTCGCCCAGGCTGGAGCGCAGTGGCACGATCTTGGGTCACTGCAACCTCTGCCTTCCGTGTTTGAGCAATTCTCCTGCCTCAGCCTCCCGAGTAGCTGGGATTACAGGCATGCACCACCACGCCAGGCTAATTTTTGTATTTTTTTTAGTATTAAAAAATCACCATTTTTTAGTATATAAAATCACCATGTTGTTCAGGGTGTTTTCAAACTCCTGACCTCGTGATCTGCCCACCTTGGCCTCCCAAAGTTCTGGGATTACAGGCTTGAGCCACCACTTTCTGTGTGTGTATATGCGTGTGTGTGTGTGTGTGTGTGTATAATTGTGTGTGTATAATTGTGTGTGTATAATTGTGTGTATATATATTCAATATATATCCATATATACATGTAGTATAAATGTTTGTAAATACGTTTTTAAAAGTCTGGAAAGATAGACTGTTGATAGTAGTCACCTATTGGCATGGATATGGGAGAAGACCAGAAACTCACAGAATGAGGAGCTTCTATACAAATTTTATTTATGCTTTGAGTTTCTAATTTTACCTAGGTATATTAAAGCTCTGATAACTAAAAAATAATAAATTTTCAAAGAAACTTGATAAATAGTTAAAAATGAGATAATTCTTAATTAAAGCAGTAGAAGTTCAGAAAATGATTACAGTAAAAAGATGACAAATTATTCCAGAGCTCTCTTCACCTCTGCAGGTCACATTCTCTATCTCCTTCTCTTCCTCCTCTTTAAAAAGCTAGCAATTGGAACAAACACTTTAGAATAACTGTTTCACCTATGGAATAAAATTTTGCACCCCCTCCCTTTTTGCTCATACCTCCTAGCCTTCCCAAATCCACACTACCCCTAAATAAAAGGTTTGCCAACTCTAGAGATCATTTGTACAACAAAAAAAGAAAAAAAAAAATCAAACCAATACAACAAACCCAAACTGGCCACTAGAGGGAGAACATCACACATAAAACCACTTTGAGCTACCACTCCACGGAAAACCATACCCACAGACGGAGGTACAAGGGTTGGCTCCACAAGAGATTGTTCAAAGGTAAAAGCTCACAGGCAATCATCAATGTGATTCAGCCTTTGGCTTGCCTAATATGTCCTGAAGCAAATAGTTTTATTAATAAATATAAAATTACAAATGTGAATATGTTTCCCATATTAGTGAGGTCTCCCCACCCTCCCTGCTCTGAATCAAATTTTTACAAATGTTCTGGAACAGAAGCAAATGTTGAGTTGGAAGCTGCCCTGAAACTGAGTCTTAACGAAACAATACCCATTTTTGAGCCCAGCCACAGAGTTAGGAGAAGCAAGTAAGAAACTTTAGCCTCGTTTTACAAAGAGCAGGGGATTTAATCTTATCAAGGAAGTCCTCTCATATACTTTTTCAGACCGCTATTTCATGAGGATGACGCAGCACACTTTTCCTTTCATTCTTCACACACTGATCTCAGTCGTCTTTATCAGCCACATTCTTTTTATGTATTTGTGCCTGGAACGAATGAGCTGATAATGCACCTTTTGATCATGTTTTCCAGTGGATGAATGTGTTCCATGCACCCAAGCCTTCTTCCACGCCGCCCCTAAAAAAAAGTCCATTTCTTTAGGGTAACATCATCATTTTAAAAAAGAAGTGACACATGGGTGGGGAGGGAGGTGTGATGGAAACACGTCTTTCAAAAATGTGTAGTCGTAGCCTCGGCCACTTCATTACCACATTGAGAATAATTTCTGCAGTGTGACTAAGCATCAACCCTTCAAGTTTGGAGTGGATTTAAAGCAGGTCAAAGGTTTACACTCAGATCCCTCTATACTGACTGCTTTAACCCTCCTGCCTTGATTGTACCTTTTCTAGAAGTACTTGCACATAATTTTCAAAATCTGAAGAAGAAATAGATTTAGTAACTTGTCCAAAGTCACAAATCTAGTAAGTGGTAGGAGAAGAATTTAAGCCCAGACAGTCTGGCTCCAGAGCCCATGTTCTTAACCACTAATCCATTCCACCTCCTCACTCTTTGCCTTTTTACTCCTGCAAGCTATCCCTTGCCCCAGTAATCTCCCGTCTTCAGTCCACCACTCCCCACCCCAAACTCACAATAAAACAATGGACTCAATGATACAGTAGAGAGAACGGAAGTCACAAAAATGGCGTGAGTCCTGGTTCTGCCTCACTCAACCGTGTCACCTGGGGCATCTTGAGTCCTAGTTTTCTAAGTGCACATTGGGAATATTAACCAAAAATAACCAGTTCCCCCCCAAAAACTACTCTGCAAATTAAATTAGGTCATGTACACAAAGCCTCCAGTACAGTGCCTGGCCCTGGAAAGCAAACCAGCCAAGACAAGAGAAGACATAGAACAACCACAATTTACCGCACAATGAACACAGTCTACCAGGAGAAAGTGAGCTGTTTCAGAAAGTAACACTTTCACCTTCCTCAATGGCTTTATAATACAGCCACCATCTGGGGAAAGATGGCTGGGGACATGGCAGGGTCCCACCACAATGTCACCTTGAGTGGAGGCTGCAATAGTCAGGGAATCTTCCATGACTTGCACCGAATACTTGCAAAGCCCTTTTTGGGAGACATTTTATACAAAGTGATTCCAACTACAGGATTGTTGAGGGTAGTCCATGCATAGAATTATGTTCCAAAGGATGTAGGTCCATTATTGCTGCGTGTAAAAAAAAAAAAAAAAAAAAAAAGGGTGACAACCCCATGGCAGGGCCATCTGTCTGTGAAGGGGCCAGGGAAGCAAATTCACCTCTACATTTAAGAGGTCTCCCAAAACAAACAGGAAGGAAGTGCTTCTGAACAGTTAATTTAACTTGCTCTTGAGGTCATTTAAACCCAATTCTTTTTGACCGTCCTTAGAAGAGATGGAGAAAGGCTGTCATTTTCTCCCAAGACAGATTCAGTCACTGTCAGACCTTGCTCTTCTCCTAGATGAACAGCTCTCAGGTTTTTTGGTTTCAGGATCCCTTTACACTCCTAGAAATCATTGAGGACCCCACAGAATTTCTGTAATGTGCAATATATCTACAGACATTGAACATATTAAAAGATTGACCCAAGTATGGTGGCTTACACCTGTATCCCAGAACTTCAAGAGCTGGAGGCAGGAGGATGGCTTGAGGCCGGGAGCTTAAGACCAGCTTGGGCAACATAGTGAGACCCTCATCTTTACATTTTAAGAAAAAATTAAGATTAGGAATTTTTTTGAGACGGAATCTCACTCTGTCGCCCAGGCTGGAGTACAGTGGCGTGATCTCCGCTCACTGCAAACTCCGCCTCCCAGGTTCACACCATTCTCCTGCCTCAGCCTCCCGAGTAGCTGGGACTACAGGCACCCGCCACCACGCCCGGCTAATTTTTTGTATTTTTAGTAGAGACGGGGTTTCACCGTGTTAGCCAGGATGGTCTCGATCTCCTGACCTCGTGATCCGCCCACCTCGGCCTCCCAAAGTGCCGGGATTACAGGCGTGAGTCACTGCGCCCGGCCTAATTTTTTAACATAAAAATATACAAGCTCATATTCTGTGAGCCCTCAGGCTACATATCATACAGTCTCTAGAAAACTCTACTGTATACTCTTAGATAATTTAAAAAACAAACAACATCTTAATATTATTATGAAAATCAGTTTGACTCACAGGCCCCCTGAAAGGGGGCTGGAGGTCTCTGGGGTCTCCAGACCACACTTGGAGAACTGCTGAGCTAGATAAAACCTCCTACAACAGGTTGTAGTGAGTTCTGTCTGCCACATCCTGAACCCTTCTACTTGGACATCATATTGATTTTCATTTGTTTATTTTCATTTTTATGATTTTTAGGGACAGGGTATGGCTCTGTCACCCAGGCTGGAGTGCAGCAGTGTGATCATAGCAAACTCCTGAGGTCAAGCAATCCTGCCACCTCAGTCTTACTCCTGAGTTGCTAGGACTATAGGACTATGCTACCATGCCCAGCTAATTTTTCTATTTTTTGTAGAGATGGGGTCTCACTATGTTGCCTAGGCTGATCATGAACTCCTGGCCTCAAGTGATCCTCCTGCCTTGGCCTCCCAAAGTGCTAGGATTACTGGCATAAGCCACCCTGCCCAGCCCCCATCTTGATTTTTAAGTCTGGTAATTTATGTAGTTAGAATTAAAATCCTGAACCAGTAATATCAAAGAAGGATTAAATAAGAAGTAAGAATGTAAACAATGAGGCAGAACTACCCAAACAACTATTCTCTAAAACTGAAATGCAAATTAGCACTGAAGACACCACAGAAAACCTTGAACAGGCAGATCAACACAGTATGGGCCAACAGACTATCCTCCCTTTTCGTTTTTCCTTCTTTTTAATTATTGTTATGTCCACAAATGACTTTTCCATTGGTATTAAACCTGCTAGAGGTTCTTTGTGAGGTGGATTCAAGAAGAAAATACCCAGAGTTTCACAATATAGGTAGCGATAACCAGGTCTCACTTTCCCCTTCCGTGAGAACTTCGTGGGACAGACCGACCGCGCAGGATCAGGTATTTCCAAATTCAAGTACTAACACAAGTTTGGGGATTAATCATGCCAGCTTTTTTCTTTTTTAATGTTTGATATGGGGGTCAAGGTTAAGCTTTTCTATGCAGTCTCTTTGTTCTTTCTTACTCTTAGCCCATTTTGTCCTCTTCTCTGTGGCTGTAACTCCATGGCTGCCCAGGACCATCTGGTAGTACCTTCCTGCTCCTTTGCTTCTAATAGTCATATTTATAACAGGAACAAGTACCTAGGAAGCACTTATCCCAGTATCTGGGAAGCACTTATCCAAGTACTTTGTGCTAAGCACTTTATTTTTGCATTTTCTCATATCTCCCCACAACCCCACAAGGTAGGTATTATTATTCCCATTTTACCTTAGAGGACATTGCTTGCCTTACAGTGGCACAGTTACGTATGTGGTGGTGCAGGGATATGATCCCAGACAATCTTATCCCAAGGCTCTCTACCCACGATGCTAAACTGCCTTTTAAAGACAGTGACGCCGGACACAGTGGCTCACGCCTGTAATCCCAGCATTTTGGGATGCTGAGGCAAGTGGATTGCTTGAGCCCTGGAGTTCAAGACCAGCCTAGGCAACATGGAAAAACTCCATCTCTACAAAATAAAAAATAAAAAAAACTAGCTGGGCATGGTGGCATGTGCCTGTAGTCCCAGATACTCAGAAGGCTGAGGTGGGGGGGATCACCTGAGCCTAGGAGGTAGAGGCTGTAGTGAGCCATGATTGCACCACTGCCCTCGGGCCTGGATGACAGAGGAAGATTCTGTCTCAGAAAAATAAAAATAAAAGACAGTGATTGAAGAGATTAAAACGACATCCTTCCCATGTCATTTAAAGGTAAATAAATAAAATCTTATTTGGCAAAGGTGTAGAGCAGAGAAAAATTGTGGACTTTGAAAATGCAACCAATGGCTCTTCACCACAGGCACCAAAGTAAATGTAGGTGAACCTTTTATCAGTGCCACCTGACAAGGAAAGCCTTATCTCTGCTCTTCTGATAGTCTGTTAGTGGTTTCACTTTTCCCCTAAGTGTTCATTCACAGCTTCTAGCATTACCCTGTTGAGGTCCAAGCTAATATGCTAGAAAAGAGTTGCTCTGATCAGTCTTCCATTCCCCTCGGCAAAGAAAACAAGGGGTTTGTCAAATATGGCCCAGACCCAAGGGCGGGAGAGCAATCCTATCTGACCTTCAATTACTCTGAACTGGAATCGCCTTCTTCCCTGACAACTGTGACTAATTCCAAAGGCCCAACCAGCCTTCTCATAATGATGACTCTGGGGTCAATTACTTTGGGGGCAGATTAGAATCTGATCTGAAGCTGAAAAATTCCGCCCCCTTGGTACTAATCCCTTGAACTTTCCAATCCTAAATAGGGCAAGTTTCAGGAAAGAGCATTTCTCATTTTACAGCCTACCTGAATATTGTCTGTAATGATTTTGCTTAATCAAAAAATTAATTAAACTCTTGCTCTAATGGTCTAAACACAAGTCAGAGGAAGGAAGTTCTGGCCACGTGCCAAAGCTCCATCTGAGGCTCTCGGAGTTAATAATTTCCATGGTGTTTTAAGCATTTGAAACAACAAAGGCTAGCTTTCACTAATAGCACAACTGATTCTGGAAAACCTATAAAAATGAGGCCTGCTCTAGGGTGGTTTGTATCCAGAGAATTAAGTTTTAACAAATAAAATTAAATCAACAGTCAATAAATTAAAATTTTGCTATTCTCTGATACTAATCTGCAAACTTAGCCATAAGTGCTCAAGTTAATGAAAATGGGCTGCCAGTGGCTCTGCTGAGATCACCGATGGCTGTTAAATGGTTTTCCGTGGGGACAGCGTGGGGACAGCGTGGGGACAGAGGACAGGAGTCTCATAAGGCATTTCTAGGCGAGATGAGGTCCCTGGGCAAGCCACGACCCTTTCTTACATTTATACATTTCTTGCTAGTACATTACTTACTTGATCAGTCACTCTTCAGAAATAAATACATACAATTTTTTTTTTTTGCTCTGTGAAACGTATCAACTCTTCATAATCTAGGCTGCAAATGCAAACTGGCACCCCGCAGATGAAACGGGGCTGCAGAAGCAATTTATTAGGTCTTCACAGTGTTTGCTTTTTAAAAATATTAGTTGGTTGCCAACATTAAAAACTCAGAAGGCTTCACACAAAAATGCAAACATCCAGCCAGTCCTGGAAACTGGATAACTGAGCAACTCCAGGCTGACATTTCTGCAGGGCAGCCATGGACGAGAACAGAGCAGTGGCAGCACGCTTAGAACAGGCCTCGCTCATGCCCAGCCTGCTTCACCTGTTCACACGTCTTGCCTGGCTCTGCACTTCCTAAATCTAGTGATTTATTTAGTGGCTTCAAGAACTGCTACACTTTCCAGTGTGTTAAGCTCTGAAAAACTGAGTGCAGATAAAGATGCTGCAAAGACACTGCCCACCTTAAAGTCGACTGATGGAGAAATCTACATCCCAGATCAGATTTTTTACTTCCTTTGTTCCTCCATAGCCAGCCTGCAGGTTAACTCCCTTATGAGAAATACTGCTAATGGAATGTTAATATTTGTTGGAAGGAAGGAGGGAAGGAGGGAGACAGATATGCTAAATATTTAAAAAAGAAAAAATAAGCCCACACTAATCCCTTGCATAAAATTCCTGAAGTTTCAGAACAGAAAGCACTATGTTTACGGTGTTCCAGAAAGCACTATGTTTACGGTGGTTTTTTTTTTTCAAGATATTCCTGAATATGGATTTTACCACATGCAAAAATTCTGTTTGCAGCTTGAATACTGAGGACAAAAATGTGATCTATTTGGAAAAGGTGATTAGCAAGAGAATTAGAATACTGGATTCTCATGGATGAAATTTCAGTCATTATTTTTTGTCAATAGAATTCTCAGTAAATATAGTCCCTGAAAAATAGAATTTACCCATGCACTACTTTGAAGCCACCACCCCCACCACACCCCTGCCCCAACCAACTTTTATTTATTTATTTATTTATTTATTTATTTATTTATTTATTTATTTTGAGACGGAGTTTCGCTCTT
Organism: Homo sapiens; assembly: GCF_000001405.40. Classification (NCBI taxonomy): domain Eukaryota; kingdom Metazoa; phylum Chordata; class Mammalia; order Primates; family Hominidae; genus Homo; species Homo sapiens. Next base: position 4,357,645 of record NC_000003.12, read on the forward strand.
GTCACCCAAGCTGGAGTGCAATGGCGCGATCTCGGCTCACTGCAACCTCTGCCTCCCGACTTCAATTGATTCTCCTGCCTCAGCCTCCAAGTAGCTGGGATTACAGGCATGCACCAACAAGCCCAGCTAAGTTTTGTATTTTTAGTAGAGACGGGGTTTCACCATGTTGGCCAGGTTAGTCATGAACTCCTGACCTCAGCTGATCCACCCGCCTCGGCCTCCCAAAGTGCAGGGATTACAGGCATGAGCCACCGTGCCTGGCCCCGACCAACTCTTACTAAAATAAATGGTAGCTTCCATTTCTTTTTTTCCTCAAGGGTCATATCGACAATTGAGATGCTCTGTTCAAAAAAAAGTAAAAGGTGGGGGTGAAAAGAAAATGCCCATATTGACACAGATCTGTACTGCATTTTAAGCTGTAGGTTGAACCATGTAGTTTGAAGCATCTATGCAGCCCATTTTCCATGAAGAAAAGGTCCCTCCTGATTACCACCCGTATTTCCCCCAGCCCCTGCCTTCTTCTAATCACGTTTACAGCTTTAAAAAAAAAGAGATACACCTTGCTTCTCACTCAACTGTCATGTACAGTCCAAAAATAAAGACCGTCCAGGATTCAGGACTAAAGCAGACTTGAAAACAAACCCCAAATTCCTTCCATGCTTCAATGGGGCAAGAAATGAGAATTCGAAACCAACTCTAGATGTAAGAGTTCCTAAAACAACAACAACAAAAAACAAAACAGTTTTTTAATACTGCAACTGGCACATCGACCAAACGGTCTGCTCGGCTCCAACTGTTTATCTAAAGCAGAAATAGCTCACAAGTGATTAATAAACAGAGAATGGAGGACAGTAGAATGTGGAAGTCATGTTGGATCACATGTGGTTTAAAACATGTTTTGAAACAAGCAGGCACAAACCTTCTCATAATTTTAAAGAAAACCTTAGCAATATATGAAGACCTTCAGGAAAAAAAAATTTAATACCATGAAAGTGCCTTCTTTTAGTGCATCTAGTGATTTATTTAGTGGCTTCAAGAACTGCTACACTTTCCAGTGTGTTAAGCTCTGAAAAACTGACAGTGCAGATAAAGATGCTGCAAAGACACTGCCCACCTTAAAGTCGACTGATGGAGAAATCTACATCCCAGATCAGATTTTTTACTTTTGATGGACGTGATCTCCATTAGAAGCATATGTCCTGAAGGTCTTACACCTTGGAGAAGAAAGAAGGTGCCTCAAAACTTAAGGCTGCAAAGGATCAACTGGCTGTAATGCTGGCTGCAAATGCCAGTGGAGATTGAATTAGGCTACTGGTTTTGTTAGGATAGTTATTTTGTTAGTGCTGTGGTACAATGTACAAAGTTCCTTAAGTTTTGAGTAATCTGCCTCTACCCCAATTTTCCCCGTATGCCTCTATGTTTTGTGTACAATGTCACAGAAAGTGAGGCTTTTCAGGACTACACCTATGGCATTCAAACCGAACTTTTCTTAGTCCCATTTTGCTGGTCTGCTCGTATGTCACTATCCAACATTATAAAGTGTAGTGACTATAGCTATCCATAGTTTAGGGTACTCTTTAGTTGGTAACCCAGACATGTAGTTCTTAAATAAACGGCTTGTTAGGATGTCATTTTATTGTATTCATTTTTAGAGACAGGGTCTTGCTCTGTTGCCCAGGCTGGAGTACAGTGGCACAATCATAGTTCACTGCAGCCTTGAGCTCTTGGGCACAAGCGAACCTCCCACCTCAGCCTCTCAAGTAGCTGGGACTACAGGTACACACTGCCATGCCCAACTAATTTTGATTTTTCATTTTTTGTAAAGATGGGGTCTCGCTTTGTTGCTGTTATAACTCCGTGTTCACACTGCTATGAAGGAATACCCCAGACTGGGTAATTTATAAAGAAAAGAGGTTTAATTGACTCACAGTTCCACATGGCTGGGGAAACTTACAATCATGGTGGAAGGCACCTCTTCACAGGGTGGCAGGAGAGACAGTGAGTGCTGAGCAATGGGGGAAAAGCCCCTTGTAAAACCATCAGAACTAGTGAGAACTCACTCACTATCACAAGAAGAGCATGGGGGTTACTGCCCCCATGATTCAATTACTCCCACCAGGTCCCTCACACAACACCTGGGGATTATGGGAACTACAATTCAAGATGAGATTTGGGTGGGGACGCAGTCAAACCATCTCAGTTGCCCAGGCTGGTCTCAAGTTCCTGGCCTCAAACGATCCTCTCGCCTCGACTTCCCAAAGTGCTGGGATTATAGGTATGAGCCACCGTCCCCAACTTAGGAATTCATTTTAAATGCCTTCCAGTATTATGCTGCTGCTAGAAATGCAATTCTAAAAAGTACACCCAAAACACCAAAAATACTTACGCAATGTAACATTAACAAGACAAGAATTCAAAATAGACACACCATAAATATAACAATGTAAAAAATATATGCAGGCGGGAGGTAACAAGTAAAAACAAACTGTACTGGAGTAGGGTGACTTTAAAAATAAAATCTCTTATTTCCTACATTAATTATTTGCTACCAATGTTTGTTCTTTTTTTTTTTTTTTTTTGCCTGGGATTAATCATCAGTAGGTGGAAGTTTGTAGAGAAACATTTGATATCTACAAAATGAACCACAAATGTGGCTAAACGTGCCAGCTACATGACTTTTTTTTTTTTTTCTTTTTTTCCTGAGACAAAGTCTTGTTCTCTTATCCAGGCTGGAATGCAATGGCGCGATCTCGGCTCACTGCAACCTCCGCCTTCCAGGTTCAAGCAATTCTCCTGGCTCAGTCCTGAGTAGCTGGGACTACAGGCAAGTGTCACCACTCCTGGCTAAATTTTATTTTTTGTATTTTTAGTAGAAATAGGGTTTTGGCATGTTGGCCAAGCTAATCTCGAACTCCTGACCTTGAGTGATCTACCCACCTTGGCCTCCCAAAGTGCTGGGGTTACAGGTGTGAGCCACTGGGCCTGGCCTACATGACTGCTTTTCAAGGGAATTGTTTTAACATGTTAAGAGGCTAAGCACAAAAGTAGCATTCAAGTGTTGGTTAGACACTTTTGAATATTATTTGATTTAAACATTTCTTTCAAATGGCATGCAAGAAATGGCTTAGGGGTTCTCAGGACTGAGGAATCAGGATGGGAACTTGATAACAGGGACCTTAGGTTGAAAGCTATTGTTCTAAAACAAGGTGCTTTCCCGGCATGGGAAGCAAATGCTGGGTTTTACAAGACCACAAGTGAGGCAGTGCCTTTGACTTGGCATTATCTACTGTGGCAACAAGCAGCAAGGTCATGATAGGGTTACTGGTGGAATAGCCTTGCTTTTTGGAACAAAAATTCCCACAAATTACCCACATATCAAAGTTATCCATTAGCTAACAAACATGAACGTTTTCTAGCAAATAAAACACGCATATCACAAAGTCCTCTCTTTAAAAGAAAACATAAAGAAGAGAAAGAGAAAAGAAGCTGATGACGGTGAAGCCTGATTTAGCAGATACGTTTATTCAACACAGTGCATGATTCAAAGCATCGGATATTCCACAGCCAACAAGGTTTCCTATTCCCTATTACAAAATACCGGATACCCTGAATATAGCTCATTCAAGGTCCTCGTTCCTTTTTCCCTATATCTAGAATTAAACAGGTTTCCCCGTTTAGCGCACATTTCACGTTCGCTGAAGGCTTTGGGGAGAGGGGGAAACAGAGCTTATGACTGCCCCTCTGAACCAAAGGCACTTAATGTTAAAAGATAAAGCACAGTAGAGTCACCCCACAGACATTCCTATGTGTTCAACGGCTGAACTTCAGCATACCATCACCGGCCCCATGTGGGATTCATCATAACAACGTAAAAGACACTGATTTCCTTGGAAAAACAAAGTGCAGTACGAATATAAAGGAGTCACCACACCCCTCTTCCGAAAATAATACATAAGAGAACTCTTACTTTACATGATTAGTATCACTCAAGGTTCACACATGGAAAAAATAGCTAAAAAATAATCTATAATAAATTCTCACTATGAAGTCACAATAGAATCTGATACCCTTTTTAGAACTGGTGAGTTGGAGAGACACCCAGAGGTCATGCTGTCCATCCCTTCATTTGATAGGGGAGGGCACTTGAGGCCCAGGAAGGTCAAGCGTCGGACCTGGGGTCTAACCCCTGTGGCAGAGCCTGCGTAGGACGCGGGCCTCCTGAAGCCTAGCTCAGGGTTCCCTCCACTCCCCTTCCTCTTTAAAGACTCTCAAAAGTAAAATATGGTGATGATCTCCAAAGATGCACCACACCATAAAGCACATGCACTGACCCAGGTCAGCAATTTGGTCTCACAAGGCGGTTCCTTTGGCCATTGGGCAGGTATGTAACCCACCTCAGGGTGGGAATTCTTTGCATGGGATCGTTCAAAGTTCTGAGAAAAGCCCAATGTAGGTCAGACACGACTGCTCCTTGGACTGGGGAAGACTTTCCTTGGTTGTCAGTCCATAGTGGGCAGGCGGTCGGCTGCACAGCGGAATCCCAGATTCGAAGCAGAGCTATCAGGTGTGTTCTGGCTCCGAGCAGCACAGCGATACCTGTAACAATAAGACTGTGTAGAGAGAAAGAGCAAGGTAAGTGCTACTGGGACTCTCAGCTGAAGGCTCTAACCCATCAGATGCATATTGCACCGGCTGTAGACAGTGCTTCCCCACAACCCTGCCTGTATGGATACTTAACATGTATGCTTTAAAAAGGGCAGCACATTCAAGAACTAACCACATATTTTCCAACGTCCTTCACCTTATAAATGTAACACGGATATAGTACAAAGATGTTCAGCATTAGATATAACAGCAAAAAAGAAAAATGTAACAACCAATGATTGCCTAAGTTTAGGCACATCCATATAATAGAAAAGTAAGCAGCCATTGAAAGTCATGTCTTTACATAGTATTTAATGACACAGGAAGTTTTCATGATAAAATGTTAAATGAGGCCAGGCGCACTGGCTCACACCTGTAATCCCAACATTTTGGGAGGCTGAAATGGGAGAACTGTTTGAGGCCAGGAGCTCGAGGCCAGCCTGGGCAACACAGCAAGATCCCATCTCTACAAAAAATTAGCTGAGCATGGTGGTGTGCACTTGTAGTCACAGCTACTCTAGAGGTTGAAGTGGGAAGATCTCTTGAGCCTGGGTGTTTGAGGCTGCAGTACACCATCACTGAGCCACTGTACTAAAGCCTGGGTGACAGAGCAAGATCTTGTGTCCAAAAAAAGAAAAAAAAACAGTTAAAATGAAAAAGGCAGAATATAAAGGTGTATATGTGGTATGACCACAGTGTAGATAACTACATGTGCCAAGAAGAAAAGACTGGAAGATTCCGAATGCACCACAATGTGCACAGTAGTTATCCCTCAAGCAATCTGAGTTTCATGTTTCCTATATGAAACCTATTCAGTATTCCAATACAATAAGAATATATATTAATTTTTGAAATTAAACCAAGTAATAAGTGATAGATGGCCACTGAAAAAATACTAAGAACAACACTAAGACACCATTTAATACCTAAATAATATTTATGATATTATTTATTATCTAAATCATATTTATGATATCATTTAATGCCAGTAGATCGGCAAAAAATTAAACAACAAGTCTAGGAACATCAAACATAGGAAAGGCTGTGGGACAACATTGCTTTTTAAAAATACATTGCTCTTCCATTTCTTTGTATCCTCTTTTATTTCATTGAGCAGTGGTTTGTAGTTCTCCTTGAAGAGGTCCTTCACGTCCCTTGTAAGGTGGATTCCTAGGTATTTTATTCTCTTTGAAGTAATTGTGAATGGGAGTTCACTCATGATTTGGCTCTCTGTTTGTCTGTTATTGGTGTATAAGATTGCTTGTGATTTTTGTACATTGATTTCGTATCCTGAGACGTTGCTGAAGTTGCTTATCAGCTTAAGGAGACTTTGGGCTGACACAATGGGGTTTTCTAGATATACAATCATGTCATCTGCAAACAGGGACAATTTGACTTCCTCTTTTCCTAATTGAATACCCTTTATTTCCTTCTCCTGCCTAATCGCCCTGGCCAGAACTTCCAACACTATGTTGAATAGGAGTGGTGAGAGAGGGCATCCCTGTCTTGTGCCAGTTTTCAAAGGGAATGCTTCCAGTTTTTGCCCATTCAGTGTGATATTGGCTGTGGGTCTGTCATAGATAGCTCTTATTATTTTGAGATACATCCCATCAATACCTAATTTATTGAGAGTTTTTAGCATGAAGGGTTGTTGAATTGTGTCAAAGGCCTTTTCTGCATCTATTGAGATAATCATGTGGTTTTTGTCTTTGGTTCTGTTTATATGCTGGATTACATTTATTCATTTGCGTATATTGAACCAGACTTGCATCCCAGGGATGAAGCCCACTTGATCATGGTGGATAAGCTTTTTGATGTGCTGCTGGATTCGGTTTGCCAGTATTTTATTGAGGATTTTTGCATCAATGTTCATCAAGGATATTGGTCTAAAATTCTCTTTCTTGGTTGAGTCTCTGCCCGGCTTTGGTATCAGGATGATGCTGGCCTCATCAAATGAGTTAGGGAGGATTCCCTCTTTTTCTATTGATTGGAATAGTTTCAGAAGGAATGGTACCAGTTCCTCCTTGTACCTGTGGTAGAATTCGGCTGTGAATCCATCTGGTCCTGGACTCTTTTTGGTTGGTAAGCTATTGATTATTGCCACAATTTCAGAGCCTGTTATTGGTCTATTCAGAGATTCAACTTCTTCCTGGTTTAGTCTTGGGAGAGTGTATGTGTCGAGGAATTTATCCATTTCTTCTAGATTTTCTAGTTTATTTGTGTAGAGGTGTTTGTAGTATTCTCTGATGGTAGTTTGTATTTCTGTGGGATCGGTGGTGATATCCCCTTTATCATTTTTTATTGGGTCTATTTGATTCTTCTCTCTTTTCTTCTTTATTAGTCTTGCTAGCGGTCTATCAATTTTGTTGATCCTTTCAAAAAACCAGCTCCTGGATTCATTAATTTTTTGAAGGGTTTTTTGTGTCTCTATTTCCTTCAGTTCTGCTCTGATTTTAGTTATTTCTTGCCTTCTGCTAGCTTTTGAATGTGTTTGCTCTTGCTTTTCTGGTTCTTTTAATTGTGATGTTAGGGTATCAATTTTGGATCTTTCCTGCTTTCTCTTGTGGGCATTTAGTGCTATAAATTTCCCTCTACACACTGCTTTGAATGTGTCCCAGAGATTCTGGTATGTTGTGTCTTTGTTCTTGTTGGTTTCAAAGAACATCTTTATTTCTGCCTTCATTTCATTATGTACCCAGTAGTCATTTTTGTTCAGTTTCCATGTAGTTGAGCGGTTTTGAGTGAGTTTCTTAATCCTGAGTTCTAGTTTGATTGCACTGTGGTCTGAGAGACAGTTTGTTATAATTTCTGTTCTTTTACATTTGCTGAGGAGAGCTTTACTTCCAACTATGTGGTCAATTTTGGAATAGGTGTGGTGTGGTGCTGAAAAAAATGTATATTCTGTTGATTTGGGGTGGAGAGTTCTGTAGATGTCTATTAGGTCTGCTTGGTGCAGAGCTGAGTTCAATTCCTGGATATCCTTGTTAACTTTCTGTCTCGTTGATCTGTCTAATGTTGACAGTGGGGTGTTAAAGTCTCCCATTATTATTGTGTGGGAGTCTAAGTCTCTTTGTAGGTCACTCAGGATTTGCTTTATGAATCTGGGTGCTTCTGTATTGGGTGCATATATATTTAGGATAGTTAGCTCTTGTTGTTGAATTGATCCCTTTATCATTATGTAATGGCCTTCTTTGTCTCTTTTGATCTTTGTTGGTTTAAAGTCTGTTTTATCAGAGACTAGGATTGCAACCCCTGCCTTTTTTTGTTTTCCGTTTGCTTGGTAGATCTTCCTCCATCCTTTTATTTTGAGCCTATGTGTGTCTCTGCACGTGAGATGGGTTTCCTGAATACAGCACACTGATGGGTCTTGACTCTTTATCCAATTTGCCAGTCTGTGTCTTTTAATTGGAGCATTTAGTCCATTTACATTTAAAGTTAATATTGTTATGTGTGAATTTGATCCTGTCATTATGATGTTAGCTGGTGATTTTGCTCGTTAGTTGATGCAGTTTCTTCCTAGTCTCGATGGTCTTTACAATTTGGCATGATTTTGCAGTGGCTGGTACCGGTTGTTCCTTTCCATATTTAGTGTTTCCTTCAGGAGCTCTTTTAGGGCAGGCCTGGTAGCAACAAAATCTCTCAGCATTTGCTTGTCTGTAAAGTATCTTATTTCTCCTTCACTTATGAAGCTTAGTTTGGCTGGATATGAAATTCTGGGTTGAAAATTCTTTTCTTTAAGAATGTTGAATATTGGCCCCCACTCTCTTCTGGCTTGTAGAGTTTCTGCCGAGAGATCCGCTGTTAGTCTGATGGGCTTCCCTTCGTGGGTAACCCGACCTTTCTCTCTGGCTGCCCTTAGCATTTTTTCCTTCATTTCAACTTTGGTGAATCTGATAATTATGTGTCTTGGAGTTGCTCTTCTCGAGGAGTATCTTTGTGGTGTTCTCTGTATTTCCTGAATCTGAATGTTGGCCTGCCTTGTTAGATTGGGGAAGTTCTCCTGGATAATAACCTGCAGAGTGTTTCCAACTTGGTTCCATTCTCCCCGTCACTTTCAGGTACACCCATCAGACGTAGATTTGGTCTTTTCACATAGTCCCATATTTCTTGGAGGCTTTGTTCATTTCTTTTTATTCTTTTTTCTCTAAACTTCCCTTCTCGCTTCATTTCATTCATTTCATCTTCCATCACTGATACCCTTTCTTCCAGTTGATTGCATCGACTCCTGAGGCTTTTGTATTCTTCACGTAGTTCTCGAGCCTTGGCTTTCAGCTCCATCAGCTCCTTTATGCACTTCTCTGTATTGGTTATTCTAGTTATACATTCGTCTAAATTTTTTTCAAAGTTTTTAACTTCTTTGCCTTTGGTTTGAATTTCCTCCTGTAGCTCGGAGTAGTTCAATCGTCTGAAGCCTTCTTCTCTCAACTCGTCAAAGTCATTCTCCATCCAGCTTTGTTCCATTGCTGGTGAGGAACTGCGTTCCTTTGGAGGAGGAGAGGCGCTCTGCTTTTTAAGAGTTTCCAGTTTTTCTGCTCTGTTTTTTCCCCATCTTTGGGGTTTTATCTACTTTTGGTGTTTGATGATGGTGATGTACAGATGGGTTTTTGGTGTGGACGTCCTTTCTGTTTGTTAGTTTTCCTTCTAACAGACAGGACCCTCAGCTGCAGGTCTGTTGGAGTTTGCTAGAGGTCCACTCCAGACCCTGTTTGCCTGGGTGTCAGCGGCGGTGGCTGCAGAACAGCAGATTTTTGTGAACCGCGAATGCTGCTGTCTGATTGTTCCTCTGGAAGTTTTGTCTCAGAGGAGTACCCGGCCGTGTGAGGTGTCAGTCTGCCCCTACTGGGGGGGTGCCTCACAGTTAGGCTGCTCGGGGGTCAGGGGTCAGGGACCCACTTGAGGAGGCAGTCTGCCCATTCTCAGATCTCCAGCTGCGTGCTGGGAGAACCACTGCTCTCTTCAAAGCTGTCAGACAGGGACATTTAAGTCTGCAGAGGTTACTGCTATCTTTTTGTTTGTCTGTGCCCTGCCCCCAGAGGTGGAGCCTACAGAGGCAGCCAGGCCTCCTTGAGCTGTGGTGGGCTCCACCCATTTCGAGCTTCCCAGCTGCTTAGGTTATACTGCCCAAGGTAATTTATAGATTCAATGCCATCCCCATCAAGCTACCAATGACTTTCTTCACAGAATTGGAAAAAACTACTTTAAAGTTCATATGGAACTAAAAAAGAGCCCGCATCACCAAGTCAATCCTAAGCCAAAAGAACAAAGCTGGAGGCATCACACTACCTGACTTCAAACTATACTACAAGGCTACAGTAACCAAAACAACATGGTACTGGTACCAAAACAGAGATATAGATCAATGGAACAGAACAGAGCCCTCAGAAATAACGCCGCATGTCTACAACTGTCTGATCTTTGACAAACCTGACAAAAACAAGCAATGGGGAAAGGATTCCCTATTTAATAAATGGTGCTGGGAAACCTGGCTAGCCATATGTAGAAAGCTGAAACTGGATCCCTTCCTTACACCTTATACAAAAATTAATTCAAGATGGATTAAAGACTTAAACGTTAGACCTAAAGCCATAAAAACTCTAGAAGAAAACCTAGGCATTACCATTCAGGACATAGGCATGGGCAAGGACTTCATGTCTAAAACACCAAAAGTAATGGCAACAAAAGCCAAAATTGACAAATGGGATCTAATTAAACTAAAGAGCTTCTGCACAGCAAAAGAAACTACCATCAGAGTGAACAGGCAACCTACAAAATGGGAGAAAATTTTCGCAACCTACTCATCTGACAAAGGGCTAATATTTAGAATCTACAATGAAGTCTAACAAATTTACAAGAAAAAAACAAACAACCCCATGAAAAAGTGGGCGAAGGACATGAACAGACACTTCTCAGAAGAAGACATTTGTGCAGCCAAAAGACACATGAAAAAATGCTCACCATCACTGGCCATCAGAGAAATGCAAATCAAAACCACAATGAGATATCATCTCACACCAGTTAGAATGGCAATCATTAAAAAGTCAGGAAACAACAGGTGCTGGAGAGGATGTGGAGAAATAGAGACACTTTTGCACTGTTGGTGGGACTGTAAACTAGTTCAACCATTGTGGAAGTCAGTGTGGCGATTCCTCAGGGATCTAGAACTAGAAATACCATTTGACCCAGCCATCCCATTACTGGGTATATACCCAAAGGACTATAAATCATGCTGCTATAAAGACACATGCACACGTATGTTTATTGCGGCACTACTCACAATAGCAAAGACTTGGAACCAACCCAAATGTCCAACCATGACAGACTGGATTAAGAAAATGTGGCACATATACACCATGGAAGAGTATCACGACTCATGTCTTCTTTCCCACTGCCCAATACACAAGCCCTGCATGCACTTGTACACTTGCATAAACATAAGAGAGCCTAACGCACATATCCCTGACTACCTAGCAGGTATTCAGTGATTAACCACAGATTACTTCAAAAGCCTCCACATGCCAAAAATAACCACGCTTGAAACTCTTGTGCCCTAGGATTGTTCTCCGATCCAAAAAAACGGAGAATAAAAATAAACTAGTCATCCTGTGTGCCATGAGCATAAACTCTGAGTTGGCCCAGTACAGCTCAAGTCCCTGCAAACTGGTTAAAGAAGTTTCACAAAGCAACATGTGGAATAACTTTAGAATCTGTGCAGAAGCGATAATTTGGACTCAGGGGGAAGATAAGTTGGCATGCAAAAGGTTTTTTTTTTTTTTTAAATTATTCTCTTTTCTCTCAGAAAAGTAAAATGCTTCTTGTCTTTGTGAAAAGTATCTCAAGTTGACACAGAAATTCTTTAGAGCACTTCTACTGTAAAAATAAAGACAGTGCTTTGTCTTCTATAGATAGTGAAATGATAGCAACCAATTTTCTCATTTTCCTTGTGGTCAGTGAATAATATAACATTAGCAATTCTCAGGTAGACAAAAGGAAGATGAATTTAAAGTGTGCTTGAAATAATTGATAAATTGATGGCATCTCCTACTATGTGTGATCTGCATGCAATGGAAGCTCTCAAATGACTAGAGGTGACCATGCAGGAAGACATAGCAAAAGCCTCATTCCATGCAGGGCCTACTCGTCGGGCTGCTGTGAAACAACAGTGCTTTGGTATTTCTAGAATCAAGTTCCTGTGGATAATCCAGGGCCCCATGCAGCCAAGCATGTGTAGCAAACTCCACACTGCAACAAAGATCAGGTTCAGGGGGAGCTACACAGATGACATGTCATTCTTGTCCCATAAACGTACACGCTTTTTTAGAAGGCAAAAATTGATGTGGATGAGATTTCCATGATCATGGCAGTGGTCCTCGGACCTCAGCATACATAAGAATGGCCAATACAGGTTGCTTAAATCCATGTTCCTAGGCCATACATCCAGAAACTCTGATTCAGGAAGTCTAGTATGGGGCCCAAGAACCTACTTCTAACAAGCTTCTAGGTGCTGCTGATGCTACAGGCCCATGGGCCACACTTTGAGTAACACTAGTTTATAGGATTTAGAGGGGAAGTTGAGAGGATAGCAAGGCCAGAGCCTGATCATATCAGGGCATGGTTTAATTATTCACTGAATATATGAGAGCTTACAATATGCCAGATGCTATTTTAGGTATGACGGATACAATCAGAACAAGACAAACAAGATAGCTGTTATCAGGGAGCTGACATTCAAAAGGGAATTGTCAGACAATAAATAAACCGATACATTCAAGATGGTTTCCAGGAGCAGTCACCTCTGCAGGAAGGAAAATAGGGAAAGAGGACTGAGAGTGACTGGGTGGCTACTTTCGATAGGGTGGTGGTCTGGAAAGGCCTCTCTGAGAAGATCACATGTGGGCTGAGTTGCCCAAAGATCTGGAGCATGAGAATTCCAGGCAAGAGTAATGACTGGCACAAAGGTGGTTAATGATGTCTTTGGGGTAACTGGCTTCCTCACTAAAACAACAAAGGTATTAGCCAGCTTCTAAGCAGGTCTTAGAAACCTTGTGTTCAACTGCAGGAAGATGGTAATAGCCCTGCCAGCATCTGAATGTGGATATACATTTGCTACATAAATGGGAAAGTTAAGAAATCTCTCTGGTGATAGGGCATAGGACTTAGGTTTTTGTTGAATGGCATATTTCTACCTGTCACTTATCTCTTAAATTATATCAGAAACTATTTTAAAATAAGATGATATTCATATGCCACAAAACCTAGCATATAACCACTCAAATGAACTGTTGGGATCTGCCCAAAGCACTGGGTTGAGGATTCTACAGCTGCGACACAGGATAGTGAAAAGACATATACAAGAGATTATTCCCAGGGCCATATCTGAAGACCCCGGTATATACAGAATAATTCCATTCTTGAAAGACAAAAATTAAGTACACAAAAAGTTTGCTGGAATACTATCAATTGTTTTCTTTAGAAAGCATGATGATCTTATTTTCATTTTGATCTTTACTATGTATTTTCTAAATTTTATGCTATGAAAATGTTTTCTTTGAATAATGAAAAGTTTAAAATCAGTGCCTCTCCCTTCCCCACCACCAAAATTTAGTTCTTTATTAGATCACAGCAATCCCTGAGACTGTCCATTAACCAAAATGACAATAAAGAATTAAACCCTAAAAAGCAAGACTCACTACAAAAGTTAGTGTTGCGAGGTCAGGGCCATCACTTGAGAAAACAGTCAATTCACACATCATTCCATTTCAAATGCACTCATTCACTCAGCAAACATTTATTAATAAGTCGTTTATTTTAAATTCCAACTAATAAAGCACATAATTAAAGAGGTAAATGGCCTCATTATAAATGTCCTCATTGCTCTTTCTTTTTTACCAACTTTATTTTTAGCAGCAAAAGTGGTTCTTAAGGATGTGAGGTCTTTAGGTGGCTGAAAAATGGGTCATTCTATTAATTAAGAACAGGGAAAGTGGGAAGGACCTGTTTTAGTCCTATTTCATTAAGATGGCTAATTACTGTGTGAAATTGATCTCCATGTCTGTGCTAAGAATGAGATCCTGGACTTGGGAACAATCCATTTAAGATAATGACTTACCAGCCTTGGGGCTTCAAAGTAAAGGGGAGCAGCAATATGGTTTTTATGAGAGGGAGACTTTTTGGTACAAAGGGCATTTTAAAGATAATTGTAACTCATGTTAAACGAAATCATTATAGAGAATGCCACAACAGAACAGAGGTCTCAATTTCCCGTCCGTTGCTCTTGCCACTAACACTAGACCAACTCCTTTTGCTCTTCATCTTGGTAGGATGGTGAGGATTTCCTTAATGTTGTAGGCTGAGCTAAAGACCCAGAGGGATTAATCTAACAACATCAACAACAATGAGTATTTCTTGAGTACTTACTATGTGAACTGTATTACTACGTATTAATTCACTTAATCCTCTCAGCAATCCTATGAGATAGGCATCATTAGTATCTGCACTGTATACATGAGGAAAAATTGAGGCACACAGATGTTAATAGTGTGCCTAAGGTCACATGGTTTATAAATGGTGGATCCAAGGTTCTAGCCTATTCAATCTGATTCCAAAGTCTGCACCCTTAACCAGATGACATGTTGCCTCATAGTTTTTCTTTCTGTGCCCCCATCTCCTTATTGAAGCTATACTTTGGATAGATTTTCAAAAAATTATGAATGATCATCAGAATTTACTTTAGCCAGGCAGGCCGGGCATGGTGGCTCATGTCTGTTATCTCAGCACTTTGGGAGGCCAAGGCGGGAGGATCACTTAAGGTCAGGAGTTCGAGACCAGCCTGGCCAATTTGGTGAAACCCCATCTCTACACAAAAATTAGCTGGGCGTGGTGGCACAAGCCTGTAATCCCGGCTACTCAGGAAGCTGAGGCAGGAGAAATGCTTGAACCTGGGAGGCGGACATTGCAGTGAGCCTAGATCATGTCACTGCACTCCAGCCTGGGTCACAGAGTAAGATTCTGTCTCAAAAAAAAGAATTTACTTTAGCCAGGCAAACTGGTGTTGGCCCATGATCAAAAATAAGTCATCATCTAAAAAAGAAAATTTTTTAAAAAATGAATTATAACATTATTCTTTCTTTTTATTGATTTTTTTCCTTTTATTGATTTTCACCTATGCCATGAACATTGCTTTTGCCTGTCTAGTTGGGAGTTTATTAGTTGGTTCCTTCTTCAAAAGAGAAGAGGGGAAATAATCTAATTATAATAAAGATGATGCTGATAGGAGCAACTAACTTTTACTGAGCCTTTACCATAAGCTAAGCACTGTACCAAGAACTTATATATGTTGGTTCATTTACTCCTCATCAGAACCTTATAATGGGTACAATTATATTATGTTACAAATGTAAAAACTGAGGCTTAGAAAGATTAAGTAATTTGCCCAAGGTCACATACCTGGCAAGAAACAGATATAGAACTCCAATCCAGATGTAATTCCCTAATCCACATCTCAATAATTTAGTAAAAGCTGTTACTCTTCATCTACTGGAAAGGCTAAGCACTCTGAAAATAATTCACAACCGACACTATGCTATTTTCCTAACCTTACAGATATAACCAGACTGATGATAAAGACCAACCTAATAAACAATTCATTTGACCAAGATCCTGGAAGTGCCATTTTTCTATGGAAAATCCTGTGGATCCCACTCAGTTCTGTCAATCTGCTATTCTCCTCTTCTAAAATGTTATCCCCATCACATGGAACCTGACTAAATTAAAACAAATCCTTCAAGTAAGCTAAGAAAAGATAAAAATGCATAATATAGACTTTAAATCAACCACTAAGATTATAAAACATAGAGTTACAACTAATAAGCATAAGGAGAGAAAATGGGGTGATAAAAAGTATGTAATCGAAAAGAAGACAAACAGAGAACAACAACAGGTGAGACAAAGAGAAAAAAAATCAAGATGGCACATTTCAACCCAACCATATTAAAAACCACATTAAAAATAAATGGTCTAAACACCCAATGAAAGGCAGAGATTATGCCAATAAATACAATAACTCAAATGAAATGGACAAATTCCTTAAAAGATACAAACTACTAGAATGTACTCAAGAAGAAGCAGATAAGCTGTATAGTCCTACATCTATTTAAAAAATTAGGCCTACAGTAAAAGAAAAAAAAAATGGGCATACTGGCTCACACCTGTAGTCCCAGCCACTCAGGAGGCTGAGGCAGGACAATTGCTTGAGTTCAGAAATTCGACCCTGTCTCTAAATTAATTAATTAATAGTTAAAACTCTCGGCCCAAATGCATTCACCAAGGAATCCTATCAAACATTTCAATAATAACACTAATTCTACATAAACTCTTGCAAAAAAATTTAAAATAAGTTAATATTTAACAACTCAATCTATGAAGTCAGCAATACCCTGAAACCAAAATCAGATAAAGACATTACAAGAAAACACAGAATAAACTAGATTCAAAAATACTCATAATTTTTGCAAATCAAATCCAAAAATGTATAAAAAAGATAATACATCATGACTAAGTGGAATGATACATATCCCAGGAATGCAAGGATAGCTTAATATTTGAAAATCAATGTAATTCACCATATGAACAGATAGAAAAAGCAAAATCATATTATCATCTCAATAGATGCAGAAAAAGCTCCCAGCAAAATCTACATCCATTGCTGATAAAAAACTCTAAAAAATTAGCAATGGAAAAAAACTTTCTCAAGCTGTAAAGGGCATGCATCTATGAAAAAGCTATTGCTAATACATATCCAATTTTGAAAAACTGAATGTTTATTCCCTAAGATCAAGAATGAGGTATGAAGGTCTACTCTTACCATTCCTATTCAACCCTATACTGAAGGTTCTAGCCAATGACATACAGCAAGAAAAAGTTATAAAAGGGATCTAGATTAAAAAGGAAGAACTGTCGATATTCACAGATCATATGATCAGCTATGTAGAAAATATGATACAATTTACAAAAACATTACTAGAACTAATAAATGAGTTTTGCAAGGTTGCAAGACTCAAGATGAACATAAAAAATCAGTACCATGTAAGTGTACTTAATAAAGTATGTAGGAGTTTAAAAGATATTTTTAAAGAATCTACTGGGAAGCTTATAAAAATGTAGATTACAAATAAGCTAAAAGTTATAAAACATGAAAGTAGATACATTCATACGCATGGAATTAGGACAGTTAATGTCCTTTACTTGCTTAAAATGTTTTTTACAAGCTTCTGTTACCCCATTTATTCTTGATGAAAAATCTTCTGGTCCTCAATTACTTAGAAAGTAAATGGATTCTGAATTTAGAAAAGTGCCATATGCCAGAGACATAACTGGTGACAATTAGGATTTTGAGATACTACTGTACAAAGAGAGATTCACCTGTTTTCCATGGAAGTCTGGTTTCCTGGCAAGAAGATCCAGGTACATTTGTAGCAATAACTTCAAATAGAGAAGCAATCTGGGATTAAAGACTCTGATGTATACGTGAACATGTAAATATATTGGGAAGACCTGGGACAATGCTTTTAATTTAAAATTAAAACTAGGATTTTAGGCCGGGCACAGTGGCTGATGCCTGTAATCCCAACACTTTGGGAAGCAAAGGCAGGAAGAATTTCCTGAGCCCAAATGTTCAAGACCAGCCTAGGCAACATGGCAAGACCCCATCTCTAAAAAAAATTTAAAAATTAGCCAAGTTACTTAGGAGGCTGAGATGGGAGGATCGCTTGAGCCCAGGAGGTCGGGGCTGTAGTGAGCTGTGATTGTGCCACTGCACCTCAGTCTGGGTGAAGAGTGAGACTCTGTCTCAAAAAAAAAAAAAAAAAAAAAAAAAGATTTCATGAAAATAAATTGGTCTACATCTTATTACCAATGTAGGTCTAAAGCATCAATTGAGCTCTGCTCTATGAACTTCAACCTGAATCACTGGATTAAAAATTCTAAGAAATACAGAAGATACACATACATACAAACTCACATATATACATAAAATCTAGAGAGATTTGCTTTAGGCTAGTGATTCCCGAACTTGGCTGTATGTTTTCATCACCTGGAGAGCTTTAAAAAATGCAATGCCCAGCTCACACTGAAGAAAAATCAAATCAGAATGGGGGTGAGTGAGGAGCCAGACATCAGTATTTTATATAGATCCCAGATGATTACAATGTGGAATAAAGTTTGAGAACCACTGTTTAAGACAAAATTTGATAATGCCATCATTATCAAATTAGTAACTTAATTTGGAGCCATTATAGGTGGTTTTAAGTCTCTAACCACCTGGACTGAATAAATTCCTAGGGGAAGCTTTGAGGCAATAACAATCTGCAAAATGCCATCTCTGCACAGGGATAGAAAGCTGGAGTTCAGGAGACGTGAAAAATATATGACTCAAAGAAAAAAGGGAAGGGATGGTATTCTATTTCCAAATTCCTTATAAAGGTTATTTAGGAAACACCAAGTCACTCTAACTGATGAAGAAAGCCAGCTCAGACACTAAAATCATAGCCCAAAGAGAAGAAACACTCTCTGGGAATGATGCTTATTTCACAAGGCACACTTTGTACCTAGAACACGGGATGCTTCCATTTCAGTATATCACAATCTGCCCTCCATACATAACTCTCACCTGAATCTCAACAGAAAATCCAGAAATGTACAGGATTCTCAAATAAATTAAGGGTGTGCTTTCAGACTTACATGCTGGAAAAGTTATATACACCCACCCCTGTGCAGTTCGTGGGACAACAAAGGTCTCTCAAAGGGGCAAGATTCAATAGATGAAATTTGGTTGACAATAGGTCATTCACAACCTTTGTTACTTGTGTTACTTTTCTCCATGCTTGTAACCAAATTTGAGATGACTGTCCTCCTTTTTTTCTGGTTTCAGTGGGGTTAGGTAGGCATTTGCAGAAGTGAATGAGACATTTGGGGCTATCATTTACAATGGATCCATAAAACTGCTATCAGAACAAGAACGGCAAAACAGTTTAGTGACATGACTTACCCTATGGCACATGTAGGATCCACCTTTCTTCACTCGGTCTTTCCCAGAAGGGGGACCTTTCTACAGATGAAGAAAAAAGGCTATGTTAGACCAGAAGGCAAAGCTGCCCCTTACACAGTGGGAGAGAATCCACTTTGATCCAACCAGCTCTCTCATGGTTGCCTAAACTCTCCACATGCATTTCCACCCCTAGGCTTTGTATCTGTATTCGTGGGCTCTCCCAAATGCTCACCTCCCCAAATCCTACCCATCTTCTAAGGCCCACCTCAAGTTTCCACTCTTTGGTGAAGTCTTCGTAACTACAGGAAGCAATCCTGTCTCTAAGTCCCTACAGCATTTCTTGCCTAGATGACTAATAAGCTGCTTGGCTGCACCTCTTACCATGTCATGATGCAAATTTATCCTGTGTTATAACTGGTTTACTCATCTACACTGGCAAGCCTCTTTGAATTGCATGGTATTTTTTGAAACAAAAATTTTTCTTGAGACAGGGTCTCCTTCTGTCACCCAGGCTGGAGTGCAGTGCTGTGATCATAGCTCACTACAGCCTTGACCACCTGGGCTCAAGCAATCCTCCCTCCTCAGCCTCCCAAGTAGCTAGAACCACAGGCATGAACCACCATGCCCAGCTAATTTTTAAAAATTATTATTTGTAGAGACAGGGTCTCGCTATATTGCCCAGGCTGGTCTTGAACTACTGAGCTCAAGTGACCCTCCTACCTCAGCCTCCCAAAGTGCTGGGATTACAGGCATGCAACACCATGCCAAGCCAGAATTATATGTTTTTATAATCCCGCTGTGTAATACTTAATAAATAGTTTGCTGATTGAATGAAAGAGTTTGCTTGTTAGCCTTAAAAAAATTTAGGTGTGCTTTATTAAGATATAATTAATATACAGTAAAATTCATCCTTTTTAAGTGCACAGTTCCAGTGAGTTTTGACAAACATATATAGTCATGTAACCGCTACCACAATCAAGACATACAACATGGTTTATCTTGAAGAAAAAAAAAAAGACACATATACGTACTATGAACCAGGCACAGTTTGAGCACTTTACAAATATTAACTCAGGTATTCTCCATCCAACCTTGGAGGTAGGTTAAGTTACTGGTAAAATAAGTGGCACAGTCAGGCAGCCTTGCTCCAGAGTCCATGCTCTGAGGCACTCCACTGCGCTCCCACTTAGAGACAAGAAGTGTAGGAAATTAGGCAATGCTTAAAAGGAGGCAAGGAAGAGCAGCGTCTACCACTGTAATAAGAATTAACATCTACACAGAGCCAGTATAATGGCAAGACTTTTTTCTAGGAAGGGCTTCAGATAAAAGTTCAAAGGAAATGAAAATCCTAAAGCATCAGTTGCCAAGATAAAAGCCTCAACATCAGGTAAGGCATACACAGCATCTGAGAGGTACCAATAAATAGGCTCTAATAAGCCAGAACCGTATCAGGGGAGTCTATGGGGAAAGGGATTTATCTCCTTTTTTTGTTCAAAAAGACAATTAATCACACACCTGTCTACTATTTGCTCCAAAAACGCAAGAGGCCGGGACAACCCCACTCCTATCTTAGTTTTTCCTTCTCCTGTGACCCAAAAGCACCCTTACTTAAGTGGCAGAAATTAAAAGAATCACGTTTTCTCCAAGCATGGCTAATGTACTTTCTTGCAAATGTAAACCATGTGGGCAGAAGTGCACATTACCTTCTAAGCATTTCCAGGTACAGATGCTCCTTAGCATGGGATTAGGTCCTGTCCTGATAAATCCATCATAAGTTGAAAATATTATTAAGTCAAAAATGCATTTAATACTCCTAACCTACCCAACATCACAGCTTAGCCTAGCCTACCTTAAACATGTTCAGAACACTCATGTTAGTCTGTAGTTGGGCAAATCATCTAAGAACACAAAGCCTATTTTATAATAAATTGTGGAATATATCATGTAAATTGCTGAATACTGAACTGAAAGTGGAAAACAGAATGGTTGTATGGATACTTAAACCACAGTTTCTACCAAAGGCATATCACTTTTGCACAATTGTAAACTCAAAAAAAATCTTAAGTCAAACCATTGTAAGTAGGGGACTGTCTGTGCTTAGAAACTATCACAGACAAAGCCATTGGCTATTCCTCCTTCAACTGCAGGGCTACAATATTTCCAAGGCCTTAAATGCTTAATGTCACATTAATAAACTTTTGTTAATTACAAACAGGCACACTGCAAACGTGAAAAGCTACGTGTCAAAATAATGGCTGGCAGCAGTTTTCTTCCCAGGAATATCTAGAATCTGACAAACACTCTGAGTCAGTTTATTACTCTATAAGACAATTACCAAGAATTCACTGTAGCAGCAATGAAAGCATTTATAATTGTGGAACTCTCCCATGTAATGGCCACACTCTCCTACACTGTTTCTCGCTTAACAATTCTTGCATTACACTGCTTTAGGTGGTTCTCTGCATGCTCTGTTACAATGTATCAAATTGTGATTCAAGTCTCTCCCAGTATCTGCTAGCGTGCAATTTAGACTCCTCAAGTAGATCTAGGAACAAGAAGGAGTTGATTTGCCAATGGGAAGGCATGGGAACAAAATAGTTGCCTTTCATCATCAACTTCAATGAACTAAGTCTGCAATCAATAACTACGACACTTATCACAGTGACGCAAGTAGTAATGACAGTCATCCCAGGCTGACACAACTGTGGCACCTAACACAGTCCTCAATTTAGGTGACTGCTCAGCTGCTTCTTATAAATAAAACTATTTTTGCTAGCAAACAACATGATAATTAACTAAAACTGTTTGAAATGCTTGCCACTTTGCCAAAAAACAGAAAAATTACTAGGAGGGTGTAGTGGGTTGAAGAGTGTTCCCAAAATTAATGCTCATTCACAGCCCTAGTGTCTGACCTGATTCGGAAATAGGAACTTTGCAGACTTGTAATTTTTGTAATTAATATAAGATCATATTGGATTAGGGCGGGCCCTAAATCCAATGACTGGTGTCCTTATAAGATGAGGAGAGGATGCACAGAGGAACACAGAGAAGTCTATGTGGTGATGGAGGCAGGGACTGGAGTGAGGCGGCTACAAGCCAAGGAATGAGAAGGATTCCTGGAAGTCACCAGGAAGGATCTTCCCTTAGAGACTCCAGATGGGGTGTGGCACAGCCAGCACCTTGATTTCAGACTGCTAGCCTCCAGAACTGTGAGAGGATAAATTTCTGTTGTTTCAAGACACTAAGAGTGGGAGGCTGAGGCCAAGAGATGGTCAAGAGATGGAGGTCAAGAGATCAAGGTCAAGAGATGGAGCCCACCCTGGCCAATATGGTGAAACCCCATCTCAGCTAAAAATACAAAAATTAACTGGTCGTGGTGGCACACACCTATAGTCCCAGCTACTTGGGAGGCTGAGGCAGGAGAATCACTTGAATCCGCGAGGCGGAGGTTGCAGTGAGCCGAGATCGTGCCACCGCACTCCAGCCTGGCAACAGAGCGAGCCTCCATCTCAAAAAAAAAAAAAAAAAAAAAAAAAGATACTAAGTGTGGTAATTTGCTATGCAGCCCTAGCAGATTAATCCAGAGAGTTGGGGAAGAGGGGTATCTCCATTCCCATTTGTGAAAGAAAACATTAATAAATCAAAATTAACAGTGTCTCTCATGATCAAGTTTATGACTGCAGGCTAAAACAACTTAAGTGGCTATTGGTGGTGGTGTTTAAACACCTCATCTGTTTGCCTGTATACCACAGCAGGAAGAGCGGCTGCAGGGCCCTACCACCTCCACCTCCTGTGCTCAAGAGTCTTGGGGATGCATAAGAATCCACTTGGAATTAACCTAGATATCCATCAGCAGTGGACTGGATAAAGAAAACGTGGTACATATACACCATGGAATACTACACAGCCATAAAAAAGAATGACTCATGTCCTTTGCAGCAACATGAATGGTGCTGCAGGCCATTATTATCCTATGTGAATTAACGCAGGAACAGAAAACCAAATACCGCATGTTCTCACTTATAAATGGGAGCTAAACATTGGATATACATGGAGACAAAGAAGAGAACAATAGACACTGGGACCTATTTGGGCAAGGTGGAGGGTGAGAGAAGGATGCGGACTGAAAAACTACATACTGAATATTATGCTGATTACCTGGGTGACAAAATTATCTACACCAAACCCCCACGGCCCACAATTTACCCATGTAACAAACCTGCACATCCATCCTTTGCACTTAAAATGAAAGTTGGAAAGAAAAACAAAGTCTCAGTGGAAAAACATATGGAACATAGGGACTCCGCCTACAACCAGGCAGGAACCATCGTGAATCCTGTCTCCAAAGGTACTACTGCCCGTAACTGCTCTAGTCCCATAGACACGAAAATATCAACATGTCTCCAATGCTTGCATGGTCGCAAGAACAGCAAAACACACAGGTTTCTACATAACAGTCCCAATAATCTCAAAAGGCCAAGGTACAGCTAAAGTTCTCGGGAAAAGTGATGAAGAAGCAACACTCAGCATTAGTGCAGAGAAATCTACCCCTGTTTAAAACACCTGGGAGGGCATGTAAGTCTTTAAGGATGAGTTGAATCCACTGGAGATGCCACAGAACCACGTATCAGTGAGACTGGCTTGTTTGGAGGAGGAATGAGTCTGTAAGGAAGAGGGGTAGCCAGCCTGCTCACGGCTACCAGGACATTTTTCACAGCACAACGACTGCACTCTGTGTAGTCAAGAGACATTTCCCTTTCCCTCGTCATGCCCAATACATTGACAAGGAAAGCAACAGAAGGGATGGAGAGTGTGACAAATTTCCATCACTCAGCAAACAGTCAAAAGGCACCACTAGCGACCTGGATGGGACTAGAGACTATTATTCTAAGTGTAGTAACTCAGGAATGGAAAACCAAACATCATATGTTCTCACTCATAAGTGGGAGCTAAGCTACGAGGATGCAAAGGCATAAGAATGACACAATGGACTTTGGGGACTCGGGGAAAGGGTGGGAAGGGGGTGACGGATAAAAGGCTACAAATCGGGTGCAGTGTGCACTGCTCGGGTGGGGGTGCACCAAAATCTCACAGATCACCACTAAAGAACTTACCCATGTAACCAAACACCACCTGTTCCCCAATAACCAACGGAAATTAAAAAAATTAAAACAAATAATAAACATGTCATTTGACACAATCCATAGTAATGAAATGCTAAGCACCCACTACAAAGAATGAGGCACTTCTGTATGTGTACACTTTACTATCACTTTTTACTAAGAAAATAACAGCATCAAGCATTTATTCTGACTTCCTCACACAAACTATGCCTCAGGAAAATAGAAGAGTTATGAGTGAATGTTCTTTATAGAGGAATTCCAGATAATTAATGCAGAAAGAGTAATAGAATATCACTATGTCAAAAATCTTGGCCAGGTGCAATGGCTCATGCCTGTAATCCCAGCACTTTGGGAGGCCAGTATGGGAAGATTGCTTGAGCCCAGGAGTTCAAGACCGGCCTTGGGCAACATGGTGAAACCTCATCTCTACAAAAAATACAAAAATTAGCCGGGCGTGGTGGGGCACGCCTGTAGTCTCAGCTACTCAAGAGGCCGAGGCAGGAGAACCATTTGAGCTTGGGAGGCAAAGGTTGCAGTGAGCAGTGACTGCGCCACAGCACTACAGCCTAGACAACAGGAATGAGAAACTCTGTCTCAGGAAAACAAACAAACAAACAAAAAAACCTTCCTCAAGAACTGAATCTAGGCAATGAGTATCAATGGCTGCTAAAATCAGTGAGTGAAAGGCTAATGAAGATCCTCGTAACGGATGGTTCAGACTGACAATGCCTACTTAAATACTGATCAATCTTATTAACAAAAATAATCTTATCGGTGTCACGATAAAAGCCATGCATACTATGCCTCCTGATATGATATAAAGAATATACACAGCCCTATGAAGTATTTTTAATTACTCTTATACATACACACACACATACATGCACACACACACACACACACATCCTACCTAAAGCCTAAATATAATCAAGACTTTAAATCTAAACAAAGATTGTAGGAAATACAAGGGGTAGAAGAATATACTAAAATGATTCCACGAAGATGCAATGAACAAAACCCAGGCCATGGGAAATTCTTTTAAAAATAGATCATTTGTGGTGATTCCTCAATGATCTAGAACCAGAAATACCATTTGACCCAGCAATCCCATTATTGGGTATGTACCCAAAGGATTATAAATCATTCTGCTATAAAGACACATGCACACATATGTTTATTGTGGCACTGCTCATGATAGCAAAGACTTGGAACCAACCCAAACGCCCACCAATGATGGACTGGATAAAGAAAATGTGGCACATATACACCATGGGATACTACGTAGCCATAAAAAAGGATGAGCTCATGTCCTTTGCAGGGACATGGATGAAGCTGGAAACCATCATTCTCAACAAACTAACAATAGAACAGAAAACCAAACACCGCATGTTCTCACTCACAGGAGGGAGTTGAACAATGAGAACACATGGACACAGGGAGGGGAACATCACACACTGGGGCCTGTCAGGGGGTCAGAGACTAGGGGAGGGATAGCATTAGGAGAAATACCTAATGTAGGTGACGGGTTGATGGGTGCAGCACACCACCATGGCACGTGTATACCTAAGTAACAAACCTGCACATTCTGCACGTGTACCCCAGAACTTAAAAAGTATAATAAAAAGAAAAAAAAAAAGAGATCAGGGCCGGGCGCAGTGGCTCATGCCTATAATCCCAGCACTTTGGGAGGCCAAGGCAGACGGATCACTGGAGGTCAGGAGCTCAAGACCATCCTGGCCAACATGGTGAAACCTTGTCTCTATTAAAAATACAAAAATTAGCCAGTCGTGGTGGTACACACCTATAATTCCAGCTTTTAGGGATGCTGAGGCAGGAGAATTGCTTGAACCCGGGAGGCGGAGGCTGCAGTGAGCCAAGATTGTGCCACTGCACTCCAGCCTGGGCGACAGAGCAAGATTCCAACTCAAAAATAAATAAATAAATAAAAATAAAAAGAGATCAGACATCTTTTCAACAAATAAATAGCAAGGGAGGAAAAAGAGAGAAGTTATAAATTGAGAGGCTTAAAATATCCTCTGGTCGTGGTGGTGGCACGGGGCAATTCTATATGCCTTGTGGCAGTTTTTGTCCTGGATTATCTTTTGAAGGATGTTTGTGTAACCAACAGTCTCAGAAGATGACAGAAGGCAGGTTTGTTTCCTGGCCAGAACAATAATGTCAAAGGTTGGGTATGTTTATTATAAACCTCTTTATAAGACTGGAGTCTCCTAAGCTCAGGATTCTCCGGCTGTGACAAAGACCTACTGTGTCATCCTTATGGGATTTGGGAGACAAGGGGAAGCGATGTGAACATGAAGTGCAT
Source organism: Homo sapiens (assembly GCF_000001405.40). Classification (NCBI taxonomy): domain Eukaryota; kingdom Metazoa; phylum Chordata; class Mammalia; order Primates; family Hominidae; genus Homo; species Homo sapiens. The sequence continues at coordinate 4,383,776 of NC_000003.12, forward strand.
GTTGCCTGCTGTGCTGTGACTAGAAAAATCTGTAACTCTGACACAGAAACTTCATGTCTTCTGCCAGCATCCATGACACTGTAGTGGCCTAACTCATGAGCTTGCAAACAGAATAAAATTTCAGACTCTTCATAGTCTTGACAAAGACATATCAACAAACAAAATGCATAGTATTACTGTCATACATATTACAGTTATATATGTGAAAAACTTAACAACACAGTGTGACCATTATTGCTTTAAACAATCTTACGTTTTTAAAAGGAATGAAGTGAAAAAATAAATGCAGTCTTTTCTACTTACCTATTTACCATATTTCCTGCTTGTCAGTTCTGCCTGTGTATCTATCTGAGGTATCAGCTAGTTCCAGTCCCTTTCAGTCTAGAAAAACTGCTTAGTATTTCTTAGTATGGCAGATCTGCTAGCAGATTCACTGTCTTTGTTAATCTACAATGACTTTATTTCTCCTTCATTTTAAAATATTAAACCTTTATTATGGGTAACCGTTGATTCACATGAAGCTGTAAAAGGTAACAGAGGAATTGGTGTACTCTATATCCAGTTTTCCCCAATGGCAACATCTTCCAAAACTCTGTACTGTATCTCAACCAGGATGTTGACACTGACACAGTCAAGACACAGAACATTTCCATCACAAGGATCCCTTACGTTGCCCTTTTATAGTTACGACCACTTCCTTCCCAACCCCAACCCCTTCTTAACCCCTGGAAAACACTAACCCCTTCCCACTCCTATAATTTTGTCATTTCAAGAATGTTATATTAATATAAGTGGAATCATACAGTATGTAAACTTTTGGAACTGGCTTTTTTTCCACTCAGCATAATTCTCCGGAGATTCATCCAGGTTGCTCTGCATACCAACAATCTATCCCTTATTACTATTGAGTAGTATTCCATGGTGTGGATGTATCGGTTTGTTTAAATATTCACCCACTGAAGGACATTTCGGCTGTTTCTAGTTTTTTTGGCTATTACGAATAAAGATGCTATGTACAGGTTTTTGTATGAACATAAGTTTTCATCCCTTTGGAATCAATGCCAAAGGAGGGAATATAGTGGTCGAATGTTTACTTCATTTTCTTTTTTCTTTTTTCTTTTTTTTTTTGAGAGGGTCTCTCGCTCTGTCGCCCAGGCTGGAGCGCAGTGGAGTAAGCTTGGGTCATTCCAACCTCCACCTCCCAGGTTCAAGCGATTCTCCTGCCTCAGCCACCCGAGTAGCTGGGATTACAGGCACGCACCACCAGGCCCAGCTAATTTCTGTATTTTTAGCACAGACAGGGTTTCACCATGTTAGCCAGGCTGGTCTCGAACTCCTGACCTCATGAGATCAGCCTGCCTTTGCCTCCCAAAGTGCTAGGATTACAGGAGTGAGCCGCTGTGCCCAGCTGAATGTTTAGGTTTTAAAGAAAACGTCAAATTGTTTTCCAGAATGGCTGTACTCTGTCACACAACCACCAGCAATGGATAAATGATCCAGTTTCTCTGTATCCTAGCCAGTCACTACTTTTTAATTTTAGCCATTCTGATACGTGTGTAGTTGTATCTCCTTATGGTTTTAATTTGTATTTCTCCAGTGCTAATGACGTTGAGCATCTTTTCATGTGCTTCCATGCCATCTGTGTATCTTCTTCTGTGGTGTCTCTTCATGTCTTCTGCACGTGTTCTAATTGGATTGTTCGGTTTTTTACTGCTGAGTGTTGAGTTTTTTATGTATTGTAAATATATGTGGCTTTTGTCAGATATATGGGTTGCGAATATTTTCTCCCACTCTGTAGCCTGCCTTTATATCCTCTTAACAGGCTCTTTCACAGAAAAGAAGTTCTAGTTTTTATAAAGTCCAGTTTATTTATTTTTCCATATGTGGGTGATCATGCTTTTTGGTGTCAAGTCTCTACACTCTTTGCCTAGGCCTAGATCTCAGATTTTCTCCTGTGTTTTTTTCTAAAGGTTTTAGAGTTTTGCAGTTTAAATTTTAACTCTGTGATTCATTTGGAGTCAATTTTTATGTAAGGTGTGAGACTAAGGTAGAGGTTCATTTTCTGCCCACGGATGTCCAATTGTTCCAGCACCATATGTTGAAAAGCCTTTCTTTCCTTCATTAAATTGCTTTGGCAACTTTGTCAAAAATCAGTTGGGCATCATATATGTGTGGGCCTATTTCTGGATTCTCTATTTTGTTCCACTGATCTATAAGCATATCCCTCCACCAATATCAAACAGTCTTGATTACTGTAGCTAAGTAGTAAGTCTTCAAATTGGGTAGATTGGTTCCTCTCACATTATTATTTTTCAAAATTGTTTTAGCAATTCTAGTTCCTTTGCCTTTCCATATATATTTCAGAATAATCATGTCAATATCTACAAAAAATCTTGCTGGGATTTTGATAGGAATTACATTAAACAATTGGGGGAAGAACTGATATCTCTACTAGGCTGAATTTTCCAATTCATGAGCATTGTCTCTTCATTTATTCAGATATTTCTTTCATTAGTGTTGCATAGCTTTTAGCACACATGTACTAAACACATTTTATTAGATTTACACATAAACATTTCATTTGGTTTTGGTGACTGTAAATGTATTGTATTTTAAATTTCAATGTCCATGTGTTTGTTGTTAGTCTTACAAAAATAAACATGTTCATCTTGTGTCTTATAAACTTTATAAACTGAAATATTAGTTTTAAGAAGATTTTGGTAGATTCCTTGGGACTTTCTCTATGTAAACAAACACTCATATATCTGCAAATAGGGACTGTTTTATTTCTTCCTTGCTGATCTGTATACCTCTTATTTCCATTTCTTACCTTATTCTACTGGCTAGAAATCCCAGCACTATGTTGAATAAGAGTTCTGGAAACAGACATAGTTACCTTTTTCCCAATATTAGTGGGAAAGCACTTGGTCTTTTACCATTAAGTATAATGGTAGGTATACAGTTTCTTTGTAGATGCTCTTTACTAAGTTTGAGAAAATCTTTGTATTCCTATTTTCCTGAGAATTTTTGTTATAAATGAGTGTTGAAGTTTGTTAAATGCTTCTTCTGCACTGATATAATCATGTGGTTTTTTTTTTTCTTCTTTTGCTTCTTATTATGGTAGATTACACTGACTGATTTTTAAATATTTAACCAGACTGCACTCCTGGAATAAACCTCAATTATCATGTTTTAAAAAATACACTGATGAATTCTATTTGCTAACATTTTGTTAAGGATTTTTGTGTCTCTATTTATGAGGGATGTTCACCTGTAGTAACCTTCTATTTTTTTACTGCTTTTGGTTTGGGGATCAAGGCAATACTAGCTTCGTAAAATGATTAGAAAGTGTTCCCTTCTTTTCATTTTCTAAAACAAATTGTGTAGAATTGGTGTTGATTCTTCTTTAAATGTCTAGTAAAATTCTTCAATGAATCCATTTGGGCCTGGAGATTTGTTTTTTGAGAAGTTTTAAAATTTCTAATTCTACTTCCTTAATAGTTATAGGACTATTCAAATTATCTATTTCATATTGGGTAAACTGTGGTATTTGGAGTTTTTTGAGGAAGTGTTGTTTCTCGCCTAAGTTGTCACATTTATGGGTATACAGATGTTCACAGTATTCCCTCATTATCCTTTTGATGTCTACAGAGTTTGCACTGATATCTTGTTTCATTTCTCATATTAGTAATCTGGGTATTCTCTTTTTGCTTTGTCAGACTTGCTAGAGGTTTGTCAATTTTATAAATCTTTTCAAAGACCCAGTTCTTCATTTAACTGATTTTTCTCTGTTTTTCTGTTGTCTATTTCATTGATTTCTGTTTTTATTATTTCCTTACTTTTGCTTGCTTTGGGTTTAGTTTTCTCCTTTTTCTTCTGGGTCAAGCTGAAACATATTGATTTTAGACTTTTTCTCTTTTCTAATGCACACATGCAGTTCTGCAAATTTCCCTCTTAGCACTGTTTTCACTCTATCCCACAAATTTTGATATGTTTCATTTTCATTCAGTTCAGTGCACTGTTTGATTCACCTTGGGACTTCCCCTGTGACCTAAGGATTATTTAGAAGCGTGTTTCATAGTTTCCATGTGTTTGGAGATTTTCCTATTATATTTCTGTTACTGATTTCTAGTTTGATTCTATTGTGGTTGGAGAACACATTCTGTATGTCTTCAATTTTTAAAAATTTGTTGAGGTTCATCTGATGGCACAGGATATGGTCTAACTTGGTATATGTTCCATGCATAACTGAAAAGGGGTATTCTGCAGTTATAGGGTAGACAGTGCTAGAAATCTCTATCAGATCCTTTGGTTGATGGTATTGTTGAGTTCTTCTATATCCTTGCTGAACTTCTGTCTAATTGTACTATCAATTATTGAGAAAGGAGTGGTAAGGTCCCCAACTAAAATTGTGGATTAGTCTACTTCTCCTTTCAATTTTATTACTTTTTGCTTCACATGTTTCAGCTCCATTCTCTGGGGCATACACAGTATTACTATGTCCTCTTGAAGGATTAACCATTTTATCATTATATACGTTCTTCCTCAACTCTGGTAAATTTCTTTGCTTTGAAGTCTGCTTTACATGATATGAATATAGCCACTCTGACTTTCCTTTGATTAATGTTTACATAATATATATTTTCCCATCATTTTGTTGTCAACTTGCTTATATATCATAATATTTGAAGTTTCTTGTACACAGCATATAATTAGGTTGTTTTTTTAATCTACTATGCCAATCTGTCTTTTTAACTGATATATTTAAGCAATGTACTTTTAATATAATTATTGGTATGTCAAAGACTTAAGTCTGTCATTTTATTTTTTGTTTTCTGTCTGTTCTCTATTTTTTTGTCTCTGTTTTCCTTTTTCTGACTTCCTGTGGGTTACCCAAACTTTTAAAAAAGAATTCCATTTTTATGTAACTATTGTGCTTTTGAGCATACCTCTTTGTGTAGCTTTTTTAGTGGCTGCTAAAAGGTGTATGCATATTCATAAACATATCACTCTACTTGTGTGTGTACATATAGTCATAAATGTATCAGTCTACTCATGTCATTTTAACAGTTCCAGTGAAGCATCAAAACCGTAACTCTCTTTAAATCCCTTTAGCTTCTCTTGTGTATAATATAATCATATTAAATATTTCCTTTAAATACATTTAGAACCATATCAGACAATGTTATAATTTGTTTCAACTGTCAAATAAAATTTAGAAAACTCCACAGAGGAAGGAAAGCCTATTGTATATACTCATATTTGGGCTTACCATGTTCTTCCTTCCAGTCCGATATTCAAAAGTTCCTTCTTTAATCATTTTCTTTCTGTTTAAGAACATTCCTTTAGCCATCCTTTTAGGATAGGCTGGCTAGCAACAAATTCTCTCAGTCTGCCTTTATCTGAGAATATCTTGATTTCTCCTTATTCCAAAAAGATACTTCACTGGATAAGGATTCTGGGTTAACAATACTTTTCTTTCAGCACTTAAAAAACATCATGCCATTTCCTCTGGCCTTCATGGTCACCAATGGGAAATCCATTGTCATTCAAATTGTTTTTTTTTTTTTTCCCTATAGGTAAGGTGTCATTTTTTCTGGCTGCTTTTAAAAGTTTTGTCTTTAGTGTTCAGAAGTTTAATTATAACGGTGTCTTCTTGTAGATTTCTTCAGAATTACCCTCATTGGGGTTTGCTTAGCTCCTTGAATCTGTGGGTTTAAGTCTCTTACCAAACTGGAGGTGCTTTCAGCCATTATTTTGTGAAGGACTCTTCTCATGCTGTCTTCTTTGTTTTCTCCTCTGGGATTCTCAATACGTAAATGTGAGAACTTTTGTTATAATCACGTAGATCCTTGTGGCTCTCAACATTTCTTCATTTACTGTTTTCTTTCCACTGCTCAGACTGGGTAATTTCTTTTGTTCTAGTTGACAGTTCACTGATTTTTCCCCCCTCTGTGCCCTCCATTCTGCTGTTGAGCCCATACACTGAGCTTTTTAGTTTGATTTTTCAATTTTCAGTTCTAAAATTTGCATTTGGTTCTTCTTATATTTTCTATTTCTTTGCTGAAGCTTTCAATTTTTTCATTTGTTTCAAGTGCGATCATAGTTGCTCACTGATTTCTTTTTTCTCCCATGGTTTCTTTAAAATCTTTGCTGGGTAAGTCTAACATCTCTGTCATCTCAGTGTGGGCATCTGCTATCTACTTAAATTCACTTTGATATCTTCCTGGTTCTTGGGATGGCAAGTGACTTTTCAACTTAAACGTGGACATGTTCTTATTATGTTAAAAGACTCTGGATCTTATTAACACCCTGTTTTAGCTGTCTTTCTCTGATACCACCCTGGCAGGGGAAGAGAGAAGGTGTGATCCTGTTACTGCCAGGCAGAATCAGAAGTTCAGGTTCCTTGCTCAGCCTCTATTAACGATTCAGAAGGGACCCCTCATTACTACTAGATGTGGGTAGGAGTTTTGGCTCCCCACCTGGTTGTATACAGCAAGGTAGGGGTAACCACTTTACTAATAGACAATAAGAAAGACCTGGCTAGGCCTTCTCTGGCACCTAAATACAGCTGCATGAGGGTACAAGCCTAGACTCCCCACTCAGCCTTTGCTGGACAGTTTTTTCTTTGGTGTTTAGAAAGAGTAGAGTGGTTACTGTCTAAAAGCTTTCTGTATTGTTAGACTGCCCATTTCCTACTTGCTCCTTTGGCTAGAGAGAACAGGCTTTTGTTGAGACTTCCTTTGTCTACACCTGTTAGCATTTCTGGGTTGCTTGCTTCCCTAGCTCCAAGTCAGGGATATATGCAGCAAAAAGGAAATAAAAGAGACAGGGTCTCACTCTGTCACCCAGGCTGGAGTACAGTGGCACGATCTTGGCTCACTGCAGCCTCAACTTCCTGGGCCCAGGGGATCTTTCCACCTAAGCCTCCTGAGTATCTGGGACTACAAGCACATACCATGATACCTGGCTAATTTTTGTATTTTTTATAGAGACCAGGTTTTGTCATGTTGCCTAGGCTGGTCTTGAACTCCTGGGCTCACCATAATGTCATTTCTAGGACTCTGAGGTCTTCAGCCACTCTGCTTTAACTTTCCATGGTCTGCTTATAATTCTTTTATGTGCAGTGTCCAGAGTTTTAGTTGTATTTAGTAAGAGGAATAGAAAAATGTACATCTACTCCATCTCTCCATCTTTCTAGAACCAGGAGTCAAACCTCCTTCACCTTCATTTTTGAAGGATTGTTCTCCTGGATATAGAATTCTTAGTTGACAGGTTTGTTTGTTTTCCTTTCTACTCTTTGATTATGTCACACCATCATCCTCTGGTCTCCACTGTTTCTGATCAGAAATCAGCTATTAATCACATTATTGTTGCCCTGTATGTGATGAACTGTTTTCCTCTTGTTATTTTCAAGATTTTGTCTTTCAACAGTGTCAATATGATTTGTCCAGGTGTGGTTTTTTGTTTTTGTTTTTGTTTTTGTTTTTGCAGTTTATCCTAATTGAGGTTCACTGAGCTTCTTGGATTTATAGATAATCTTCATCAAATTTGGGAAATTTTCAGATTTTTCTTTCAAATTTTTGTCCCTTTTGCTCCTCTCCATTTGAGATTCCCTTTACACATGTGTTAAAATTATGTTGGAACACATGATGTTGTTGCACAGGGCTGTCTTGATTTTTCTCTGAAATTTTTTCTGCTTTTTAAATTTTTATGTATTTATTTTGAGACAGGGTCTCACTCTGTCACCCAGGCTGGAGTGTATTGCCATGATCTGGCTCACTGCAGCCTTGACTTCGTGGGCCCAGGAGATCTTTCCACCTAAGCTTCCTGAGTAGCTGGGATTACAGGTGCATACCATGATACCTGACTAATTTTTGTAATTTTTGTGGATATAGGGTTTTGCCATGTTGCCCAGGCTGGTCTCGAACTCCTGGGCTCCAGTGATCTACCTGCCACAGCCTCCAAAAGTATTGGGATTACAGGCATGGGCCACCATGCCCAGCCCTCTCTGCTCATTGGTTTGGATAATTCCTTTTTCTTTTCTTTTCTTTTCTTTTTTTTTTTTTTGAGATAGAGTCTTGCTCTGTCACACAGGCTGGAGTGCATTGGTGCAATCTTGGTTCACCACAGCCTCAACCTCCCTAGGTTCAGGTGATCCTGCCACCTCAGCGTCCCAAGTAGTTAGGACTACAGATGTGCACCACCATACCTGGCTAATTTTTTATTTCTTGTAGAGACATGGTTTCTCCATGTTACCAGGGTTGGTCTCAAACTCCCAGGCTCAAGCGATCCACTCGCCTCAGCCTCCCAAAGTGCTAGGATTATAGGTGTGAGCCACTGCACCTGTCCTGGATACTTTCTCTTGATCTACCTTCAGGATCACTGAATCTTTCTTCTACCATTTCTTATCTGCTCTTGTGTTCAACTAGGGAATTTTTCATTTCAGTTAGTAGTATACTTTTCAATTCTAGAAATTCTACTTGGTTCTTTTTTTAAAATTTCTATTTGATTCTCTATTTGTTGACTCACAGTTGGCGTATTTTATAGCAACTATTCAAATATACTTTAGTTCTTTAAATATAATCATAATAGCTATTTTTAAGTCTTTGTTAAATCTAGCATCTGGGCCTACTTGGGAGTTAGTTTTAACTTAAATACTCATCTTCTTTAGTATGGGTCACACTTTCTTGTTAGTCTGCATGTTTATTACATTTTAGCTGAAAACTAGACATTTAAGATTATACATAATATGCATAATTTAAGATTACATATATAATCTTAAATAATCTTAAATGTTTATATGTTCAGATATATATGTGTGTGTGTGTGTGTGTGTGTATATATATATATATATATATATATCTACCTATATATATAAAGAGAGAAAGAGAGCGAGAGAGAGAGCACATGTATATGTAACAGCAACTCTTGATTACCCTATTTTCCTGAAGGTTTTTGTTCTGTTTTGTTTTGTTTTGTTTTGGTAACTTACCTGAATATAAACTGTAGAATCTCATTCCCCATGGTCTGTACCCACTGATGTCTCTGTTCAGATTTTTTTTTTCAATTCCATTGAGGTCATATTTGTGTTGCATACTTGAACAGCTGACCAATAATTTAGACAGAGGCTATCTCAGATACTTTGAACCCACTGGGCTTTCACCTTTCATGAACCAAGGTGTATGGATTGAGAAATGGCATTCAAAGTGGCAGTCATCTCAAGTCTCCCTGGCTTTCACTTTTTGCTGGGCTCTCTTGGGTCTTCCCTGCTTATGTTTAGTTTCCCAGAAAGCCTAGAAAAGCTTATTTCACACCTTTAATGTCTCTGTTACTTGCGCGATCTCCCTGTTAAATTTCTGGCTGGTCTACCACCCATCACAACTGCTACCGTGGGCTAGTCATGCTGCAGGATTTCCCAAAATATTCTAACGTGAGTCTGCTTTTTTAGCTGACAAAGCCACAGGCTTTCAGTGCCCCCATCCTCCACCCTGAATCAAGTCAATCTTTGGCTGTAAGGCTTTGGTTTTCGCCACCAGTCCTGAACTGACAGTTACATTTTTATTTTAGTTTTAGAGACAGGGTCTCCCTGTGTCACCCAGGCCACAATGCAGTGGTGCAATCATAGCTCACCATAGCCTCGACCTCCTGGGGTCAAGTGATCCTCCCATCTCAGCCTCCTGAATAGCTGGGACTACAGGCATATGCCACCACACTCGCCTAATATTTTATTTTTTTATAGAGACAACATCTCACTATATTGACCAGGCTGGTCTTGAAATCCTGGCCTCAAGAGATCATCCCACCTCAGTCTCCCAAAGCACTGGTATTACAGAAGTGAGCCACCATGACTGGCCTTTTATTTATTTATTTATTTATTATTATTATTATTTTTAATAATAGAGTGTGGCAGAAAGAGGATATGGAATCAGTTCCAAGCAAGAACGCCACATATTCTCACCCATTCTTGGCCAAAGCTATAGAAGTTTCTCAAGAATCAACACTTCTCAATTTATCACCTCCCTTTGGTGGATTTTCAGTTTCCAGTGGTTGGGTGTGTGTTTTTTCTTTACAATTTTGTTCAGTTTTGTACTTGTTTTCTGTATTAGTGAATCACTTGACCTCTTACATTGCAATTACCAAAATAAGAACTCAACCAAATGTAATTAGGATCACAACAAGAATGGAATTTCTTAGGATCCTGATTCTCAACAAGCCAATTACAGAAAAATGTTCATGAGATAATTAAGGACATGTAAATGCTGACTGAGTATTTGATAATATTAAGGAATTATTTTTAGGTTTTTTTTGAGATTTGATAATACCATTATAGTTTTGTTTTTATTATTATTTTTTTAAAAGAGTGTTTAGCTTTTACAGTCACATACTGAAGTGCTTTTTTTGTGTGTTTTGAGACAGGGTCTTACTCTGTTACCCAGGGTAGAGTGCAGTGGCGTGATCATGACTCACTGCAGCCTCAATTTCCTGGACTCAAGCAATCCTACCACCTCAGCTTCCTGAGTAGCTGGGACCACAGACACATGCACCATTTTAAATTTTTGGGTAAAGACGGTGTTTCACTATGTTGCCCAGGCTGGTCTCAAAGTCCTGGGCTCAAGTGATCTGCCCATCTCGCTCTCCCAAAGTGTTGGGATTATAGGCATGAGCCACAGCACCCAGCCACATACTGAAGTTTTCTAGGGAAAAAAGTACATAGTATTTGGGGTTGGTTTTAAAGTAATTCAAAGGTGTTAGATTAAACTAGATTGGATAACTGTTAATGTCCCAGCTTTGTAATGTGTCACCTTGGCTAGACTGAACCTCATTTCCCAGAATTCTCTTCCCTTTATGTTTCTCGTTAGGATGTGCTACAGAAGACATTTACTAAGCAACCTAGAAGACAGAAGAGTAGCAATAGCCATAGTGTTTTTATTCTCAGAAGACTGATACAAGGGATCCAGGCAAGGCTGCAGCTGTTTCTCACTGACCCTATATCCTCCTTTAGTTTCTCTGGGTCCTGGGCAGGTCTGTATTTAGCTCTGTGATGAAGAGCACTAGCTTCTCCTGTATGAAATCCACATCATCAAAGTATTTTTATCATCAGAGACACAGCCTCTGCACATCTTCCTCCTAAAAGAAGCCTCTTTCAATCACCTCAACCATCTTTCGAGAAAGGAACTCTTTGTTTTCAAATATTCTAGAATTTAAAATGACTGACGTCTCTGTTAATTACCATACCATCCATTTGTTGAGAGTATACTAATCCTTATCATCGTATTTCATCCTCATAATCACCCTGTAAAGCAGGAAGTATCATTCTTTTCATTTTAAGGATGAAAATACTGAAGCTCAGAGAGATGAAATAAATGGCATCCCCAAGATCACACAGGTAGCAAGCGAGAGAACCAGGAGTCAAAGTCCATCACACTGTGGCACCTGCAGGCTTATCTCACCCCCGTGCCTAACCAGATAGAGTATCTTCTAGGTTCAGCAGCATCTCTACCCAAAGTACATATTTGTGAAAAATACAGTCAAAATACCAATAATTTGTATTTTTTTTTACCTAATGTCCAACGTGAAAAAATATTTTAAGAGTGAGCAGATGAAACCATTACTTCAAATAAAGCTTTTTGAATTATGTTTAATTTTATTTATCTCTGGGGACAAGGACCAATGAAGAAGGGACTGCAATTAGCATTAGCCTCTCCTGCATGAGAGGAAAAGGTGACGCCCAAAGAAAGGTCAAAGAAAGAAAACTAGAGATCAAATTGGAAAGAAGAGCGCAGTAAAACACACGAATCAAATTAACAACCTCCACTGTATTTTCTCTGTAAAACCAGCATGCCATTGTGGTGATTACCATTTTAGTGAAATGAATGAAAACAGTCATTTCCTCCATGCTACTTGTTTCACCCACACCAGATTAGAAACGAAGAGAATTTTTGAAATTGTATTACACTTGCTTATACCACGGTGGCTCCTGATTTTCCAATAATATAAGTCACTTTCAGACCCCAAAGTCTATGGTAACCGTTCTTGCTCCTGGAGTAATACATGAAATCAGGTATTTAAAATACCAGTCTACTTGTAAAATAAATAGCACATAAATAAACAATAGCAGCTAATATTTACCAAGCACATTACAGTTGGATATTGTTTTCTATATTTTTAGTCTTCCAAACAAATTTTTGATACAGATTCTCTTATTGGTATGGCAGACATATAATTGACCATCCAAATAAGGATACTTTAGAGATTGAAAGGTGGAACTATTAACACTTGTGCTAGGCACAGATATAAACCAGGAATGTTTGGACACCCACTCATTGGCCTTATTTTACAGCTAAAGAACTAAGGAACAGAAAAGTTGAATAGTGTGCCCAAGGTCACGCAGCTAGAAAGCAGAGGAGCTGGGCTGAAGGCCAGGATGTCTGGCTTCAGCATCATAGTCGGCCATTCTGCCATGTGCCCCTTCTGAACTAACTCATAGACTGTAACATTTTTCGAATAAATCATTCGACTATTCTAGTTTCAGACACACAAACCTCTCTATAGTTCACGAGTTCCACAAGGCCATAAAAGCACACAATAAAAAGTCTTACAAGAGATTGCAAATAGAAAGTGTCTGCAAAATAACCTGCAGAGACTCCACAGGATGAGCCCAGGCAGGAGGCATCACCACGGGACCTACCGCACAGGCCAGGTAGTTGGGAGAACCAGTATCTAGTCTGGGCTCTATCCTTTCCCTTCTGGCCTGAGTTCCCTCACTTGTGCTCCTCTAGAGACCTTATAGGGTCCTTCCCCACCAACCATTTGATGTGAGCTGGTGGACACATGTCCAAATCCTTTTATCTTGGAGCTTCTCCATCCCAAATTGTTTCACTTCCTTCAAGGAACTTCCCATGGTTTCTTGCTGAGGTGTGAGATAAGCAACTACAATCTTCTTTGAGGTGCCTCATTCGAGGGCCTCAAGTTTTACAGCCTCTCTCCCCACTGAGAGACAGGAAGGAGAGAGAGTAGAAAAAAGAGTGAGGCCCCAGGAGAATGATTAATTCTCTGACCTATATAACAGTAGATACATATGCTCTGTTTAAGAAGCATGAATTATTATAGCTGTGAAACACAAGGCTATAAAGCATCTATGTGCTGAAAACCAGTCAACCTAAACACAGAAGAAGCAACTATTAAGAGAAAACACATATCACATTAGATTTCTGCAACAAAGAAGAAACTTTCTCATCATCTACTGGTAGTGGTAGACTGCCAGATGGAATGCAGTAGACTGCTAGATGGAATTAGCCTCCTAATAATGCAGGTGGTTCTTTAACTTCAGAAAGTGTAACACACTAATATGCAACACAAAGGAACATGCCTGCTCTATCCAATTTCAGATGGATTAGATCTAAATTATAGAGAAATCCGTTTGTTTTATCCTAAGCAATGCATGTTATACAGCAGCATCATCCTAAATGCAAAGGCAACTTCTAGGTCAACTAAAACCAAACCACCACCAACACAGGGTACAGACTACATTCACTGAAAGATTTGCTCCAGAATCAATCACTTATATTGCTTAGAATAACTGTATAAAACTGTCAGTCCTGAGTGCAGGGCCGCATATGGTTCTAAGTATTACTTGAAGTGAGAAAAGTAGACACGGTTTAGTCTCACTAGGGATCTATCACATTCTTTTATTCTCACAATCTTCTGTGTTCTTCAGTGACAATTCATTAGCAAGTTATGAGAGAATAAAGCAATTAGCTTATACCAAATGGCATTTTCACTTAACCATTATTTTCAGAGAACCACTTGAAGACTTCCATGATTTTATTTGGACGTTTTGAAAGTGGATAAGTGCTAAGTGCCCAATTCTGTATGTTCTGCTGCTTGATTAGATGCCATGTTTACTTCCTTTACTGAGTATAAAGTGGAGACTGTCCATGGAAAGAAGTGTTATTTATAATTGCATGCTACCAGATGGCCTATCTCCTTTCCACATCCCTAAAAAGGTCCAAAAAAATGTCTTCCATGGATTAGATTTCAGAGTAAGGTATAATTTCATAGCTTGCTAGCTTATTTCATTTGAATTTTCATTACACGTAAAACATAATACTCATAATTAACATATATCAAATGTTTACTACATGACAGCCTCTACCCTAGACATTTTCTCTGTAGCATCTCCTTGAAACCTCCAATAATCCCATAAAGGGTATTACTATTTCCTCACTTACAGATGAGGAAGCTGGGTGAAAGGTTAACTAACTTGCTCCAGGTTATTCAGCTAGTAGGTGGCTGAGCTATGACTTAAATCCAGGTCCCACTCCAAAACTGCATGCTTTTAACCATCATGCTATACTTCCTCCTTAATTTTATACTTTTATAGCAATAAATGTATATGTATGTAAACCCACCGAGGTGGGTTTGCTTGCTCTTTTAACATCTGCAAGCTCCTTAAGAAAAGAGGATTGTGTCTGTTAGATTCCCAGAACCCAGCATACAAATCTGGCATTCAGTAGCTTGCCAGTAAATTTTGCTGAATGGACAGAAGTATACCCTTACATAAAACTTCTACGTGTGGATATGCATATTCCTATATTAAAAAGGCATCCACACATCCACATGAAAAAAATCACAGCATAATTTGGTAACAAAAAAAGATAACTTAACTATATATTTTCTCTTCTTAATAACCTGGTTTTATTTCCAGATCCTTAGAGAAAGAACAAATGAGTCATACTATGACATGGGGAAGTCACTAAAAGTAAGCTATAGGAATGGGAAATGGCACTATATTACTTTACAGCTCATTAACAAGTCAGACGTCAGATACAAAAACTAGCTTGCCAAATCAATAATTTTTAAAAATAATTTAATGGAAATAAGAGGTTAGGAAGGTAAGAAGGACAAGAAACTGATTTAAAATCTCAAGAGATCAAAAACCATAGGAAAAATTCACTGCCTCCCACTTGCTTTTGGAAGAAGCCACTGTATGACATAGCGATTCCCATCTCTTAAATTATCTTTATATTTATAACAAGTCTTGAGATGCCTGATTTAACATATGTGGCTTGTGACAAAATACTACTACAAGGAAATAAGTAGCTTTTCATGTTTTGTATTTGAAATAACATCTGGAATCCAGTAAACATTAACAAGTCTGGGGATCAGAAGATCTGGGATTTAATCTTGACTGCAAATCAAGTTCAAAATCCGGGCCAAAGTCAAAACCTCTAGAGCTCCACACCATAAAAAATGAGTCCAAGACCACATCTTCTTTTTTGCATAATCAGGAATATTTTGAGGATATGAGAACGAGAGGGGGCGGAGGGATGGGGAAAACGCATGCGTGAACACTTCGAGCTCTTCAGGGGAGAAAAGTCCCATACAAATGCAAAGCTTTAAGACATTGACTTTACTCCTCACTCCTCGTTTTGTTCACCCCAGAAGCACAGCAGTCTGGAGTAAAGTCAGGACTATATTATACAGGGATGCAGGGTCTGAGGCATATATCTTCTTTTAACCCGAAACACATTTCACCCTAAAAATCTATAAAGCTACAGTGGGGAAGGGCTTGGGGGCCATCTTTAAGTTGACGGAGACCACTCTTCCCCCCCAAACCATTTGTGATGACTCAGGAGTACTGTGGGAAAACTCTTTATGAACATGGACTACTCTATGTGAGAAAATGTAAAGAAGAGAATTATTGAGTTGGAATATATATGTTTATTAATCTTTGCTTACAGCCAAGAGTGATGAGACAGAGCCCTATCTGAAAATATTAAGCAGCAATCACAGGCTGAGACAGTGCGGGAACATTTAGGGTTAACTGTAATTCACTGCCAAGAAAAAACAATCTGTCCAGGGAGAGCCCAGGTCATGAAAAAGATGGAAAGGAAGGCCCACGGAAGTGGAAGACAGGATGCCAACTCTGGCAGAGTCTGGCCCTCAAAACAGTGCGTAAATTTCCTTTCTTTTCTTTTCTTGTTTTTCTTTTTTTGAGACAGAGTCTCGCTCTGCCATCTAGCCTGAAGTGCAGTAGCGCGATCTCGGCTCACTGTAACCTCTGCCTCCTAGGTTCAAGTGATTCTTGTGCCTTAGCCTCCCAAGTAGCTGGGACTACAGGCCCGTGCCACCACACCCAGCTAATTTTTGTATGTTTTAGTAGGGATGGAGTTTCACCATGTTAGCCAGGCTACGTGATCCGCCCACTTCACCTTCCCAAGATGCTGGGATTACAGGCGTGAGCCACTGCACCCAGCCGAGAGCCTAAATTTCTGTTCTCGATTCATACCTCAAACCACACCAAGACAAGAGATAAAATTCCTCAAGCAACCGACCCAAACTGGGGGCCGAATTCTACCTGAATTCCCAGAGTACCCCTCCTCTGCCCAGAAAAGCTGCTCAGACATGGCCTGCCAGCTGTGGATGCAACTAAGGGAGCCAAGAAAGACAGGCTTTCAAGCCCTCACCCTGAAATTTCCCCATGGCCTTTCCAGGTGAAGAAAAGTATAGGAAAGGAATAAACAATCTTTTGATTGAAAGAAATCCAAAAAACCCGGGCTTTGGTTCTGGCTTCCTAAGCATCAGTGGAGCAAAAGTGCCTATTACCATGGAAATGATAAGAAACCACCATTAGGAATTCTGAGATTCAAATTCTCTGGAGGCAAGGACTGCGTGATGTTTATGTTTGCCACTATCACACAGCAGGTGCTCAAAAATGCTATTAAACAAATGAAAGAAAAATAACATAATCTGGTCTACTAAACAACAAGAGGCAATGCTGAAGGGGAAAGGATTTTCCAAAGGGAGATGTTCCAACCAAGAGGCGCTTAGAAACCGTAATCTGCTCTCATTTACCAAGTGCTTGCTGTGTGGTGGGCACAGTGAGTTAACCTCTCTTTTTAATCCTCAGAACAGTTCAATATTGTTGAATCTTACTATTACTCCATTTTATAGACAAGGAAACAGAAGCAAAGGATTTCACCCCCTGGCCCCAAGATAGCAGAGCTGGGATGTGGACCTAGATGGAAATCATTTTATTTTATTTTTATTATACTTTAAGTTCTAGGGTACATGTGCACAACGTGCAGTTTTGTTACATATGTATACATGTGCCATGTTGGTGTGCTGCATCCATTAACTTGTCATTTACATTAGGTATTTCTCCTAATGCTATCCCTCCCCCCTCCCCCCACCCCACAACAGGCCCTGGTGTGTGATGTTCCTCACCCGGTGTCCAAGTGTTCTCATTGTTCAACTCCCACCCATGAGTGAGAACATGAGGTGTCTGGTTTTCTGTCCTTGTGATAGTTTGCTAAGAATGATGGTTTCCAGCTTCATCCATGTCCCTACAAAGGACATGAACTCATCATTTTTCATGGCTGCACAGTATTCCATGGTGTATATGTGCCACATTTTCTTAATCTAGTTTATCACTGATGGACATTTGGGTTGGTTCCAAGTCTTTGCTCTTGTGAATAGTGCCACAATAAACATACGTGTGCATATGTCTTTATAGTAGCATGATTTATAAGCCTTTGGGTATATACCCAGTAATGGGATCGCTGGGTCAAATGGTATTTCTAGTTCTAGATCCTTGAGGAATTGCCACACTGTCTTCCACAATGGTTGAACTAGTTTACACTCGGTGGAAATCATTTTAAAAACACCCTCTTAACCATGTTACTGTCAGCTGCAGCCTCCATCACTGCCTACTTTCCAAGCAAGCAGCAGACCCAAGGGCAGTTCCCCGGATTTACTGTACCCGTGGGAATGGCTTGCTACATCCTCAGCACAACTTACAGATGAAGCACTAAGCCTACAAGGGTGACATGACTCACCTAGGGCCCCACGACATTTTAAAGCTAAATCTCAGATGGAAACCCAGGCGACTGACCTCACTTTCATCACTTAACCATGGCTCTGTTATTCAGCACAGCAGAAAGAACTTTACTGAGAATGACAAATAACCACACTAGCAAACTCTCTGCTCTTTTCTTTTAATGGTTCTGTGATAAGCCCAACCCATCCTGCTGAACTGCTGCCATCCCAATCTTATAGCATATGGCTCTCCCTTCCCAGGAGCGTGATACACTGTGAAAAGGTAACCAATAAAAGCCCCTTTCTTGAGCACACTGAAGTAAGGAAGACAGTTTACAAGTCACTCTCCAAAGCCCCTAGCTGGTAAGCTTAAGGAAATTCTTGAAACAGCTCTACTGCTCCATAAGAAGTAGGAAAATATGTTGCAGAAAAACAAGAAGAAAGAAGTGCGCACACACACATGCTCCCCTCACTGCATTTACTTTGGGTATGGAAAAGTCATCACACTTCAGGGCTAAGGGCAAGTGGAGGGCAGCTATGGCTCAGGGCACCGATTAGGCATTTACTTAAGAAACTAAAAGAAGTGGGGAAAGAAAGAAGAAAATCCTTTCACCACTTACCCTGAATTCCTCAAAAGGCTGGACCCTGTCTTCTTCATCTTTGGATCCCATGGACCTATCATAGTTACCTCACCAATTGCTGCCATCCTTTCTAAAGGTACCTCCTCCAAGAAGCCTTCACAGCTCCAACTGGTAGAGAACAGAGGTCACCAAGGCTCTACCTCAATCATATCCATAACAAATCTTAGCATAGTGCATCTTGATTCATCTGATTGGCACTCAATCTTTCCTCAACAAACTAGGAGCTTCTTAACAGCAAGACTGGTGTTTCACATACCTGTATCCCAAGAGTAGATATAGCCCGATACTACAGTGGATACTCAGGAAATGTAGGCTGACTCCAGTGCTACAGGGCTTTGCCTTGGGCCCTGTCCCATTCATACTATATCAATGACTTTAAAACAACCAAATCTGTTGGTGATAATAAATTGGAAGGGAAAGCGACCACCATCAAAGACAGCACTGATAGCCAGAATGATTTCTATAAGCTGTCTCTCAAGGTTGAAACCCATAAACAAAATAAAATCTCATGGAGAGTTGAGATAGGCATTGCATGAAGTTTCAAAATGCACATACAAAACAGAAAAGATTCCAAATTTTTAAAATCATTTTGTAAAAAATAACTGCATGTAAAAAATAGCTACATAAAAAAAATCGCTGTGTAACAACATTTGGGGAGACCTAGCCTGAGATCAACACGGGAGAAAAATGCAAGTTTTATTTGGCTACAAGCTTAACGGGAACCATCAGTGAGATACTGTTCTTCATTACTACTGCAGCTGCTACTCACAGTAACAGTAGGCGTGCCTGTAGTACCAGTAGGATAGCACTGACAGCAATTAGGATGGAAGCTACCATGTATCCCATGCTATCTGCCAAACATGGTGCTAAGTCCCATACTACACTCTCTCACTTCCTTACAACTCTATGAAGTAGAAATCTTCATCCCCATTTAAGAAGAAAGTAAACTGAGTCTCTGAGCAGTTAAGTGACTTGCACAGGGTCACACATCTGGGAAGCCACAGTTACAGTGACAAGATTCAAACCCAGCCTGATTGGCATCCACTAACCAAACTCTTAACTGCGGATGTAATCTGAGACCTGATGAGAAAGAACGAATAAAAAAAGGATAGCTCCACTATTATTTGCATCTATCAGACAACATCTAGAATGCTGTGTATAATTCTGGGTGTCCATTTATAAAAAAGGACATTTTCCCCCAATTCATGTTATTCAGAGGAATGTAACTGGGTTGCCCTGAATTGCAAACCCAGTTATCCCAGGTGCAGCAGAAGAATGGGAATGCTTATCTAGAAACAGAAAGATGGGTGGGGCAGGGGAGACGCGACAACTGTTCTTAGGTATCTGAAGAGCTTGTCTGTACAAGGCAGAAGGAAGATACATTCTTATTCTCAGCAACAGCAGAATGAGGGCCACTGAGTTGACACTTCAAGGAGGATTTGAGTTGGACAGAGGAAACTTCAGTGAGAACATCTGACAATGCAGTAAGTTGCCCCAAGTGTTGGAGAGTTACTGTTCACCAAGAAGCTTTTAGCAAGAGGCTGCAGGACCACAGCTGTCAGGGGTATCAAAGAAGGAATTCCCACAGGGGGAGAGGTTAGAGGAGGTTTCCATTTCCCACCTTTCAGATCCACTGACCCTCCAAACTAAGGAGGCCATGGTACATTTTGGTGTTCTGCTCTCTTTGCTCAGGAAGAATCAGTAGTTGTAACATGAGGCTCTGAGGGTCATTTTGTCCTGAAGTGGAAACAAACGGTATTTCTAACATTGTCCAAATGGTAACTGGAATTAGAATTCGCTCTTTTCAAGCAAGAAGCATATGTCTGGATAACGTGTTTGAAATGTGTCTGCAGGATCTAAATATCTGAACCATACATTTGAGTTTATTTCTATTTCTCAATAGTTCTATTTTACTGGATGAAGAACCTTGCAACTGATCCACAGTGAAAAATTACAATGAGTAAACATTAGTACTTCCTCCAGAAGACATTCATCTTCCACTAGGGAGAAGGAGATAAAATTATTTTCCCAAGCATAGTCCCAAAAGGCTGATATTTTGATCACCTTGCTTTCCCCTTGGCACTTACTCTGTATAACTTGTAGCTGTATTAAATTTATTATCAGGTGAACTTCATTATCACTTTCGTGCTTTTTTTCATTTTGAACATTAGGTTAGTTCTCTATCAAACTGATTTATTCATGTCCTCAGAATGTCCTGATTAAAAACATGTGAGTGGGCCAGGTGCAGTGGCTCATGCCTGTAATCCTAGTACTTTGGAAGGCTGAGGCGGGTGAATCACCTGATGTCAGGAGTTCGAGACCAACCTGACCAACATGGCGAAACCCCGTCTCGACTGAAAATACAAAATTAGCCAGGCGTGGTGACACATGGCACATGCCCGTAATCCCAGCTACTTGCGAGGCTGAGGCAGGAGAATCGCTTGAACCCAGGAGGTGGAGGTTGCAGTGAGCTGAGATAGTGCCATTGCACTCCAGTCTGGGCAACAAGAACGAAACTCCGTCTCAAAAACTCAAAACAAAACAAAACAAAAAACACATGAGTGAAGGTCTTATAGCAGCGAAAAATTCTCAATCAACTTCCTCCCCCAGCCCCCAGCACATACTAGGTACTCAATGAATGCTTGCTTGAAATGATGAGGCTGTTGATGGGACCATCAATGGGTATGAAAGTCTTAACTAAGGAGAAAGATGATATGATATTTACCGGTTTTTGCCAGACTGAGAAAATGGCAGTCTCATCGCCTGGGCAGAGGAGGATCAGGAGGCAAGCTAAGTAACAGTCTCATGTTTCTGTTGCACACTGAGACACAGTGGTGGGAGGCCAGAGGATCACAGGGAAGGGGAACAATCAAGTGTGGAGTTTAGAGGATCTAAAAAACTACTGTGAGTCCATGCCCTAAGTCCTATCATGCAATGGCAAAGAAGTATCTGAGTGGGGTCAACAAGTGTGGCATCTGCAAGCATGAGTATACATGCTAATCTCTGGCCAGAGAACTGGTATGTGCCCCAAATGTACTTAATGTGCTATGTGTGGATAGGCAAGAGCTCAGAGGGGTGGCCTCTGCACACCACAGGAGACAGACAAGGAGGGCTTATCCCAGGTCAATTCTATTTTTTGTGTGTATTTTGTTTGTTTTATTTTTTGAGACTGGGTCTGGCTCTGTCACCAAGGCTAGAGGGCAGTGGTGTGATCTCAGCTCACTGCAACCTCTGCCTCCCAGGCTCAAGCCATTCTCCCACCTCAATCTGCCGGGTAGCTGGGACTACAGGCATGTGCCACCATGCCCAGCTAACTTTTTGTGTTTTTTGTAAAGATGAGATTTTGCCATGTTGCCCAGGCTGGTCTCAAACTCCTGAGCTCAAGCGATCCTCCCACCTCAGCCTCCCAGAGTGCTGGGATTACAGGCATGAGCCACTGCACCCAGCATATCCGAGGTCAATTCCATACATCAAACAACCCTGAGAAACAGAGGACACTTTCCAAAATGTGTCTAGAGCTATACAATCTATTAGACAATCAAATTCCACATTAACAGAAGCAAAACAAACTGAATCTCTGGCTAAAATGTGGTAAGTAGCAGAGATTCATTCAGAGGAGGAATACATTTTGGAAACTTTGATCTGACTGGGCTTTGATGATCCAGGAAGCATAAGCAAAGTTTTCATGGAGAGAATGAGTATGTGATAAGCCAACAAAAGGTAAGGGTAAGAGGAATATCAGCAATCACTATTTATAAATATTGTTTTCTTTCCCTCTGCTTCTTTTTTTCTTTTTTCCCTGCCTCGCCCCACACCGCCCGCCCCATGCTTCTAAAGGCCAGCGTTTCTCATTAACTCGGCTGATGGAAGTAAGCAATATTATAATTAGATAGCCAAAACATAATATAAACAAAAACAGTAAAATAACAACATTCCTCTGAAAGTGATATAAAGTTTGCACATACAATGACAAATTAAATGTCACACAATTTCATCCAGTATAATTATTTCTAATTTGTAGACAAGGAAACTGAAGATATATTCTACATTTAGCAGTAGTCCTTTAATATTAAGTGGCAGAGCTGTAATCCAAGTTACTTTGGTTTATTCCAAAATTAGAGTTCTTTTCCTGACAGCCAAGTGTGATGGCTCACACCTGTAATCCCAGCACTTCGGGAGGCGGAGGCAGGTGGATCACCAGAGGTCAGGAGTTCAAGACCAGCCTAGCCAACATGGTAAAGCCCCGTCTCTACTAAAAATACAAAAAAATTAGCTGGGTGTGGTAGCACGGGCACCTGTAATCCCAGCTATTCGGGAGGCTGAGGCTGAAGAATTGCCTGTACCTGGGAGGCGGAGGTTGCAGTGAGCCAAGACTGTGCCACTGCACTCCATCCTGGGTGACAGAGCAAGCCTCCATCTCAAATAAAACAAAATAAAACAAAAACAAAAGGAGAGTTCTTTCTCTGAGAAAAAGAAGCCACCTAAATGCAATTGTGTCCCTCACAGAGAGGGAAAGATATCACAGATCACCCCATCCTGTCACATCATCAACTGAACAAGTCAGCATGGTACCTTGGTACTGAAAGTGAGTATGCAGATGTGGGAAATTAGAATGTTATATAACCTCTACATATTTCTTTAACTGAAAGCACTACATAGCACCACAGATTAATATCCGTCTCAGACTTAGGCAACTGAAAAGCAAATAACCACAAACTACATTTTCAAAAACCACATTATGATTGGGTTAAGATACATCACAGCACTGGCCATTTACTAGGTTGTATCTGTGAGGAGGGGAATGAGGCCATCTAAATGTGGCACCTCCACAGGACACACACATGGGACACACACACACACACACACACACACACGTTAACACCAAGCTGACCTTTTTTTCCCATGGCCAAATACCTCATCTTCTCTCAGATGTGTACAAAGCACACATGGCTGTTTCCACAACCTGCTTTTGCCATAAATGACTGCCCAATAAAATAAAAACTAATGATTAACTTTTGCTCCCTGGAAATCACTGAAAAAGAAAAATATATTTCCTGAATAGCCTTTGCATACAGGGCACTGACTATTCCCAAGCTCTCTGAAGAAGCTTTAAAATTATTTGCCATTATGAGTTAGTCACAGAACTAACATAAATACATAACACAGAAGAGGTCAGTTCCTGAATTGAAATATTTACTAACCACGTGGATATTTTGGTTGTAAACGTTCCCTGAAAATGTCTCTTCTAACCAGCCTCTGCTTATGGAACACATGGAGTCTGGACAGTCACCAAACTCCCCCAATTCCATATATCTGGAATTGGTATTATTGTAGGGTCAATAATTATATACAGGTTCTTTGCTAAGCACTAGAGATACACAGTCCATTAGGGAAGAAAAGCAAATAAATTAAGATCTCAAAGAGAAATAGGACTTAACCAGACCAGATGAGAACTACCACAGCTGTGAAGAATTGCAGGGCTCAAATCCTAGAGAGGTGAAACTGTTTTCCTTAGAGATCTATTGCCTCAAATGGCAGATGTAAGGCTGAGAAGCTGAGCAGAACTTTCAATAGACTCATGGCCTGAGGATATAAAAAATTGGAGTTTAAGGCCCTCCAAGGTGGAGGATCTATGGTAAAACCCCTAGACTTTTGGTTGGCACCCTGAAGAACTATACCCAGGGGGAACTGGAAATAGACTGGCCATTACAGGGACTGAAGCTCTGCTTCAAATCATCTCAATTCCTGACTAGATTAAAGCTAATCTGAAATAGAAGTTTCTAGAAGCAAAGGTAAATCCTTTCCAGAGACACATCACACTATCTAGATCTCAACCTCCACAATTTTTCACATAAAATGTCTGCTAGTCAGCCAAAACTAACCAGGCATGTGAGAAAACAAGACATGACTGAAAGCCAAGAACAACAGAAACAGATCAACATGGTGGCCAGATATTAGAGTTATCAGACAAACGTTTAAAAATGATGACTGAAAAACACAGTGAAACAGCCCTGCACACTGACCAGAGCACCTTAAATAAAACATATTGACGATATCAAGCATTGATGAGAAGAACAGTTTTTGTTCTTTTTCTTTGGCTAAAAGAGAAAGTAAACACAGTAAACTGTTAACATTATGTAGTAGGTACACAGTTATCTATTACACTATTTTCTGTACTATTCTGAATTTTTGTAACACTTCATAATTAACTGTTTAAAAAAGAAAAAAAAGATGTGGCTAGAGGGATCAGCAAGGGTTAAATTATGTTAGCCTTCAGAAGTCATGTGCAAGAATTTATACTTAATCAGCCAGGTGCAGTGTCCCACATCTGTACTCCCAGCACTTTAGGAGGCCAAGGTGTGAGGATTGCTTGAGGCGAGGAGTTCGAGACCAGCCTGTGTAACAGAGCAAGACCCCATCTCCACAAAAATTAAAAATAAAAGTAACAAGACCTGGCGTGGTGGCTCACACCTGTAATCCCAGAACTTTGGGGGGACAAGGCGGGTAGATCACCTGAGGTCAGGTGTTTGAGACCAGTCTGGCCAAAATGGCGAAACCCCGTTTCTACTAAAAATACAAAAATTAGCTGGGGGGCACCTGTAATCCCAGCTACTTGGGAGGCTGAGGCATGAGAATCGATTGAACACGGGAGGCAGAGGCTGCAGTGAGCTGAGATCACGCCACTGCACTCCAGCCTGAGGGATAGAGCGAGACTCTCTCAAAAAATAAAAATTAAAAAAAAAGATAAAAGTAATTAAGTTTTTAAAAAATATTTTACACTTTATTCTTTGGATAATAAGAAGGCATTAAAGGATTTTAAACAGGGGAGTGACCTCATGTGACTTGCTCTCTATATAGATCAGTCTAGTCACAATGTGGCAAAGAGAGGGAAGGCAGGGAGCCCTCTGGGAGGCTGCTGCAGTAACCCAGATGAGGGATGATCATGGCTTTTCTGCTGGCAATGAAGAAAAGCTATAAAGACCTGAATTATGGAGTATGAATTGTCTAAGGATTTGGGGTTTAGTTCTCAAAACTGTTAAATTATATCCCAGTCAAATGAGGAAGCAAAGGAGGCCACTGGGACAAAGAGAAACCTAAAATGAGAACAATTTCATTAGAGCAAGGGCAACATCCAGGATAAAGCCTGGGATTGGTGAAAAGAAAAATGTGAATTTTTCTGTAAATCCTTAGAAGAAACACAAGTAGCTCTAAAACTGAAAGCTAACAAGCGCTCAGCTCCACACCAGATGGTCAGATAGATACATTCACAACTTGCCAGCATTCTAAGGCCTTGTGCACCCCCTTCCAAGCATGCAGATGCTTTTATCTGAGATGAAAAAAATTCTATTTCTGATTCTGACAGCAAATGCCAAGTCACATCTTGCCGGTAGAGAATGACATCTCCCAACCACAAACCCACCTAGAATTTTACAACCTTATTCTCATTTTGACCACTACTTCCACCAGCCCCGCTGGAAAGTAAAAGAAACTGAGGAGGGATGACGGCTTCTAAAGAACTCAGCTTTTTTATCTGCAGCCCTCAAAAAGTAGATCTGTTTTCTCTAGATTATTCATGAGCAGCCCATGTGTTATTCTGTGAAGAAAAATTAAGCATATCCAACAACTTTATTCCCGTATTCTGAAAAATGAGCCTCAGGCAGAGTCTATTTCTTCAATTGCTCTGTAATCCTATATTGAGAAGATATTGAAGAATTAATTTTCTTTATCATTACCCTTTGAGCCTTTTCAAAAAGTTCAGGTTTAAAATTAAGCACATCAAGTAACCAGTCTAGCTAGTTTGGTTATAAATATACATTCTTGGAACTGACTTATGAATGACTACTTTGCTAGAGATGGGATTTTGCATGATATTCTCCCCCCCAATCTGTTCACACCATAAAAAATATTCAGAGATGTTCTTTTTAAAGGAAGCACTTTCCACACACATGTCCATGTAGTGTCTCAATTTGTATACATTCTGCTGGGGTAGCTTGGTTTTAGAGGCAGGGTAGTATACTATTTGCATTCAACATTTTTCACATGCCAGAATAAGTAAAACTTGGACAAACATGGTTGCCTTCTGTTCCTAAGTTATAAGGTGCATCGGTCTGACATACTAAGAGGTTCAGGAATTAATCACTAAATGACACAACTTCCTGCTTCAACATTTAACCAGAAAACACCCTTTCTCTTTCTCTCCAAACAATGCTGCTGAATCAAAATTTCAACCCATCAGAACTCAGGCAACTAGAGGCATGATAAATACCACCTAGCAGATCTTAATAGTTCATAATAAAACAGTAATAAACTTTATAGTTATTTATATATCATGCATGCTTTGATCAAATTTACGAGACTGAATACAATTTCTAAAGTTATAGGCAGATTTCCTCAAATAGTTATCACCATCACAATCCAGGAAAAGATAACATGCTCACAGACATTTTTACAAAATGCTCTGAGGTTGAAATAAGAAACATGCGCTTAATGTGCCTTTAGGGAAATCCCAAGATTAATTTCCAGAGTATGTAAATACCCCTCGGAAACACATGACAGCCTGGCTGCAGACTGCCCAGAGGACAGATGCCACCATTCCAAGACACATGCTCTGTGAATAATACTCACTGGGTTAAGCGTTTCTTCAACAGAATGATGAACAGTCCACCAGTCTGAAGTCCATTCCCATGCGTTCCCCACTATGTTGTATAAGCCATAACCATTGGGAGGGAAGGCATCAACCTAAAAACAAAGACAGGAAAAATGCTGTCAAACTATTCACCTGGTTTAAAAAACATCTTCAGTGCAGAAATGCAGCAAGAGCTTTAATTTCAGAGTATGAATGTTGGGTTTTATTCCAACAGTCAAAGTACAATTTGACCAACATAAAGACAAAGAAAGGGGCATTTTTTTTTTGGCTTTGAGCTCTTAGAGGAATTCAGAAACCTAAAGAGAGTTCATATTAAATGGTATGAAAGTCAGAGAAATTATTCCTAATAGAGTTACTAATATTATCATCAATCAAAAATTTGTGTCAAACATTGGGTGAGTAGGGAGAGGATAGATGATACTTAGACTTTCAAAATCATTCACAGGAAAATCCCATTGGACCCAATATGAGTCTTGTCATCACAGCTCAGCTTTCCTGGCCACACAATGTCTTTCAGCACTGAGCGACCCCAAGTCAGTTAGCTCTGTCCTCTCCACAAGTTTCTGCCAACTCATCATCTTACCTTAAGCCTCAAAACTTAAGGGGATTTCTTTTTATAAAGAAAATGTGAATCCATTATCAAGTGTATTGGTAATACAGGGTTTTCAGTCTCTGAAACCTGAGTCTGAGGCAAACAGTATGCATTCTTCAGCAGAAAATTATACATTTCAAAGGCAGGTCAGACAGTCTGCCACATAATACTGTCACAAACACAGGACCAAAGTGCAGAGTTTTTATAAAAGGGGGGAGAGCAGGAGGAAAAAAAAAAAAAAAAAACTTTAACTGAACAATAATAAATGCAGAATAGTTTTGCTGGCTTAATGGCTTAACATTTTTCCCAACATTTTAAAATGGAAATTCTCAAACATAAAGAAAAATTTCATTTTTAAAATGAAAAAAATATATATGTATATCAAGTAATCCTTGGGGGTTTAAAAATCTTTTTGTAAATCCATGCTTTTTCCAGACTAAATGAAGTAGAATGGAAGGAATGAATAAACTAAAATTCATTCCCTGTGGCTTCAGATGGTTTCACATCTACCCATGAATATGGAAGCATCTGATGCTTGGGCAATTCAGAGCACTCCAATCAAAGTCACGAAGCTAGTGTGAAAAGAACTTAATCTGGATGAGTTGGAAAGCTGAAAATTCTCACCACACTGCTTCCAAAATCAGCAATCATTATGGAAACAGCAGTATTTATTCATTGATTCATTCAGTAATTCCATGCACAGTGACTAAAGACAGTGAGGGCTTCAATAACAAATAATGAATGACCTCAACTAGTTTAATGAGGGAGAAAAAAAGAATATACCCAAAACTCAAAATCCAACTCTGAAATGCAGAATGGGATGAGTAGGGTAAGAGAGGGAAATAAAATGTCAGAGAAACTCGCAAGAGAGAGAAGCTTCTGGCTGAAGGCATTCTCCTTTACAAAAGTAGAGTTGTCTGGGCAGATTTCAAATAGGGCTCAGAGTTCAAAAGAGAACGAAGAGGCCACAGGCATAAACAACTTTTTCAACAATTTGGAGATGATCAAAAAGAGCATGGTAGAGTAATAGCTGGGAGAGGTAGGAAGGAAAAGAAGAAATTCAGTTATTTCAGGAATACAAGGAAAGGAGCCAGAGGAGCAAGTGCGGTTAAAAGATGAAACAGGCCAGGTGCCGTGGCTCATGCCTGTAATCCTAGCACTTTGGGAGGCCAAGGTGAGCAGATCACCTGGGGTCAAGAGTTCAAGACTAGCCTGGCCAACATGGTCAAACCCTGTCTCTACTAAAAATACCAAAAAAATTAGCCAGGCAGGTGCATGGTGCACGCCTGTAATCCCAGCTACTCAGGAGGCTGAGGTAGGAGAATTGCTAAACCCAGGAGGCAGAGGTTGCAGTGAGCCAAGATGGCACCACTGCACTCCAGGCTGGGTGACACAGCGAGATTACGTCTCAAACAAACAAACAAAAACAGATGAAACAAACACTGGAGGAAGGAATCATTTTCCAGACTTATAGAGCACAGGTGGAGGTGCTCTCAAATCAGTCTGCCTGAGGTCCTATGTGTGCATCAATACTATTTTTTTTTTAGACAGGGTCTTGCTCTGTCACCCAGACTGGAGTACAGTGATGCAATCACAGCTCACTGCAACCTCAACGTCCCAGGCTCAAGCGATCCTCTCAGCTCAGCCTCCCGAGTAGCTGGGACCACAGGTGTGCACCACCACAACCGACTAATTTTTGGAATTTTTTGTAGACATGGGGTCTCCTCATGTTGCCCAGGCTGGTCTTGAACTCTTAGGCTCAAACAAACCTCTTGTCTCAGCCTTCCGAAGTGCTGGGATTATAAGCATGAGGCACCAGACCCAGTGACACCAACAGTTAACAGCTAACACTAGGCAAGCAACTTAACCTATATGGGTGCTATTTTGTCTGTAAAATGGGAAAAATAATAGTACCTACTCAAGGGTTTGGGTATTTTTTTCTTTACCCACCTTAAATAATTTGATGTTTAAGTGAAGTAGAATGTGGAGGTCACCACCCCTAAAATTACCATAGGTGAGTATGCCACTAAGGAAAATAAAAATGTTAACTGCCTGCTATTAAACCAATCTACTAACTAAAGCTTCCTCTCAGGAACCTCAAAAGCAAACAAATGTATATGAGAATACTCCTGGCACATTTTCAGATGAATAAGCTGATATGCGTTAAAGCCAAAATTAATCATTGTGTAACAAGCAGAATGGCAAAATGTAAATTCTTTAGTCTCACTGTGGTCAAAATAGTTTGCTCAGTATAAAATCAGGTCTAGCTGGGTGTGGTGGTTCATGCCAGTAATCCCAGCACTTTGGGAGGCTGAGGAAAAAGGATAGCTTGAGGACAGGAGTTCAAGACCAATCTGGGAAACACAATGAGACCTCACCTCCACAAAAAAAAAATTTTTTTTTAAGATAGAGTCTCACTCTGTCACCCAGGCTGGAGTGCAGTGGCCTGATCTTGGCTCACTGCAATCTCTGCCTCCTGGGTTCAAGCAATTCTCCTGCCTCAGCCTCCTGAGTAGCTGGGATTACAGGTGCATGCTGCCACGCCCGGCTAATTTTTCTGTATTTTAGTAGAGACGGGGTTTCACTGTGTTTCCCAGTCTGGTCTCAAAATCCTGAGCTCAGGCAATCCACCTGCCTCAGACTCCCAAAGTGCTGGGATTACAGGCATGAGCCACCGCACCTGGCCCCAAACAAATTTTTAAATTAGCTGGGCATGATGGTGTGCACCTGTAGTCCCAGCTACTTGGAAGGCTGGGGTGGAAAAATCACTTGAGCCCAGGAGGCTGAGGTTGCAGTAAGCTGTGATCATGCCACTGCACTCCAGCCTGGGCAACAGAGCAGGACCCTGTCTCAAATAAATAAAATGAGACCTGAAATAATAAATACATGAAATATCAGGTCAGGGAGCTATTTCCCTGTAGTCCATCTCATTATCAAAGTTAAATTCCTGCTCCAGTTGACCAGAGCATGTGGACACAAAAGAGCAGCTTAGGTGGACTTGAGATACTACGTGTAAACGATTGCCATAAGATAGAGATCTCATTAAGACTCATTCTAAACACAGATGGCAGCTGTCTCTCTCTGGCTGGCTTGCTTGCTTTCTCCTCTAGTCCTGTTTGTCAAATTGGTTCCTTTAGGACTCCCAGTAAATGTTCTAATCTGTTTTAGTAACTTCCATGGCAACTTCTTCAGGTCAATTTCCCACACATATGCTGAACTTTCAGTCAAATATTCCAATTCTAAACATCTGTAGAGTGTCCTTATTTCATATTGAACATTGTATTTTTTGAAAAGGTACACTGATTTTAGAAGAGTAAATGGCTCTATATTCCTTGGTAGCTCATGTAATTAAATAGAAAAGAAACTGTAGCTGCAAGTGCTGTCAAATATGCATAACTGTCCAAGAAAACCCTGTCATGGCCTTTTGTTAAAATGAACAGGCACTTATATCATTCGTTTGGTTCATCAAAAATGCTTATCACAGGCCAGGCGCAGTGGCTCATGCCTGTAATCCCAGCATTTTGGGAGGTCAAGGCGGGAGGATCACCTACCAGCCTGGCCAACATGGCGAAATCCTGTCTCTACTAAAAATACAAAAGTTAGTCAGATATTGTGGTGCACAGCTATAATCCTAGCTACTAAGGAGGCTGAGGCAGGAGAATCACTTGAACCCAGGAGGCGGAGGTTGGAGTGAGCCACGATCACGCCACTGCACTCCAGCCTCGGCAACAGAGTAAGACTCCATCTCAAAAAAAAAAAAAAAAAAACAGACAGAAAAATAAAAGAAATGATTATCACGGTCTTGTCCAAATGAGGGCCACAAAAGCCATCACCTGTGTCTTTGGAATGGAGCTCATTTCAAATGAGCATATGATTATGCCAACAAAAGAATGGTGAGAAAGGAACTCTTGTACACCCATAAAGGAAAACATGCCCCAAGTGTTCTGGAAAATAATTCAACCATATATCTGAAACTCTTACCAAGAAAAGTTTTCTAACCTTTGACTCAATCATTTCACTGCTGGGAATCTATCTTTAAAAAATCATCAAAGGGCCAGGTGCGGTGGCTCATGCCTATAATCCCAACACTTTGGGAGGCTGAGGCGGGAGGATCGCCTGAAGTCAGGAGTTCAAGACCAGCCTGGCCAACATGGTAAAACCCTGTCTCTACTAAAAATACAAAAATTAGCCAGGTGTGGTGGTGTGCACCTGTAGTCCCAGCTACTCGGGAGGTTGAAATGGGAGAATTGGTTGAACCCAGGAGACAGAGGTTGCAGTGAGCCAAGATTACACCACTGCACTACAGCCTGAGTGACAGAGTGAGACTCCATCTCAAAAATAAATAAATAAATAAGTAAATAAAATGGCTCAAGGTTGAAGTGAGTGCTCTTTTGCCCGCCTTCTGCCTTCTGCCAGGGGAGGACACAGCATTAGTCCCTTCTGGTGGATGCAGCCGACATCAATCATGCTGCTGCCTTGGTCTTAGACTTCCCAGCCTCCAGAATTGCAAGAAATAAATTTCTGTTGTTTACAAATTATCCAGTCTGTAGTATTTTCTTACAGTAGCACAAAGGGACTAAGACTAAGACATGGCTTTATGAGTATATGATTATGCCAGCAAAAGAACGGTGAGAAAAGATTTCTTATACACCAATAGAGGAAAACATGCCCCAAGCATTCTGGAAAACAGTTTGGCCATATATCTGAAACTCTTACCCAGAAAGTTTTCTAGACTTTGAATTATTTCACTGCTGGGAATCTAATCTATCTTTCAAAAATCATCAAAGACGTAGGTTAATATTTATGTACAAGATGTTCACTGTAGAAAAAAAAAACAGAAATAACCTGTTTCCAGTAAATACATTGGGGTTTATTTATGACAGGTTATCCAGCTGCTGAAAGACAATGTATTTGTGGCATACTGCTAATGACAGATGAAACGTTTCTGATATAGGCAGGAAAAAATAGTAGGATTTTAAATACTGTATCCAGTCTTACCTAAATGCAATATGTAAAAAAATATGATACATATACACCAGAAACACATATGCTGGCAAATACGGTAGTTAAGAGCATGGGCTTTGGAAATAAACCGACCTGGTTCAAATTCCAGCTGTGCCGCTTTCCAGCTGTGTAACCTTGAGCAAGTTAGTTAACCTCTCTGTGCCTCAGAATGCTCACCTGGAAAATGGGGATAATAGTACCTACCTTACAGAGTTGAATGGACAGTAAATGAGACAATTCATGCAAATGCCTTGGCGCACAATGCCCAGCACATTGCAAGCACTCAATAACTACACGCCATTATTAGCATCATCAACACAGAGAACAAATGGGGAAGAAATGCACCAATATGCTAACAGGTATTATTTCTGGGTGGTAGAATTCCAGGACAGTTTAGCTTTCTCCTTTATAGTCTTCTCATTTTTCCAAATAATCTACAGTAAGTATTATGGAATCAGAAAGGGAAATCCATTATACAAAAAGAAAATCTGTTTAATTATTAGTATTTGCTACGTGCAACAGTGAATGCATACACGAAGGGAACACCGTGTGAGTCACAAAGTGAGCAATGCCTTTCACCCCATGTCTACTGGGAGCCTCAGTTCTCAGCAGCTGCCACCCTCCTGCAGAGGTCTCATTACTCACAGGCGCAGTTCCTTGGAAGCCATCCTCACCAGTGTTGGTCACCGGAAACTCGCCCTGCCAAATGTTGGCATAATGCTGGCCTTTGGGCTGCAGTTTGTTGCCCCAGGGGAAAAGTCTGTCAGAAGAGACACAGGCATCAGCCTGTCAAACAGGCACAGGTTTTGGATGAAAGTCAAGAGAAGGGATGCAATGAAAAAGAGAACATTGCTTGCTTGTTCTGAGTGAGCCAGTTAAAATATATATATAAATAAATAAAGCTTTTAATCAGGATTTATTTTCAATTTCCTTATAACTTCTCATGTCACGTCCACAACAGCCTCAGTCTTGCCCAGGTACTCAGGAGGCCTGAAATAAATCACAAAACTAAAAGAAGGACTTATAGAAAGCTGGGAGAGTAGACCTCATTTTGGACTTATATGGTAGTGTGATCAGGCACCACCACACCACACTTTTTTATAAAGCCTGGGCTATTTTAAGGAGCCTTTCCTAGAAGATGTGAACCCAACATGAGTTTTCTGTCTCATGGCTCTAGAAGCAGAGACATACCGCTGCTTCAGGAGATGCCTAAAATAAGAAAATGCTAAAAGCAGGGCAGTCTGCCAAGAAGTTCTAAGCAGTGATATGTAACTCAAGGGGGTTGAATTGCTAAGACTTGCTTTGGGGCTGGAGGGAGCCCACTTGGCCAGACACTTGGTTTAGGGGTGATAAAAGATTTGTGACCCATTCTCCAGTGTCTTCTAAGTAATTTCGTGGAAAAATAAGAAAAAGAATTATTGTCGTTATTAACTTTCTAACCAAAGTAAGTTCCATGGAGTTTTTTGTTGTTGTTTGTTTGTTCAAATGACCAACATATTGTCAGGCAAAATGAGATCCTCTAAATACCTATTATGCAGGCCTCCTCGACAGCTGTATTCCCACTCAGCTTCCGTGGGCAGCCGCTTCCCTGCCCAAGTGCAGTAGGCAACCGCATCATTCCAGGACACATGGAGAACTGGATGATCCGGCCTGGGGAAGAGCAAAAGTAGAATGAAAAGTGACACCAATCAGAACAAGAAGCAGGAGCTGGCTTCAGCAAAGCGCCCATAATCCCCCTCAGTTCAATCTGTGACACTGAGGTCATCCTGGTCCTTAAGTCAAACCCCAGCCATGCTACATCTGTCATGCTCCACCAACGGTTTCTGACAACCCAGGCTCCCAAATGGGTTACAGTTCCACTGGGAACTAGACTCAAAACATTTCTTCACTTTGTAGGCTCGGATTCCCACAGAATGTCATTGGTATGGCAGATGCGGAGATACTCCAGCTGCTAGGAGGGCCAGCAGGAGCTTTCAGCTCCTTTGGGGTTCAGCAGAGCTGACAGCCATCTCAGAGAAACCAGTGACTAACCAACCACAGCAGGGGCATACAGAGCCAGCCATTTCAGCCTACAGTGGCTCAACCTATGGGCCATATACACCCTAGAGGCCCCTGTGTTGGGTGGAGCTTGGTTGGACCTGCATTGTGGCTTT
Organism: Homo sapiens; assembly: GCF_000001405.40. NCBI lineage: Eukaryota > Metazoa > Chordata > Mammalia > Primates > Hominidae > Homo > Homo sapiens. The sequence continues at coordinate 4,418,636 of NC_000003.12, forward strand.
GACTTCTCCCTCTGCCCAGTCCTGCTCTGGCCCCTGCTTTCTACAGGTGTGGGGCCCTAACATTCTGCATCCTAAACTCTGTTTCAGCCTCTGTTTCCAGAGAACCCAACCTGTGACCCTTGGCTTTCAATTCTGTGTCTTTCTACTTTTCCTCTACAAGAGGCCGGTCTTTTTTTCCTGAGGGTATAAAGGGTGTGGAAGTTTGGGGAAAAAAAACTGAGAAAAAGGGGATAGACTCATTCACCCAGCACTAGATGGCTTTGGCTGAATTCCCTGCTCACTTTTTTAAAAGTGGGCTACAAATTCCTAGTCCATTCCTTATACACCTTTGAATTCCCCACAGTAATTACACCAGGCCTTTCATTTATTCTTTCAACAAACATCTACTGAGTACCTATCATGTGCCAGTCACTGTTTCCAGCACAGACAACAGAGGTACTCTTCTCAGAAGATCCATCGGTGTTGACTGCATGGATAACATACATTCCCCTTTTGGGTTTTCCTTCCTCCCTTAGCATTTTCCTCTGTTACTAAATTCAGGAAAGCAGATATTAACTGGGAGCTAAGAAGCCAAGTCCACCTGAGAAACCCAGGAATCCTATGACTTTCCACCTCGAAGCCTAATTGCAGCACAGCGGCTTCCAATTGAGGCTTTGAAAGATGTTTGACATTTGTCAAGGGGCTATATCCCTAAAGCTGAACTTCCTATACTCGCAGCTCCCCGACAATAAGGGCAATAACCAGGAATGTTGTTAAAAATAGAGACTTAAAAACTGCATCTGAAAAATTAGGTTAGGAGAGCAGGTTTCTTGGGCTGCTGAGATGCTGAGTCCTAACCCAAACCTTGCTCAATCTCCAGGGTTTAAAGTGTTACTCTATTTTTGCTTGAGATAATTATTTCCTTGCCACCCTGGAGACTTGCTGACCGACTTGGCTCTCTGTGGTTTTCCAGTTAGATGGTGGCTTCAAAGAATTCCAATCTGGAACTCAAGATCATGTGAATCCTATACCCAAGGCCTGGGCTTCCACAGTGGCAACCTGGGAGGACACAATTACTTATCCATAAGACAGACGTCTTCTTCCTCATAGACCCGCTAATAATGGAAACAGAATGTAAAGATTAAACATGTCATGAGGTTTGGAATAGGCCTCTCAAAAGGAGCAGGGAAACTGGGAAGAGGCAACTCTTTGACAAGCCAAATGAGGAGAGAAAGAGGCCACTAATTAAGAGCTTTCTTATGAGCAAGGTGCAGTGTTTGGGTCTTTACATACGTTATTTCCCACCATCTTATTTTCCTACCAATCAATTACAGTTTGTCATTCTTATCATTTTATAGATGAAGATGCCCACTGAGTTCTTTTGCAAGAGCAAAGGGTACCTATTTTGCAATGGAACTTGTCAACTGGGGAAAGAGGGACCAGCCTCACCTGTGCAGAATAGTAGAGTCAGGCCCTTCTGGGTGTCTCCAGTTAGCGCCTTTCACAGGTAACCACCAGGGAGCAGCTGCAACCTCAAAGCAACCCAGAACAGGCTGATGTTAGCTACTAACATCAACTCTAGAAAAATATCAACTCAGTACATGCAGCAAAAATCTCAATGTCTTCAACTTCCATTTGGATTACCAAACAAATACATTTGCCAGAATACCAAAATAAAGACTTATATGTAAATAAATCTTTAACAAAAAAAGTATTACTTCATATCATAAAGCCTCACAGCAAACAAATACATATGTATTTAAATGGTGTATATCTATAAGAATTTTTTTTTTTTTTTTGAGATGGAGTCTCGCTCTGTCGCCCAGGCTGGAGTGCAGGGGTTGCAATCTTGGCTCACTGCAACCTCCGCCTCCCAGGTTCAACCGATTCTCCTGCCTCAGCTTCCCGAGTAGCTGGGACTACAGGCACGTGCCAGCAAGCCCAGCGAATTTTTTGTATTTTTACTAGAGACAGGGTTTCACTCTGTTAGCCAGGATGGTCTCGATCTCCTGACCTTGTGATCCGCCCGCCTCGGCCTCCCAAAGTGCTGGGATTACAGGAGTGAGCCACCACACCCGGCCTCTGTAAGAATTTTTAAAAAGTGCATGGCTAGCCAATCCTCTATAATCTCTAACAAGTGAGACAGGTAGTGCTGCTCCTATTTAAAAGATGAGGAAACAGAGTTAACCCTACAATTAAATGTGAGGCTAAAGGTCAACCATGGTGGTCAGAGATCAAGCTGAAGCACAGAAGAAAAAATGGGGTGTATTTTCAAAAGACCCCGATTCAACTTCCAACCCAACATTAGCTGGGTGACCCTGGGCAAGTTCACTACTTGTCTGGACCCTCCTAGTCCTTGTCTGTGAAATGGGAGCACACCCACCTGCCTCACCTAACTCAGAATACAGAGGTCAAGTGAGGTAAGATTGGAAAATGCTCAGCAAACAGTAACTAGAACCTTAACTCCTACTTTATGGTTCTGTTAACCAAAATAACAACAGTCAGGAGTCCTCATTTAGTGAGTGGTTTAGTTAGGAACACAGGCTTTGGAGCCAGTCAAAATGAGATTTGAATCATGGCTCTGCTGTTCACGGTGTGACCCTAGGCAACTTATTTAACCTCTTTCCCCAAGCCTGTTTTCTCATGTGGGGATACAGATAGTAACAGCACCTATATCTTGGGTTATTACAAGGAGGAAATATAATACGCATACAGGACTTATGACTATGCCCTTAGCAACTGAGGTTAATGACTCAGCAAGCACTCAGTAAAGGGAACCAGTCTCACTATGGCCCCATGACACTCAGTCACAAGGAGAGCCACAAAAACTAATCATTGTTGCTAATACTAGCTAAAGAACAGATGTTGCAAATGATTCTTTTTGAGACAGGGTCTCACCCTGTCCCCTAGGCTGGAGAACAGTGGCACGGTCATGGCTCACTGCAGCCTTGACCTCCTCAGCTCAAGTGATCCTCCCGCCTCACCATCCCAAGTACCTGGGACCACAGGTGTGCGCCACAATGCCCAGCTAAATTTTTTGTATTTTTTTGTAGAGATGGGGTTTTGCCATGTTGCCCAGGCTGGTCTTGAACTACTGGGCTCCAGTGATCCCTGCCCAACTTGGCCTCCCAAGGTGCTGGGATTACAGGTGTAAGCTACTGCACCTGGCCTGCAAATGATTCTTCTAATACAAATACAAATACAAAAGAAAGTGACTCAAGGTTATCCCCACAACAATGTTACTCTTTGATTGTTTTCATCCTTTTGAGCTTGTCTGAGTAGAAGTTAAGGGAGAATATGTCCCTGCTAACAATTACAGCAATCACTGAAAACACCAAGCCCCATTCTTGTTCATTCTCTTTTCACATCAACACAATCAGAACATTCATGATATCTCAATCACAATTTGATGGGAAAACCCAATTTTTAAAATATTTCAACAAAAGAAGGCATTAGGTCCTTAAATGACACTATAGCAAGGTGTTTTATTTTACAGAGAACAGGGGAGTGAAGAGGCATGGCTTCTTTCTATTTCATTTGTGGCGCTGTAGAAGTTCCTCTGGGGGCTGTTCTCACTGACTGGGCTGTGCAGGTTTAGGTGCCCATGACAGGTAATTCATTCAGTGTCAAGGGAGGAGCTGCAGTGAAAGCTCAGGTCAGCCCACACTTGTGTTTCAGGAGGATCCTCAGATCATTCTTCCAACTCTACCCTGTCCCCAACACTAAGCACCACCACCAGAAGGTTCTAGTTCTTAAATTAAAAAATAAAAATAAAAAAGCTTAAAAGAATGACAAAATATAGCAATATGTTAACCTCCATGAATGACTTTTCTTCTCATACCCTTTTGTGTCTTAAAATATTTCATCATTAGTGATTTAAAAAAAAAAAAAAACATGATTTGTTTGTCCATTCTACTACTAATGGGTATTTGGGTAGTTTCCAGTTTGGGGCTATTATGAATAGTACTGCTTCTATCAATATTCTTAAAAGAGTTTGTGGCTTTTGGCAAATATATGTACGCATTTCTGCCGACAGTACATGGTGGAGTGGAACAGCTGAGTCCTAGAATACACATGTGCACAGCTTTAGTAGAGGCAAACACAAGCCTTAAACAGGAGAAGGCCCCTGCCATTTCCTACCCTCTTTTCTTCCTTTTTTTTTTTAAAAAAAATTATGTATTTATTTTTTAACTTTTTATTTCCATAGGTTTCTGAGGAACAGGTGGTATTTGGTTACATGTGTAAGTGCTTTGGTGGTGATTTGTGAGATTTTGGTGCACCCATCTCCTAAGCAGTATACACTGAACCCAATTTGTAGTCTTTTATCACTTCCCCTGAGTCCCCAAAGTCCGTTGTGCCATTCTTATGCCTTTGCATCCTCATAGCTTAGCTCCCACTTATAAGTGAGAACATATGTTGTTTGGTTTTCCATTCCTGAGTTACTTCACTTAGAATAATGGAAAGAGCGTGGAGATTCCCTAAGGAACTAAAAGTAGAACTACCACTTGATCCAGCAATCCCACTACTGGGTATCTACCCAGAGGAAGTCATTACATGAAAAAGATACTTGCACACACATGTTTATAGCAGCATAATTCACAATTGCAAAAATGTGGAACCAACCCAAATGCCCACCAATCAACAAGTGAATAAAGAAACTGTGATACACACACACACACACACACACACACACACACACACAATGGAATACTACTCAGCCATAAAAGAATGAATTAACGGCATTCACAGCAACCTGGATGGGATTGGAGCCTACCCCTTTTTCAAAGGGGAGCTTTCCCTCAAGTCAGTTTATGTATAGAAGTCCCTAGGGCTTCTCTCTAGTGACCTCTCAGCCCATACTCTTCTACTCTCCTTTTCCTCTCAATTCAATCTGGTTACAAATGTTTATTGAGCACCGACTGTATGGCTAGCACTGAACCTGATTCTTGGAGGGGATCTACAAGTCCCAGGAATCCTCAGAGTATGACTGAAGACAATTGGTATATTAAATAGTTTTAAAAGTATTTATTTTACATATAATAATTGATATAGTTTATATATTTATCCCCACTCAAATCTCATGTTGAAATATTAATATAATCCCCAATATTGGAGGTGGCGCCTGGTGGGAGGTCTTTGGATCACTGGGGCAGAACCCTTATGAATTGCTTGGGCCGTCCCCTTGGTGATGAGTGAGCTCTCACTGTGTCACAGGAGATCTGGTCAAAAGTGTATGGCGCCTCCCTCCACCTCACTCTCTTGCTCCTGCTTTCACCATGTGAAGCGCCTGCTCCCACTTCGTCTTCTGCCATGATCGAAAGGCCTGAGGCCTCCCCAAAAGCTGATACCAGAGCTACGTTTCCTGTATAGCCTGCAAAACCATGAGCCAAACAGACCTCTTTCTTTATGAACTACCCAGCCTCAGGTATTTCTTTATAGCAATTGCAGGAACAGCTTAATACAAAAATTAATTCCTCAGTTGCAATAATTGGCATAGAAAATGTGCAATTAGTCATCTCATTTTCCTTGATAAATGTCTCTAAAATTCAAATTGATGGGTCCAGATATCACCCTACACATATTAGTACTATAGTTTTTTTATCTCCTTCCACCCGCTACCCCACCCTCTGCTATACACACACCTACTCACTCACACTTTCTCTCATTCTAGACACCCGCTTTTCTTTTTTCCCAGCAACTATTCTTTCTGAAATCTTTCATGCTACCCTAGCAACCCAAAACACACTACTTACTTAACGTCATGGAGCTATATGATGATCACCAATCTCAATGAGGTGCACGGTAAGATGGAAAAAACACGTGAACACACTGTGGCCAAAGCATGAGAAAGAGGACACCACGACAACACTATCCTTGACCAAAGGCCGCAACCTAGTGTTTTGGTCCAAAATAGTAAGACCTGAAGCAAGTATGCAAAGATATATGTATAGTAAATCTAGACATAATATAGTTTCTAACTTAAAATTACAAAATAACCCAACTGTCCTTGGTGTCCATGAAAAAAGGAATACTATACGGCTAGTTATCAAAATACACTCTGACATGGAAATATGAAAATAATATACTGTCATAAAGGTAACCTATAGAATACACATTTGATTCCGTTTCTATAAAATGTATGCATAACAATGTTTGTTAGTATCATCAGGAAAAAAATGTCTGGAAGAATATACATAAACTTAACATAAGCGAAGGATCAGGAGAGTACTATTAGACATTTTTAGAATGAGTGTATGTCACTATCACAGGTTTTCTCAACCTCAGCACTGCTGCTATTTTAGGCCAAATACCTTGTTATGGGAGACTGTCTTATGTATTGCAGGATGTTTAGCAGTGTCTCTGACCTCTACCCACCAGATGCCAGTTGCATCCTTCTTCTCCCATGCCAACTGCGGCAGACAAAAATGTCTCCAGACATTGCTAAATGTCCTCTGAGGAGAGCAAATTATCTACTGTATTATGATAATTAGGGAAAAAAAGATTACTCTTCTTAAATATTAATACACAGTTTATAGTAGCATAGTGGTAAGAGTATCTGACCCTGGAGTCAAGCTGCCTAAGCTTGAACAACAGTATCACCTTTTACAAGCTACAAGATCTTCAGCTGCTTATTTAACCCCTTCAGGCCTCAGCTTACTCATCTGCAAAGTGGGGATAAAATAATACTATCTACTTCCTGGGGATGTTATAAGGATTAAATTTAAAAATACATGTAAAGTGCTTAGAAAAGTACCTGGTACAGAGTATTAGCTGTCATTATTACTACTATTCATTTATGTTATTACATGTTACAATATTCTCTTAGAGCTTTCAGAGAACATATATTCTAATTAGTGAAAATCTACCCCCATATCTGTTCAGCTTGAGCCCCCTCCACCCACCAGTTCACCCTTTTCAGAGTACTGATCAACTGAGAAAAGTGACCAAGAGCTAAGGGGTGAAGGAAGTATTGGAACATGTGTCACTTCCAAAGACTTCTCAAGAAGATGTACCATCTTCCATCACAGTCATGATGTGAGAACCATCTACACATAAACTAACCCACTCTCTAAAGCAAGCAGCACCATGAGGGTAGGGCAAGGGGAGTGTATTAGTCCATTCTCATGCTGCTAATAAAGACATACCTGAAACTGGGTAATTTATAAAGGAAAGAAGTTTAATTGTCTCACATTCCACATGACTGTGGAGGTCTCACAATCATGGCGTGGTGGAAGGTAAAGGGGCAGCAAAGGCACGCCTTACATGGCAGCAGGCAAGAGGGCAAGAGAGCATGTGCAGGGGAACTCCCTTTTATAAAACCATCACCATGTGATCTCAGAGATCACATCAGATCTCATGAGACTTCACTCTCACAAGAACAGTGTGGGAAAAACCCAGCCCCATGATTCAATCACCTACCACCGGGTCCCTCCCATGACACGTAAAGATTATGGGAGCTACAATTCATTCAAGATGAGATTTAGTTGGGGACACAGCCAAACCATATCAGGGAGGGTGTGAGGGGTAAACAGAATACAGGAGGTATCCACATTCCTCAACCTCCAAACTTCAGAAAGCTTGGGCCCCTGTAAGGGAACCAAACTACACACTTGTCTGTCTGTAAGACAGATCATAAGTCACCACTGTGATGGTCAGATGCAGAGTCAGAAACCATTTTCCCATTTCACACATGAAGAAGGAGAGACAAGTAATCAAAGTCACCCCACAACTGAGGACTGACGAAATCAGAGGTAGGGCCTTATTCATCCTGCGCAAGTTTCCCTTGGAATGTCAAATATTTTCTGGTCAAATTTAGGGCAAATCCCATCCAAACTCACTAGACGTTTTCCTTTTCCAAGTGTCACTGTTTCTAAACATTTCAAATAACTTGTTCTTGAACTCCTGATTCTGTCTTGAAAATAAGTGCTATTCTACTAGGTTTAGGAACTTAACAAAACAAACAACTTTTAAGAGTCATATATTAGGCATTTCATCAAGGCTATACTGCAGATTGTGACATCTATAATTCCTTTTAACAGGAATAGTGTTCAGGTGTGTTGTTTACAGAGCAGAAGCAGCAGCATGAGTGGACTGGCATCTATGATAAACCTCAACCTAAAAAGAGACAATTTTTTTTGGATGTGGTTGTCCACCTACACATTCTCTGCTCAACTGAGACAATTTCCAGAGTTACAGCACTCCCTTATATCCAGAGGAAAAAGGACTTTAACATGACCTATTTCTAGTCAACCATCTCCATAGCAACTGTCTAGGGTTTAAGTTGAAACAGCTGTATGAGCCAGCCAGTGACCAATTACAATGTAAATAGGACCCACGTGAGTTTTGAGGTCCCCTTGAGAAATGGACTTCAGAGAGCAAAGACATGTTTCCCACCTCTCCCTGGGGACATAACCAGACTTGTAGTAGCAGCTTAAAGAAAAGGAAACAAGACAGCAAAGGTGCCTTTATTCTTGCCAGAGGTGGCAAATTATGCTTCTTATACACACACAGCCCAGAATAAAATCAGCACAGGAAAAAGAAAGCTCTGTATAATTATGCATACTCAAGTGTAAAGATGTCAAGTGCACAACTTTACAACTGCTCTCTTAAAAATTAAATGCATTTAGACAAGCAAATTTAAAAGATGGACGTTTCTTGAAACGTAGTATAAACATGACAGCTACCCCTATAAAAACAACCCGGGAGAATTTTTCAACTGGCATCAGTGAACAATGAGAAATTACAGATCTGCTCAAATTCATGAAGTATAAATAAAACCAGAGGAGAATTTAGCAACTGAAGGAATTAAATGGAGTAAAGAGCACACAGTAAAAATATTTCCTCAGTACCCAACACAAGTATGGAAAGCTAAGAATGAGGCTTGAATAAAGGCTAAAAACAAATTCATCATGAAAGTAGGTAGTCAAGTCTGACAGCTTACTTCAAATTAAATCCTAAATCAGGTACCCTGATGACTTAATAGACTGCATGGGAGAGAAAAATGCCTGCTTTTTCAAACAGGGTAAAAATATTTATGAAACTTCAGGCAGACTTGAACTTTTCAATACTTTTTGGTTCAGTTCTTAGTGAAATCCCTCATGCTATAATACATTGCATTCCCAAGGCACACAATCAGTAATCAGTACACTCAAAACATTTCATGTCCTTAAGAAAGGAGTGGAAATTCTAGGCAGAATTTCTAGGCACTATTGAGAATGTGCAAAAAATGGCCCAAGGAATCTATGGACTCAAAGAAGCCTTAAAAGTGATCTAGTTTACTCATTTTCAGTTAAGATCTGCATAATTATCAGGGCAGGGGGAACTGATTTGGGGCTTGTAAAAAAAATTAACAAAAATGAGAGAAATATTTCTTATTATTTAAAAACAATTTTTACTCATTTTCATCAAATAAGTAACTGTAAATTGGTATAACCTATCTTGAAAGCAATGTGACAATATTCAGAATCATTTATTTCATACCATTTGAACGAATACATCATAGTCATTAAAAATTATATGCTGAAAAAATAAAATTTGAATAAATGTCTGCCCTTTACTGAAAGTGAAAAAAGCCAGTTACAAAAATGTTTGTACAAATTCAATTAAAAATACATCAATATATAGAGACACCCACCCACATACCCACATATCCCAAGAAAATATTAGCAGAACATATATTTAAATGTTTGTGATGATTATTTCTGGGTGGTGAGATTATGGGTATATCTAATGTTCTTCTTGTGCCTTTTTTTTTCTGGAGAGAGGGTCTTGCTCTGTCACCCAGGTTGGAGTGCAGTGGCACTATCATAGCTCACTGTAACCTTGAACTCCTGAGCTCAAGCAATCCTCCCACCTCAGCCTTACAAGTAGTTAAGACTACAGGCACATGCCACCACACTTGGCTAATTTTTTCAATTTTTGTACAGATGGAGTCTCGCTACATTGCCTAGGCTGGTCTTGAACTCCTGTCCTCAAGCAATCCTCCCAACTCAGCCTCCCAAAGTGCTGGGATTACAGGCATGAGCCACCTCTCTAGGCCCTGTTCCATTTTTAATGTCTGAAACGTCTACAGCGAACATATTTTTTATTCATATTTTCATTTTAGTTTTAGTTTTTTCTTTTAATGGAGCTAAGACTTAATTTTACATTGAAAAAACAAAAGCAATATCAAATTAATGTTCATTAAAAATTACTTATATTCATCATTCCATTACAAATTTTATTTTTATATTCATCTTCCAGCTTCATCAGTAAGCATACACATTTTTACAGTTTTTCCAAATTTTATATTGAATGTTTTCATTGATTTTATTGAATATTTTTCTATGTTTTATCTGAACTTCATAACGATCACTTTCAGTGGCTACCAATATTTTTGTCTTGTCAATACACTATAATTTCCGGTCTCCTAACATTGAACCATTCAGGTTATGTTCAAGTTTGTCTGTTGTTGTTTTTTTGCTATTATAGATAACACTACAGTGAACATGTTCAAACACCTTCATGTACATTTTTTGCTTCTGCTAAATTTCCACAAGTAGCATCACTGTAACCTGAGAGCGTGTCTTTATAGCCCTTGCTAAAAATCATTTACAAAAATCCTCAATATTATTAGATGGTACGGTTAGTTTCCCTCTGGAAAGACATCTGCGTGTACACCCAAGATGAAGGTATTTATTTCAACTCTGTAAGAAGGCTCCACTTAGGTTCCTTACATTGCTAGTAGCTTACTTATAGATCTTTACAGGTCTTTTCCAGTGTCTAAAACAGGGAAATTACAGAAAGTTGGAATGCCATCTGATTGCTTCTATGTTATTTTTTCACGCCTTACAAGCTCTCAAGCTTCTGAGAAGAGAGGTCAAAGAGAAGACAGAACATAGAAAAGGCATTTTAAGAACAGGAAATTCTCCCACACACGTTGTCTTGGAGGTAAACAACAATATAAATAATCTCATTTATTATTTGTAAAAGACAGGAAAAAGAGCATCCTCAAGGGACAGGGGCTCTTGTTGCAAAGGCAGCACAGGGTCACAGCCTGAGATGATCTACTTCCTACTTATATTAACAGTAAGAGACATACACATGCAGATGACCATATAACATCATGGCTCTGTTGCTGGCCCTTCAAACGACAGGCTGGTACTGTACCAGCCAATCTCAGCCCACAGCCACAAGAACACAGAACAAATTCTGAACATTCTGCAGAGCTAATTCCTCAGGCTGCCAGCCTGGCACATCTCATCTCACCGGGCAGCAGAACACTGCACCAGTGGCAAGGTGGTGACTGCTGATTCTCCTGCTGGTGGAGGCAAACTATGCAGGGAACATTTGCATACTTTTAAAGGATTTTAAAAGTATGCTTTTAAAGGACTTTAAAGGTGGGAAGGATCTGAGAAGATATCTACTGAAATTCCCTCATTTTATAAATGGGAAAATAGGCCCTGAAAAGCGGCAGATAGTGGCAGAGCCAGGAAAATAACCCACGGCTGCAGGGTTACAATTCAGAACTTTTTCCACTATTCAAGCACTTCCCAACAGCTGTTTCCTGACAGTTTTCCATAAGATGGTAGTAGGTACGGAGAATAAAAGGTTCCCACCATCAAAGGAGTCACAGTAGTTAGGAAAGCACTGGGTTACTCAAAGTTAAACTAATTTTTAATTGCAGGACTTCTGAGAATCTTATCAAGTGTATGGTAAGTCTTGAGTAACGGGACAGATAGTAGGCACTTGAGCCAAGTGGCTAATTCTGGGTGCCAATTTTGGCTCTCCTATTACATCACTAGCCATGTAATGTTGGTTGGACAAGTGACTTTCCTCTCTGAGCCTCAGTTTCCTCAATCAGTAAAATTAGTATACTATGAAAATTTCTCATATAGGCTCGCTAGGAGGATATACCATAACAAGCACTCAACATGTAGTTAGGTATATGTGGGTAATGGCACATGACTACGAATCTATAGAATAGGTTCATGATGCTATCTACGCATTCCGCAAATACTTGGTGAGCATCTTCTCTATGCCACTCCTGTGCTAGCCCCCGGGGATACAGAACCAAAGTACATCATTGAGAAGGGAAGACAAACAAGCAGATGATTTCAAGCCTGTTCTAAGTACTGTGGCCAAGAGAAGCTCAATGAGCTATGGGAGCCAAAGGTGGGGCACCCAATCAAAGTCAGGGGGGTGATGCCCTGACAGTGCTTCCTGCGGGAGGTAAGAAGGAGGAGCAAGTAAGGCAGGGCAGGAGTGGGAAGGGCATTCCACACAGGAGGCCACCTGTATTACAGGTGTACTTGAACTAATCCAGAAAACTTGGGCATCAACATTTTTTGTTAAATAAAATGTACCAAAGATCTTCAGAACCTTAGATCTGGAAGGATGCCAAAAAGTTACTTGATTTTAACCTGTACCTAAAAGCATCCCCTCTATAGTGTCTCTAGGATGAACAGAAATAAGGTAGGATGAATACCATTCCCTATTTGACAAGGGAAGTCCAGATTTATACCTGTTGATAGTGGGAGGAGGCAGACAAATGCCTAGGCAAATAGAGATGGGTCAATGGTGAAACCCCACCTCCAAGTGGAAGACAGTTTAAAGCCTGAAAGCCAAGCTTTAAGTCAAAGCCACAGACCGGATTGAGAACCTGCCTTCCCATTTGGCACACTTTCCTCTGATTGATCCCCATCCTTCACTAATTTTACATATACCTACCCTTTCCTAATTGGTTTTCTACACTGCCATGCCCACCTTTGAGTGGTGTCTTTGCTTTAGCCTTTCTTTGCATACACACAAACCAATCAGCATGCATTCCCCTATTCTGAGCCCATAAAAGCCCTGCACTCAGCCACACTGAGAGAGAAACCACCCAACTGTGGGAATGGGGGACCACCCCCATGTCCCCTCTCCACTGAGAGCTGTTGCGTCGCTCAATAAAATTTTTCTCCGCCCTCCTCACTCTTTGATTGTCAGCATATCCTCATTCTTCTTGGATGTGAGACAAGAGCTTGGGACCCACTGAATATTGGAGCAGAAAAGGCTGTAACATCATGGCCCTCTGCCCTTCACCGGCACAGAGCAGCCACCCCACATGACAGAAATGGTGGTGAGGCCAAGCTAGCCCTGAAGTCACAGACCAAGGTGGGGCAAGGGCATTGCTAGCAAGGTATCTCCGGCTGGCAAAAGTGATTGAGAAAAGTCCTAAGTCAGTATTATCCAAGCATAATTAAGAGCATCCCATTTCGCTGTCAAAAGTGTCTTGATTTGGACAATAAATTATGAAGTCAGTCTATGAATAGATGGTCCCACAGTCTCAGCTTGAACAATTTGGGTGACAGATATCACTTCCTGGTAGGCAGTCCCTGTCATGTTCAGATCATTCTAACAGAGTTCCCAATCTATAGCTAAACTGAAATCTGTCTCCTGGAGACCTTCCCTCTGCTGTCCCTTTCTAGGTTCCCAGGGATCAGATGGAATAGATCAAGTTCTTTTTCCATCATCTTTCAGACATTTGTAGAATAATCATAACTCATTCACCTCTTAGTCTTTAGGTTCAGTAATTTATTCAACCTTTCCCAGGAACTCCAATCTCAAATTAAGGGCATCACCATCTCCCCAAAACCCAGGAGTCATACTAGATTCCTGTCTTTTCTTTTCTCTCTATGCTTTCAGAGGTACTTCCAAATATCAGATCACTTCTTAGCTTCTCTCTTCCTACCACCTGGTTCCTCAGACCCATCATCTCTCACCAGGACTATCACAAAACCCCATACAGAACCAGAGTGGTCTCTTTAAAATGTTAATTAGATCCAATGGCTTCTAACTGTGTTTCAGATGAAAACCAAACACCTTTGAGGCCTACAAAGCTCTATGTAATCCAACCCTGCCTACTTCTCCAACCTAACCCTGACCCTACATCACAGTCCCCCTTGTTCCTCAATCCCTCCCTACTGGTCATGCTAGCCTTGCTCATTGTTTAGATTTCAGCTCAGATGTCATCACCTCAGAGAGACCATCACCAATCCTATAAATAAAAGACCCAAGAGCACAACTGCATTATACTCTAATCATTTTCTATCCATTATTCTGTTTTATTTGAATCGCAGTCCGTCATCACAGTCAGTTATAAATTTACCTGTTTAGAGTCTGTTCCTTATTAGAATTATAACCTCCATGAGAATAAGGATTTAGATCTAGTTATCTGTTGTATCTATGGCACTTAAAACACAACCTAGCCCCTAGTACATACTGGATAAACATTATTTTTCATGAAAAAAGTCCTCTGTTCCTTAGGTTTGCATGATTTCCAAACCCCACCCCACCCCTGGGTGACCCTCTTCCGCATAAACATCAATTTTAAATAGTCTTTCAGTGGGATATCCTTTTGTGCCACTTCGTGGGCCATTGTTGCCTCATCTATAAGATTTTTTGCCAGATAATTCTGAAAGTTTCATCCATTCCAAATTCTTATTTTTGCATAAGTTTCTCTTAAAGCTAGACATCCCTCAGCATGACTCTCTACTCAACAGTTTACCTTTGTTTTCCCACAGAGGCCGACGATACAGAGTCCAATATTCGAGGGGCAGGGAACATCAGAATCATTGTTACCTCTTAATCTAAGTTAGGCCTCAAAAGAACCAAGACATGAAAAGAAATTTAAGGTCACATTAAACAGGTATTTCAAATCTGCACCTCTGGGACCCCAGCATGCCTCACACACACTCATTCAGATCAGGTGTCTTGGAGCAGGTTAGAAAAAAATATTGTGTGCCCTGTTATCCTATTATATTAGGTTCTCACCTTCCAGGGTTATCATGTTTTGCTTCCTGAGCTTATGCCACACACTGGCTCCTAAGTCAAGTGAACAACTACTCTTTTCAAAAAAAGACACAAAAGACAGTGTTACCTTCTTATCTCATCTAGTCAGCCAGCCCTGGCCTGCCCTTCCCGAATAACTCAGTTACCGTGAACCCACCTTCACCCTGTTGACGGGGCCAGTGTTCTCTCCCCAAGGAAAAGCTGACTTTACAACATGAAATGGGTCATACCAGGTCTGAGCCCTGCTGCTTTCAAAAACTAAATGCTCCCATAGATGATATTCAAATGGCATTCTTTCACATTTTGGCATAGTACCTGGAAGACAGTGGGACATCTAGAGTTGTATGCTGAACACACAGACCACATCTTAAGCCAGAAAGCAAATTGTCACAGAAGGAATTAGACTCACTTCCATCACTAGAAGTCAAAGAACACACCCCACTGATGGATAACAGACCTCAAGAAGGCATGAATACAAATGACAGGTCAAGAGATATGTCACCATACATATCCAGAACAAGTGAAAGCAGGGGTTCGAAGGAAGGACATTCTGATACATACTACAACATGGATGAACCTTGAGGACGTGATGCTGAGTGAAGTAAGTCAGGCACAAAAGGACAAGGATTCCACTTACGTGAGGTACTTAGAATAGGAGAATTCACAGAGGCTCAAAGTACAATGGAGGTCACCAGAGGCTGAAGAGTTATTGTTTAATGAGCATACAGCTTCTGTTTATAATGATGAAAAAGTTCTGGAAATGCATAATGTTGATGGTTGTATAACACTGTTAATGTACTTAGTGCCACTGAATTTTATGCTTAAAAATGGTTAAAATGGTAAATTTTATGTTATGTATAGTGTACCATACACACACATACAAAGTATGTTATTAGTATATTCCTCCAGCCAAGGCTTCTAAGATAATCTAAGAGGATTTATTTCATAGTAAATTTCACAATTTGGTATTCCACAATAGTAAATCTTTTCAAAACATCATTGTAGCTTGGCAGAATGCTATATGAGGCATTACCAAATCTTATAAATGCGCAACAGTAAAGGAAATTTAACTTAATTTTCAATTATATCAAGCAAAGAGATAGTCCACTGGAAGAAACTAGAACAATGTCATTTACTAAAAGGCCTTCTATGTGCTAGGTACTGTACCAGGTGGTACTGTATACATTACTTGATTTGGTCTTTGTAACAGCTCTATGGGGTAGCATTATTATAAGAGATTGATTAAAACAAGTAAAATACTAGTGAATAAAAAACTACAATGTTGTGCTGGCATGAAAAAAATGAATGAACAGAGTTGCAGAATGATCACGAGCTTTAGGTGAGACAAAACTTACAGTCTGTTCCTAACCAGGTTGATTTTGCTGGAAAAAAAAATTCCCTAGAGAATTGTAACAAGCCCCAGAGACCCGATACTGGAGGGAAAAGAATATGAACAGATGCCAACCCCAAGATGACCCAGAAGTTGGAATTATCAAAGACTTTATTTTTTAAATTTTCTTGAGACACACTTTCACTCTGTTGCCCAGGTTGGAGTGCAGTGGCGTGATCTCAGCTCACTGCAACCTCCGCCACCCAGGTTCAAGTGATTCTTATGTCTCAGCCTCCCAAGTAGCTGGGATTACAGGCTGCACCACCACACCCGGCTGATTTTTGTATTTTTAGTAGAGATGGGGTTTCACCACGTTAGCCAGGCTGGTCTTGAACTCCTAACCTCAGGTGATCCGCCCACCTCGGCCGCCCAAAGTGCTGGGACTACAGGCTTGAGCCACCGGGCCCAGACAAAGACTTTAAAGGAGCTATTACAATCATCGGCTATGAAGCAAAGGTGAATGGTCTCGAATGGAAAGATAAGAGCTCTCAGAGAAAATAGGGAACCTGAAGACATATCAACAGAAGGTACACAATCTGAAGAACACAGAGAAAAGACTACTTTAAAATAATGAACAAGCCTAAGGAACCTCTGGGATACTATCAAAAGGTCTAACATTTATGCACTGGAGTCCCAAAAAGAGAGGAGAGATTGGTGTTTAAAAAAAGTGAAATAATATCTGAAAAAATCCCAAATATGATTAAAAACATAAATGGACACATACAAGAATCTCAAGAAACCCCAAATAGGATAATCCCTAAGAAAACATGTCCAAATGCATCATCATCAAACTGTTGAAGATAAAAAATTTTTTAAACTTGAAGGAAGACATAAAATAATGCCACAATACATGTAAGAGAAGTGTTTGAAATGACTGTCATCAGCAATCATGTAGACCAGAAAAGATTGTGAATCAACATTTGTAAAGTGATGAAAGAAAGGACCTGCCAGCTCAGAAAATTCCCTTCAGGAATGAAGGTGAAATAAAAACATCAGATGAAGAAAAACTAAGAGAATTCATTACCATAAGGCTTACTCTAAAAAAAGTACTACAGGAAGTTTTATTTTAGGCTGAAGAGAAATGATACCAGAAGGAAACATGGAACTTTAGGAATGAAGGAAGAGCAACAGAAATGGTTTGGATAAATATAACAGACTATTTTTCTTCTTTAAAATATGTACGAGGCGGGGTGCAGTGATGCACATCGATAATCCCAGCAGTTTGGGAGGCCAAGGTGGGAGGATCACTTGAGGCCAGGAGTTTGAGACCAGCCTGGGCAACATGGCGAAACCCCATCTCTATTTTTAAAAAGTAAATAAATAAATTAAATTAAATATGTATGAGTATTGCAAGAAAAACAGCAGAACATAGTCTAGGTTTTTTCCAATGTATGTACATGTAATATATGACAACTCTAACACAGGGGATGGGGTAGTAGAGTCTATATGGTTATAGGACACATTTACTTAAAGTGTTAAAATGTTAACACTATAATGTCAGTTGTTATGTACGTATATTATATTGTAATCCTTAGAGCTACCACTAAAAATAATACTAAAGATATAGCCAAATAGACAACAGAATTACAATGGAATACTGAATACATATAGACATAGATATAGATATAAACAAAAACATTCAAAAGTGAGGTTAAGAGACATTGGAAGATGGAGTGAGGAGGTCTAGCCAACATCTAATTGGAGTTTCAGAGGAAAATAAGTGAGAATAGAGAAAGGGCAATATTCAAAAAAATAATGGTTAAGAGTAGAGCAGAGTTGTTAATTAAAAAAAAAAAAACTTCCCAATGTATGGGTTAAAGAAGAAATTATAATGGACATTAGAAAATATTTAGCAATAAGCAATTGCAAAACTATTAACTGTAGCTCCACAAACACTTGCAGAACTCATGAAGGAGATTAACATGCTACAGATCCTGGAAACCCAGTGAAACTCAAGCAGGATAAATACAAGAAATCAACACCTAGAATAATAAAGACAGGAGATAACCTTAAAATCAGCCAGAGCTGCATCACCTAAAAAAAAAAAAATACAAAAAACAAAAAACAAAAAAAACCCAACTGACTAATGACTGACTTCTTAAAGGCAATAATAAATACCAGAAGACAGTGAAATAATGCCTTTAGTGTGCCAAAGAAAATAACTTCCAACCTAAAATTTTTACTTAGTGAAAGTATCTTTCAAAAATGAGGTACTTAAAGATATTTCAAATAACAAGAAAGTTTACTACCAACGGATATCCTTTAGGCAGAAGAGAAATTGATCTCAGACAGAATCCCTGAGACGCAGAAAGGAATGGAGAGTACAGATATTAGTAATTATAGGAGTAAAGAAATACTGACTACATAAAAAAGTATTAACCATGTCTAATTAGTGGAGGAAGAAAACAAATTAGAATGAAAGAGTGGACACCAGTAATACGTAAGTTGGATAACGATGACTAGAGTAAGGTCATGGGATTATTCAACAGAAAAGTTAATGGAATAATAAATGTTAAACTTTATACTCAAGTATTAAAATTGATTAACTACTAAATGAGGAGATATAAAGTATATGACTTCTAAGAAGACAAGCACAGTTGGAATAAGAAAAATAAAACACAGGCCAGAAATTGAGGAAAAAGAAGAGACAAAAACAGAATAAGCAGAAGGCAAAGAATAAGATGGTAGAATTAAATCCAAAAATGTCAATAGCCACAATAAATATAAAAGAACTAAAGTCTTAACTGAAAGACAAAGAATGCATTACTTTCAAATGCAGCTATATATTATTTACAATGATATACCCAAAAACATAAAGATACAAATTAAAAGTGAAAAGAAGGCTGGGCACGGTGGCTCACACCTGTAATCTCAGCACTTTGGGAGGCTGAGGTAGGGGGATCACTTGAGTTCAGGAGTTCGAGATCAGCCTGGCCATCATGGTGAAACCCCATTTCTACTAAAAATACAAAAATTAGCTGGGCGTGGTGGTGCACTCCTGTAATTCTAGCTACTTGGGAGACTGAGGCAGGAGAATCTCTTAAACCCTGGAGGCAGAGATTGCAGTGAGCTGAGATCGTGCCACTGCGCTCCAGCCTGGGCAACAGGGCAAGACTGTCTCAAAACACAAAAATAAAATAAAAAAATAAAATGAAAGTGAAAAAAAGAAAAAGTATATATTAGACAAATACTAACCAAAAGAAAGCTTGTACACCTATATAGTAGATACCAGACAAAATAGACTTTAAGATAAAAATCATTATCAAAGTAAAAGAGAATCTCTATATAATAAAATGTTCAATTCAATGGTAAGACATGCTTTTCTTACTATTTTAATTATTTCATTTTATAAATAGCATAAAAACTTTTTTCTCATAAAAATATTTCAATATTAATTTCAATAGCTATAAGAGCAAAAAAAAAAAAAGATCTCATAGAAATACATAGATTAAAAAGAAAGATGCACCTCATTAATGACAAAGATTCTCTCCTTGACTAAACTCTAATGAGGCTCCTCTGAACTCTCCTTTCAACTAGGCCCTGAGTTTTGGGCTTCCAAGCTCATCTCTGCATTGTCCAGCTGCACCAAGAATCCTGCTAAGTCAGTTTGCCTACCCTCAAATGTGTGATCACCCTTGATATCTGATCAAACTCCTCATCCTTCCCAGTCCCCCAGGTGATGTCTGATCACACTGACCTGCCTTCAGCAAGAATCCTGTTAGGCCAGTTGAGCCAGAACCCCTACTTACCTCTGATGTTTCCTCTTAGTAATTTTTCATCTGAGGAAGACATACTTCCAAACTTACATACGCTTAGTAACATAGCTTTAATATATATAAAGCAAAACTTGACAGAATCACTAAGAGAAATTATCAAATCTATCATCTTAAATGGAGATTTTAACAACACTCTCAGCAATTACTAAGATCAAGCAGAAGGGAAAAATTAGTAAGGATATAGAAAATTTGCACAGCAAAATTAACAACTTCCTATAATGGATATGTATAGAATATTGCACCCAATTAATATAAAAAATTATTTTCAAATACACGATTTATTTATGAAAGTTGACCCCTGGTAGGTGCTAAAGACAGCCCCAACACATTTCAGGGACCAATATCATAAGGGCCACATTCTCTGATTACAGCCTCATTGAGTTAGATCTCAGGACCAAATGATAGCAAAATAGCTGCACGCTAAAAAGTAAAAATCTTATAAACTATGTGTTAAAGAAGAAATGATAATGGACATTAGAAAACATTTAGAAATAAACAATTACAAAACTACTATAACACTTGTGGAACTAAAGTGGTCACTTAGACATATGCAGACTAAAATGTTTACATTAGCAAAGAAGACTCAACAATTTTAAACTATGTATTAAACTTAAGAAGTCAAAAAAAGAATAGCAAAGAAGTTAAGTGAGGCCGGGTGTGGTGGCTCAACGCCTGTAATGCCAGCACTTTAGGAGGCTGAGGCAGGCGGATCGCTTGAACTCAGGAGTTTGGGAACAGCCTGGGCAACACAGCAAAACTCCATCTCTACAAAAAAATACAAAAATTAGCCGGGTGTGGTGGGCGCACTCCTATAGTCCCAGCTACTCGAGAGGCAGAGGTGGGAGGATGGCTTGAGCCCAGGAGGTCAAGGATGCTGTGAGCAGAGATTACACCACTGAACTCCAGCCTGGGTGACAGAGCCAAACCCTGTCTCAAAAAAAAAAAGTTAAGTGGCTTTTCCCAAAATCATTTGATAAATGGCAGAGCTGAGATTCAAAACCAAATCTCTCTCACTCAAAGGCTATCTTTTCCTTATGACTTTTCCAAATAAACAAGTGGGTTTGGGCAAGAAAAGTCTTAGTGGTCTCATAAGAGAAAAAAAAATCTTTCTTAAATTTCTTTTTATTTTTTAATTTTTATTTTTTTTTTAATATTAGAGATGAGCTTTCAGTATGTCTCAAACTGGTCTCAAACTCCTGGCCTCAAGCAATCCTCCGACGTCAACCTCCCAAAGGGCTGGCAGAAGCCACTGCACCCAGCCAAGAAAAAAAACTCTTAAAGCAGAATTGAAGTTTTCAAGATGGTGTTGCTTAAACTACTAGAAAACTAAAAGTTCAAACATTCAAAATGATGCTGAGCAGGCTGGGCATGGTGGCTCATGCTTGTAATCCCAGCACTTTGGGAGGCCGAGGCGGGTGGATCACGTGAGGTCAGAAATTCGAGACCAGCCTAGCCAACATGGTGAAACCCCGTCTCTACTAAAAATACAAAAAAATTAGCTGGGCTTGGTGGCGGGAGCCTATAATCCCAGCTACTTGGGAGGCTGAGGCAGGAGAATCACTTGAACCCAGGAGGCAGAGGTTGGTTGCAGTGAGCTGAGATCATCACACCACTGCACTCCAGCCTGGGCAACAAGAGCGAGACTCTGTCTCAAAAAAAAAAAAAAAAAAAAAGATACTGAGCTATTTATCTGACTTACATGTGTTTTGAGTTATTTTAATTTACTTTTCCTATGTACTGAAACTTGCCCTTCTGAATACTTTCTGGCTTAGTTTACATTGAAGTTAACTTAGTAAAGCTTTTCTAAAAATTATTTTGGGGAGTGTGACCTTAGAATTCCGCTGGACCTCAAGGCATTTCTCATTACAACCCACACACATTCAGGTAACTGGATCGCATCCTTATTAACAGTTCTCTTTCTAGTTTAGAGTTGTCGTGCAGTTGTGATTAAATAACAGCGGGTCAGACTGCATTATTCTTTGCCTTCTGTCCCAGTCCAGTGTCATCCAAATAACAAAGCACCCAGCACCACTTGGGCAGGATATGACTGCCTAGAAATTAGTTTTTACTGCAGGGGGAAAAAAGATGCTTGGTAATTCTCATCCTTCAATGAAAGTGACTTTCAGTTGAAAGAACTTAAAATAGCCTACTCCTCTCATTTGTCAAGGATACTTAGTCAGGAATTTGTTTCCTTAAACTGTTGATCCAGAAAGTGCCAAGCTACAAATGAAGAGAGAATCCTTGTTCCTCAAGCTCCCACCAACAGCAACTGTTTTCTACCCAGCCTATGGCTATCCCTTGTGTCAAAGTTTTACGAGTCATATTAATAACACAATTATGAAATCAAAACAGTCTTTATCTTAAATACTGGAAGTATATCTTAAATACTATCCTTTTTTTCAAGAAAGGAGGGTTATCTATAGCAAGGGTCCCCAACCCCTGGACCACAAACCAGTACTGGTCTGTGGCCTATTGGGAACCGGGCCAAACAGCAGGAGGTGAGTGGCAGGCGAGCAAGCAAAGCTTCATCTGTATTTACAGCCCGCTCCTCGTTGTTTGCGTTACCACCTGAGCTCTGCCTCCTGTCAGATCAGTAGCGGCATTAGATCCTCATAGGAGTGTGAATCCTGTTGTGAAGAGCTCATGTGAGGGATCTGGGTTGCTGGCTCCTTGTAAGAATCTAATGCCTGATGATCTCTCACTGTCTCCCATCACCCCCAGATGGGACTGCATAGTTGCAAGAAAACAAGCTCTGGGCTCCCACTGATTCTACATTATGGTGAGTTGTATCATTATTTCATTATATATTGCAATGTAATAATAATATAAATAAAGTACACAATAAATATAATTTGCTTCAAACATCCCAAAACCATCCCCTCCCCTGCCCCACATCCGAGGAAAAACTGTCTTCCACAAAACCAGTCCCTTGTGCCAAAAAGGTTGGGGACTGCTGATCTGTAGTATAATATCCCCCCAAAAAACAAACACTGCTACAATAGCAAAACTTGCCTTAATCCCTTCTGGGACTTAATATCTATACCTTTTAAGATTCTTGTCTCAAATTAAACGTCCAAATAATAATCATGAGTAATTCATGATTAATTCATGATTATTACTTCGATAATAATACTCTGTTTTAAACCATTAAATTCACCAGTTTAAGATATTTTTACACACAAACTCTGAAAGCTAGCTCAATGTTTTACCTCAAAACTACATAAAAAGAAAACTAGCTGAGATGGCAACAGCATCAGCAAAGCTTTTGAATCTCGCCTCTCTACGTATAAAACCAGACAGAACAACTAGAGAGCAATACCCAAAACCCAGGAACAATGTGCACAGCAAATCCATGTGACAAAGTATCCTCACCAAACCCAGAACGCAAACAGGTGAAGAAAAACCGCCAACGGCCATACAACCTGCATGGTGTCTGTGGCTGGGCAGTGGTTGGGCAGGAGAAAGAAAAGAAAGCAACAGGAAATCAGACCTGTGAAAAGGAAAATCCCAAAAGAGCCAACAGGCATTACTGGAAAGCATGGAGGGACAGTTTGACAACAGTAGCTCACACTGGAAGGAATTTTGCCCACTCCAATAAGGAGTAGGTTTAAGGGGCCCATGGTAAGAACGTGTGAAGGCACTCAAACAGTTGTGCACCATGAACTCTTTTTTTTTTTTTTTTGAGACGGAGTCTCGCTCTGTCGCCCAGGCTGGAGTGCGGTGGCGCGATCTCGGCTCACTGCAAGCTCCGCCTCCCGGGTTCACGCCATTCTCCTGCCTCAGCCTCCCGAGTAGCTGGGACTACAGGCGCCCAACACCACGCCCGGCTAATTTTTTTTTTGTATTTTTAGTAGAGACGGGGTTTCACCGTTTTAGCCGGGATGGTCTCGATCTCCTGACCTCGTGATCCGCCCGCCTCGGCCTCCCCACCATGAACTCTTGAAACTGACCTGCCAGGGTTCCCTTCCAGAATAGAGCCTCACACCAAGGAGAAATCTCAAGAGACAAAACCAAACTCCTGAAATAGAGGGACAAGAGAGAAAAAGGAAAAAAAAAAAAAAGAGAGAGAAAAAGGAAAGAGAAGTAGTGGAGGAGGGGAAGAAATCCAGGACATCTCAGAAGACAGGAGGCCATCGTTTAAACACTATGTTGAGAACAACTAAGAGGGAGTTCAGTGAAGTTACAAAGCTACCCTGAACCATGTCTCTTTCTAAAAGTTCAGAAAAACTGAGTTCAAATGCAAATGAGCAACAGAAAAGACTCAAGCTCAAATGCAATCCAAATTTCTATAAGAAGTAAGAGAAGAAGCAGCAGAACAACATCCTTATGAATAACAAATGCAGTCAGGAAGAAATGCTCAAAAAAAAAAAAAAATCACAACATGGTGTTTTAAAATGAGGTAGGCCGGGCATGGTGGCTCATGTCTGTAATCCTAGCACTTTGGGAGGCCAAGGCAGATGGATCACCTGAACTCAGGAGATCGAGACCAGTCTGAGCAACATGACAAAACCCTGTCTCTGTTAAAAAATACAAAACATTAGCCGGGCGTGGTGGCGGGCCCCTGTAATCCCAGCTACTCAGGAGGATGGGGCAGGAGAATTGCTTGAGCCCAGTAGGTGGAGGGTACAGTGAGCCAAGATTGCACACCGCACTCTAGCCTTGGTGACAGAGCCAGACTCTGTCTCAAAAAATAAAAATTTAAAAAATGAGGTAAATGGCATGAAGAAAATGATGCAAGAGAGAACAAAATAAATCAGAATCCACAAACTCAGATGAGGTAGAGAAGTCAAGTAGCAACTAGAAATAAAATAAAAAGTCATTTCAGAAATAAACAGATAATTAAAAGACACAGAAGACAAAAGAGAAGAAAAAATTAAAATAAAAAGAAGAGGCCAGGCATGGTGGCTGATGCACGTAATATCAGCACTTTGGGAGGCTGAGGTGGAAGGATTGCTTGAGCCCAGGAGTTTGAGACCAGCCTGGGCAAAATAGTGAGACATCATCTCTACTAAAAATCAAAACAATTAGCCAGGTGTGGTGGCATGTGCCTGTTGTCCCCACTACTTGGGTGGCTGAGGTGGGAGCATCACTTCAGCCCAGGAAGTCAAGGCTGCAGTGAGCCAAGATCGTGCCACTGCACTCCAGCCAGTGTGACACAGCAAGACCCCTTCTCAAAAAAAGAAAAAGAAAAAAGAGAGAGAAAAAAATGATTAAAAAGAAAGTGATAAACACTGAAAATGGGTAAAAAGAATTATGTAAAGAAAGATATAAGAAGTTCCTAAAGAATAAAACAAAAGGACACACAAAATAGTAAAAAGTATAACAGAAAAATTTCCTGAAGTTTAAAAAAAAATTGTGAAACTAGATATTGAAAGCTTCTACCCCATACCTGAGAATACTGACCCAATGACAAACACCAACACACAGTCTAGTGAAATCACTGGATACTAAAGAACAAGAAAAAGGAAAATCGTTGGGTATTCAGGCAAAAACAACTAATTTTCAAGGGAAAAAAATCAGATTACCATCAGGCTTTTCAATAGCAATGCTTTATTCCAAAAGAAAAAAAATAAAGTATGTGAGCTACTCAAGAAAAATAAATGTGAACCAAAGATTTCATATCCAGAAAAGTTGACTTTAAAGTATAAAGAGCACTAACAAACTGTTATCAACGGGCAAAAACTCAGGGCATATTGTTCCCATGGCCACTTCCTGAAGAATCTAGTTGAGAATGAGCTTGATCAATTCAAATGACTAGAGAGACATGATCACAGAGAGTATTAAACATGTATAGTCACTTGTAGAACTGAGATTAGTTGAGAGCTAAAATGGAAAGAGTACTCTCTATAATGGACATATGTTTCAATAATACAGAAATAGTACAGTATTTTAAAACTAGGGGAGAAACAGGAAAAGCATATATAAATGTTTGGGAGTTTTAAAAACCTATTCTCAGTAATTACACTGGGGATGGTAGCATTAGTATTATTGAGACCACTGTGTATGTAACCTGGGATAAAATAAATGCGTGATTATAGACTAGTCTATCATCCCCTGTGTCCTTGAAAACCAGTATTCCTGCTGTGGAAGAAAGGAGATAGATGTAATACAGAACAGGTTAAACTAAAAATCACAAAATGGAAGTATCAGTGTATACTCATTTTGGCATTTTATCTCAGTCTGTCCACTGCAGAGGCCTAGAAACAATGACCAACCTAATAGCAATGAGCATACCCAGGGCCTAGACAGGGTCCTCGAAATACTGTTTTCTACTACAAGATACTAGAGCTTCTTAAAGAAATGGCTTTAAGGATGAGGGGTAGGGGAGGGAGCAGATCTTGGCCTCACAAAAAGCAAAGCTATGAAGCCATGAAGCCATGAAGGACTACTAGGACTGAAGCACTGCTAGGACTCAGGACAGTTGCTTAAAGCTGGGGATGGGAATCGGTAATGACCACAAATGGGCATGTGGTTTCTTTTAGGGCTGATAGATATGTTCTAAAATTAGATTGTAATGATATAGATAAATTTTTGATACAACCCCAAAATAAGTGAGTTGTATCAATGGTCAGCTTTCTAGTTGTGAAACTGGACTATATAAAAAATATGGAATTATACACTTAGTATGGTAAAACCTATGGTATGTAAATTACATCTCAATAAAGCTGTTGGAAAAAAAGATATGCCCAAACCTTCAAAAGGGATCATGGTTTCAGTGTAAAATAAAATATGGCTTGTTTTTGTTTTGTTTTGTTTTCTCCCCAGAGACAGGGTCTCACTCTGTCACCCAGCCTGGAGTACAATGGTGCCATCACAGCTCACTGAAACCTCGAACTCCTGGGCTCAAGTGATCCTCCCACCTCAGTCTCCTAAGTAGCTAGGACTATGAACACATGCTACCATACCTGGCTAATTTTTTGTATTTTTTGTAGAGATGGGGTCTCTCTCTCTCTCTCTTGCCCAGGCTGGTCTTGAACTCCTGGCCTCAGGTGAACATCCTGCTTCGGCTTCCCAAAGTGCTGGGATTGTGGGCATGAGCCACCATGCCTGGCCATAAAATATATTTAAATCCATGAGTTCATGAAGACTTTTTTAAATCCAGTGATTACACAAATCTACATTTGTGGCAAAATTGTACAGAACTAAATATATACACAGACACACAAATGAATAATATAAAACTGGTGAAATCAGACAAAAACAAGTGGGTCATATGAATGCTCAATTTTCCAGCTGTGAAACCGTACTATAGTTATATAAGATGGTACCATTGGAGGAAACTGGGTGAAAGGTACACCAGATCTCTCTGTATTATTTCTTACACTGCATGAGAACATATAATTATCTTAAGATGAAATATTTAATCAAAAAATACTCTAATTGGTCACCTTTGAAGAACAGTAGGGAACCAATTCATTATCTTAAAAGCTAGTAAAGAATCAAGCATTTATCCTATCTGTCCTGTATGACCTGCAACAATGGTTAAGAAATAGTAGATGATGGAACTATCTCTTTATGAAAGTATCTCCATTAATAAATGAAAAAGATTAGATTATCACCATCTAATATGGTTTGGCTGAGTCCCCATCCAAATCTCATCTTGAATTATAGCTCCAATAATCCCACCTGTCATGGGAGGGACTCAGTGGGAGGTAACTGAATCATGGGAGCAGGTTTTCCTGTGCTGTTGCCATGATAGTAAATAAGTCTCACGAGATCTGATGGTTTTATAAAGGGCAGCTCCCCTGCACAAACTCTCTTCCCTGCCACCACGTAAAACGTGCATTTGTTCCTCCTTCACCTTCAGCCATGATTATGAGGCCTCTCCAGTCATGTGGAACTGTGAGTCCATTAAACCTCTTTTTCTTTATAAATTACCCAATCTTGGGCATGTCTTTATTAGCAGCACGAGAAGAGACTAATACACCATCTTATGATAGCCCCCAATGGATTAATGGATTAGGTACTAAGCATCAACAGCCGCTAACATTATAAAAAGAAGAAGCACCAGACATCAGGTGCCTCATGGGGAAAGAACCCACCAATTATCTGATGTCTTACTGTAGGGTTCAAACCTGAGTCTGATCACACCTGGGGATCCAGCTACCAACTTGCAGGAAATACAGAGGACAGAGAGAACAGATGAACTGCACCATGACAGGGCATTCAGCAAAATCCAGACTGCAGGAAAGTCTCCAGGCTAAATGTCCTAGATTCTTCAATAGATAAATCATTGTAGGAAAAACTAGGGGGTAAGGGGAAGCAACACAATGAAAGGGAAACCTGTAGAAGAGTCTTAAAAGACACAAATTTCCTTTAAATTAGCAAGATTAAACTTTGCATGTACACCTGGGTAATAATATTATAAAGAAATGCAAAGAAGTGTCTACTTTGAGAAGCAGGGTACTGGCTACTTTAGGGACAGAGAGGGGTGATGATTAGGATGTGGCACCTGGATGGGGCTGCTGGGGTAGGCAGAAAAATTCTAATTCTGGACCTGGGTAATGCTTACAGGTACGTTCACCTTAGGATAACTCAGTAAGCTGTACATTTGTGTTGTGTGATTTTCTGTATTTGTCTTATTTTACCAAAAAAAGATTTTTTTAAAAAAAAAGGAGAATTTATCTCGCTTTTATAACCTGTCATAAATAGAATGCAACACTTAAAATAATTACATGAAAATAAACCATATTATTAACTAGCTGTGGTAGCCTGAGGACACTTCCAAGGCCTCTTCTATGTTAAAAGGAGAGTAAAAGTGTAGTCAAGTACTAAGGATATGCTAGCACTCAAACTTGCAAGATTCAGGTCTTTCTTTCTAACTTAATCAAGTCTTGAAAGACACCTAAAAGGAAAGTGCTTTCTCACTATGTGATTCAGTGAGATTGGAGGCTTGCCAATCTACCACCCAAAATCATCTCCCCTACTGCTCAAATTTACCTCGTAGGCCAACTCACATCTTACTCTTCTGGAGACACTGGGTTACAAAAAAAAAAAGGTCTGGTGCAGTGAATGAAGGTAAGTCAGACCTTATGAGGAGGATGAAAAAACAAAAACTTAGCTCTCCCTGATCATTGACACATTTATGTTACTTGTTCAGCCCTTTCTAAATAAGCTTAAAAGGTTTGCTTTTCCATTATCAGCAGTTAAGCAAGTGACCAACACTACAACCCAGTGAGAGCTGCCTGTCCTCATCCTAGTCACAAGCACACACACTTTACTATGTACTCAACAGGCACCTTCACAGCCTAGCAATGACCCACCTCTGTCTTCATACCTAATGTGTTTGGAGGTTCTCAAGTGACAAGAGGCCCTGTATCTGAAAAGGCAAATTACAAAAATAAGCGCAAACGCCCACCCTCACCTGAACTCAGTATCTTAAAATAAGGCACATGTCCCAAGCTGCTGGCTAATCAACACCAGCCTCAACTGACCTCAAAGCCCTTTAAAAAAAAAAGTAGGGCGGAGGGGAATATCAGATTACATATTAGACTTATAAACTTGTAAGGAGCAAAGAAAGCTGTGAAATTCGAATGGAGCTCAATCACATTTTTCAAACATTTATCTAAAACACATATTAAAAAGTGGCTCAATTCACCTATATATGATCTGAAAGCAAGTCTTGTTTTACCTCACCGTTTCCCCCACATTTTTCTATATTAAAGAGAAAGCAAACATAAGCCAGGACAGTTTCGTTTTTCTTGCACTGCACTGCTGCTCACGAGAGGACAGAGTGAGGCCCACCCACAGAGATGAAGCGCAGACAGGAGCTAAAAGGTAACTTGCATTAAAAAGGAAGATGAGGGCTGGATTCCTTCGTCTTCAATGCCTCTAGCTTCATCAGCCTCCCTGGAGTGGGCAGACCCCCGTTTCCTTCCCTCTCTCACCATCTCCTATCCCTTCTGCATTCTCTACCCTCTTTGTTTTGTGAACCCTCAACTTCCCAGCTTACCCTCACTCCTTCCCTTGTTCTTATATTTTCAAGAGACATGTAAGCAAGCAAATACTCCAACATACACAAACCTGCTAAAATGTCTGGAACAAGAATCCCAAGTTCCACTCATCACAAAGCTGCTTGTGAAAATCTACTCCACCGTTTGTTTCCATGTCTGAGAAAAACACACCTCATCTGCATTCCCTGGATCCTCCATATGGGAGGGTACACCCCTGCATGTAAAGAACCAGTTCACCACCTCCATTTTTCATGAACATTCAGAACAAAGGGCTCCTTTCTTGAGTGCTACTCTGATCCCATGAATTCAAAAATGTTTAAGGAAGCTCTATCTCCACACCAGCACCTGAGGAGATGGAGACTTTTAGAATAGAATTTTAAAATGTTCTCATTGAGCCCTCCATTCTAGAAATGGCTATAAGTAAATGAAACTCGGAAGTGTCTGGAGCCTACTGAGCTCTACCTAGCAACACTGTGTGTTCCTTGGCACACAAGACAGAAACTCAAGGCAGACCCATCACTTCCTCAGATACCATCTTGTCCCATTTTCCTTAAGATAAGGTGTCCTGGTCCATGGGCCTATTATTTGGGGTCAATCCTCAGCAGGAGAATGGTTAGGTGTTACAGGGAGAGGAAGGTGACACATGTGGTTTGGATTTTTCACCCAAACCCTTTTCAATGAGCCTTAGAGAAATACAGGAGCCTGTTGAAACATTACTTACTGCCTGTTGAATATTGGTCTTCACTTGCTCACTCAACATGCCTTCAAAGACAAAGGAGTCGCCAAACTTCTCAGCCTATAAGGAAGGTAGGAAATAAAAATCCAGAAAAGGTTGTAGTAATGTGTTGCATGTGTGCCCTTTTCTCTCCACACTATTAAAGTGATTCCTCTTGTCCAATTGAACTTGAGTCTTTCTTATGACTTCCCAGAGGACTCAGAAATGACCTAAAAGTCTCTGGCTTCCTCTTAAATTAATGTCACTTACAGAGACCATTTTCGTTTAAGACTCACTTAGCTGATAAGAATGCAGACTGAACAAGATTAGCTTTTGAGAACGTGACTGTTCTTGAAGGAAATACATTTCCCCAAGTATCACAAATGACTCTGGGAAATAGTATTCTGTACGTGTGAGATTACATAATCAATCTTTGTCCTTTGTCCTGAATCTAGCTAAACGAATTAAATAGCACTGTTTGCTCACATTCTGACACATTCTAGTTCCACTAAGGGGTCAAATGTGCTTATAAATCTCAACTGGCCAATTCAAGCATCAAATGGAAATCTGTATTTTAATGATTTTATTTAACATTAGTGTCTCAATTCTTCATCCACCTGATTATTTTTGTTGCATGTAACCCTATTCTGAAAATTAGGTCGTTTGTCCCTTGGTAACCATGACTCTCCTCCTACATTTGTCAGTGTTCTTATTCATCTCCTAAAATATGTGGGCTCTTGTTTCAGCCACTGAAACACTGCTGCTCCCCAGAGCTCTGCCCTTGGCTCTCTGCAATTCTACTACACCAGTGGCTCTCAGGCTTTGTGCAGTTGAGATTATGTAATCAGCTGGTTAAAACTACATATTGCTGCTCCCCAACACCAGAGATTCTCATTCTGGGGGTCTAGGGTGAGGTCAAGGAGTCTGTGTGTGTAAATAGCACACAGCTAGTTGTTCTAATACAAGTAGTTCAAGAGATGCACTTTGAGATACACTGATCGATTCTTGTTGATGGACAACTTTCAATCTCATCAAATTAACTATAGCCAGTACTCCAAATGACTCTCAAATCTCTACCTCTAGTGCTGTCCTGTTCTTACTAGATGAAATTAACTGAGTACTGGATCCTTATATTGCAGATCTTACAAGCATCTCCAACTCCTTTTCCGGAGTGGAGGCTGCCATCTTTTCTTCACCCCTAATCTTCTTCCTGCATTCCCTTGTGACACTGCCATGACTAACTACCTAAGCCATTTAGTTATTCAACAAACATGTATCAAACACCTACCATGTGCTCAGTTTGGGGCTAAATTAGGGGATATAAGGTCAATATCAGATAGCCATGGCCCCTATCCTTATTGTGCTTAAGTGTGGGAGCACAGAAAAAAATCAAGCCAAACAACGAATGGAAGACAATAATTATAACTTTACTACACCTTGTAAGGTAGAGTGTCATGAAAAACTTTCTTGAGAAAGTGACATTTAAGCTGAGATGACTCAAGAATGAGAAGGAGCCAACCATGCAGAAGGGGGATAAGCAAGAGGACTGCGAATTCCAAGCAGAGAGAAAATACGGGCCAAGTTCTTGAGGTGGGAAAGAATGTTGAGTTTTCAAGGAATAGAAACAAAACCAGCAGGGCTAGAACATAGTATACAAGAGGAGCATGATATAAAGTAAAGCTGGAGAGATGGGAAAAGAGTGCCATTAAAAAAACAGAGCATTTTGTCCAAGGCAGTTCTTGGTCCTTTTTGAGCTCCTTGGCAGTATGGTGAAGCTTAAGAACCCCCTTCTCAGAATAAAATGTTTAAATGCATAAAATAAAATCAATAAAAAAATAAAATAAAATAAATAGTATTATGAAGAAAAGTCATTATATCAAAATATTAATAAACAAACCAGTGCTATAGTATTAAATATGCTCTTCATTAATATATTAAATAAGATCTAGTGGCAGGTCTCATAATTATCATATTTCAAAGTGGGGATGAATGCAAACAATATTTCAAGATCTCTGCAACAACAAAAATATGATTAAAAATGTCTGTGATTTCTACTGGTAACAAAGTTAGAGGTACTGCTACTACTGCTGTGGTTTGCTGTTTGCATCATAATTGAAGAAAATACTACATTGTGGCTCGAGGGTAGTAAATAACCAGATATATTAGGTTGCTGCAAAAGTAATCGCGGTCTTTGCCATTAAAAGTAATGACAAAAACCGTAATTACTTTTGTACCAACTTATAACTTTTCCCTATCCATGTTTTTAGATGCCCCAAATTCTGCTTATTCTATCTAATCTTCATGGAGAACCCTGGTTCTGTAGAAGTCTTCTAACTTAAGTAAACTATTGAGGAACCTGAGCTGAGAGTATCTCTGTGAAACCAAAAGGAAAAGGACTTCTGCTTATTACGAATGTGTACAAAAACGGTTTTTTTGTTTTTGTTTTTGAGACAGAGTCTTGCTCTTCTTCCTGGAGGGCAGTGGCCGGATCTCGGCTCACTGCAAGCTCCGCCTCCCGGGTTCATGCTATTCTCCTGCCTCAGCCTCCCAAGTAGCTGGGACTACGGGTGCCCGCCACCATGCCCGGCTAATTTTTTGTACTTTTAGTAGAGACGGGGTTTCACCGTGTTAGCCAGGATGGTCTCGATCGCCTGACCTCGTGATCCACCCACCTCAGCCTCCCAACGTGCTGAGATTACAGGCGTGAGCCACCGCGCCTGGCCCAAAAAAGGTTTCTAACCACTTTATATAT
This sequence comes from Homo sapiens, assembly GCF_000001405.40. NCBI lineage: Eukaryota > Metazoa > Chordata > Mammalia > Primates > Hominidae > Homo > Homo sapiens. The sequence continues at coordinate 4,452,012 of NC_000003.12, forward strand.
TTGAGAAAATTCCAAAGAAATGTGACAATGCAAAACCAAATCTGAAAGTTGTTTTACTTTAAACATTCACTCTCAAATTATTCATTTAATAATAATTTACAAAAAGACATTTGGGGTCTTAAAAAAAAAAAAGAATAGGGACCCCACGAACTGAAGACAAGAGTAAAGGTTTTTCGTGAGAGAAAACTGGAAAGCATATAAAATAAGTATATTTCAGAAACTGACATAAACATTCATAGACTAGAAAGCTTTCCTCTTCCTATTCCCATTTAGGAAAGCATCCACTATCAGAACCTTGCTTTGTGATTCAGTGACCACCAGATGATGTCTGGAACTGCTATAGCACAGCATGTGTGAGTTGTCAAGGTGTTGGAATAAAGACACGAAAATGAAAAGCTGCACTTCTGCATTTATCACTTAAAAAATATGAAATGCTTCTGGAAAAAAACAAACTGCAACTTACTGAGAAGAAAAGTGGTCTTACTTTACATGCCATCTGTTATCTCAAAAAGCCTTAGTGGACAGTGGTATTCTCTGACACATTAAGCATTAACACAATATAGCATAATAGTTATAGCACATGTTCTGAGGTCAAACTGGCCAGGCTGGAATCCCAGCTCTACCACCAACTAGCTGTGTGATGTGGGGCAAATAACTTTTCTTATCCTCAGTATGCCACCTGAAAAATAACCTGCCTCATGGGGTTGCTGTGAGAAATTAAGATGAAATATATACAATAAAATGCTTCACACAGTTCTGCCACAGAATGCAGTAAAAATGGTCAGTCAATCTTAGCTGCTATTAAAGCATTCTTAAAAGTTCTGGAAAAGAACAAGTTCTCCCTCCTTTCCCCAATCCCATTACCTCTGTCAAATAGCCAGTTGAGTTCACAAACTTCTCAAATTCAGTATTACTGACTTCATAGGCATCCATGTAAAAGGCATCAATAGTAACTCTCCTCGCAGGTGCTTCCCCATCCTGCTTTATCTGAGGATCATCTGTGCCCATTGTAAATACTCCAGCAGGGATGGGGACCATCTACAATGAAAGGTGAAACACAGGAAGTCATGCATCACAGCCAAGGTGTACCTGTGTAGGGGTAAAGTTCCTAGCACCCAGGAAGCACGCAAGTTTGTAAATCTTCACCACAGTAATAACTGTAAAATTCGGAAAAATCTCTCTATACCCCAAAGAAGGTGAATCACGAGTCTCAAAAAGAAGTGAAAATTCTTTAAGAAGGTAATCTCCTTAATCAAACCACTACTTGATACAAATCTGTACCTGCACTGGAAACAGGTCTGGAATAACAGTCACCAAGCCGCTAACGGCTAGAATGCAGAGGTAGCGAGAATATCCCACTTTTCTTTTTTTTTTGAGACAGGTTCTCACTCTTTTGCCCAGGCTGGGGTGCAGTGGCATGATCAGGGCTCACTACAGCATTGACTTCCCAGACTCAAGCGATTCCCCCAACTCAGTCTCTCAAACAGCTGGAGTACAGACATGTGCCACCATGCCCAACTAATTTTTTTTTTTTTTTTTGAGACGGAGTCTTGCTCTGTCGCCCCAGGCTGGAGTACAGTGGCACAATCACGGCTCACTGCAACCTCCACCTCCCGGGTCCAAGTGATTCTCCTGCCTCAGCCTCCTGAGTAGCTGGGATTACAGGCGCCCACCACCATGCCCGGCTAATTTTTGTATTTTTAGCAGAGACAGGTTTTCACCAAGTTGGCCAGGCTGGTCTTGAACTCCTGACCTCAGGTGATCCACCCGCCTCGGCCTCCCAAAGTGCTAGGATTACAGGTGTGAGCCACTGCGCCCGGCCAAGCTGATTTTTTTTTTAAGTGATGAGGTCTCACTATGTTGCCAAGGTTGGTCTGCAACTCCTGCGCTCAAGTGATCCTCCCACCTCGGCCTTCCAAACTGCTGGGATTATGAGCCATTGTGCCCAGCCCCACTTTTTTCTTTATACATTTTTTATTCGCATATGCTTTTGTTTCTTTTGAATTATTTTTAAAAGCACATGTAAAAATGCAATCTATAATATCTTTAAATAACCACTGCATGAATTTTGGCCTCCAACAATCATGAAAAAGGCTTACCTCACTAAAATAGAAAGTTTTAAAGTTTACTAAGGGGCTGTTTGTATAATTCCTTATAAAAACCCTAATTGCAACTACTTTGTTCCTATCTACCTTCCCACATGAACTCTAAACTCCAAGAAGACAGCAATTGGGGCTGCCTTATTCACAGCTCTATTCCCAACACTGAGCACAGGATCTGAGGATGACACTGAAAATTTTCAGTTAAAAAATGCAGGTCCATGCTCAACATCATGAGTCATTAGGGAAATGCAAATCAAAACTATAATGAGGTTCCACTTCATGATCACTAGCATGGCTATAACAAAAAAGACACAACAACAAGTGCTGATGAGGATGTGAAGAAATTGGAACCCTCACATATTGCTGGTAGGAATGTAAAATAGTTCAGCTGCTTTGGAAAACAGTCTGGCAGTTTCTCAAAAAGCTAAACGAAGAGTTATATGACCCTGCAGTTCTCCTAGGTATATACCCAAGAGAAATAAAAACATATGTCCATGTAAAAACTTGTACAAAAACATTCATAGCAGCATTATTCATAATAGCCAAAAAGCAGAAACAATCCAAATGTATATCAGCTGATGAATAAGTAAACAAAATTTGGTATATCTATAAAATGGAATAATATTCAGACATAAATAAGTATTGGTTCATGCTACAACATGCGTGAACCTTGAAAATACTATATTAAGTGAAAGAATCCAATCACAAAGGGCCACATATTGTATGAATCTATTCATATGAAATGTCCAGAATAGGCAAATCCAAAGAGACACAAAGTAGATTAGTGGTTGCCAGAGGCTAGGGGGAGGCAGGAATGGGGAATGATTGCTAATGGGCATAGAGTTTCTTCTTGAGATGATGAAGTATTCTGGAATTAGGCAGTGATAGTTGTAACACCTCATAACTATATTAAAAACCACTGAATTGTACATGTTGAAAGAGTGTATTGCATTCTATATGAATTCTATCTCAACTTTTTTCAAAAACCACAGGCCTTCAACCATACCATCTGTCAGAAATACACTCTTTACAGACACAATGTCTTATTTTCAAATCATTTGAGTGAGCCAATTAATAGACTCCTCAGCAGCTTAGGAATTGTCAAGTTCCTCATCTATAAACAAGGGTTCAATATCACAGAATAAAACGGATCATAAGAAACTACTTATAAACAATTATATATCTACAAATTTGATAACCTTGAAAAAAATGAATAAATTCCTAGAAACATACAGCCTACCCAGACTGAATCAAGAAAAAGTAGAAAATCTGAACAGACTGATAACAAATAAGGAAACTGAATAAATAATTTTAAAAATTGGCCAGGTGCAGTGGCTCACACCTGTAATCCTAGCACTTTGGGAGGCCGAGGCAGGTGGATCACCTGAGGTCAAGAATTTCAGGCCAGCCTGGCCAACACGGTGAAACCCCGTCTCTACTAAAAATACAAAAAATTAGCCGGGTGTTGTGGCACACGCCTGTAATCCCAGCCACTTGGGAGGCTGAGGCAGGAGAATCACTGGAACCCAGGAGGTGGAGGTTGCAGTGAGCTGAGATTGCACCACTGTACTCCAGCCTGGGCGACACAGCAAGACTCCGTTTCAAATAATAATAATAATAATAATAATTTTCCATCAAGAAAAGCCCAGAACCAGATGGCTTCATGGCAGAATTCTAATTTAAAGAAGAACTAATACCAATCCTTCTCAAATTCTTCCATAAAATTGAAGAAGAGGAAACACTTCCAAACTCATTTTATGATACCAGCATTACACTGACACCAAAGCCAGACAAGAATACTACTAGAAGAAAAAAAAATACAGGCCAATATCCCTAATGAACATAGATGCAAACATTCTAACAAAATACTAGCAAAGTGAATTCAACAGCACATTAAAGGGATCATATACCAAAATTAAGTGGGGTTTATCCCTAGGATCAAAGGATGATTCAACATATGCAAACTACAAATGTGATATACCATGTTAGCAGAATGAAGGACAAAACCAAATGTTCACCTCAATATATGCAAAGGCATTGATAAAATTCAACATCTTTTCATGAGAAAAACTCTTGACAAGTTAGGCATTGAAGGAATGTACCTTAACATGAGTCATATATGAAAAGCCCACAGCTAACATTATACTCAATGGGGAAAAATGGAAACCTTTGCCTGTTAGATTCAGAACAAGCCAAGGATGCATACTCTTGCCACTTCTATTCCATGTAATACCGGACATACTAGACAGAGCAATTAGGCAAGAGAAAGAAAGAAACAGCATCCAAGCTGGAAACAAAGACGTTATGTTGTCCCTGACTGTAGATGCCATGTTTTTCTTTGTTTTTTTTTTTTTTTGAGACGGAGTCTTACTCTGTTGCCCAGGCTGGAGTGCAGTAGCACGATCTCGGCTCACTGCAAACTCTGCCTCCTGGGCTCATGCCATTCTCCTGCCTCAGCCTCCTGAGTAGCTGGGAGTACAGGCACCCGCCACCACACCAGGCTAATATATATATATATATACGTGTATATATATATATGTGTGTGTATATATATATATACGTGTATATATATATGTGTGTATATATATATACGTATATATATACATATATATACGTGTGTATATATACACACATATATACGTGTGTGTGTATATATACACATATATACGTGTGTGTGTATATATACGTGTATATATATACGTGTGTGTGTATATATACGTGTATATATATACGTGTGTGTATATATATGTGTGTGTATATCTATATGTGTGTGTATATATATGTGTGTGTATATCTATATACGTGTGTGTGTATATATATACGTGTGTGTACATATATACGTGTGTGTATATATATACGTGTGTGTATATATATATACGTGTGTGTATATATATACGTGTGTGTACATATATATACGTGTGTGTGTATATATATATACGTGTGTGTATATATATATATATACGTGTGTGTATATATATATATTTTTTTTGTTTTGTTTTGTTTTTTTTAGTAGAGACAGGGTTTCACCATGTTAGCCAGGATGGTCTCAATCTCCTGACCTCAGGTGATCCACCCACCTCAGCCTCCCAAAGTGCTGGGATTACAGGCATGAGTTACCACACCCAGCCAGCATTTCTTTATACTAATGACAAACTATCTGAAAAAGATATTAAGAAATTAATCCCAGGCCAGGATTCAATGTAATTTCTATCAAATGTAATTCCTATCAAATGTAATTCCTATCAAAATTCTAATGTCATTTTTCAAGGAAATAGAAAAAAAAATCCTAAAATTTGTACAGCACAACAAAAGACCCCAAAGAGCGAAAGCAATTTTGAGCAAAAAGAACAAAGGTGGAGTACCACACTATCTGACTTCAAAATATACTACAAACCTAATCAAATGGCATGGTACTGGCATAAAAGCTAACACAAAAACCAATGGAACAGGATAGAGAGTCCAGAAATAAACTCATGCATTTACCATCATCTGATTTTCAACAAAGGCACCAAGAACACACAATGGAGAAAGGACAATCTTTCAATAAACGGTATTAGGAAAACTGAATATCCACATGTAGAAGAATGAAATTAGACCCTTATCTCACAGCATATACAAAAATCAACTCAAACTGTATTAAAGACTTAAATGTACAGTCTGAAACTGTAAAACTACTAGAAGAAAACATTGGGAAAAGAAGCTCCATGACACAGGCCTGGCAAAGATTTCTTGGACTTGACCCCAAAAGCACAGGCAACAAAAGCAAAAATAAACAAATAGGATTGTATCAAACCAAAAGGCTTCTGTATGGCAAAGGAAACAACAGAGTGAAGAGATATCCCAGAATGAGTGAAAATCTTTGCAAACCATGCATCTTATATGGAGTTAATATTCAAAATATATAAGGAATTCAAATCAATAGCAAGAAAACAAAGAACTCAATTTAAAAATGGGCAAAGGACCCGAATAGACATTGCTCAAAAGACATACAAATGGCCAACAGATATAAGAAAAAATGCTCTTCACAACTAATTACCAGGAAAATGCAAATTAAAACCACAATGGGCTATCTCCTCACACCTGTTAGAATAGCTATCATCAAAAAGATGAAAGATAACAAGTGTTGGAGAAGATGTAGAGAAAAAGGAACTCTACTGCAGTTGGTGAGAATGTAAATTAATACAGTGATTATGGAAAACAATATGGAGGTTCCTCAGAAATCTGCAAACAGAATTACCATATGATCCAGCTATCCCACTTCTGGGTATATGGCCAAAGGAAATAAAACCAGTATGCTGAAAAAATATCTACACTCCCAAATTCATGGCAGCATTATTCACAATAGCTAAGATACAGAAGCAACCTAGATGTCCCTTATCATATAAATGGATAAAGAAAATGTTTATATATACATATATATATAAATGTCAGAATACTTTTTAGCCTTAAAAAGAAAACTCGGCCAGGTGCGGAGGCTCACGCCTGTAATCCCAGCACTTTGGGAGGCCGAGGCAAGGGGATCATGAGGTCAGGAGATCAAGACCATCCTGGCTAACACGGTGAAATCCCGTCTCCACTAAAAATACAAAAACTTAGCCAGGCGTTGGTGGCGGGCGCCTGTAGTCCCAGCTACTCCGGAGGCTGAGGCAGGAGAATGGCGTGAACCTGGGAGGCGGAGCTTGCAGCGAGCCGAGATGGAGCCACTGCACTCCAGCCTGGGCAACAGAGCTAGATTCCGTCTCAAGAGAAAAAAAAAGAAGAAAACTCTGTCATTTATGACAGCATGGATGAACCTAGTGGACAGTATGCTATGTGAAATGAGCCAAGCACAAAATGACAAATGCCTTGATGATCTCACTCATATGTGAAATCTAAAAAAGTTGAACTAATTGAAGTAGAATGGTGGTTATCAGAGGCTGGGGGAGAGGGGAAGATGGGGAAAGGAAAGATGTTGATCAGACGGTACAAAATTTCAGTTAGATAGAAGAAATTAGCTTTAGTGATGTATTGCACAGAGTGGTGACTATAATAAGTAATGCATTATATATTTCGCAATTATTAAAAAATAGATTTTAAATGTTTCCACCACACAAAAAATATAAGTATGTGAGCTGATGGATTTGTTAATTAGCTTGATTTACTCATTCCACAATGTAAACATATATCAAAACATCACGTTGTACCCCACAAATTATTATAAAATTATTTGTCAATTAAAAATAAAATTTTAAAAAACAAGGGCTCAAATTAGAAAGGGGAAAAAAAAGAAGTCAAGGAGAGATGGACTAGTTGGAAAAAAAGAGAGTCACTTAGCAATACGGGCAGAAGCATTAGAAAAATAACATCAGAAGAAACAGAAATTAGGAATCCACAGTCATTGATTCTACTTTCCATTTCTACTGGCTTTCCTTGCTGGTGGCTGCTTTGATTCTATGCGTGTACTTCCCAATAAAAATGGTGCTGTTTTCATTTATGATAAATTAGTAATAAATGTGTTTTTATTTGTCTAATGTATTACTACTATCCCAAGAAATCAACCTTGACTACTCACATCCCCTACTCCCAATATTACACAGGCCACCTAGTCTCACTAGATTTCCTAAATATGTATCTCTCTAATCTCTCCCTCTTTTCTACCCCCAGATAACTGCAGAACCCTTGTAATTGGTGTTCCTGTCTTCAGTCTCCTTTCACATCCCCACCTGCTTCCAAGTCATCTATCTTCCATTCAATAATTCATTCAACAAATATTTAAGCCCCTACTAATCCTTCTGAAAATGTTAGTCTACTGTACCCAATGCAATTTTCCAACTGAAAAGGGCTGGAAACAATCTAAATGTCCATCAATAGCAGGCTCATTTTAAGTAAATTGTGGGCCTTCAATAAAATGGAAAATTAAGCAGCCATAGGAAAGAAAAAAGAAGAGGGGGATAAAAAAGGATGCTTTTGATATATTGATATGGAAAGATCTCACCATGATGAGCTACAAGAACAAAGCAAGGTGCACAAATGCTAAGTATGGTATGCTGTCATTAGCGTGAAAGTAGGTTGAGGGATACAGGTACACTATTTTTGTATTTACTTATATTTGCAGAACATAGCTCTGAGGAAATATATAAGAAATGCATGCAGTGGTTGTCTGAGGGGAAAGTTACTGGGTAAATGAGAAATTGTTCACTATATACTCTTCTATATGTTTTTAAATTTTTAAACCACGTAAATATACTACCTGTTTTAAAAAATAAAGTGTCAATCTGACCATACTACTTTCCTACTTAAAACTGTCAGGAATTCCTATCGCCTTTCAGAATAACATATATAAACATCAGAGCTCATCTCTCACACTCTCTCTTGCCCTGTCTTTCACCCGCATTTCCATAAACCACTTTGTCTCTTGGTAAATATTGTCATGGTTCAAGGATCAGCTCCTCCAGGAGGCCTTTCCTGCCTGCATATCCCTCTAGCTCATGTGCCCTCACACACACAGTGTGTGTGTGTGTGTGTGTGTGTGAGAGTGTGTGTGTGTATATATATACATATATATATATATATATTTTTTAAGAGATGGAGTCCCACTCTGTCACCCCACGCTGGAGTGCAGAGGCGTGATCACAGCTCACAGCACCCTTGATCGTCTGGTCTCAAGCAACTCTCCCACCTCAGCCTCTACGCAGCTGGCACTACAGGTGAACACCAACACACCCTGCTAATTTTTTTTTTTAGTAGACACGAGGTCTTGTTATGTTGCCCAGGCTAGTCTCCAACTTCTGAGTTCAAGTGATACTCCTGCTTCAGCCTCCCAAAGTGCTGGGCTTACAGGCATGAGCCACCGCATCCCACCCAAAGTATCTTAATTCTGTGTTTTCATCTTCCCTAGAACCTAGGCTCTTTGAGGACCAGAAATGAATCTTTTATTTCTATATCCCCACTGCCTAGCATGGTGCATGGTCCACAGCAGACACAAAAATCTTTACCAATTGAATGAGGTCATGACTGTAATGAGGAATTTATCATTTGAATTATGCATAATTATAAAAATGCTATTTAATTTATAACAGTTCTAGACATGCATAACATGTCAACATCACAGTGAAACCTGTCTAACAGATGTAGGTCAAGGACCGAACTAGGTTGTCCATTATTCTCACTATACTCTAAGTGCTGGGACACAAGATAACCCAGTCCTAAAAGGAGAAATCAACATTTTAAGCAGCTCTACAAAGAAGTAGAAAAATTGAAGACATCAGACAAAAGTTTCAAGAGCAGTCTTAAAATGATTAAGAGGCTCTAATAAGAGATTTCATAAAAGACTTAAAGAAAAAGCTTTCCTGTGGCAAATACTTCCTGTTAGGAGAACAGTTGCTCATCCCTCAGCTCAAAGGACCACAGGAAGCTGTGCCCATTGTACCTAATGAACTTTTACAATTATCTAACTTTTCTCATCTTCTTCTCCCTCAAGGTGAGTACCAACAATGCTAATGCAATCATGACTTCCATGTGAACTTCCGGCCGAGTTTTTTTTTTTTCCTTCTTTCATTAACCATCAGAGATAGCCAGTGCTGAATAAGCCAAGTTTCCATTCTGGAGACTATAGATAAAAATAGCCTGGATCACTCTGAGTGGATCATAATTTCTCATTTATACTAATGAAATAAAGTTTTCTGTCCTACAAATGTCAAATGTCATTCAAGTGAAAACCAGAGAACCAAGTGTCTCACTCTGTAGGATCCAAAGCCACATAAAAAGGACCATTTTAGTCAACTCTTCACTGAAGGTTCAAATTCAAACAATCCATATCTCCTCCAATCTGAAGGTGAGATAACCCCTTCCCTGCCACACCACAGCTTCTGCCACTGCCACTCAAGCCAGAAGCATAAGTGAAGTAAAGAATGACTCTATTATTCATTGGAATAACAGAACCATATGTGGGCTACACACTTAGGCCATGTGCAGTGGGCACTGCTATTTTGGTCCATCCGGCACCCAATCCCTCTACTTCTTGTAAAATACTGAAGTTCCTTTCCAAAACCATTTCTTAAGCTTTCTAAGTGGCCCAGGGGTACTGGATGACTCTATCCTACTTCCCAACCCCCACCAAGCCTGGCCAACCATAGCATTCTTTTGACCACGGAGATGTAATTAGGGATAGGCCCAAGACCCAATCAAAGTTCATCTTTGAACTTTTGCTGGAGCTACCAGGAAAGAACTTTTTCTCTTCTAGTTATCTTATCAGTAGGAGAAGGGACATTACCTGACAATGGAGCCGACTATGCAGAAGAGCCAAGAGATAGCCAAAGAGAAAGGCCTTGGAGATGCTGCCTGAGGCCCTGTATCCAGGTGTGTCTGGGGCCATATTTACTCTTGAACTTCCCAACTAGGGGAGCTATAAATGTCCCTTCCAGTTTTTTCCTGCTTAAGCCAGTCTTGTCTTTTTTTCACTTGCTACCGTAAGATTTTTGTCTTGTACACAAAAATAGAATCAGCTCATACGTAACTTTTTTGTGTAACTTCTCCTTTTCCTTCTTTCCTCTCCTCAACCTTAACATTAAAAGCTAAAGGCTCTTGTTCTGAGTCCCCTCTAATAAAAAATAAAATAAAATAAGCTAAAGGTTCATGAGAAAGCTGGGTGAATAAGAGAAGCATGCTCTCTGGATCTGTCCACAAACTCCTGCCTTATCTATCTATACAGGGCTTATTTATCTATACCATTCTGTCACCCTCCTGCCTCTACAGACAGACACTAATCATAGATGAAATGACATTCAAAGTTTCTTGCAGTTCTGAGCTATATGATTCCTTTAAGCCTCAGTTGCCTCATCTGTAAAGTGGGAGATGATCTCTCTCACAGGATTCTTAGGAGGATGAATACAGCAAAAGAATACTTTACAAATGTTTCTTGAAAAAGTATGTGACCTTCTCTATTCCCAAGGCAGTTTCTCAATACTGTATCCACCAAAAAAGGAAACACAGGTCATTCAAGAAATTATTACAGAATGCCTAAAATGTATAAGGCACGTGGGGGATATAGAGATTAAAACATCTAAAAATGCTTCCAATGTAGAATATCAGACAACTACAAAACTAGCACTACATTAGGGCTGGGCGCGGTGGCTCACGCCTGTAATCCCAGCACTTTGGGAGGCAGAGGCAGGTGGATCACGAAGTCAAAAGATCGAGACAATCCTGGCCAACGTGGTAAAACCCCGTCTCTACTAAAAATACAAAAATTGGCCAGGCGTGGTGGCAGGTGCCTGTAGTCCCAGCTACTTGGGAGGCTGAGGCAGGAGAATCATTTGAACCCAGTAGGCAGAGGTTGCAATGAGCCGAGATTGCACCACTGCACTCCAGCCTGGGTGACAGAGCGAGACTCCGTCTCAAAAACAAAACAAAACAAAACAAAAAAACACTAGCACCATATTGAAGAAAATATACAAGTTGTCATCAAACAACAACAAAATAAGCTATGGGAACTGAGAGGATAGAAAAACTACTTCTTTGTAGGAGGTGGAAAGGTTTCATGGAAGAGACGGCATTCGATTGTGCCTCATTGCCCAGGGAAGCATTACCAGTCAGAAACCTCCTCAGACAGGAAATCAAGACTGACTTTATCCATATGTACAGACATGCCACCTACAATCTTAGCATCCCATGATCCTAAATGCCTTTCAAATAACTCTTCTAAAAGATAAAAGCAGACTAAAACATTTTGCTTCCTTGTTACAAAATCATAACCCACGCAGAAAACTATTAGGATAATTTTCTCAATGAGAATCATATTTTTATAACCAGAGGGAATACACATTAAATTTTTAAACATCTATATTGTTTCCCAGACAATTCTAATCGCCATAACTTTCTAGTGAAACTGAAAATTTCTTGAGGGCAAAGCCCAGTGTTATTTCTCTGTGCCCCTCACCTTGCCACACACACTCATTGTATGAATACACAAAAACAAAAAAAGACTCATCTAAAAAGTGTTACATTAAAAAGTGTGAACATGTCACTCCCAGATCTTAAATCACTTATGTTTCCCAGCACACACCACGCATTTCCACAATGTGCCATGTGTTGATACTATTCTCCTTCTTGGAATGTCCTTGAATCTGGAATTCCATTCCCAGCTCCGAAAAATATTTCCTCCAAGGCCTAGCTCAAATGTGGCCTTTTTTTTTTTGAGGCACTACTCGACTTGTCCATGAAGAATTAATTCTTTCTTCCTCTCCAGGTACTCTGGACATATCCCTCCTATAGTATTCTCACTATAGAAAAATGATACTTATGTGTGTGTCTGTGTGTGTTTGTGTGTGTGTGTGTGTGTGAGAGAGAGAGAAACACCTACCAGAGTGTAAATGCCATGTGGGTAGTGTATGGGTCTTTTTCTGTATGCCCAGCACATAGGATGAATCTTACATAACAAGTGTTATATAGTAATGTGCCAAATAAACATTTGTTTAATTAAACCAAATAAACAGAAAACAAAGAGGGGAAAAAAGGCAGAAACACCACTATGCTCATTTACTTCTCCTGAAATATTGGAGTTCCTGAATTTAGAATAAATGGTAAAGTGTCAGAATTAGACCAAAGTCATCTGCACATGAACTAAAACATTTGAAACCAAGGAAAATAGAGAGATTAAGAACAGCCTCCTATGACGTCATTGTCTTGATAACAAGACTGCTTCAGTTTCAGTCATTAAGTTCAGCCCTTGAAGGCTTGAAGGTATATTCTCATCAACCACTAATTTGTTAATAAATTGAGATGCCCCTAAGCATTGTAGAAAGCAGACTATAAGAACTGGCCAAAGATGGCCCATATAGCATCCAGTCAAGACACAAAACCACTCTATAGGGATGAAAAATGTACATCTTGTAAATGTAATCCAAAAGATTCTAACATCCACATCCCATTCTGGAACCCAGAGGAAAATAGAATGTTTAAAAATGAAAAATGTTCAATGCTTGCCAGAGGAATCTAGATAAAATTTTGAGACAGACCAATGTATATATGCAAATGAGATGGCTGCCCTATTAAAAAATAGATAAACAGATGTAAGGATTTCTCCTTAGAAAGAGGGACAGACTGGCTTGGCGCGGTGGCTCACGTTTGTAATCCCAGCACGCTGGGAGGCCAAGGCAAGCGGATCACAAGGTCAGGAGATTGAGACCATCCGGGCCAACATGGTGAAACCCCATCTCTATTAAAAATACAAAAATTAGCTGGGTATGGTGGCGTGTGCCTGTAATCCCAGCTACTTGGGAGGCTGAGGCAGGAAGGAGAATCATTCGAACCCAGGAGGTGGAGATTGCAGTGAGCGGAGATCGCGCCACTGCACTCCAGCCTGGTGACAGAGCGAGACTCCGTCTAAAAAAAAAAAAAAGAAAAGAAAAAAGAAAGAGAGATTGATTATCAATTACCAGGCAAGTTAGAGAGGAATTAATATCAAGTATGGCCAATACACACTAAAACAGTAATCAGGAGTCTTCAACACACAAAAGATAAACAGTACTGCAGGACATGCTCTAAGGGTAACAGGAAAAAAAGTAAAGGCCAAAAATTATACAGGATGGAAAAACAATGAGAAGCCCAGGTATCAACCTCCTACACTCTACACCTGAGAGACTAAATCATGGTCCTGACCCCATCACCCTCACAGTCCAGTTGGGGAGAGACATCAGCAGAAAAACATCTTTAATAATTGTTATGTCAGAATAAACACATAACTACTGAGGCAGGATACGGAAATATTGAAGGGGAGAGAAAGAGGAGATCAGGTAAAACCTACTGTGGATGTTACCTCTCACCTAAGTCCTAAATATTGGTCAGGATTAACCCAAAGGAAAGAAAAATGGAATGGGAAAAGGATAGTGTCTGCTAAGTAAACAAGAAGGAGCACTAGTTTAGGAGTCAGAAGACCTGACCTTTAGACCCATAAGTTGTTTCGACAACACATCAATATGCAAAATACCGGGCAGACAGATTGAAGTAACAGTTATTTCTTTCTTTCTTTTTTTTTTTCGAGACGGAGTCTCGCCCTGTCGCCCAGGCTGGAGTGCAGTGGCAAGATCTCGGCTCACTGCAACCTCCGCCTCCCGGGTTCCAGCAATTCTCCTGCCTCAGCCTCCCGAGTAGCTGGGATTACAGGCGCCCGCCACCACGCCCGGCTAATTTTTGTATTTTTAGTAGAGACGGGGTTTCGCCATGTTGGCCAGGCTGGTCTCGAACTCCTGACCTCGTGATCCGCGCGCTTCGGCCTCCCAAAGTGCTGGGATTACAGGCATGTGAGCCACCGCGCCCGGCCAGTAAGTTATTTATATATCCCGGCACCTAACACATACAGGCGCTAAGCAAGACAGATAAATAATAGCAATAAAACAACTACAGTTTGCTTAGCCCTTCCTAAGTGCTAAAGTGCTAAGAATAGCAGGATAAACAATTCAAGCCCTTGTCCTCAAGCAGAGTGTACTCGAGGAGACTACAGATAAGTATACAACAACCCTGGTGAAGATACTGAGACCCAGGATCCTAATTTATTCCGTTAATAAGAGAGGAAATGGTGATTTAAACCATAATTTGATTGCCTTAAAATTATGAGATCCTCATTAAGAGAACAGGTTGGAGGGAGAAAGAAATAGGGGGTAAAGAAGTAACAATAACCCTCAAACCAAACTCCCTAATGGTCAATTAAATGGAGTCTTCCGGTGAGGCACGGAGAAGGAACTCCTCATACGGGAACAGCAGGTGCTCGATTTGGGGTGTGGTTATAACCTTTACTTCCCTTCCTACTAGTGCCTTGCTTTGCCTACTCCAACCCCGTCCAGGAACCGAGCAGCCCCCACCCGCCTCGGAGGAATCGATGGAGCACCTTTGAGTGCGCGAGTTGCCGCTCTCCGGGTACGGGGCCCGGAGCGTTAGCCTCCCGCGAGTATCGGTGAGCGGCTGCCGAACTGCCATGGGCGCCAGGCCGCTGGGGCGTGCCGCAGCCGCAAGAACCCGCAAGGGACCCCGCGCCCGCACCGGTCCCGGCCTCCTGGCTCCCTGCCGCTCCACACAGCAGCGAGAGCAGCAGCAGCAAGAGGACGAGACCCAGCTCAGGGCAACGTCCACACACCAGCCCTAGTGCGGGCGCAGCCATGTTGTCCCGCGGGCCATGTGACCCGGTTGGTCACGTGGCTGAGCCCTCCTTAAAGGGGCAGAATTTTGAGCTGACTTACGAAGTGACCAGGAGAGTTGCTCTTCACCTTTCTTCAGGTACTTCTTTGGCGCTGCTGCTTGCCTGTGCTAACGTCAAAACGCAGCAAAACACAAAACTCCACAAAACTCAAGGCCTTCCACAGACCGTGCACCCCTTTATGATTTCTTGGTTGAAAAATAACAGTCAAATTTGCTGGGCATTTGGTAAGTGCCAGAGTACTATGCTAAGCACTTCACTTTTTAAAATCTCATTTAATCCTCACAAAGACCCAGTAATGGCGCGCTTGTAGTCCCAGCTAGTCGGGAGGCCAAGGCAGGAGAATCGTTTGAACCTGGGAGGCGGAGGTTTCAGTGAGCCCAGATCCCGCCACTGCACTCCAGCCTCGGCGACAGAGCAAGACTCCGTCTCAAAAAAAAAAGAGAAATACAATACGGAATCAGAATCCGTGGGGACTGGACACAGCAATCCAGGGTTTCACAAGCTCTCCAGATGATTCTAATCCACACTTAAGTTTAAGAACCACTGTTCTACAGTTCCGTAATCGAACAAAATGCAAAACCAAAACAAAAAGAAGATGAAGGAGAAACTTACAGATTAAAAAACAACATAGCAGGCCGGGCGCGGTGGCTCAAGCCTGTAATCCCAGCACTTTGGGAGGCCGAGGCGGGTGGATCACGAGGTCAGGAGATCGAGACCATCCTGGCTAACACGGTGAAACCCCATCTCTACTAAAAAATACAAAAAATTAGCCCGGCGTGGTGGCACGCGCCTGTAGTCCCAGCTACTCGGGAGGCTGAGGCAGGAGAATGGCATGAATCCGGGAGGTGGAGCTTGCAGTGAGCCGAGATGGCGCCACCGCACTCCAGCCTGGGGACAGAGCAAGACTCCATCTGAAAAAAAAAAAAAAAAAAAAAACATAGCAGCCAGCTGCAATATGTGAACCTTATCTAAATACTAATTCAAACCTACTGAGTTCAAAATTTTTGAGATAATCAGGGAAATTTAACCACTAAGTCAAATTATAATATTTGATAAAATTAAGGAATTGCTGTAAATTTTGTTTTTAGGCTTTTAGGAGTAATAATGGTATTTGTGGCTATATTTTTTAAAAGAATCCCCTCACTGAGGTACACACACACTCACTGAGGTATACACACACACACACACACACACACACATATATATATATGGATAAAAATATAGGCAGTCAAAGATTTGCTTCCCAAAAAATGGGTAATCAGGGTCTGGCTAAAGATGAAGCATGATTGGCCATGAGTTGATAACTGTCATAGCTGGTTGATGGGCATCTGGGTGTTTATTGCACTATTCTAATGTAGCATCTGTTTGAATTTTTTTAGCATAAAGAAAAGACCAGCCAGGCACCGTGTCTCAAGCCTGTAATCCCAGCACTTTAGGAGGCCGAGGCAGGAGAATCGCTAGAGGCCAGGAGCTTGAGACCAGCCTGGGCAACACAGCAAGACCTTGTCTCTACAAAAAATTAAGAAAATTAACTGGCCATGGTGACGCACACCGGTGGTCCTGGCTACTTCGGAGGCTGAGGCAGGAGGATCACTTGAGCCTGGTAGGCAGAGGCTGCAGTGAGCCATGATTGTGCCACTGCACTCCAGCCTGGGTGACAAAGTGAGACCATCTCTCAAAAAAAAAAAAAAGGCCTTTTCTCCTTGTTGACTATTTTACAGTTTGCCAAGGCCTTTCACACATTTTCTCATTTGAGATTACAACCACTTGGCAAGAAATGTATTATTACTATACTCATTTCAAAATTGATGAAGCTAAAAGGTCAATGCCTTAACCAAGGTTGTATGTATTTACTGTGCATAATATATAGTCAAGGTCTAGGTCAACGGTAATCTTTGTTCGCCTCCTTCAAATATCAGTCTCAGCACATGCTGTGTCAGCTGCGCTTCAGAGACCTGAACTTCTTTGATTCCTGGTCCAGCTATACCATTAGGCTATAACCTCCATGAAGGTAAGGCAGGAGCCTATTCGTTTGCCACTGTATCAGCAAAATCAGGCCAAGCCTGCACATGATCACTCAGTGAACATTTATTAAATTATGGATAAGTGAATGAACAAATGAAGTAACGATTATCTCTTTCTCTTAAGGGGAATCAAATTGTGGAGAAAATAATATAGGTCTTAGACTCACAAAGAGCTGTGGTTAAAGCTGGCCACTTTACATGAAGTATGACCTAGGCAAATTATTTCAGCTTTCTGAGCCTCTATTTCTTCGTGTGTGAAATGGGAATAATAATTCCTTTTTCTTATAGATTTTATGGGGATTAAATAACACAAAGTATATAAAAGGTGTAGCCTGGTACCTGACATTTAACATATCTCAAAAATAACTTTGCTATTACTAATCATTATGAAAGATGGAACTTTGTTGGTTCTCCAGGACGATCATTCTTTTGTCTCAGGCTAACTTTTTAGTCAATAATCAATGAGTATGAGATCGATGAGAGATTTCTCATCAATATTTTCCACTCTAATATTTTGCTCCTGTCAGTGAGGAGGCTTGTTCTAAAAATTAAGAGGTAAAAAGTCCAACTCAGCCATCAGCTCGTACGAATTAGTGTAATTATATAAAATATCTCTCACCCTCCGTCTCACGTGTGAGCTCCTTCTGCATTTTGTAGCCTTTCTTGCTCCTTCTATCTCATGAAGCTGGGAGGATGAAAGACCCCAGTCCTGAAAGCAGCTTGTCTGCTCACTGAACATCAAAGAGTTCAGCATGGCTACAGTGGAGTGAGCAAGGGGGAGAGAAGAAAGGAAAGGAGATGAGAAAGGTAACATTGGGCCAAGTCATGGATGAAAGGAGAACAGAAAGGTAACATTGGGCCAAGTCATGGATGTTCTGGTAAGCTTTTACTGTGAAAGTTGGTGCCACTGCAGTTTTGAGAAGACATCTGACACTCTTCCTGCTGAGCAGCATCAATTTTCCCTCCAGGTTAGAGGCTTCTCTTGCTTTCTGGTTCCTGAACACAGGGAATGCAAAGTGCCCTGATGGTAGCCATGGCTTGTAGTTCAATGGGACCCTGGTTGTGTCCACAGAAAGACAGCATCCCTTTGTGGATCAGGACCTGCAGCTCTGCAGAGCTCAGAGTTGCAGGGATGGGAGAACAAAATCCCAGTAAGTCAGTAGGAGTAATAGTAAGTGGGGCTACTTCTACTTCCACCTCTTGGTGGAACCTATATATTCTTCCTACGTGGGAACAAGTCTGACATCTCTAATTGAGGGCGTATACTGCATCCTTATAGATGGCCCCATCTTTGCAGGAAATTGCATCCAAGCTGGCGTTTCAGCTGTGCTTTCAGTAAGCCATTTTCACCCTTTATGAGGCCAGCTGCTTTGGGTTCGTATTGTAAGGGATAAAACCACTGGATTCTGTGATCATGGCCTACCCCTGCACCTCCTTCACTGTGAAGTGGGTCCCCGGTCAGATGTCATGTGGTGTAGGAATATATGCCTATGCATAAGGCATTCTGAAAGCCCTCA
The DNA here is from genome assembly GCF_000001405.40 of Homo sapiens. Classification (NCBI taxonomy): domain Eukaryota; kingdom Metazoa; phylum Chordata; class Mammalia; order Primates; family Hominidae; genus Homo; species Homo sapiens. The sequence continues at coordinate 4,470,826 of NC_000003.12, forward strand.
GACAGTGATGCTGCCTGAGGCTCTTGGAGTAGGAAAGGCACAAGTCAAAATGTTATCTACTTCACACGTGCAGGACACTTGGCTCCACTTTTTGGGTTTGATGAATAATGTTGATATGAACATCCATGTACAAGTTTTTGTTTGCACATGTTTTCATTTGTCTTCATATATACTAGAAGTGGGATTGCTGGGTCATATGGAAATTCTAACCTTTTGGGTTTGGGTTTAAAAAAAAAAAAAAAACAGGATCTTGCCCTGCTACCCAGGCTGGATTGCTGGAGTGCAGTGGCATGATCACAGCTCACTGCAGCCTCAACCTCCTGGGCTTGAGAAATCCTCCTACCTCAGCCTGCAGGATCACAAGCTGCTACCACGTCCAGGTCATTTTATTATTTTTTTGTAAAGATGAAGTCTCACTATGTTGCCCAGGCTGGTCCCGAACTCCTGGCCTCAAGTGATCCTCCTGACTTGGCCTCCCAAAGTGCTGGGATTATAGGTGTGAGCCACCACTCCTGGTCTTGTTTAACCTTCTGAGGAATTGCCAGACTTTTCCAAAGTGGCTGTACCATTTTACATTCCCACTAACAATGTATGAGCCGTCCAATTTCTCCATGACGTAGTTCATTCTTCCACCTCCTTCAGAGTAAAATCTCTTTGTCCTTTATCAGGCCCAGCCTACCCTCAGCCAGGTTATACTGAAACTTGACCCTGGCTATAACCTGGCAGCCACAAGAGGATGTAGAGGCACTTTCTTGGGGGTGGGAGGCTGTTGTTTTTAAGCAGGAAAAAAAAAAAGTTCTGGTATATGCAGTATTTTCCACATGTGGAAACTACTGGTTCTCAGTAGGGAGGCTACCTCTGCGAGCTCCCTCTGGGGTCCCAAAGGAGTCTGCAGAGCCACATTTCACAGGGCCATCCACCTAGATGTCCCTGCCTCACTTTTCAGGTTCCAGGCCCCATGTTTTTCCAACCAGATTCCTGAATTTAGCATAGGAGATCTACTTTGGCTGAGCATCCAAACATCTGTGGTGGAACTCTGGGTTCTGCCGCTCAGCTGGGTCTGCTCTTGCACGGCAGGAGAAGACTTCTTTGCAAACTACCAAAGAGACCCTCTGGCTCTCACACTTGGTTCTCAGCTGTTTATTAACTGCTCTCAGTTTCTCATTATCCCTTGTAGAGAGGGTCAGTGCAGCTTGGTAATAACCAGCCAATTCCATTATCCTTGCATTCATTGTTCCTCTACACTTTTCAAACTCCTGAGTCAGCATGCTGGCACAGGCGTTCCTTTTCACCTGGACATTTTCCCAGGTCACTGCCAGTAACATTTTTAGCAGCTGGGCCTTGTGCCCAAAAATAATCAAACCCCACTCAAGATGGGATCCTTATCACCAGGCAGGCAGTGAGTGACCCAGTCCCCAAACTCCACTTTACCACCTGCTTTCTCAGACTACTCACACTACCAATTGTGTCAGTGTGGTTCCTCTTAAAAAGAGATGCCAAGATGTCATTAAAAATGCAAGAGAAAGCCAGGCATGGTGGTGCACCTGTAGTTGCAGTTGAGCCCAGGAGTTCAAAGCCAACCTGGGTAACCGCGAGATCTCACCTCTAAAAAGAAAAAGAAAAGAAAAAAAAACATTAAAAAGGAAAAAAAGGAAAAAAAAAGAGAGAAAAAAGGAGAAAAAGAGAAAAAAGGAAAAGAAAAAAAAAGAATAAAAAAAAAGAAAAAGAAATGCAAGAAATCCTATGGGGTTGGGGGGAGGGTCACACCTGTGAAACCCCAAGGAGAGAGGGAATAGGAAGGAATCAGAAGGGAAAGCCTCCAAACTGAATACAAGTCCTACCTGTGGAAGGAGGGAGGCAGGAAGGAACATGGAGGAGGAAAAGCCTCTGAGTCTGGTACTGCACTGAGAAAGTCTAGTCCAGGTCAACCAGAAGTCCAGAGCAAAGGCTTCTTATTAGAGGAGTTATGCATTGAGCCAAAATGGTGAACCCTATTCTTCCCACCAGGTTCAATCATTTGTTGGAGCTGCCCAGGAAGAGCGTGGCCTCAGTTGGAACACTGGCCAATCCTACAAGAGCTCTGCTGTGGGCTCTCCATTGACTGTACACCTTGAGGCAGGTTCTGTCTTGAAGAGCAATCTCAGCACATACTCCCGGGCTGCCACACTGTGGCCAAGAAGGTCCTCCATGATCTAGCCCCTGCCTTCCTTTCTGATCTCTTCTTCCATCAAATTGTCCTTTGCTCACCATGCTCTGGCCATGGTATCCTTCTTACTGCTCCTGGAACACATCAAGCACAGCCCTACCTCAGGGTCTTTGTACTTGCTGTTCCTTCTACCTGCAATATCCTACTTTTTTCAAAGCTGGCTCTTTCTTGTCATGCAGGTCTCAGTACAAACCTTATCTCCTCAGAGGAACCTTCCCTGATTCTCAAATGCAAAATAACCCTTTCCCATTCTGCTCTTTTACCTCACCTCCTTTATTGTCTTTATAGCTCTTGTCACTATCTGAAATGATTTCTTTTGTTCCTCTGTCTCCCCATGGGGGCAGCTATAGCATCTTCAGGATTCAATGCTGTAACCTCAATGGCTAGAACAACACTTGGTATGTATAAGTGCTAAGTAAATATTTACTGAATGAATGAATATATCATCCAATGAATAAAAACCTTCATGGTCTTGGTCCAAGTAGAAACTTGCTGCCTGACAGTGTTATACTCACATAGACATTTGAAATGTGGCTTTCCATTTTTACATCCAGGAGGGTTATACTCACATAGACATTTGAAATGTGGCTTTCCATTTTTACATCCAGGAGGGCCTGCAAGATGGATATAATAGTACCCAAGGATTGTATGAAGATTCTCATTAATTCATTAGACAAGTGTTTATTGAGTGTCAACTAGTAGCCAAGCACTATTCCAGGCACTGAGAATACATCAGTGAAAAAAAAACAGAAAAGAATTCTTGCCCTTGTGAAAATGACATTAAATAACTTAAACCATGTGACATACAACATTGCTTGGTGCATAAGAATAGCTCAAGAGTTTTTAGTTATGATTATTTCTATTGTCAACCCATTTAATATCTAAACTGAGCATTTCAAAGTATTTTAAAAAAAAAAAAAAAGGACACCTTCCTCTATACTTAGAGAGTAAAAGAGAGAAGTCCAAATAATTAGAGGTAGAAAAAAATTTTTCATATGGTTCTTTCTTTGGACTGTCTTTGGAGCCCTTTATTGGTGAAATTATCTGATTGGAAAGCCTATTAATTTAGGCTTTTTAGTTTTACTAGTTTGCACTGTAGTTTGTGCTGTGGAGAAAGTTATGTACAGAGAATGTTTCGTTTTGGTTTGTTCATTTCCTCTTTTCTTTTTCTTTTTTTCTTTTTTTTTTTTTTTTGAGACGGAGTCTCGCTCTGTCGCCCAGGCTGGAGTGCAGTGGCGTGATCTCTGCTCACTGCAAGCTCCGCCTCCCGGGTTCACGCCATTCTCCTGCCTCAGCCTCCCGAGTAGCTGGGACTACAGGCGCCCGCCACCACGCCCGGCTAATTTTTGTATTTTTAGTAGAGATGGGGTTTCACCGTGTTAGCCAGGATGGTCTCGATTTCCTGACCTCGTGGTCCACCTGCCTCGGCCTCCCAGAGCGCTGGGATTACAGGCGTGAGCCACCGCGCCCCGCCCCCTTTTCTTTTTCAAATGCTTCTGGTCTTACTTTCCCCACTCCTTGAAAGCACTGGGGTGGGGGTGGAGGGCATGGGGAAAGACTTCCTTAAAGAAAATGCAAAGAAAAGATACATTTTAAGAATACACAGGACAGAAGCTGCAGACAACAGAAAGATTAGTTTCAGAAGGCACTGGCACATTGTGAAAAACAGAACCAGGAGTTGGCTTAGAGGCTGCAGCAGCTCTGGGACCTCAGCAGCGGACTTTCTTGAACTTCACTCTGCTGCTCTCCTGGTTCACTCCCCAGCTCTCCAAGGTCTGCTTTTCCCTGCACACTTATTTTTTCTCTTCCAGTTGGCTTGCCTTCCTCCCCCCTCCTCGTTGTCTTTTTGTCATTGTTGTTTTTGGCTTCACAGCTTCTGCTTAGTCACAGTTCCCGTTCCCAGCATGTTCCTGACCCTTCATGGCCTCAATGCTACTGCACAGCCTCATTCAGCATCACTGTTTCCCCATTCACCTGCCACAAAGGGGAAGCCTGGTTTGCCCAGCTCCTCTTTCTCTCACCACAAGACACCATAGACCAATAGGAAGCCTATGCTTTAGCTGCATTTGAGTCACGTAGCTATTTCTGGTCCAATCAGTTGCAATTGGGTCAGGCAAACCTGTAGCTTGCATCAGACTCACTTAGGGGCCTTCTTAAAGCAATGATTGCTGGGGATGCCACCATATTCAGTACGTCTTGGGTGGGACCCAAAAATTCACATTTCTGACAAGCTCCAAGATGATGCTAATCCATACATTTTGCAAACTACTGCGTTCACAAAATAAGCCACTAGTTCTACCCCTTACTACCTGTGCTGGGTGGGGCACTTTTCTCTTAGCAATGCTAGCAGCATTACAGGCATTGTGATGGACAACTCCAGTACAGCCTGTAATTATTCTCCTCCAAACTTACCGTTTGTCTTCCTGATGTTCCTGGGCAGTGGTGTTTGGAGAGAAGGGTGAGAAGTAGCCAGAACGGCACCAAAAGAAATTTAGAGCAAGTGAAAGATGCTTTATGTGCCTTTGGAAAGAGAGAGGAAGAAATAATAGAAGAAATCACAGTCATGAGTCTCTTTTAGAGCCTAGATATCACAATGTTTGAAGTCAGATAAAATGAGGGAGAAAAATGGTTCCCAACTTTTTCACAAATGAGAGCTCAATTGTAGAGAGGAGATATATATGTCTTTGTATATATATATATTTCAGATGTTCATTCAATAGCAGTTTTACGTTTAGGGTTCTTTTTTTTAGAAAATGGAATGTCAAGATGCTGCTGTGAGGCAGTCCATTAGCAAAGGAAACTGCATATTAAATCACATCAGAAGCACCTGTATATATTTGAAGGTACAAATATACATCACCTTTTCAGACCTCAGCTAGTGCTTAACATAGGAGTGAACTCTCAATCCTTGTAATTACTCTGTGGTTTCCCAGGGATGTGTGACTAAGGGGATCCCCTAAGGTGGCTTAGGGGTTCAGTGAGGAAGTAACTTCTTTCCAGGAAGACTTACTTCTACTTAGAGCAGTCTTGACTAGTGTAATACAAAGAGTCCTAGAGTTAGAGTCAAAGACTGGACTTTGGGTCCTGGAATTTATTTAGGGGACTTTAGGTTTAGTCACAAAGCTTCTGTAAGCCTGAGTTTCTTCTTCTTGCCTACTTCATAACAGTGCTCCATTGAAATCAAGTAGGCAGTTATAAGAAGGAAAATAAACACTAGATGAGATTATTATGGTATTACTTTGCTTATAAGACAAATTTCCATCCTAGTTTATGGTTCTGAAATCTAGACGTATTTTTTGAGCTATGGATGCCTATAATGTGGTAGTACTTCCTCTTCCCTAAAAAAAAAAATGTTTTTAAAGCAGAGGTTTATATTTTAGCAAATGGTCTTGGAACAAAGGAAAAATGGCTTTATATATTCCTCTAATTGATAAATAATATATGAATTCATTATCTCTTTTTTTCCTGTCTCACCTGTAAATATGCCACCTTACATGGTAAAAAGGACTTTGCAGATATGATTCAGTTAAGGTCCTTGAGATGGGGAGATAACCTGGATTATCCTGAAGGTCTCAACGTCATCACAAGAGTCCTTATAAGCAGGAGAACCCCTCCTGGCTGTGGTCAGCAAGATGCAACAATGTGGTCAGAAAGCATGGAACAATGGTCAGAAACATGCAACATTGTTGGTTTTGCACATGGAGGAAGGAAGCCAAGGGCCAAGGAATGTGGGTGGCTGTCACAAGCTGGGCAAGGCAAAGGAACATTTTCCTCTAGAGCCCCCAGAAAGGAACACAACCCTGATAACACTTTGATTTTGGCCTAATGAGCCTCAGATTGGACTTCTGACCTATGAAACTGTAAGATAATACATTTGTATTGTTTAAGCAACTAAGTTTGTGATCATTTGTAATGGCAGCAAGGGGAAACTAATCCAAATATTTCAGTTCCACCATCATCACTAGGTGCAGGCTGGAATTCAGAGGCAAAAGGGTCAATAGATGTGTGCCCTCCATCCTCTTGGCATCCTTTGGGGAGTCAGGTAATGTGCTTTGGCTATGACACAGCTGGACCACAGTGGGACTGTGACCAGAGGAGGGACTCTGCCCCTCAACCTCTCACCATGCTCCCTTTTTGCCAGGAAAGTGGGAGAGTGGTCTTGCATGGGGTAGAGGTGGTGATAACCATTTGGGGCTCAGGCACAGATAGTCTGAGTTCAGATGTCAGCGTTAATGGGAATTTTGAGAAATGCTAACTGTCCTGACTTGGAGATACCAGGGGAGTCTCTGAAACACCATGGGGTTCTCAGCCCTCCCACTGAGAGATAGGAAACCTCGGGTCCCAGCAAGTTCCTGGCCAAAAACACAAAGTTTTTGGAGTCATTTCCCAGACAATCTTTATAGTTCTCTGGTTACATGTGTGGTCTTTGTGCATGTAAAGCATAGCAAGGTGCAATTAATTCTCTAACTTCAGCATCCATCAATCACCTGGAGGGCTGGTTGGAACATAGATTGCTGGTCCCCACCCTGGGAATTTCTAATTCAGTAGATTTGAGGTGCAGGTTGAGAATTTGTTTTTTGTTTGTTTGTTTTTTTTTAAAGACAGAGTCTCACTTTGTCACAGAGGCTAAAGTACAGTGGCACAGTCATAGCTCACTGTGCAGCCTTATGCACAACTAATTTTTAAAAATTTTTTTACAGAGATGGAGAGTCTCATTCTGTTGCCTGGGCTGGTCTTGAACTCCTGGCCTCAAGCAGTCCTCCTGCCTTGACCTCCCAAAGAGCTGGGATTACAGGTGATGAGCCACTGCCCAGTCCAAGAATTTGCATTTCTTTCAGTTTCCCAGGTAGTGCTGATTTGCTGCTGGTCTGAGGACTACCATTTGAGCACCATGGAAATAGTGGATAAGAGTTTAGGATTCAGGCCATCCTTGCTGCTTCCAGGTTGAATGATCTTGGGCGGCTTACTTAAATTTTGGAATTCTTAATTTTCTTCATCTATCAAATAGAGTAAATAAAACCCGCCTCCTAGGATTGTGATGAGGATTAAATATGATGATCTATGTGAAGGACTTAGCACATAGTAAGACCTTAATAGTTTCTATTATAATGTGTTACCATTATTATAATTAATGACAAGTTCTTAAGTAGCGTACAAGGCACCCAGAGGCACACCCATGGATAAGCCAACAGGGATGATAAATGTCCGCTCACAAACCGCTCACCTCACAACAGTGAGAGCTTTCTCCAAGTCTCCTGCCCATGGAATGTCATTTAACTTTGTAACTCAAAGGACTCCCAGAGGAAAGAGTCTGAATATAATGCTTTACCCACAAAACAGAATGAAGAGGAAGCAGAAAATTTTCAAATATTTTGTGAAAATTTGTCGAACAATAGAAAGAGGAAACTCATTTGGGTGTGATGCAATGGCTACAGAAATGAATAGACGTAAACTGGGCCAGGAGCAAACTAATTTGGAAATAATTTCGGAGAAGAAAAAGGAACTATGCCATGCTCTTTCCTCTGGGAAATCTGACAAGAAAGTAAGAACTGGGTTTTTTTCTCCTCCTTGTTCTGGGATAATTGGTATTATCATTATGTGAAAAAAGAAAAAGCCACCTGAAGGACCCCATTTTCCTTCCACTATGAGGAGTTCATTCTCTGGATCACAGCAGCAGCAGAACAGGGTAGGTCACTGGGAAACTAGGACAGGCTTGTGATCTCCCCCATGGAAAAGTGTCTCTTTCCTGGTGACAATTGGGCATATCAATGGACAATAACCCAGTGGAATAAAACTCTACTGTAATAAACAGTGAATTTATTATAACATAACATATAATACACTAAGTAGCATTAGGACTTTAATCATGCCTTTTGTTTAAAAAAATTTTTTTAAATAAAGAACTAGGCTGGGTGCAGTGGCTCCCGCCTATAATCTCAGCACTTTGGGAGACCAAGGCAGGTGGATCACCTGAGGTCAGGAGTTTGAGACCAGCCTGGCCAACATGGTAAAAGCCCGTCTCTACTAAAAATACAAAATTTACAAAATACAAAAATTAGCCAGGTGTGGTGGCACGCGTCTGTAGTCCCAGCTACTCTGGAGGCTGAGGCATGAGAATCCTTGAACCCTGGAGGTGGAGGTTGCACTGAGCCAAGATTGCGCCACTGCACTCCGGCCTGGATGTGTCTCAAAAAATGAATGAAAGAATGAATGAATGAATAAATAAATAAATAACTGGTAAAGCGAATAGATAGAAAAGTTTGCTAAATTTATTTAGTAGTTTAAATCCCAGTAATCTGAGAGTCAACAGACTGAACTCAAGCCTGGGGTCAGGAAGCTCAGCCTCTCATCCCAGCATAGTCTGTCTTTGGTTGTGTGATCTGGAAGGCTCTTCAGGTGTCAGTTCCTTATCAGTGCAAGAAGGGATTGAGTAGATCACTAACATTTCTACAATTTTCATTATCAAGCATCCTTTTATAAATGTCACTTTTCAATCAAAAGACTTCGCATTGCGAATAACTTTGTATAACCAGCTATTTAATTAAGTATCTTTGCTTGCAAGGAGTAAAGACACATTAATAAAAATAGACTGTAGTATTAATTAATAATAGTTCTCATTTATTGGTACTTACTATGTGCTGAGCACTTAGATTTCATGTGGTTCTTTCAACAATCCTATGAAGGAAGTTCTATCATGATGCCAGTTGGACAGATTAGGGGAGCGAGGCTCAGAGAGTTTAAATGACTTGCCCAAGTCAGAAGGCTAGTAGGTGGTGTGGTAAACTGAGGTTTGAATGTGGGTCTTGAACCTCTGCAGTCTGGTGGTGGCACCTCACACAATGGTGGTGGCATATTGCGATCCTCCAAATGCCTCGGGGTTGGATCTGTAAATTACCAGGAATTCAGACAATTTTCGGGACTGTACACCGGGACATCACTCACAGAATTTCTCCTTCTCCATGGCGTCTGTGTTCTCCTCTCACTACCTACCTATCTTTCTCCGTTGCTTCATGGTTACTTCTGCTCCTTCACCACGACAATTTGCTTGTTGCTCATCCAACCCCTATGACCGAAAATTCAGGCCTCACAGTCATTTGCCCTAGTCTCTGTTTCACCACTTAAATCTAAAGAGCAGGAATTTCATTGACCCAGGGCATATTTTACATAAGGCAATGCTGCAGGTTGTCAAGCATGGGGCCTGAGATGCACCCTAAATGGTACAAAATAAAGCAGAGTGGTCTGTGAATGGACCAATGTCCTTTAACAATTAATTAATAATAGCCTGGAGTCCAGGAGTTCTAGACCAGCCTGACCAATATAGTGAGACCTCATCTATACAAAAAAAAAATCTGTAAATTAGCTGAGCATGGTGGCATGCGCCTGTAGTCCCAGCTACTCAGAAGGCTGAGGCAAGAAGATCACTTGAGCCCAGGAGGCAGAGGCTGCAGTGAGCCAAGATTGTGCCAGTGTACTCCAGCCTGGGCAATACAGCCAGACTCTGTCAATAATAATAATAATAATAATAATAATAATAATAGCTACTACTTATTTTTGCTTTTTAAGTTAGAGGCTTTTTACCAGGATTTTCTCTTTATAGCAACAATCCAGTGAGGTAGAAACTATATTGGTCCCTTCTCACATAAGCAATTTACCTAAACTAGTAAATGGCAAATCCCAGGATTCAGATCCAACTTTTTTGTTTTTTGGTAACAGCTTCGTTGATAAATAATTGGGCTGAGGGTGGTGGCTTATGCCTGTGATTACAGCACTTTGGGAGGCTGTGGCAGGAGAATGGCTTGATTCCAGAAGTTCCAGATAAGCCTGGGCTTCAATTAAAAAATCAGCCAGGTGTGGTGGTGAACACCTGTAGTCCCAGCTACTGAGTTGGGGGCTGAGGCTGGATGATCACATGAGCCAGGAGGTCGAGGCAACAGTGAATTGTGATCATGCCACTGTACTCCAGCCTGGGAGACTGAGTGAGACCCTGTCTGAAAAAAGAAAAATTAATATGCTATGCAATTCACCCATATAAAGTATACAATTCAATGCTTTTTTTGAATACAGTGTTTACAATCATCATCACAATCCATTTCAGAACAATTTCATCACCTCAACAAGGAATCCCATCCCCTTTAGCAATTTTCCTCATTTCTTCCCAGTACCCTCTCCACCAACCAGCCCTAGGCAACCACTAATCTGCTTTCTGTCTCTATGGATTTGTCTATTCTGGACATTTCATATAAATGGAATCATAGAATAAATGACCTTTTGTGACTGGCTTCTTTCACTTAGCATAATATATTTTCTTTTTTTTTTTTTTTTTGAGACGAAGTCTCACTCTTGTCCCCCAGGGGCACAACCTCGGCTCACTGCAACCTCCGCCTCCCGGGTTCAAGCGATTCTCCTGCCTCAGCCTCCCGAGTAGCTGGGATTACGGGCGCCTGCCACCATGCCCAGCTAATTTTTGTATTTTTAGTAGAGACGGGGTTTCACCATGTTGGCCAGGCTGGTCTCGAACTCCTGACCTCAGGTGTTCCACCGGCCTCAGCCTCCCAAAGTGCTGGGGTTACGGGATTACAGGAGTGAGCCACCGTGCCCGGCCCCCACTTAGCATAATATTTTCAAAGTTCATCCATGTTATATAGCATATATCTGTAGTTCAGTTTTTATAGTTAGATAATATACCATTGAACGGATACTCCATGTTTTGTTTATTTATCAGTTGATGGACATTTCTGTCCACTTTTTACCTATTATGAATAAGGCTGCTATGAATATTTGTGTACAAGCTTTTGTGTGGATGTACGTTTTCATTTCTCTTGGGTAGACAGATACCTAGGAGAGGGAAAATCTAGGCACTTTGAGTCTACTGTACTTATGGGCATGGTAAACTTCTTGAAGTCTGGCCTGTCTAGGATATAGATAACTTACTAGTTAGTATTGGCTATGTCTTTTTTTTTTTTTTTTTTTTTGAGACAGGGTCTCGCTCTGTCACCCAGACTAGAGTGCAGTTGTGCAATCATGGCTCACCGCTGCCTTGACCTTCCAGGCTCAAGCCATCCTCCCACCTCAGCCTCCCCAGTAGCTGGGACTATAGGCATGTGCCACTGTGTCTGGCTAAGTTTTGCATTTTTTGTAGAGATGGTATTTCACCACGTTGTCCAGGCTGGTCTTAAACTCCTAGGCTCAAGCAGTCTGCCTCAGACTCCCAAAGTGCTGGGATTACAGGCATGAGCCACTGCACCCAGCTGGCTATATCTTAACTTAATTAAAATTTCTAAGTGAATGAATTTTGCTTAATATATATAATTGAATATTAAATAACCAGGGTCACCTAGTTTGTTTATAATATTTTAAGGATCTTCATTATCACTTTAGAGACCCAGAAATATATTGACTGCACATGTCCATACAATAAATACATATGTAAAGTATCCACTATGTGCCAGGCATTGCGATAAGAACCCAAGAACCAACAGAATAAAAAGGCATAGTGTTGAAAATTATCCTGAAATCCACATGTGCATTCTAAATTCTATCCAAATCTCTTTATTATTGTGTGCTTTATGTATGCCAATATTTGCTAAATATACTTCTCTAGAAGAGTATATCATCCTACAAGCAAAAAGTCTTCTACACTTCCTGAACAGGCTTCTTCCTTATGGAGTAATGATAGAGGTCCATGATTTCTTTCATCCAAAATAGACCTTTAAGACAAACTCAACTGTTTCCTTATTTCACCAAGAATTTTTCTGTTTCTATTGCTTTTTTTTTTTTTTTTTTTTTTTTTGAGACAGGGTTGTGCTCTGTCTCCCAGGCTGGAGTGCAGTGGTGCCATCTCGGCTCACTGCAACCTCCGCCTCCCCGGTTCAAGCAATTCTCCTGCCTCAGCCTCCTGAGTAGCTGGGATTACAGCCACCCACCACCATGACTGGCTAATTTTTTGTATTTTCAGTAGAGACAAGGTTTCACCATGTTGGCCAGTCTGGTCTCGAACTCCTGGCCTCAAGTGATCCACTCGCCTCAGCCTCCCAAACTGCTGGGATTACAGGCTTGAGCCACATCACCCAGCCTCTATTGCATTTTAAATGAGATAGTAACACAAAATGTGACTCATAATTTAATACCACAATTAATCAATTTACTTACTCATTAAGAGTTATTCCATGAAACACATGAAAACTGTTTTTCCTTTTACTTTACCTTGTGGTATGGATTAATATGTTACCAAGTGCCACTCTTTTGCTTCAAAACATCATTCTAAAATAGGTTAACATTATAAGAAGTCTTTTTTTCCCTTTTCTTTTTAACGTTGGTGCCTCTTCCCTTGTGATATGCTCTGAAAATAATTTAAGTGGAAGAGAAATAAAGGCCAATTTAATCTGAGAACCTAGTTTCTAATACTGATTTGGGGTCAGAATGTACACATTCTTCCTTTAAAAAAAAAAGTGAAGACAACAAACATAATACAAAGATTTTCTATTTTTTTAGGTTGGTGCAAAAGTAATTGTGTTTTTGCCATTGAAAGTAATGGTGAAATCTGCAATTATTTTTGTACCAATCTAATAATAGCAACTTCTCACCCTACTTCTCTAACCAAGTGAAGATTTCCAAAACCAGATGGACTTAAACTTTTTTTTTTTTTTTTTTTTTTTTTTGAGATGGACTCTCACTCTGTCGCCCAGGCTAGAGTACAGTGGCGCTATCTCGGCTCACTACAACCTCTGCTTCCCAGGCTCAAGTGATTCTCCTGCCTCAGCCTCCCGAATGGCTGGGATTACAGGCGCCTGACACCATGCCCGGGTAGTTTTTGTATTTTCAGTGGAGATGGGGTTTCATCATGTTGGCCAGGCTAGTCTCAAACTCCTGACCTCAAGTAGTCGACCTACCTTGGCTTCCCAAAGTGCTGGGATTACAGGCAGGAGCCACTGTACCAGGCCCATTTTGCTTTTTCTGAAGGCCAAATGAGTGTTCAATAATACAGAAGTTAAAAATGATTAACAAATCCCACCCCCCCTTGTTTTTTTGGAACAAAATCTTGTTCTTCTGACCAGACTAGTGCAGTGGCATAATCATGGCTCACTGCAGCCTCAACCTCCCGAGTAGATGGTTCTACAGGTTTGTGCCACCACACTGGGCTAATGTTTTTATTTTTTATTTTGTAGAGAGAGAGTCTCACTATGTTGCCTAGGTTGGTCTTGAATTCCTGGGCTCAAGCTCATCTTGGTCTCCCAAAGTGCCGGGACAGTATCCTTTTTTGGAAAGACCAAATCTATTTACATATTACCACATGGAAATTTTTTCATTACGCCTTATAACAATGTTTCCTCATTCAGGCTCAAAAGAGTATATTCAGAAATTTAGAAAGAAAAGCCTTGATTTGCCTATGAGTGAGATTCTTTTGGAAACAACAATCTTTTTCTTTTAAATATCTTTATTTATTTATTTATTTATAGAGATGAAATCTCGCTCTGTCGCCCAGGCTGGAATGCAATGGTGTGATCTTGTCTTACTACAACCTCCGCCTCCTGGGTCAAAGCAATTCTCCTGTCTCAGCCTCCCGAGTAGCTGTGATTACAGGTGCCTGCCACGACAACCTACTAATTTTTTATATTTTTAGCAGAGATGGGGTTTTGCCATGTTGACCAGGCTGGTCTTGCGCTCTTGACTTCAGGTGATCTGCCCACCTCGGCCTCCCGAAGTGCAGGGATTACAGGCATGAGCCACCACCCTTATTTATTTTTGATTATAAGAGTGCTATTTGCTGTTTCTTTTTTTTTTTTCTAATAAACACTGATCTTTATAGAATCTTTATAGAATTTGCTTTAAGATAGCCAATCCCTCTCCTCCCCATCCCTCTCTTCCCCTTCCCTCCCCTTTCCTTTTATTTGGATAGACCCTCACTCTGTTCCCCAGGCTGGAGTGCAGTGGCATGATCTCGGCTCTCTGCAACCTCTGCCTCCTAAGTTCAAGTGATTCTCCTGCTTCAGCCTCCTGGGTGTGCACCACCACACCCAGCTAAATTTTTTAAATGTATTTTTAGTAGAGACGGGGTTTCGCCATGTTGGCCAGGCTGGTCTCAAATTCCTGACCTCAAGTGATCTGCCCACCTCGGCCTCCCAAAGTGCTGGGATTACAGGCATGAGCCACGGTCTTTTTCTGTTTCTTAAGGTATTTCAGGTATTGAGTAAGACTTAGACTACTTTTAAAATCGATGCACTTTCTGTTGCCTCCTCCTCCTCCTCCCCCTCTTCCTTCTAAGAGGTAACACAGTTAAAAAAAATTGAAATAAAAGGGCTTGTTTGGAGGACAGTTGAGCAGAGAAACTACTCAGAAGAAGGTATTTCCCTCATTGACTCGCTATGTTATATTCAACATAAATGTTTCAATGACAAAGAATCATCTTGATAATATGGCCTATAATGGAGAAATATTCCAGTGTGAATGGACAGGTGCCTGGATGGTGGTGAAGAAACCAAGGAAGATCAGAGGACCACAGCACCAGCCGTTTCCTAGGTCACAACTGCTAGGTCTGCAAACTCTTACTTGAAAGAAGAAACAAGGAGGGAAATGGCATGAGAGATCAGCTGATGACAATAACCTCTGATAAAAAAGCAGCCAGTCTTCTTATGTGTCATCCTCTAAGCACCATGTATGAAATTCCTCTGTAAGAAAGGTAGTGATCAAGAAAAAGGCAGATAGTAAAAGTTCTATGCATTCCGTTCAGTCTTTTTAGTGCCTAGTGTAGCACCTGCTAGGGTAGGTAGGTACCTATTAAACATCAGTTTAATAATGACAGACATGAAACCAACCAAATGTTCTTAATAGCTCCCTCTACCCTATTCCTCACCAGTCCAATCCCACTTCCCTGGGCTGACCCTACCCAAATGATCTGTTTCATAAAGGATTGACTCAAATTCTCTGTCTGGATTGAACTCATGATACAGGTTACCTATATCCTAAAACTAAAGTTAGAGGGGGAAATACTACTTAAAATCTTGAAATAAAATTAAGTGGGAGCAAAACAAAGCAGTTAATTTGCATGAGTCTACACTGATAGAGCATGAGAAGTGAAAAAAGCTATAAGTTCTACTTCGCTGGTAACTGAATTACATAGAATTCACTGCTCAGTTTAGTAACTAAGTCTAATGATCATTAAAAAGCTTTCCCAGGAGAAGGGAAAGATGAAGCCTGCAATACTCAAGTTTTCCACTTCCTTTTTGGAGATGGAGTCTCGCTCTTGTCGCCCAGGCTGGAGTGCAGTGGTATAATCTCGGCTCACTGCAACCTTCGCCATCCGGGTTCCAGGATTCTCCTGCCTCAGCCTCCTAAGTAGCTGGGACCACAGGCATGTGCCACCTAACCTGGCTAATTTTTGTATTTTTAGTAGAGATGTGGTTTTGCCATGTTGCCCCGGCTGGTCTGGAACTCCTGACTTCAAATGATCCTCCTGCCTTGGCCTCCCAAAATGCTGGCATTACAGGCATGAGCCACTGTGCCTGGCCTTCCATTTCCCTTTTCTTATGCATAATTCTTTTTGCTTTTCTGGTTGATTTGTAAAGACCCTAAGAAGGACATATTGCAACAAATACAATTACTCCTAACTTGGAGACTGACACAAAAGTTGTTTAGTTATAATAAGTAGGTTGTTCTGCATTTTACCCAAAAAGCTAAGTGTAAATTTTTCAATCATTTGTTGAAACATCACTATCACCTTCAAAGGTAAAAAATAATTACTTCTCCAGCATAACTGTAAAACTATCACAAAAATGGGCACAGACATCTCCACGAATGTGGCAAGATTTTAGATAATTTTTTGAATAAGATAGGTAAGTGTAATCATATATAATTTTTAGATTAAATTGGCATGCATTTTATTTTTTTTTGAGACAGAATCTTGCTCTGTCACCCAGGCTGGAGTGCAGTGGTATGATCTCGGCTCACTGCAACCTCTGCCTGCCGGGTTCAAGGGATTATTGTGCCTCAGCCTCCCGAGTAGCTGGGACTACAGGTGCATGCCACCACACATTTGTGGAGAGTGAGTTTCAGATACCATGAGATTTCACTTCAAAATACTTTAGTATACATCTCTTGAGGACATTTTCATACATAACCACAATGCCATCATCACACCTAAGAAAATTATTTACAATTTTTATAATATGCAAATTGTTTACAGTTGCTCAGAAATGTCTTCTATAGATTCATTTTAAAATTTCTTTTAATCCAAAATTCAAAGGTCACATGTTGCATTTAGTTGTAAAGTGTGTTTCAGTCTTTTTAAATTTTTAATTTGCAATTGACACATAATTGTCCATATTCATGGGGTAAAATGTGATGTTTCAATGCATGTATACATAGTATAATGATCCAGTCAGGGTAATTACCAAATGCATCACTTTAAGCATTTGCATCTAGATAATCCTCCTGCCATATTTTTTAAATGACACTGATTCATTTGAAGAATCCAGGCCAATGGTCTTGTGGAATGTCCTGCATTCTGAGTTTGTTTGATTGTTTCCTCACGAATATTTTTGGCAAGAACATTTCATATGTGATGTTGTGTACTTCTTATAGAATCATATACATATGTAAATAGTGTCTAGTTGTCCCAGTATTGCTGGTAATAAATTTGATCACGTGGTTATGTGGGTGAATCGTGGGTGATTGCCATTATCTCTTTACTGTAAAGGTCCATTTTTCACTTCATAATTTGTGTGTGATGTATGGAGTGATTTTTAGGACCACATGACTATCTTATTCCTCATCAACATTTTCCCCAGAGTGTTTGGCATCTATTGATAATCTGCCTAAATAATTTTTTACTTATTTATATTTTGAGACGGGGTCTCGCTCTGTTGCCCAGGCTGGAGTGCAGTGGCATGATCACAGCTCACTGCAGCCACTATCTCCCTGGGCTCAGGTGATCCTCCCACGTCTGCCTCCCAAGTAGCTGGGACTACAAGTGCATGCCACCACGACCAGCTAATTTTTATATTTTTTGTAGAGATGGAATTTTGCCATGTTGCCCAGGCTGGTCTTGAATTCCTGGGCTCAAGTGATCTGCCCACCTTGGCCTCTCAAAGTGCTAGGATTATAAGCTTGAGGCACTGTGCCTGGCCTATCTAAATAAATTATTATACTGGAAGCTGCAAATTTGCTAATGTTATTATTTCTTCTACATGTATTAGCTGAATTATTCTGTAAGGAAGAGCTTTATGTTTTTTCTTTGATACACAGATTTCATTTCAGTTTAAACACTAGGATAAGACAAAAAAGCCTTTTCCAAGATTTCTTCAAGTCCCCAGATCTAGCTTGTCTACCAGAGCAATTTAGGATGACAGTCTTGCAGATGGGAGGCAGGAGATGGGGTAGTTAATAATAGACCCCTGGCTCTGCATGTTTTACAGGAAAATAATGAATAAGAAAATAATAGTTCTCTTTACTTGCTTACATGATTCTAGACAACACTGGCAGCAATCATCAGAGATGGTATAGCAGCTACTTCCATATTGCATAGAGTACTAAGAATTCTTAATTTTTGCATTATTTTGTAGTTATCATGCTGCCTTCCAGATTTTAAATTATTGACATTTTGTCCATGTTCCCTCCACTCACAAGGTGACTGACCAGCAGTTTCTTCCGCACTTCAGAGATAGGACAACAAAAATAGGCCCTCTTGCTGTGTCTTCTCTCATTCTCACAGGATATCTAGAGCCTGGATTCAGAAAACATCTTACTTTCTATAGCTCCATACCAAGTCGTCCTCTCTCCTGCCCTTGTTCGAATAGCAACTCCACTTTTTCCATGTCAAGTAGGGTTGATTAAGTGTCTGTAGGTCATTTCTTCTGGTCATCTTTGTAAGTTCCAATTAGCCAGTAAGTGCTGAATGCTTACTCTGTATCCAGAGCAGAACAAGATGCTGCAAAGGGTCCTACATTTATAGGACTTAGTCCCTATCTTCAAAGAGGTTATCTGAATGGTGAGACAAAAATCACCGAAAAATACAGCTAAAAGATAATCTAGTCTTGTGGGAGTATCTATGAATGATTTTTAGAGGACTGGTACAAGAAACTTAAGAACTGGTGCAGAAATTTGCAGTATCTGTGTTGTGCTGGGGCAAGTGCCCATGGATTTTGTGAGTTTCCACGAGGGCTGTGACTCTATCCCTCCACCATAAAACATTCACAATGACCAAGAGAGACTAGTTGGACTAGCTATGCAGTAGCTATTTGTCTTTGCTGATGTTTTCCATGGTCAATGGTAGTCCATCACATTAGATAATATAGTGTCAGTGCCAAAATATAGATTGAATTCTATGATTGGGTGTTGGACATTCTTTCTTGCCATTTAAGTGTCATTTAGAGTTATTAATTAAAGCACTCAAGGCTCATTGTGACATTCATAGGTGATTCTGTTCTTTTTTTTTAAATTTTTTACAGGTACATAGTAGGTGTATACATTTTGGGGTACATATTTTGATATAGGCATGCAATGTGAAATAAGCGCATCATGGAGAATGGGCTATCCATCCCCCTCAAACATTTATTCTTTGAGTCACAATCCAATTACACTCCATAGGCAATTGAAATCTTATGCCTGAGAGAAAATTGGGAATAGTGCTGCCCCAATAATCTGAAGTTTGGTTTGGAACTGAGTACTGTATCAGGACGCATCAACATTATCTCCATTCTTGTCAATAATATTCTCTTACTTTAGTATAGCGAGGGTGAGTTTGCAAAGCCCTTTCATGTCCTATGACCCATTGACCCAGTGAGATTGACAAGGCAAGGATTGTTAGTATCACTTTATCAAACAAAACAAAACAGGATATAAATGGTACAGCTGGGTGTCAAAACCATTTTCTCCGATCCCTCCTTTCTCCAGCTTATCTTGCTCTCTTAACCAGGGCAGCATTTGAGGTGGGCTTCTAGGCAGATGAATTCAGTTAGAGTTTTCAGCTGTGTACTGCTGATGAAACCTGCTTCTATTTGTAGGTCTTCCCTGGGGGTAGGCTCAAGTGCTAGTTTTGGACTTTCTTCAGACTTCTGCTCAGTCTATGATACTGTACTGACCTTGCAAAGCCCTCGTAGTTCCCTGCATGAACATTTCAAGGGCAAAGTCATAAATGGCCATTTTAATGGGCTGGTCATCATCTCGAATTGTGATCCTGGGAATCAGATTCTTGGTTTTCTAGATCAGTGCTGCATAATATATGATATGAGCTATACATGTAATTTTTAATTTCCTAGTAGCTATATTAAAAAAGGAAAAAGCAGGTAAAATAAATTCTAATAATCTATTTTATTTAACACAAATATCCAAAATATTACCACTTCAACATGTAATCACTATACAAATTAAGATATTTTGCTTTTTTTTGTACTAAGTCTTTGAAATTCAATGTGTTAACATCTATTTCACATCTCAGAACTAGCCACATCTTACGTGCCTAAATGGCTAGTAGTCACTATACTGGAAAACACAGGGATAGAAAATTCTTCTAGAAAAAAATAGTGAAGAGAAAGCAGCTCCTTTCCCTCTACTGATAACAGAGAATGAGTTAGGCAGTGACCCTTATATTCTGACATTAATCATCATAATTTATCAGTCATACATCATCATAGAGAACCTCTTCACATCATAGCAAAATTACTTTCTAGTGACCTAGCAGCTTCTAGACCTTAAAAATGTTGAATAGGATTATCCATACATACAGGCGGAGAAAATAGGCTATGATAGAGATGGGCTACGAGGTGTTGCATGCTCCAAAAATATGGTCATGTATCCTGCCATATGCCTGACACACCTTCCATTAAAACATCTTCTTAACAAACTTTTTTTTTTTTTTTTTAACACATCTACTAAAATGTGCAGAAAGAAGAATAAGTCCTTCTGGGTCAGGGGAGGTAGAGAGCACAAGCATGAATAAGACATAGATGCTGCCTTCAGTGAAATTTGTGGTCTCCGAGGGAAGACAGTGGATAATGCAGGTAGGAGATAAATGTCCATTATATGATGAAAATGAAAATTGTCCAACTGGATCTTCAGAAAACCGCTGTTAATATTCCATTGTTTCTGAGTTAGAAGCACATGAAATAATTACCCTTCACTATTTACCAGTTACACAGGCATACACTGATTTGTTGAATTTGCTTGAAAAGTAGAGCCGAAGATCCTTTGAAAATGGAAGAGGTTTTCATGGGGGAAGAGATGAGTGGGGGCGAATGAGAAACATCTCCTTTATATGGCAGATGCGGCAGTTTCTTGATGATGGGGAGAAGCAGCTTAACGTATTAGGCACTAGACCCCAGCGTCCAGTGACCAGGGGATAATGCTGACAGGGAACGGAGGGCAGGAGTGAATATCGTGAACACAAACTTTGTCTATTTCAAGAGCTTTGCCCCTTCCTGGACTGACATTAAATGCTTATCTGAGCAGGCAAATACAGTGCACATGTTTACATTGGGGAGGTAGCGGAGACTAGTAGTTTAGGACCAGGGTTCAAGACTCAGCTATTTGTGTGACTTTGGAGGAAGTAATTTAATCGCTTTGTGCCCCCCCTCAGTTTTCTCATAAGTAAAAAATGGCTTAATAGGATTTAATTAGGTGCTATACAGAAAGAGTTTAGACCAATGCCTGACACATGGCATTCACCCAATAAGTGTCAATAATTATGATTCGTTTTGGCATTATTATGTCAGTAATAACTATTAGCTATGATTCTCCTCTAATTTGTTCCTAAAGTTTCATGAGACTCGATTTTATATTAAGGAATCCTGCTAAAAAGTAGACATATTCTAATAAGAATTTCCTTCAGATGGCAAAACTGGGGCAAAGAGATGAAAATGACTTGCCCAAGGGCTCAGAGGCTGCTCCTAAATGGGGAGAGAGGCTATTTAAGGCAATGGCGGTGGATTTCCCCAAAGACAAGGGTTTCATACACGTAGAGTCTGGAACGGGAGTCCAGGCTGTACCACTTAACTCGAGGGGTCATTTGGGAAGTTACCTGATTTCTCTGAGCCCTGGATTGTGCACCTGCCAAATAGATATAATAAATATACCTACAGTTGGTAAAACTCAATAGCATGACGCATGAAAACTGCATGTGGTCTGGGCTCAATAAAATCAGCCTCCCCATTGATTATTATCATTATTATTACTATTGTTATAACAGATCTTTAGGCGGCGTCAGGAAGTGCCTGTCTGGGATGCTATAATGCGTTTGGCTCACCACTATGCCCCAGCGCCTGGCACCTAGTAAACACTCAGGAAACGTTTGAGGAATGAATATACGTCATTTGAGGCAAGACAGGGCAGTCGGCTGACTGCCTCCGGGCTTAGCTCTTCCCCTCCTTGCAAAAGCCGGAGCCCTAAGCAGCGTGTAGCCCGGGAGCCCAGGCATTACTTGGCAGCGGGTGAAACCCACCTTGCCCCATTCGGAGCTCTTGGAGAGCGCCCCGCCTGGATGCGCATCTCTGTGTGAGCGGCTCTTTCCTAAGCCCTTATTTTTCTGGTTTGCGGTTTATTTACTTAAGCATTTACAGCTCCCAGGAGCAGAGGGGCTGCTAGAGGTACGGTCAGGACTGAGGTCGCGGTTTGTATTTATTTTCTGCCTCCCAATCTCAGAGCCGGCAAGTCACAACACGGCTCCTTTATTTGTGCACCGGAGAGGTCTGCCTTTCTTTACCTCCTCACGGGCGATAAAAGACAAGCAACTCGGGCTCAGAAAAGTGCTCTCACGCGACTTGCCTGTGTCTCCGCTTGCGTGGACCGTCGCTCCCAGGCTTGGTTTCTCGTGCAAACCCGAGCAGGGCGGAGCAGATTAAATAAAGACACCTCGCGCCTTTAATCCTTGACCGCAAACACTGGCGTTTTTGTGCCCCGGATTTCTGAAATTCTTGGCTCGGGGAACCAAGGCAGGGGGAGGGTGGGCTTGTAAAAACTTCCCAAAGCAGAAATCCGAGCTCCTAGCCCCTCCCCGGCCCCAGTGACACCTGGATTCCAGGGAAGGGGGGCAGCCGGAGGAGAGGCGTCCCCAAGGGTTGCGGGCGCTTCCCAGGGGTGACTTTGAACGGCTGGCTCCAAGCCCTACCGACCCCAGCCAAGGAACAGGCTCAGCAGCCTGAAAGCCTCGCAGGACGCCCCTCCCCTGTCCCCGCACGCGTCTATTTAGGGCCCAGCCCGGGCGCCCAGGGGATTCTGGGACTTGTAGTCCCTCCCCGCAGCCTCAGGCGCCGCCACGACCCGCTACTTGGACTACATTGCCCAGGGAGCTTCCCGGCCTATATAAGCCACCCGGAGCCGCTTTAAAGTGCAGTAACCATGTGGATGTGCTGCTGAAGCGTTTCCTCAAGCTCGCTGGGGTGGGAGGAGAGGAGGAGGAGGAGGTGGTGGTGGAGGAGGAGGCAGGGGGTGGAGAGAGAGAAAGCGCACGCCGAGAGGAGGTGTGGGTGTTCCGCTTCCATCCTAACGGAACGAGCTCCCTCTTCGCGGACATGGGATTACCCAGCGGCTGCTAACCCCTCTCCTCGCCCTGCTCCCCCAAACCGGCGTGGCTCCCCGGGCACCAAGGTAGCGGCTGGGGCCGGGCAGAGGGCGCGGGGAGTTGGCACTGGCTCCCCGGGCGCAGAAGTTTTTGCCCCGCTCTCGGGGAGATCTTGATGGATGTGCATGCACTTGGCATGCATTTGGGGGTTCCTTTACTGCGGGCAGTTGTTTTGGGGGGAGCTCATTTGAAGCTTAAAAAACAAATATCCTCTACTCTAGTGCGTGGCTTTGGGGGCTCCCCATTCTGGTCTGATGTGGCATTCCCCCAAGTTGGAAACTGTTGCTGCAGCTGCAGGAAATAGTTCTTTTTTTTTTTTTTTTTTTGAAGAGAGGTTGTGGGGGTGTCATATGTGAGTCTGCTCAAGGAAATAATCTTTCTAAAAATGTATCCCTCTCTTGCGCTCCGTGGTTGGGAGAATAATGCATGTGTAGGGGCCCCCCGTGGGGAGGGTTTTTAAAAACGGAAGAAAACCGGAGAAGCGGTGAGGGATGAAGTGTGGACGAAGCTCATGTCCAATGAGGATGCGGGCTTCGGATACTTGGCCTTCTCGCCGGGAAACAAGTGCTTTGGGATCTGCCAAACACTTCCCTTAGTTCCAGCCTCCCGCACGTTCGAAGTTTGTGCGTGCCTAGTCTCAATTGTCAGTTACATCCTGGAAATAAGTAAGCGTAGTTACCTGGAATCTTCGCCCAAGCGATCCCACCAACCTGCCTACCAAGTTTGGGGGCGGGGGGGCTGTCCCCAGTGAAGGAGGCTAAAGAAGGTGGAAACTTGTAATTTGGAGCATTTCTGTTAGAGCTCATCTTCCGCGGTCTGGTACTCAGTCTTCTTTCTTTCTAAATATTTAGGAGCTGACTACAGAGGAGCAGGATTTGCACCCCTCGCTGGGCTTGCTTTGGCAACAGAGTGCCTGACCCAGGTCAGGTGAGTGTGGAAGCCTGAGTGCTGTAGTCAATAATGAGTTTTTGTCCTAAGCCTATTTTAAGTTCTATCTAAACCGCCAAGGAGGTGGGGAGTAAGAAAGAAAAAGAAACTCCGTGGCTCAGTCTTCAAAATTTGCCTCTGCCTTTGGTGAGGGCTTTTGGGAGCAGAGGTCCAGTGGACAGTCCGTTTCTTGGAAGTAGCTGAGAATTGAAGGAGCCTGAAAGTTTATGAGAGAGGAGGGGAAAAGGCCATTAAATGGAGCAATAAAACGGCGGCCCATTGCCGGTCTGAAAAGCATGCTGATGATTTAAATTCTGAAGGATACAGTGCATTTCATATGCCAAAATGTGTAAGCAGTATTAACTGCCTCTCTCCTTCAAGAAATAGTCACTCTTTTCTAATTTTGAACGTGTGCTTAATCAGAGTAGGTTGGATTGCAAGAAATGA
Organism: Homo sapiens; assembly: GCF_000001405.40. Lineage (NCBI taxonomy): Eukaryota > Metazoa > Chordata > Mammalia > Primates > Hominidae > Homo > Homo sapiens. The sequence continues at coordinate 4,494,954 of NC_000003.12, forward strand.
AAGTGGTTGCTGCAAGTTGAAAGAATTAGAACTTTAAAAAGGGAAGTGAGTTATTGAAGCTTAAGGTGGTAGCATCCAGCCCTTGACTCAAGCCACCTGAGTGTCAAGGAATCTGGCAGGTCCCTGTTGTTTTGGGGCCCGTGGTGGAATATGAGCTGAGAGCAGCATTTATCTGTAAACACAACAGTTCCTATTTTTTCCCCAAAATGGTCAGACTGCATTTGAAGAGTGGGAGGTTTCAACGGGTGCACGTACATCACTATTGCTGCAGATTTGGCTATCAGGAGTTTTTTCTCCTGAAATGTTCAGGAACATGGTAAATAACAGGGTAACAGAGGTAGGTGGGGGTGGGTGGCTGGGTCTTAATAACTTTTTTAACATTCTAAATATTTAGCTGTTCCCTGGGCTACAATCTTTGGGCTTTTCTAATGAGAAAATAAAAGTCAGACACTTCATTATAGTGGTATAGTGCTTTTGTTTCCTGTTGATAAGATCCTCAGGAGTACTGGCGGAGTGAGAAGCATTTGGATGTGAGAACTCTAGTTTCTTCTTGGAGTTCTGTTGACTCACATGGCTGTGTGGGTGCTCATAGAGCCAAGGATTAGGCCCAGTTCCCCTTTTCAGAATTAGCTGTACAGCAAGGAAAAACTGGTCCACAGACTCTTTTCTAACTGGTTGCTAAAAATAATAAGATGGACACATTAAGTACTTGTAAGCCAGGTCCAGAGCCATGTATCTCAGAAACCCTGTGCGTCAGATGCAGGTGAAGAAACTGAGGTGCAGAGAGTGAAATCACTTGCCCAGTAGCTAGTACAAAGTAGGAGCAGGGTGTAACCTCAGGCGGTGAGGCTGTACTGCATCCCACAAATGGACCTCAGTTGATTTGGGGATGCTGGTGGTGAGAGGGAAGCTAGGAAAAATGGTAAACTTACTGCTACTGATGAAATAACTTGCATACCTCCCACCAATGATGAAATAATACATAACATTGATGTAAGAAGGAAAGGATGTAGCCACAAACATAGGGATAAAAGAGTGCAGATATTTGAGGAGGTATTAGATACTGTAATGAGTTCATTTTGGAAAGCCTGAATGGGGAGAGTAAAAAGAAACAAAACCACAAGGAACATTATGTAAGTTAAGCATTAGGCTCACCTCCTAGCTGAAATACATCTTGATTGTTTACATCAAAGAATCTGAGTAGGTTAAAAGGATCAGGCGTTTCCCCATCTGAATAATTCGAAAGTTTAAACTGCAGTTAGACTGCAATGTGAAATGTTGATACCTTTTCATATACCTTCCAGTTTGCTTTGCAGCCAGTTGTGCAGACGTTTTTGTTCTCCATTTTTTCTTTCAAGTTCATGTGTGTGTGTGTGTGTGTGTATGCATATGTACACTGAAAGTACAATCTGCTCTTTGAATAATTCAAATCAGAACAGAAAATCCTTTCAAGATATCATTCTTATCAGGCAGGGAAAGTTCTTCATGTTCTAAGTGAATTACTCTGGCTCTTGCCTTGAGACCCATGAAAGTCATTTGGGGTTGACAATGGTATCTATTTAAACCAAGTGATTGTCTTTTGGAGGGAATTGGCATCTTTTCTTTAGGAATGAGAAGTGGAATGGTTGCTTAGAAAAAAAGAGATAGATGAACTCCACAGAAAGATCAAGAGTCTTTTCTTCAAAATATTTTTAAGTGAGGAAGATCAGGGTGTTGGTATTGCGGGGAGGGAGGAGAGTGGGCAGAGAGAAAGATAAAAAAGAAACCTTTAATCCAATGGTGTGCAACCAACTGACTTCCAGAGGGGGGAATATCACATGGCTTTTCAACTCATTTATAAAGATATCATGGAAACTGTCTGATTTCTTCATGAGCAGCTCTTAGAAAACAAACAAAAATAAAACAAACACCAAATATGAACAACAGAAAAAAACAGCCAAAATAAAAGTAGGCCTGGAGTTAGGTTTCTAGGTCAAGCTGTCTTTGGCTACATCTAATTAAGGAGTCTCCACAGGGCCAGTGTCTATCTTGTTTACTATTGGTTTGATTTTTAAAAATAAAACACATTGCATTTGCAGGCTGTCTGTTAACCAGAAGTCCATGCAGTTTTTTTTTTTTCCATTTTTGCTGTTTTAAGTTTGTGCATAGCTCAATTGATGAATGCAATTAAGGCTTGAAGTCGGTGATGTGAATGACATAACTTCTATGATTCCTTACAATTCTCTTGGTTTCTGTGGTTCTGAGATGATTGCTAATGAGAATAAGCCAGATACACCACTGAAACCGTCACCCATTCAACTTTGAGATTTCTAAATTGGATGTAGTTTAAGGCACATGGTGTGGTAAATCTATTTAACAGACTCTAAGACCTGTTCAAGTTGTGTGCGATTCAAATGTTTTATTCTTTATTCAACAAATTTCTTGAGCACCTGCTATGTACTAAGATGTATTCCAGGTGCTCAGGATATAGCAATGAACAAACCATCCCGTTCCCAAGAGGCTTACATCTCAGTTGGTGGGAGGCAGCCAATATAAATAAACAAGTAAGTATTATAGTATTAGAGGTAGTAAAAGCTATGGAGAAAAAGAAAACTGGTTAAAGGGGGAACAGAAAATAACAAGTGGAGAAATTAGATCCCTTGTGCATTGCCGGTGGGAATGTAAAATGGTGAAGCTGCTGTGGAAAACAGCATGGCAGTTACTAAAAAAAATTAAACATAAAATTACTATATGTCCCAGCAATTCCACTTCAAGGTATATACTTTAAAAAATTGAAAGTAGGGACGTGAGCAGATATTTGTACACCTGTGTCAGTAGAAGCATTATCACAGTAGCCAAAAGGTAGAAACAACACAAGTCTACTGATGAATGAACAGATAAAATGTGAAATATACATACAATGGAATATTATTCAGCCTTAAAAAGGGAATTCTGACACATGCTACAATGTGGATGAACCTTGAAAACATGCTAAGTGAAACAAGCCAGAAATAAAAGGACACATATTTTATGATTTTTCTTATAGAGGCATCTAGAGTAGTCAGATCCCTGCAGACAGAAAGTAGAATGGGGATTGCTGGGGGAGATAGAAGACAGGAAGGGGGAGTTAGTGTTTATTGAGGATAGAGTTTCAGTTTGGAAAGATGAAAAAGTTCTGGAAATGGATGGTGGTGATGTCACACAACAGTGTGAATGTACTTAGTGCCACTGAGTTATAACATTTCAAAGTGGTATATTTTATGTTATGTATATTTTACAGTAATTTTAAAAAGCAACAAAACATGATGAGGGGTATTAAGGGAGTACTCAGGTGGGGATTAGATCTTTACTACATGACATCTCAGCACAGATCTGAAGGAGGCAAACGAGTTGACCCTGTAGCTGTCAGGGAAAAAGTGTGTTCCAAATGTCAGAGCAGCAAGTACAGAGGCCCTGAGATAGGAGTGTTTGTGACATGTTGGAGGAAGGAGAAGAAGGCCAGGGGAGAGTGCTAGGAGTTCAGGAGGGAGAGGGAGTCAAGGTCCAGACCTGTAGGGACCAGATTTTGCAGGTCAACAGTGGTTTATCTGAGGACTTGTAAACTCTCACGGAATTCTCAGTGTGGTTTTCAACATCACAAAACTACATTGTCCTTTCTGAAGAGACTCTGGTAAGGTTGGCAGGATCACATACCAGATGGGAACTCGATAGGGGGTAAAACCCAGATTTCTGGACTGTCTGGTTAATGACAGGACTTACCTGGAGTTGTAATTCACTTCAGTAGAAAAGGAAAGTTTGACAAATAGGTGAACGTACAGTTGACTTGGAGAGCAAATTGTAAGAACATAATGATAATCCTGGAGTTTCAACACAAACCTATGTCTTACCGCCACCCTGCGTTGTATCCAGTGTCGTTTTAAGAGATATTTACAAGGAGGACTAATATTCTGCTCTCCAGCATCCTTGAGGAATTAGAAGCTTCACATCAGTGATTCTCCTTAATAAGTGAAGTGGACCCCTGCACATGTGCAAACTTAAAGCAAACCTCAAATTTTGTTACTTATTACATAAGATATACATATTCATGTAGCACACACCTTGGACTCGGCTACTCAGGGGACGGAGGCAGGAGAATTACTTGAGCCCGGGGGTTTGAGGCTGTAATATACTATGATTGCATCTGTGATAGCTACTGTACTCCAGCAAGACCCCATCTCTGTTAAAAAAATTTTTTTAAGGAGAAAAAGATAGCATATTCATTGTAGTGCAACATTAGGAAATAAAGAGGAGCAATGAAACAAAACAAAACAATTCAACTATTAGAGATTAGGGTTTCAGGCTTTTCCTCTAAGTATGCATATGTAAAATTTACGTATATATTTAAATTTCATAAAAAGGGACTAACACAGTATCTCTCATTTGGTAAATTACCTTTTGTACATCTTGAACATCTTTTTAATAAACAGACATCTGTGTCTCATTTTTCTAAATGTGCCTACCCCTTTGATGGCCTTTCATTTTTATTGAGTCTAGGTTTATACTTCCCTGATATATATACATATATAAATAGATATTTGTAAAAAATACATAATATAATAATTTTACACATACACGTATTTAACAGTTTGAATTAGGATCCAAATAAGGTAAATACATTACAAATGGTTGATGTTCACTAATCTCTGTATTTCCTCTACAGATCTTTTTTCCATGCATTTTTTTTGTTGTTATCGAAGAAACTGGGTGATACACGTCTCCACAGTTTAGACTTTGCTGACTGCATCAGTGCAATGTGGTTTAACATGTTTCTGTATCCCCTTGGGGTACCATAATTTGGTAGTTAGATGTAGAGGCTTCATCAAAGTTAGGTTCTTTTCTTTTTTAAATTGAGAAGGGGTCTCACTATGTTGCCTCGGCTGGCCTTGGACTCCTGGTCTCAAGCAGTCTTCCTGTGCCAGCCTTCCCAGTAGCTGGGACTCCAGTAAGTCTGCTCTGTAAACTTTGCTTAGGTGGGTGTGAGATGTTGGATGTCTACTCTTGTTATATGAGCACCCCTTGATGCTCACTACCTGAATCCATTAGTTCTCTCGTCAGTGAGAAATGGGCTGGTAAAGTTCCTGAGATTTCGACACAGCCCTTGTTGTCTTTGCTAGCTTTTTTGATTTCTGTATAACAAGATGTTCCAGGCTCATCTTCTCTATTTCTTATCCCAGACCAAGAATCGGCCTTTTCTCCAAGGAGCCTTTGCTCTTTTAAGAGGGAAATTTTGTTTGTTTTGTTTTTTTGAGACAGAGTCTTACTCTGCTGCCCAGGCTGGAGTGCAGTGGCATGATTTCAGCTCACTGCAACTTCTGCCTCTTGGGCTCAAGCTACCCTCTCACCTAATCCTCCTGAGTAGCTGGGACTATGGGCATTCACCACCACACCTGGCTAATCTTTTTTGTTTTTTTGTAGGGACGGGATCTCGCCATGTTGTCCAGGATGCTCTCAAACACCTAGGCTCAAGCAGTGTTCTCACCTTGACCTCCCAAAGTGTTGGGATTACAGGCGTGAGACCATCATGCCTGGCCAAAATGGTATTTAGAGATCTCCACCTAGGGCCAAGTAGGTACTCTTGTCATCCTCATCTTACAGACGAGAAGACAAATTAAAATGAAGAAAACTTAAAACTTGAATTTCCTAGGTGAAAGTATTTCCAAAATGCAATTGACCTATCCTTGCCTTTTTGCAAAGAATTCTGAATATAATCTAAACTTTTTTTAAAAATTGGTTTTGGGTTTAGCCTTAGTGTCCTGAGGCTAAGACATCATTGTTCTCCCCAGATGAGCAGGAATGTTACTCTTGTTCTGTATCCGTGTTTTTCAAACTCTGTGGAAACCCACTAAGAGGTTGTTAAATCAATTTAGTGGGCCTTGATGAACTTTTTATTTTTAGTTTTTGAAACAGGGTCTTGCTCTGTTGCCAAGGCTGGAGTACAGTGACATGATGTTGGCTCACTGCAGCCTCAACCTCCCAGGCACAAGCGATCCTCTCACCTCGGTCTCCTGAGTAGTTGGGACCACCAGCGTGCCCCACCACTCCTGGCTAATTTAAAAAAAAAATTTTTTTTTGTAGAGATTGGGTCTCCCTGTATTGTCCAGGTTGGCCTTGAACTTCTAGGCTCAAACGATCCTCTCGCCTTGGCCTCCCAAAGTGCTGGGACTGGAGGTGTGAGTCACCGGGCCCAGCCAAACTTTTTTTTTTTTTAATGACATGCACTAGAATAGAAAACATGGAAGTGTATTTCGTGGATACTTAAAAAGAACTGTGTATGTTGCAACAAAATTCTTTGTCTCACATACACAATGAACATTGGGTTGTAAGTTCAATAGTTTTCTTACTCTGAGCTGCAGTCAAAAGTTTGAGAAACACTGTACTACATCTTTGCCACTCCAAGTGTGGTCCCCAGACCAGCGTTACTGACATTAACTGGGAACTTGCTAGCAATTGCAGACTCTCAGACCCTACTCCACATTCAATGAATGAGAACCTACATTTTTGCAAGATCCTCAAGTGATTCACACACACGTGAAAATACGAGAAGATATGCATTGGAGGATGCCTGTCCCTGTGCTTTTTCAGTCCTTGTCATTTAGTGGTTCCTTTGCTTTTTCATGGCTAGCTCTCACCTGTTCAGGCTGAAGCTGACCTTTGTACTTTTCCCCTGCAGCCTTATTTTCAGTGAAGTGGAAAGGTAGGCTAATCACCAACCTGAGGTGAGAGTAAGTAGTTTTCACATGATTCCCTCTCCAACAAACATGGGAACTTTGATGCTTACATTTGGGGGAGCTTTTATTCGCTGTTCACATGAAGGCAGAAAGAGACCAGAAGGCACATGTACCCCTACTTAGAGTTGTGAAGTCACTGCTGTTCACCTGCTGTCATGGGACAATGAGGAACTTATGTTTTATCATACTTTCTGACCTGTCCCATCAGCAGAACTTCTGGATGGCTTGATATAATGCGGCTTATCAGAAGAAGATGAACATAAGAAAAATATCACTAGTCTCCAAGTTTCTTGCTGTTCTTTTGCATTTCAGAAGGAGCTTTGTCTGGGAAATGATTTTCTTTTGCAAGAACAGCTTAAAAGCATCCCAAGCACATATTTCTGAACAGAAAAAGCTGATACGACACCCAGACGACGGACATTCATTTGTTTGCCTTGTCGTGTGTGTGTATGTTGTACCTCATGTGTCCCTCCCCACCCCCGTCTGTCCACCTCGCCAGATCCTTCTATTCCTTAGGGCCCAGCCCAAACGCTTCCTCCTCCGGGAAGTTTTTTATGATACTTGAAAATCTGTCATTTGAAACTCCAGGGCCCTAAAACCTATTTTCCTTTTGGGCCTTTTGTGTTTTTTTAACTCATAAGAATACCTGGCACACAGGAAGTGCTTACACAATAAGTAATTTGTATATATGTTTTTTCTCCCTTTGAAGGCTGCTTGGAAAAACTAATTTTTTGTACCCCTCTCTCCTTTTTTTTTTTTTGAGAAGGAATCTCGCTCTGTCACCAGGCTGGAGTGCAGTGGCCTGATCTCAGCTCACTGCAACCTCCGCCTGCCAGGTTCAAGCGATTCTCCTGCCTCAGCCTCCTGAGTAGCTGGGTCTACAGGCATGTGCCACCATGCCTAGCTAATTTTTATATTTTTAGTAGAGATGGGATTTCACCATGTTGGCCAGGATTGTCTCGATCTCTTGACCTCATGACCTGCCCACCTTGGCCTCCCGAAGTGCTGGGATTACAGGCGTGATCCACTGCGCCTGGCCCCTGTACCCCTCTCCTGATTAAATATTTCTTGAACTGGCATCTTTCTTTGAAAAGCCTTACAGCCAGGCATCGTGGCTCACGCCTGTAATCCTAGCACTTTGGGATGCCAAGGTGGGTGGGTCACCTGAGGTCAGGAGTTTGAGACCAGCCTGGCCAACATGGTGAAACCCCATCTCTACTAAAATTACAAAAAAAATTAGCTGGGCATGATGGTGGGCACCTGTAGTCCCAGCTACTTGGGAGGCTGAGGCAGGAGAATTGCTTGAATTCAGGAGGTGGAGGTTGCAGTGAGCTGAGATCGCACCACTGCACTCCAGCCTGGGGGGCAGAGTGAGACTCCATCTCAATAAAAAGAAAAAAAGAAAAGCCCTTTATTGCAGAGGGTGACGTGAGGACCATGTAGAGATATTAAGCATTTCCTTTTGATAGCTTTTGAGGTGTTGTTCAGTACAAATCTCTGCAGGACATTTGTCTTGGGAAACTGTTGAGTATTCATAAAAGGGAGTGGAAAAATCAGGTAGTGAAACCAAGCTGCTTTCAGGTCATATTGGTATTGCCCTGGTGAGCCACAGGATGGGGACTCCGCAGTACCGAGTGTTGACTGCTTCTTGGGTAAGGGGCAAAACATGGAACATCTGTGCATCTGTTTCCTCTTCTGTAGAATAGGTGTAAAAATAAAAATACCTGCTTCGGGTCATTGCTGCCGAGTTGTCTAAAAACAAATGTTTGCAGAAGGCGTTACAGATAAAAAAACAAAGCAAAACCTATCTATGTCCTAGAGCAGTGGTCTCAATGGGGACAGGGAGAGTGATTTGTGTCCTCCAGGGGACATTTGGTATCGTCTGGAGATATTTTTGGTTGTTCTATCTGGCAGGCAGGGGTGGGGTGCTACTGGCATTTTGTGAACAGATCCTATGGTGCACAGGATAGCCCCCCACTCCCCTGCCCCACCACACACACACGCAACGGAGACCTCTCTGCCCTAGAATGTCAGTAGTGAACCGGTTAAGAAACCCTGTCCTTGAGTGAATTTTTCTGGCTTGGTGAGACTTTTGTCTCTCTCTGAGGATATTGACCTAACTTCATTTGCTGGTTTTTTGAGGTTTGGGCTATGTGGGCAGAGGGGTGTCTCTTCAGGCTGGGACTGACTTCAACTTTTTAACAAAATAAGCACCCTCCCCCTCTCGCCCCCTCCCAAAACCAAAAAACACTGGCCTTGGTATCTGGAGCCCTGTGGTCTATCTTTGGGCACTCATCAGCTGTGTGACCTCCAAGAAATCACTAGGCCTCAGGTTTGTTTTTTCTACCCGTAAATTAAAGAGTTTTAGCTAAATGCCCTCCACTCACCAAATCTGCAGCTCTTTGCCTTGGAAATATTGAGCTTTTGGTTGGCTTCTCTTACTTTGGCCTTGAAGAATAGAAGCCATGAGACCAAATGTCAGTGCGGGCATCTTTTTTTGAGAAATAACTTTGTAGATATTGTACCTGGTTGGGGAAAAGGTTATTTAGCAGACATGTCTGAAAAAGCGAGTAGGTTTATTTTTGTGTGTGTATGTGTGTTGCGGCGGGGGGAATGGAGAATGAGCAACGTTGTATTATACTAGAGAATCACTCCTCTGAACTTCAGATTTACAGCTGCTGTTTCTGGGAGGCCATGAAGGGCCTTGCTTAAAGATGAAACTTCTGAGTTGGTGACTTCCTTTGGGACTGCCTGAAAACGAAAGCATAATACAATTTTCTATGCTCCCAGAGAAGTGCTTTTTGCAAGAGAATAAATTATCTGATGATGGGGACATGCTGCATTTCTGAGGACGATCTGATTAGCAGCTAATGGGACAAGAAGGCAAGGAGGGGGAGCTGTGTGAAAACGTGTGGGGAGGAGGGTGGCATTATGTCCAAGTCAAAAATGTGCTGTTCCTCCTCATTTCACAATAAAGATGATATCGCCAAGCATCTTTGCTCAAAGGAAGTCCAAAATTAACCCTGAGTGCCCAGGAACAGGAGCAGAGACTGTTGTAAAGGGAGCCTTTTTCTCCCTCTTGAAAAAGTCAACCGTAAATGCGTTAGGTTTTCTCTACCTCGTATTTACAGCCATATTACCATATATGTACCTGGGTGAGGGCATCGCAGGGAGACTTGTGCTCACTCTGTAGGGAGTTTCCTTGGCCTCTTGCCAGGAGATTGATCAAATGCCAGCACCTCTTCCTTTTTCTGGGCATACTCCTTTTTTTTTTTTTCCTGTGAAAGACCTCATGGTTTGCCAGGCTCGGCCCATCGTTAACCTGCCCTGCTGGGTGCTGCTTGACCTAAAAAGTGAAACGGTGCCTTTTTGTCTTCGTCCTTATCCTCGGTTCTGAGGGGCCAACTGCCTTATGGCCTCTTGGCTTGCCAGGTGCTTTGAGCAAAAGCCCTGTGTGTAAGCCCCTCTCTTTGCTGCCTAACTTTAAAGGAAGCTTTTTTCCCCTTGTTTTTGAGAAGGAGTCTCATCTGTCGCCCAGGCTGGAGTGCAGTGGCATGATCTCAGCCCACTGCAACCTCCACCTCATAGGTTCATGCGATTCTCCTGCCTTGGCCTCCCAAGTAGCTGGGACTACAAGCACAAGCCACCACGCCTGGCTAATTTTTGTATTCTTAGTAAAGACGGGGTTTCGCCATGTTGGCCAGGATGGTCTCAAACTCCTGACCTCAAGTGATCCACCCACCTTGGCCTCCCAAAGTGTTGGGATGACAGGCATGAGTCACTGTGCCTGGCCTAAAGGAAGCTTTTTGATTTTTATTATTTTTAAAGCAAGCAGCAAGAAAACCAGCACCAAAGGACGTTGGCAAGGGCCTTTTGTTTTTTAGGAGGTGGAGGTAGTGTGGATATGCCAAGAAAGAATGGGGAAGGCTGATGGACTTGTTGTTGGCTCCATTTTTTAGCAGAAGAATGACTGTCCAAATGCAGGTGCTTTGGGGCTAGGTGGCAAAGCTTGACGACTGGAGGATAGACGCAAAGGGTGCTGTGTGAGTGAGATGCTGGCATTCACTCCTCACCTGGCTGTGCTTTGGTGGTTCTGGTTTTATTAGGAATAGTGGGGAAAACATTGTTGGAGTTGGCATTGACATGTTGAGGTCAGTACATCTCATGTGTCCCTTTTGTATATTCACTTGTCATTTGGACTTTGCTGTTTGGCAGAGCTGATCCTCTGCTGATTATAAGCCTAAGAAGTTTAGAAAGAGTAGTTTATGAGAATAGAAAATAGAACAGATTAGAAAGTAGAATTATAACAGCCAATAGGAATGCTTCCTCCGTCCCCCTTTCTCTGTGCTAAGTAAGCATATTTTCTTTTTCACAATTAATTGTCAACATAACTATGAGATAAGCCCTCATTATCCCCATTCTGCAGATGAGGAAATTGAGGGCCAGATAAGGGAGGTAACTTGATTGACTTCCCATTACATTTAGAATAGAAGGCCAACTTTTTACCCTGGCTTGTGAAGTCCTACTGGCTCTATCTTCTCTACCCTGTCTTTAGCCTGTACTTTCTTCCTTTCCCCATTAATGCTGCAGACATTGGGCTGGCTTTCTGTTTCTGGAATTTGCTAAGCTCTTTTCTGCTTTATGGCCTTTGTACTAGCCGTTTACTCTACCTAAAATGCTCTTCCGCCTGATTTTTTTTTGCATGACTGCCTCTATCTTGACTTTCAGGTCTTCGCTTAAACATCTCATCTTGTTTTTTCTGACCAGCCAAAATTGCATTGTCACTTAATCATATCACCAGTTTTAATTTTTTGCATATACTCATCACTATCTGATTTGTCTTGCTTGTTTTATCTGTTTGTTTCCTGTCTGTCTGCCCTCACTAGAATATAGGTATCACGGGAGCAGGGACCTTGTATGTCTTGCTTTGATCTGTATCCCCAGTACCTAGTATAGGGGTGGCATATAGTAGGTATCAATAAATATGTTCGATAAGAAGGAAGATTTAAGTTTCACATGGAACAGTTCACTTTCTAGAGCCCTGGCTGTTCAGTTTTATATTTTGCATTTTCATCCTGTTATATAAAGTTTCCAAACTTATACAGTGAGAGTCCTAAGCACACAGTCATTGCCAGGACAACTCTTAAAGAAAAGTTTATGGCAGCAGTTTTCAAACTTCTGGCTCTCAGGAGCTCTTTTCATGCCTAAAAACAATTCAGGACCCTAAAGAACTGTTGATGTGAGTTACATCTGTCTGTATTTACAATGTTAGAAATTAACACTGAGAAAATGAACACTGAAAAAATATTTTTAAAAACCAATTACACATTAACGTATTGACATATTTTTAATGAACAATAAGAATATTTTCCCAAACAAAAATTTTGAGAAGAGTAGCAATTTTTTTTTTTTTTTTTTGCGAATCACTTTGAGGTCTGGTTTCACAGAACATAGCCGGATTCACAGATCATATATCTGTTTCTGTCTTCAGTCTGTTGTTACATCATGTGCCTTGCAGCCTCTGGAAAACTTCACTGTACATGTGTGAGAGACTGAGTGAAAATGAAAATAATGCCCCAATGTTATTGTGAAATAGTTTTGACCTTGAAGTTTCCCTGACCCTTGGGCCACCAGCTCCTAGAGTACATAGGTAATTTGAAATGTGGGGTTGTGGCATGGAACATTAGAGAGAGGGAGAAATTGAAGGCTTAAGTGACAGGGTGCAATTGACCATCTCTAAGTCTGGGTATTGTATGAGATCTTTCTGTTCAGAAAAAAATGCATGGGGATACTTTTCAGTTGTTTTTGTGAAACAAAATTGCTTCCTAAAGTTCCTCCTGAAATGCAAAGAAACGCTGAGAATGTGGAAGCTAGTGGTACTTGTCCTACGTTCATCTTTTTCTTATGAGCAAGATTATACCAAGCAGTCCAGAAGTTCTGCAGTGGGATGGGTCATTAAAAAATTATAAAGCATAGGTTCCTCTCTGTGTCTGAGAATAGCAGCTTCAAGTGTAACTTCCTTTATAACTGTTAGTCTCCAACACTTACTTTGTTCTTTTTGTAGCTTTTGGCCTCAGATGAAGTTGTGTCCTACAATAGAAATTAGATTGATGCTTATTGCTCTTAGGTTCTGTCATAACTGGTGTTTAAGGAACCAGGATAGAAGCTTTTAATAATAGATGAGCTATATTCTGTGCTAGCCAGCTTCACTGTTTAAGGAGGTTAAATGATTACAAATTCAGGCTTCTGGGGAGTGTTTTGCGTGTGTCTTGGGTCAGTGATATATAAGATTTTCACTGTTAAGGTAATTGTGTGGTAAAATACAGAGGAGCTTGGTCATCAGGAAATTAATGGTGCACTGTGGGGACGAGGCGAGGGGTTGCAGGCAGGCAGGGGATCCAAAGTACCTGACTCTCATGCTCAGAAGGGTTTCATTTAAGGTCAGACTGTCAGTGGGACTACCCTGCCACCCGATTACTGAAAGTCAGACTGTTCAGCCCCAGTGGCCAGGTGGCTTCATCTTAATTAAACGTAGGAGGCTTGCCTTTGTGTCTTGGTAAAAACTGGCAGGTCTGTGGTTTTGGGGTCCCTTAACTAGTATAAAGTCAATTTCTCATTTCCTCCCAAGCCTGTCCACCCTTGAAGATTAAGTGATCCCTTAGGTAACTTATTGGTTAATGAAGTGTTCTACTTTAGTCTCAGTTTCAGGAGTTGTTAACTTTTAAATTCGGAATTCTGTGTAGGCGAAAATCAAGGTTTTTTTTTTTTTTTTTTTTTAAATGAATGTAATGCAATTAGTTAAGTGTGTGCAGGAGAACTAATAGATGGAAAAATTTCAATAAGTGAGTTTTCTGCCACAGTCAAATGAGTGAGTTTTCTATCACACTAAAAGCTTTTAGAAAAAAAAAAATTCCAAACCTATCTTGAGCTGCTGCTTAAAATTAAATGAACATATTTCTTTTTTAGTGAGGTTGTGCTTTGGCCTGTTTTAACACCAGAGTGGAAGAGGTTCTAAATACTGAATTACTATCCCTTTGAAGAGGTTTCCACCACCCCCACTGCCAGCAGGGGACCTAGATTGATGTTAGAAGGCGGGGGAGTTGAGTTGAGGTCTGGCCAGCTTTGGTATTGTGAGTTTGGGTACTGAAAAACAACAGTACTTTGGAGATGCTGTCCAAGTATCAGCCACCTCGTGGGCTTACAGAGGATTTAAACATTTCTGGGATCTTTGTTTCTCCAGATGTATTTCCTAGAGTATTGACCAGGTAAGCAACATTCATCAAGTAGAGGAATCACAGGACAGAGGTGAGTGAAGACTTTGAAGGAACAAAAACGAATGTTTTCATTTCAGACTCATTCAGACATACAGAAAGTGAGCATAAAGGGCCAAGTATTGTGTTGACCACTTTATGTGGATTATTTGGTTTACTCCTCACAATGACCCTGAGAAATATGAAAGGTTGCCCCCTTTTTTACAGATAAGAGAGCTGAGGTTCAGAGAAGTTATGGAAGTTGCTTAAGGACACACAGCTGGTAATTTATGAGGCTGGAATTCAGACTCACATATTCTGAGTCTGTTTCCAAGTGTACACTCTTGTCAGTACTCCAAGCCATTTTGGACATGTGGAGGGGATGGTCAATGGGGATAAAAGTTAGAGTATCTTTCCAGGGATAAAAGTTAGATATTTTGTTTCTTGCTTCCAAATTTCTCATAGAAATCTATTGAAAAGGGCCAAGTAGGTTTCTGTTCTTGATCTAACACTGTAAATTTGGCTTTAATTTGTTTTGGAGAGCAGTCATCTAAAAAACAAACCAGGTGTGGTGGCTCATGCCTGTAATTCCAGCACTTTGAGAGGCTGAAGCAGGAGGATTACTTGAGGCCAGAGTTCAAGACCAACCTGGGCACCATAGTGAGACCTTGTCTCTACAAAAATAAGAATGAAAAAACTTAGCCAGACATGGTGGTACGCACCGGTAGTTCTAGCTACTCAGGAGGCTGAGGTGGGAGGATCACTTGAGCCTGGGAGGTCAAGGCTGCAGTGAGCTATGATTGCACCACTACCTTCCAGCCTGGGTGACAGAGTGAGACCATAACTCTAAAAAACAAAACCAGTATAAACTCTTCTAGGCAGCAGATACAATAGCACTAAAGTGACATTGAACCCATATTTGACTGCTTGCTCTATCCCAGGTACTACCAGGTACTAGGATGCAACAGGAAAGAAGACAACTGAGGTTCTTGCCCTCATGAGCTTGCAGTCTAGTGGAGAAGACAAACAAACAAGTGAATAAGCAATGTTAGGACAGTGGTAGTGGACCCAGGTTGCTGTATAGAAGAGTATGTTGGAAACGTATAACCCAGATCTGGGAGGTCGGAGAGGGCTTCCCAGAGGTGGAGACATCAAACTGGGGCTGTGAAGGTGAGTGGGAGTTAGCCACAAGTGGTGGTGGGAGAGGGAGGGAGATGTCTCAGGCTGAGAGACAGCATGTGCAAAGGCCCAGGGAACAGAGCATGGTGGGGGCCCTGGAAAAAAAATCATTATGGCTGGAGTATGGAGAGCAGGGCTCAAGGTAGGCAGGGCTAGATCATGAAGAGCTCCAAAGAGATGTTGGAAGGTTTTAAGCAGGGAAATGATATGGTCTGATTTATGTTTCTAAAATATCATGCTGGATGTTGTATGCCGAATAGATTGAGGAGGAAAGACAGATTCAGAGAAACGAGTAGGAAGGCCTTAGGGAGTCCAGTTGAGAAATGATACTGGCTGAGACTCAGGTTAGCAGGGGCAAGGGAACTAGAAGAATCAAGAGATATAGTAAAGCTTAAAGTCAGCAAAAATTGATGCTGGATTAGACTTTTTCATTCATTTATTCAACAGGTATTTACTGAATACCTACTATGTGCTAGGCATTGGTGTTTGGAATACAGTTGTGTATAAAACACATCACACACAGATCTCTAGAATACAGCATGTGCCTTGTACGGTGTCAGACAGGAATTGCACAAGTAAATGTGAACTTGTAACTGAGATGAAGGCTGGGAAGTAGAGATCCATGGTGTAGAGTTTATAAGAGTGGAATTTAACTTCATCTGAGGGGATGGGGAAGATTTTCTGGTGGAAATGGTAGTTGAATTCAGAGCTGGAGGGTGACTTGGCTATAATTAGAGCAAGGGGTGGGGTAGGGACGAGAGTGTTGTGGGCTTGAGAAAACAGCACAGGCAAGGGCCCTGTGGCAGGGAACATGAGAGAGGGAGGACTGGAGGAGCCACCAGGCTTTGCTGGTGGTCACTGAGAAATGGCTATGAAGGAGGAACAGGTTGGGCAGGCAGGTAAATTCTTTTTGGTACATTGAGATGCCGTGAGCCGCTAGGAGCAAAACTCTAGTAGCTGTGGGACATGAGAGACAGATTTGGGAATCCTCTTCACGTAACAGTGACTGGAGCCAGCAGAGTGGACGAGAAGACCAGGAAAGGTATAGAGAAGGCAGAGAGCAATACAGACGCTGAAGAGCAGCTCTGGCTTCTCTTCCCCAAGGAGATCTTTCTGCATTTATTTTTTTCTTTATTTGCACTTTTCTTGGGAATAGAATCAAATCTTCCCTGCCCCCCCTTTTTTTTTACGCACAGCTCAGGGAGCAATTTCAATAGAGGGCAAAGGGAAGCTCAGCCAGAGGGTGGTGTCAGGCTCAACAAAGCTGCCACAGCCTCCCTCTGCAAGAGTGTCTCCCAGAGGCAGTGATCTACCTTTCTTTGCCTTGGCCAAAGCCACCCTGGAAGAATCCTGTTTTAACAGGTGCTTGCACCCATCAGAATGGTGGTGGGTGGCGGTCTGATAGTACTATTATATATTGGTGGCATGCCTACTTCACGCCAGATGCTTTGCTGAGTGTTTATAAATACCGTCTTGCTGAACCTTATGTCAGCTTGCTGAGGTAGGTGCTCTTATTCTCCCCATTTTACAGCTGGGAAAAGTGAGGCTTAGGGAAGTTCTGGAACTTGCCTGAAGTTCTTCAGTGAGTAAGTGGCAGAGCTGGGGTTTGAACCTGGGCACTTTGACTCTGGAGCCTCAGCTCCTGCCTGCCATGGGCTGAGAGGTGCTTTTGAGGTCATTCTGCGTCAGGAATTGCGGGGAGGATGGTGATGCTTTGTGAAAAGAAGCAAAGCCTTAAGGAGAAATAATCTAGATAGCATTCACATATGCAGAGGTCTTAGATGCTTCAGAGGGCAGATGAATAGCAAAAGTTCTGGGAGGCGGCTATCCTTTGTGGGGCTAAGGGAGGGGACAGGAGTAATTGTTTTATTTTTTCACAGGCAGGGTCTTGCTCTGTTGCCCAGGCTGGAATGCAGTGGTATGATCACAGCTCACTGCAGCCTGGAGCTCCCAGGCTCAAGTGATCCTCCCAAGTAGCTGGGGTTACAGATGTGTACCACCATGCCCTGATAATGTGTTTTTATTTTTATTTTTTGTAGAAATGGGGTCTGGCTGGTCTCAAACTCCTTGCTTCAAGCCATCCTCCCACCTTGGCTGTTTAAGATGTGATGACAGGCATGAGCCACCGTGCCTGGTTTAGGAGTAATTGTCTGAACAAGGCTGTTTGAACAAAGAATAGGCTCTATTGCCCAGTGAGACCATCCATAGGCAGCGCGATGGGGAGATTTCATTATTGGGTGGGAGGTGGAATTACATGCTTTACAGGGTTCCTTCCAACTTTTATTCCATGATTCTGTGTTTTTTGAAAGGTTAGAATGCTCTGTGGCTGGCAGTTGAGTGTAATTCGCTATTGTTCACCTTTTTTCATCAGGGGAATTAGGAAGGATAAATTATCTTCCCTGAAGTAAAATCTGTCATCATGGGTCATATAGGAGTTCATTTGTTATGATACACATCTGATTTTTTAAACAGGGGATCCTTTACTGAGTTTAAATTTTGATGCCCTGGAATCTTTCAGAATTCCACTTATCTCTCGTGGAAGAAAAATAAAAATAACTAGCATAGATTAATTCAAGTATGTCAGCCACTGTACCAGGTGCTTTTCAAGCATTATTTCACCCATTGCTCACCACAGCCTCTTGAAGTTAAATTATCCCCATTTAACAGAGGAGGAAATGAAAGCAGAGAGGTTGTGGTGGGCTCCTAATAACAAGCTAGATGATAATAATAATAATAAGAGCTTAGGGGCAGAGAGCCAGGGTGGAGTGCGGGAGCTGAGCGCCTAAGCCTGCCCTCGTGTATGTCAGGCATGGCTTGTCAGCAGAGCCGAGCCCTCGGTGTCTGTAAGTGTTTGAAGTTCCGCAGCTCCGTGGCAGGTTGGCGCCAGCTCTGTTTTCTCTGAGGTGGTCCTTGTCATGGTGTGAGTGACATAGGAGCCCTGAGTGCAGCTGCTAGAAGTTCACAGGCACAAATGGTCCACGATCAGATAAAGAGGCGGGCTCTCCCACCCAGCTCTGAACAACAGGAAGTCTTCCAGAAGATTGCTCCTAGGCCCATCACTTCTGGGGCGGACTTTCCACCTCCACCCCTCCACACCACAGAGGCCTGTTCTGTTGACTTTCCCGGCCTTTGTTTTTCCTTCCAGGACATCACTGATAATTGCACTAAAACCTATCCTCCTCCCCCCATCTCCTTCCTCCACTTCACTAAGGCGAGGCCGGAGGAGATCTCCAGAGGTTTCTAGCCAGACCAGCAAGCTTTCTGCCCAGTCCTTTGTGAGGGGAATTATCACATGAGACCCCTGGGGAAGGATCTGTCCTCCCCTACTTTTTGGTTGTTTTTAATTGGGACCCCTGGCAGATTGCCCAGAGGATCATTAGCTGTGGTGGGTGGACTGGCCTGTGATTTCAGGGGGAGATGTAAAATGTAGCTAAAGGTTACTTATTCACTTATCTCGGCCACTTAATAAGTATCTTGGTTAGAAGATGCTTAATTTTTTTTCTGACTTATGGAAGTATTACAGAGCCATGGTAGAAAAATTAGAAAACAGAATTGTGCATAAGAAGAAACTCAGTTCTCCATAATCATCCGGAGTATAAGAACATTTAACATTTTAACCTGTGTTCCCAGGATCACTGTTGATAAACACCTCCACTGAAGAATCAGATAGACCTAGGTTGGGTGCGGTGGCTTTTGGCTGTCATCCCATTACTTTGGGAGGCTGAGGCAGGCAGATCACTTGAGGCCAGGAGTTCAAGACCCGCCTGTCCAACATGGCAAAACCCCATCTCTACAAAAAATACAAACGTTTAGCCAGGCATGGCGGTGGGTGCCTGTAATCCCAGCTACTCAGGAGGCTGAGGCGGGAGAATCGCTTGAACCTGGGAGGTGGAGGTTGCAGTGAGCTGAGATTGTGCCACTGCACTCCAGCTTGGGCAACAGAGCAAGACTCTGTCTAAAAAAAAAAAAAAAGTCTGATAGACCTGGGTTGTAACAACCCTGGTCCTCCTGCTTACTAATTTTATGTGATGTGGGGATCTTACCTCTCTGTATTACACCTCAGTGTCTTCAACAACAAAATGGCAATAATGGTAGTTCCTACCTCCTGCTGTGGTCATGAGGATTCACTAAGAGAACATTTGTAAAGCACTCAGCACAATGGTGGGCATGAGAAATCCTTGATAAATGCCAGCTATTATTATCAGAAAAGAAAATAATGCAGAACCGTGCTGTAGGAATGCAATGTCCAGACATCTATTGCAATGATCAGCTGCAAGCAACATGGGGTACATCATGCTTTGTCACTCGAGGACACTGAATTGTCTGCTTCTTCCCATTAAGGGCCTGGAATCTTTCAGTAAGGTATCCAGGTGGCGGTGATGGTTCACAAAACAGCAGGCATTTTCTGGCCTAGTCTCCACTAGGGCTGAATGCTTATCTGAAGGGTGATCCTGAAAGGAGAGCCTTAGTCACACTGGACAAGGCCCTAGTCCTCTTGCGGAGCACATACCTGCTCTTCTGCATTTGGAAATTCCCTGGTGTCCTTTCGGGATGCCAGGGTGTACAGACATAAATTTGGTCTGGTTCAAAATTCAAACAAATTGTCTTCTAATAATTGGTCTTAGAAGTATGCTGACTTCCTGACCCTTTAAGATAAAGCTTTATAATATAAGCGCAGAAGGGAAATATTAATCCCCCTTGATGTTTTCCATTTGTGCCGCCTTTCTGGATGCTGTTTAAAACATTGGTTTGCCTTTAAATATAAAATATGTAGTTACGAAGAATTAAACAATGACTGACATGATTCTAGAGTGGTACTTGGCAAACCGTCCTTCTGTACATTATTTGTGTATCTTCCCTCAAGGTCTAGAGATGCTGGCTCTTTTGTTTGAGAGTTTATTCTGTGTTCTCAGTTGCTGTCTCCCTCTATAAATAAGTTCATGTTTAATGAAATGCTCTTTATCTCTCCTGCAATGTCTGGGTTGTTGGAGGGGAGGGAAGGGGATGACAAATCAGCTTTTCCCTGCAGCTTCTCATAAGCAGTGAACTGAGGTTCTTTAACATAAGTTTGCTTTCAGTAACTGACATTCCTGCTAAGGTGGTAGGTTGCTTCCTGAGGTGTCATGCTGATCATTGCTGCATAATTCTTCCTGAAAGAAAACTTGGCACCCAGGAAGCAATTGAAGGAGACACAATACCGTTCCACACTGTTACAACTCTTGTAACTGTGTGGGGTAAATGGCTTCTGGAAGGGGAAGTCGAGTAAATTGATGGGGAAAGGGGTGTAAAGGGGTCTGGGTTTGGAGGAGGGGTTTTGGGAAAACCTGGGTTGCCCTGGGCATCTCCACAGCAGATGCCTGAGGAAACACTGGGCTATTAGCTGCAGTCCACACCAGCACACAGTCTTCCCACATAACTGAGTTTGTTTTTTAATTGTCAATTTAGCTTTTTACAATTGGTTCCCACTCCTCAATATTTATGGCCCTGATGAAAGCTGTTTCTAGGAGTCACATCAATATTTTTGTTGATATTTATGTGTGTGTATGTGTGTTTAATGATTTCTGAGCTATGTAGAGATTTCCTGAGACTTAAGAGCTTTTTCTAAGACTGCCTCTAACTAGCTGCGTGTTCCTGGGCAGGGAACCTTATTATTCTTACCCAAATACTGAAGGATCTGGGCCAGGTACTGTCTAAAGGGTTTTCATCCTCTGGAAGTGTTTCTTGGTGAAGGATGAGAAGGCAAGACATTTAAGTAGCATTTGGGTGACATGCGTACAGTTGTGGAATTCTGAAAAGGCCTAAAAGGCTGCTGGAAATTTGTGGTATTTATTGGCAGGTTTCTTTTTATTAATGTCATTTTGTTGCTTTGGTACCTTAGCCCAGGCACTGTGGCCTTGCCAGAAGCAGGTTTTTATACCAGGTGTTTCCTTCTGACTTAACATTCCCTGAAGCAAATTGAATATGTTAATGTTTCATAAGTCAGACTTTCCAGGTAACTCCCTAGTCACTGCCACGTTCTTGGCTGAGTTCCCTGCAGGCTTTCTATTCACTGCAGTTTTTATTATCAAGGGTCCTCAACTTGTAGAATCTGATTCAGGCATGGTTTTGTTAGAAACAAATGTTACTGTGGTTGGAATATCCTGAAATTAGATAATATACGGGGAAAAAGTGTTGTTGCATATGTCCTTACTTGGCTCATTGAATCGCCTGCCTGTCAAACTGTTATTTAAATTTGACTTTTAAGTAAGGCGCTTTGGAAAATTGAGCTAAGCCAACTCTTAGTGACTTTTTTCCCCTTCTGAACATTTCTTTTCTTCTAACAATGCTGCATATTTTACTTTGTCTAGGATTTTCAAGAAAGACATGTCTGACAAAATGTCTAGCTTCCTACATATTGGAGACATTTGTTCTCTGTACGCGGAGGGATCGACAAATGGATTTATTAGCACCTTGGGGTAAGAGCATGCAATTTCTTGTGTGGCACGGTTTGTTTAAGACATCATAACATCAGCTTAAAACTGTGATTTTTCTAACATAAGAACGTCACCGTTTTACTTGGCTTTCTAAGTGCGGTTGAAATCACAAACACCAAATCTCATGTTAGCCAAGTTTAACCTCTTATACAAAAACACAATTTTCTGTATATTTCTGAAAGAGCAAAACCTCATTATTTAGGACACTATTCTGAGTTTATTAAAATTTGCTTTTCCTTTCTATATAAAAGGGAGAGTGCCTTTATTCCACTATGGAATACAGTTTAAATGGAATAAAGTGTAAAGATGAATATTTGCAGAGCCCAAAGAAGTGCTTTTTAGTTTTGTAAAGGCTCTTCTTTTCAGATAGTGACTCCTTTATAATATAAGCAAAGACCAAACCTCCTGGGCTGCCTATCTCTTTTCTTTGAAGCAGACATTTCCTATTTTACATTGCTGTATGCATTTGAAAATTATAAATTGCATAAAGTTCTATAAATCAGATTTTTGCTCTTTTGTGCTTTTTTCCCAATCTTTATACAACTTTTAAGGGTATAAATATATTTCATAATGTACTCATTTGATTATCTTCTCCCGTCTCCTCCTACGCCTATTGTCTAGAAGAGGAAATGAGAGGTGAAATAGTCCCAAAGGCAGACAGAGGCAGAATGGAGAATCAAGATGGTTAACTCCAAAATAGTTACGAATGGTCTATATTGTCTTTGTGTAGAAAGGAGTAGTGAGGCCCCGGGGCGGCATTGTTGAATTTGGCAAGAGCTGGACTCAAATAAATTGGGGGAAGGAAGACCAGCAGCTTCTCCAAGAACCTCATTTTTACAGCAGCCAGACCTTCCTTTCAATTATAGCTATTATTTAAAGCATGCTTGTTTCCTGGTATTTGTGCAGAATGAGTATTCCTAGGCTCTCATGCAGGTTACTCCACACTCAGGGAGCAAATTATTATAGATACAGAATTATAGCTCAATTAGACTTGTGCTCCCACTGTAGAGAGATTTTGTTTCAAATGTCATCCAGTGAAAAAGAAGTCATCCATGGCTGCCTGATCACCAGATCCAGTGACTTTCTACATTTGACCTCTCTCCATTATGGACCTACCCTTAACAATTTATCTTCTGTGGCTTTTGGCAAAGAGGCCTCCTTCTGCCCTGCCTCTGACTCTCCCTCCTTTCTTCATGGTTGGCTCCTTCCTGTTTTCATCGTCTATGGTTGACTCTTTTACCCTCTTCTTCTTTTCAGTAATGACAGCAACAGTAATAAATGAAAAGCACTAAATGAGCCCAGTGGGTATTTGCTGTGTGCTAGGCACTATGCTAAATACTGTGCCTACATCTTCCTTAATCCTCACACAACTGTCTATGGTGAACATTGTCATCATTGCTGTTTGTGGAGGCAAAACTTTTGAGCTTCAGAGAGGCAAAGTCACTTGCCCAAGATTTCACAGCTCAGAAAATTCCAGACTCCAAGGCTAGGGCTGCCAGCAGTTGCTCTCTGCAGGCCAGCTTCTCTCTTTCCAGCTTCCTTGTCTGCCCGCAGCTCTCCCTCCTCCTTGACTGTGCACAGCCCCTATCTGGATGCCTGGTTAAACCTCAACCCACTCTATTCCCATGTTTCCCCTGGGGGTCTTGATTTCCCAGTCACCCAGGTGCCTCCTGAGCCCCCGGGATCTTAGTACCTTCTTTCTCTTCCAGGGCATCTCTTCTTTAAAATCATATGAAGTGCTTTTTAAGTGTTTTCCTCAAACATTGTAAACAAATTAATGATGAGTCCCTCCTGCCCTTTTAAAGTGAGGAGGGCTTCTTTTTGAACTTTGGGTTGCTAATACTTTCTTGAGATGAATACTTTATTTTCTCAGTTGCTTGCACATATTTGAGGATAGCAGTGTAAAAATGGGGTTGGAAAGAAAGTTTGACAACCCTTCCTGTTTTTAATATTTATGGGGGACCTGTTGTGGACTACGGTGAGTGAGTGCCAGTCGTTATGGGACTCACTGTGTAGCACTCCAGCCCCATCCCATTTATATAGATGGTGGTTACCTCCAAATGGCTTCATCTACTGGTTGAACTTGAGAACTCCAATAGGATCTTGGAGGGCAAGTGTGTGTGTGTGCACACTACTCAGTGGCATGCTTCTGAATTGCCTTTTTAGCTTGTTAAAAATAAAGGTTCAGCTTGGTGCGGTAGCTAACGCCTGTAATCCCAGCTACTTGGGAGGCTGAGATGGGAGGATCCTTTGAGACCAGGAGCTCAAGACCAGCTTTTAAGACCAGCCTGGGCAATATAGCAAGAACCCTGTCTCTTTATAAAAACAAGACGGGCAGGATTCTTGGGCCTCATCCTACAGCACAGCTTTAGTAAGCTGGGTTGACAGAGTCCTGGCGTCAGTATATTTGGAAACAATAAGTCTGATGAACATCCCCCTCGTTAAGAATCCCTGAGACCAACTTTCATTTTACAGATGAAAAAACTGAGACCGGTAGGGGTAAAATGCCACAGTCATGATCATGCCGCTAGTAGGTGGCAGAGTGCCATCTACAATTCATTTGTCATCTGAGCTTGACTGGGGCTCCTCTTACCACTTCCTCCCCATTTGAGAACTTGATGATTTATTTATTTTTTTTTTTCTTGAGATGGAGTCTCACTCTGTCGCCAGGCTGGAGTGCAGTGGCACGATCTTGGCTCACTGCACCCTCCACCTCCTGGGTTCAAGCAATTCATCTGCCTCAGCCTCCCATGTAGCTGGGACTACAGGCGCCTGCCACCACGCCCAGCTAATTTTTGAATTTCTAGTAGTGACAGGATTTTGCCATGTTGGCCAGAATGGTCTCAATCTCTTGACCTCGTGATCCGCCTGTCTCGGCCTCCCAAAGTGCTGGGATTACAGGTGTGAGCCACCATGCCTGGCCATGGCTTGATGATTTATTAACCTAGCCCTACCTTGGATTCTGAGCCCACCCTGTCAAGCATTATGTTAGCTCTGGGGGCATTACTATACTTACAGGAGCTTAAGGTGGTGGTTTTATATATGTATATTCTGCTCTTGATTTTTACATGAGAACTCAGGCCATTGGCTACACTGTTCTTCTTGTTTATACAGTGAAGTCTTGTGTCATGAAGCTGAAGGAGGCAAACTGCTGGTGGGGTACCATGGACACTTTGATTTACCCACCAAATAGATACTGAGCTGCCAGCCTTGGGCATCTTCTGGCCTTCATGGAGCTGGTAGCCTGGTGCCCCTTTGGAGTCTCAGTCAGTGAGGTTGGGAGGACAGAGAAGGAGAGGCAGAGAGTGTCTGGCGCAGGAGAAGCTTGGTCGGGGGGGCTTTGTGGAGAAGGTGGGGCTCTTACCCTGAGTCCTGAAAGACAGGCAGGACTTGAGGAGGCAAAAGGGAATCTTGGAGAATAGAACAGTAAGGGTCAAGGCTGAATATTTAATGGTACCTTGCATTTGGGATGAGAGGAGGCAGCACAGATGAATGGAGGAACCCTGGAAAACCATGGTGTGTTAGCTGGGAACAACTGCAAGTTCTGTGGTCACTTGGAAGATTAGCCAGTTCTATCAGTACCAGTTTTAGGAGCTTGGACAAGTTGTGTAACTTCTCAGAGTCTCAGTTCCCTCATCTGTTCAAAAATATATTTTTAAGTGGTTCTTCTAAAAGAATTGTGCAAGTTAGACTTAGCAGTCAGGACTTTAAATACTGAGTCTTTATGTAATGTGAGCTTATTTATTTGTAATTTTTTGTACTTTCCCCACTAGTTGCTTTTGATGCTCCACAGTCCTTTCATATCTTCATGAGTTTGTGCTCATGGTTCTTTCCACCTGGAAACGCTCCCCTCTAGCCTCCAACATCTATTTCGAATCTTCCAGTAGTTCCATTAGAACTTCCTCTGTCTGCAGCTTCTCAGATGACCTCAGGCACAGTTCGCTTCTGGCTGTATTTTTTTTTCTTCCTTCTCTTACAGCCCTTAGATTATATTCTCCTTATCAGTTTGTTCTTAAGGCTCCTGCACTAGCCTTGAGCTCCCAAAGAGCAAGGGCCTGGCTCATATTCACCTGGCACAAAGTCAGCTCCTCAGCTACCCTTAGTTGAATGCAACAGCCCCTTGCTGTGTCTCGCGACTTCAGCCACCTTGCATGCTATACTCAGATCTACCATGGACATGGTTATGGGAAAGGAGCCACAGAAAACAGTAGCCTTAATGTGTCCTTCACAGAACAGAACCCTGGGCTTTTGGATTAGGTTTAGATCCATGCATAGGAAGCCTCTAGTGTAAAGAGTTCCTGGCAGGAGAATATGGCAATCTAAATGTTGCGCAGGAAAAGCCCTGGGATATCTGATTTTTGCATAGTGCTAAGAGTTTCATTTTCATACACTTGACAGAGCATTTATCTGTCTTCTTTACAGCCTGGTTGATGATCGTTGTGTTGTACAGCCAGAAACCGGGGACCTTAACAATCCACCTAAGAAATTCAGAGGTAAGGTGGTGGCTTTCCTGGAGTAGTCACCTTGACTCACTTGAAAATTCTTGAAGTGTGTTGTTGGTGTGTGTGTGTGTTTATAAGCAAAATAGGCTTATTTATTATGTATTTTTTTCAGAGTATGATTTGAGTTCTAAGCTTTACAACTTGAAAAATGCATACATAAATTTAGTATCAAGATTGGGTTGGCTTTTACTGGGTCCTTAATTTGTCTATTGAATATGTGTTGACAAGTGCTAATTCGGTTTAAAGTCTTACATTTGTACAGGTATTTCTTCAAACAAATAGTATTTATGGATCCAGTCACAGGGAACATTCATTATTTCAGCAGATCTCACTGTCCGTTTGGGGATGCTGATATTCTTAGATACCTTCTTTAAGAGGTATCTAATGATACCTCACTGAATGTCTCACTGGAATGAAACGTTCTTAATTATTGCACTTGTTTTTTGAGTTAAAAGACATAGGCAGGCTGGGCACAGTGGCGCATGCTTGTAATCTCAGCACTTTGGGAGGCCAGGGTGTGGAGATTGCTAGAGCCTGGGAATTCTAGACGAGTCTGGGAATTCTAGACCAGCCTGGGCAACATGGTGAAACACTGTCTCTACTGAAAATACAGAAATTAGCTGGGTGTGGTAGCATGCACCTGTAGTCCCAGCTACTCAGGAGGCTGAGGTTGGGAGGATCACCTGAGCCTGGGAGTTCCAGGCTACTGTGAACCGAGATCGCACCACTGTACTCCAGCCTGGGCGACAAAGTGAGACCCTGTCTCAAAAACAAAAACAAAAACAAAAACAAAAACAAGACATAGGCAGGGCAGCTTTTCTACCCAAATTAGTTTTTTCTTTAGGCCTCCTGAATTTGGTATCTTTCTCCAAAGGTAGCTTAGTTTATTGTAGGAGGTCTTTGAAATACACTTGGTATCTTAGATGATAAACATTTGTTTTTCTTTTTTGTTGTTGTGGTTAGTGGTCCTCAGCTCTAGGCACATGTTAGAATCATCTGAGGAAGTTTTTAAATTAAATAGATGCTTGGGGCTCCATTGTAGAGCTTAGGGATCAACTATAGAGCCCTAACATCTATTTATTAATTAAATTATTTATCAATTAAGGTAACCTCTGGAATTGGGGATGATTCTTTACAGCCAGGGCGGAAAACCACTGGGTTAGGTATTTGACTGATGACTTCAGTCCCAAAGGGCTCAAATCTTGCCATTTGCAGATTATATAACTCAAGTTCTAAGTTCTTATTGTTTAGTGGTTTAGAAACTGTTTGACTTTTTTGGATAAAAGCTAAATAAATTAGAATAAAATAGAACTCAGACGTTCAGATGGAGAAAAGCCATTTGGAAGACATTTGGTGTTGAGTTGCATCCAGTTGGCGTGAGACAATCAGGAGAATGTTTTCACCTGAGGATGGGTGGTGGTAGGGGAGGCTGTTAAAGAGAGAGAATAACAGTTGTTGATACAAGTTGTAAGAGGAACCCAAGGCGGCTACTGCCTCCACCGCCTTTTTCTTCTCAATCCTTCTTTCATGTTTCCTTCCAAGACAAGACAAAATCTTGAGTGCTGCAAAAATGAAATGTTTCGTCCAACGATCATAATTCAGTCACTCATAGAATTACTTCCCCACTGTGAATATTAAAAGGGACAAGATCAATTGACTGTGCCAGGCCCTGTGCTAAGCACTCTGCCTGCATTAGCTCAGGGAGCCATCCCTCCTCCCTAGGAAGAGATTGATACCCTCGGAACTTAAGAACCTTGTCTGAGGTCACATGGCTGGTGACGGATGGAGTGGGAGCCATGGTTCTCAACTTTGGCTGCACAGGGAGATCACCTGGAGAACTCTCAGAAACACTGATAGCTGAATCCAGCTCAGGGATTTTGAGTTAACTGGGCATTGGGATTTTTGAAAGCTTCTCAGGTGTTTCTCTTGTGCTGCCAAGGTTAAGAACCATGGCTAATGAAATCTAGGCTAATAAAACTTGAACTTTGTTATTCAGGGAAGAGCTGATCTAGGTTTCGCTTTTGCAGCTGGGACCAAGGGGAGGGATATGCGTCCGGAAGGCATTGCTTGGGTCCAGCGTGAGCTCTTATCTTGTTCTATATACGGGCCTTGGGAGCTGGGAGATGAACCTGGGAGAGATTCTAATGTACTGTACGAAGTTAACTAGTGGCTATTTGTTTTTTACAAATACATGCACATAATTTAAAATTTTGTTTTTTAAATCGACATATATTTATGGTGTACAACATGATGTTTTAGAATATGCATGTATAGTGGAATGGCTAAATTGAGTTAATTCATATATACATTACCTCACATGCTTATTATTTTTTTTGGTGAGAACATTTAAAAACTACTCTTAGTGAGTTTCAAATATACGGTGTATTGTTATTTGCTGTAGTCACTGTGTTGTACAGTAGATCTCTGGAACTTATTCCTCCTAACTGAAATCTGTATCCCTTGGCCAACCTCTCAATCCTCCACCCCAGCCCCTGGTGACCACTGTTCCACTCTCTGTTTCTAGGAGTTCAATCTTTTTAGATTCCACATATAAGCAAGATCATGTGGTATTCGTCTTTCTGTGCCTGGCTTATTTCACTTAGCATAATGTCCTCCGGGTTCATTCATGTTGTCACAAATGAACCAGGGACTGTTTGAATACAGGGTTAGAATGTTAAAAATAAATAGGACTATAGCAGGGGAAGTCGGAGGAGACATGTTTTTCTGGCACGACTGTAAAGGTGCCTGGTGCTTGGATGTATGTATGGTGGCTGATTTGAAGTGACTGTTTTGAGATAACGGTAATAGTCTGACAGAAGCT
The DNA here is from genome assembly GCF_000001405.40 of Homo sapiens. Taxonomy (NCBI): domain Eukaryota; kingdom Metazoa; phylum Chordata; class Mammalia; order Primates; family Hominidae; genus Homo; species Homo sapiens. Next base: position 4,523,925 of record NC_000003.12, read on the forward strand.
ATTTGGAAGGAAGCAAACTCCTTTTACAGCCTGGCCTGGTTCTACAGGTGGTCACGTGACAGTGACTTGATTTGTTGAGTGCTTTTCTCCCTAAATTAAAAATAAAGGTTTCTGGGTTGTGAGATGCTTCGTCCTTGTGGGAAAATCTGGTTCAAAACAAGCTCTGCTGCAGGCTTTGGGAATGTAGGTCAGGACTTCCTTAATTCCATGTGCTAAACCAGAGGTCCCCTGCACCCAGGTGAGGGGCCTAGGCAGCTCTGCCTTTGCAGGCTGCCTCAGTGCTGGAAAGATCTGCTTCTCCACCGTGGAACTTGGGCAGTGAGTTTTAAAAAATTTTCCAAAGCATTCCTTCAACTGCGGTGCAGCATACTTTGACGTTTTTTTTTTTTTTTTTTTTTTTTTTTAAATGAAGAGAAAGATCTCTCTTTTGGAAGCAATTGCTGCGTTTCCAAATATAAGTGTATTTTGGAGCTGAAGTCATTTTGATGTTTAGAAATTGTGCATAGGGCAGTTGGGCAATTTGGAGGCATTTCTAGTCCATTTCCTCATGGACTCGTTGCACCCTAGAGTTTAACAAACACATATGGAAAAGTGAGATGCTGGCAAGCAGCCGAATGGGATGATGGAGTCTTTATCTGAGCAATCAGCAGAGCTGCATGTAGTCATTTGGGTTTGCTCTTGCTTCCATTGTTTCCTTGCCAAGTTATTTCCTATATTGAGAACCATCATAACCTGTTCTTAAGTAAATGGAAATCCAAGGCCTGTTTATGCAATATTCCCCATGGCTTCTGACTTTGCATCTTTAATTTTGTGAGCTCCTGAGATCTGCAGCCCTAATGGTTAATAAAAGAGGCTCTTGGATCAGGCTTCCTGGTTCATATCCAAGTTCCATGAATTCTTTGCTGTGTGACCCTGAACAGATTACTTCACCTTTGCCAACCTTGGTTTTCTCACCTGTAAAATGGGAGAGGATAATAGGCTCTATCTCATAAGGTCATTGAGAAGATTAATTGTGTGTTAAGAATTTAGTACGGGGGGAGTCTGACCCTTAGTTAAGAGTTTAAGCCTTATTCTTTTCTTTGTATTCCCAGTACTTAGTACAGAGCCTGGTACTTGTAAATCTCATGTTTAATTTTATGAGAATAATTATATATTGTTATTTTTTTTTTGTCTTCAAATTGTTTGTGGGTGGGGACGTGCACATGAACCCCTGGGCTTGGATTTGAGCCCCAGTGCTCGTGTATGCAAGCTGAGTAACCTTGATAGATTCCATAATATTTCTCAGCTTCTTTCCTCACTTGTGAGTTAGGGTCAAACAATTCCATCCTTATCAAGATAATATGCATAAAAAGCCTAATAGAGTGCTTAGTACACAGTAGTTGTTCAGTGAGTGGTTGCTGTTAATTTTCACAGTAGATATAGAAGAGTTCAACATCGAACAGAAGATATAGAAGAGTTCAACATCGAACACACTTGCTTTTTTTTCTCTGATGGTTGAAAGTACATTTCCAAAGTGAATTGCTTTTTTTGTGTGTGTGTGTGATTTCCTTGAATGTATCTCTTGCCTCTAACTTCCTCTGTAGGAAGAAAAGGTTGGCTGCACATCTGTTTCACATAAGCCACATCTTTTTCATCTGAATGAATTTTGGACAATATCATTGTCCTCGTAAGGGATGAGGAGAGCTGAGACTTAGAATAATACAGCAACTTTAGTTCTTTTATTAATATGGTACCATTTTAAAGCCCCAACATCCATGGAAGGTAAGGCAGAACCTCCTCTTCTCCCTGATTTGTGTTGTCTTTGCCCATAATCTTGAAAGAATAGAGAAGGCAAACATCAGATTGAAACAGGGAATAGAAACTTTGTGGTTAGTGAATTCCTTTATCTGTATTATCTTTTCCTCTTCCCACTTTTACCAGTCCCTCCCCCAGCTCCCCCGGTGCTAAATATAAAGATATCTACAAAGAAAAGGTGGAAACTAACAACCAGTCTTCATTTTGCTCCCAGAATCTCTGCTCTTTTTAAATATAAATCACCTCCAGGGTTGTTGGAGTAGAAACAAGGGAACTGGGCTTTTGGGCAATTAGATAGGCTTTAGTGTTGATCATGCCATTATTGCATAAGATTCGGGCAACAGTCAGGCTCTTGCTTTCAAAACCTAATCTTCTCTGTTCACATCAAGAGGCCAGTCATGGCTCCAAATTCTTGATGTTGGACAGATGTTACCATATCAATAATATCAAAATGTGCAGCTTTTAACTTTGCAGGGAGCCCCTTAGTTTCAGAATAAAAGCTGTTCGAAGGGAAACTTACAGTTCAAAATGAGGAGAAGTTGGGGCAGGAAAAAATGAGGTGAAAGGAATCATTATTCTATCACTAAGTGGTTCATATGAATTGGGGAGGGGATCAGACAGACTGAATATGTGGATGTTCCAGATAAGTATCTTACATTTCTCTTTCCCAGTGAAGTTGGTTTCAAGCATCATAGTCTAATCTAAGCAAATGTATTGTGAAAAATGAGTGTTGACCTCCAGCGCTGAGGCCCTACTGTGTACCAGCTGCTGGCCTTGGTGATGGCAGGACAAGATGAGTTACACTCCTTCTTGCTTTCAGGAGTCTTAGAGTTTCATGGAGAAACAGACCCACATTATAAGTTACAATAGCCAATGTTAATACAGCATTTATTTTGTGCAAAGCACTTCCTTTGAATTATCTCTTTTAATCTGAGGAACCCACCTATGAGGTGTAGGTCTTGATGTTCCCATTATGCAGTTGAGGAAATGGAAGCTCTAAGAAGTTGGGTAACTTGCCCATAGTCAGTTAAATGTCACTTCTTAGAATGATTATCATTCATTTCACAAACACTTATTGGGTAGTTCCCATGTGCCAGCCATTTGTACTCCATGAGGAAAGAGACATTCTCAAAGAAGTCTACATCAATATGTAGTGAAAATCTTTAAGAAACTTCTTTAGAGTAATTTGTTGTCTTCACTGCAACTATTTATATATAAGTAGAAGCAAAGCAGGTGAAATTTCTTCCTACCTAGTATAAAACCTGGCCTACTGGGGAAAAGTAAATGAGGATGCTTTTCATGTCCTAATCTTTCGCTGTGCAGCACCCTGAGACCAGAGCGCATCTATTTGGTACCTGATGCCATTTGAGATGACAAGTTATGAGCTGGTCCAGTGCCATGTGACTTATGAGTGTCGTAGCCAGAGCCCTCTTCCAAAGGCTGGGCCCAGTGCTTTTCTTCCTTTGTAGTTTTATGGAGACAAGGTCTCACTCTGTTGCCCAGGCTGGATTGCAATTGTGTGGTCATGGCTCACTGCAGCCTCGACCTTCTGGGTTCAAACCATCCTCCTTCCTAAGCCTCCCGAGTAGCTGGGACTACGGACATACCCCATCATGCCTGGCTTCTTTTTAAATTTTTGTAGAGATGGGGGTCTTGTATGGTGCTCAGGCTGGTCTTGAACTCATGGCCCCAAGCCATCCACCACCTTGGCCTCTCAAATTGCTGGGATTACTGGTGTGAGCCACTGCACCCTGCCACACTTAATGCACTTTTAGCCATTGCCCCAACCAGCTGTGGGATGCGCAGTATGTTACTTACAGTAGGATGAGTCCTGTTTGTAGTGCAAACGAGGGTCTGGCCTGGGGCAGTATAACCCAGTTTCTGGGCATTTCCAGAGTAAAATGTTGGTGGAAGACCCCTGGTTCCTCAACATATGCCCGGCTAGAAATAATGACAGTCTGAGTATTGTGCAGTCACCATGATACTGGCATGGAGAAGAGTATGTTGCTTGGCTATAATGAGCCGCTCTTGGACCTAAAGCATGGCCATGAACTTGAGGATCACACTTGTGGCCTTTTTATTTTTATTGGTGCCTTCTTTCCCCAGTCCCAGAGTGCTGGCACCATGTTAGCCCCTTTTAGTAGCATGCTGGTGGATTTAGTAGGATTATTTTATTGAGAGAGAGAAGGGTTTTACATCTCATGCAAGCTCTTTGTAATTGACTTTGAAACCTCCCAGCAGCTTAGGAAGGGTCCTCAAATAAGAATGGCATTTTTCATGCTTGAGTGATAAGAAACACTTGAGTGTCAATAGCCTACTTCTCTGATCTTGGTCTTGCCTGCAATTTAGGTTAAATATAGGGGAAAGAGCAACCTCTGGATGCCAGAGCTAGCATCCAGCCCAGAATCTGCCATGAACTGCTCCAATACCTTGGAGAAGTGATTTCGTCTCTCTTAGCCTCAGTTTCCCCATCTGTTAAATTGGGTTTTTCCAAGATTTCATCCAGCTTGAAACTTTGCTATTAGTGGCGGAAACAGGCAGGTTAACGTTAGAAGCCTTGTGCTGTCCAGAAATAGGTTCTTATTTCTTTGGGATTACAGGTCTCTTTGTCAAGATAGATGAGTGCTGGTAATAGCCAGGCCTTAACCTTACCCTTAGGCCAGATGGGGACACAGGCAGGGTCTTGGGTCACAAAGGTCATCTAGGGTGGCTATAACAAACTCACCGGCTTAGCTTTCTTTCAAACGACCCTCCTTTGCCGCACATTGTTTTAAATGTTGCTAAGCAACAGTATTTTTTGATTTTTTTCTTTTGGCAAGGCATCGAAGGAATGAATCCGTATCTTACTTAGTTTTAAATACCCTCATGCAAAGGGGAGGGCCTAACTTAAATTTTGTTTGTTCTTTTGATTCTAATCCATGACAGGCCTTTCATAGTAGGGGTATAGGACTTACTTTCTGCCTGTCTTGTTAAATAAGGCAGAAAAATCAGTCTATTTAAGGTGCTTGTCAAGTATATGCCTTGAGGCATATTGAAGGTTTCAAGAGTGTGTGCAGCTGCCTTGTAGGAGAGTCTCCTCCAACTTGTTCTGTATTCACAAAATCAATTCAAATTTAATAAAAAGATTAATAGTTTTTTGTAATCTTCATTTCAGATTTACTAGTTTATCTCAATCTTGGACCAACAGACTCCATTTAAAGGGAACAAAACTGTAATTTAAGTCAATTCCCTGGGCAACATAGAATGTTCACAGTGTGTTACACAATCGCTGGGGATGGTGCCTGCTGCCTGATTATGCTGGAGTCCCACACACTGCAGCGTATCCCTCACTGGATTGCTGCCTACTTGCTTCAAGCTATGAGATGCATGTCTGAAGGCTCTGGGTACCCTGAAAATGAGCATAAGGGAATTTGTGTTTACTTTGATGCCCTGGATCCATTCTTTTTTGCATACCTGAGTCACCCTGGAAAGTAGACCTCAGACCCCTCTTTTATAGTCATTTACCCTTATGATTTAGTTGCTAATGGAGAACCATTTTCACTATGTGCATAAAATGCTTCTAGTGCAATAAATAAGTTTACCTTGTCCTCCAATTGAATCACTGTATTGCTTTTGTGACTTCCTCCATTGAGGGTGAAATTGATTTGGAAATCTCAGCAAGCGTAATGGGGTCATATTGTCATATTGTCATATTGTTATATGGTTCTCCTGAAAGCAGTATACTGTGGTTGATTACGGACTTTTTCTTTTGGCAAAGGGTTTTATAATCCCGTCTTGAGCATTGATGAAGATGTGTGGTGAATCACTTGAGCTTATGATAACTCTTTTCCTTTCTTGTTTGACATGTGAGAAAATTAGAGGGATTTAGAAAGTCTCCTGGGGTCAAAGAGCAATCCTGTGCCAAAACTAGGGTTGGGGCACAACCCCAGTTTCTACTCACACTGTCTTTTAGGCTTCTGTGTTTGAGCCATGAATTAAAAATTTTTTTTGGTTCCATCACCCTGTGTAATTAATGATAACCTACTTTTTATAAATGCAAATAATAGTGAATACCTTGTGTAGTGCTAAGAGACATTAGTGAATATAATCTATTTAATTAATATACTTTACATACACTCATTTATTTAATCCTCATAACAACCCCATAAGTAAGACCGGTACCTTTCTACAGATGAGGAAACTGACATGTAAGATGTTTAGTGTCTGGTCCAAGATCACGTAGCTAGAAGTGGCAGAGCTGGGATTTGAACCCAGTCAATCTAACACCATAAATCCTCCTCTTAACAGCTACTCTAAACTGCCTTTAGAAGTGGACTGGCCTTGAAATATTCTTTGACAAAAATTACCCGATTTCTTAACTTCCTCCTCTGCAACCCCAAAGTATGTCATTGTGAGCTGCATTGACACAGAAGAAAAAGTCTACAGACAAGAGGGGCATGCTAACCGCCTACTTAACAATCTTGAGTATAGTATTTATCACTATCTGATAAATACACAGCTACTGTTTTCTCCTCGCCAGATTTTGGAGCACTCAAAGGGACCAAATCTTGCCCTGCACTCCTGGCCCAGCACCTGGCATAATGTTGGTCCTTCTTTAAATACTGGTTGAAAAGGAATTGGTGTTCTTTTCTGATATGATTTTGACTGCTCCCAGTTCTAGCAGTGTTTTTGCTGACATTTTAAATTGAATGGCCGCTGATCTTTTTACACTGATGACTTAACGCTGCCCTGTAATCTTGCTCCAAACTACCTGAGCCTGTTACTCTTGAAAAGCTTTCCTGTAGGCTGGGCATGGTGGCTCATGCCTGCAATCCCAGAACTTTGAGAGGCCAAGGCGGGAGGATGGCTTGAGCCTAGGAGTTTGAGACCTGCCTGGGCAACAAAGTGAGATCCTGTCTCTACAAAAAATGAAATTAGCCAAGCATGGTGGTGGTCACATGTAGTCCCTGCTACACAGGAGGCTGAGGCAGGAGGGTTGCTTGAGCCCAGTAGGTTGAGGCCGCAGTGAGCCATGTTTGCACCACTGCACTCCAGCCTGGGCAACAGAGCAAGACTCAACAACAACAACAACAACAACCCCTAAAACTGTCTTGTAGTTGACTCGTCTTCTCCCTGGAAAGTGGATCTTATTGGTCTCATTCTCTGAGAGTGTCTTCTCCTTGACTCCTAATGTTTGATCTTTTTTCTCTCTTTCATGCCTATAGTTTTGAGATTCCTTGGCTGCATTCAGTACATGAGCATGAAAAACAAATAATTGTTAAGTACCTTCCTCCTTTGTGCTTGGCTTTCTGATAGGGTCATGCATGCTTTTGTTCTTGACCGTTGGAGCACACTGTGACATGGGTACTGTTATGTCCCCATTTTACAGTTGGGCACCCTGAACCCACAGAGGGTTAGCAATCAAGGTGTATCTGGGATTTGAACCTATGTCTGGAGGACCACACAGTGTCTGCCACTTAAGTGAATTCACAGAGTTGGGCTGCTCAGAAAACACTTGAGGCTTCTGATGTCCTAGGTTCCACATTTCAAAGGCATGTTGCTTCGTGGGAATAAAGCTAACGCAGGGGTAACTTGGAGGCTAGGTCTCCATTCGATATTGAATGATGACGTTTTAGATTAGCTCCGGCAACAACATTTCTCACCAAAGTTGCTGCACAGACTCCTCACCTGTTTCTGTAATTCCACCTTTGCCTCCTTTGTGTCTGAGTGTGGACACCTCCTCCAATCCACCGTTTACTGCGGCTAGGGGAATCAGCACAGGTCTGAAGATGTCATTCAGCTGCTTGGAACCTCATAGTGGTTCCCCAGTTGTGCTCAGGATAAAAGACACACTCTCAGGGTTCCCAGCAGTCTGCATGAGTCACCACTGCTTACCTCTCAGCCTTATCTGCAGTAACTCCTCCAGGTTCTCTGCTCCATCCAGATGGATTGACTTCCTTCTGGCAGTCAGAATACTTGCTCTGTACTCTGGGACTTTGCATGTCCTGTTTCTTCTGCCTGAAATGATCTCCCTATCTCTGTTGTTCCTTCCTGGACCCCCCAGTCTTTCTAATGCCCACTCAACCTTCAAATCTCAGGCATCTCCTCTGGGGCACCTTTACTGAACCTTTGTGTGCAGGCAAGCAGCTGCTCCTTTTGCACAGACTCTGAAGCCAGACCCTGTGGGTTTGGCTCTCAGCCCTGCTTTTGACTGGTCATGTCATCTCAGATGTATTACTTAACCTGGCAATGCCTCCACTTTCTCATCTGGAAAATGGGGAAATTATTATGTATACCTCACAGGGTTTTCATGAGGATTAAATGAGTTAATCTGTGTAAAGCACTTACGGGACTACCTGGTCCATATTAAATGCCATAACACTGCTAATTTTTGGTTTTGACTTTTAACTTGATGGTTTTGACTTAGCCCTTCCCCCCTATTGCATTAACTGTGAGGACAGAAACCATGCCTGTCTCCCTAAGGCTTTGCACAGGTTCTGGACTATATTAGGAACTAAAATGTTTGTGGAATGAATGAAGAGAGACCTCTAAGGCATTGCTTCTGAGATCTGACTGCGTATAGGAACCACCTGGAATCTTGTTAAAGTGTAGATTCTAATTAGGTAGTCTGAAGTGAGACCTGAGATTCTACATTTCTTTTTTATTTATTTTATTTTTATTTTTTGAGATAGGGTCTTGCTCTGTAGCTCAGGCTGGAGAGCAGTGATGCAATCAAGGCCCACCGCAGCCTTGACTTCCCAGGCTTAAGTGATCTTCCCCCCTCAGCCTCCTAATCCTGAGTAGCTGGGATTACAGGCGTGTGTCACCACACCCAGCTAATTTTTGTATTTTTTGTAGAGACGGGGTTTCGCCACGTTGCCCAGGCTGGTCTTAAACTCCTGGGCTCAACTGATCCTCCCACTTTGTCCTCCAAAAGTATCGGGATTACAGGCATGAGCCACGGCACCCTGCCGAGATTCTACATTTCTAACAAGTTGTCATGCTCCTGCAAGGCTCTCGGGAGCCACTGACTGTTATCTTCCCTTATTTTATGGCTGTCCTATAGAAGACAGATGTTCTGAGCCCAGAGCAATAGAGAATGAGGGCTAGTGGATCAAAGTGCCCAGAGGTAGAATATGAGGCTTAAAAGAACTTAATTCTGACTATTAGTGCTGAGCAGTTACTCAAAGAAGAGGCCTGCTTCAAATTACTGAGTTTCCCCCGATTCAAAGAGGGCTGACCATCTGTCGGGGATTTTGCAGAGGGAATTTCTGCTCTGGGACAGAGGTTAGATGGATGATTCCATTTGACTGTGTGTGTTTTCCCACCGAAGGACCCAGCTGTTCTTTCTGTTTTTGCTTCCTGTGGAAGCCCTATGGTTGGGAGCGTTGGGTCAATAAACAGCTGGGGAGAGCACAGATGCACTGTAGACAAGAAACTCTCTGGAAACTGAATGGGTTCAATCCAATTGGTAAGAGAACATTAGTGGAAAGATGGCATTATTGAATGTTTGAAAAAATGAACAAATAGAAAAAAACAATAGCTTTCTAAGTCAAGGCTTGCCGAATCCGGTCATAATGAGTGGGTAAGATGTCCTGGGGAGACACTACAGCGTGGTGGTTAGGAGCACAGGCTCTGGAGTCAGTCATGGGTTCAAGTCCCTGCCCTGCTCTTACTAGTTATATGACCACAGGCAAGTCATTTAACCTGTCTATGCCTTAGTTTCCCCACCTGGCTGCCATGGTGAATAACACTGTGGAGCTGATAGGCTTGTGTGAGGATGATTTGGTGCATGTGTAACACAGTAAATACCTGCAATACAGCCTCAGCACTCAGTGAAGAGTGGCTATTGTGACTGAATTTGCAATTAGCAGCTTTCGGGACATCTCTTAGGAAGCTCAAACATGGCCTTTGCCATCTTGTAAAACATCGATATGTCCGTTTTAAAAACTCAGCCAGTGGAGTATACAAAGGAATCCATAGCCAGGCAGACTTTAGCCTTCCTGAATTTTTTAGATTTTATTGAGTGGGCCTGGTAACCAGCTATGACAGAGCTTGGGGCTATTAGAAAAGAAGCCATCAGGGCTTTTCTCTCCTCGCACGAGCCTTGATCAGAGCCTCAGTTACTGACGGGTCGTTTGCTCGAGATGGTAATCCTGCCTTCTGTATAGAATTACAAGCCTAGCCAGAGAGGAAGTTGTGTTTATCTTACCCCAAACAGCAGGCATTCCAGTGACTCTTGACAGACAGGAGGAAGTTATTGCCAATCTGCTCTTTCCCAAAAGCTGCCCTTCCCTGCCCCCAACGTGCTCCTTGCATGTTTAGAGAGGTTTCTGCCAGCCAGCCTGCCAAGTGGCATTCTCTCCCGGGCTTTGAGGACAGTTGCATTTGCAGAAGGAATGTCCAGAGGCTACTTCTTTTTCTCTTTTAATAGATTTAGGGGATACAAGTGCAGTTTTGTTACTTGGATGTATTGTGTAGTGGTGAACTTTGGTCTTTTAGTGTACCCATGGCCCCGGTAGTGAACATTGTACCCAATGGGTAATTTTTCAACCCGTACCACCCCCACACCTTTTGGAACCTCCAGTGTTTATTATTCCCCTCTATTATGTCCATGTGTACCCATTGTTTAGCTCCCCCGGTGGCGGCTACTTCTATATTATTGGCCAAGGTGGAGGCATCTCTCCCCAAGGTGAGTGGTCAGCCTGGCTCTTACAGGAGGCAAAAATTGTGCTTATTCTCATTGGCACTGATTTGGGAGAGATAAGTGGAGAGGGGCTATAGGTGTGAAGAAAAGAATACATCTTTTCAAAGAACCCACGTGTTTTCCTTTCCAAAACAATAGCTGGAGGTCAGTGTAGAAAAACTCCAACTTGAGCAGTTGCAATAATTGAGAAAATAAGTTGGGCAATTATTCCTCTAACTGAGATTTAAAAGTTCCTTTCTTCGTCTGGTATTTTTCCGGGTACATTTGAGTTCCAATTTGGGTGCTTCTGAAATGTCTGGATGTTTTGTGCTGCTAAAATTATATGTGTCTAAAAATGTTATCAGTGATGACACTTATATATAAGCTCGCTTGGACTTATGCTAGCAAATTTCTGTGACTAAGGTCCTCTCCTCCCCCTATAACCATTCCCAGAATCGTGGCATTTGAGGTAAAGGTAGGAAATAGAATAACCCAACTTAGGTTTAGCAATCAAGTGAAGGACTATCACTTGAGAACTTTGCTTCGGTCTTGTCGACAAAGAATACGGGGTTTTGTTACCATAGTTTCAGTGAAAAATTTGACCTTAGCTACAATAACATACAGTTAGAAAGAACCAGCTAATCGGTTTTCTAAAATTAGTGTTCTCTAGTACATAAACCAGTAGGAACAGAGTATTTAATTAAATATTATACAAGGATATAAAAGCCCAGGGGAATGCAGTCCCTTGATCTGGGCGGGGGGAGGGAGGAAACCCACAGTGCTCCTTTACTGGTCTCTTGCAAGCTACAAGAACTTTACTTCTTTTAAAAATGTTAGTATTGGTTTTATTTTCAGATCTGTCAGGAATGAATTTATACAGCTTGCTGAGAGAGCAAAATAAAACATTCAGCATTATTTCCAGTTGTCCCCTACAGGGTACAAACTAACAAGGCAAGATGTGAAAATGATGTTGGGCTAGGATTCTGATAAGGACACTTGTTGGTGATCTGCTAGATGACTTTATGTGAAGGAAAATTATTTTCTTTTTTTTTTTTTTAATTTTTTTTTTTTTTTTTTGAGACGGAGTCTTGCTCTGTTGCCCAGGCTGGAGTGCAGTGGCGCAATCTCGGCTCACTCCAAGCTCCGCCTCCTGGGTTCACACCATTCTCCTGCCTCAGCCTCCCGAGTAGCTGGGACTACAGGTGCCTGCCACCACGCCCGGCTAATTTTTTTTTGTATATTTAGTAGAGACGGGGTTTCACTGTGTTAGCCAGGATGGTCTCAATCTCCTGACCTTGTGATCCACCCGCCTCGGCCTCCCAAAGTGCTGGGATTAGAGGTGTGAGTCACCTCGCCCAGCCAGGAAAGTTATTTTCTCTCCAAAATCTGGGCATTTTAAAGCAACTAATTTCTAGACTCTTGTTCCTTTGAATGCCTAATGTGTGATTAAGTGGGGCCAACGTCTCCTAGTTCTGAGTACAGCTATATCTGCCTCCCCCAACTCCACAGGCCATAAGCAATAATCTGTATGAAGATTATGTAAAATTTGACATCTCTTTTCATCTACTTATCAAGAGCCCCAGCAGTAGCTCATGTTTCTGATAGTGGCTGGAAATGTCATCAATATTGTGTGAACTTAGAAAGCTGTGGTACCATTTCTGGAATGAAGTGGCTTCCAGATTTTGTAATTTCAGGACAAAGAGGTTTCTGGTCCTTCATTGACACTCTTCTCTGATTTTATTATCACCTGCCCTGGAGGCTGCAGAGGTGCAACTGGAGTTCAGTCGTTTGCCAGGTTTATCACTGATTGGAAACATTGCTCTGGGTTTTCTTGAACTTCTATTGTTGTATCTCTTTGTCAATTACATATTGATACATTTTCTTAATTTCAGTTTTATGATTTCAGCTTTTTAATTGGACTTTAAGATAACTATCTAATAGAATTGGAAGGGTGAGGTATATTTAAGGGAATACAAATGTTTTTGTTTGACGTTTTTACCATTTTGCATGTTTCTGTAGTGGCATCTCAACTATTGCAATGGAAAATATGTCCTTGGCAAGACTCTTAGAAACACAGCCTCAAAGGTCATTGGATTGTGCAAGCTTCTTGACTATTTACAAGGTCACCTACCTGAATGAATAGAAATGCTCCCTGCCCTTAAGGAATTTGCAATTTTATGAAGAGAGATGAGTGAGAACTACTTTGTGGATTATTCTTGGAGAATGTTGAATCCCAGATGAGCTTTTAGTCCCCTGATGTTCATTGTTTTTATCTATGCCATCAGATCACTGTGCCCAAATAATTTGAATTCATGTTAATAATAGCTTACGAAAAATGCAGTAAGAGAGCTTGCTGGAAAAGTGACAGCATGCATTTTAAATTACTTCTAGTTGACCTGGCTTTCATTACCCAAATATCCACAGGCCCTTCCATGAATATGGATAATTGAGTTGATATTTAGCAAATACCATTGAAGAGGTTAGATGTGTCAGGTTGGTTGTTGGAATGGTGAACTAGACTCTTGATTTTGGATGATAGCTTAAACTAACCTAAACAAAAGGGGGATTTTTTGGGGTCAATCCCAGACGAACAGCTGAATTGCATGAAGGACAGGAGTGCAGCAGGGGCTCAGGAAAACACAGATTCAGGCATTTGAGTACTGTCAGCAGCCTACGTCCATATCTTGTGTCTTCTTTCTGTGCATCTTTCACCTTGGTTTCTTGTCCTGTCCTCTTCGGGTTTTGATATCAAGGTTATACCACACTGAAAATGAGTTGTGGAGTGTTTCCTTTTTTTATTCTCTAGGGGAGTTTGTGTAATATTGGAATTATCTGTTCCTTGACAGTTTGGTAGAACACGTGAGTAAAGTCATCCCAGCCATCTGTTTTCTTTATGTCAAAATTAACTACTGATTCACATTCCTTATGTCTTTAAAGGGCTGTTTCTTCCTGGGTAAATATTGTAAGCTCTGTTCTTCTAGAAATTTACCCATGTCATCTAAGTTTTCAAATCTATAGTCTCCTTGTATTATTTTGTTCCTAGATTGACTGGTTTTGTCCTTGTGGTAGGCTGAAGAATGGCCCCTGAATGTCTTCATCCTAGTATATGTTACCTGTGAATATGTTACCTCATATGGTATAGGGATTTCACAGATGTGATTAATTAAGGCTCTTGAGATGGGGAGAGTATCCTGGATTTCCAGGTGTGCCTGATCACAAGGGTCCTTGTAGGCTAGAAGCAGGAGGATTCGAGTTAATAGGAGATGGGAGGATAGAAACAATAGGTTGGAGTGATGTAGCCATGAGCCAAGGAATGCAGGAAGCTGCAAAAGTCAAGAAAATTGATTCTCTCTTGAAGTCTCCAGAGGAATGCAGCCCTGCTGATACCTTGATTTTAGACTTCTTACCTCCATGACTTTGAGAGAGTAGATTTGTGTTGCTTTAAGCCACTACGTTTTTGATTATTTGTTATAGCATTGGTAAGAATACAGTAGTAATTGTCCTAATATTGTTTATTTGTGCGTTCTTTTTTTTCTTGAATAAGCACTGACCCATGTTTTTTCTGTCTTATTACTCTTTAAAGAAACAAATTTTGGCTTTATTAATTCTTTCTACGATAGGTTGGTTTTGAAGTTCATTAATGTTTGCCTTTGTTTTTATTTTCTTCATTCTCTTTCTTTAGATTTATTTTGTTCTTCCTTTATTCTTTTAAATTAGATAATCAATTTACAAATCTGACTTCTCAAATTGTAATGTTAAGCATCTTAATCTATAAATTCCCTTAAAATATTGCCTTAAACTTAAACAAATTTACAAGAAAAAAACCAAACAACCCTATTAAAAAGCAAGCAAAGGACATGAACAGACACTTCTCAAAAGAAGACATTTATGTGGCCAAGAAACATATGAAAAAAGCTCGACATCACTGATCATTAGAGAAATGCAAATCAAAACCACAGTGAGATACCATCTCACGCCAGTCAGAATGGTAATTATTAAAAAGTCAGGAACAACAGATGCTGGTGAGGTTGTAGAGAAATAGGAATGTTTTTACACTGTTGGTGGGAATGTAAATTAGTTCAATCATCATGGAAGACAGTGTGGCGATTCCTCAAAGACCTAGAATCAGAAATACCATTCGACCCAGCAATCCCATTCCTGGGTTTAAACCCAAGGGAATATAAATCATTCTGTTCTAAAGATACATGCACATGTATGTTCATTGCAGCACTATTCACAATAGCAAAGGCGTGGAATCAACCCAGATGCCCATCAGTGATAGACTGGATAAAGAAAATTTGGTATATATACACCATGGAATACTATGCAGCTATAAAAAGGAACAAGATCATGTCCTTTGCAGGGACATGGATGGAGCAAACTAATTCAAGAACAGAAAACCAAACATTGCATGTTCTCACTTATAAGTGGGAGCTGAACAATGAGAATGCGTGGACACAGAGAGGGGAGCAACACACACTGGGGCCTTTTAGGGGATGGGTGAGGGGAGGAAGAGCATCAGAATAAACAGCTAATGCATGCGGGGCTTAATACCTAGGTGATAGGTTGATAGGAGTAGCAAACCACCATGACACATATTTACCTATGTAACAAACACATGCACATCCTGCACATGTATTCCAGAACTTAAGATTTTAAAAAATTTATATGTATGCATATGAAATAATTATAAACATTGACTTCAAAAAATTGCCTTAGTTTCTTCCTACACATTTTGACATGCAGTATTTTTCTTATTGAGTTCTAATTATTTTCTTATGTCTGTTATTTTTTATACCTACGAGTTATTTAGAAGTATTTTTATAGTTCTGATTTTAAGGGATGTTTCTAGTTCTCTTTTTTGAAAAAATGTTTTACAACTTAGTTGTGTGTTGGTCAGATAATATCTTTGTTTTATCAGTCCTTTACAACTTGAGAGGCTTGCTTTGTGGCCTAGCAAGTTATCAAATTTTATGCATGTTCTACTGTGCTTGAAAGAATATATATATATTTCCAATCTTAGGTGCAATGTGCTATATATGAGTTTGTTGGTTTTTTTATCTCCTTGATCTATCCAGTGTTGAGAGACATTTGTTAAAATTTTCTATTAATATTTTGGGCTTATGGAATTGTTCCTGATTATGGTGGTGGTTGCATGAATTTGTGTATATGTTAAAACTCATAGAACTGTATACGGTGCTATGGCTTGAATGTCCCCTCCCAAAACTGAGGTTGGAACTTGGTCTTCAATGTGGCAGTGTTGAGAAGTGGGGCCTTTAAGAGGTGATTCATTCATGGACTAATGGATTTAATGGGTTAATGGATTAATGAGTTATCATGGAAAGAGAACTGATGGCTTTATAAGAAGAGGAAGAGGGACCCAAGTTAGTACATTAGCATGCTCAGCCCCATCGCCATGGGATACCCTGTGCTGCCGAGGGACTCTTTAGAGAGTCCTTACCAGCAAGAGGGCTGTCACCAGATGTGGCCTCTGACTTGGATCTTCTTACCTTCTATAACTTAAGAAATAAATTTCTTTTCCTTACAAATTACCCAGTTTCAGGTATTCTGTTATAAGCAATGGAAAGCAGACTAAGATGCAAAAAAAAAAAAAAAAGGAAAATTACTTACAGTGAATTTTACTATAAGTAAATTAGTTAAAAGGGTTAAAAAAATTCTCACTGTGACAGTAGGTGTGCAATTTTGCCTTGTAGTTTTTAAGTTTTTTAAAAAGGTTTTTTCTTTTGCCTTACCCTCAGTTTTTTCTTTATGTATAATGAGGTTATATTAGTAAATGCTTAGATTTATACAATTATTATTACTTTCTGGTGAACTAAATATTTATCATTATGTAAGAAACATTTTTCTTTCTAATGGTGTTTGACGTCTTATAGTCTGTTTTGTCTGATATTAATATACCTACACCAGAATTGTTTTAGTTAGTATTTGTTTAAATATACATTTTATTTACTTTTAAATTCTCTGTCATTATATTTTAGAGCTGTCTCTCATAAACTGTACATAACTAGAGAACTACTCTCTCTGACCATCTTTGTCTATTATCTATTAATTGGAATGTTTAGTCCATTTACATTTGTTGTAATGTATTTATATTTATGATTTTAATTTGTGGGGTTTTTTAAATCTTTTTTTCCCCCTCCTTTAAGTTTCATCGAAGGCTTTTGTGTGTGTGTGTATGTGTGTGTGCACGTGTGTGTGTTTGAGACAGGGTCTCACTCTGTCACACAGGCTGGAGTACAGTGGCTTGATCTCGGCTTGCTGTAATCTCTGCCTCCTGGGTTCAAGTGGTTCTCCCCCTGAGTAGCTGGGATTACAGGCATGCCACCATGCCTGGCTAATTTTTGTATTTTTAGTAGAGACAGGGTTTCAACATATTGCCCAGTCTGGTCTTGAACTCCTGGGCTCAAACTATCCACCTGCCTCAGGCTCCCAAAGTACTGGGATTACAGATGTGAGACACCACGCCTAGCTGTGCTTCATTGAAGGTTTTTTTCATTGTTGTTCTCCATTCTGTTATTTCCCCCTCTACTGATTTGGAGGATATACTTTATATGTGTTTTTTTTTAATAGAAGTTACCTCAGATATTTTAACGTGCATATTTAATTAACCCTAAAGTTTATAACTATCATTATTCTCTCCTACAATACTAGGACATTATAGAATATTTAAACTCCTGTCATCCTCTCTCAGTCTATGCTCCTGTTCATGATGTTAGTGCTTTGTTTTATATTAAAACTTGCATATTAGATATGATTTTGTTTTATATTGTCATTAAAAAAATTAACTTACGTATTAGTATTTACTATACCTATCTTGGATAATTTTTTTTCTGCCTCAAGCACATTCTTAGAATTTGGAGAATCTGTTAGTGGTAAATTCTATTTTGTTTGAAAATATTCACTTTTAATTCTCTGAAAATTTTACTTTTATTTTTAGGTGACAGTTTTGCTTGGTTTAGAATTGTAGATTGATGGGTACTTTCTGTCAGCATCATTATTTTTTTGCCTTTCATTGTTGTTAAAAGCAACCTTGCTCAGTATTTTTTTTTCCCCTCTGGTTACTTTAGAGGAATCTCTGTCTTTGATTTTCTGTAATTTTACTAGTATGAATATAGGTGTCAGTTTCTTTTTATTTATCCTGCATGATATTTGTTAAGTTCCTAGATTTGAGGTTGTTTTTTGTTAGCAATTATGGAGAATTCCGAGCTGTTATCTATTCAAATACCACTTTTTTTTTTTTGAGATGGAGTCTCACTCTGTTGCCAGGCTGGAGTGCAGTGGCGTGATCTCGGCTCACTGCAACCTCCGCCTCCCAGGTTCAAGCCGTTCTCCTGCCTCAGCCTCCCGAGTAGCTGGGACTACCAGCACGTGCCACCATGCCCAGCTAATTTTTGTATTTTTAGTAGAAATGGGATTTCACCATGTTGGCCAGGATAGTCTCAATCTCTTGACCTGATGATACACCCACCTTGGCCTCCCAAAGCGCAAGGATTATAGGCATGAGCCACTGCGCCCAGCCGCTTTAGGCTATTTTTTAATCTCGCCATCTTTTTCATCTTTGCTCCATAGGCTGGACTCTAGGTAATTTCTTCTCATCTTTGTTTACTATTTCTGTTCTATTATAATCTGCTCTGTATTCATTGAGAGTTTAATTTGAATTATATTTTTCCATTTCTAAATGTTCTATTTGGGACTTCTGAAACGTTTGGTCATTCTCATTCCTCCATATTTTCAAGCTTCTACTTTACTTCCTGTTACCAAAAAAGCACACTTTAAATATATTCTATCTCTAAAAATTACAGTAGGTGCTATCTCTACAGATCTTATTCTATTTTCTACATTGGCTGTTTCTGAAAATGGTATCTTATTTCCCTGTGTGTTTTGTGATTTTGACTATCAGCTTGTGTTTTTTTGGCATTTCATCTGTGGGAATTGTTTGAGGCCTGGGTTAAAGTCATGTTTCTCCCCAGAAAATTGTTTCCTTTTG
The DNA here is from genome assembly GCF_000001405.40 of Homo sapiens. NCBI lineage: Eukaryota > Metazoa > Chordata > Mammalia > Primates > Hominidae > Homo > Homo sapiens. The sequence continues at coordinate 4,542,392 of NC_000003.12, forward strand.
CCAGTTGCCAGAGATGCTGCCAACTCAAGACTATTTAAATCAAATTCTTTGCCTGAAAATTTTAAAATTTTGTTTTAGGTATTTTTTGCTTAAATTTTGGGAATTTCCTATATATGTTAATTAGGGTGACAAACGAGTATGAGGGTAACTTATTTATCTTGACTTTGGCTCTAGGTATAAGAGAGAAAACTCTCCTCGTAGTTCACAAACAAGTTACCTTGCCTTCCTATTTTTAGGGTTGGTTGGTTTGTTGTTCACCATTGCATTGAAGCTGTAGCTTCTTGTGTGTGGCGGGGGGGTGGGTCTGAGCTTTATGCAATGGTCTCTTAGAAAACTTTTGATCTTGAGTAGGTGCAGAGCTTTATCCCCTCTACCTGGCACTAGTATCATAATGGAAGGTTATTAGGTTCTCCAGATATTCTCAGAGTTCTCGCTTTAGAAAGGACATACCTTCCAGGGGTCTTGTTTCCACTTCATTGCGGGCTTCTCTGGATTCCCTTCTATATAACTGCTTCAGTACATTTCAAAATGTTTTCTAATATTTCATCCAGCTTTTTCTGTGTATTAATTGATACTGTAAGAAATGCATACTTGCTTCCTGCTCCTTTTTTTGTCTCACTGTCATTTTCTGTGTGATTGAAAACATTGCTACCCATAGCTCTTAAAATGTATAATTTTACAGTTATAATCATTGGAGAAAGACTGATCCGTGTTTGAATATTTAAACAAGTGCCTGGGTGTGGTGGCTCACACCTATAGTTTCAGCTACTCGACAGGCTTAGGTGGGAGGATTGCTTGACCCCAAGGCTGCAGTGAGCTGTGATTGTGTCACTGCACTGCAGCCTGGGCGACAGAGCAAGAGCCTGTCTCAAAAAAAAAAAAGAGAAAAAAAAGAAAAAAGCAATTCTAGATAAGGAACTTTGTGGTTGAGTTTGGGTCAGATTTCCTCCTCTGGGTCAATCTGCTTAGGCTGGGGACTTGGATTACCTGTGTTAACATGGAAGCTCCCAAGAAAACCATTTAGGCTAGACTCAGTTCCAAAAACAAATCAAAACAAAACAAAACAAAAACAAAAACAAAACAGGTAATAAATATACAGTCCAGGTATCCACTGTGATGGTAATCAAGGGATAAAGAATGATATTTGTTCAAGTGATCCTCTTGCCTCAGCCTCCTGAGTAGCTGGGGCTATAGGCACGTGCCACCACGCCTGGCTAATTTTTGTATTTTTAGTAGAGATGGGGTTTCACCCTGTTGGCCAGGCTGGTCTTGAACTCCTGATCTCAAGTGATCTGCCCACCTCGGCCTCCCAAAGTGCTGGGATTACAGGTGTGAGCCACCATGCCTGGCCGTATTTAAGTCTGTTAGGAATGATTTTGACTGCAAGTAAGAGAGAAAATCCACCTAATAGTGGCTTAAAACATAAGGGCATTTGTTGTTTCCTTAGAAATCCAGAGATAGGCAATATCTTATGTAGTGAAAGTCTCAAAATCGTGTCTTTTTGCTCCACATCCTTAGTGTATGGGTGCCCCCATCCCCACCATGTTCTTGTCACTTCATGGTTACAAAATAGCTGCAGTGGTTCCAGGCATCCTGTTTGCTTTCATGATAAGGAATAAGGGACAACACAGTGAGCTCTCCTTTCATTCCTGTTCCTTTTTTTTTAAGACAACAAAAACTTATCTTCATGCTCCTAGCAGTCTACTTTTATTTCATTAGTCAAAATTGGGTTTAATGCTTATTCCTAGCTGCAGAGAGTTTGACTGGAAGTGAGGTTTTGTCTTTTCAGCCTTTATGTTAAGAAGCAGCCAGGTCACCATGTGGTGGAAATTGTTTGGGAGACAACAAGCTTTCTATACTGTGGTTTATTGGTTGCACATTGAGGAATCCAAGTGATTCTCCTTCCATCTAGTTTTTAGTGTCTTGGTGATTGAAGAATACCAGCTTTTGTCGACAGTACAGGTAATGTAACTATCCACAGGAGCAAGTAGCTCTTACTCTAGCCATCTCAAATGGATGCAAGCAACCATACGTATTCACCTGATGCCAGTATTCACCATAAATAGTATGAGTGTTAGTGACAGCAGAGGCTTTAATGAGTAATAGGCACTTCATTTGTTTTATTGGCTTGCATCTGAGAAGTACCTAAGCTAATAGTTTCTGCTTTTTGTTAGTGATGCCTTAGTTTGGCTAGCTAAGTGGGGCTAGGTAAAGAAAAAAGCATTTTATACACATGACCAAGTTTGGGAGGGATCCTCTCAGTCGTTTTGGACTGACATTGCTAACTTCGTAAAGGGAAATGCATAGTCTGAGATTTTCTCTTTATCTGTCATCCCTTTTAAGTGATGGCGTTGGCAGAGGGTCATTCTCTTAGCTTGCCCATAGCTTTGCTTTCATTGCAACAACAACTTTTTATTTTTTAGACAGGGTCTTACTCTGTTGCCCAGACTGGAGTGCGTGTGGTGGTGCACTCACAGCCTACAGCCTTGACCTCTTAGGCTTAAGCAATCCTTCCACTTCAGCCCCCAAGTAGCTGGGACTATAGGTGTGTGCCACCATGCCTGGCTAATTTTGTTTATTTTTTTGTATAGATGGAGTCTCCCTATGTTGCCCAAGCTGGTCTCGAACTCCTGGGCTCTAGCAATCCTTCCGCCTCAGCCTCCCAAAGTGCTGGGATTACAGGTGTGAGCCACTGTGCTCAGCCTGGAGCTTCTCATGAATCAAAAGCTCCCTGGTAGAATCAAGAACAATTTGGTTAATAATTTTCACCCTCGAACAGATGAGAGAAAAACCCAAAATGAATCAGTTGATCTGTTTAAACTTTAATATTTATTTTCCTTTTCATCCTAAAGGAGGAAGTAGTTTTTCCCAGAAAGCAGTGTGGAAACTTTCCTGTTCTTATTTCTATACTTGTATATGGAGGCTGCTTATGGTATATTAAAGAATTTGGACTGGGTACAGTGGCTCCTGCCTGTAATTCCAGCACTTTGGGAGGCCAAGATGTGAGGATCACTTGAGCCCAGGAGTTTGAGACCAGTCTGGGCAACAAGGTGAGACTCCGTCTCTACAGAAAATAGAATAATTTGTTGGGCTTGGTGGCACATGCCTGTGGTCCCAGCTACTGAGGAGGCTGAGGTGTAAGGATCTCTGGACCCTAGGAGACTGAAGCTGAAGTGAGCCATGACTGTGCCACTGCACTGCAGCCTGGGCAACAGAACGGGACCCGGTCTCAAAAAAAAAAAAAAAAAAAGGCTTTGGAAGCATCTTTTTTTGTGTTCATATCACGGCTAGTATGCAAACTTTTTTTTTTTTTTTTTTTTTTTAAAGACAGAGTCTTGCTCTGTCACCCAGGCTAGAGTGCAGTGGCGTGATCCAGGCTTACTGTAGCCTCAGCCTCCTGGGCTCAAGTGATTCTCCCGCCTCAGCCTCCTGAGTAGTCAGGACTATAGGCTAGGACCCCCATGCTTGGCTAATTTTTAATTTTTTGTAGAGACGGGATCTCACTATGTTACCAAGGGTGGTTTTGAACTCCTGAGCTCAAGCGATCCTCCTGCCTCAGCCTCCCAAAGTGCTGGGATTACAGGCGTGACATGTGATCTTGAGCGAAATATTTAATTTTTCTATGTCTTAATTTGCTCTTGAGTAAAACGGTCACAACAAGAACAACTTTAGAGGTTCGGGGGATTAAAGGAGATATGCAATGCTCTTGAGACAACGTCAGGTACATTTTAAGCGTGCAGTCAGTGTACATGATTATCATGATAATGATGTAAATTTTTCCCCCTCTTCTTGAGTTCTTCTTGAGTTGGAAGAAGGAATTCTTTTCTTTGAGAGGATAGAGTTGGGGAGCAGAAAGTGTCTTCTCCAGGCACCACGGCAGGACCTTAGGATTGCTGGTGCATTAGAGGGTGTGAGCACTCGAACCTGTCATCTGCTTCTATGTCATTTTTTCCTCATCACAACTTTGTGAAGTTGGTGGATTATACCCATTTTCCAGCCAAAAGAGGATGACCTCTGAGGTTATGAAACTTGCCCAAACTAAGAATTCTAGCCAGAGGTAGAGCCAAGACTTGGAGCTAAGAGTTCCTGAATCTTTCCTCCTTTCCAGGAGTTCTTGCCTCAGACAGAGCTCGTGCACCGTTCACTCTAGCTGGTGTTCCTCTGACCAGTCAGTAGCAAATGCATGCTCTGCCTTCAGCCACAGAAGTCCGCAAGCAGTAGTGTCCTTTGTGTTGTTTCCTCTTAAAACGTCATCTACTTAAACAGGTTGTGAATCTGTCTTAAGGATAGACAAATAATTTAATGGCAGAGGTGTAGGGTGATGATTCAAATTCAGTGACATAAACCAAGCGCTGGGCCAACTCTGACCTTTTTTTTTTTTTTTTTTAATCCCTTTGAATCATCTTGTGCTGCATTCTGATGAAATCTTGACATACCACCCTGAAGGAAGTGCTGTGTGAAGAAGTGTGGGCTCATAAGATAGGACCAGGGGAAGAGAGGGGCCACTGAAGGCTTAACTTTGAGTGTTTGGAAAACAACACTGGTTTAGGAGCTGGAGGACTTGAGTCCCAGTCTTTGGTTTGTCCCTGACTAGCAGTGTGACCTCCAATAACGCTCTTGACCTGTCTGGGCCTTTGCTGCTTCATCTGTGGCATGAACACGTTGGACTAGAAAGTGAAACACAGCAAAACTTTTATTGAGTGTCTACTCCATTCAAGGCCTGTGCTAGGCATGATTTATAGTACGGTTGTAGTTACAGTCTCTTCACTGTCTCAGATTCCCTCACGTCCCTGATAAACTTTAATTTCTCTTTTAGGAAAGATTCGGCCTGACATTTTATTTTTATTCTTACATCTTAGTTTTAAGAAGCACATAGATTTATCACTTACATTTACTCATATGAATAAATAACATATGTATTTATTAAAGCCACTTAGCAAAGGAATTAAAACTTTCTTCTAAACTTACCATTCATGGAAAGCTGTAATATAAGCAATGAAAAGACCGTTCTTCACATGTGTCTTGTGTTACTGCTCCTGGGCCTCCTACTTCCATTTCCCTCTAGATGACATGGATTTGTCCCCCTTAATTGTATCCAGGCCTCTATGGCTTCAAAGGACTTTAGCACATAGGGCGGTAGGGTGGCACGGTGACAATATGAAAGACTCTGTAATGTAACTTGGGTTCAAGTACTGGCTTTACCATTTATTACACGCTAATACCTTTGGAACTTAGTTACTTAAACTGTAGCATAATATCCACATCAAGAAAGGTGATCTGTTAGGAGTCTCGTAGGCACATAAAAAGGTTGATTCCCAACCCCCTTCATATGCAGTTACACTGGGAATTTAAGTATTTACCCAGTCCGAGGAGTTCAACCTCAAATACATCAAAACCACCCTTGCCCTTCCCTCCTCAGGACTTAGTGGGTGATAGGTGGAATATCAAACAGGACACCAGCCTGTTTCTTTGTGCGGAGGCCTTTGAGTATCATTCAGATTATTTTTTTTTCACTCTGTTAAATTCAAGTTACTTCTGCATCCACTTACGAAGCATAGCTACAGGATTGGCTCAGTCTAAGTACCGGCCTGTGAGTAAGCCATTCTACTTCTTATTTCTCATGTTGAATTTAATAATCAGACCCTCTCTTATTTGTCAGCACTTTGTCAGAGCTATGTAGGGTGAGGGAGTCTTTCCCCAGCTCAGCCCAGGTTTGTTTTTAGTACTGGATAAAGTTAATAAGACTTTATCTGACTGTAAGTGGAAAGACACAGCCAAGATTAAATTGCAATTGAGTTAAAACCGGTGGAATTGGATTTGGTTAATTGATTGTGTACTATGTCTCAGTCAGCATTCATCTTCAGTTTTTCACCTTTGTACTGCATTCAAACATCAAGTTTGGGTTGGTTATACATTTGGATTTCCTTTTCCACAATATTTTCTAGCAACATCATTCAAGAACTCGTAAAGTGAAAAGGGGTGTGCGTGTGTGTGAAACTAGGACATTCTTGTCTTTTTAGTAAATACTCATTCCTTTATTTCTTATTGCTCTAATGGCATGTGACTTTAATTTGGTCTATTTAGCAACTGTTTAATTTCTGTCATGCAGAAAACAAATTTCAGCACCTTTTCCCGAAGCCCGTATGCCTCCTTATGAAATGTACAGGTAGTGATGAATGAACTCTTTGTCCTGTTTATTGGAGTTGTGCCAGTGACCCTTTTCATTGGTCACTTCAGTTCGTTCAAGGTGACATGAAAGGCATTTTATTTGGGGGGATGTCTCAGTCAAGTCAGGAGTTTCATTTGGGGGCTAAATTTGAGGGCTAGTAACTAAATTGAAAAGCCACTAGCCCTCCAATTTTAATCTGAAATAACTAATGACCTTTTAATCTAAAGTAACTTCTTAGAAACCCACATTCTCTGTAAGTCAGAGAAACAAGTTTCCAGTAAGTGTTTGCATTAGACACTTGTTCCAATTCTCACCTAGTCTGGGAACCCCATTAAGAAGATCTGGGTTATTCTCCCTTCTCAGTAAAAACTGACTTCTTGAAATGGAAGGCCGATGTGTGTTCCCATGTTACCAAGGAGTCACTTTTCGGGAGGGGGGGACTTGTTTTTCTTCTTGGTCACAGAGTGCAAACAACACCAGGCCACTCTTGGTTGTCAAGTTAGCAGGAAAGAACTTAAGCCCTCTCCATTTGTTAATTTTTATGAATTATTAGTTAACATGAAAATTGTAGTGTGTAAATGTTTACAAAGAAACTTCTAAATACCAATTTGCCTTATAATACATAGTTTAAATAAATATGATGCTTTTCTTTTTAAAAATAGACAAATGCACTGACAGGGGTATTTAGTAATCATTGTTTGCATTTTGTCACAGAATGTTTAAAATTGACATTGCACATAATTTAGAGACTTAACCAGGGCGGTTTAAGCAGAGGGGCCTGAAGTTATTTTTCTGTGGCAAAAAATAAAAAGTAGGAAAGAACTTCTAAGCTTCTAAAATCCTGACAGCCTCATTGTAAATGAAGCATTAAAGTGCTTTGTTCATTTCTCACAAACATCAGCCCTTGAATTTGGAGGACCCCTCCCTCCCTCCCTCTCTTCCTTTTTCCCTTCCTCCCTTCCTTCCTCCCTTCCTCCTTTCCCCTTTTCTTTCTTTTCTCTTCTTTTTGAAACCTGGAACATTTTGGTATCTCTGACCAGATGAATTTTTTCCCAAGTGCCTTAGGTGCTGTCTTCCATCTGAAAAGTGGGGCTGCCGTCCTCTTCTGGGGAATGGAACCAAAGTCTTGGGTTCTTCATCTTGGGTTTTCATCAGTAGCCTCTGGCCCTTTTTTCCTCCTAGACCTATAACTTGGAGTGCTGAGAAGTAAGAAATTGTCAGAATTAACTGTCTCTTTCTCTTGGGCCATTTCTCTGCATATTCTCCCATGGAGGTGATTCTGACTCAGGAAATGCCCCCACATAGTCGGAACCTTTCGAGGGCAGAAAAGGGAGGAAAGAAAAGGACGTGGATATGTCTACTAACTGAAAAGCCAAGGGTGGTTTGTTCTTCCCTGCCGCCAAAAAACAAAACAAGATTTTCTTCTTGAGACAACCCTTCAATGCCTCTGTTTTCTTTAGAGGACTGTTTTGGCTAATGAAATCAATGTCTGCAGGATTTCCTGTGCTTTCAGTCTCTTTCTCTATAGTTTTAACATTCCCCTGTCATTATTAGCAAGTTGTCTGCTAACAGCTTGGCGCATGCCAGAAAGCTATTCTCGGTGGGGTTAATTTCTGGCTATTAAAAGTTCTCTGAGACCCCAGATCTCTCTGAGCAGGGCCATGTTGGGGATTTCCAGCACATGTGCTGTTTAGACTCAAGGGCCACAGCAAGCTTCCCCATCTCACAGCAGAAACACTGTAGGCACAGGTGACAGCAAATGGGCATTGACCAGTCCGCTGCCAGAGCGCTTGGTGACCGTCCAACCCACAGACGCGCTGCCATCTACCTAACGGGGTCGTGACAGTGATTTTATTGCGTGCTTCATGAAAATCATGTAGTGCCTGGTCCATAATAAATGATTGCAGACTATTGTTATCCTCATGCCTGGGACATAATAAATATCCCTAAACTGTTACATGAAAAATAGAAATTCCCTGAGAGCATAATTAGGCCAGTTATCTCCAAGTTAGATTTCGTTCATGGGACAAATGGCAGACTTTTCCAGCATGGGCTGAAAGAAGTAAAAAAAAGAAGAAACACTGAGAGGTAGGAGGACTGCTTGAAACTAGGGGTTTGAAACCAGCCTGGGCAACATAGTGAGATCCTGTCTCTACAAAAAATTAAAAAGTTAGCGAGGCATAGTGGTACACACATGTAGTCCCAGCTACTAGGGAGGCTAAGGCAGGAGGCTCATTCAAGCCCAAGCCCAGGAAGTAGAGGCTGCAGTGAGCTATGATCATGCTACTGTACTCCAGCTTGGGTGACAGAGGCAGACCCTGTCTTTAAAAAAAAAAAAAGAAAGAAAAGAAACACTAACTTGTTGAAGATTGAGATGACTCCACTAGGAACAAAAATGGTTGGTGAAGAGGAAGAGGACTGAGAATAGAATAGTGCTGCCTGCCTTTGTGTTTACATCTCACATAGAGCTATCTTCCCCTCCCCACAGAGCAGATGTAGCTGAAGTGCTCATGTGTATGTATTTGAGGGGACAGCAACTTGGAAGAGAAGATACCAGCTGCGGCATCTCATAGTGGAGGTTTGGAGGCCAAGGCAGGGCTTCAGGGAAGTGCCTTTTCTGCAACATGTGTTTTGTTGCTCTTATTCTTGTCTTGGTCTGCTTGTAACAACAACAAAAAAGACCATCTGGAGTCTAGAAGGCAAAAATAATGGGAATGAAGAGATGGTGTTAGAATCATAGCAGTATCACCGTATTTATGGGATGAGTTATTCTACTGGCCCTCACTTTTGGTGCTGAGATTGAGATGTGAAATCATGAAGCGATTCAGAAATGTGTCCTTATGAAAATACTGTCTTCTGATAGCTTCAGCATACAGGGTTTTTTATGAGAACAGATCTTTCTAATCTCTCAGCGTTGCCAAGAAGTGTCCATGCTTCTTATCTAGAGAGATTATTCCATGTTTTAATTATAAAGGGTTGAGTAGCTGTTTCAGGGCTGACGTTGGTTCTTGCTCATGAATCAAGGTCACAACAGAGCTCACCCCTGGCCTTGGCCAGGGACTTAATGTTCATTCAGCAAACATCTGCCAAACCCTCACTATATTTACAGCATGTGTTAATTGTAGTGGGCTAGATACAGATAATACTCCATGTATATAGTACTTTTAACAGTTTCTAAAGGCTTATTCTCTTATTCACATGAAGAATCTGAAATCAGAGAAGTCGGCTTAAGTTATATAGCTGGTAAGTCAACAAGCAATAGCTGCAACCAGTCGTATCTTATTTTTTGACTACATCTCTGCTGTCTGAGGCAAGGTCCCTACTCTCAAATGAGTTAACTTTTAATAGAAAAGATAATTTGATTGACTCTAACGAACATTTATTACATATGCTCTGGAGGTTCCATGTGAAACAGGCTTGTCTTTAATCTAGGTCTCAGGATAGCAGAAGTAATCCCATTTGTATTTTTATCTGTTTTGTTTAGGATGCTTATCACAGTTCTAATGCAGAAATTATTTGGATAATTCTGATTGTGGAAAAAAACAAACTCAAAGTGCTTTTTCTAGTCTCTCACTCAACAGCAGTCAACACAGATTTCTGTGACAAACGGGGTGGGGGAAATTCTCCCCATCACCAAGCAAGCAATCAATTCTGCAGCAGACAACAGCTGGGTATCTTCTATTTTAATGTTTAACTGGTGATAGTATTAGATCCCACAGATTGGAGGCTCAGCCCCCAAGAATGCCCCACCTCCCACCTGACACACCAGTCTGGGCCTCTGGAACGTCTGACTGACTGGCTTTAAGTTTGGATTCCTATGACCACCTCTTTGGGTTGGATTAATTTGCTAGAGTGGCTCACACAACTCAGGGAAGCATGTTTACCCATTTATTATAAAGGATATTACAAAGGATACAGATAACCAGAGGAGGAGATACACAGGGTGAGGTCTGGAAGGGTCTTGAGTGTAGGAGCTTCTGTTCCTATGGAGTTGGGGCCCACTATCCTCCCAGTGGGTGGATGAGTTCTTGTTCACCATCTTGTCTGCCTCCACATGTTCAGTTATCTGAAGCTGGTCCTTTTGGGTTTTTATGGAAGCTTCATTATGTAAGCATGATTGATTAAATCATTGGCCATTGGTGATCAACTTAACCTTCAGCCTCTCTTCCCTCTCCTCTTTCTGGGCTGAAAGCTGGACCCTCTAATCCTGCCTTGTTTTTTTCTGGTGACCAGCTCCATCTAGAAGCTGCCTGGGGGCTGCCAGCTACCAGTCAACTCATTAGCATGCAAAAGACATCACTTTGGCATTTCTGAGGATTTTAGGGGTTGTATGCCAGGAAACAGGGTCAAAGACCAAATATATATTTCACAATGTGACAGTAATGATTTATTTTATGCCTAACTCCGCTGCTAGATTGTGGGTAGGGACTTTCTCGTTGACCCCAGCATCCCCAACACAAAGTGAAACATCTGTCAGAAAACAGATGTGTCTTTCATCACAAAAGCATGTTGAATGAGTGCACTATAAAGAATAGATGAGGTGCTGTTTTAAAGTGCCATGGGACCACAGATGAAGTTTATTGTGGTGGGAGGTGATGTCATGAGTAGAAAAACTTACGGAGAAGGCATATTAAGCCGGGCAACAAAGGATGGGCGGGCATTAAACATGAATGGAGTGAGGGTTGGGATAGAGGGGTGGGACATTTTTCTACAGTGAATTACAGGACCAAAGACACAGATGGGCAGACTCCAGCTATGATTTTTTTGACAGATAGACAGGGTGTGTGAGGTTGAGGCTTAAGTGGTTTATTGGTACCAGATTTTGAAGTCTTTGATTGACTAAGACATTTGAAGTTTGTTCTTGCTATTGTTATTATTATTTTGTTTTGAGGGAGGGTCTTGCTGTGTCACCCAGGCTGAAGTACAGTGGTACGATTTCAGCTCAATGTAACCTCTACCTCCTGGGCTTAAGCAGTCCTCCCACCTCAGCCTCCTGAGTAGCTGGGACTACAAGCGCGTGCCACCACGCCTGGATAATTTCTTTTTTTTTTTTTTTTGAGACAGAGTCTCCTTCTTGTCGCCCAGGCTGGAGTGCAATGGCATGATCTCAGCTCACTGCAACTTCTGCCTCCCAGGTTCAAGTGATTCTCCTCCCTCAGTCTCCTGAGTAGCTGAGATTACAGGTGCCCACCACCACGCCTGGCTAATTTTTGTATTTTTAGTAGAGACGGGATTTCACCATGTTGGCCAGGATGGTCTCGAACTCCTGACCTCAGGTGATCCACCTGCCTTGGCCTCCCAAAGTGCTGGGGTTACGGGCGTGAGCCACCACGCCCAGCCTGGCTAACATTTTTTAGTTGTTTAGAGACAGGATTTTGCCATGTTGCCCAGGCTGGTCTTGAAAACTCCTGGGCTCAAGCAGTCCGCCCTCCTTGGCATCCCAAAGTGCTCGGATTACAGGTGTGAGCCACCGCGCCCAGCCTTACTACTATTATTAATTTTAAAAAGAACCTTTATTGGTATCTTACTACACTAAATGTATTATGTTCATTACTTCATTTAGCAGTGAGGGCAATCCCATCTTATTGGTGAGGAAACAGGTTCAGAGAGTTTAAGTATCTTGCCCAAGGTAACAGTCACTGAGTGGCACAGTTAGTGATGAATTCTGTTCTCTTTGATAGGAATAGAGGCCCACTGATACCTGTGAGCTTAGCAGTGTATCATTCTTTATTTTGTCAGAAATGAGTACAGTGTTTGGCACATCATAGGTGCTCCAGGTTTTAGAGAATACATTTTTTGCCGAGTCGCAGAAGGAATCAGTACTTTCCTTTAGGAAGATTAGTCTGGTAATTACGTGTATTGGCCTAGTTAGTAAATGTTTTTTGTGGGCATGAATCAATTGAATCCTTGTTTTTGATGCTGGCTATGTGCCAGGCACTGGTGTAGGTGCTGGGGACCTACGGTGGTGAGCTCACTGGTGGGTTGGGCTGGAGAGAAAGGGGTCGTAGGGTGGCAGGCAGGCTGGTTGGGAAGGAGTGACAGTGTGGCTACAGGTTACATCAACCCCCTGAGAGAGAGCAGATGGGCAGAGACTGAGGACTGAGGTTTCAGTTAACCCGGTGGTAACCTAGAATCATGATGGGGGCCAGTGACTCGAAATATCTGTCTCACTGGTCATTGGGTGGAGGATGACAACCTGCCCCTGATTTTAAAACAGCAGTTTCTTGTCTTCCTGCTTGTGGGTGGATTAATTGGGTTACATATGTTTATGAATGATAGTGTAAATACATTTCTGATGACAATCTGGGGAAAAAAGCAAAAATGGCAATAAAAGAACTGTTGCTCATATATCAATGGATAAGGCAATTATCTTCTCTAGGAGCACACAGCATTCATGTGTGGGGAATAGGGGTGAAGAAAGATTTCGTTACTGAGAGCATGATCTGGGGATGGAACTGTACCCGCGGAATGTGTTTCCATCTGTCATAGGCTGTGCTTTTGAAACAACACACCATGTTCCATAGGGCTTCTAATAAAGGATGAAGTGTTGGAGAATTCAGTGTTTTTATTTGTAGAAAGCACCAGAATCCCATAATCAAAGTCAGGGTATTTGGGGGATTGGAATCAATTAGAGGCATTACTGAATCCAGTCATCCCTGCCTCTCCTGCTTTAAGGTGAGGAAACTACCTTAGGTGTTTCCTGAGTTAGGTGACTTAGCCAAGATTGTACAGGTAGTTATTACAGAGACAGGACTAGAAACTTGGTCTTCAGAGGCAAGCGATTGCTTTTGGCAGTTTGGTGTGTATCTTTCCAGGATGTTTCCTATTCATTTGAAGGCATATAGGCGTATATTAAAACATACATTTTTATGAATTTTCTTAAACCCGTAATTATTATTCTGCAATTTGGTTTTTTCACCTGACTCCTTTCTTAACCCATTTTTTGTTAATGTCAATAGCAAAATAATAAATAAACCATGGTATATCCAGGCAATGGAATATTACTCAGTGCTAAAAATAAGTGGGTTATGAAGCCATGAAAAGACATGGAGGAAACTTACTAATCTACAATCTAGTTTTTTTCAGCATTTGAGGATTATTCCATAGTATGGATGTGCCAGAGTGTAATCAGCCATTCTCTGAGTGATAAAAATTCAAACTATTTATTTTTTACCATCATGAGCAATACTACAATTTACTTAAAAAATTTATACAGCTCTTACTTTTGTGCCCCTTGCTATTCTAAATGCTGTACAAGTATTAACCAATTTAATCCTTGTTACTGCATAAGGAGGCTTGTCTGTCTTATAGATGAAGAAACTGAGGCAGGAAGAAATTAAACCATCTGCTTAACATCATATGGCTCGAAGTCAGGATTTGCACACAAGCACTTCAGCTCCAGGGTCTGTGCTCGTAGACACTGCGTCGTGCTGTGTTTTAGCAGTGAGATCCTTCACCTAGCTCTTCATTCACATGTGCAAATATTAACTATGTGATGGGTAGCATAGAAATAGAATTATCAAAGAAACATTTTTTCTAATTTAGTTAAAAAACTTTATTATTATTATTGTTAGGTTTGCAACAACATTGATAGGAAGGTACAGAGGTTTCTCATATGTCCCTTCCCCTACTCCACAGCCTCTCTCACTAGTAACATCCCCCATCAGGGTGCACAGCCTCTCTCTCTAGTAACACCCTCTATCAGGATGGTACATTTGTTACAATTGATGAACCTACCTAGACCCATCAGTATCACCCAGAGACCATCATTTACGTTAAGGTTCATTCTCGAAGTCATACATTTTACAGATTTGGACAAATGTATAATGGGATGTATCTATAGATCACTGAAGTATCGTACAGAATAGTTTCACTGCCCTAAGAATCTCTGTGCTCCTCCTATTTATTCTTCCCTCCCCCCAACCCCTGGCAACTACTGATTTTTTTTTTTTTATCTCCCTAGTTTTGCTTTTTCCAGAATGTGATAATGTTAGAATCTTCCACCAGGTAGCCTTTCCTGATTGGCTTCTTTCACTCAGTATGTGCATTTAAATTTCCTCCATGTCTTTTCATGGCTCTATAGCCCGTTTCTTTTCAGCGCTGAGTAATATTACATTGCCTGGATATACCACGATTTATATATTCATTCACTTACTGAAAGATATGTTGGTTGCTTCCAAGTTTTGGCAATTATGAATAAAGCTGCTATAAACATCCCTGTGCAGGTTTTTGTGTGGACTTATTTTTTCAGCTTATTTGAGTAAATACCAAGGATCATCAGAGAAACTCTTCTGAGGAGAAATGGTCAAGCATTCAGGCACAAGATGGCTTTTGAGTGCTGATAATATTATCAGTGACTAGCCTTTACTTAACATTGTGCTGAATGTTTCGTATGCAGTCTCTCATTTAGTCCTCACAACACCTAGTCAGATGGCAACTCTTTACAGAAAGGACAATGTAGTAAGATTTTTACAGCCCGATATCACCAATTTAGTGATTGACAATTGATGACTTGAGCCCAGAATCTCAACTCTTAATCACCGTGTGTATTAGTCTGTTCTCACGCTGCTAATAAAGACATACCCGAGACTGGGTAATTTATAAAGGAAAGAGGTTTAATTGAATCACAGTTCCACATGACTGGGGAGGCTTCACAATCATGGCTGAAGGTGAAGAAGGAAATAAGACACATCTTACATGGTGGCAGGCAAGAGAGAGCAGGTGCAGGGGAACTCTCCTTTATAAAACCATCAGATCTTGTGAGACTTATTAACTATCATGAGAACAGCATGGGAAAGACCCGCCTCCATGAATCAATTACCTCCCGCCAGGTCCCTCCCATGACAAGTGGGAGTTATGGGAGCTACAATTCAAGATGAGATTTGGGTGGGGACACAGCCAAACCATATCACTGTGTCATTCACCACCCCCCACTTTTTTTTGTTTTTGCTATGTTGACCAGGTTGGCCATGATAATTCCCTTTTGACTGTGTTCAGCTGGGCCTGCTTTTGATGAAATATTTTGGCTAAAGCTTTTGACAGACCTCTGAGTAGTAATCTGTGGCTTTCAAGCTTCAAGGATTATATATTTCTTTAGCACTTGGCATTGTTTGTAAACTAATTGTTTGAGGTTTCTTTTTCTTTCACATTATTTTTGCAGATTTTATACTTTTTTCCTATATCAAAGTTATAGTGTAGGGATATGACTCAGAAGCCAGATGGGGGTAGGGGTGTTCCCAATTATTCTAAATGTAAATGTAATTAGAGTTTCATGTGGATGCATACCTCCTTTCTAAAAAAATATGGTTATTTTAGCGCTCACTATAAATTCACTGGTATTCATAAATTTATGGTGAAACCCTCTAGTTATAAAGTGAGTTTTATTACATCCACATAAGCTGCTTTTTAAAACCTCCTCCTTCACTTTCTTTTCTCTTTCCTACAAGAACATCATTTGTCCCCTCAGAATAAGTTTAGTAAAGTGTTTGGACCATTCTCAAACCGGCCAACTTCTCAATTCAGTTTAAAAAATTGGAACGTATGCTTAAGAATAGATGTTCTGAGTTAGAATTTCTTCCATCATTTGACAGGTTTAACATATCTAAGATGTAGGGGGAGAATCTTAATTGGACATACAGCTACCCAATAGAATGCCTGATATGATGAAGAGTTTGAAGAAAGTTAAGGACATACTAATGGCAAATAGTGCAAGGAAAAATAAAAGCAATTAGAAACTCCAGGAAAAACTAAAACTGAGCTAAAATTGAAATGTATTCATATTACATTATTTGAGATGCATAGAAAAATATTTACATGGTTATAATATAAACACAATCAATTTATAGACAAATTACAAAGCTCGTGGTTATAAAACAGTAATGCTAATCAACCTCAATGATATGAAAGTAAAAATATAGACAATAGATGGTAAGGAATGGAAAGACGTGGAAAAGTGAAGAGGGCTCTAATGATATCAAAGTTGGGCAGTTAAGAGTTATTGTAGGTGATGCAACAGGAATTAAAGGGACTACTTTTTTAAAAAATGAAAACATACATAGGCAAGGAAATAGCAGTTTAATCTTTTTAAAAGGAAAATAATGACTAGGAAATAAAAGAACTATGAATATGTCTTCTCTGGAGAGGCATTTGGGAAAAGGAGCTCCTGGTGCAGGTACGAATCCAGAAAAATAGAGTGATACAGTGATCCCCCAAGAACCCACTAGCCTTAACAGTATTCCACATTTTACCATTTTTGTTTCATCTGTCTTTTTTCTTTTTTTTTTGCTGGTATCTTAAAAAATTCAAATACCATGCCATTTGACCCCGGATACTTCCAAACGCATCTCAGGAAAAAGGACATCTACTTAGATAACCACAATACCATTATCATACCTAACAAAACTAACAATTCCTTATTACCATATTGAATTTTGTTTGATTGAAAAAATACTTTTTAATTTTATTAGTAGTAGTATTATTTAGAGATGGGGTCTTGCTATGTTGCCTAGGCTGGTCTCAAACTCCTGGGTGCAAATGATCCTCCTGCCTTAGCCTCCTGAGTAGTTAACTACAGCATGTGCAACTGTGCCCACCTGAAAAAGTTGTTTTTTTTTTTTAATAGTTAATACATTCAAGTCAGGTTCCAAACAAAGCCCCCTCTTGTGTATGGGTGTTATGTCTCTCTAGTCTCTTCTGAGTCTTTTAATCTTGAATAGTCCTCTTTTCCTTTTTATCATGCCATTGACTTACTGAATAATATTTGATGTTAAAAATGTGTGCATGCATTAATTTGATTAAAAATTTTCAAGAAGTTTTAATTGGCTTTTAAAATTTTAATGGTTAAAAAGTATAGACAACTTTATATATTTTAAAAGTCTTATGTTCTCTGTAAGGGTATTTTTATAAAAACTTGTTTTTAATGACTAAATTTAAACATCTCAAATGCAGGAACCTTTACATATCAGTTATTCTGGGCACAATTCTTTGCATGCCAAGATGAGTAAAAATGATTATTCTCCAGTATTTTTTAGTCTAATCAGAGAGGGCAGTTTGTGGACATGCCTGCCAAAGCATTTTGCCACATGGAAGTAATTACTTTTAAAGCTAATAGTTAATGGATTCCTTACTAGGAGCCAGCCATTTTATTAAGTGTTTTAAATTATTTTTATCCATACCACACACTGTGGGAGAATCCATATAATCCACACAAGGAACCTGAAGCCCAGGGAGATTAGGTAACTTTGTGTAGGGTCACTCAGCTAGTAAATGACAGCCTGTATAGGAACAAGGTCTTTCTAATACCCTTAATCACTAAACTGTATAGGGCCTCCCAATTTGACATGCTAGTCTCCCCTCCTAAGAGGCGGCGTTATGTACTGGTTCAGAGCATGAGTTCTAGAGCCAGACTGCTTGGTTTTGACTCTGGCTCTCCCACTAAATAGCTCTGTGACTTTGGGTGACTTGCTTAACCTCTCTATGTCTCAGTTTCCTCATCTGTAAAATGGAGAAAATAGTCCTGGCTCATAAGATTAAATGGTTTCCTATTTGAAAAGACCTTGGAACAGTACTTGGCACGTCCATGAATTAAAAAATGCTTAAGTAACTGCAGCACAGAAATACTGCATTTGGCATATATATGGATTGGTGGATGCACAGATGGACAAACAAATAAAAAGTAGGGAGCAAATTGTAGGCTACTTTTTCTTATATTTCACCAATAAAAAGCAAAGGCACTTCCCCCAGTTAATGTAATAAGGTTCTCTCTCAGGTCTCAGAATGTTGTGTAGATTTTTTAAACAAAATTGTAATAAAATTTTATTGATGGTATACACATACATTAGTTATTATTTTGTAGAGTTTTTAATGCTCAATGTTGATATCAACTTCCTGACTACTATTTTTAAAGAAAGAAGGAAAAACCAAATTGAATAGTATCTGTTTTTTCCTTCTTTCTTTAAATCATGTGTTTATGGAATAATCCAGAAGCATAAGAGGCGACTTTTGTGTTAAGCATGAGGTGACTTTCATGTTAAGCTTTCTCTGGAAGAAGAGAGAACTGGATTTGGACTTTTTCTTTCAAGGAGAAAGAAAAAAATGTTAGTCACATTACAGCCTTGAAAGAATCTTCTTGAACAGTTCTGGAGGAACAGATTAACTTTGGTGCATGTAGATACAGTAGTTCAGCCTCTGCCACTTAATCTATCCCCAAGGTCTCATGGAGGGAAGAAGTAGAGGTGACAGCGACTTATTATAACGTAACTGAGTGGTTAGTGAATGTTCTAGAACTCCTATCTTGGTTTGATTGGCTTTTTGTTCATGTTCTTTTAACCTTTTGAATTTTGCTAAAAGATAGGTGCTTTGAATCCAGGATCCTAGACAACTTGGGGGCCAATGAATTGATTTCAAGATGGCCTTTTGCTGCTTTGAGGATGCAGGCTGATGACTTAGGTCCTGTGTTCATTGATTCTGCTGGAGATGTCCATAGAACGAGGAGGAGAATCTTGGGTTTAATGTCTCCTGATTTATTTTTAGCAGCTGACCTGGCTAGCTGTGATTTGCTAATTGTCTGTATGTAGTATATGTTTGTAAGTGCTGAGTCGTTTTGAATAAATAGTCTCATATGAAGTGAGATGATCTACTTGGCCTAGTAGCTGATTCTTTCTGGAATTGATAATGACGAGAGTGAAATTCTATCTTAACAAGTGCAGCAGCTGCCCTAATGGAGAAGGACGACGTGGAATTTCCCATTGTCTACCTGTACTGTCCTAAAAATATACGACCAATTCCAGTGACTGATAATGATATTGAGACCGAGTGGTTAATAATGGCTCAAGAAATCCCAGCTTGATTTGACCAGCTTTCCAGCTTTTTTCTTTGGCAGGTGGGGAGTGGGGGATTAAATCTGTTGACTTTTGCAAATACATAATTTTATAGAATATGTGTCCTAAGAACGAAACTCACTACATTTCTAGGTTCAAACTTACTTTTTTGGGTCCAATGCTCAATATAGGACAAAAAAGAAGAGGAAAGGAGAAAATAAGAAAGAATGTATATTAGTTAACTCAGATTTTTGGATCTGGGTGGATTTCGGATGGTGTTAAATTGGCCTGGGGACTTCTTTATTATTTTTTTTAATCGTAGCATTGGTTTGTAATATTCATGGTTTAGCCTGAATGACTTAAAGGATTTATTTTTTAATTTAACGTGGGTTAAAAGAACATGAGCAATAGACCTGCCAATAACTATTTTAAAATATAAACAGATAACTGTTTGTTTTGCTCAAAGGTCACATTGAGGATTCAGAGCTCATGACTCAGGATGGCTATTTTTCTTAGAGGAATGATTTAGACAAGTTGAATTGAATAGCTCCTAGGCCACTGACATTTATTCAATTTTGTCTTTAACATTTGTTTACTTTTTGAACCTGTAAAACAGGGGTGTCCAATCTTTTGGCTTCCCTAGAAGAAGAATTAGAAGAAGAATTGTCTTAGGCCACACAGAAAATACACTAACAACAGCTTATGAGCTTAAATAAATAAATAAATAAATAAATGCAAAAAAAAAATCTCATAATGTTTTAAGAAAGTTTACAGATTTGCGTTGGGCTGCATTCAAAGCCATCCTGGGCCGTGGGTTGGACAAGCCTGCTGTAAAAGACTGGAATTTAGATACAGCTCATCAAAATATCTTGCTATTCTAAAAGTAATTCTCAATTTCTATTTTTTCTAAGAAAAATTATTAGACAGTAATGTTAAGTTGCAGCAAGTAGGTTTGCATTTTGGATAGTAATAGTCCCAATTTTATTAAAAGGTTGGCTTATGATAACCATAGATTTCTTAATTTTAATTTTATTTATTTTGTTTGCACATACTATTTTACTGATAGTATGTGCAAAAAGATAGTGAGTGAAGCAGTTGGACTAATTGTTTACACTAAGATTACTTAGGAAGGACTATCTGGCATGTTTATATTACATTCAGCAAATTGTTTATAGTAGGGATCATTTAAATATGCATTACCAATATCTCAGGTTTTAGATTTGCCAACCCTGTATGTTGAGATTTTCCAGGATCTTATAATTGCACCGGCTAGTGGTTCTCCCTTGAATAAACTGCAAGACTTTGCACTTAGCTAAAAATGACTCACCTTTGAAGGTGGTACGCATTCATTAAAAAAAAAAAAAATCAAGTGCGTGCAGTGCACTGTGCACCATGCTAAGCACTGGAGATAGTGTTGAGTGAGACAAATGTAGTCTCTGCCCCCATAGAACTTACATTCTAGTGGAGTGAGACAGACACCAAGAAGCAAACAATACGTAATGAACAAGATTACATCAGAGTGATAAACACTGGAAAGAATATAAAATAAGGAGGATGTGATGCAGCATGACTGGGGGTGGGATGGGTGGGCCAGCACTAGATAGGGCAGTTAGGGAAATCTTCTGGAGGAGGTAACATAGAGGTTGACACTTACAAGTTTAGGAAGAGCTGGCCACTTGTATCTCTGGGGACACAGTATGCTAGCATCAGGAACACCAAGGGTAAAAGCTATGATGTAGGTACGTGCAGTGTTGGAGAAACAGTAAGAAAGCTGAACAGCAGGGAGCCTATTGGTGTGTCTTGGCCCATGCACACCTCAGGGAGTAGTCAAGACCATGTAAAAATTAATTTGTTGGCTGGGTGTCACACCTGTAATCCCAGCACTTCAAAAGGCCAAGGCAGGAGGATTGCTTGAGCCCAGGAGTTCAAGACCAGCCCGGGCAACATAGGGACACCGTACGTCTACAAAGAATAAAAAAAATTAGCTGGGCATGGTGATGCACACCTGTGGTCCCAGCTACTCAGGAGGCTGAGGTAGGAGGATTTCTTGAGCCTGGGAGATCGAGGCTGCAGTGAGCTGGGATCATACCACTGCACTCCAGCCTGGGTGACAGAATGAGACCCTGTCTCAAAAAAAATAAAAAAGCAATTTGTCCTCTCTGTATGCATATTGAGAATTATTACATAAGTTGGGTTTTTATTAGCCACGTGAAGTTTGGGTGATAAAAATTTGATTTCCTACGAAATTGCAGAGTACGTGTTTCTGGTACCCTGAGTTGTGTTGATGTTCAGTGCTCCCTTTACTCTCTCTTTGGCTTCAAGATTGAACGGTGCTAGATTTTTTCATGCGGATATTTTTGCGTACCTGTGACTCCACAGACCAGTGTGCTTGTGTGCAGGATTTGGTGGGTTCATGGTTGTTTATTAAACAAAACTAATCCTATATAGAGGTTTTATTCGTTTGCTAGGGTTGCTGCAACAAAGCACCACAAGCTGAATGGCTTGAACGACAGAAATTTATTGTCTCACCTAAATCAAAGTGTCAGCTGAGTTGATTTGTTTTCTTTTCTTTTTTTTTTTTGAGACAGAATCTCACCGTGTCACCCAGACTGGAGTGTAGTGGCGCGATCTTGGCTCACTGCAACCTCCACCTCCGGGGTTCAAGCGATTCTCTTGCCTCAGCCTCCTGAGTAGCTGGGATTACAGGTGTGTGCCACCATGCCCGGCTAATTTTTGAATTTTTGTAGAGACGGGGTTTCACCATGTAGGTCAGGCTGGTCTCGAGCTCCTGACCTCAGCTGATCCACCCGCCTCGGCCTCCCAAAGTGCTGGGATTACAGGCGTGAGCCACCGCACCCGGCCGGGATTGGTTCCTTCTGAAGGCATAGGAAGAAATCCGTTATGCCTCTTGCCTGGCTCCTGGTGGTTGGCGGGCAGTCTTTGGTGTTCCTTGGCTCTGCTGTATTTCTTCTGCCTTCATGTTTGCGTGTGTTCTTTGTACAGGTGTGGCCTTCTCCAAATTTACCCTTTTTATAAGAATCTAAGTCATGTCGGAATAGGTCCCACCCCGCTCCAGTATGGCCTCATCTTAACTAATGACAACTGTAATGAACGAATTACCAAATGAGTCACGTTCTGCATGTTTTTGTCCTCCTGAAATTCCTATGTTGAAACCTGATAACCAAGGTAGTGTTAGGAGCTGGGTACTTTGAGAGGTGATTGGGATTAGTGCCCCCTTGTTCCTCCCACCATGGGAGGACACAGCAAGAAGGTGCCATCTGTGAACTAGGGCCCTCACCTGACTCTGAACCTGCTGGCATCTTGATCTTGGAATTCCAGGCCTTCAGAACTCTGAGAAATACATTTCTGTTGTTTATGGGCCACTTAATTTATGATATTTTTTTAAGCTGCCTGAACTGTCTCAGACACTTTCTGAGCGACTGAGGGTTAGGACTTCAACACAGGAGTTTAAAAAAGGGGTTTTCCAGCGCTAGACAAATTCTAAAAGAGCTGTAACACTCAGCATAGGAATTTTACAATGGGGACGCAGTTCAGTTCATAAAAGAGGTGCATATAATTTGGCTAAACTCATTGTCTCTCACAAATGAAAATACGGACAATACCTGCAAACATTTTGAAGCTGTTTAACCCATTTTTTGCTCAGACACCTGGAAGCCACGGCCCCTTTTTTATTTAATAACATCTGGTGTGTACTGAGCATTGGTAGGCTCCTCTGTGATAAGATCTTGAATGTGTCACCTTGTTGATTCCTCATAAGCACCCTCTGGAGTTTGTTCTGTGAGCAGCCTCACTTGACAGTTGAGGGAACTGAGGCTTAGTTCCAGAAAGAACCTTCAGCTCATCACCGCAGCCCTAGTTTCAGCATGATTTTTCTTACTGCTAGAGTTGATAGAATAGTCACAGCCACTAGCACTGGAGCCTGCCCTAGCCACTAATAGCACCTCCACGTAAAAGGTTTCTCATTGTGAGGTTAGTTTCTTATCTTCCTAATTCTACCACCTGGTCCATTCAATGCCTCCCTTGTTCTTTATCCCTGAGTTTATGTAATACGCAGCAGTACTGAGAAGATTAATTAGTTAATACTTGTGAAGCACTTTGAGGATGAAAAGCTCATGAACACTTAAAGTTAAATTAAATTTTGCCTCCTAGTGCCAAGAAATAAACAGTCTTTCTCCTTCCTGGTTGGGGTCAGCATCTCCCCTTGGCCCGCAGGAGAGTGTGTTCCCACAGAGAGCAGGCTGTATTGATTGTCTCCCCAAGACGAAGGTCGGAATGGCTACTAATTCTCTTTTGAACTAGATTGGATTCTGCAAACAATTGAACAGCTGACTCTATGCTAAGTGGAAATGTGATTGATATTGAAACAGAATTAAAATTTCAACTTCTAGGGAATTAAATTGAGTGCAACTTCAGAAATTTGGAGATGAATGTCCAAGTGGTTTGAAAAGCGATTTTCATGTTCCACTAAGTATATTAATATCAAAAGTGATATTGATGTTTGAGAACATTGGGCTGCAGTTGTTTCCTTGTCCTTTTCATTTATTGCCATTTTGACCTAAGGTTTGTGCCAGGAAGTTCAGCTTCACTCCTAGTGAATCTGAGTGGCGTAATGCTGGCCCCGTCTTGCTCATTGATTTTCCTGGTAGCCAAATCCCTGTACAACGAACTGTAACATATCCTCAAATGAACTGCATAAAAGTATGTTGGAGATGGAGAGGAGATCTATAAATTCAGAGGACAAATAAATCAAAAAGTGAATGACTTGTAAGAATTCATAAGCCAAATTCAGAGCCAATTTGGAAACTGAACCTCAGATTTTTCCAGGGCTGTATTCATTCCTTCCCCTGTTGGATAGATCTTCTAAGAGCCACCCTCAACTCGTGAGTCTGATAATTGCTTTTCAGATGGACAGTTACCTTAATGAACTCTGACTTTATGTATGAGTAGTAGTTTGTTGCACAGGAGTTGTTTTCCCAGAAGGTATTGACCTTTATTCCAGTCTCTACTATGAGCAAACCTCTATCTGTTGAATCAGCTCCTGGAACCTCAGCTCTGAATAAATAAAGAGCTTAAAGGTAAGGAATAGGTGGGTCAGTTCAGCCAAGTAAGGCCAGATAGAATTAGAGTTGAGAGCCAGGTCAGAGTTGAGAGTGGGGAGAAATAGCCAGGACTATTTGGCCCAGGAAGCCTGAATGGGGACACATGCACACACACACACACACACACACACACACACACACACACTGAAACACTCTGCAAAAATTGAGGTGTTTCCCAGGTTCCTAACCTCCTGAATGCAATGCAGATTCTTTCCTCCACCTTCCCTTCATTGTTCCCATACAACTCTGGCCTGTAATCAGCCCAACCTGGGCCTGGGCCTTGGCCACTACTAGATATTCTGTTGGCACCAAGAGTAGTCAGGACCAGTTTTCCCTCTCTTAATTTCCTCCTCAGGAGAGTTGAGTGTTTATCATATTCTCTTCTTTTCCTCTCTCTTTCTCTGTTCAGCTTAGGCAATCTTCCATTCTGCAGTCTTTCTCCTAGCTGTGTATCTTGAGAGGTAATGCAATGTAGGTTAAGACTGCCTGAGTTGAATCCTGGCAGTGCCACTTATGACTTGAATGACCTCAAGAAAGACATTTAATCTCTTTACCTCAGTTTCCCCATCTGTAAAATGGGGATAATAATACCTATTTCAGTGGAATGTTGTGAGAGTTAAACAAGTTGATATGTGGAAAGCTCGTAGGGTGTGGTCTGTAATGTGTTCAATTAGCATTAATTGAAGAGAAGTGGAGTCTCCCCTTCAATTCTTACCTGAGTAACACTGGACAATTTCATACTTTGTTGTCACTATTTTTCTTTAGCTCTTACTCTTTTTTATCCATTCCTGTAGCACTAGTGATCAGGATAAAAGACGTGATTGCTAATAGAGTAATACCTTGTTGAATTTGTGTAATGTTCCAGGTTGGAGGGGGGATGATAAAGCCTAAGAAGACCAAGTCCTTTTTTCTTGCAACTTTAAATTGTTGTAGGAAAGGAGACATGTTGATAATGGTTTGCAGTATAACATGGAACATGCTAGACTCCAAGTCGAAACTGAGATTAGAGATAGGCGAATGAAGATGACAGTCAACCACGTGCGGTGGGCTTGGGGGCTGAGGTGGGTCATGGAGGGCTTTATAGGGGAGGTGACGCTTGAGCTAGTTTTTTTTGGTTTCTTTTTTGAGACGGGGTCTTACTCTGCCACCCAGGCTGGAGTGCATGCTGCCATCTTGGCTCACTGCAACCTCCTCCTGGGCTCAAGTGATCCTCCCACCTCAGCCTCACGAGTAGCTGGGACTACAGGCATGCGTCACCACACCCAGCTAATTTTTTTGTACTTTTAGTAGAGATGGGATTTCACCATGTTGTCCAGGCTAGTCGTGAATTCCTGAGCTCAAGCGATCCACCTGCCCTGGACTTCCACAGTGTGGGGGTTACAGGTGTGAGCCACCGTGCCCCACCTTGAGCTAGTTCTTAAAGGTGTGAGAGGTTCAATGATAGACACTATCAACACTCCCAGTAAGTCACGTAATTAAGGTGAGAGTGCTGCTCAGTAGATTATTTATCAGGTATGTGGTCACTGATTTGAAATCTATGCCAAAGTCGGTGCAGTGAGGTGGGGATGGGAGAGCCTGAAGGCGCAGACCTGAGAAGAGAAGGAGATTAAGAGTCTGTGATTTTTACATAGTTGGGCCCTGGAGGCCAGGGTCATTACATAGAGTTTGTGTTAAAACTTTCTGGTAGCTAGTGATGTTGTTGTGGAGAACCTCAGAAGACAAAATTAAAAACTTTGATGGGAACTGAGACAAAGTAAAAACTAGGCATACTCTACTGCTGAGATCCTTACTGTCTTTTAGGACTGCATGCTTTCATCTTTTTCTATTTTAACTTCTCTTTTATTCTTCTCCCCTTTGCTCACTCCACAGAGCTTTGCTGAACACCTATTATGTGCCAGATGCAGGGGATCCCAAGTTGGGTTAAGGCATTATTTCTTCCCTGGAGCTAACCTCACCCAAAAGGGGAAGATAGTTGTGTGAAGAACTAATTGACAGTGTGAAGTGTGGCTGGTAATATAGGGAGCTGTGTGGGAGGAGGAGGTGTGTCTGGGCTAAGAAGGCAGGGATGGCTTCAAGATCTTGAAAGTCTTGCCACATGGATAGATAGTGACCAGGTAGACAGAGGCACTCCAGCAAAGGTAACGCAGCCTGCAAAATCAAGGAGATATGGAAGTCCATAGTTTGAGTAAGGAATGAGCCATGTTGTGTGGCTGGAATAGAGGGAGCCAGGTGTCAGGCGGATATGGTTCCAGATGAGGCTGAAAATGTTGATGAGGGCTCTATGAGTGTATTAGGCTTTTCTTGCATTGCTATAAAGAAATACCACTGAGACTGGGCAATTTATAAAGAAAAGAGGTTTAATTGGCTCACAGTTCTGCAGTCTGTATAAGCATGGTGCTGGCTTGTGCTTAGCTTTTGGGGAGGCCTCAGGGAACTTTTAGCCATGGTGGAAGGTATGTCACATGGCAAAAGCAGGAGCAAGAGAAGAATGGGGAGGGGTCACACGCTCTTAAACGACCAGATCTCTAGAGAACTCACTCCATCCATCACCTCCCACCAGGCCCCACCCCTCACACTGAGGATCACATTTCAGCATGAGATTTGGGTGGAGACAAATATCCAAACTCTATGAATGGGGCAGGTTCTTTGATGCTCTCTTCAAGGCGCATGGACTTTTATCTTGTAGAATCCAGGGGGATCCCATGAAAGTTTTTTAAGCTGGAAAGTGACATCATTAAATTTGCCTTATTTTTATTTTAAAGAAAGTTAATTTTGGTGACAGTGTGGAAGATGTGTTTCCTTATATTTGGCCATATAAAATATAAAATTTGATTTTTAAAACATTTTAAAACAGTTTCTAGTATTCTAACAGTATAACAGTATGTTTAGATTTATAAACAAAGGACATTTTATGTTTTTATAAGTCAACTCATTTTTATGACTACGTTTTCAATGGAAAAATGAATATTGAGCGTCAACAAACAAAACATTGTGTGACAAGCTTGTGCATTGCTGATTCTCTGTGTTGGCCTCATCCATAAACTAAAGCCTCTTAAACTCAAATCTCTGATGCCTTTTAGAAATGCCTTTTACTTTCTTTTTGTGTAGTAAGAGGGATCATGGAACCTATGATCTAAAAACTGGGAAGCAATGATGCCATGTGTCTGCAAGCATAGGTAACACAGCTGTTTTAGAGATGTCTTTAAAAGGGTACATGAGTGTTTTGATATTTGAGAACAGATCTTCCAGCTTGTCATGGGAGTTGCATAGTTTTAGAAATCAGTCCTTAACCTTAAACTTTGTTCACATTGAACTCTAGAATAGCAGTGGTTTTTGAAGAGCAGTTGTTGAATGCATTTATGCATATTTAATTTTTTTGAATGGCTATTAAAGACCTAAGACAATTATATTCAGGTTTCAAGGAAAGAACTTCTTGTGGGAGTTTAACATTTTTAAATTGTTGGTTGGTGGAGGGCTGGTATTTACTGATATTCTTGAGTTAATGAGTCCCAACTGTAATAGCCACAATTGTGCTGCCCTTCACTTTGGAGAATTGCGTATTTTTACACTCATACTTTGAGGCTTACTATTTCAGTATAGAAAACAAATATAGTTGCCGAAAAAAAATGATTAGATTTCAAACTTTATCTGAGGCAAATGTGAGGTCATTAATTAGACTTCTTTCAAACTTCTTAAGTTCCCGAGCCTCATGATATTATCAAATTAAAAGGACAGACTATTGAAATGTTAATTTCAGTTCATCATGAATGTTTGCACTTCTCATAAAATAGCCATTTCTGTGTTAAAAATGTCTTATAATCTGTGAATAGCATTTAAGAAAGCAATGTGAATGTGAGTGTATTTAAAATCATCCTCTAAGTAATGCTTTTGGAAGCCAGTGTACAGTCTGACCTAACAATTACAAGTAGACCATGTAACCACTCATTGAAGATGAATGATGTTTTTATGCTACAAGAATTAAAGACTGTTTCTTAAAAGAAAACAAGAGACTGCTTTTTTAGTTTTTAACCACCTGTACAGCAAATCATGAATAGGAGAATCTGAATGCCTGATAGCCTTCTGTATTATTTTGCTTATTTATATATTTATTTTACAATAAACTTTAAAATGATATTTAATTCTACAGTAGCTGTGGATAGATCAACCACATTCTGTATAATCTAGATTTTTCTTAAAGCTCCCTTTTCTTGCCCTATCAATTACTTACCGTCCATATTTGGCCATTTTGGGGAGCCAAGTTGTCCCCACGTATCAGTGGTGATAAATGGATCAGAAGAAAGTTGATCAAATCCAAGTGTGTTTTTATATATGATGCATCAGTTATCTTTGACACATAGCAGTTCCAAAACCTCAGGCAGACACAACAAGAAGTGCTTTTTTGTACATGTGTCTGTGGTCACAGAGGTTCTGCTGATCTTGGGTGAGCTTACCCATGTGCCTGAGGGTTGGCTTGCTGTTGGACAGAGTGAGGTGACTGAATGACTTGGCTCTGCTCCATCTGTCTCTCATTCTTCAGCAGTTGTGGCAATGACAGTGGCTCTAGAGAGCTAGCCCCGTGCACAAGTCCGTGAAGCCTTTGTTTGTGTCATATCTGCTGACCAAAGCATGTCTCTTTGGGCTGAGTCCAAAGTCAAGGGGCAGAGCCGGCCTGCCCACCTATGGTAAATTGGCATTACAAAGTTTCATGTCAGAGGGCATGGATACAAGGAGGAGTGAAGAGCTGGGACTAAATGATGCAGTTCACTACATAAGATTTAGAATTTTTATTGATAACACGTAATTTCACTTCTTTTTCTTTTTTTCTCTTCTCTTCTCTTCCCTTTTTTTCTTTTGTTTCTTTGGAAAGGGTCTTGCTCTGTCACCCAAGCTGGAGTGCAGTGGCATGATCACAGCTAACTGTAGCCTTGACCTCTGGGGCTCAAGCAATCCTCCCGTCAGTCTCCCGAGTAGCTGGGACTACAGGCACATGTTACCACGCCTGGTTTAAGTTTTTAAAATTTTATGTAGAACTGCTACATTGCCCAGGCTGGTCTTGAACTCCTGGGCTCAAGCAATCCTCCTGCCTGGGCCTCCTAAAGTGCTGGGATTATAGGTGTGAGCCACCACACCCGGCCTGATTTCACTTCTTACCTACCACACGTGTTGTCTCCCTTCTTTAGGCCTTCATCAGGGAATATTTGGGGGTAAAGAACAGAAACCCACTCAAGTTGCTTGAAGATTACCATAAACAGAACAGGGAAGCTCACAGGCCTATAAAAATAGGAAACCTAGAATGGGCAGGTCTCACCAGAACTGGGACTGCTAGATGTTAGACTTTGAGACCCTTGTTTCATCTCTGCTCCTCTCTGTTTCTCCCCCTCTGCCCCACTCCCTACTCTTATGACCCCTTGTGGCCACATCAATTTTAATTGTATGCAGTTGTGTGGCTCAAGCACCTACTATGAATTTAGGGATATGAATTAGACCTCACTGTCTGAGTCTAATTCATTTCCCTAAATCCTAGCTCATGGATTAGTTATTCCTGAGTCTACTTGTGAGTCTCCTAGAGCTGAGTGCTCAGTCTTCATCTCTTTCTTTACTTTGCTTATTGAGCGGGTCCAGTCCTATGACTTGAAATGCTGTCTTGATGCTGATGACTCATAAGTTTCTGTCTTCAGCCTAGACTTCTCCCTTGAACTCCAGACTCACATATACTACATCCTACTCCACATGTCCATTTGGATGTATCTCATAGGCATCTCAAACTTACACCCACATAGACCACTTGATTTCCTCCTCATAATTTGCCTCTCCCAGTCTTTTCTCAGTAAATGGCAATTTCAGTTTTCCAGTTATTTAAATGTCGGAATCAAATCCTTGGTTAAATATTCATACTTTAAAATTATATGCATATATTATAGTTCTAATATAGTATATATATTATAAAAGAACGCAAATTTGCAAGCTTCATGTGACACTGATTAAGTAAACTAGATCTTTAATGTCTGGCTAATTAGGATGCTTCATATTTTTATTTACTAATATCACAAGCATAATAGATAATGTGAGTTTCATTTTTTAAAAATTGTGGTAAAAACAGATAATACAAAATTTACCATTTTAACCATTTTTAAGTGTAAAGTTCAGGAGTGTTAGGCATATTCACATTGCTGGGAGACAGATCTCCAGAACTTTTTCATCTTGCAGATCTGAAGTTCTGTTCGCATTAAACAGTAAGTCCCCTTTTCCTGCTCTTCCCAGCTGCTAGTAACTACCATTCTACATTCTGGTGTCTATGAATTTGACTACTTTAGATACCTCATATAACTGGAGTCATATTGTATTTGTGTTTTTGTGACTGGCTTATTTCCCATAGCAGAATGTCTTAATAGTTGATCAGTGTTGTAGCATGTAACATGATTTCCTTCATTTTTAAGGTGAAATAATACTCCACTGTATGTGTACACCATGTTTGGTTTATCCATTCATTTATCACGGGGCATCTGGGTTGCCTCTACCTTTTGACGATTGGGATTAGTGCTGCTATGACCATGGGCGTGCAAATCTCTTTGAGACCCTGCTTTTAATTTCTTTGGCTATATACCAGAACCGGAATTACTAGATTATATAGTAGCTCTACTTTTGATTTTTTGAGGAAACTCCATACTGTTTTCCATTACAGTTGTTTCGTTTTATAATCTCGCCAACAGTGTACAAGGGTTCTAATTTCTCCACATCTATCCAAACCTTGGAGTCTTTTTTTGGCTTCTCTATTTCATGCCCTAATCTAGTCCCTCAGTAAATCCTCTTGACTTATATTTGAAATATATCCTACATCTGACTGCTTCCCATCTATCACTGTCACCTTTTTCTGAGTCACCATTGGCTCTTGTCTGGACTATGATACTAGTCTTCTCACTGGTCTCCTGGTCTCAATCCTTGCCCCCCTACAGTCTGATCTCCATAGAACAACCAGAGTAGTAATTTAAGAATATAAGCTACATATTGTCATTCCTCTGCTTAAAACTTTCTAATGACTCCCATCACACACTGAGGATAAAATTCAAAGTTGTTTCCTTGGTTTATAATGTCTTAAAAATTCTCATTCCTTTGCTTGCCTGGCTTCAGACACACTGGTTTTTGTACTTGCCTTAAACACACTAAGATTGTCCCTGCCTCAGGGCCTTTGTCCTCGATGTTTCCTCCACCTGGGTGTCTGTATTCACAGACATTTGCCCTTCACAGAGGCCTTTCCAAACAGCCTTCTCTTAAAAAGGTACTCACTGTCAACTTTTTCTATTCTCTTACCGTACTTTCTTTTCCTCTGTGCACTTGCCACTTTCTGACATCGTAGTGTATTTATTTGTGACTTTCTTATGGCTGTTTTCCCCAAGAGAATGTAAACACCATGAATACAGGGATTCTATCTCAGCATCTGAAAGAATGTCTGATACTGAAAAGATGCTCAATAACTATTTGTGGAATGAGTGCGTAAAATAATATTTTGTAGCCATGTGTTTAAGCAGCTTTGGCCATGGCGACAGAGGTGCCCCATGTACACATGGCGCCTTAGGTGGAGGTGGTTGCCCAGGAAAATGCTGTAATCTGTCTACCATTTCTAGCCAATTTCTCCAGCTAGAAATAATTTATGGGCTATTATTGTTCATGAGGTCTAAGTGGGAAAGTATAGATGCCTTATCTTCTTTTTTTTTTTTTCAGCCTCTTATTGAAAAAAAAATTCAGGGATTGATGGGAATTATTTGCCTCTGCCCTTTTGGCCCCAGATCATCCTTCCTGAGTCTTGGCTGCTCCTTATTACCTGCAGTCACATTTCCTGTTGTAATGTGAGGGCAATGCTTCGTTTGCACAATGAATGCCGGAAATGGATTTTAAAGCATTATAAAGCAAAGCCAGAAATTCCTCCTGCAGGGGAGATGGTCGGTTGACAAGTCTGTGAATTATATAATAGAATCTCCTCTTACTCTCCTTGTAAAATATACCAAAATATCAAAAAACAATGGGCTTTTCTTCCCAGTTTGTTTGGGATCATACTGGCATCCTCCTGTATTTTGGGGCTGTGGGATTAGAATCATGTATAACGGCTTTGTTTTCCCCCGGCTAGGTTTGTGATGAAGTTGTTCTGATGGAAACAGTCAGTTAATTCTAAAGGATCTGCACACGCTTGCTGAGCAGAGTACTTCTACCTTAAATGGTCTTCCATGCTGTGGGAGAGAGCTCCTGATGCGTCAGTCACAGTGATAATGTCATGGGATTGGAACATCAATTTTGCCTGTTCCCACCGCCTCATGGCCTGGAGAAGTCTATTTCAGTCTTACTAGTCTGTTAGAAGCAACAGTAATTAAAATGGATCTGCAGGCTTCTGGGGTCTTTGGATAG
Organism: Homo sapiens; assembly: GCF_000001405.40. NCBI lineage: Eukaryota > Metazoa > Chordata > Mammalia > Primates > Hominidae > Homo > Homo sapiens. The sequence continues at coordinate 4,574,896 of NC_000003.12, forward strand.
GTAGCCAGAGGTCTATCAATTGCAAGAGATTCAAAGATGATTGCAAATGCAGTGTGAGGGACACTCCCTGAGGCCCTCCTAGAGTGCAAGTGATGCTTGGCTTTTTGTACTGGATGGTGCTTACACATGGGTGTACGTTTATGAAAATTCAGGTTCTCTACTTATGATTTCTGTACTTTTCTTGCAAATATGTTATATTTTAGTGAAAAAGACTTTCTTAGGAAAACAAACCAACCATAGTTTCTACCTGCAAGAAGATCTCCTGGTGGAGATACTCAAATAGAAGATCACACAGTCAACTTAGTGCCAAGATTAAGCAAAGCGTATTATGGGAGCACAAATAAAAGAGATCACACTCATCTTTGGGGGAGGATAGAGGAAAACCAGAGAGAAGGTTTAAATGGGATTTATCTATCATCTTTTCCTGGCTTCCTCCATATAGAATAAGGATTTATATGAGGAAACCAGAGTAAATGGGTTCAATCCTGATTCTGTGGTAGCATGCTTGGAAGTTAAAATATGCTTGGAAGATAAAATATTGCCTTAAAAAGCAGAAAATTTATTAAATATCATCACCCTCAGGGAGTTTGTTGATGATTGTCTCTCCAGACCTGTCTCACTGTTGGCATGGATAACTAGATTGATGAATGACTAAGAGCTGAAACACAAGACTGTGTATTTCTCATCAATGTGTTTTGTTATTGTGAAATATTTAATATTATTAAGAGCTGGCAGTGACCCTGTGTTGGAGGAGGGTAGGGTGTGTTTGTGTAAGAGCAGTGAGAAAGTAATGGCTAAAAAAAGTTGATGTCTTCTTTAAAAAAAAAAAAAAATGTTGCCAGCAGCTGGATGCAGTGTCTCATGCCTGTAATCCCAGCACTTTGGGAGGCTGAGGCAGAAGCATCGCTTGAGGCCAGGAGTTCAAGACAAGCCTGGGCAATATAGTGAGACCTCATCTCTACAAAAAATAAAAAATTATCTAGGCATGGTGATGCATGCCTGTAGTCCCAGCTACTTGGGTAGTTGAGACAGGAGGATCGCTTGGGCCCGGGAGGTCGAGGCTGCAGTGAGCCATGGTCATGCCACCACACTCCAGCCTGGGTGGCAGACTGAGATGCTGTCTCAAAAAAAAAAAAAAAAGAAATGTGGCTGGTGATAAGAGATTTATAGTCTAATGAGGCACAAAGTCGTTTTATTGTTTGTTTTCTTTATAATGAATGAACAAAATCATAATAGGCAATAATTAATATAGGAAACATTGCAAGGTGGTATAAAATGAATTTCTTTACTGTTAAGTACATTGAGCTCATAGAAGGAACTGATGAATAGGGAATGGAACTGCTGGGCGATTGGAGTTGTTAGAGTAGATAGTACCCAAATTGGTCTTTGGACAAATAGGTTGGAACCAGACCTGAATGTGCATAAGAATATCTTGGTAACAAGTTAAAAATGTAGATTCCTGGGTCCAACCCCCAGATTCTGTGGGTCTGAGGTGAGGCCTTGGGTTATGGATCTTCACAAAGAGGTTTAGGTGTAGGTGGTTCAGACAATACCATGAGAGATAATGACTAGGAGTCTTGGCAGGGAGAGAGGGCAGGATTGGTGGAAGGCAAATGCTTGGAAGCAAAAAAGGATAGCATTCAGTGAAGAGGCAGACTCATTCCTGAGACAGAAAAAGAAAATTTATCTAGAAACAATAAATATGCCAGGCAGCTCCTAGCGTTGGACGGACTGATGGCAAAACGGGTCATGGCAATGGAGCCCGTTATCCGTGGAATGCTACAATCTGTAGCTAATGTTTTTATTTGCAGGTTCCTTCAGAACGAAGTCAATATTTAAATGAAAATATAATTCTTGAATAATTTGCACTTTAACATGTGGAGGCTGGAACATACCTTAAAGGTTATTTTCCTATTCAACCCTGTCATTTAAGAGAAAGGAATGGGAGGTAGTAATTCATGAGGGATCAGCGGAGATTTGGCTGAAGTTCAGAGATTTCCTGAAGGGTCATAAACACTTATTTGTTTATTCATCAAAACTTATTAAGCACCTCCTCTAAACACCCAGTCCTGGGCTAGACCCCGGGATCCTGCTGAAAAGAAGAAAATCAATACAGCCTTGCCTTTGGGAGTTGACAGTCTAATGAAGGTGTCAGTTGTAGAACAAGTATGGGAATTTTTCCTACAATGAATTGTGTTCCCCACGCTGCCAGTTATATGTGGTAGAGTTGCATTCCACAGACCCCCCTACTGAATACACTTTTATTGAAATGAGGGCCCTGGGCACATGATGACACACGATGGCACAGGACGAGCCACACGGCTCTCTGTGCAGCTGCAGTGTTTGAATGGCTTTCTAGTTGGCCCTGAGTTCTTTCATTGTATGCAATCTGCTGTGATTTATTTGGATCGTGTACAGCAGTGCTTTTTAAACTTTAATTTGCAAGGCCATCACCCAGGGCTCTTGTTAAAAATACAGATTCTGTAGGTCTAGAATAAAAACTGAGGTGCCCTGTATTTTCACCAAACTTGCAGGGATGCTGACGTTGCTAGCAGGCGAACCATGCTGACTAGTGCTAGATGTCTGGAGAGAGCAGAAGTCTTTTGGGTCACTGAAGATCTCCTAAATTGAGATCAGGTTGGTTTTTGTTAGTGTTGATCAACTGATTTGTATTTTTTCAGCTTATAGCCACAAGGCCTACTATATATAGTAGCTTATAATAACGAGGTGCATTATAACTACAATAATACCTTTGCTGTTGAAATTTGTCCAGAAAAACAACTTTATGATGGAAAGTCGTGTCCTCTGTAACCTCTAATTCTTTTGTACGTCACTGAAAAAAGGATAACATTTTGGATAAAACAAAATTTCTTGACTTCGCCAACTGTCACAAAATAGCAGAACAGACTGTAATTACAAGTGTGACAAACGTGATAAAGGAAATGAGGCTAGGGCTGTCTAGATTGGGGTCCTCTAACTGTAGTTATTTGGATAGAGGCCATATTGGTTTCTTGTTCTGCTCTCCCCCACCTCAATCTTACATTACTGCATAAGTTGGCATAGGCTGGCACAGAAAATCTTGAAGGATAGTTGCATTTTTACCTGAAGCTCATCCAGCAACCAGTGCCAGTGAAACTGTGCATTCTATACTCATCTTGAAATATTAGCCCTTCCAGCTCATAGTTTGTTTATAGCAAGCAAAAAGAGAAAAAGGATTACTTTCAGATTGCTATAACGCTTGACACCATTGGGCTTTTTAAAGGTTGTAAGTGAATAAATTGAGCTCTTGTGTAGGCATGTTTCTTTTTAAAAATGGTTTGATATGAGGTTAAAAACTAAATTATGTAAGATTCTATAGAAAACATTTTTTTTCTGCCACTTTTTTTATTTTTTGGTTTCTAGAGTGATCTTTTTCCTCTCTTTTCTTTTGAGTGACAGTATCAGAGAATGCAAAAATCATAGGAGGGAGCGGTTCGGTTTGACCTGATGGATTAATTGTGTATAGGCCTCTGCATTCAAATGAGGAGTTGTGTGTCTGACAACAAAGTTGCTATTCCAAGTTGCTTTGCCAGTGAGAATTTTTATTGTGTGTGTGTGTGTGTGCATATACATATATATAGTGTGTGTGCCAGTGAGAATTGTGGAGCTCATAATGTCCCACAGCCAGAAGGGGCTTTAGTGCTTAGCCTGACCAGCTGGTCCTGTGTTCTGTGATGAGCTTCTTCAGTATTTGAGTTACCGTTGTTCATAGAGCCACGTGCTAAGTGCTCCTCCAACCAACGTTTGTGTATGAGATTTAAACGTGGTTGGCGCGCTCATGATTGCCATACTGAGTTTCCAAGGAACAATGAAGGAGGGCTAGATGACTGCACCTCTGAAAGTTGTTCTTATTGTTGATTTTTAATTTATTTTGGTTTTATCTTGTGTGAACACACAACCCTTACACTGGTCCATGTAGACACATAGCAAACGAAGTAAACAGTGAGCTTCACGTTGTCATTGAGAGAGGGGGCCCCACAGGGTCAAGGCATCTTTTGTTTTTTTATCTTGTCGTTCTGAGGCTTCCAAAATACTGAGTAGAACAAAAATTCCATTGACCCATGTGATATTGCTGATTTTGCTTCCAGGCGAGGCTGTTGTGACGTGAACATTCTGATACAAAGAAGCACCATTTGGGTATTGACTTAACGTAGCAGGCTCAGGGTCACCTTACCTGGGTCTCAGTTCCGGCCCCATAGCTCATCAGCTGTGTGACATTGAGAAGATTACTTAACCTCTTCCAGCTGCAATTTCTTCTTCTAAAAGATGTGTCGTTGTGATGATGAAACGATATTGTCCAGTACATGCATAGTACCTAGAACGTTGTTACTGCTACATTGTAGCAATACGATTGAGCATTTGCTGATCCCTGTAAATATTAGTTATGTAATTTTGATGATAATTTCTTATTAATATCAATAAATATTTCTAAATACTTGTTACTAAATGGCTGAATATGTATATATGTATAACATATATTATACAGCTTAAACATTGAAAATAATAGATTAGAGGAAGTATGATATAGATTCTGTAACCTGATCAAGAGCTATCTTCATGGAAATTAATTTTCTACCTGCAGGTTAAATAACTCTGAAATTGGTTTCTGGCTTTGCTTAGAGAAAGGAAATATTGGTTAATCAATCACAAGTTGAGTGTATCCATCTTTGGTGGTTTCCCTTTAAACAAAAAGCCTGTTACGGATCTTGCTTCCTTTCCGTAGGAAAGTTCATTTTAGAAAGTATATTGAGTCAGGGTTTTTGTTTATTTTAATGATAGAGAATTGAAAATTGGCATTATCAGATGGCATGATGGGTTCTTTCTGGTGCTGTTTGAATCAGGGTTAGACAGAGACTTTGTGGGACTGTTCTCCTTCATTGCATTTTCTTTATAGTTCCATCCCCCAAAGATTCCAGGCATATTATATCTGTATTGCACAATTAGATCTAACTGTATTTTGAATGTTAAATTCAGCCTTAAAAAAAACCTTTATTAGCCAGGTGCGGTGGCTCACGCCTGTAATCCCAGCACTTTGGGAGGCCGAGACGGGTGGATCACGAAGTCAGGAGATCGAGACCATCCTGGCTAACACGGTGAAACCCTGTCTCTACTAAAAATACAAAAAATTAGCTGGGCGTAGTGGCAGGAGCCTGTAGTCCCAGCTACCCGGGAGGCTGAGGCAGGAGAATGGCGTGAACCCGGGAGGCGGAGCTTGCAGTGAGCCGAGATCATGCCACTCCACTCCATCCTGGGCAACAGAGCCAGACTCCGTCTCAAAAAAAAACCAAAAAACCTTTATTATTATTTTTTAAAGCATATATGGTTCACGTGCCCTTGATGGAGGATATTAACATTAAGTATTCAGGAGTGAGGAGGAAGGTTAAGTTTTAGGTTCGATAAGGATTGTCTGGCTTTTGGTTCAAACAAGTGGTTTTTAACTCATCCAGCCATTCCTTATGACCCACATTACCCTCTCAAAGTGGGGGCAGGACAGGAGAACCCCACAGATCCCCCACCTTTTGTTTTGTAAGAACTGCCAAGCCAATTGTTCAAATTAGCCTAGTCATCTAATCTCCTAATGTCCCTGGCAGGAGAACAAGTGATACGGGGAGGTGACAGATGAACAGCAGAGAGCTTGCTGTGCCTGTGTCCTGCAGCTCACTGGTAAAGCGTGTCAAGGATGTGGCCTTTGCCTTGCCGTCCCAGGTGTTGTTCATAGTCCTCCACTACTGTCCTTACCCCCAACCTCTTGCAGGGCCAGAATTTCTGTTGCTGAGCCCATTACAACAGATCCTCAGTGAGCAAGCCGCAGAGGCTGTACTGAGCATGCCTAGTCCTTCTCCCAAACCTGCCAGTCACTGAATGGGGCCGCCTCTTGGGGAAGAGGGATACAGTGGGCACATAGGGTGAGTGGCGCCCTTGAGCAGATTCCGACAGTAAGAGTAACGTCAGGCAGGAGGAGTGAACGTTTCCATCTCGGAGCAGCCAATATTTCTTCTGTAAATACCAATCACGTTAGGTGCCAGAGCAGTTAACTAACCTCTCTACCTCTGAACTCCATAACTCATAAGACTTAATTGTGTTGACCTGGGATATAAACCTGTCCCGACTCCTCCACATACCAAACTCAAACGTTTCAGAAGCTTAAAATACCGCTTGTTTCACATACTGATAAAAAATTCCAAGTAATTCCCCCAAGGATCATTTAGAAGGTTCCCAAATCCACCCCGACAGCCCAGCCACCTTGGAGAGTGTTTTTGCCGAGGCAGCATCAGCAGGGTAGAGGAGGACCAGGCAAGGTCAGCACCTTCTGTGCTACAGAGAGGCCCATGTGAGTCTTGTCCTCTTCAGAAGGCGGTCTGCATGATGAAACACATCTGCAGTGATGCTGTGGTGCTATGCTAGTCTCTGTCCTGACTTCACTCCCTGGTGTAGGGTTAAAAACTCCCAGGAAAGGCTTCTTTGTTCTTCCCAGACCAGTATGGTGTATGGTGGTTGCTTTTACATCAGTTTTAGGTGGGTTGCCATATTCTCCACGAGCCTCTTTTAGGAATATTTGGGATGGTAGTGGTAATCTATATTGGGAGCCATCTCAACTCAGTATTAAATGAGTCTGGGACAACAAGCAACACCCACCCCATTACAAGTTTTATATGAAGCAAACATCTATTTTTGCTTTGTGCAGACTCCACTGTATAAAGTGCTAAAAATAACCAAATGCTCAGAAACCATTTGTGATGCAAAAATGACTGTAGGGGGAACCGTGTTGTTTTCTGCCCTGGTTATAACTAAATAGTGTACGGCAGGAATTGTGCCCAAGAACTAGTTTTGCAAGGTCATTCTGAGGCTTTTCTGGTGTTGGAGGGACCTACAGTTGTCCCTGTGGACTCAAAATGTCATCTTGCCCACACAAACTGTTAAAATAATTTAGACAGGCTTTTTTCTTTTTTATTGCTTAAAAGAAATAGTCTGTTTGGGTCTTGAAGATTTTGTGAGTTTTATTTTTTTTTAGGATTTTTTTTTTTTAAAAAGGAAAATGGAAATAAACAGATCACAGGTTAGGGTAACCAGAAGACAGGGTTGTTACGCCTTTAAAAATTTTAGCACATTTCCTAATGCTGCTGTCATTTCTTAAGTCATGCTATGTGTGAGACTTGAATACTCGGTGCTCCCGTACTGGCCTCAGTGTTGTTACCAAGAAGTGCATTTGCCAGTCTTATCAAACTGGCATCAGAAATCAAGCTCTGAGCTCAGAGGTTAGATACCGCTTATTTTTATCAAGTAGGCAATTTTCCTCTCCCCTTAGCATATGCGCTTTGGGTTCTAGACTTGTTCGAACATGCCAAAGAAACCGCTGGTTAATTTAATGCCTAGAGGCCATGTTCCTACTGTGTCTGTAGGAAAATGTCCTCCCCCACCCCCGCCACCCCAGCCTGAGTATGTTGAGGAGCCAGTTGACAAAATTGTTAGCATGCTGTGAAGGGACGGATGGTCACCTCCTCTTCTCCCCACGCGTCCATGTGTATGCACTCAGCCTGTTCTCCGGTGTGGGTGTGAAGATGGACATAGTCTTGTGTGCTTCTCTATTCTGCTGAGATTTGTGTTATCAGCTCCACACTTCAAGGACAAAAAAAGATCCAAGATGATGAGTGGTTGACCATGTTGCATGAAAAGGAAGTGGATAGAGAGGATTCATTCTGGAACAGACTAGCAATTGACTGGACAACGTATTCTTTCTAAGCCTCTTAACCCTTTGTATACATCTCTTTATGGCTGTGAAAGTGTCTTACCATCTGTTAGATTTTTTCTGGGAGATGATTAGCTTTCAGAAACCTAAATGACTCAAGGGAAGTGAAAGCAATACTAGACTTTCTAGAAAAATGTATGGAATGTGTTCTCCTTCTTCCAGCTCTGTGCGTGCTTCAGGGAAGCTGCTGCCTCTGCTTTAGTATGTCTGTGCTCTTTGGGCTGGTGGCACGTTGTCTGAGACCTGAAGAAGACAGTGGTGAAATCTAAATCAGAACCCTAGGCAGATTTTCCTTCTTTCTTTCTTTTCACCCACCAGCCTTTACTTTAGCAATCTTCCTCTCCAATATTTATTTAAAATTTTCTCAGCATGTACAAACTCTTGGCATATAGGAGAAGAAGAAGATTTCTAAAAAATCAAGCCATTTCTCCTATAAGGGAGATCTGCTACAACAGGAAATTGGATTTGGACCTTCTTTGGAAGCAAAAAAATACAGCTAAATAAACGTTTAAATGGAAGTGGTCTCATAAATATTTTCAGTTTCAAAAATGGAAATTCATTGTGTCACTTTATGATAATATCCATGTTATATCTGAACTTCATGCTCTAAAACTCTACAAATGTAGACTTGGGAAAAAAAAGTTAGCGTTTTTTCACTAACTTTTTTTTTTCTCACTAATCATAGCATGGACACCCGTTCCAGTTTGTGTTATGTGTTTCACAGGGAATGTTTAGCAGCTTCGTGGGTTTGAAACTTCCTGAAGGTTGTTGCAGGGGCTGGGATGAGTGCGTTACAGGCCTCTCCTTGGCAAAATGTTTTTCCGTTTGTAGTTTCTCAGCATTTTCTCTTCCCCTGTGCAATCCAGGCTAGTGGAATTGAGATACTCACATTTCTATCATCCAGCTGGCTAGTTTTAGGAAAGATACAGCTTGAGCCTGTTCCTCCTTGGCTTTTAGCTTTCACTTGCCTTATTTGGTAAAGCTGCGGGGTTCGTTATTCCTGGAAAGGGCTGTTTCACCAGTTTCAAGGACTATTTCCCACTTCCATCTAGTTCTGCGCTGGGAACTTGAGCTTGGTTGCAGCTCTGGGGTATCTGATTTGAACTGGGGCAGTTGCAGGATGGGGGTACCCTGAAGAATTCTCACCACCCATGGCTGGTGGTGATGTACCCCTCACTAATGAGATGTTTACACATCAGATACATAGTTCAATGTAAACTTCCCTTTGAAACTAGGTACTCACAAAAGATGCTGGCTTTTTTGCTTCGTCCAAGGGCCTGGAATGGGCATGGCTTTCTCGCTTTTCCCAGGGTCTTGGTATTTAGATTGCCTTTTCCCCAATTATCCTTTTCATTTCTGCATTCTTTCTATCTCTTTGGGGGCTTTTTCCTATCCCTTATAAGAAACACATAATTTTGCTCACGTTAAATTTGCACATCCTAAGTTTTAATGAAGCTCACAGTTTATTATTATCTTCAGTACCTCCTCTGATGTTGTTTATAGGGAAACTTATTCTTCTCATGTTCATTATGTATGAAGTCATGTTCTCAGCACCCACCTCACCCCCTTCTTGTCCCCCAAACCAACTGGAATCCAGAATCCTGACAACTTATCCTTCTCTGGTTCCTAAGTAGCATTGTTGTAAAAATAATTAGCCTAAGTTTTAAAGAGATGAGAAGATGTGGCTTATTCCTTGGAGCTTATATTCGTTTTGTGTCTTAGCCTAAAAACGAAGTTTACAGGCCCCCCAGTCCTCAGAAAGATAGTTATATTCTTTCTGATGAAAGGTGGGAACGGGGAAGCGGGGAGGAGAGGAGAGGAGAGGAAGTGAGGTTGATGTAAGTGAATCCTTCTCTCTTTGCCCAGAGAGTTAGTGGGTTTTTTTTTTTTTGTGAAAGGAAGTTGAATTTATTAAGAGTTTGGAGGGAGGGGGCCGAAGGAAACGTTTTTCCCTCCCAGAATGCGGAGGCTGCCACTCAGTGGGAGAATTAGTGAAGCTCCGGAACTCACTTTCATTTTCAAGAACCTGTTGGTGGAGGCTTTTTTTGTCTTTGGCTTTGCTTCTCCCTTCCAGCCCTGCCTGTCACAGAAAGACCCCCGTTCATCTCCCTTGCCCTGCAGTTCATTTCTGGAGTGTAGGTGTGAAGTTAAGGGACTGTCCCCATCATAGGAGATGAAGCAAATGAAGAGACAAAATGAAGCAAATGAAGAGGCAAATACAAGACATCTAGAAATCGACTGGGTGGAGGGAGTAAAGGAGAAAAACAGAAGGGTAGCTTTTGAATGTGAAACACCAGAATGAAAACTGACTTGCCCACTGTCAGAGTGTATTACTGGTCTACCCACGTCAGTGAGAGCTGGTGAGACCCACCCTCCGAGGGTCCTAACTGTGTGCGGCTGTTCCCTGCCCGGGCAGTTGTGTTGTCATCTTGATACTCAGTTCAGTCCTATACTCTTCTGGGTATTTGTTTCCTTTTAGAAAATAGCTAGCAAATTTGTGAAAATTCAAAGCAATATGCTAGGTATGTTATGAACCTATTTGCCTAATGCTGGGCCAAGCATAGAAACCCAACCAATTACCTCTCTATATAGAATATACAGAATGTTTTGATTTAACTGCCTTAAGTCATTCTGCACTAGAGAGTTCTGTCTCTCAGTTGGATTTAGTTACCTGTCCTTATCAGTCCTGGTACACAAAACTCTTTGTCATACTAATTATGATTACTACTACTACTAACATGCACTTTTATTTTTTATCTTATTTATTTATTTTGAGACAGAGTCTCACTCTGTCACCCAGGCTGGAGTGCAGTGGTACGATCCCAGCTCACTGCAAACTCCACCTCCCAGGTTCAAGCAGTTCTCCTGTCTCAGCCTCCCAAGTAGCTAGGATTACAGGTGTGCACCACCACGCCCGGCTAATTTTTGTATTTTTAGTAGAGACGGCATTTCAGCATGTTGGCCAGGCTGGTCTCGAACTCCTGACCTCAAGTGATCTACCTGCCTCAGCCTCCCAAAGTGCTAGGATTACAGGCATGAGCCACCGCACCCAGCCTAACATGCACTTTTTTTTTTAACTGTGTAATTCTTTTTTCTTTTATATTATACTTTAAGTTCTGGGTTACATGTGCAGAACGTGCAGTTTTGTTACATAGGTATTCACGTGCCATGGTGGCTTGCTGCACCCATCAACCTGTTACCTTCATTAGATATTTCTCCTAATGTTACCCCTCCCCTAGCCCCCCAGCCCCCTACAGGCCCCAGCATGTGATGATCCCCTCCTTGTGTCCATGTGTTCTCATTGTTCAATTCCCACTTATGAGTGAGAACATGTAGTGTTTGGTTTTCTGTCCTTGTGATAGTTTGCTGAGAATGATGGTTTCCAGCTTCATCCATATCCCTACAAAGGACATGAACTCATCTTTTTATGGCTGCATAGTATTCCATGGTGTATATGTGCCACATTTTCTTAATCCAGTCTATCACTGATGGACATTTGAGTTGGTTCCAAGTCTTTGCTATTGTGAATAGTGCCGCAATAAACATACATGGTAACATGCACTTTTAATACTTTTGTTGCACCTGTTCTGTTCTGAAAGCTTTACCCGTTTCTACCATACAGCAACACCATGAGGCTGGTGCTAGTCATATCCTTGGTTTACTATTGAGGAAAACTGAGGCTTAGAGGATTAACATGCCCACAGCAACATGGTTAGCTAGAAGTGTTAACCCTGGTAGTCTGACTCTAGAAACGGCCTAACTGCTTTGCTATGCTGCTTCTTACTGCTATTTAAGTCACTGTCTGGCGGCAAGTAGCCTTGAGTGCTTTTTTTTTTTTTTTTTTTTGAGACAAGGTCTTGCTCTGTCACCCAGGCTGGAGTGTAGTGGCACGATCATGGCTCCCTGCAGCTTTGACCTCCCTGGCTCAAGCCATCCTCCCACCTCAGCTTCCTGAGTAGCTGGGACTGCAGGCACTGTCCCCATGCCCAGCTAATTTTTTAATTTTCTGGAGAGATGAGGTCTCCCTGTGTTGCCCAGGCTGGATTTTTTTTTTTTTTTTAATACAACTAGTCTCTGGAGCTCGTGGTACAAGGACTACCTAGATTAAATGCATATTGGTTTGTTTGGTGATCACTGTTTCTTGCATGAGGCCAGATCTTTGCCCTGCTTTGTTGCTATGCTCTCTTTTAAACTTCCCTTCACTTGTTACCTTATTGTGGTTTTCTCTGACTCTTGTTCATACACCTCTTAGGTAGGTCTCCGACCTGCGGGTTCTCTAAGGCATTGATTCCCAAGCTTGATTGTACTGGGAATCACCCGGGAGATTCAAAAAATTATATTCCCTGGCTCCATCCTTGCAGTTGGTATAAGACTCGGGAATAAATATTTTTTACATTTCCCTGGAGATTTCGACGACCGGCTTGCTTTGCATTAAGGCAGAGTTTCTCAAACTTTGCAGGTGTACTGTGTGATCTTATTAAAATGCAGATTCCGAAACAGCCTGCTATCTGATCTGCACTGAGGCCCAAGGGCCTGCATTTCTAGCAAGCACCCAGTGCTGCTGATGCTGCTGGTTCACACTTCTCATGGTTTTTTTTTTTTTTTTTTTTGAGTCAGAATCTTGGTCTGTTGCCCAGGCTGGAGTGCAGTGGGGCAATCTTGGCTTACTGCAACCTCCACCTCCCGGGTTCAAGCAATTCTGCCTCAGCCTCCCCAGTAGCTGGGACTACAGGTGCATGCCACCATGCCCCGCTAATTTTTGTGTTTTTAGTAGAGACAGGGTTTCACCACGTTGGCCAGGATGGTCTCAAACTCCTGAGCACAGGTGATCTGTCTGCCTTGGCCTCCCAAAGTACTGGGATTACAGGCATGAGCCACCCTGCCCGGCCCACACTTCTCATTTTGAGTAGCTGGGGTCTGGACTGTGCATTTTGACTGTACTCTCTTACCCTTTCAGTCTATTTAGTGGATTGTGTCTCACACTGGCTGGAATTTGTGGCTTCCAACAACCTACTGGAGGTAATTGCCCACAGGATAAAGTGAGAAAAAGGAGCAAAATGGGAAGATACTGAAAGAGAAACTGTCTCAATTTGGGAAGGACTTGTTAAAAAGACAAGCATTGCTAATTAGTAGCTTAGTATCTAATCTTTGTCACTGAAGGCTGCAAATCATGCTTCCTGGAGTCTTCTTAAAGACAGCTTCTGCAGAGGTTTTAACACCTCTCATCTGACTTTTGTTAAATAGCCTGCTGGAATCCAAAATAGAAGCTGTGTAGGGAGATTCTCCCTAAGCATATTTACTGCCAAGCCTGCTCTGTTAAGACTGTATTGATTTTCCCCCCTCTTGGTATGAAATTAGTCATATAAAATCACAAAGTCCTCAAAGACATTTGGTTCAATCTGACACTTGATGCTTAGCTGTCCCCTTAAGCACCCCCACTGAGGGATCCCTAGACCTTGCTGCATATCAGAATCATTAAGAGGTTTAAGAAATGATTTTCTATTATATAAGAAGTAGATGCATACAGTCTTCTCATATTCTTGCTGCAAAGGCTTGTTCCTTGTTCTCTTCCTGACCCTAGAGCTAGCTATTACCAGAATGCTCTGTAACTTTGCAGACTTTTTTCTTTGAGTGTACTTACGTATGTGCATACCTGTTTCTTTTTTTTTTTTAAAGCCTGTTAGTGGGGTGTATTTTAATATTACACTGGGTTTTTAAACGTGTATTCAAAGCAGCTGTGAAGTCATTTTCTCACTTGGCTTTGCAGACACAGTTCTCTGCTGGTTCTCCAGAACTTCCTCTGCTGTTCCTTCTGGATCTCCCTGACTCTCTCTTCCGCTTTCTCACCTCTAAATGCTGGGCTGGTCCCGGGCTTCGGCCTTGGCTCTCATCTCTATCTGTGTTCACTCTCTAGATGATCTCATCCACTCCTTGAGGTTAAATGTGCTGATGACTAACAGATTTGTTTCTCCAGTGCCCATCTGTCTCCCAAGAGCTAAATGTGCATCTCCAACTTTCTAAGTGACACTTCCACTTGAATGGACTTCACAGGCATACTAGACATAATTTGTCTCCAACTGGCAGTGTCTCCCTGCCTCAAACCTGTTCCATCCCTGGTCTTCCCCATCGTGATGTATAGTGACTGTTTTGGCTTGTAGTGTCTTGATTTCTCTCCCTCCCTCACACGTCACATCTTAGCCATCTGAGTCCAGTTTTCTAGGCCTTCAGTTATAGTCCCAATTTGCCTACTTCTCACCACCTAGTCTACAGCCCTCATTCTGCTCTAAACCGTCATTGTGCTACCCAGACCATTGTTTCCCAGACTTCTTTGACTGCACTTCATAGCAAGAAATTTATTTCAGCTGGGCATGGTGGCGTGCACCTGTGCTCCCAGCTACTTGGGAGGGTGAGGCAGAGGGTTGCTTGAGCTCAGGAGTTTGAGATCAGCCTGGGCAACATAGTGAAATGCTGTCTCATTGTGTCTCAAAAAAAATACACACATATATGTGTATATAAAACTGCAACCTAGGAGACATATTCATATATATAAGCAAAAGGTTCACAAAGCAGTACTTACCTTTACTGTTTGCAGTATAGTCTGATATTTCATTCTCTTATTTCGTGAAAAAACAAATGGTGGTTGAGGCCCATTTCATGACCCAGTTTCAGTCGTGATCTGCAGCTTGAAAAACACTGGTTTGGATCCTTGCTATTTAAGGTGATCTGTGGAGCCAGCAACATTGACATTAACTGGGAGCTTTTTAGAAATGCAAATCTCAACCCCTCTCCTGGCCCCCTGAATCATAACATGCATTGGAGGAGATGCCCAGGTAGTTTGCAGGCAATTGCAGTGTGAGTGTCACTAGTCTGGAATGACTGCTGTGGCCTTCTAGTAGTGGATCTCCTTGTTTCCAGTCCTGATGGCTCACAGTCTTTCTACCATGGCTGGAGCTGGAGTGGTCCTTATAAAGCCATTTGGGTCATCCTGTGCCTGCTTTAACCAGCCTCCCACCTCATGTGGAACAGAATCAAGCCAGGTTCTCAACCCTGGATGACTGCTCATTAAGATTACCCAGAAGAATTAAAAAAAAAAATGCAAAACGAACAAAACAAAACCTCATGCCTGGGATACATCACAGACAAATTGGATCAGAATCTCTGGGTATGCGGCCAGGATTGAGAACAGCTGTATGAGAAGACCAGGCCCCTGCCTGCCTCTGGAAGTGGGCCTATCTCGGGCTCTCCTGGTTCTTTCAGCTCTAACCATACTGGCTGCTTTCCTGTTCCCTGCACACAGCAAACTCATTTCTGCCCCAGAGCCTTTGTGCTTAATGTTCCTCCTGCCTAGAATTCTCTCTTGCAGGACTCATGCCCTCACTTGTTTCACGCCTCTGCACAGATGCCACCACCCCTGAGAGACCTCTGTGACCTTCCTGTCTTACCAACTTATCCCTCTAGCTGCTTCCCCCCTTTGTGTCTCCTCTTCGTCTTGCTTTTTTTTTTTTTTTTTTTTTGTCTTCATAGCAGGTACTACTCTCAACACTGTATGTCGTGTTACTTCCTTACTTATTTGCTCTTTATCTTTCTCTGTAGAATTTAAGTTGCATGAGGACAGAGACCTTATCTGTCTTGTTGAACACTGTATTCCTGATACCTGGAACAGTGTCTGGCCATAAGCAGATGATGAATAGTATTTATGATGAATGAGAGTAGTCAGTGGTTGACTGCATTATGGTGTTTCTGGCTTTTTATAGCTGAGTTGGCCCTGGTTGGACAGAAGCAAGAATGCTTCATCCCTGGTAAACGGTCAGTCTGGTCTTCTCCATGTATTTTGTTCTTCTTAATAATAATAATAATTTTTTAATTATAATTACTATTTTATTAATTATAATAATAATTACTAATTATTATTATTACAGACTGGGACTCACTGTGTTGCCCAGGCTGACCTTGAACTCCTGAGCTCAAGCGATCCTCTTGAATAGCTGGGACTACAGGCATGTGCCAGCATGCCCAGCTCAACTTTGGTTTTTGTGTCTTTTTTTTAAATTTTAGGTTTGGGGGTACATGTGAAGCATGGGAAGATTTGTCACATAGACAAACACGTGTCACGGGGGTTTGTTGTACATATTATTACATTACCCAGGTATTAAGCTCAGTACCCAATAGTTATCCTTTCTGCCCCTCTCTCTCCTTCCACCCTCCCCCTCCACAAGTAGACTCTGGTGTCTGTTGTTTCCTTGTGTTCATAAGTTCTTATCATTTAGCTCCCACTTATAAGTGAGAACATGCAGTATTTGGTTGTCTGTTCCTGCATTAGTTTGCTAAGGATGATAGCCTCCAGCTCCATTCGTGTTCCCGCAAAAGACATGATCTCATTCTTTTTTATGGCTGCATAGTATTCCATGGTGTAGATTTACTACATTTTCTTTATCCAATCTGTCATTGATGGGCATTTAGGTTAATTCCATGCCTTTGCTATTGTGAATAGTGCTTCAGTGAACATAATTGTGCATGTGTATTTATGGTAGAATACTTTATATTCCTCTGGGTGTATACTCAGTCATGGGATTGCTGGGTGGAATGGTAGTTCTGCTTTTAGCTCTTTGAGGAATCACCCTACTGCTTTCCACAATGGTTGAACTAATTTACACTCCCACCAACAGTGTGTAAGGGTTCCCTTTTCTCCACAACGTTGCCAGCATCTGTTGTTTTTTGACTTTTTAATAATAGCTGTTCTGACTGGTGTGAGATGGTATCTCATTGAGGTTTTGATCTGCATTTCTCTAATGATCAGTGATATTGAGCTTTTCTTCATATGCTTGTTGCCTGGTTCAACTTTGATTCAGGAAAGCATTTCCTTGTTTCTTCCTAAGGGAGGAATGTAAAGAGGAAAAATAAAAAATGGCAGGATAGCCTGACTATTTTCCTGAAGAAACATGACTGTCTTCAAATTATCAGATCTTTGCCTTGAATTGGTTTTGCTTTTTTGATAGGGTGTGGAAGACTTTTCATTTACCCTGATCAAAAACATTTTTAAAGAGAAGCTTATGATCACTTGTAGTAGCTAAGATTGATATCAGAATGTGAAATATCAGAGGTGATCCTGGCTTGGATTTGGAGATGCTGTATTGAACATAATGGCTCACTTCAACGTGGCTGATTTTTTTTTTAAGTCTTCATTTGGAGCAGTGTCAGTTTAACAGTCAGATCTGACATAACTGTATTACATAATCAGACTTTTCAAGGATACAGATTGAAAGGGCTTTTCAGTTAGGTCTTAGAACTTCTTTTATTTTGTATCCTTTGAGATCAGTCTTCCTGCTTTTGATCTTTTGCCCTTGATCCATGTTTCTTCAGTAGGTTAATTCCGAGCTGGGGTTCCGAGGAATTCTTCAGTTTAAAAGAGAACACACAATAACGTCTTTGTAATAACAAAATTGAGTGAGGTCAGGGAACTACGTCAGTCCTGTTTGAGAAGTATCACTAATGCCTACCTGCCATACCTGGGAATGCTAGTAAGTTGCTTGAGCAGTAGTGATTCAGGTGCGAGATTCAGTCCCGCATACAAACTGACTGTCTTGTTTTATGTTTTGTGTTTAATAGCATTTGGTCTCTCTTATGCACCTTGTCTTTTAGTTCTAACACATTGATGGTATTCATTGTACGTAAACATTTGCATCAAATTTTGCTCATGAAGTATAAAATATACGGTCTTTCATCTATCGTGAGACCATTTTTTCTCTTTAGGCAGAGTGATTCCTCTTGTTTTCCCTTTGTGGCCTTTGGATTAATCATGGTCCTCTAGGGTACAGACACCTGAAAATTCAGCTCATACAGGAATTAGTTGGCTCCCATAACTGGCTGGAGCTCGGTGGTTGAAGTGATGCTGTCATGTCTCCAGGGGCTGGACTGTCTGACACCCTCTCCATGTTTCATCTTTGCTTCCCTCTAGGTGGACTCCATTGTCAGGCAGGTCCTCCCTCTTAATGTCCACACCATCGTCTGCAACTCTGGATTTGCAAGCTCTTTTTAGCTGTGTTAGTGGAAGGTGAATGTCTTTGCCCTGTTTCTCAGCTGGTTAAATCCCACCAACTCTGAGGCAGTGAGGTCTTAGCACTTAGATGCCTCTTTGACCAGGGCTGGGTCACAGGCCCACCTTTGGAGCAAGGAGATTGAGTGAATTCCATCCAAATACAGGGACTCTGAGTGGTGGGAGACTGGTTCCCTTAGGAAATATGAGAAGTATTATTGGAACACTGCGGGAGTGGTCTTAGCTGGGCACACCAAGACCAACTGGCTTCTCTGGTGTAATAATTGAAAGTGACCCATCGTCTGATAACTGAGGACCAGCTGTGTGCTAGAGGAGAACTTGCTCGAAGTCAGGAGATTTCAGCTCTTCTTTTTGTGTGTGTGATTTAGAAATCTAAATACATTTTCACTAACTCATTGAACAACACGATGCGGTGTGGGGTTGAAGGAGATTTTAGGTCTTTTGATCATTGCTATGGCACTTGGAACTGTCTAACAATACCTGTTGTTGGTACTTTACCTGTTGGTTTCATGGGTGATATTTATTCTGAAGTTTCGTGAACTTAGACATGCCATTTCCCTTTGCTTAGTAACTGTTGTATTTGTAAAAAGGAGGCTTAGACAAGGTCACATTTAGCTCTAAAACTTTATGCTGTCATTTAGGCTACTCCTTCTATTTTCAAGAGGAAATATGAGACCTCAAGAAGGCGAGAGATCAGAATTGGTTGCATTTTATAGTTTCTCTAAGAGCAGAATCTGGGTTGCATTTTATAGTTTGTCTAAGGGCTAAAATTACAACGTGAACACAAGAAAGCTGGTGACATATTTTTTAGAAGCCTCAAATTTGATTCAGAAACATAAACTGATAATTATATGTGAAGTTCAGATGCTAATGCCTTGGGAGAATACAAAAATAAGAGGGGCCATGCTGTTCTTTGGACATATAGAATGCTATAAAAGATAAAAGGCAACCGTGTTTGTTATAGTTCACTTATAAGACATGATCAGATAAATGCTAAACAGACTTGTATAATATACCAGGAGAGACCAGTGCAAAAGAAACATGAGACATGTTATCAAAGACACACAGGATATGGTGGGAGAAGAAGCTGGAAATGTGAATTGAGGCCTATTGATTGCTGGGTTAAGGAGCTCAGGCCTTTATTCTTGGCAATGAGAGCCTTTGATGATTTCTGGTTGGGAAAGGAGATGATCAACAGTGTTTCTGAAAGCCATTCCTACTGGAGAGCTGAGATAATTGGAGCCAGGGAGGCTACCAGGAGAATCTATGTGGGAGATATGATATGGGAAATGCGGGGCTTGAACCTGTGGCAGAGGCAGCAAGAATGGTGGAGGTGGCCATAGGTAGAAGGTAGACTTCGGGCTTGTTCATTGGCTTGGGGAGATACAAGTGAGAGAGAGAAGTTGAAGGAGTCTCCATCCTTTCCCACCTTCACCAGGGACTCACTGGTACAGAAGAACCAAAGCTTCAGTAACCCAGTTTTAGGTCAGGATAATAGGAGGCATGATTTGTATTCCAGAGTTCCTCACGCAATCGGGCTGAAGTCATCCTCCTTAGAACTTTGCCTAAAATCCCATCGTGATGGGCTTTTCCCCCTTCCCTGTCTTGCTTCCTTTACCTCCTTACAGGTTTATCCTGGGAGCACTTCCTTAATAAATCACTTGTATGTGAATCACTTGTTCCAGGGTCCCCTGAACCAACCCAAGATAAAGATTCGTTTTTATCTTAGGTAAATCAAATCCAGGTCTGGTGTGGCAGCTGCGTGATCGATGAGAGCCAAATCCCTTGTCTCTACTCTCCCATTCTTAGTGTGTGCCTATTCTTAGGTTGTCTCTTTATCGTAAGATGGCTACGCTAGCTTCAGCCATTGTGTTCACATTCCAGGAAGCAGAAGAGAGTAAAGGGCAAAAGGATGCACCTACCCATTGAGGGAGCCTCCTTTAAAACCCTTGGCCAACCCAGCCCTCCACCTCCCACCCCCACCATGGCCGTCTCAGTCATGGATATCTGCAAGTGAGACCGGGAAATGTGTGGCAGGAGTGTTTTAATCTGGGCCCGTTGTCATCTCCTATAATAAAGTGGTCGATTGGTAAGGAAGAAAGGTGGAATGAGTACTGAGTATGCAGCAGTCTCTGCCACAAAAGTTAAAACTGAAATTGAGAGTGTAGATCGTATCACCCTGGATGAGGAGGGGGAAGTATAGCAAAGTGGTTAAGGGTATAGGTTCTGGATTTAGACCTGGTTTTCAAACCCTTCCTTTGTGCTCATGTTTGCCTGATGTATGACTTGGGCCAATTACTAAGCCTCACTTTTCCCTTCTGAAAAATAAGGTTGGTGAAAATAGCTCAAAAGGTTGGCATGGGAATTTGCTGAGTCAAGTATCATAATGAAACGTGTATTAGTCTGTTTTTGCATTGCTATAAAGAAATACCTGAGACTGGGTAGTTTATTAGAAAAGAGGTTTAATTAGCTCATGGTTCTGCAGACATATAGGAAGCATGATGCTGGCATCTGCTCGGCTTCTGGGGAGGCTTCAGGAAACTTTGTCATGGTGGAAGGCAAAGGGAGTGCAGACTCATCTTACATGGCCAGAGTGGGAGCGAGAGAGAGAGTGGTGAGGTGCCACACACTTTTAAACAGCCAGATCTCGTGAGAACTCACTGTCACAATAACGGCACTAAGGTGATGGTGCGAAGCCATTCATGAAGGATCCACCCCTGTGATCCAATCACTTTCCACCAGGTCTCACCTCCAACACTGGGAATTACAATTCCACATGAGATTTGGGTGGAGGTGCAGATCCAAACTATATCAAAACTCTTAGACTCAGCATAAGACCTGGTATATATTATAGTTAATTTTGGCCATTTTATGTATGAGGAGCTGGGGTGTCGGCTTAGAGATGTTTTTAAGAGCAGAGAGTGAACAGGCCTACAAGGACAGCAAGGCCAAGAGTAGGAGCTGGGGGTTGCAGGGAGGTGGATGCTTTGAGGGGAGGTGATGAAGAAGGTCGCATGGCACCAAGACTGGAGAGGATGAGGTCTGAGAAGTCAGTTGACTTTAGCATTTAGGTCACTGATGACCTTTGAGAGCATTGTGGTAGCATGGCAGTGGCGGAATGTTCTTAAGAAATCAGAAAGGTCAGGTATGGCTCTCATGTCGTAGATGAAGAACTATGGTGACTGTATGTTTTTCTTTGAAACTGGCCTAAGTGCAGCCTGCCCTGCCACTCCCACAACCACTCAACTGATGAAGGTGATACCAGAAATGAAATCAGATCCCCTGATTTATTGCAGGGGGTGGGGGCGTTTGCTGTGAATACCAGCAGCGGTTACAGAATTGTGACACGTCCAAATTACAGACAAATGCTCTTCTCAAAACTTCTCTGCACTTTGGAAAGCTCTGCATTTCACCGAGCTTAAGTTGCTATCTATGTATCTATACTTCAGGTAAGTTTCTACAGCGAAATTTCCTGATGAGCCAAGAATTAAGCAAAAGTTCCTTAGAGTTTATTGTAAACGGTCTGACTTTATGGTAAAAAGCCAAGGCTTTTTACCATAAGATAAACTCTTTCCATGAGTTTTTCTTTCCTGCTTTTAAAGTATTAGTTTTTAAAAATGTTTATGTCTACTCTGTATTTATCATCTTTGGTTCCAAATCGCAGACTTATTAGCTGAGTGAAGTAATAGTCTGTTCACTATATACAATGGTGTTTGTTGCTTTACTAATCACTTATTTAAAGCTAGCACGGTTGGAACATGGGGTTTATTTGTGTTTCAAAAGGCTTAGCAACTGGTGGTCACAGATGGGTTTTTAGTTATCTGAACCAGGTTGTTATTGTAATAAAGGTATAAAGTGTCACCTTTTTGGTTTGAGGTCATATGGGTTATATGACTGCCTCTGCTAGAATCCTTTTAATTCTGGTAGATGGAACTGTCTTTCCTCCCTGAAATCTTAGCCTCTTGTGATCAGAGCTGCTCGTTAGCTGCTGGTCTTCCCACAGTCACCTTTCATTTGTATACCCTGGCAGTGTTTAAACCCCAACTCCTCCATGCTCATTATATAGGGCAAGCCAGATGTCACTCCCTGGGGGAATAGGAATCTGGTTGTAATTCACATGGAAACAAGTTGACTTTATATTGTTTCTCTGGGTCAGTAAAAGTACGTCACCTTTTAGAGGCTGATAGTTTTAGTGTGTTGATATGTTACCAGGGGTTTGCCGCTTACTGTATGTTCAGCAAAAGAGAGTTAGGATTGTAGAGCATTGAGTGAGTACATTTGCTCAGAGAGGACTGCGTGAGAAAAGGAACTATGTGGCCTGTCTGAAGGGGTCTTCTTATTCGCCTCCAGCTTCTTGCTGCCATGCAGAAATATGAGCCCCGTGGTGCCAAATCCTGGTTCATTTGTTTTGTTTGTTTTTTAAGGAAAAGATGTGGAGGTGGATTTGAATGTGAAATTGCCCTCTTTTAAAAATAGTGGCAATTAATACCAGCCTGTTTAAAACATTGTGTAGGCCAGATAGAATGTTGTCTGTGAGCTGGATTTGGCTTGAAGTCAACCAGCTGGCAAATTTTGCTTAAGGTAATGTTTTTTAAATGAAGCTACTATTAGTCCAGTAAATATATCCAGATGTGCAGAACAGCAAGTAAGGTTTTATGGGGATTTGGGTGTATGTAGATGATGAAGACGTCATTTGAGCCCCCACGGAGACTGTAGTGTGGTAAGGAAATGACACAGTAATCCGAGGCCGTATAGAAGTATCCTAAGAGAGGGAAGACAAAAGGGTGTTGGAATTTCCCAAGTTGGAGAGATGACTTCTGGCTGGCATCACCGAGGGAAAGGGGCATTTGGGCTCCTCTGTGAAAGAGATGAGGCAAGGGGGCACATTCTAGGCACCAGGGAGTGTGCATCAAATTGTAGAAATGAGAGAGAAAGCAAGCTGTGTTTTGGAAGTGGTCAGTGACCCGGTTTGGCTAGAGGTAAAGTCCAGGTTAACTTTGATCTGGAAACTGCAACCTGGTGTGATATGTGATCCTATTTAGCCATTGTTCATTGCAGGTAACCTCCTAGCTTGGCAGACCATTCCTGGCTGTCTGGCCAGAGTTTAAAGTATACAGAGTCACAGTGGCCTTCTCACTAGTGTTCATGCCTGAACTTGGTTTTGCAAACATCTGTGGAGACCAATCCCATGTACTAGGAGGCAGATAGTATTAGAAGACTCAGATTCAGAGAGCTAGGTTGATAAACCATCCTTCAGCTTTCCTGCGGTGTGATTCTGTGACTGAGTGCCTGCTGAGTCTTCCGTTTCCTGCGTCTTATTGGTTGGCACATGGCATGGGCCTTTAGCACCTATGCAGGGTCTATGGGGCCTTGCATGGCTAGAACTTTAGTGCTTCCTCTCAGTTAAAATTTGTACCATCCTTCCCCTCTCCCCTGGTTGAAAGGAAGCAAATCCTCCTCTGTGACCTGTCATTGGCTTCTGTGCATGTCATATGGTAGTAATCTCTTTAACCAGGATGTGTGATACTTGAGTGTAGCAAGGAGGTCCTCTCCTCACTTAGGGGAGACCCTTGTTTGAACAGAGAATTAAAAAATAAAGGCAGGCTGGGTGCAGTGGCTCACGCCTATAATCTCAGCACTTTGGGAGAATGAAGTGGGTGAATCAGTTGAGCCCAGAAGTTTGAGACCAGCCTGGGCAATGCAGTGAGACCCCGTCTCTACAAAAAAATACAAAAATTAGCTGGGTGTGGTGGTGGGTGCCTGTGATCCCAGCTACTCGGTGGGGCCGAGACAGGAGGATTGCTTGAGCTCGGGAGGTTGAGGTTGCAGTGAGCCATGATCACACCACTGCACTTCAGCCTGGGAGATGGAGCTAGACCCTGTCTTAAAAAAAATGCAGAAAAGTTTTAGGAAATATGGTTATCACTTCTGCCTTTAAGATGTTCATAAGTGGCTGAGTTATATATTAAAGGCTCTGTGAAGTCTTGCAATAAAGAAATTGTCCCAACTTTGTCCCAATGTAGTTTTCCAAAATTATACCTAAAAATTTGGGCTCTAAATCAGAGTGTTTCAATTCAGGTGCAATTTTATGTCATTTCCTGAACTTCTCTGAATCTCACTTTACTCTGAGAACATCGTCAAACCCACTGGGTGTCCCGGTACCTCTCACAGTGGCCATATCCACTATTTTTCCTCTTTTGTACAGTGTGGCTTCCAGAACTAAAGGTCATATTCTAGGTGTGGTCTATAGTGCACAGGATCATTACTGATGAGCTTTTTTTTTTTTTTCATCTTTTCTGGCTATCACCTAATTTTGGGAAAAACCTATTGAAATGTTCTCACTTGGAGACTAATATTGAGAATACTTACTGAGGGTTTCCTATGGGTAAAATATTTCATTTTTACTACAGTCCTCAGATGGGGATCCTTTATTGTTAGTCCCGGTTTGCTGATATGGATATGGGATCTCAGAGAGGTTGAATATGTTGCCTGCGGTCACAGAGCTAGTAACCACAGAGCCTGTGTTCATGGCCTTCACTCTCTGTAGCTGCAAATCAGCAGCTCATAGGCTGACTCCTGCTCACGCTTGTTTTTTGTTTAACTTGCACAGTGTTTTAAAATCTGAGTTAATTGGTTTACCCTTACAGTTTGGGAGATTTTACATAAAAAACAAATTTCTGGCTTTTGGGGGAAAATGCAGAAAATCTAGCCACAGTGGATTAGCATTGCCAGATGACAACAAGTGTCAGAAACTAAGTAAAGCTTTCTTCTTTTGAGGGGAGAAGGACTTTTACAGTCTTGCCAACATCCTACTTCCTTTGGTCCTCACCTTACAGTTCTTGAGTGATGGCTGTAGGCAGTTGGGTTTGTGATGCTGTACTTGATTGATGAAAACTGGGAACAAGAGAAGCAGTGAACTCTAAACGTGAAAATGGTTGAATGAAGGACCTTGGTTGCAGCAAGCCTTCCCCTACTCCGACAGTGGCTGCTGTTTTTGCAGCTGAGTTCTGCAGTGTGTTGGACTTGACTTCCCTGATACCAGCAGGAGGCACATGTGTGATATACTCTCCACTGGATCAGTCTTGGAGTGGACAGTGTCAGGTTGGAGTGCCAATATGTAGGGTGTTGGATATAGTTGTCAGTTTTGACGTATGTATGAAACCGTGAAACTCACCACAGGATAATGAAGATCTTAGTCTCTCCCAGAAGTCTCCTCCTGCCCATTGGTTGTCCCTACTCCCTCCTTCCTACACTGGTACATGCCCCCAGGAAGCCTGATGTGCTTTATCGCTGTTATTTGCATTTCCTAGCATTGTATGTACAAATGGAATTGTACAGCAAGTCTTCTCTTTTGCCCGAGCTCTTTCACATAGCATAAGTATGTTACAATACATTTGTGTTGTATGCATCAATAGTTTATTTAGTCTTTTTGTCTTTTTTAAAAATTTTACCTCTGTGGCATTGTTTCATTGCATACCACAGTTTCCACTCAAGGCAGATTTTTGGACATGCTGGCCCCCAGTTTCTGGTACCCACAGCCATTCATTCTACACATCCCTCAAGTTCCCTTGTGAATTAGAACTGGTGTTGAGGATTTCTGTGGTCGTGTATTGATTCTGTGATTCTAAGGAGATTCCGAGCCCCAGGTTTTGTTGTGGGTGGTCTTGCTGGGGATACTGTGGATGGGCTCTTTGAGGGCCCACAGGCTGGAGCTCGGAAAGGGTACCATCTCTACGGACCTTCCTGTTTTGTGTGTGTGTGTGTGCGTGTTTGTGTGTGTGTCTGTGTCTGTTTTGAGAAGAATTTAAATAGCTTTAATTTTTCGCCTCTAAATTGAGAACATTTTCCTGGCATTTGTCAAATATATGTGAATGTTTGTGTCTTCTACGTAAAATGATAGTCCGTGGACTGTTTAGTAACTGTAATGTGGGGATTATGGTGTGAAGGGTGGCATTTTGGGAATGTGAAGTTGATGGTAGACATATTCCTTGGGAGGTCAGGATTGGGTCACATGAGCTAATTTCCTGTCGCTCTAAAATTGATTCACTCCCCACCCCCAACAAGGGCGACTCCCACAGAATGTCAGTAGCCATCAGACAATGCAGGAATGGAGAAATAAAAATATGAGCACTATTTAATTTGTTGATTGTGTGGGGACAACTCATGACAGCACACCATGATTTTTGTGTTGTTCAGAGATATTCATTCATTGTTAAGTTGCATTTCTTCCTGGAGTAAATTAATTCTTTTCAGAAAGTAAATATTTTCTGAGTAACTAATTGAGGAATTCTGTTCTTCTTTTGTTAGTGGTGGTGGGCTGTGGAGAGGGTTTGGTAGACATGAATCACCTGTTAGATGTAAAGGGGAAGGAAACCCATAATTTATGGTCAATTGATTTTTCAACATAGATATCAGAACAATTAAATGGGGAAAAATATTCTTTTTTTTTTTTTTTTTGGCACTGGGGCAACTGGATTTCCACATGCAAAAAAGTAAAGTTGAGCCAGGCTCATTGGCTCCTGCCTGTAATCCCAGTACTTTGGGAGGCCAAGGTGGGAGAATCACTTGAGCCCAGGAGTTCGAACCCAGCCTGGGCAACATGGTGAAACCCTATGTGTGCAAAAAATACAAAAATTAGCCAGGCATGGTTGCATACACCTGTAGTCCCAGCTACTCGGGAGGCTGAGGTGGGAGGATCACCTGAGCCCAGGAGGTCGAGGCTGCACTGCACTGTAGCCTGGGCAATGGAGTGAGACCCTGTCTCAAAAAAAAAAAAAAAAGTGTTGAACACCTACCTCACACTGTATGCAAAAGTTAACTCAAAATGAATCAAAGCTCTAAATATAAGAGCTAAAACTATACACCTCCTAGAAGAAAACATAGGTGTAAATCTTCATGGTCCTGAATTGGGTGACAGGTTCTTAATATGACACCAACAGCATAAGCAATAAAAGAAAATTAGATAAATTGCACTTCGTCAAAATTAAAACCTTTCCTGCTTCAAAGGATACTGTCTAGTGAAGAGACAACTCATAGAAAAGTAGACAATACTTTCAATTTTTTTTATGATATGGGACCAGTATATAGAGTATATAAAGACTTCTCACAGCTCAATAGTAAAAGACAAATAGCCCAATTTAAAAATAGGAAAAAGATTTGAATAGACGTTTCTCCAAAGAAAACATATAAATGGCTAATAAGCACATGCAGAAATGTTCAGTAGCATTAGTCATTAGGGAAATGCAAATCAAAATCACAGTGAGAAATCCCTAGGATGGCTAGAGTAAAAAAGATGTACAATAATAAGCAGTGGTGAGAATGTGGAGAAATGGCAACTCTCACACATTGCTGGCAGGATTGAAAATGACACAACCACTTTGTAAAAGTTAGGCAATTCCTCAAAAGGTTAAACATAGAGTTACTATATGATTCAGCAGTTTCACTCCTTAGGGATATACCCAAATGAATTGAAAACATACGTCTACATAAAAACTTGTACACGAGCCAGGTGCACCTATTTACACCTACAATTTCAGCACTTTGGGAGGCCAAGGTGGGTGGATTGCTTGGGCCCAGGAGTTTGAGACTAGCCTAGGCAACATGGCAAAACCCTGTCTCTGCTAACAACAACAACAACAAAAAATTAGCCAGGCATGGTGGTGTGCACCTGTAGTCCCAGCTATTCAGGAGACTGAGGTGGGAGAATGACCCGGGCCTAGGAGGTCAAGGCTGCAGTGAGCTGACATTGCACCATTGCACTCTAGCCTGGGTAATGGGAGTGAGACCCTCTCAGAAAAAAAAAAAAAAAAAAAAACTTGTACATAAACATTTATAGCAACATTATTCATCGTAGCTAAAAAGTAGAAACAACTCAAATGTCCATCAGCTAATAAGTGGATTTTAAAAAGGGTTGTAGACACACAGTGGAATATTATTCAGTCATAAAAAGGAATGAAGTGCCAGTACCTGCTACAACATGCATGAACCTTGCAAACCTCGTGCTAAGTGAAAGAAGCCTGTCACAAAAAGGCTACCTATTTTGTGATTCTATTTATGTAAAATACCGAGAATTCATAGAGACAGACACTAGATAACTGGGCTCTTGAGAGAAGGGGAGAATGGGGAGTGACTATTAATGGGTATAGGATGTTTTTGTGGGGGATAATGCAAATGTTCTGGAATTCGATAGTGGTGGTGGTACCAATCTGTGGATTTTCTAAAAACTGCTGAGTTGTACTCTGAATTTTGTTGGATGTGAACAATATCTCAATAAAAATGACTACATGTAAAAAATGTTCAAGCTTACTGGTAACAAAATATATGCAGATGAAACAACAGGCATCAAATAAAATAATAAAACATCCACTTTTGACTACAAAACAAGTGAAAAAAGTGATAAAGGGGAAGGAAATAAGGCAAGACTTGCTTTTTAGATGACAGGCATTTTTTATTTTGTTTTTTTTACAGTCAGCTATAATTTTTAAAATTATTTCTTTATTTTTAAAATTTCAACTTTTATTTTAGATTCATGAGGCACATGTGCAGGTTTATTACATGAGTATATTGCATGATGCTGAGGTTTGGGGTATGAATGATCACCCAGGTTGTGAGCATAGCACCCAATAGGTAGTTTTTCAGCCCTCACTCCCTGGTCCATATGTACCACATTTTCTTTTCTTTTCTTTTTTATTTTTGGTTTTGTTTTTGTTTTTGAGACAGAGTCTCCTTCTGTCACCCAGGCTGGAGTGCAGTGGTGCAATCTCGGCTCACTGCAACCTCCACCTCCTGGGTTCAAGCAATTCTCCTGCCTCAGCCTCCTGAGTAGCTGGGACTACAGGGGCGCGCCACCACACCTAGCTAATTTTTGTGTTTTTAGTAGAGACAGGGTTTCACCCTGTTGGACAGGATGGTCTTGATTTCCTGACCTCGTGTTCCACCCGCCTTGGCCTCCAAAAGTGCTGGGATTACAGGTGTGATGTACCACATTTTCTTTCACCAGTCCACTGTTGACAGGGCACCTGGGTCAATTCCATGTCTTTGCTATTGTGAACAGCACTGTGATGAACGTACGAGTGCGTGTGTCTTTTTGGTAGAACGATTTGTTTTCCTTTGGGTAATACGCAGTAATGGCATTGCTGGGTTGAGTGATAGTTCTGTTTTAAGTTCTTTGAGAAATCTCCAAACTGCTGAACTAATTTACATTTCTACCAATAGTGTATAAGTGTTTCCTTTTCTCTGCAACCTCTCTAACATCTGTCTTCTTTTTAAATTTTTTAATAGCTATTCTGACTGATGTGAGATGGAGATGGTATCTCATTGTAGTTTTGATTTGCATTTCTTCAGTGATTAGTGATGTTGAGCGTTTTTTCCTGTGTTGGTTGACCATCTGTAAGTCTTCCTTTGAGAAGGGCTGTACATTGGGTGAGTTTTCAGATGTGTCTGAGGATATGTTTTAGGTGAGAGGCACATACATTTAACAGAGGTTATGGAAGACTTCTGTGCTGGCAAGGCTCTTTGGAACACAGTGATGAGTAAGATGCTGGACCTATGCTTGTGGGCTTTCGTGGAGTTGTGGAGGTGGAAGGGAGGTCAGGTAGGCAGGATGGAAGTCAGGAGTCTCTGCTGAGGCACCAAGATGTAAAGCATGTCCCATTCCTGAGGATGGGTCAAGGTATTTATAAAGGTGTTAGCTGAAAAAGTTACAACTGTATTACTTGGAGAACTGTCTATGTGTCTCCTTTGCTTAGGGAGGGATGGGGTGTTCAATTCTGATGTGGGATCAGCGAGGAGATGAGCTATCTGGCTGCAATGACAAGCAATGTAAAGGAGCATTTCAGCTAATTTGGCATCAGTTTGCCTGAGAAAGGAATTCATGACTCTTTCATGGACACGCATGGGCCGTGTGTGAATGAACTGGTGTGGGGTCATCTTAGCTGGGAAGGGGCCCTGCGCAGAAGAGAACCTAGGGGTGGAGCTTAGGATCTGCAGTAGTTGGGGAGGACCTGTGACTACCAGAATAGAGATCTTTCCCCCTGAAGAGGGAATGCAGAGAGAGGCCTCTAGCAATGGCAGGCTTATGTCCAAAATGCCTATGGAAATGCCAGCAAGAACAGATGGACAGCATCGTGAGTCCTCAGATATGATGCCCGGGGTAGGACACAACCCCTGCATGGAGTGTTCCAGCTGGAATCTAACCATGAGAAGACATCAGACAAGCCCCAAATGAGTAGCATGCTATTTTTTTTTGGGTGGGGGGGATGGAGTCTTGTTCTGTCGCCTAGGCTGAAGTGCGGTGACACAATCTTGGCTCACTGCAACCTCCGCCTCCCAGGCTCAAGCAATTCTCCTGTCTCAGCCTCCCTGGTAGCTGGGATTAGAGGCACACGCCACCATGCCTAGCTAATGTTTTACATTTTTAGTAAAGATGGGGTTTCACTATGTTGGCCAGGCTGTCTAGAACTCCACCTCGGCCTCCCAAAGTTCTGGGATTACAGGCCTGAGCCACCCTGCCCGGCCCTATAGTTTTTTAAATGGGGGACCACATATTATTTTAAAATGTCCTGGTCATGAAAGACAGAGAACAGCTATAAAAAACATGGCAACTGACTGCAGTACCTGATCCTAAGCCAGATACTGATTGGAGGGTAGAAAGTGTCAGAAAGGACATTGTCTGGTCAAATGACAAAATGGGAATGTGAACCATAGATAAGATAAAAGCATAGGATCAGTATTAGATTTGCTGAAGTTGATAGTAGTGCTGGGGTCATATCAGAGAATTGTCCTATTTTTAGCAAATGGACACTGAAATACGGGCATGATATATGTGACTAACTCTAAAATGGTTCAGGAAGTTATTTTGTATGTATGTATTATACATGCAGAAAGAATATGAATGATCAAGCAGCTGTGTAAAAGGTTAGCAAAAGGTGACTCGGTATAGAGTGGTCCATGTACCATTTCTCTTGCAACTTCTGTAAATTTGCAGTTGTCTCCAAACAAATATGTAAGAAAAAATGACCATGAGTGCCCAGCTTTCAGCATCTATCGCTGAGGCCTAGAGTGTGAAGCTGGCGTGATTCCACTGGCCTTTCCTGGTCTTCTGGTTGTTCTCCTCTCTCCACATCCTCTGCCTCCTCCAAGGTGAAATCAGAAAGTGAAGTAGGCAACAGGGAGTGGGGCCGACATCAGACAGGAAAGAGAGAAGGGATCGTGGGGAGGAAAAATCTTAGCTTTGGCTGTCAGGTGGGTCTAAATTATTTTAATTGGATCATTACCATTTGCAACAGTTTCCAGAGGCTTGATCAACTTTTTCTTTTCCCAAATCCAGGAGCAGGGGAAAGAGCCTTCCCCACTGAATAAATTTTAAAACAACAGTGGAAGACAAATATGTTTTCTGATTATGTCATACAGGTTCTTAATGGTCACCATACCCATTGCACAGACAAATTCTAGGGCAGTACTAGAATGAAGGTAGTGTTTGGGATTCTGGAGGAGGCAGTGACGAACCCTGTGTGGTAGGGTGGAGTAGGATGGAGGACAAAAAAGTCTTCCTTTGGCAGTGGAACTTTGAGGGTGAGCTTACAGCAGGATAGATGAAGGGTGTCCCAGGTAGAAAATGGCACTGATGCTGCTGGTAACATGGGAATACAATTTGTAAACCAAAAGGTATCTGAGGCAGGTCTCAATCAGTGTGAAAGTTTATTTTACCAAGGTTAAGGTGATGCCTGGAAGGAAAAAAAAGAAACAAACACAGAATCACAGAAATAGTCTGTGGTCCTTGCCTTTCTCCAGAGATGATTTTGAGGACTTTGGTATGTAAAGGGCAAGAGTGTGCTGGAGGGGAGGCAGGGAGGGTATGGTAAAACACATGTTGCAAGGGAAAAGGAGCAGGTAGCGGAATGTTAATTATGTATTCGTCTCATGCTCAGCCTCATGCACTTTACATAAGATAAAGTGAACATAGAGTAGCTACCTGTGGAGATATTTAACCTTTTATCTGTAGCTATCTGCTTAGGAATAGGAGGAAAGGCTCTTGCATGACTCAGCTTTCAGGTTAATTTTTTTCCTTTTTGGCATAATAAATTGGGGTCCGAGTTTTTATTTTCTTTCACAAGTTTCTGGCAGAGGGAAGGAAAAACTTGGGAAAGGCACAGAAGAGTGCTGCATGGTTTACATTTGTGAGACCTGTTGTGAATTTGGAATGGCTGGAGTGAAGTATTCATGGGGGAGATGTTTTAAAGGAATGAAACTGGAGAAGTGCAGGGGCCACGTGAGAAGTCTGACATTCCTGGCTAATATTCTTTCTACCACACCAAACAACAATAATATCGAAGGCCTCTGGATATTTTCATGGGTGAGCTGTTACAGATGTGTCCCGTCAGCACTTGGGAATCACCCTGATTGCTGGCAGTGACTTGAGTCCTAGAACCTTGTTGCTCAGTGTGGTCTCAGACCAGCAGCTTGTTAGAAATGCAGTCTCAGACCCCACCCAGACTTGCTGCATCAGAGTCTGCATTTTAACAGGATCTCTAGATGATTTGACTGCACACTAAAGTTTGAGAAGCGC
Source organism: Homo sapiens (assembly GCF_000001405.40). Taxonomy (NCBI): domain Eukaryota; kingdom Metazoa; phylum Chordata; class Mammalia; order Primates; family Hominidae; genus Homo; species Homo sapiens. The sequence goes on from NC_000003.12 coordinate 4,607,302, forward strand.
TGTTGTTAGAATTCAGTTATCCTGCAGGTCAGTGTTTCTCAGAGTGTGGTTGCAGGGCCGCTTGCCTTAGAATCACCTGAGTACTTGCTTAAAATGAGGATTCCTAGGCCACGCTTCCACCCAGGTCCGTGTGTTTTAATAAAGTCCCCTTATAAACCACCCAATGGGTTCTTCTTGCCCACTGCCCAAATGGGGCCGATTGATCAAGGCAGGGGAATTGCAAGAGAGAGAGTTTTATACACATAGTGCTGACTAAATGGAAGACTGGAGGTTTATTATTGCTCAAATCAGCCTCCCAGAGAATTTGGGGGCAAGGGTTTTTTCAAAGGTTGGTTGGGGAAAGGTGGGGGTGGCAGGCAATGGGTGCTTGCTGCTGATTTGTGGGGGTGCAGTCATACGGGTGTGGGTAATGGTCCTCTGGTGCGCTGAGTTGCTTCTGGGTTGGGCCACTCAGGAGCAGTTGGCAGGTCCAGGTGGAGGCCATCAGTAGTCAGATTTGCAACAAAACTTGAAAAGATACCTCAAAAGGCCAATCTTAGGATCTACCACAGTGATGTTACCTGCAGTAGTAATGGGTAAGTTGCATATCTTGTGACTTCCGGAATAATGGCTGCCAATTGATTATGTCTACACCTTAGCAGAATTCAGGCTCGTCCATCTGCCTAGCCTGGTAGCCTCTCATTAGCTTTACAAAGGGTTGAGTTTTGGGGAAGGGCTGTTATCATTTATACTGTAAACTAAATGTCTCCCAAAGTTAGCTTTGCCTAAGCCCAGAAACAGTTAAGGGCAGTTTGAAGGTTAACGGGAAGATGAGGGTTAGCCAGATCAGATCCTCCCCACTGCTACAATTTTCTCAATGTTATACATTTTGCAAAAGCAGTTTTACCCTGGCAATTATGATTTACTCCGAAGTTTGATTTACTCCAGAATCCTCTGGAGCATTGTATCATTTTAAAACCTTCTCCATGTGACTGTCAGGAGCAGCCAGGGTTGAGAATCACAGCCCTACAGGATTTGAGGCAGAGGTGTCAAGTGTAGAATTCCAGCCATCAAGTAGGATTCCAAGAAGTACAGCAAAGAAGCTTCTTTTGAGACACGATTCAGAAGGGTCTAGAATGCTTTTTGCTACACTCACTCTGTTGTATTCATCAGTCCATCTTCCCACTTTTGCTAACTTTAGGGCATTGGTTCTCAAGAAGGATAGGGAGGAAGGTTTCCTCCTATGGATCTCATTTGGGGCTGATTTTAGCCCCCAGAAGACATTTGGTAATCTGGAGACAGTTTTGATTGTTAGAACTAGGGAGTGGGGTGCTACTGATAGCCAATGTGTAGAAGCCAGGGATGCTGTTCAGCATCTTACAAGATACAGGACACCCCCACAATGAGGAATTACAGATGACACCCAAAATATCAGTGGTGCCCGGGCACGGTGGCTCATGCCTATAATCCCAGCACTTTGGGAAGCCAAGGCAGGTGGATCACTTGAGGTCAGGAGTTTCCGACCAGCCTGGCCAATGTGGTGAAACCTCATCTCTACTAAAGATACAAAAATTAGCCTGGTGTGGTGGCACACGCCGGTAATCCCAGCTACTTGGGAGGCTGAGGCAGGAGAATTGCTTGAACCCTGGAGGTAGAGGTTGCAGTGAGCCGAGATCACGCACTGCACTCCAGCCTGGATAACAGAGTGAGACTCCGTCTTTAAAAAAAAAAAAAAAAAAAAAAAACAAAAGAAAACAACAACAACAACGAAATATATATATATATATATATATATATATATATATATATACACACACACGTATGTCAGTGGTGGTGTTGAGACATCCTCTTCTAATCTAATCACCATTTTGGAGGGGTGGGGTCATTCTTGAGGTGCCATCCTTGAGAATCTCTACTATGATAAGCCTCTATTTGGGGTGGGAAGGTATCATATCTTTCAGGTGGTGTTCTGGGGAAAAGAAAAAGCTTGACAGTCATTGTTCTTGGCAGATATTTGGACTGAAAAAACCTGTTTGGTGGTAGGCTGTGTTTGCTAGGATAAAAATAAAAGGTAAGCAAAGGAAACATAGGTCATGAAATAAGAAAGCAGCTTTTCTCTTTATTTAGGGTATATACACGACGTTTTTGAGTAAGTCCTGATTCGTCTAATTAGTTGTTTCTTGTTGGGCTTAGGGTGGGCGAAAGGGTCTCTTTGGAAGGAATGTGTTCATTAGGGGTACGTTGAATATGTACAGATGTCAAAACTATATGAGGCCATGGCCCACCTCACACGTGGTCGGGGCTGGATGGGAAATGCTGGGATGGAGGGGGAAGGACTCTGGTGCTCAGGGCTGGGTCACAACGTATTCAATGGAGAACATGGAGGGATGGAATGGGACAGATGGGGTGGTGGCTTGGCCACCTCACATGTGGTCGGGGCTGGTTGGAAATGCTAGAATAGAGAGGGAAGGACCTTGGTGCTCAGGGCTGGGTCACCACGTATTCAATGGACAACATAGAGGAATAGAACAGGACAGAGCTTCCTTTGGTCCTTCTTGTCTCTCTGTGGAGAAACGGGGCCAAACCAGCAGTGACAGCTCTGCTCAGCCTGCCATGTTGCCTTGAACTCTGAGAGCAGGACACGTGAGGAAAAGGCACTGTTGCGGACTAAGGGATGCCCGGCCCAGATGAGCAAGGGAGGGGGGACCAGGTCAGCTGTACTTGATGTTTCCATTCTACATGGTGGGCTGTATCAAGAAGTCTGGCCCACTGCACAGAAAATTCATTCTAGGGCCACTGTGCTGGCTGGAATGCAACAGATTTCTGTGGCATCTCATTCTTTGCTTGTCATCATCCATCCCTCTTCCTGTCCCACCCATTGGCTTGTCCAGTGGATCCTGCAAAGCTCAAATGAGAAACCTTCTTACTGCCTCTCCCATCTCTACCTGGGCTGGGTTAGTGCTCCTCTGTGCGCCAGACACCTTGGAGTTTCCTGTTGGTTCCTCCCTCTCCCTGATGACACTCGGGGACCAGGTTTTATTGACTTTGTATCTGCAGCACACAAGCACTTAATAATTGTTTGAATGAGAGAGAAATAAAATTGCTTCAAGAGAGACAGTCTGCTCTTCCTTTGTGTAGTGGGAGTTCCTGATAGGAAAAGAGTTTTTCCTGGAGGATCTCGATGACCAAGCCAATAGCTTATGTAATTCCTTTCATGCCAGCTGCTCCAGGCTTTCTGAATGCCCTTTTGTAGATGTGGCATATCCTCAGAGATTCTTAAGTATTGTCATTTTTTTTTAAATAGCCAGCGGAATGCACAGGGAAATTTCATTTGCCTTTAATGAGGTACTGAGAGGTACTGAGGATGTAGAGTTCTCCTCAGCAAAGGGTTTAACCCGAAGTCCATGGTTACTGTTTGTTACTCACAGATCTAACTTAGGGCAGGGCATTCTCATTTTTTTTGTGCACCACTTATTCCACAGGTCCGCCCAGCTATGGCCTCCTTTCCAGAACATACTGGTTTTCAGGTGGAGTGGCAAATTTTCTTTTTCCTTCCCTTTCTCTTTCCCTTTCCTGTTCCCTTTCCCTTTCCTTTCCTCTCTCTCCCCTTCCCCCTTCCCCCCCTTCTCCTTCTCCTTCCCTTCCCTTCCCTTCCCCTTCCTCTTCCCCTTCCCCTTCCCCTTCCCCCTTCCCCCTCCTTCTCCTTCTCCTTCTCCTTCCCTTCCCTTCCCTTCCCCTTCCCCTTCCTCCCTCCCTCCCTCCCTCCCTCCCTCCCTCCCTTCCTTCCTTCCCTTTCTGTCTGTCTGTCTTTCTTGACTTAAAGAAAAATAACTGCCAGCCATGGTGGCTCACGCCTGTTATCTCAGCACTTTGGGAGGCTGAGGAGAGTGGATTGCTCAAGCACAGGAGGTTGAGACCAGCCTGGGCAACATGTCAAAACCTCATCTCTACAAAAAAAAAAACAAAAAAAAAACTATATATGTACAAAAATTAGCCCAGCTGAGTGCAGTGGCTCACGCCTGTAATCCCAGCACTTTGGGAGGCCAAGGCGCGTGGATTACTTGAGGTCAGGAGTTTGAGACCAGCTTGGCCAACATGGTGAAACCCCGTCTTTACTAAAATTAGAGAATTTAGCTGGGCATGGTGGCACGCACCTGTAATCCTAGCTACTTGGGAGGCTGAGGCAGGAGAATGGCTTGAACCCAGGAGGCAGAGGTTGCAGTGAGCCGAGATCACGCCACTGTACGCCAGCCTGGGTGACAGAGCGAGACTCTCTCTCAAAAATAAATAAATAAATAAATAAATAAATAAATAAATTAGCAGGTGTCGTGGCATGTGCGTGTAGTTCCAGGTACTCGGGAGGCTGAGGTGAGAGAGTCACCTGTTCAGAGGGAGGCCGCGGCTGCAGTGAGCTGAGATCATGCCACTGCACTCCAGCTTGGGTGCCAGCGAGACCTTCTCTCAAAAAATAAACGAAAATAAACTTGCTTTGAATTCAATGAATACTTGCTTGGTTTTTATGAAAATTTTACACTTGAAAATAAATTTCATAGATGATTTTTAAAACTTCCTATTGTAAAAATAATTTAAGCCTATTTATGAATCAAGAGAATAAAAGTACAATGACTCTCCATGCACAGTGGCTTTCCATGTCTGAAGGTTCCAATCCACAGATTCAACCAACCTCAGGTCAAAAATACTCAGAAACCACCTCCCCCAAATAGTAATACAACAATTAAAAATAATACAAATAAAATTATAGCATAACAAGTGTATCAGGCCCTTTTTTTTTTTTTTTTTTTTGAGATGGAGTCTCACTCTGTCACCCAGGCTGGAGTGCAGTCCATGTCGGCTCACTGCAAGCTCTGTCTCTTGTGTTCAAGCAATTCTCCTGCCTCAGCCTCCCGAGTAGCTGGGATTACAGGCGCCCACCACCACGCCTGGCTAATTTTTATACATTTAGTAGAGACAGCGTTTCACCATGTTGGCCAGGCTGGTCTCGAGCTCCTGACCTCAGGTGATCCGCCTGCCTCGGCCTCCTAAAGTGCTAGGATTACAGGCGTGAGCTGCCGCACCTGGCCACTATATCAGGCACTTTTGAGCATCTGTGGATTATGGAATCCAAGGGGTGTCCTGGGCCCAATCCCCCATGGATACCAAAGGACAATGGCAGTACCTCAACACCCACCTTTAACAATGACCAACTCATGGCTAATCTTGTTTTTTTCTATATCCCCCCACTTCTGTCCCCCTGATCATTTTGAAGTACATGTCAGACATCATCTCATTTCATTAGAGATTACATTTTAAAACTGCTGCTTATTGTCTGGGCATGGTGGCTCATGCCTGTAATCCCAGCACTTTTGGAGGCCAAGGCAGGCGGATCACCTGAGGTCAGGAGTTTGAGACCAGCCTGGCCAACGTGGCGAACCCCCGTCTCTACTAAAAATACAAAAATTAGCCAGGTGTGGTGGTGGGGGCCTGTAATCCCAGCTACTGGGGAGGCTGAGACAGGAGAATTGCTTGAACCCAGGAGGCGGAGGTTGCAGTGAGCCAAGATCCTGCTCCTGCACTCCAGCCTGGGTGACAGAGTGAGACTGCATCTCAAAACAAACAAAAGTAACAAAACTGCTGCTTATTAATGTTTTAAAGCTGTCTGGATATGTGAATCCCAAATATCAGAGACAGATCTCAGTCAAATTAGAAAGTTTATTTTGCCAAGGTTAAGGACGTGCCTGTGACACAGTCTCTGGAAGTCCTGAGACATGGGCCCAAGGTGGTTGGGGGTACAGTTTGCTTTTATACGTTTTAGAGAGACATGAGACATTAATCAATATGTGTAAGATGTACGTTGGTTGGGTCCAGTAATTTGGGACAACTCAAAGTGGGGGCTTCCAGGTTAGGAGTAGATAAGAGACAAAAGGTTGCATTCTTCTGAGTCCTTTGTCAGTCTTCCACTAAATATACAATTTAGTCTGGCTCAGTGAATCTGTATTTTTACATAAACAATAGGGGAGAGGAAGCAATCAGATATACATTTGTCTCAGGTGACCCTCAGAGGGATGACTTTGAATAGAATGGGAGGCTGGATTGCCCTAAGCAGTTCCCAGCTTGACTTTTCCCTTTAGCTTAGTGATTTGGGGGTCCCAAGATTTATTTTTCTTTCACGGAAGAGGGAATTGGGGGGAACTTCCCTCTGTTGCTGCTCCTCTAGGCACTTGTCCTTGGGCCAGGGAATGCTCATTGCCTGAGTTTCCTGTGGGTGACGCAAATACCAAGGCCATAAGGGGAGTCGGTGATGTCATCTCTCTCTCTTCTGCCTTTCTCTCTTCCTTATAGACCAGCAGCCTCCAACCTCCAAACCCTGACAAAACAAAGCATGTTTTTCCAGCAGTGCAAATTGGACATTGTTATCTTTTTACATGAAGGGAAAATTTGTTTTCCATTATCAGCAGGATCATCCTTCTTTTCATGGGGACATGAAAAGCATTTTATTTTTATTTTTTATTGAGGTATTTCATATATGCATGTGTATACAGATATATAGGCATATATGCACACGCCTTAAATGTATAGCTGGATGGAATTTTGCATATGTGCATTTCCACATGGCCCACACTCAGATTGAGATAGATAACATTTCCAGTCCCCAAGAAGGTGCTTCTTTCCAGAAAATACCACCTCCACCTCTACCCCTGACAGAGATAACCACTGTTTTAATGCTGTCACTCTAGTTGCGCCTGTTTTTGAACTTCATGTAAGTGGATTCATTCAGTATAAATGGACTCTTTGATTTGGCATCTTTCACTCCAAATAATGACTGTGATACAAAAAAATTAGCCAGGCGTGGCAGTGCATACCTCTAGTCCCAGCTACCTGGGAGGCTGAGGTGGGAGGATCTCTTGAGCCTGGGAGATGGAGGCTGAAGTGAGCCTTGATCACGCCACTGTGCTCCAGCCTGGGTGACAGAACAAGACCTTATCTTAAAAAACAAAAACAAATAACGATTGTGAAATTCATCCATGTTGTAACAGTAGCTTGTTTTTCATTGCAGTGTGGTCTTCCAGCGTTGCAGTGTAACGTGGCTGTGTCACCTGTTTATCCCTTCTATCATACCATAGCAGCTAGTATTTATTGAATGTTTACTCTGTGCCAGGATCTGTTTGAAGGACTTCAAGCAAAGTAGTTTAATTTTTAAAGTTAATTTCTGAGTTAGCTATGTGGTTATTACCTCTTTATAGTCAGGAAACTAAAACTTATAGAGATTAGATAATTTTCCCCCAAATCATACAGCTCACATGTGATAGAGCTGGAGTTTCAACCCAGTCCGTCAGGTTCTAGATTGATGAACACTTTAGTGCTTCCAGGTCTAGATTTTCTGCTAGACGCATGACATGCAACTTGAGCTTTTACAACAGGCATGCAGTTTCTGGGTGATGATCTCTTTTCTGGAGGAAGACATGCAGACACAGAGAGCTTTCAGCACATAGACAAGGCTGCTCACCCAGGGAGGGGAGGAAACAGGGTTGTTGGAAACCTGGAAACCTGGGTTTCTGGATTCCCTTTCTCTTATTTTTTTCAGCGTTTTCTTGGGTGATGGTGAAAGCCTTTGTGTATTTTCATTCCCAGCAGAGCACAATGCCTTATCACTCTATGGTTCAGCTAGGACTCTTGTTTGCAAACAACAGAAACTGACTAACATAAGCCCAAAAGGAAACTGTTCAAGAATATTGTATAGCTCACAGAATCAATAAGGAGGCTTGGAATGGGGCCCAGGCACTATGGGAGGCATGGCTGCGGAGCCAGGTCCATGTGTGGGAACCTTTGGAAGGGTGCTGCCTCTGTCACAGTGACCCCTGTCCCGTACTGACACTTCTCCACATTGCTCCTGGACCTCTGACCCAGTTATCACAGTCTTTAATAAGCCCTGAGTCTTCTGCAGCCTTCTCTCCAGGTGCAGAAGTCAGGGCAGAGCATCTGAACAACTAAGTGTGGGCAGGTACCTGTGTTCGGGCTACTGGTTGGAAGGAACCTCTGGCCCCTTTTGTCTTCCACAATGGGGAGAGGACTTGCCTTTCCAACTGATTTCTTTCTTTTTTTTTTTTTTTTTTTTGAGATGGAGTTTTGCTCTTGTTGCCCAGGCTGGAGTGCAATGGCACGATCTCGTCTCACTGCAACCCCTGCCTCCCGGGTTCAAGTGATTCTCCTGCCTCAGCCTCCCGAGTAACTGGGATTATAGACATGTGCCACCACGCCTGGCTAATTTTGTATTTTTAGTAGAGATGGTGTTTCACCATGTTGGTCAGGCTGGTCTCGAACTCCTGACCTCAGGTGATCCACTCGCCTTGGCCTCCCCAAAGTGCTGGGATTACAGGAGTGAGCCACTGAGCTTGACCCCAACTGACTTCTTATCACCTTTCCCTGTGTTTAAGCTGATCCACATACAGTAATCATTGTAAGTAGCTAAATAAAAGTTTAATTGCTTGAACTAGATCAGGTCAAAAAGGAAGTTTCTCCTCATGTTTCCAGTTGATTAATGTGTTGGTGAGTGGTGGACCTGCAAGCAGGAGAGGTGGTTAAAGGCAGAGGGCAGCAGCCTGGGGTGTTGTCAGCTCGAGTTTTCTATTTAGAGAAAGCATCTGGTTGTCTGAAGTGGGGAAAAAATTAGCTCATCTTTTGTCTTCTAATAACACGGTCTATGTTTTTTGCAGATGGGTAATGGGAGGGTTTTTGGCATTTCCAATTGGAAAATGTCACTTAACTTCAAAAGGCTACCGTCATGGCTGGAGAAATGTGATTAGCATGCAGCAGACACAACAGTGTTTCACTGGTTTCCTCTTGTACTGAACTGGAGTTAATTGCTTGTTTATGGAAGGCTTGCTGGAGATTTTCCTTGTGTTAACTGCAATTTTAGATTATTCTTCTACCTTGACTATCCATTCATTTATTAATTGATCCTGTGTTTACTGAATATATCAGGAATAGAATGATTAATAGAGCAAATAAGCCCTGACCTCATGAGGCTTACAGTCTAATAAGTTTGAATTGGGTTAGTTCTTAAAATATGGATTATTTTATATTCCCCTCTCATTACTACTTTTAAATCTTAACCCCCTTGGTGGGGAATTAATACTCCCTCTTCCCTGTGTTAATCATTTTGTCTTTTCCTTCTGAAATTTTTATTCTCTTTCCTCTTATCCTTTTCAAAAACAGGAAAAGATATGAATGCTGAACACTTCCCATTTTCATATTCACTGCTTGTGTATATCACCTATTGATTTCATCTCATATAAAATTGCATTTATATATGCTGGCTGAATGAAGAATTTTTAAAACAATGGTAGCTCGTGGATTGTCTTTTTGGTCAATGAGATGGTTTTGAAGAGTTCAGATTCTGAAAGAGAAGGGACTATGTTTAATTGCTGCAACTCCAGCCAGAGTGTTGCCTGGGGTGTGGGGTAATAAGAAAGAATGAAATAGATTATTTATTGACCTCAAGGACAGGGTGTAGCAGAGATGGGCTGGATGCACGGGAAACTCCTATCTTCTTCCTGGGCACAGCTAAACTTCATTTCTTAGCTTGTCTGCATCATGGTGGGGTCTTGTGATTTCATTATCACTGAAGACATGTGAGTGCGAGTGTTGCGTTGCCTCCAGGCCAAAGCAGTGAAGAGTCGGTGTGCCTTCTCATCACTCTCTTCCCTACAGCGTCCTTCTGCTTGTGGACGTAGTGAGATCAGAGAACCTATGTGAGAATTTCTTTGGAATGTGTGCCCTATAGCAGAATGGCTGGATTACATGTTATAGGTTATACATATGTACTTACTTTGACTTATACCAGTTGCCACTCACAGTAGTGGCCCCAGTGTGAGCATTCATCAGCAGTGTAGGAAGATTTCTCTGTCCCCATTGATACTTGGCATTTTCCAGTGTCTTAGTCTATTTGTGCTGGTATAACAGGATACCACAGACTGGATAATTTATAATGAGCAGAAACTTGTTGGCTCACAGTTCTGGAGGCTGGGAAGTCCAATGTCAAGGTGCCAGCAGGTTTTGGTGTCTGGTGATGGCCTGGTCTCTGCTCTCAAGATGGTATTTCAAATACTGCATCCTGTGGAGGGGAGGATGGCTGTTCTTCATAGGGCAGAAGGACAAAAGAGCCAAGAGAGAGACCTGCCCAACCCCAAAAGCTCTTGTGTTGAGGCATTAAGCCCACTCATGATAGTGAAGCCCTCTAATCACCTCTTCAAGGCTCCACATCCCAATACCATTACATTGACAATTAAATGTCAGCATGAGTTTTGGAGGAGACAAACATTCAAATCATAAGATCCAGATTTTGTTGTTTCTTGTCAGTCTGTAGTTGTGAAAAACTGAACACCAATTGAGTACCAAAAGGTGGTTAAAAAAATTGAAATATTGGCTGGGCTTGGTGGCACATGCCTATAATCCCAGCACTTTGGGAGGCCAAGGTGGATAAATCGCTTGAGCACAGGCATTTAAGACCAGCCTGGGCAACATGGCGAAACCTTATTTCTATTAAAAAATGCAAAAAAAAAAAAGGCTTACAGGCTTACACCTGTAGTCCCAACTCCCTGAGAGGTTGAGGTGGGAGGATCACCTGAGTCTTGGAGGTTGAGGCTGCAGTGAGCAATGATGGTGCCACTGAACTCCAGCCTGGGCAACAAAGTGAGACCGTGCGTATCTCAAAAAAAAAAAAAAAAGTTTTATTTGATATATGCACATCCTTTAAAAAGTCAAATATAGGGTGTTGAGGAGGTGGGGGGTAATTAACTGCTTAATAGGTACAGAGTTTCCTTTTGGGGATGATGAAATGTTTTGGAACTAGATAAAGACGATGGTTTTACAACATTGTGACTGTAGTAAATGCCACTGAATTGGTCACTTTAAAATGGTTAATTTTATATTATGTGAATTTCACCACAAAAAAGTCAAATACTGATAAACATAACAGTATGACACCTCACGCCTTCTCACTTTCCAGAGGCAACAATTTCAAATATTTTAACATTTTCTTCTGATATTTACCACTGTGTTTCTAGATGATGTGTGTCTCTTGATGTCTGTAGATGAATGTATTTTAAATAACATTTGTCAACTTACTGTTATTGTTAGCTTTGTGACACTTCTCTGTTCCTCCTCCATCCTCCCACTAGAGTTATGTCCCAGTTTTCTGGCTAAACTAATATTCAGTCTTAATATTTTTATGACTATGTAAATATTGTTCGCTAATGAGCCAAAGACATATTGGAATTTTCATATGCAACCTTCCCCTAGAGTTAGTGATTGTCTTATTTTTCTTTATTTGCATAGCTCTTTTGTAGCGTTTACCGAGTCTTCCCTCTCTCCAATTCCTCAGCATGTTTTCCATGTGCCGGATCCATCGGATGATCTGACCCTCCTGTTCCTCACCACCGTCCTCTATCCCTGGAGCACTTTGCCTCTGCTCCAGGTTGTAGCAGTGACATGCCCTACATGGTGTCACTGTGGGACTTTCTTTCTCACATCTGTCTGTGGGATGGATGACTAGCATTAAGCATATTAAGCATACTGTCTCGACTATAGAACAAGGGTTGGCATTTGAGCTGGGCCAGGGCAACCTCTTTGATAAACAACCACACAACTATTTAAAAACTGTTCTCTCCATTTTTTGGTGGAGTACAACCTCCAGCAGCTTCCTGATTTTAGACTTGACTTTATTGTACTTTCATACCTTGTTGTTATTTCGATACAGTTCAGAATTCTAGATTGAGAATTCTTTTTAGTCAGTGTTTTTAAGATACTGCTGTGTTATATTTGAGCTTCCAGGGTTGCTGTGAGATGTCTGATGTTATTCTTATTCCTCTTCTTTTCTTTGAGCCTTCTTTTTTCTTGCTGGAAGCCTTAAGGATCTTCTCCTTGTCCCATTAGTCTGAAATTTTGCAATGACATGTATGGGTCTGTATTTTCTTATGCTGGGGAATTACTGGGTTCTTTCAACCTGGGGAGTCATCTCCAGTTCTAGGATATTATCTTGTATATTTCTTTGATTGTTTCCATACCTTCAGTTTCTTTTCCTGAATTTCCTCTTGTATTGGACCTATGGATTGTTCTGTAAGTTACTTTCCTTTCTTATTCTTTCTTTTGCCCCCTTTCCTTCCTTTCCTTTCCTCCTTTCTTCTTTCCTTACCTACCTCTCTCCTCACTCCTCCCTCTCTCCTTTCCTCTCCTTCTGCCCCTTCTCCAACTTCCATCCCCTTCTGCCGCCCTTTCCCCCTTCCCCTGCCCTTTCCCCTTCCCCCTTCCCCTGCCCTCCCCTGCTCTCCTCTGCCCTCCCCTGCTCTCCTCTGCTCTCCCCTGCTCTCCTCTGCTCTCCCCTGCTCTCCTCTGCTCTCCCCTGCTCTCCTCTGCTCTCCCCTGCTCTCCTCTGCTCTCCCCTGCTCTCCTCTGCTCTCCCCTGCTCTCCTCTGCCCTCCCCTCCTCTCTTCTGCCCTCCCCTGCTCTCCTCTGCCCTCCCCTGCTCTCCTCTGCCCTCCCCTCCCCTCCTCTCCCCTCTCCCCTCTCCTTCTCTCTTTTCTCTTTTTCCTCTTCCCCTTCCATTTCTCTTTGTTTTTTGTTTCTACTTTCTGTAGTACATTAAAACATTTTTTGTCATTGCATTTTAAATTTCTCAGAGTTTTTATTTGGTTGCATTTTAAAGTTATGTGCTTTTTCACTTTTGGTTATTATTTCCAGTCTTTGAGGATGTTATAGTTGACTTTTTTCCTATTTCAAAAGGTAAAAACCACTCTGAGTTTGTGAGTCATACAAAAATGGTCTGCAGTGGACCCAGTTTGGGTCTTGAGCTATAGTTAGAAGACGATGTTCCAGACACCTGCTGGAGAGAAGCCTGGCTGGGGTGGAGCCTGTGCGTTTCACCATCCCAGGTGTGGATTTTTACTTAGTCACTTTACTTCTATTTCTCCTCCTCAGTTTTACATGCCTTCGTTGTACATGGTACACGCAGCTGCAGAGCCTCAATGGTCCATTTTCTCCCAAGATTTAGTCTCCTGCAGGGTTTGAGAAGGAACAGATGTCTGGACTATATGGGGTGGGTGGACACAGGGGTCTGACTGCTCTTCCTGTGTGTTTTCATCCAATCCTCCGTTACTGGTCCTCATCCCACTCCTGTCACCCTTGATGCCTGGAGCCCCCAGTTACTAAGCCTTTCCAGGGTTCTGCAGTGCTAATTGCGTGTTTTTTCATGGTACCCTGTGCAGAAACAGAGGCCTCACTTTACTTCATCTGTCAAGCTCCATCCCTCCATCCTCTTTCCATCTTTATTTATTGCAACTTGGGAAGATTGATTTGGGTTTTGTAGAAGATGGAGTTGGGTTTTTTCTTCTAATTTTCTTTGTGGGTTTTTTTTTTTTTTTTTTTTGGTGGTAGTGAACAGTAAAGAGAGTAGAAAGGGCCTTTTTCTGCTCTGTGAAGCTTTGAATCAAGTTCAAGCTTTTGTCAGCCTGAATTAAATTATTTTTTGAATTTGAATCGGGAGATTGGGATCTCCCTCACTCCAGATGTATAGCTACAGTGGATTTGTGATACTGACTTCCTCAACTTTCCTCCTCTCCAACTCCCCATCCTTCCTCTTTTTCTGCCACCCCCCACCCTCTGACACCTTTAAATAACTGACTGTTCTATATTTTCAACTTACTAGTTGATGGACAGCCTACTCACTACTCAGCATTTCAGCTTGGATGTTTCGTATGCATCTCAAACTAAGCAGAGCCAAAATTAAAATTCTCGGTGTCCATTCCTCTCCCCACAATCCCACTCCTCATTCTTCCCTTTCTTGGTAGGTACCATCACTGTATTAGCGTAATGTTGTCGCACTGCTACAGAGAAATACAAGATATACAAGAGGCTTAATTGGCTTACAATTTCACAAGCTTTACAGGAAGCACGATGCTGGCATCTGCTTGGCTTCTAGGCAGACCTCAGGAAACTTACAGTCATGGCAGAAGGTGAAGGGGGAAGAGGCACATCACTCATGACAAGAGCAAGAGATCAAGGTGGGAGGTGCCACACACTTTTAAACAACTAGATCTTGCGAGCACTCACTCAGTATCATGAGCACAGCACCAAAGAGGTGGTTCTAAACCATTCATGAGAAATCCACCCCCATGACCCAGTCACTTCCCTCCAGGCCCACCTCCAAACTGGGGATTACAATTCAACACGAGATTTGGTGGGGACACAGATCCAAACCATATCAATCACCAATATGAAAGCTCCCTTAGGAGCATCAGCCAGGCACACCAGGTTCTTCCTTTGCTGAAGCCTTTGTGTGGTTTCCTACTGTGTTTAGGATGAGTCGATGCCTTCCCATGGCCTGCACTGCCCTGCACAGTGCAGCTTCTGCTTCCCTCTCAAGCCTTATCTTCTGCAGCTCTAGCCTTTGCCTACTACTACCAGTCCTGCTTTTCTACTCAATCTGTCAGTTTTCTTCCAGCTCAGGGCGTTTGCACGTGCTGTTCCCTCTGCCTGAGGGGCTTGGCCCGAGTTTTATGAAGGCTGGCTCCTCCTTTCTCCTCCTGCAACTCCAAGTTCAGATGCCACAGTCCTAGAGTTGCCTTTCCTGATGACCCTGTAGAAAGTGTTGCCTCCCCACCTCAGCCCTAGTGCATCCATAGATAAATTTTGCCTCCATAGTACTTCTAACTTGCTGTAATTCAACATGGATATTTGACCAGTTTGTCCCTGTCACTGGTATTGTGGTAACAGACTTGTGCAACTGGATCCCTGCTGTATTTTCAGCATCCAGTCTTGTACCAGCACATAGTAGACTTTTTTTTTTTTTTTTTTTTTTTGAGAAGGAGTCTTGTTCCGTTGCCCAGGCTGGAGTGCAGTGGCGTGATCTCAGCTCCCTGCAGCCTCTGCCTCCTGGGTTCAAACGATTCTCCTGCCTCAGCCTCCTGAGTAGCTGGGACTACAGGCGCATGCCACCATGCCCAGCTAATTTTTGTATTTTTAGTAGAGATGGGGTTTCACCATGTTGGCCAGGATGGTCTCGATCTCTTGACCTCGTGATCCGCCTGCCTTGGCCTCCCAAAGTGCTGGGATTACAGGCATAAGCCACTGCGGCCAGCCTTTGACTTTCTTTCTTTCTTTCTTTATTTTGAGATGGAGTCTTGCTCTGTCGCCAGGCTGGAGTGCAATGGTGTGATATCAGGTCACTGCAACCTCCGCCTCCCGGGTTCAAGTGGTTCTCCTGCCTCAGCCTCCTGAGTAGCTGGGACTACAGATGCCCGCCACCACGCCCAGCTAATTTTTGTATTTTTAGTAGACACGGGGTTTCACCATGTTGGCCTCCATCTCTTGACCTCGTGATCCTCCTGTCTCGGCCTCCCAAAGTCCTGGGCTTACAGGTGTGAGCCACCGCACCCGGCCTAAACATTTTAATAAGTAGTAATTGAATCCAAGAATGAACACTGGGAAGCTTAGAGCTGAAAGTGACTTCAGTGGACATATCTGCAGTTGTTTCTGGAGCACTGGGGATTGTAGCACATTTAAATCATTAATTCAACACCATTGTTGTGCTTCTACTCAATCTTTAGACCCTGGGCTACCAAAACATACAAAACAGACAGAAGTCTCTGCCTTCAGAGACCTTACAGTCTAGTGGTGAAAGTTCTAGCAGTGGGGAGGAGGGCATGGACACAGTGGGGTTTCTGCTGGTCTGGCAACCTTTATTCTTTTACTTGGTCACTGACATGGATACCTCTGAAGGTCGGCTGACTTTTTTGCTTTCTCACTTTGCTTCTGCCCCAACCCAGAGTGCTGGAAGCACACCTGTGGCTCCCCTTGCTCCCATCTCCTCTTAAGTGTGCACCACAAGTCCTGATTTGATAGTCAAACTCATCTATAAAGCAGTTGAGCATTCTCCCTCCAGCCTGGCTCCAGCATGCCCTTGATACAATGGAAGCTCACCTGTGGCCTGTTCTGTCTGGCTTCTAGCCCACCCAGCCCCTTAACGCCTGCTTCAACCCCTTTATTCAGCTGCATTCTCCTTTGCTAACTCAATGTGGCATATGCTCTAACTTTGGAATATTCCACCATAATTTTTTGAAAGCTAGCTTAGTTTATTCCTCAAAGGCCTAAAATAATACTTGTCACATAAGACATTCTTTGTGGCATTTCTTTGGGGTGAGTTCAAACAACAGTGTATGTGTGTGTGCATGCATGCATACGCACACATATGTACACACATGTGTTCTCCTTCCCCCAAATAAATATTAAATATATTCTTCTGGTTTTCCTGTATTTGTACATTTCTATACTTAGCAGAGTGTTAGGGCCCAGTGCAAGTTTAATTTTGCTCTGCTGTGCCATCCAAATAGCAAAGGGCAATATGGAACCTGCAAATTGCAAAATTTTGGAAGGTTATTCTAACATTACATTTGAATTGCTTAATTTAATTTTCACTTTGAATCAGTTGCTAAGCAACTGGGAAGGCAGGGCAAAATCAGCAAGGCTAATTTCGTTCTGTTACTAGTATGTTAGCATCTCTTATATTTACACAGACAGTTGGTTGTAAATACACTTAATGCAATGCAATACTCTGTTTCGCCCAAGGAAAATAGTTGATGTGGAAGTTGGAGCAAGGCTTTGGTTGGATTGATGTTATTTAAATACACCCTCTCACCTTAGGGGAATGTAAAGTTATCGGAAGTTTTGAGCTTGTGATGTAGCCCCTTTGTTAGGTGACGTGCTTGACTTGCTGGTACTGTGAACAGTTGTAAAATGCTTTCCATTGTCTGTTATCCTTTGGCATCATGAATCCACCCTGAGTGTCCCCCACATCTACCTAAATCAGTTTTTTGGGAATGCATACCACTTAGTGTCATCATATGAAGCATGCTGGAGAGAAAAGGTCATTTTACTCTCTATAGCTTACTATTGGTGAAAACTGACATTGTTAACCCCATTTGGTCCATAAAGTAAGTCATGTGTCAAATGTTAATGCCAGTGACTTAAATATCTTGAATATTTTAAAAAGTCATGTGGTCATTAAGGAAGCCATTCTGGCCCAACCCAGTTTCCCGAATTAGATTAAGATTAAACAGTAAGGTGCAGTGTCTCACGCCTGTAATCCCAGCACTTTGGGAGGCCAAGGTGGGTGGATCACTTGAGGTCAGGAGTTCGAGACCAGCCTGGCCAACATGGTGAAACCCCATCTCTACTAAAAATACAAAAATTAGCTGGGCATGGTGGTGAGCACCTGTAATTCCAGCCACCTTGGGAGGCTAAGGCAGAAGAATCACTTGAACCCGGGAGGCAGAGGTTACAGTGAGCCGAGATCGTGCCACTGCACTCCAGCCTGGGCAACAGAGCCAGGCTCTGTCTCCAAAAAAAAAAAAAAAAAAAAAAAGATTAAACTATAATGCAGTATTCTGTTATTTGTTGTTTATTATAGTTTTATATTATCATTAACACCTTGAAACACATAGATGCTTTGGGATAATGTTCAGGCCTGTGTCAAAGATGGGATAGTTAATGTAAACTACTGTCTCCTGGTCATGTATGGTTATTCATGGAGTGAATGGAGAATTCACATATATTAATATTAAGCTGGTAGGAAAACTGCTGCTCTGGATGTAATGTCATTAAATTGCCACTAATATAGCAAATGACCATGACCTGTGTCTTTCCTAAGAGGTGGGGAGAGCAGATTGGTCTTTTAAACTGGTCTCCTGCTTTATCTTTTGTTTTCCAAAGTCCTAGAGAGTATCTTTCATATGCAGTAGAAATTATTCAGTAGATGGATTAGATTCTTGATAAAGATAGCTATCATGGTCCCATATTTACCTTATAACTGCCTGTGACTAGGTAGAAATATTTAGTGATGAAGGAGATTACAGAAACTGGAAAAATACCTATTCTACAATTAAGTGATCTTTTTTTTTTTTTTTTCTGAACAGTCTCAGGTATTTGTGTATGCAGTACATAGTAACAGTTAATTATGGATCATGACTAGAAGAAAGAGTGATCTGAATTAGAGGAAAGACCTAGTGTTTATGTACTTGACTGCAAATCCATTTTTCTTATTTTGAGATATTTATTTGACTAGGACAATAGCTAGGTATTTACCTGTTCAAGGCACTTTAAGGGAATCGGTTTTAATGAATAGGTAAGAATAAATGTACAGTTAGTAACTTCCTTAAATGCTTGTCCAGACCTACTTTCAGGGTGTCATTTTTCTGAATATCAGTATCCACTTCAAGTTCGTTAATTTTTTATTTTTATTTTTTTGAGACAGAGTCTGGCTCTGTCGCCCAGGCTGGAGTGCAGTGGTGTGATCTCGGCTCACTGCAAGCTCTGCCTCCCGGGTTCACACCATTTTCCTGCCTCAGCCTCCCGAGTAGCTGGGACTACAGGCGCCCGCCACCACGCCCGGCTAATTTTTTGTATTTTTTAGTAGAGGCGGGGTTTCACCATGTTAGCCAGGATGGTCTCGATCTCCTGACCTCATGATCCACCTGCCTTGGCCTCCCAAAGTGCTGGGATTACAGGCGTGAGCCACCGCATCTGGCCCAAGTTCATTAATTTTACTCTTCAGATATTTACTATTTGAAAACTCAGTATGTCAAAATGTAAACTTTTCATGGGGAGTGTCAATTTTAAATATTGGTTTCCTAGAGTAGTTATTGGTTTGTTGATGACATATCCCTGTCAGAAAAATCTGGTGAAGCCCAAATATTAGCTACTTGAGAAGCTGAGGCAGGAGGATGGCTTCAGTCCAGGAGTTCCAGGCTGTAGTGTGCTATGATTGTCTGTGAATAGCCATTGCACTCCAGCCTGGGCAACATAGCAAGTCCCTATCTCTTTAAAAAAAAAATTGGTGGCTATACCCTAAACTTTCTGTGTGTGTGTGTGTGTGTGTGTGTATTTTTAAAAGTTACAAACGTGTATTATTGTAGTAACACATTGTAGGCAATATAAAACAAGTGGAAAGTAGAAGGTAATAACTCAGATTAAGATTAAACAATAATGTACCCTGTTATTTATGATGGTTTCATATTATCATTAATACCTTAAAACACATAGATGCTTTAGGGTAATGTTCATCATTAAAAACAATATTTTAAGTGGTTTTAGTTATGATTTTTAATGTCTGGATGGCTTTTTCCAGATCTGATTAGATCATCATTCTTTTTGCTTTACAAGAGCTCTAAGGGAAGGGTTGGTTCTGCCTTTTTTGGTTTGCTGGGTTGCATTACTATTACCTTTGATGTTTTGATTTTTCTGCAGAAATCTTTTGAAGCCACTTGTCCATTTTATGAATGTTGGTTATACCACATAAGACAATGTATAAAGTTGTATAAACCGAGGCATGCTAAATGGAAGCACATCGCAGTGCACTGAGAGTGAGGGGACAAGGGCACAGACTATCTAAATGCCAGTTTATATATTTTCTTTCTGTGTCCCAGAAGGTCATCTTGCACACAGTACTCAAGAGACCACTGCCCTAGGAGAGCCCTCCAAATAAGCATCTTATTTATGTATTTATTTTTGAGACAGAATCTTGTTCTGCCGCCCAAACTGGAGTGCGGTGGTGTGATCTTGGCTCACTGCAACCTCTGCTTCCCAGTTTCAAGCGATTCTTGTGCCTCAGCCACTGGAGTAGCTGGGATTACAGGCGCGTACCACTATACCTGGCTAATTTTTTGTATTTTTTAGTAGAGACGGGGTTTCACCTTGTTGACCAGGCTGGTCTCAAACTCCTGACCTCAAGTGATCCACCTGCCTCAGCCTCCCAAAGTGCTAGGATTACAGGCATGAGCCACCGTGCCGGGCCTGTAATATTTTTTCTAAATTGAATAGTACTGAAGAGAGTTGGATTTGTATAAAAAAAAAAATACTTGTATGCATTGTTGTATACAGCAAGGACTATTTGTCCTTGTATTTATTTGTTCATTGTAAAGGAAATGAGATAACTATGGGGTAGCATTAACAACGTGGCAAAACCCATCCCTACTAAAATATAAAAAATTAGCCAGGCTTGGTGGCATGTGCCTGTAGTCCCAGCTACTCAGGAGGCTGAAGCAGGAGAGTCACTGGAACCCAGGAGGCGGAGGTCGCAGTGAGCCGAGGTTGTGCCACTGCACTCCAGTCTGGGTGACAGAGGGAGACTCAGTCTTAAAAACAAAAACAAAAAAGCAAAACAAACAAAAAAAACACAAAACACTGAATTTGTACAGCTCTGCTACCAAGTGGTTCTGTAGAACAATCGACTCACTTTCTTTAAGCCTTGGTTTCCTCGGCGGTGGTGGCAATTAAATTCAAAAAGAGATTTGTCAAAGAGCTTTGTACTCTCATTTTATATCTATGTATGATGTAATTTTATGTAATTTTTTAAGTGGAAAGCCTTTTTTTTTTCCTTAGGCTGAGTCTCTATACACCCTCAATGGCAATTTCTGTTTGTTTGCTTCACTTCTAGACTGCCTCTTTAAGCTATGTCCCATGAACCGCTACTCTGCCCAAAAGCAGTTCTGGAAAGCCGCTAAGCCTGGGGCCAACAGCACCACAGACGCAGTGCTACTCAACAAACTGCACGTACGTATTGCCATGGGGCTGTCGATGGGGCAGTAGTGAGTGGCTGCCTTGGTGGTATCTGGGTGTAATGGTGGGAGACTGCTTATGCAACCCTCCAATTCTAGCAGCCAGCTTTCTACTTTTTTTTTCGTGAAGGGGTAGAAGGGAACCGACCGTAGAGAGGGATAGATCCTAGTCATCTTGAGATGTCTGGAGAGTTCTTCTTTTCTCAGCCACTCTCTTTGCATGGGTAGCTTTGGATGGAGAAGTGGTTATGAGTACAGGCACTGGAAGCAAACTGCCTGGAATGGAATCCTGCCTCCACCACTCAGCAACTGGTGCTCTTGGGCACGTTATGTGCTGTTTTCCACTTCTGTTATGTCACCTGTAAAATGGAAATGGCAGTACCCACCTCAGGAGGTCATTGTGAGGATTACAGAAAATGAGACATAAAAGCCACATGAATGGTGCCTGGCACATAATAAATGCTTGATAAGTTTTGGCTGTTAGCATTGTATCTGTTGTGTTATCTGGCATATTAAAGATGTGCTCATTCCACTGCTGACGTGCTGTGTGACCATAGCAAGTTTTTGAGCCTCTCTCATCCTGTTTCACCTTCTGTAAAATAATGACATAGTTCTTTTAGTGCCCTGCATTCCGAGGCTAATCAGGAAGTTCTCTGAGATGTTTAAAAGGAGACATGACGTATAGCCAGTGTACTAACATCGAAATTGTGCCCCATTTCCTGTTCCCTGAGCTACTTCATTTTCTCCCCGTCATGTAACATCATCTTTCTAATGTATTTTGGTTACTGGCTGCCTCCCTCCTCTGGCATGTGAGTTTCTTGAGGGCCCAGGTCTGTGTCAGTGTTGCTTGTTGCAGTGGGCTTTGTGTCTACAACAAGGTTGGGCACTTACCAGGCACTCCCATCAAATATTTCACGGAATGCACAGTGATCTTTCCTGGGGCTCAGTGATGACAGTTGAAGACCTAGAGCATCTGTGAGCCCCAAGCACCTCAAGAGGTCCTGCCTCTCACCTTGCTCCATTTTTGACCAGCGTATGGCTAAGTCACAGCCAGCTGCATTTGGTCAGGTGAGGGTCACGTGAAGGGAGTCCTACATGCAGTGTGTGTTGTTTCAGACGGGCTGTGATGAAAAGCCCAGGCTCCTCACCTCAGGGAGCTTACAGTCCAGCATGAGGACACCTAAGCTCACTCCCATTGAACCTAAAGTGAAATCCAGACTTTCTGTCATCATCTACAAGATGGTCCATGCCTGGACCCTGCTGCCCCCACAGAGGCTTCTTAACTACATTCTGGCCGTATGAGCTTTATTTTATTTTATTTTATTTTATATTTTATTTTATTTTTTGAGCACCTCAGACTCTCAACTGTCACATGACCTTTGCACCCTCAGTTTGTCCTGTTGAGAACATTGTTTTCCTGGCTCTTCTTGAGCTAGGACTTTGAGCCTTTGTGTCTCAGCCGAAGTGTCATCTCAGCAAGGTCTTCCCCTCCCACCTTATCTAAGAGATGTCTTGCTTGTTTTTCTCCATGATAGCACCCTGCTTATATCTTTCTCAGCACTGATCAGGGTCTGCAATTATATTTAGTAGCTTCGTTAATTATCACCTGTCGCTTATTAGAATGACAGCTCTACCAGGTGGTGGCATTATCTCTCTTGCTCACTGCTGTATCCCAGCTTCTGTAATAGTGTCTGGCACATAGTAGGTGCTCGGAAATAATTACTGAATAATGAATGAGCAGTGTGCTAGGTGCTAGAGATAGAAGTATAACAGTCTTAACCCTGTGGGAGCTGAATATCAAAGAATAAAGAGGCAGTGATAAGTACTATATTACAGGACAAACCACACAAAGCTGTGGGAGCACATAGGAAGGGTGCCAAATCGGTCTTTGCTGGATAAGAGGGTGTGATACAGTGGTCAGGGAGGGCTTCCTGGAGGAAGAAGGAAGTGCCGAGTAAGCCTCAGTCGGAGGCACCCATGGGATTTAGAGGGTAGAAGAAGAAGAAACAATGGACTCAAAGACTTGGAGGCTAGTGATTGCTTTGAAGACTTCTGGAATTGCATCGTTATTTGAATAATGATGATTATATCAGACATCCTCAATCCCAACAAAAGCATTGTACCTTCTTTAGAGCAAATATTATATGGCTTTATGAACATGGAATAAAATTCATAAATAATAGATACCAATTTTAAAAAATTATAAAGGAGAAATAAAAGGAAAGTAATAAATTATATAGTAAATTGAATACTCTTCTTAAGTCAATGCTCAGGGATGACTGCTCTGGAAGGCGTGAGGAAGTAAGTGCTTGCACCTCTCTGTATAAACCCCATGAGTGAGGCAGCTGTAGACTGTGACTGGTGTAGGTATATGGTATTGGCAGTGTGAAAAGCATGTTATCTGTGACGTGGTTTTCTAAAAGGGCTTCAAGCATAATCACAAAAGACATAATCTCAAGTGCCATAATCCCAAATGTTGAAATCCCTAAAAATTCAGTTCCAAAAGTCTAAATCCCTAAAGTGTAAAATCCTGAAAATCACAGTCGTAGGATATAGCTGCATGTTAGGCCAGCTCTTGTGGACTGTCTCTGTTCAAATGCCCATAATCTATTCCTGCAATACACTTTTTCTTATATCAGATTTTTAAAGTTTTTTTTTTACTATTTTAAATTGTCCGCATTATTATTATTATTATTATTATTATTATTATTATTATTTTTAAGGCAGAGTCTCACTCTGTTGCCCAGGGTGGAGTGCAGTGGCGCCATCTCGGCCTACTGCAACCTCCGCCTCCCGGGCTCAAGCGATTTTTCTGCCTCAGCCTCCCAAGTAGATGGAATTACAGGCATGCACCACCACGCCCTACTAATTTTTTTGTAGTTTTAGTAGAGGCAGCATTTCACCATGTTGGCCAGGCTGGTCTCGAACTCCTGACCTCAAGTGATCCACTGCCTCGGCCTCCCAAAGTGCTGGGATTATAGGGGTGAGCCACCGTGCTCAGCCCTGTCAGCATTATTTTTTACAATTCACTATGCTATGTGTTTAATCTTCGCATCATTTTCAATATTGGAGATTTAAATGGTGTGGCGACTAACATTAAAGAGTTCTGATTCATTTTATGCATTCTTTTGCAAGTTTAACTTCATGAAAGTGCATTGTTACAACTTGACGTGAATATGTGAAAACATGGGAACTTCCCCTGCAAATAAAGGGATGTTCTTCCTCGATGAATGAAGAGATGTTTGTGTTTGTGAAAGATAAAATTACTTGAGCTCTCAGCTCTTTGGGCGACTGCATATCCAGTGGTGACCCTCTGTGGTTTTGATCGATCTTGTGAAAAGACTCAGGTTGCTGGTCATGGTATTTCAGATGACTGCAGTATGAGCTTGGTGCACACAATCACCAACCATAGTGATACACGATTTTACATTTCCCTTTTTGACCTATTTCTTTATGGTTAATCTGCGCATAATCCCTGTGACCATTGTTAGTATACCTGAGTATTTATGCTTGCAAAAATATGTATGTTACTATTCCCCATTTTATTGTATAAAATGGCCTGTGAAGTGTTCTGTTGTGTTTTTATATGTTTCTCAAATCCTCTTTTAAAAATATCAATCTCTTTTAAAGAATTTTAAAATTATTTTTTCCGGAATTATATTTTGGGGATTTTGGTCTTTTTTGACCTTTGGGGATTTTAACATTTGGGATTATGGCATTCAGGATTGTTGTGCCTTTTGGGATTATGATCGTATCTTTTTCCAAAATAATCAGCAGTTCTTAATTATATTATGAATAATGCAAAGTACACTCTTTTCTTTCTTAAGTAGTACTTGCACGTTTGGAAAATTTATTAATAGTATTAATAAAACCATGGAAAGCTGTGATTTCTGTTGATATGTAAAATGGAGTGGGGTGCTAGGTTCAGGTAATTACAGATACCCCCAGGCTGGAATGCAGTGATGCCATCATGGCTCACTGCAGCCTTGACAACCTGAGCTCAAACGATCCTCCTGCCTTAGCCTCCCAGAGTGCTAGGATTATAGGCATGGACTACTGCGCCCAGCCGACAGATAACTTTTTAACTTATGTGAATATCCAGCTGGACATACAATTGTATGGGATAAATGATGGTTCATCCTTGCATAGGATTGTAACATGCGTTCACTTTACCCAGCATCCCTAGCTCCTGTCCACTGAACATCAGTAGCACCCTCTTCCAGTCACTGCAGCAATCCATAATCTCCTCAAAGTCTGTGCTGGGAACATGGGAATCTAGTTGAATAGGTGGGGAAGGTTGGTCAGTCCTGCATGTATGTATATTTAGTGCATATGCCCATAGGGGGCTATCTTTCTGGAGGGTCTATGTGTCTTTAGTTGTCCTCACTTTGCTTTTCTGGTATAAAGATCATTTTGTTCAGTGAGATCTTATTAATACATCTCCAACTCTTTCCTCTCCTATACTTTTTACCACAGGGGTTGTAAATTCAGATTCCTCTTGGCCATACGGGAAATCAACAGGAATAAAGTGGGCTTGGTGGGTAGTGTTGCCAAGTGGAGAGTCCCATGGGTGGGTCTGGAGGGGCAGCTCTACTTCCCTACTGTCACTGCTTGGGAATGTGGGCTGAGAGCTGCTGCCACGTCTTCCACTTTTTAAGAGAAGATAAAAATCCATGCTTTTAGTGTAGTATCTCAATTTTAAAAAGATGTTGGGAACTAATTCAATTAAGGCTTGAAATATACACTCAACACCAAAAGAAATGGCTCAGGCTGGATGTGGTTCTTCAGCCCCATTTGCAACCTGTGCTCTATATGTTATGTTTCATCAGCAAGTCCTTTCGACACTCCTTCCTATGAATGAACTGTGAAGAAAACAGCATGGTTGAAAAAAGTTCAATCATAAGGTGATCAAAAATGGTCAACTCCTTATTAAAAAGAAAAAAGAGAAAAACAGAAATCTCTCTCATGCTGTTTATGTTTTTAAAAAATAAAAAAGGAAGCCAGTTCTTTTCCCTGATTTAAGATTACTGATGTGACTTTCAGGTCTTTTTTTTTTTTTTTTTTTTTTTTTTTTGAGATGGGGTCTTGCTCTATTGCCAGGCTGGAGTGTAGTGGCACGATCTCAGCTCACTGCAACCTCCACCTCCCGGGTTCAAGCGATTTCCCTGCCTTAGCGTCCTGAGTAGCTGGGACTTCAGGGGTGCGTCACCACGCCCGGCTAATTGTTTGTATTTAGTAGAGACGAGGTTTCACCATTTTGGCCAGGATGGTCTCGATCTCCTGAACTCATGATCCACCTGCCTTGGCCTGCCAAAGTGCTGACATTACAGGCATGAGCCACTGGGCCCGGCCTCAGGTCTTGAATGTTGACTTTGTGCTTCACTTTCTGCAGTTCCTACTTTCCTACTTAGCTGGAACTTTTCCCCCTAGTGTCTTAAAGTTATCTACATATTTCATTCAATTTACATTCCCACCAGCCAATACGATGTTGTATTTTGGACAGCCACTTTGCCTTTGGAACTGATGGCCAGTCTCCAGTGGGTTTTCATTTTTATTTTTCTCAACTACTATGCAGCACCCCAATCAGAAGTCAGACTATTTTAAATTAATGCCATTTAAGGAATTAGTTGTCTAGACCACTTGACTTCCTTTTGACTAGGATGAGCAACATCAACAGCACTTTGAAGGAGAGTGACATCTAGTGGCTGGATACTGTCTATGCTTTTTCCTTCTGCAGGAATAACTGGATTTTGACTCTCTTGGTCATGTTTTCCTAAGGGTCTCTTGACAAAATGAGCTTCTTCCCATCCGCAAATCACATAAATTTCTTCTAAAGGCCATTACTACTGTTTTCTGACAGCAGCATAGCTGTTACCTTGAAACAAGCACCTACATTGTTTTGTTCTGAGAAATGATTACTTAAGTCACAGCTTTGACCAGCTAGGAAGAGCTAGAGGAGTGACAGGTCCTTATTGTCTGGGTACTACATTGCTTGTTTTTAGAAGCCTTGCTTCAATATCGCATTACATGATTCAGAGCTTGTTGACTTTAACAAAATAACCTTTCCTTACTGTTTCAGTCACCTTTCTATTGTCATTCGATAATAGTTTCTCTGTTGCTGAAATAAAATAACAGGTGGCTATGATGGGGCAGACCTTGATGTTGCTTAGGGAACATGGTGAATAATAGTGGTGGAACCATTTCATAGAGTGTTTTTTTTCCCCTTAGAAATTAAAAACAGCCCGCAACCCATTATTCAAGGGAAAAGAGTAATAGATATTTAAATTATCAGGATTTTAAAGTAATGAAAAGGTAACACATTTAAGATGCCTTTTTCTTTTTTTTTTGAGACAGTCTCACCACTCTATCACCCACGCTGGTGTGCAGTGACATGTTCCCGGCTCACTGCAGCCTCAGCCTCCTGAGCTTAAGTGATCCTCCCACCTCCCTGCCCAGTAGCTGGGACCACAGGCACACACCACCATGCCTGGCTAATTTTTGTATTTTTTGAAGAGTTGGGGTTTTGCCACATTGCCCAGGCTGGTCTTGAACTCCTGAGCTGAAGCAATCCACCCACCTCGGCCTCCCAAAGTGCCAGGATTACAGACATGAGCCATGGCATGACTTTAAAAAATTCAGAGTACCTGACACAGAGACATGATGAAGGTGTTTTTGAAGAAACTACACACTTGTATTTTAGGAGGAGTATTCCAAAATCTGTGAGTAGGAAAAGCAAAAAAATATTAATTGATGTGATTCGTAAATTGTGTTCCTCAAAGATAACCTTGGGTTTTATTTTGATGTTTTCCCTACTCTCCTACCCCCTATTCTGTTCCTGTGTCTCCACATTTTAAAGTATCAACAGGAGTGTGCTATTCACTTCCCTTTCTTGTTGCCCAGGCTGGAGTACAGTGGTGCGATCTTGGCTCACTGCAACCTCCACCTCCTGGGTTCAAGTGATTCTCCTGCCTCAGCTTCCTGAGTAGCTGGGATTACAGGCATGCACCACCACACCTGGCTAATTTTTGGGGGTATTTTTAGTAGAAACGGGGTTTGGCCATGTTGGCCAGGCTGGTGTTGAACCCCTGACTTCAGGTGATCTGCCCGCCTCAGCCTTCCAAAGTGCTAGGATTACAGGCGTGAGCCACCGTACCTGGCCTCTATCCTCATTTTTAATGGCTACACGGTTACTTCCTTGTTTGGCAGTACTGTCATTTTAGATAAGCAGCCTCTATGGGCAGACGTTAGGTAGGGAGTGATATTCAGGATCTTGACAACATTTGCCATTCTGAAAAAAGTTGTATGGCCTTGTGCATATGCCAGGTTGTCCTCTTAGGAGAAACTCCTAGAAGTGGAATTGTTAAGTCAATGTTATGTTGAGTGAAAAGTTTTTTGGTCAATATTGCCTGAGTATCCTTTAGAAAGGTGCTAACTCAGTAAAGGTACTAATTCAATATCTTTCTTTTTTTGTGGTGGGGACGGAGTCTCACTCTGTCGCCCAGGCTGCAGTGCAGTGGCACGATCTCGGCTCACTGCAAGCTCCACCTCCCGGGTCCACCCCTTTCTCCTGCCTCAGCCTCCCGAGTAGCTGGGACTACAGGTGCCCGCCACCACGCCCGGCTAATTTTTTGTATTTTTTTTTTAGTAGAGACGGGGTTTCCCTGTGTTAGCCAGGATGGTCTCGATCTCCTGACCTTGTGATCTGCCCGCCTCGGCCTCCCAAAGTGCTGGGATTACAGGCATGAGCCACTGCGCCCAGCCAAAAGGTGCTAACTCAGTATCTCACAGTGAGGGCCCATTCTTGGAATGTACTTGAGGGATTTAACCAACCAGATCTCATTCTTTCTGAGGGTAGAAACAGCCTTGATCAGTGGCCTGTAGTGTTTGTACCTTGTTACCTTTTCATCTACCTTATTGCCTTGCCTCCTGTTGAACCTAAAAAGAATCATGGATAGTTTTGTCTAAATACCAGACTTGGGTTTGTTTGTTTTTTTGTTTGTTTGCTTGCTTTTTTTTTTTGAGGCTGGAATGCAATGGCATGATCTCAGCTCACTGCAACCTCTGCCTCCTGGGTTCAAGTGATTCTCCTGCCTCAGCCTCCCGAGCAGCTGGGATTAGAGGCATTCGCCACCATGCCCAGCTAATTTTGTATTTTTAGTAGAGATGGGGTTTCTCCATGTTGGTCAGGCTGGTCTCGAACTCCCGACCTCACGTGATCCGCCCAAAGTGCTGGGATTACAGGCATGAGCCACCGCGCCTAGCCCAGACTTGGTTTTGTGAGGGGATTTATATAAAAACTAACATGTGAACTGAAATGAATTAAATTTGATATTTGTGCATTTAGAAAAGAAATGGGAAGTTTTCTCCTTAATGAGAACTTATAGGAAAAGTGAATTCTTAAAATGGTCCATAAGCTTAATACATTTAGTGCTAATTCAGTGGTGATGTGAAGGCTCAGGCATCATTAAACTTTATAACAGAATTAAAATAGTATTAACTCTTAGTTTAACAGAGTTTTGACAAAGTTTTAGATGTGATATTTGAGAATGTCTTATTTATCTGTTTTTGAGATGGAGTCTCTGTCACCCAGGCTAGAGTGCAGTGGTACTATCTCAGCTCTTTGCAACCTCCGCTTCCCGGGTTCCAGTGATTCTCCTGCCTCAGCCTCCCAAGTAGCTGGGACTACAGGCGCCCGCCACCATGCCCAGCTAATTTTTGTATTTTTAGTAGAGACAGCGTTTCACCATGTTTGCCAGACTGGTCTCAAACTCCTGACCTCAGGTGATCCGCCTGCCTCGGCCTCCCAGAGTGCTGGGATTACAGGCATGAGCCACCACTCCTGGCCAAGAGTATCTTTCTTTTAAGAGAAGTCTTTAGATATTTATTCTCCAATGTTGTTTTAATTTTCTGTTCTTCTCTTGCCTTTCATATGTCTTTTGACAAATGACTATGCTCTTTAGAGCTGCTCGTGTTTAATTAGTCTTTAATGTGGAATATGCCTTCTTGATGGTTAATTTGACATTTCTTTCTAGATGAACCAGTAACCATTGCGTTGCTGTTGTTATACTGTACTTATTCTAAGCATAGGTAGAAACATAATATTAGCATTTCTTAAACTGAAGCCATTGGACATTCTTGAGAGTAAGGGGAATGCTCATGAGCAGTTTTTCTCTTAAAGATGAGCTCTTTGATCATTTGAGTCCAAGAAATGCTACTTAAGAACTCTCTAAAGGTGAATCCTTTCAGCTTGGGCTTTGAACAGAGAAAAACCATATTTGCATGTTGGAAAATGTTATATTTTATTTTACTGAATCCATTGAGTTTTTTCCCTTTGATATTTTCCCCCTCTTGAGTTTGCAGTCAGTGTTAGCTGAGAACTCTTAAGCAGAAAGAACAAATGGCTCTCCGCAAAGAATAAGCCTTCATTCCAAATGGATGCAGTCCAATGTTATGTTTGGAAGACTACCTGCAGAACCTGTGGGTACTGTAGAAATCTCTGAAGGGAGTGTAAGCTCAGGTGTGAAATTAGGGAGAACAAGAGGTGGGAGGCTGCTAAGGAGAGTATTTATGCAGAGGAAAGAAAAGGTTCAGGAGGACTGTGCTGAGGGCAACTTGCATGCCAAAGATTGCCACGTTGCAAGCACTGGTATTATTTCTGAATGTGTCTTGCACCCAGTGGATTTTATCCTTGTGTCACTGAGAATAGCAGACTGGTAACTAATTCCAAAAGAGAGAGAGGGAAGTTTTGAATGGGCTGTTGTTTTAAAGAGCTGATACAGATGGGGTCAACTTGCAGTGATCTATGCTAACCTGTGTGGATCATTCCCCTCCTGTAATATGGTTTCATTTTGGCTTAGAATTGCTTCTGGCAGTTCATTTTTCTCAAAAGATGTGCTTTCCTAAAAACACCTGTGTTCCAGGTAGAAATGGAACAGATGCTGACTTTGAAGGAAACAGAAAGGTTCTTGACCTAGCCAACTTAGGTCACCTTTTGAAATGTTAATCAGCAGAACATTTCTTAGTGTTAGAAAGTAGCGTATAATAATAATGGTTAAAATTTATGATCAAATGGCAATTATGTGTCTGGCATACATTTTCTCTGATCTCTACGATGGCCCTAAAAGGCTTGTATTGTCCCCATTTTGTGATGAGAATACTGAGTGAGGCTTGGTGGGATTCAGTAAAGAGGACAAGATAATGAAGCCGGTAGGTAGGCGACCCAAGACCACGTCCAGAAGACTCTGTGAAAATGAAGACACATTACCTGGGAAAGAGGACCCACTGGCACCTGGTAGCATCTGGCCCCAAGGAAAGGAGACCCTCTAGGAAGAGTGCCTTCGAAACCCTTCTGAAGAACACTCTTATCATCAGGGTTTTACCATCCATCAGATTCAATACTGAATTTCTTCTCAGTTATTTTACTTCCCTTTCACCAGTCTATGTTTGGGAGATGGGTTGGGATAACAGTTTGCTGACTGCCTGGGATGAAGCCCGTTGCCCTTTACCATTATTGTAGTGTGGTAACAGTGCTTTCAGAGTTGCACAGGTGAATGAATTCGGGAAGGTGGCCCTGCCAGACTATTCTAGAACCTTCTATTCAGCTTTACCATGTTCCCCCCCTAGCATGTCACATTTGGAATGGTAACCTCTCCCAGTCTCATTTGTGACTATACAGTTAATCCAAATGTGGATTTGAATACTATCTCTGCGACTTAATAAATGCATGGTTTAAAAAACATTATTAAGCGAAGATTTAAATGTACACAGAAGTGGAGAAAGGGTATAACAAATCCCTTTCCTACCCATCATCTAACTAGCTATGCAAGGGTGACCAAATTTTTTAATCACTTTGAGTCAATTTCTTCTTTAAAAGTGGGATAATAATGTTCTTTTCACGGAATGATTATAAAATTGATTACATTATGATTAATGTCTAACAAGAATAGCTAATAACTCCATGTGTGCTACAGTGTATCAGGTACCGTGCAGTGGAGTTCATGTGAGGTGCAGGTACCATCTGATCCTTATTTTACAAAGGAGGAGACCCAGGCTCACTGATATTAAATAACACATTCAAGTTCACAAAACCACAAACCACCCAAATCCAGCATTTAAATTCAATCTTCTTTTACTCCAAAGCCTTAAAGAGGACTTTCACAGATTATAAAGGGGCTATGCAAATTCCCTCCCTCCCCGACCCTATTTTCTTTGAAGATATTTCAGCTTTTGACTTACTCTCACCCTAAGCAAATACCCATGAATTCCTTAAAGAAAGAAAAAAAAGCATTTTAAAGAAGGCAAAAAGGCCAGCCAAGCAAAGGCGGAGTGGATGGGCTGTTTGAACCCCTTGGCTCATTTCTTGAAGCCTCAGGGTGTGTCCTCAGGGATTTGCGTATTTCGGTGGTTCTTGTATGAACTGGCGACATTTGTTCTGCGTCACTGCAGTGGGATAGAACACATGGTTTCCTCTTTGTGATCAATCTTTCTTCTCAATGCACAGCACGCTGCAGACTTGGAAAAGAAGCAGAATGAGACAGAAAACAGGAAATTGCTGGGGACCGTAATCCAGTATGGCAATGTGATCCAGGTAGGTCAAGGCAGCTCTTCCCTTCTGAAGCTGAAGCGTTACAAAGAATGCAGCTGAGGAAACAAACACCTAAGACAGGGTTTGGACACCTTTACAGCAGGACTCCATGGAGGCAGCCAGTTTATTGCAAAAAGTCTAGTGTTTCTTGTTAGATGTGATAGACTCTTTGGGCTATTCTGCTGGTCATCTCTCAGCGTGAGCATCTACTTCTCTCTGTCTGTGGCTGATCATTTCACTCCAGACACTTCAAATGGGAAGCTTCCTACTTGAAAAGGAACCTGGCTGTGGCAGTTCTGTTTAATTTGTAATGCTTGAAAATTCTTCCTACTTCGGTGAAAATTAGCTTCCCTATAACTTTTATCTACTGGCCTAAAACAGCTGCTCCCAGGAGGTAATAAGAGCAATTCTGTACCTTTGGGACTTTTTAAATAAAAAATATTTATCATTTTGATACATTTTATACTTATCAAAAATATTTGATTGTTTTCATGTCTACTCTCATGGGTTGCTTATCCTTTGTGCCTTTAAATTTGCCGTGGAGATAAAACACAATCCAGGAAAAGCTAAACAGGTTTTGCTCAGAAGATCTCTCTGGGTCCATGCCAGTCTTGCAGGAAGCCCAGGGCCACATGTGGCTTTCTTGATTTGTCCAGGCACAAAGAGTAGTAGTTACCAACTATTGAGCACCTAGACCCATTTGGTGATCTTCCTTCATTATTTTCCTTTTTGAAAGATTTTGCCTGCTATGTAAACCTTACTAATTACATAGGAGTCCTTCCCCTTTCTCTTGCTATTAGGTATAGAGCAGGGCTAATCAGGAAGATGGGAACACTAGTAAAAGATTAGTAAAAGCAACCTTTGGGGTTTAAATGGGTTCTTTACATTAGGCCTTTTGAAATAGTGAAAGTAGCTTCCAAAATCTGCTTGAAGATTAGATCCTGCCAGTCCCACTCATGCACTTCCTCCTCCTTAAGTTCCATCCTCTTCAGAATGGACACAGGTGTCCAGGTGGGCTTCAAGTTCAATGTCAGCTTTATTACTAGGCCAGGCCAGTGCCCTGAAATTCAGAGTACAGGACTTCCTGATTTGGTTAGATTGGAGAATATGGCTTGAAATGAAGATGAAAGGTGCAGAGGCTAAGGACATAAACTTTTAAATGCATTCCGGTTTAGGTTTTGTACCTCACTGTGAGATTTGGGGCAAGAAATCTTGCCATGTATCACTTTGCTCACCAGCAAAATGGAAATGGTAATGGCATCTGCTCTTTAGGATGGTTGAGAGGTGCCTGTCCCAGAATAAGCAGTGGATACACCATAATTAATCTTAGTTATTATTACTTCCCCCAGCCCTGGATCTTGGGGCCTACCTGTAGGTAACTTTCGTTTATAAACAAACTGAGTCTGGCACCTAGACAGATGTGTGCAGGACCAGAGGTTACTCACCAGGGGAACAGTTGAGGGGTTGGGAAGACGTTGCCTTCTCCTTATTTATTTTAGCTAGGGGTCATCGGGGCTTATGGATCAGACAGGTTATTCTTCTACCTCCAACTGCGCTGTTCGGGGATTTGGAGGACCTCCTAACAGTTCTAGCAGCTGTATCTGTTACATGTGAAAAGGAGGATAATCGCAATTAGCAATGGAGTCTTTTGCTGGTTGTACCATTTCTCAAGGGATTGGGCAGTCTTTCGTATTCCCTTCCGCTTTCTCTTATAGCCTGTTGAGTTGGGAAGCCTTGGCCAACTCTTTCTGGTCTAGACTGACTATCAGACACGTTATATCCCCTCTAGGTCTTCAGTCTTTCCATATTCCTCATGTAATTATTACCCCAAAGTCAAGAATAAAGTACTTGGAAATTCAAGCCATTTTTTCCAAATGAAATGACAATCCCCTAAAGGGGTTGCATTTTATTTTATTTAATTTTTTGAGAGACAGCGTCTTGCTCTGTCACCCAAGCTGGAGTACAGTGGTGTGATTTCGGCTCACTGTAGCCTGCAACTCCTGGGCTCAGGTGATCCTCCCACCTCAACCTCCTGAGTAGCAGGGACTCCAGGTGTGTACCCCCACACTTGGTTAATTTTAAATATTTTGTAGAGACAAGATCTCCCTGTGTCGCCCAGGCTTGTCTCAAACTCCTGGGCTCAAGCAGTCCTTCTGCCTCTGCCTCCCGAAGTGCTGGGATTACAGACATGAGCCACTTCGCCTGGCCCTGCGTTGTTTTTTAAACTGTTGCCTGTGCTCAGAGTGGCCTTCCTCAGCTCCACCTTTGTGTCAGGGCATGCCACACTGCAGTTCCTTAGCCCGTTCACATAGGGCTAGGTCCACCCCACTGACGGATGGCAGGTTATGATGGCACAGTTGACCTGAGCAACATCCATCTTGTCCAAGGCTTTGCTGAAAAATAAAACATGATAGTTTTTCTTGTATTCTGCCCTCTCTTTCTGCTCCCTTTTCTGTTCTTCCTTTTCTAATCATCTGCAGCCGTAGGCACTTTGTGATTCTCTGGCTTCACCAGCAGCTCAATGGTGGGAGGAATGTTTGCTACATAGTTGGTATGATTGAGAGAAGGAATGGTAGAAAATTCAGATTTGCTGACACTCACTTTATTCTCTTGGTGGGTTTTTAGCTCCTGCATTTGAAAAGTAATAAATACCTAACAGTGAATAAGAGGCTTCCTGCTCTGTTGGAGAAGAATGCCATGAGAGTCACATTGGACGAGGCTGGAAATGAAGGGTCCTGGTTTTATATTCAGCCATTCTACAAGCTGCGATCCATTGGAGACAGCGTAAGTGCGGATTCTCCACCTAGAAAGTCTTCCGTGCCATGCTTCCAAGCATGACTGTATATTAGAGTTAAGGAGGAGACGTTGAAAGTTGGAACCAGAGGCTTGTCCTGTGTAAAGAGAAGGGAATTGCTATGGAAACTAGTGTTTGGGAAACAGGGAACTGTGGAGAGAAGTGTGACCTAAATACTGTCACTGTGTTTTTCCTCCTGGATGTCTGAAAACATTGTATGAACAGCCCATTGCGTTAGGAACTTTACCACAAAAACAGCTATTCCGTGTTAATGTCCTGGAGAGGGTCCCTGTCATTCCAGATCCATTAGTGGAATAGAAATATCTTTTCTATTTTGGAAATAAAGTTCATAAAGGATAGAGGATGGAAAAGAAACAACCGTAGTAAAGAAGGAGAGTAGAATTTGGGATCAGCCTCATTTGTTGCTGTGTCGAGAAGCCGGCAGGCTCCCCGTCGTGTTCAGCAATGCAGTAGGTCTGGAGCAGGGCCCACTCCTGAGGGTTCCACAGTATATAAAGCCACAGGAAGGCTTTTCAGGGAGACTTAGAGCAGTCCTGATATTTGTTGGCTGAATTAGTCAGCCATTACGTGGGCATATACTTCACAGTGACTGTGGTTAAATTCTATCAGCTGTATTTTTGACCTTGTTAACGATTCTAAAGTAGCTGCTTTTTATTGAAAAATATGCCGCAAACAGCATGAAATAGTCTCAAAATGCTCAACCAGCCTTAACTTTAAAACTGGTTTTGACACTTTTTAATAGTGCCATTTAAATTTACAAGCTTTGGGAAGTTTAAATATGTTTGTGTATTTGTGTGTATAAGATAGGGAATGTACCAGAAACATCTAGTACCAGACCATTCCCTCATAGTTGGTAAATAATTGATCCTTAACAGTGAACAGAAAGAAAAGCCCAGTAAAACTTAGGTTTCACCAAAAGTGTTGGATTTATTGAATGAACTTATATTCATTTGGAGTTAGAGAAAATTCAATTGTATATGCTCCTCAAATGTGATAAGCTTGAAAATAGATGGTTTTTCATGTTAGGAAACCATCTTTTCTAACCAAAAATAAAAGACAAGTGTGCCTTGTTCTGAATTTCATTTTCAGCACATCCTTTGGTTTCCTATCCTTTAAACGAATCTGTGTGTGGCCATGGCTTAGTTGAGAAGATGAGATGGACTTGAATTTAAAATAATATTTTACAAAGAATAGGTGTAGACCCATTTGTGGGCCATGAAATCAGTTTAGTGGCTTGTGACTATCCTTTTTGAAAGTGGGATAGAACAGAAAGATCAGACTGTGTTACATCACATAATGATAAGTATTGTTTTTTTGGGGGGGGGGTAACTTTTGTTTTAGTTACATATATATATAGTATTATAATTATAGAAACATGCGTATAAGTCTCAATGGCTGTATATATGACTTGATCATAGACCATGTATTTCCGAATGTTATAGTAAAAATATGAAAGTAATTGTTTTAGAAACATAAAGTTATGGCTTTGTCAAAGATAAAGACTTACTCTGACTCTATCTTGTTTTTTCTTAAATTTAGTTAAAACTTACTTATATAGGTACCTTAAACTGAACAGTTTTTTTTTTTTTTCCTGCTCTGAACTGGCTTTGAAACATCTCTGTATAATCAGTGACACTCGAGGAACAACATTCAGGCTTAGCCTTGTAAACATGACCCCCTCTGCACAGGGTCAGGTTTTAAAGAAGGCGTGGTGTGTGCTACATCTTTATACTTGCTGGGGATAGGCCTTGCCTTCTTCAGCACAGACTCATATGTCTTCTAGAACTGCCCAGTGGTCAATCCGCAGTCCTTATCAGTTTTGTGCAAAGCTCTATTGCTCCTTTCCATTCCAGGTGGTCATAGGTGACAAGGTGGTTCTGAACCCCGTCAATGCTGGTCAGCCCCTACATGCTAGCAGCCATCAACTGGTAGATAACCCAGGCTGCAATGAGGTAAGGACATTGAGTTATGTGTGTGGGTGTGGTTATCCTGCAGGAGCGGGTCTGGCAGGCGCCAGTGCATGCGTGTGCTGAGAGTGACTTCAGCAGTGACTTGGGGCAGGGTGCCCATTCTGCAGGTGAAGAAACAGGCCCAGGGTCAAGGCTGCCGTGTAAGGTTGTGCAACTGTGTGCAGTGGGTAGTAGATGTGGGCTGATACTCACTCTAGTGCTCAGTTTGTGAAGCCTTGCGTCACTGAGGGGTTGTTTTTTCATTGGTGAAGCCAGAGATGAACCCTTTTACTAATTTTTTTCTGGCCATAGGAGCACCTTTTTCTAATTTGTCTCCATATACAGGGTGCCTCTTTTTAACTGTTCAAAAAGGAACACTGCAGCTTATCAGCAGCCCTGCAAGAGTGATAGCTTGCTTTTGGCAATACATCTACTTCTCCTCTAAATTAGCAATTATAGGATGCAAGGATGTTACTTCCTTGTGACATAAATATTTGTCTGATGGGTAAAGACATAAACTCTTCAGTGGGATAGATGTGGGTTCACATCCTGTCTGCCTTTCCAAGCTCTGTGACGGCAGGTTGGTTACCCGGTCTCCCTGCATATCAGTTTCCTTATCTCTGAAATGGGGGCGGCGGTCGGACCTATTTTTCAGGGTGTTGCCAAGAATTAAAGGAGATTGTGCGTGTTAGCACCTAAACCTAGTGCCTGGCACAGATTTAGTGCACAAACAATGGCTGCTGTTGTTAACAATGATCATTAACATTTTCGAGTGTATACACTGGACTCATTTTTTTTCCCTTTATGGCTCATCCCATTTTATAAGTACTTATTTTCATCAGGCCTTTACTTTCTGGCTACAGAACAAGAGACTTGGAGGAAAATGAAAATATCATTCCAGAAAGGCAGGAGGCTTGGTTCCATTAGTCATGGTTGGAATGTGCATAGTGATTGGTGCAAATGAACCATTTATTTCCAAACTCTGCCAGCAGGCCAGTTGATTTTGCAGGTGCTGTGATTTTAGTGGCGTCAATCTTTAGAGTTTTTAGTCTCAAGTACAGCCTTGCTTCCTAGGCTGCGGTGAGAAGTCTGGGGGCTGGATGACACAGTTGTTGTGAGGGGTACGTGAAAAAATAACTCGAATCTGTGTTTCAGGTCAATTCCGTCAACTGCAATACAAGCTGGAAAATAGTCCTTTTCATGAAATGGAGTGATAACAAAGACGACATATTAAAGGGGGTGAGTTTGATGCTTTATGGGCTGAGCATTACTTGGCTCTTCTTGGGGGCAGCAGTCTAATTCTCTTTTTAAATTCTTTTTTCCTTAATTCTTTCTTGTGTTGACTGTCAGGGTGACGTGGTGAGGCTGTTTCATGCTGAGCAGGAGAAGTTTCTCACCTGTGACGAACACAGGAAGAAGCAGCACGTCTTCCTGAGAACCACGGGCCGGCAGTCGGCCACATCTGCCACCAGTTCAAAAGCCCTGTGGGAGGTGGAGGTAAGGGTAGGGTGGAGAAAGGGCTCCTGGGTTTAGAGGATATCAGCCTGTATATAGGCTCTCTCTCTCTCTATCCTACAAATATTCATACATACATATACCTATATGTGTCTATACACCCACATACACACACCTACACACACACACAGAATACATGTGTGTGTATATATATAAGTCACAAACAAGTACTTATACCCACCTTATTCCAAAAATGGGTTGGGGATGGCATAGTGAAGTAAGTGCATCATGGCATATCATGGTGCTGCATATTTGTGCAGAAGGAAAGAATAAGTACTTTGGAAACAAATTCAAAAACGAAATTAGAAATAGCTTTCTCTGAGCCATCTAATCCCTTCTATTGTTTTCTTTCCCTTGCTCATTTATCTATCACAACAATATTTAACCAGGTGTCTACCTGACACAATACATAGGTGATGCCCACATTGGTGATGGGGCAGAAATGAGAAGATATACACCCAGATAACTGGAACACACAAGGGGATGGTGAAGGTGGTAAGAGGCATATTCCACATGCTCTGGAGGTTTCAGTGAGAGAGGGTGAATGTCTGGGTGGGTGAAGAATTAAGGAAGACTTCCTGAAGGAGATAGCATCTGATCTGGTACCTGCAGGATGATTTGTATTTCAGAAGGAAGAGATGAATGGAGTAGGTTACTTCATGTAAGAGAATGGTGCAGAATGTGGAAACGTGAAGCAGCGTGGGATAAAACTCAGTAACTTGTTTGGTGAAGGGCACGGGATAGGCATGGGAAATTAAACAGAACTGTTTTTGGAGACCAGAGGCTGAAGGGCCATATATCCAGGCTATAGGGAGTTGGGATTTAATTTATGGGCAGGGGAGAAATTTGGAAAGTTGTTTGAGGAAGGGAATAACATAATCAGTGTGCAACTTAAAGAAGCTAGAAGATTCTGCCCACAGCATGTAATTTGTTGTAAGGAGAGTCTAGAATTGCAGGACAAAGAAGGAAATGTTCTGAATGCTTGGTGAAAGAGGCAATGAGAGCTTCAACTAACATGGAGCTCTTTCTTCACCTCAAGCCTTCCTTTCTGTGTAATTGCAGCATGAATTAGAATTCTAATTCAAATTTCTAATTTGAATAGATAAATTTTTCTGTCTCTGCTTGCGTTCTCTTTTCCTCCTCCCTAGCTTCAATTGTTTCATGTTGCTACTGAGGTCTAGCCTATGTATAGTATAGTAAAGTGCCCAAGTCAAGAGTATACAACTCAATGAATTTTTACGTATACGTTCAGCCATGTAACCAGCACCTAGAACAAGAAATAGAATGATAGCAGCACCCAGAAGGTCCCTTGAGCCTCTCTTTCTAGGCAATGTTTCCTTTTTCCTCCTGGAGACTTCTATTGCCTGTTCTTGAACTTTGTATAAATGGAGTCATACAGTATACAGTCTTTATGTTCTGTTTTTTTTTCACTCAGTATAATTATTTTGAGATTCGTATATATTCTTGCATGTATCAGATTAATTTGTTCCTTTATATTACTGCATAATACTCCATCATATGGATACACCACAATTTGCTAATCTATTCACCTGCTGATGGACATTTGAGTTGTTCCCAACTTCTGGCTATTTCAAATAAAGCTTCTAGGGATATTTGTACACAAGTTTCTGTATGGATGTAACTTTTCTTCATTTCTCTGAATTAAATACCTAGCAGTGGATTGGCTGGATCATATGGTAGCCATGGTATGGTATGGTATGGCATGGTATGGTATGGCATGGTATATATTCAACTTTATAAGAAATTGCTAAACTGTTCTCCAAAGTGATTGGACCATTTTACATTCCCACAAGTAATGTGTGAGAGTTCTAGTTCTTCCATATCCTTACCAACACTTGGTATAGTCAGTCTTTTCAATGTTACTCGTTCTAGTAGGTACATAGTGAAATTTCAATGTGGGTTGGATTTGCATCCCCTGTTTGATTTAGTAGGTGTGTAGTGAAATTTCATTGTGGGTTTGGTTAACGATGTTGAGCATTTTTCTCATGTGCTTATTTGGCATCTGTGTAGCTTCTCTGGTGAAATGTTTGTTCAGATAGTTTGCCCATTTAAAAAAATTGTCTTACCACTCTTTTAACATGGATGTTGTAAGAATCAAGTTCAGCCGGACATGGTGGCTCATGCCTGTAATCCCAGCACTTTGGGAGGCCAAGGTGGGTGGATCACCTGAGGTCGGGAGTTTGAAACCAGCCTGACCAACATGGAGAAACCCTGTCTCTACTAAAAAATACAAAATTAGCCAAGCGTGGTGGCACATGCCTGTAATCCCAGCTACTCGGGAGGCTGAGGCAGGAGAATCACTTGAATCCAGGAGGCGGAGGTTGTGGTAAGCCGAGAGTGCACCATTGCACTCCAGCCTGGGCAACAAGAGTGAAACTCTGTCTCAAAAAAAAAAAGGATCAAGTTCATCTTGGGCATTGTATAGAAAAGTTTCCACAGTTATGATAAAAAGGAATCTATATAAAGTTTTTGTTAATTCCCACCCTCTATCCATTTTCCCCTTTCTTCCTCCTCTCTACATGCATTTGCCCTTTAGTTACTCTATGTGTCTACACAGGGACCTGTCAATCCTACTAGATTATAAACTCCTTGAGAGACGTCAGAATGAAATATCAGTTGTCAGATTCTTTTAACAATTATGTCTTCAGAGTTTTTGCTTTAACATCTATAAAAAGGTTCATTTTCTCATTTTAAGCTAATTAAATACGCTGGGTAAAACAGATCACTCATTTGCCTATGACCTTTTAGAAAAATTGTTTTGGCCAGGTGCGATGGCTCATGCCTGTAATCCCAGCACTTTGGGAGGCCGAGGTGGGCGGTTCACTGAAGGTCAGGAATTCAAGACCAACCTGGTCAACATGGTGAAACCCTGTCTCTACTAAAAATACAAAAATTAGCCAGGCATGATGGCACATGTCTATAATCCCAGCTACTCGGGAGGCTGAGGCACGAGAATCACTTGAACCCGGGAGGCGGAGGTTGCAGTGAGCCAAGATTGCACCACTGCTTTCCAGCTTGGGTGACAGAGCGAGACCCTGTCTCCGAAAAGAAAAGTTGTTTTGTTACAATACTGTACATATGCTTACTCTAAATTTGCATTGACTGTGCTTTAGTGTATTTGTAAATGGTGAACTCAGTTTCTGAAATAAAACTTGTTGTTTGCAAAAGAAAAACCTGCAAAAAACAAAATTGCTTGAGAGGCAGAATTTGGTCTTGAACTTTGTCATTGAAGATTGATGCCCCATGGTCCCCACCACAGAGTTTTTTACATTCAGAACAGTCTCTCAGAACCACTTCTCATGTGTAATTTGGATACTGGTACAAAAAAAAATGGAGACTTTCTCATCTTTCAGAGTTAGTTTAAAGTAATAATGCAAACTAAGGAAACATAGAAAATCAAGAAAACAAGGGAAGAAGTGAAGTGTTGTTTCACTGATTTAATGTGCCTACTTCCATTGAGCTGTTTTTCTATGAACAGGATATTTTTGCATAGTTGATACCATTTTATAAACAATTTTCCACCTTGTTCTCCTGAATTTCATAGGAAGACGTTGAATAGTTCTTTCTCTCATTTTTTAAAATGGATTCTGGAAAGTCAAGTGCCCCTCAAAATAAAAGAGGGAAGACAACACCATGTATTTTATATTTGTAGTAATGAGCCAGGGTTTACATTATATGTCTGTAGCTTATTGATCACCCCCAAACAAATACTATGCTCATTAGCAGTCATTCCCTATTTCCCCTTCAATATCCTCCCATTCTCCTGCGCTTGGTAGCTAATCTACTTCCTATCTCTGTAGATTTGCCAGTGCTGAATGTTTCATATAAACAGAATCCTATCATATATGGTCCTTCATATCTGACTTCTTTCACCTAGGATGATGTCTGAGTCCAAATCAGGCTGCTGTTATAAAATATCATAAACTGGGTTGCTTATAAATATCAGAAATGTATTTCTTACAGTTCTGGAGGCTGGAAATCTAAGATCAAGGCACTGGCAGATTCAGTGTCTGGTGAGGGCACTCTTCCTGGTTCATCTGCTGTGTCCTCACATGGCAGAAAGAGAGGGGACTTTCTGGGGTCTGTTTTATAAGGGCAGTGTTCTTATTCATCAAGACTCGGCCTCATGACCTAATCACCTCCCAAAGGTGAAGTATAACGTAAACGATCTCCTAATACTATAACCTTATGGGGTAGGTTTCAACCTATGAATAATGAGAGGACACACACATTTAGACCATACCAGATAACATGTTGAAAGTGTATTCATATTGCCACATGTATCAGTACTTCATTTCTTTTTATTGCCAAGTAATATTCCATTGTATGGATGTATCATATTTTATTTACCCATTTATCATTTAATAGCATTTGGATTGTTTTCACATTTTGGCTCCTGTGAATAAGTCATCTGCTGCTATGAACATTCATATGCAACTTTTTATGTGGATATATGTTCTCAAGGTTCTTGGGAGCAGACTTCTGGGTCATGTAGGAATTCTATTTTTGACCTTCTGAGGAACTGCCAGAATGCCTTCCACAGTGAGTGGCTGCACCATTTTTTATTCTCACCAGCAGTGTGTCAGCGTCCCAGTTCTCCATGTGGCCTTCATTTTGAAGGACTTTTTGTTGGATATAGAATTCTAGGTAGATAGTTTTTTACTTTAAAGATTTTGATCCATTGTCTTTTGGCTTGCATCATTTGTGATTATTCGATGGGTTAAAAAAATGTTCCTTGTATATAGTGTCTCTGCCATGCATCCTACCCCAACCTCAGCTGCTGTAAAGATTTTTCTTTTTTATTTCTAGTTTACATTAATCTGATTATGATATGCCTTAGTGTGTGTGTGTGTGTGTGTGTGTGTGTGTGTGTGTGTGCGCGCGTCTGTCTGTGTCTGTGTGTTTACCTTGCTGGAGTTCATTGAGTTTCTTGAATCTATGGGTATGTGTCAAATGGGAAAACTTTGAGTCATTATGTTTATGATTCAAATATTTCTCCTGCCCTGACCAACCCACGCAGACATGTGCTGGGTCATTTGATATTGTCTGACAGGTCCTGCGTTCATGGGTCACGTTTTTCTGATTCTTTGTCTAGTCCTTTATTTACTGAACATTGTAATACAAGTTTGTTGAGTATGTGGAGTCTGTTGTTCTTTAAAGAGTACTGAATTTTCTTTTGTTGTACACTAAAGTGACCTGTGGATCCCTTTGCTCCTTTGAAGGCTTATTTTCAAGCTTTATTCAGC
This sequence comes from Homo sapiens, assembly GCF_000001405.40. Classification (NCBI taxonomy): domain Eukaryota; kingdom Metazoa; phylum Chordata; class Mammalia; order Primates; family Hominidae; genus Homo; species Homo sapiens. The sequence continues at coordinate 4,651,014 of NC_000003.12, forward strand.
CAGGTGTTGTGTAGAGTTAATTTTGGGGCTAGGTTAACTCCCCTTCCAAGATGGGACCCCTTTGATGTGTCTACTAACGCACAGGGTGTTCCACATGATCCCTCAGCTTTGGCTTTCCAGAATCAGGACTCCTCCCAGCCCTGTGTGCGCTCTGGGAAAGTTCAGCTTTCAGACACCTTGTTTTTCTTCATTTGGCTTCATAGGGTCTTGCCTTATGCATATGCAGTCTGATGTTCAGCCCAAAACTCAAGGGAGCCTCCTGTGCAGACTTCCAGAGCTTTTTCTGTGTGTAGTTCTGTATGCATTAGTACCCCATCCCCACAAATTCTAGCTGCCTCAGTCTCCCTAAACTTTGATCTGTCTCCTTAACTCCATGAGCTTCATGCCCTTAGCTTGGATTCTTCCTCCCTATGCTGCCATCCAGAGAGGACCCTCAGGTAGAAAATCAAAGCAATAGCCAAGCTGGCCTTGTTTGTTTCCCTATTCTCAGAGATCACCATTGTGTACCACCAGTTGTCCAACATGTGAACACAGTTGTTTGGGATATTTTATCCAGTTTTCTAGTTGTCTATGGCAATTTCATCTATTCTCTGCAGTGTCTAATTGTTTATGGCACCAACTACCACTGCTAGTTAACTCTGTCATGGCCAGAAGCTGATGTGACATTTATTTTTCTGATACATTGGCCCCGGCTCTGAGTTTCACATTTCAGAGCACAGGCCTGCGTGTGTGTTCTAGCACATGAGTACATGCGTAGATTGCTTTGACAGTTCTCCACGAAAGTCCTTTTTATTGGCTGTGCTTTTGGTAGGTAAATTTCAGAATCTGCTACTTCATTATGGCTAAGGCAAATAACCTGAAAACCACTGAAGTTTTTATTCCAACCATTGTATGTTAACTAGGAGACTCGATGCCTTCTTTGGAGAGACACTGCTTACTTTTCAGTTTGGATGCTACACGTGACACTGGCAATGGGTTTGTTGAAGATGCTGATTTTCTTTTTCTAGCTTATAAACATCCCTCCTGAACTATGACTTGTGATACCTCCGATTTAATGTCTTCCTAGTGTAGGTTGACATTTCATTGACTCCTGTTGATCATTCTTGCAGGTGGTCCAGCATGACCCATGTCGGGGCGGAGCAGGGTATTGGAACAGCCTTTTCCGTTTCAAGCATCTGGCCACGGGGCATTACTTGGCAGCAGAGGTAAGTAGCAGCTCCTGTGGTTTTCTCTTTCAAGGCTGACGCACCTCACCGCCTTTCCTCATTCGCCTGTAGCCGTCGTGTTGTAAAAGGCTTAGGGAAATACACTCAGTCACCTTGCTTTTCCTCCTGTTTTTCTGTTTCCTTCTGATTCATTTTCCTAGAAGACTCAAAAATGATTACCACATTTTGGTAGGTGACAGGGATGCTGATCAAGATGTGGGGAGAAAGTAAGTTAGAAGATCATGCCGATCTAGGTTTTCGGTATTATTTTCCATTTCGCTTTTATATACGACCCTCCCCACGTCTTGTCTACCAGCCCCACACCTAGCATGAGCGACTGAGGCTGCAGCAGAAACATGATATGTGGAACCGGAAGCACTAAGACGTATAAGGAATTAGATAATCTTATAAAGAAATTTGGCTACTCAGAGCATTAGTGGAATAGACAGTGGCTTATCTTTTACTTGTAGGAATGTCAAAAATCACGGAAATTAACTTTACCTTAAATGTCTGTGAAGGGGCCAGGCACAGTGGCTCACACCTATAATCCCAGCACTTTGGGAGGCTGAGGAGTTCAATATCAGCCTGGCCAAAATGGTGAAACCCCGTCTCTACAAAAATTAGCCAGGTGTGGTGGTGCACGCCTGTAGTCCCAGCTACTTGGGAGGGTGAAGCAGGAGAATCGCTTGAACACGGGAGGCAGAGGTTGCAGTGACCCGAGATCGCACCACTGCAGTCCAGCTTGGGTGACAGAATGAGACTCTGTCTCAAAAAAAATGTCTGTGAAGAGTTTTTGAGGAGACGAAAGACTCAATGCTGAAGGACAGGAGGAATTTACCTTTTAATTTTTGTATCAAATGAAGCAGCCATCCTACTGTGTGACATGTCGAGCTTTACTCTGATCTGCTGGGAGATGTATGATGCATATTTCTATCAGATTCTAGTCGTGCATCAAAAGACCCCCACTGTTGTCTGGGACCACCCATGAGACTACTGAGAGATTTCCAAGGTGATGGTGGGTGTCAGCACTGCTCCTGTGCCTGACCCGAGGAAGGCTGGCTCTTAAGTGTGCTCAGCCCCCCACGGTGCCTAATACATGAAGTGATGATTTTGATATATTTAAGAACTGAAGATCAAGAACTCCAAGTTCAAATTTGAGATAAAGCCATAGGGAATTACAGACCCAGCTAATCAGCTGTGAGAGATGATTTATGTGGTTTCCTGAAGACTAATGGTGGTGGCATTATCTGTCATGTTTTGAAGCTAATGTAGCTCTTGCTGGAGGCCTACATTTTTTATTTTTAGCTAAAAATAGGATTATCAGTGACTGTGTATTGATCTTTTATTCATCTCAGGCTTTTAACTATTGCTTTGCCAGTGAATTCATTGTCTTCCTCTGTCTATACTTGAGAGCCGTCTCTTGGTGACTGGTGGATGTTCCATGTGTGCTGTACCCATGTGACCTGTATCATTGTCGTGGCATGCTGGTTTTGTGAACAGAGGGAATGGACAAGTTCTTAGCTGTTCAAGGATGTTTGCAGGCCTTGAAGTCTCCTGCAAGTGGGGCCCAGTCCTTAAGAAAGCAATGGATGTTTTAATTTCCTAATGATTCTTTTTCATCAGGTAGACCCTGACTTTGAGGAAGAATGCCTGGAGTTTCAGCCCTCAGTAAGTATGGACAAGAGCCTTCTTGTCTTCATCTGGTAGGGTGCGGCCAAATGATCTGGAGCTCCATTTAAGAAACTGTCACTGTGGTCACGGAGTGCTGGGGAAGGAGGAACCTTAGGCTCCCTTAAAACACGATCATGTTCTGTGCTTCCCTTGAGAGGGACCATAGTCCTTTGTGTCTCGATTGGTCCAGGGACTGTTGTTGATGATGGTATTTCCATGTGTAGTAACGGGGTCTCCATTTCTAAGTTGGAGAAGTTCATGGTATCACTTGGAAGACTCCTAGGGTTGGAGACAGTGACACCTCATATGGAAGATGGTCTTTTCAAACCAATTGCCTTATTGCTGTTGACCTCAATCCATGACTCACACAGCTTTTTCAGGGAGTAAGTATGTGAGGTGGATAGTGTTACTGAGGCTATGGAGGTAACACATGAGGCTTAGTGCACCTGGCGTGTGATTAGATACTCAGCTAATCCGTCCTTGATTTCTGCAAGGTCAGAAATAGGCTTTAGTGTATAGGATGGTTTAGAATTTTAAGTGCAAAATGGCTCTTTCTCTGGAGACCATATCGCCAAGTAATGCTGATACGTAGACACTTTGGACTTCAGGTGTCCACATTTATGGGTTGAAGAAGGCAGCGGTTGTGTTACATGGAAAGGGTGGGTATAAGTAAGACAGTTTTCTTGTGGAGTGCTTGATTCTGGTCTAGGATTGAAACAGTTGCTCCTGTGTCTGACATGTGTGTCTACACGATGATCTCAGCAGTGGGCATGGAAGGTGGTATTGAGGGTGTTTCTTTCTTTTTTTGGCAAGATTTTGAAAAAGAAATGGAGGGATTTTCTTAAGGCACTTTAATGAAGGGAATTGGGTGAAGGGAATTCAAATTGTAATTGTCCTTGGAAAGTGTTGTGAATTCTGCTGTTATGGTTATCCTTCTAGTTATGTCTTGGTGAAATGTTGGCTTTGAAAGACACTCTGACTGAGGCCTTCCTGCTGTGGGTTTGTGGATTTGCTGGGGAGCCTCTCCTCCCTTTTGTGCTCCTTACTGGGGTACCCGAGGCTCACCTTCCTTTTTTTCATCCTTGTCACCCCTATTTCTAGAGTCCATTTTGAAAGCTTTGCTTCCACAGTTAATATGGCTTGGAAAACCCTGACCCAGTTTAACCCTCTGTCAGTGCATGAGGAACTCTGTGGTAAAACTTCTCTGCATCATGTTCATGTTGTTATTGTTTGAACACTTGGACTGGGAGGGACGTCATGTTTCACAGGATGGTTCTTGTCCTTGCACCTTCTTTATTTCAAGAGAAGGAGCTGCCTCTGTGTGGCCAACATCTGGTGGTCTCCATGCTGCCGTCTGTGGTGACATGGAGGAAATCTTACCTCTGAGATTAGGCAAGCTGTGGATCCTTTCGGTGAGCGCTGATGTCCAAGTGAACTTTGTGCTCTGGCGGGTAGAGGGCTGCTCTCCTGGCCTCCTGGTACAGGAGGGAAGACTGGCATTTATGGTGCAGGAGGAAGAGTGCAGTTTAAATACCAGACCTACCATTTATGAGCTGCTGTGTGACCTTGGACAAGTTACTTGCCCTCTCTGAGCCTCAATTCCTTCATCTATACAAGTGGCATTTTTCAGGTTCTCCCAGATCATTAGCATTTTTAGTGCCTTTGCGTCCACCAGGTTGTCTGGGCTGCACAGCAGTGTATAAAAGGAGTTAGGGTGGGTTTTAGGATCTTCCTGGTACAGAGGAGGAAGCAGCCGTTGAGAGTGGTCCAGACTCATCCCCCATCTCAGGCTCCCTCAGAGTTCAGTGGTCTTTTGACGTTTTCGTGCTTTTTGGCGTCAGAGAGGCGGATGTGCCAGCAGCCTTGGGTGCAGATCTAGACTGCATCACTCTGGCTACTTCGATGTTGATTGGGGGTGGGCTGCTTGCAGAGGAGGGGTGCATGGAGAGGGGATCTTACCCGACGCCCACACGGCCAACAGCACAGATCTGCCCGGTGGCAAGGTGTTAGTACTGGGAGGACCCCACCCCCCTCATACTCTTCTTGGTTTGGAAACTTGGATGGAAAACCTCGAATTTTTTTGAGTTGATTGGTTTCCCTAAGAACAGCTTCAGTGCCTGTGGTTTTTGCCTCGGACCTCACTTGGCTTTGTTGTGCTCGTCCTTCTAAATTCAGCACCCTGAAGACACTTGCTTGGTGCCAGAGGGAGAAAAAGGACCACCAGAGGCTCCCGCTCCTCTGCCAGGCTTCTGCACATGTGCCTTTCTTTCCACTAGGTGGCAAGCGCCGACTGCACAATGAAAGGATGTCAGGACGCTGCCTCTCAGTCACTTTTCCAGACACAGTGGACGTAATGCAATTGTGATTTTCCTCTCAACTCCCACAGGTCTCTGAAACTTAACTGCCAGCCTGTAGCTGAGTCCTGTGTCTCAAACCATAGCCAGGTCAGAGTTTATTTTGAAAGTGGCATGTGGAGTAATATGCCAGATGGTTCGGAGAGAACAAATGTTGCTCAAAGTTCTTACTCCTAAACTGCAGTTGTAGAAGTGTTCTGTCACTGTCCAGGTAATTCTTCCTTTAGCGTAGATAGAATAAAGGGTCTGGGGTTTGTGCAAGTAAAGGGATGAGCAATTAGAGGAGAAATTGTGAGAAAGGGAAGAGATACAGGTTTTGGATATTAAAAGAACCTTTTTTAAAAAAACACACATAGAGGTTGGGGGCCGCAGCTGAACTAACAGGCTATTGCCCTGTGCTCCTGCATTTCAGGCCCCGTAAGAGTTAGATTCTCCCAGGCTCTCTCCTTTGCCTTTGATTTGATTTCCGTTTCTTGATTCTTTTGTTTTCCTGGTGAAGTCTCCTTCCTCTCTGTCTGGAAAGGGGGCAGAGCTTCAGCCTAAGAAAAGCAGGCTGTAGTGACAAAGAAAATGTGCTTCCTCAATAGATGCAGGTGGAGGCTGTCATCCTGCAAGGATGTTAGACATGGAAAATCACGCGATGTAGAGTTGCCGGGCTGAGCGCGAGCTGGCCAGTCTCTTCTGAGCAGACTCCTTGTCTAAGCCCCCTCCTTGAATATCTGTAGGCAGATGGGCTTTGGAGCCTAGAATATGCTTTTTTAGTTTCTCAGGAAAGTTTTCATCATTGTTCCTCAGCCTTCGCTATCAGAGATTTTCTTCGCTCTCAGCCAAATCCCTGATGTCTCAGGAGAGGCCCGTCTTCCCTGACCTGTCATCAGCAGCCCTCTCAATTAATGCTGGACATCTTTTTCAGGGCTACGCTGACTTCTCAAATATTTCTTTTGGCTGCGTTGGGGTTGCTGCTTACGAACACTTGGATTCAGGTTTATTTTGTTTTAGTTTTTCTCCTGGGAAGTTGCTATATCATATTGTGAGTAGACAATTATCACTGTAGATGAATCCAGCTGCCCACAACCAAATCTGCAGGATGAGTTTCCTCAACATCCCCTCTCCCCTAGCTCCTGCGGATGGATGTACCTAGAGTTTTTTTTTTGTTTTTTTTTTTTAATCATCTGGAGCACTCCTTCCACGGTCATCTCTTAGTGTAACTGCACGTTTTTGAAAGATTTTTTTTTTTTTTTTGAGACAGAGTCTCACTCTGTCGTCTAGGCTGAAATGCGGTGGCGCGATCTCAGCTCACTGCAACTTCTGCCGCCCAGGTTCAAGTGATTCTTCTGTTTCAGCTTCCCAAGTAGCTGGGATTACAGGCGCCTGCCACCACGCCCAGCTAATTTTTGTATTTTTAGTATTGACGGGGTTTATATTGGTCAGGCTGGTCTTGAACTCCCGAACTGAGGTGATCTGCCTGCCTTGGCCCTCCCAAAGTGCTGGGATTACAGGTTTGAGCCACTGCAGCCAGCCTGGGCTAATTTTTTGTATCTTTAGTAGAGACGGGGTTTCATTATCTTGGCCAGGCTGGTCTTGAACTCCAGACCTCGTGATCCACCTGCCTTGGCCTCCCCAAGTGCTGGGATTACAGGTGTGAGCCACCGTGCCCGGCTGGAACATTTTTATTGCAACACAAAGAGGTAGAGCGTAAATATCCCTGGCTGCATGGCCAGTTGTCATCTTTTAGGACTGCTCTGTAACTGTGGTCCTTTTCCTGCCAACTGCTGACATTCACGATCCTTTCTTCTCCGTTCCTGTGGATTGTGGAATAATTGTAGAAAGTGAAGGCTTTGGCATGCATGGTTCTTGATTTGGTGACTTTACCTCCTCAGGTGGACCCTGATCAGGACGCCTCTCGAAGTAGGTTGCGGAATGCCCAAGAAAAGATGGTATACTCCCTGGTCTCTGTGCCTGAAGGCAATGACATCTCCTCCATTTTCGAGCTAGATCCCACCACTCTGCGTGGAGGTGACAGCCTTGTCCCAAGGTATCATTTTAAAATTGCTTTTCCCCAAAGAATCAGGCCTGGTGTAGGTGGCCTGACCAGGTTTCTTGGAATCCAAATCGTTACTGCCTTTTCTTTTAGATTTTTATAAAGGATTTGGTGAAAGGTTTGCACTGACTGCCCGGTATGGCAACTGATTTTTTTAATGGCTCACCATTGATAAGTTCTCAGTAGTTGAATGAGAAGTGCTATATTTAGGTAAACAAGCCAAACCATAAGCCCAAGTAGCTCAATTTTCCTAGTTCCCTCTACTCCCTTCCTCCTTCCCCAAACCTTGGGAGAGCTCTTGGTTTGGGGAAAAAGGAAGGGAGTAGAGGAAACTAGGAAATTGAATGGAAATAGAATAAACCATTGAAAAGAAATTCTACAAGATAAAATACCTGAAGTTCACTGTTTGCATAGTAAATTTTATTAACAAGTATTGAGACATTCAACCAGAAATCTTTAGTTATTTTTTTAAATTTAACTTTAGTTTTGTTGCTTAAGAATGCATTTTTCAGGGGACATAACTGGACTATAAATAGGGAAACAAGCTTACTCTTAACAACAGAATCAACAATATTAATAATAATGGCTGACACTTATTGAGCGCTGACTGCATGCTAGACACAAAGCTAAGTACTCTACTTGTGTTATATAATTTCATCTTTCTCAAAAAACCCAGTGAGAGATAGGTATTGCTATCACCCTTTCTTGTAGATGAAGAAGCTGAGGCTCAGAGAGTTTAAGCAACATATCATAAGTCAGTGAGTCCCGTAGCAGAACCCAAAATCTTAAATGTTTAAGACACATAGGGTTATTTGGGCAATTCTGACTCTCCAATACCATGTTGGTTAATGGAAATGTCACTGTCATTTATGGATTACACGTATGGCCCCTCGTGAAGTATTAGTTGTGTTTCATCCATTCAGAGGTAGCTACTGGTAACATTTTTGTTTATGTAGTTTTAGACAAGTCTCTGGTCACACAGAGATGACTGTGTCATTTATTATAGATGGGATCATAAGCTATTTTAAACATTTTTAACTGAATAGTATGTTTTATACATATCTCCAAGCGAATGAATATCAGTTGTCATTGTCTTAAATAATTGTTGTAATCAGGCCGGGCGCAGTGCCTCACACCTGTAATCCGAGCACTTTGGGAGGCTGAAGCAGACAGATCACTTGATTGAGTCCAGGTGTTTGAGACCAGCTGGACAACATGACAAAACCCCGACTCTACAAAAAAAATGCAAAAATTTAACCGGGCATGGTGGCACACACCTGTAGTCCCAGCTACTTTGAAGGCTGAGGTGGGAGTATCCTAAGCCTGGGAGGCAGAGGTTGCAGTGAGCCCAGATTGTGCCAACTGTACTCCAGCCTGGGTGACAGAGTGAGACCCTGTCTCCAAAGGAAAAAAAAAAAAGAAACTGTTATAGTCAATTGTAATCATCTTTAAATAACAGTAGTATCAACTAGTTAATATTGTATTAACTGGTTCATTATTGGACTGTTCTGTTATACTGTATTAATACAATATATTAATATAGGTATTCATATGTAATATGTTAATATTACATTGTAACAATAGAATATAATAAATTTGTATTCTATTAACTAGTCCATTATTGAGATATCAGATTGTTTACAGTTTTTATTGTTACACATAATGCTTTGTTGAACATCTGTTTGCCTCATTTGCACCTGTACTATCACCACTGAAGGAAGAATACCTAAAAATAGGATTGGTAGATGAAATTATAGATATATTTTATGTGTTCTACAAGGTGCTAGACTTCTTTTCAGAGTTTTGCTTGATTACGCTCTCACCAACCATACATAGGACTTACTTCCCTAAGCTCTTGTTGAGACTGGGTTTTAGATCTTTGGAATATGATACAATAAAATGATATTGTTTTAACTTGTGTAACTTTTATACTAAGGAGGTTGAATCTATACTTCCATGTTTCTTTGTATTTCATTATTAAATTACCCGTTTGTGTCCTTGTCCCATTTTCACTTCCAATATTCATATTTTTCTTATTGATTTGTAACAGCCCTTTGTGTGTAGAGTAATAACCTTTTAATGCAATGGGCTACTCTTTTATTTTCCCAGGCTATGGTGATTTTTTTTCAACTTTGTTTATGATGGTTCTTTTTTTTTTCTATATAGATTATATAAAATTTAAACTATGTAATGAGAGTTATCCGTCTTTTACTTTTAAAATTTAGGAATCTTATATTTTGTTATATGATTCAAAAGGCTTTCCCTACTGCAAGATTAGTAAATACTCATTTTTTTCCAGAAATTTTATGATCTCATTTATTGTTTCACTGATCCCTATGAAAATTTCAATCATTGCTGTATTATTATTTCTTGTTATAAGCACTAATATATACCCGTAAATACTTCCTGTTGCTCTGTCTCATGCTCTGTTTATGCTGAGACACTCATTCATGGAGTATGATCTTATATTTAGAAGTATAATATATAACAGTAACTGTAGAGTCGTTATGAATGATTTTCTATTGTAAATGCATCAGAATGTGGCTTGGACCTGGACCATTTGCCCCTTCGTGTATACTGCCCAGTGTATGCAGTAGGAAACCACTTTGCTATTTCTATTTTGATAGATTATATTCTAGACTAGGGGCTATAGAGTAAACCTCAATATTTATTTCCCTAAAACCCTCCTTTTTTCCCTGTTAGGAACTCTTATGTTCGGCTCAGACACCTATGTACTAATACCTGGGTTCACAGCACAAATATTCCTATTGACAAGGAAGAAGAAAAGCCCGTGATGCTGAAAGTAAGTCCTGGGACTTGCCTGTCTCCTTTTGGTCTCGTGTTTCCTAATGAAAGGGCTCCTTTGAGGACAGATCAGGGAGTATGGAGCGTGGAGATTTGTTGCTTTGGCGAGAGTGTGGTCATGGCCGAACTTGAATGTGACAAAAGAATACTCTCCACGAGACCTGAGTGGAGCAAACCCAGGGCTTTTGAAATAACTACAACTTTTTAATTTTATTCCATGGCTTCTGCCATAATGGTTGAGCAATTTTCTGGATTTCAACTGCATTTCATGACTGTCTGAAGGATAATTTGGGCTGGGGAATGTTTGCTTTTGTCTTGAGGTACATCAAGTATCTAGTTGATTTCCCCCAATCTCTATTATTTGTTTCTCTCTATATGTCAATATACACTTTTATTTCATGAATGTTCTCTCCAGCCCCTTTACTTTCTCTCCCTACTTCTCCTTCCCCCTGTCTCCAGGGTCATACAGTATAAGTAAATAGACATGGGGGTTTTCTTTTAACAAGTGGAAGGATGCTCTCATGTAACTTTTCTTTTGTTGTGGCATTGGGGAAGGTTATTGAAATTTTTTACTTCTTTACTGAACATTTTTAGATTTATAGAAAAGTTGAAATAATGGTGCAGTGTCTATCCTTATAATGCTCCTCACTTAGAATCATTAATTACCATTTTCCATATTTGCTTTTTCTCTGTATATTTACAAACATCTTCTTTAGTTATGAGAATTTTGGATGCTCCCTGTAACAAATGAAGTTAAAAATGATATTAATGCCTCCTTCCTGCCACACTGGCCCCCATAATACCAATTTCCAGAGATAACAACTGTTAACCATTTGGAGTACGTCCTTGTAGATTTTTTTCCTATATCATTTTAACTGCAAGATAGCTCTAGTATCTTGGGATCAGCCAGTGTCTCGTAAATGTAGTGTTTGATTAAAGTCTTATCCTTCCCATCCAAGAGATTATCTCACAAGGACCACCTTGAATTTCAGATTGGCACCTCTCCTGTGAAGGAGGATAAGGAAGCATTTGCCATAGTTCCGGTTTCTCCTGCTGAAGTTCGGGACCTGGACTTTGCCAATGATGCCAGCAAGGTGCTGGGCTCCATTGCTGGGAAGCTAGAGAAGGGCACCATCACCCAGAATGAAAGGAGGTGAGCACTCCCGCATGCTCAGCACAGCCGCCCTCCCGCACTGAGAGTTTCTGACATCCATGGGGTGGAGTGAGAGAATGGTGACTCTGAACAGCTAAACATGGGGTAGCAGGCCTTAGCATTTATGGGTGGCTTCAATGTGTAACTTTTAAGAAATAGTACTTTTGCATTCATTTTTTGAGTCTCTAAAATTATGAAGATCAGGTGTAGTGGCTCACACCTGTAATCCCAGGACTTTGGGAGGCTGAGGTGGGTGGATTACTTGAGGTCAGCAGTTCGAGACCAGCCTGCCTAACATGGTGAAACCCCATCTCTACTAAAAATACAAAAATTAGCCAGGCATGATGGCGGATGCCTGTAATCCCAGCTCCTCAGGAAGCTGAGGCAGAAGAATTGCTTGAACCCAGGAGGCGGAGGTTATAGTGAGCCAAGATCATACCACTGCACTTCAGCCTGGGTGACAAAGTGAGACTCCATCTCAAAATAATAATAATAATCAAGTGATGAAGACCTCACTCTCTCTTTCTGTCTCTAAGTTGGTCTCTAGAACCACATTACTAAATGTCAGGGAATGAGGTTACTCTGAGATAAAATTTTGTGTCTGATATTTCATAAAGGTGATCATCCTTTTGTGGACAATGATATGTTTTGTGTCTTTCACTCTCTTTGATACTTGGCTTCTGTTGTCAGTTTCAAAGAAATTGGAAAGTGTGGGTCTGCCCCTGTTTAACTGGCTCATTCGTCCAGAAGGCTTCCAAGGCAAAGCTTCCAGCCTGCTGAACACTGAACACATCTGTCTCTAATAGCGTCTTTCCTCCTAAGGTCTGTAACCAAGCTGCTAGAAGATTTGGTTTACTTCGTCACTGGTGGAACTAATTCTGGTCAAGATGTTCTCGAAGTTGTCTTCTCCAAGCCCAACAGAGAACGGCAGAAACTGATGAGAGAACAGAATATTCTCAAGCAGGTCGGTGAGATGTGGCGTACTGGGGATTTGGCTTTATGAGAAATCATAAAGCATGAGTGGTAGCTCATGCCTGTAGTCCCAGCACTTTGGGAAGCCGAGGTGGGAGGATCCCCTTGAGCCCAGGAAATGGAGGTTGCAGTGAGCTGATCGCATCACTGCCCTCCAGCCTGGGTGACAGAGAGAGAGCCTGTCTCAAAAGAGAAAGAAAAAGAGAAATCAATGGGATCATTGAGGGATATTGGTGATTCCCACCTCAAAGGCTTGATGAATTGATTTTTCAATAGACTATTTTCTAGAGCAGTTTTTAGGTTCTCAGCAAGATTGTGCAAAAAGTCCAGAGAGTTCCCATATCTCCTCTTGTCCTCACACACTTGGCCTCCCCCACTACCGACATCCTACATCACAGTGAGACATTTGTGACAATTTGGGGAATCAACATTGATACATCATTATCACCTGAAGTCCATAGTTTACATTAGGGTTCTCTCTTGGCATTTTATTTTCTATGGGTTTTGATAAATGTATGATGCCATTTAGTCACCATTAAAATATCTTACAGAATAGTTTCACTGCCCTGAAATCATCTGTGCTCCTCCTATTTGTCTGTCCTTCCTGCTAACCCTTCACAGCCATGAACGTTCTTACTGCATGCATTGTTTTCCCTTTACAGAATGTGACATGGTTGGAATCAAACAGTATGTACCCTTTTCAGAGGGGCAAATTTCACTTAGTGATATGCATCCAAGGTTCTTCAGTGTCTGTCCATGGCTTGATAGTTCAGTTCAATTGATTTTTAGCGTACTTGTTGGATATCAATCATGTGAGAGTTTACCTGTTAGGAACCTCAAGAAACATTCAGCTGACAACTTTATTTTCCTCAAAAATAATGTAAAGTTCAATGTGACCTTAAGGTTATTTCATACATTTGGGAGATTTGGCATATTCTATAAACTCAGAAGGCCCATATAGGCTCTTATAGAGTGCCCTATAAGTCACCACAGAATCTTTCCGTAAAGAATGAGTAGTGGTTGACAGGAAATACATAGATGATATTGTTGGATGTAAATGTAAATAAACTGGTATAAAGACAAATTAGAGGCAGTAAAGTGACAAATCCAGAGTAGATTAAATGCACAGAGATGCATACCATGTCCTTCTGTAACCCAACTGGAGATTAGCCCACAAACTTGCCACCGGAATTCCTGGCCACCAAAGCTAAAAGAGAAACATATTAGTTACAAGTCCCACTGGTCCCCATGGAACAAGGGATTTGAGATTATTTTTTCATGTTGGTCTATGATAGACAGAATTTATTAACAATCCATCTTGTTTCAACAAGAATTTCCAGTTCAAGAGTAAATGTCCAGCTGTTGTTTCATGTGATGATTCTCAAATTAGACCTCTGGCTTAATGCCCATGCTCATTTGTACAATAGTAATTCCTGAGAGGCAAAAAATAACTGACTCACTGGCAGGAGCCTTCATTGATTACTTGTGCTGGGCACTAGTGCGACTTAAAATTATCATCCATTTTCATCCTTACTACACCTCTGTGATATAGGCATTATTCTTTCCATTTTGCTGGTAAGGAAATGCGGGTTTACTTTGACTGTAATCTGTACTGCTAGGGAGTAATAAAGGCTTGTGTTTCCACCTAGAATCTGCTGATTCCATTGTCTGTGTTCTTAAACGCTTTGCTCTAAGCACTGTGCTGTTAGGTGTATGAGGACCAGTGGAGTCCAGTAGACTTAATTCAGCGCGTCTCCCATCTCAGTTGATGGGCTGAATGCAGTGTTCAGGTTATGGATGTGTTGGGATAGAGAAATTTTCTAATGTAATCCAGCCACCCTTGAGCTTGCATTACTTCCAAACAGAGGGTTAGCTTTGAAGCCCTAAGTGATTGCCATTTTTGCTTTTCATTTTCACAAACAGATCTTCAAGTTGTTACAAGCCCCATTCACAGACTGCGGTGATGGCCCAATGCTTCGGCTGGAAGAGCTCGGGGACCAGCGGCACGCTCCTTTCAGACACATCTGCCGGCTCTGCTACAGGGTGCTGAGACACTCGCAGCAAGACTACAGGAAGAACCAGGTTTGGATTAAGCATTGGTGGGATGTGGTTGTCAGTTTCCTCCCTGAAGTTTGTGAACTTTCCTCCTGAGTTTTTAGTGTCACATGTCTATTTATAGAATGGATGCAGAATAGTTCAGTGTTGAGCTTGCTCTTGGGAAGGAAACACAAGCCCAGGAAGAATATTATTACCTAATCGTTAAGAAACGTACTGGAGAATTCTCTTCTGCAGACATCTTTCTATGAGATTTCTGGTTTTGGAGTTGGTTTTACATTTATAGAATTTTTTATGACGTATTCCCTTAGGGCTTAGGGGTGAAATGATGCCATGTGTTTATATTAAAGATATAGTGGAGTCTTTTCTTCCTGCACCTTTAAAATTCTCCGTCTCTTTCTAGAAACATGATCTTTATTTTGTTTCTGATTCATGTTTTATGACATTCTAAGTCATTGTCTATAGAGATATCTTATACATAGTTATATTTTACATATTATACATAGTATATGTGTATTTATATACACACACAATGTATAGTCTCCTATGAAATAAATGTCCTAGGAGCTCCAAACAACCTTCAGATTCTAAGAAAACCTGAGAACTATATTGCTACATCATTGGTTCTTAACTGGGGGTAATTTTGTCCCCCAAAGAATATTTGGCAACATCTGGAGACCCTTTTGAGTTTTATAACTTCATGGTGCTGCTGGCATCTGGTGAGGGGAGGCTAGGGATGCTCTCAAACACCCAGCAGTGCCAAGGACATCCCCACACAACCAAGAATTATCCTGCCTAAAATGTCAGTAGTGCTGAGGTTTAGAAAATTTGTGCCACATGGAGTACCGTAGGCATGCAAAATGATGCTTATCATAACCTTGACTCTTACCACTTTATGTGAACTATCCCTGCCTTTTGGGGCAAAAGGCTTTTGTTTTTAAGGTTTTGACTGCCACTATACTGGACTTTTAGAGTTTTTTCTTTGTAATTAAAGGTTTTTGTCATGTCATCATAAAGATAGTGTTGATCTTGAATAGTGCTTTTTTTGAAGTGTATCAAGCTGTGATTGCTTTAAATCCACCTTCAGTGCGTTGATACTGTAATCCAATAGCCAGAGAGATTTTATTCTGTTCCTCTCTCCCATCTTCAGATGAGGATACATCTGGGTCTGTGGGGTGTGTCAAGACACTTTGCTTGTACATGAGGAAACAAACTAGTTACTCTTGGAATTGCTGGATTAGACATCTTTGCTTAGTTGTTTTCGGATCCTTTACCAGTTGGCAGATGATAAGTTCCTACACAATGCCTCCTTATAGAATACAGGCTGAAAACCATGGCCTGTTTTCATTATGTTAATCCTAAATAGTTAACCGGGATTTAGGAATTAATGGGAAAAAAATTAAAGCAAGTTTCAAGGGCCACTTGAATTTTGAGCAAGCAGTCTATCTTGGCCAGGGAAGCATCTTTGAACAGAAACAAACAGGTATTTGTAAGAGATTTCCTTGAGTTCACAAATATTTCTATGGAATGTGATAGCTGATCCCAAAAGAGAGAAACCAGAGATGTATTCATGAGTTCCATGCATATGATGGATTTTCTTAGGTATTTATTCCTGACCTTCTTATGCTACTCATTGACTTTAAAAAAGTATTTTTACCACAAATAAAGGAAATGAAACAGGGTAACATTGTTCCAGATCTCCAGGTAGGCTTTATCTGTGTTTATTTAGCAGCACAGATCACTGGGGGCACAGTTAAGTCCTCTTGAATTAGGAATACGTTTAGAGCTGAAAACCAGCTTTGGACCTTTTTGAAAAATAAATCACTAGATTAAAATTTATACTGTGCACTTAATAAAATATCCACGTGTAAATACAGGCTATTTTGCTTAATTACATTTGTGTGGCAGGCTTAGAAAAGTAAAGGATGTGAAGGAGTTTGCAGCTGTTGCCCTAGGATAGAAAGTTGTAGGAAGACCCTCCCTTATACTGTAATGTCTCTTAGGGGCAGTAGTTCTCATCAGGAAACATTGCTGCTTTCTTTAGTCTACGCTTAACCATATTGTCATTTATCCTTCCTACTGACGTCTCTTTTCTCTCCTTATAAAGGAGTATATAGCCAAGCAGTTTGGCTTCATGCAGAAGCAGATTGGCTATGATGTGTTGGCTGAAGACACTATCACTGCCCTGCTCCACAATAATCGGAAACTCCTGGAAAAACACATTACCGCGGCAGAGATTGACACATTTGTCAGCCTGGTGCGAAAGAACAGGGAGCCCAGGTGAGGCGGGAGTGGGGTCCATGCAGGATGGTGTCTCTGCCTGTAAGATGCAGGGACTTAGCTGGTGCTTTTTACTACGTTTCCTTGTGCTGCTAGTGACAAGTTTTGATTAGTTAGGTCTGGAGAGGCTTTTTGATGAGTAGTGGCAAGAACTTGGTGTTAAAATGAGACCTGGGGGTGCATTCCTAGCTCCAGTGTGTCCCACCTGGATGAGCTTGGGTTTTTTCCTGAACTTTAATTTCCTTATCTGCTAAATGGGTAGTTATGAAAATTAAATGAGAATAAACGCAGGTGACGTGCAGGCACTTAGTGGATGCAGAGGAAATGACAAATTGTTGGCCACTCATTCACTTTTTAAAAAATGTTCTTAATTTTAATTTTTAATTTTTGTGGGTACGTAGTAGGTGTATATATTTATGGGGTACATGAGATGTTTTGATGTAGGCATGCAATGTGTAATAATCACATTGTAGAGAATGGGGTATCCATCCCCTCAAACATTTATTTTTTGTTACAAAGAATTCAGTTCTATTCTTTTAGTTATTTTAAAATGTACAATTAAATTATTGACTGTAATTACCCCATTTACCTACAAACAGTAGGTCTTATTCATTCTGTAATTACCCAATTTACCTACAAACAGTAGGTCTTATTCGTTCTTTCTATTTTTTTTTTTTTTTTTTTTACCTGTTAACATCCCCACCTCCCCCCTGCCCTCCCACTATCTTTCCCAGCCTCTGGTAACCATCCTTCTACTCTGTGTCCATGAGTTCAATTGTTTTGATTTTTAGATCCTACAAATAAGTGAGAAGATGCGATGTTTGTCTTTCTGTGCTTGGCTTATTTCACTTAGCATTATGACCTCCTCCAGTTCCATCCATGTTGTTGCAAATGACTGGATCTCACTCTTTTCATTCCCTTTTTCTTTTTTTTTTTAAGATGGAGTCTCGCTCTGTCACCCAGGCTGGAGGGCAGTGGCGAGATCTCAGCTCACTGCAACCTCCGCCTCCCGGGTTCAAGCAATTGTTCTGCCTCAGGCTCCCCAGTAGCTGCGACTACAGGCACGTGCCACCACACCCAGCTAATTTTTGTGTTTTTAATAGAGACGGGGTTTCACCATATTGGCCAGGCTGGTCTTGAACTCCTGACCTCGTGATCTGTCCGCCTTTGCCTCCCAAAGTGCTGGGATTACAGGCGTGAGCCACCGCGCTCGGCCTCATTCACTTTTTAGCACCTCTTGCTTATCAGTTAAACACTCCCCTCCCTCAGTATAATCAGTAAGAGTCTTGCAAGTTCAGTTGTTGGTTGAGCGTTTTTATTATAGATTAGTGAATTCTATTGATTGTATCTCATTCACACAGATCTGCTCCTCTTTCGTACACCCTCTCCCCATTTCTTTCCCCTTCTCTTGTCCTTCTAATTAAGACCCATATTTTCAGTTGAAGCGGGAAGCAATTTACAATGTGGGTGTCACAAATGATTACAATGGAGCACGGACACAGTTGCTGTAAAAACACCTACTACCACCCTTGAAAATAACCCGCATTTTCTGGAGCCTGCTCAAGGGCTCAGGTAGTGAGCAATGGAAGCACTTCCGTTAATTATCTCATTTAATCCGCAGGACAGCCCTCAGAAGTGACACATTATCCTTTTCTGTAGACGAGCATCAATTAAAGCACAGTGAAATTAGTAATTTCCCCAAATGAACGCTCCATAGCAGAACTCCGCTAATAAGATCCTAACTGGGCTTCCAACACACGTAGCCAAACATCAGGGCGTTGCCTCTCACCACTGTGGTTCCCCTGTGTCTCCACCACACCTTCCTTATGTGAGCTGCTTTCTTGTCTTGTTCCTTCTTCTCATCTTTGCCTCATCACCTCTTCCTTGACCACAGCCACTCCTGTCTTTCCTTCTTGTTTCCTCTTCCTTCTTTCTGGCATGTGGCTTTCTGGTGATGCCATAAACATTGGCATCAAGACTTAGAATGCTGCTGACATGTCTTGGTAAAGGTATGTTGGACCTGTGCACTTAAGGAAGAATTGGGGTCCAGGAGCCTAACCTCTGCTCTATCTACAGAAAATGTTTTGTTTCTGTTTCTGTTTAGATTCTTAGATTACCTCTCCGACCTCTGTGTCTCCATGAACAAATCAATTCCAGTGACCCAGGAACTGATATGTAAAGCTGTGCTGAACCCCACCAACGCTGACATCCTGATTGAGACCAAGTGAGTGGGGAGCCAGGGTTTAGATGGAAAACATGGGGTTCATTCAGTGTTGGTGCTCATGAGGAATAAAACCTAGCCCTATCATTTTTTGAGTTGATCTAAAGTCAGTGTGGCTGGCATTTGATCTTCTTATTGGAAAAGTCTTGATTAGGAGAATTCCCGAATTTGATTTTGGTGTCACCTCCTCTTCATAGTGGTGTCACTTATTTTGCATACAAGTTTAGAAGTCATGTAAACTCACCGGGGAGCATTTTATACAGCTACATTTTAAGAGTTTAAAACTCTTTGTAAGTGTGACCATCAATTTAAAATTTCAAATGACATAATGAATATTCAGTGTTAAGATTAAGTCAGTGTTGGGAGGAGTTTTAAATTATTACTGTTCAGAACATGTTTATTGGTCTGCAGAATTTTTGTTACCAGTAGTAATTCATTTTTGGCAAAGGAGCAGTTTTCCTGAGAAGTACAGTGCCGGTAATATGGACAGCCTTAAAAAACATACTAAATTACGTCCTGAGCTAGTGATACTTCATTGATTCACATGTATAACTCAGTTTTGGGCTTGGGCTAATGCAGGGTTTTTCAGTTTAGGTATTTTCACATTTCGGGCTTGGTAATTCTTTGTTGTGGGGCTGTGCTAGGCACTGTAAAATGTTCAGCAGCATCCCTGGCCCCTACCCACTTAGATGCCAGTAGCACCTCTCCATTTCGGTTGTGACAACCAAAAACCTGTCCAGAGACATTGCCTGGTGTCCACTGGGGGCAGCAGCACCATAGTCGAGAACCACTGGGTTACAGTATATGAAGATGTTAATGTCAGGCTCTCTGCGGCTCTGCCCTTGGGGGAAATACAAAACAAAAAGTGTCTTTCCATGTGTCTTTATGCTGAAAGTAAAGCTAGATCTCAAAGTATTTTTAAAAATAGTAACTTTTCCCTCCTCCTCTTGTTTTCTAGGTTGGTTCTTTCTCGTTTTGAATTTGAAGGTGTCTCTTCCACTGGAGAGAATGCTCTGGAGGCAGGAGAAGACGAGGAAGAGGTGTGGCTGTTTTGGAGGGACAGCAACAAAGAGATTCGCAGCAAGAGTGTGAGGGAATTGGCTCAGGATGCTAAAGAAGGGCAGAAGGAGGACCGAGACGTTCTCAGCTACTACAGGTGCGTGGGACACGTGTGGGGCTCAGATTGGGGTGCCCCAAAACAGTGGCACTTAGGAATTTGTTGCTCGTTTGTTGATTACTTCAAGGAATCACAAGGAGTCATCTTGTAAGATTGTCTAGAAAAAAGCCAGATGTGTGTTTTAGGAGTTTGGAGTGTAAGATTTCAGTTAGTTGACATCTGGATGTGGCTGGTTCCCAAAAAGGATGAGTGCTTGCCTCAGTCCCTGGTGATAGTTTATCCTTCAGCAGCATGGCCCATAGATATGGTGGTAGGTACGTAAGAGGCAGGCTGTGGGGTCACATCCCTACCTCTCCGCTTACCAGTTTTTTGACATTGGCCAAGTTTGATTTTATGCTCTAATTTCTTTATCTGCAAAATGAAGGTGATAGTGCCAATCTCACCAAATGTTTATAGACAGAGACAGAAGATGTGTGTGTTTGTATACACATATATCTACACATTCATCCATGTATCTTTCTATAACTACACAAATATATAATAAAAAGCATGTACTTACACTAATACTTCCAATTCCATTCCAACACCATAGGATTTATTCTAGCCTTCACCTTTTCCATTTCATGACTCCCTCCAGCTGCCACGATTCCCTGTATGTTTACCCATCTGCCCGTTTCCCTGTGTGTACCTGTCTCACCTCTGCCACCCACCTCCACGGTCCCCAGTGTCTCCTTGGCTCCAGCTGTAAGACCTGCCAGTCCTGCCACCTGAAGGGAAGGGAAGGGGAAGAAAGAAAGGAAGTGAACCAATTAATACTTTTAAAAGAAAAGGAAAGGGAAGATAAAGCAAGGCTTTTATTATTTTTTAATAAAATAAATAAAACTGCAGATAAAATGCCTTTTCTTGCCTCCTGTATTCTGTTCTTTCATTCATGTGTGATGTACGCATCCTATCCACATTCTCTGTGTGCTGCATTTGTATGCATCTGTAAATCATATGTAGTATTTTATCTCTACTTAAAATTTTATATAAATGGGACTGTACTCCAAATACCATTCTAAAACTTGCCTTATTTATTCAATACGGGTACTGAAGCCATATTGAATATATCTGCGTTAATAGAGATTAATCCATTTCTGTAATTTGGACTGTTGGATGATATTCTGTTTTATTGATTTATCACATTTTCATCGCTGTTTGATATTTGATCACATGCTGCAGTTCTTCATGTCAGGAAACATCTTCATTCAAATTTTTCTGAGTATATGTATGAATTTCCATTCCACACTGGGAGGTGGGCTTGGAGGATATTCATATTTTAAGCTTTACTAAGCAATTCTAAATTGGATGTGTCAGTGTACACACCCACCAGTTGTAGACGACAAGCTTTGTTTCTTCATGTCTTTGTTAACCTTGAATATCATGATGCTTTTTAATTTTTGGTAATTTTATAAGTGTGAAATAGACTCATGTCTACACTTGCATTTCCCCGACATCTAATGAGGCTGAGAATGTCTTCAAATCATGATTATTAGAAATACATAGAGTTTTTAATTCAGAAGGCAGTATTTTGAAAGCCTGTGGCTTTCTCGTTATTTCACATTTCAAGTATGTTTACTCTTTCAGTGTTTGATGAATCTTCTCCCAAGTGAATGAGAAAGAGTGCCTTAATTGGTCAGGTTCCAGTTAACAACATTCACTTGCAATTGGATGAAGATGAAAAGTGAGGAGTCTCCTACTTTTGTAAATGAAATGTTTTTTTACACGTGTAGGAATTAGAGTGACTTACATGATATAAGATCTTTAAAATGTTATAAAATTTCTAATTAGGCTGAATATGTGTGATATCTTGAACATTTCCTACATGGTCTTTACTGTATAAAACACAGCTGAAGGGAAAGAAATAGACAACCATCTTAGGCCTTAGCATTCCCCCCGTTTATTTTAAAAAGTAAACATTAAGGACCTAGTGGAATTAGGTCGTCACATAATTGCTCCAACACAGCTGGATAGACATGTGTTCCTGTTGGCTGTCAACCCACACTCTACTGCACAGCTTGAATAGTTCTTTTATCTGCTTGGTACCAAAGCCAAAATCCTGGTATACAAGAGCAATTTAGGGGTGTTGATGTATGAGTTTAGTTGGCCAAATGTCACTCCCATGACAGTCAGGGCTGCCCAGACGACCCTTCATTCATCCTGAATGATTTCTGGAGCGTGAGCTGTGTGCCCTTGTTCCTTCCTCTAGATATCAGCTGAACCTCTTTGCGAGGATGTGTCTGGACCGCCAATACCTGGCCATCAACGAAATCTCAGGCCAGCTGGATGTCGATCTCATTCTCCGCTGCATGTCTGACGAGAACCTGCCCTATGACCTCAGGGCGTCCTTCTGCCGCCTCATGCTTCACATGCATGTGGACCGAGATCCCCAGGAACAAGTCACCCCCGTGAAATATGCCCGCCTCTGGTCGGAGATTCCCTCGGAGATCGCCATTGACGAGTGAGCCTGGCACCTGAAAACCTCACTTTACATTATTCTGTGCGGCAGTAGATAGCCCCATATGGTCTCATTAAATCTTAGAAGAAAGATGAAGTGTTGGTTTTTTCTTCAAGCTTAAAATAAAATTAAGTGGATGGCAAATATTTTTTTCCTCAAGAATGTGAAAGATGGCATGATTATGTTTTTGGTTTTTGTTTGTTTGTTTGTTTGTTTGAGATGGAGTCTCACTCTGTTGCCCAGGCTGAACTGCAGTGGCGCAATCTCGGCTCACTACAAGCTCTGCCTCCCGGGTTCGTGCCATTCTCCTTCCTCAGCCTCCCAAGTAGCTGGGACTACAGACGCCCACCACCACGCCCGGCTAATTTTTTGTATTTTTAGTAGGGACGGGGTTTCACCGTGTTAGCTAGGACGGTCTCGATCTCCTGACCTTGTGAGCCGTCCACCTCGGCCTCCCAAAGTGCTGGGATTACAGGCGTGAGCCACCGCGCCTGGCCCCGATTGTATTTTTTATATCTCATTTATCTCCTCTTTCATTCTGCAAATATTTAAGTGTGTACTATGTGCCAAGCTCAAGAAATATATCAGTGAACAAACTAGAAAGCAATCTCTATGCTAGTTGGTGGAAGACAGACAATAGGCAAGATAAACGACTCAAATATATAGTTGGTGATATATGCTAAGGAGGGAAAAAATAAAGTAGGGTCAAGGGATGCCAAGGGTTAGGGGATGTTGACTTTTGAAGCTGAGTGACCCAGGAAGACCTCTCTGGGAATAACTTGAAATTTTGTTTCCTTTCTTTCTCCTTTCTTTTCAGCTATGATAGTAGTGGAGCTTCCAAAGATGAAATTAAGGAGAGATTTGCTCAGACCATGGAGTTTGTGGAGGAGTATTTAAGAGATGTGGTTTGTCAGAGGTTCCCTTTCTCTGATAAAGAGAAGAATAAGCTTACGTTTGAGGTAACTCATGATGAAATCTTCTATGTGTATTATCTGCCTCTCAGTGGTCATTTTTCTATGGGGCAAATAGAAAATATGTGAGTAGGTTGTGATTTTGGTCATGATGCTCTGGTTTTGTAATGGAAAGGAATTCAGCTTGGTTTTGTTCCAGAATAAAATAAAACGGATACCAGTCACATGGCTTAATAGTAGTTATGGGCTTAAAAGAAATATACAAGGTGACTTGAACCACATAAAATGATAGAACATCACTTTGTGTTAAAACTGACAAGAGAGAAACACTGTGCTTGCAATCTGCCATAGCTTAATCATTTGCAGAACATAAATCCTTGTTACTTCTGAGTTAACAACGTTTCTGAGACTGCTTTTGCCTTTTAAGAGCTGTATTGCTGAGGATCGCAGAGTGTTATTATCTGTGTCCTTATTGGGAATAACTCTGCTTGCCTGGTGTTAATATTATCCTTGGGAAGCTGTGTAGAGCAAATGATGAGGTCTTTTTTTTTTTTTGATTAGTCATCAGAGCAGATCAGTAGCTTTCCATTTCTTATTTTTCCTCCTTATGAAACAAAATGAAAATTTATCAGAAAGTGCAAGGAAAATACATGCCTTCTCTTACCATAAGGAAGGTCCAAGTCTGTCATTTCTAAACTGGTCAACATCAAATGGAATTGAAGGGGATGCAGTTTATGTAATACCGTCTTCTTCTTTTATTTTAATACAATAGGTTGTAAATTTAGCTAGGAATCTCATATACTTTGGTTTCTACAACTTCTCTGACCTTCTACGATTAACTAAGATCCTTCTGGCCATATTGGACTGTGTACATGTGACAACAATCTTCCCCATTAGCAAGATGGCGAAAGGAGAAGAGAATAAAGGTAACAATGATGTGGAGAAGCTGAAGAGTGAGTATCTGAGGGTGCCCATACATCTGAGAGATGCCCTCCAGCCTTTCCTGTTATGCTCATGTCATACCCTATATGTGATGCCACATCCTTTCTTTGTTCATTCCTTCCCAACTTTTCATCGTGAACATTTTCAAATACTGTGTAAAGAAAAGCGGAAAGAACAGTACGATGGAGTCCCACGTACCCATGACTTTGAGTCAACAGTTATTCACGTTTTGCTGAATTTTATTTTGTATTTATGTGTATTTATGTGTATTTTATTTTGTATTTATGTGTTTATGTATGAGTCGTGTGTATATTTTGTTGAACAATTTGAAAGTTACTTAACACTTTGAATGTTTATATAACAAATACATGTCCTATCATTGTTCTTGACATTCGTGAGACCCTTGATAATAATATTTGTTTAGGATGTAAGAAAATCCAGGCTTCTATCTTGGTGGCTATTTCCACTTTGTGAGAAGGACAATCTGCCTTTGCATGTTTATTTCTTCCTCGTTTTAGGGTCAGAGTAGGCAGATATTGGTATCATGTATCAATTATTGTTAACTGGTCTTCTGCAGCTAGAACAGAAAGAAATACATTGACTTATCTCTATTTGCTAGGTCTTGTGCTGAGTCATGTTGCATTATACCATTTAGTTCTTTTGTTGAGCTCCTTTATTTCCATTTTGTAGATGAGGAGACTGAGGCTTAGAGGTAGTATGGTGCACCTAAGGTCAAGCAGCATCAGGATTTGTACCTTGTTAACTTTATGTACCTAGTTCTGTGCTCATAACAAGCACATAGTTGATGATCAATAAAATTTGGGCAGGGCATAGTGATTCATACCTGTAATACTAACATTTTGGGAGGCTGTAGCAGGAGGATTGCTTGAGGCCAGGAGTTCGAGACCAGGCTGGGCAATATAGAGAGAACCTATCTCTACCAAAAAAAAAAAAAAAATTAGCTGGGTGTGGTGATGCATGCCTATAGTCCTAGCTACTTGAGACGTTGAGGCAGGAAGATTGTTTGAGCCCAGAAGTTTGAGGCCACAGGGAACCATCATTGTGTCACTGCACTCCAGCCTAGGTGATAGAGGAAGATCCTGTCTCTAAAGAAAATTAAAAAAAATAAAATTTGATGGGCAAGTTAGTGCACAGAAATGCCCCTCTGGGGATTTTGAAGCCCGTGATCTTTCTGTTGCTCTCAGAAGCCCAGATTTTTGATGTGCATTTACCTTTCCAGGTTTCCAGGGTCCTGAGATTATGTTGGAATAGGGATATGTTAAATAATTTCTCTCAAAGAGCCCCTGCCCCTTGACATATGCCTCTGAGCATTCTCTAGAGACATTGTGACCGTGGTCTCTCCTGGCCTTTCCTAGGCAGTAACGTGATGAGATCTATTCATGGCGTGGGAGAGCTGATGACCCAGGTGGTGCTCCGGGGAGGAGGCTTTTTGCCCATGACTCCCATGGCTGCTGCCCCTGAAGGCAATGTGAAGCAGGCAGAGCCTGAGAAGGAGGACATCATGGTCATGGACACCAAGCTGAAGATCATTGAGATACTCCAGGTATCCACTAGCTGGAGCTGGGGTAGGGAGGGTATGTCACAGAGGCGCCATTCAGATCCAGTCCCTCTGTTCTGATGGAGCCCAAGGCTTTCTGGGAAGAAAATGGGGGCAAATCCTTAGCTCATCCCTCCGTGTCATTTATGAGCTGGCTCCTCTTAATCCCTTTACTGCTTTCTCCTACCCTCCCAACATGGCCATGTCCCTCCAGCCATGTCAAGACTTGCCATTGTTATCTTAGCTTTCCATGATCATTGGCCTCCATGCCAACCCTCTGCCTAGAATTCACTTACCTCTGTGTCTCCATGTAGCTGCATCTCTGCTTATTGATCATAACTAGGTTCAGGGTTCCATCAACTTTGCAAAGCCTTCCTCCCTTCTTCCCTTTTTCATTCAATCAACAAATATTTATTGAGACCAACTCTGTGCCAAGTCCCCTTAAGCACTGGGAGGGTCCAGCAATGAAAAAAATAGATGAAATTCCTGCTTCTCTAGAATTTACATTTTGATAGAGGGGCATGGGCATGTATTAAGAATAAGTGCTAAGAGACGTTAAAAAGTAAAGGAGGGTCAGGATTGTTTGGAGACACTGAGGACAGGGGGCTGGGGTTATTGTGTTTGGTGAGGTTATCAGAGAAGGCCTCTCCAGTACAGTGACATGATTACACACCTGAATGAAGTGAGGAGATAGCCACACAGATATCTTGGGAAAGGGTATCTGAGGCAGAGGGAGCAGCAAACACAAAGACCCCATGGTGAAGAGGGCACATTTGGGAACAGGTGGGGTTCAAGAGGGAATGGGAGAAGATCAAGTCGGGGAGTAAATATATATAGCTTCTTGGACAGATTGCCTGTAAGGATGCACAGAGAAGTGGGGACATGGGCAGAGAGCGATTGTTGGTAACATGGTTTATTTTTGTTGTAATATTTTTTAAGTGGGTGGGTTATAACAAGCTTGTATGGTGAATAGGAATGATCATGTATACAGGGAGAGTTTGTTGCTGTTTGGGGAGAGAATAATTGTAAGAGCAAAGTCCTTCTGTAGGCAAGCGGGGGTGGAATCTAGTATATAGGGAAGGCTTGGTCGTAGGCATGAAACCCTCCCAAGCCTCTCTACAGCTTTGAACCCCACCCGACAACCTGCGCTTCCCTCTTTCTGTGCCGTGTAGGTAACTTTTATTCATCAACAAAATCATCTGCTCCTTAATGGAAAGAATTATGTGTTAGCACCTTCTTTTTTTTTATCCCATGTTGCCTGATCTCAACCCCAACAGATGTAGTAGAAATTCATAAATGTTTAAGATCTGGGGGTTTTATTTTTTAGTCTGAAATCACCCTTTACCAATGCTTTGAAAGTTTTAATGGGTTGTCTCAAAGTCATGTAATTAGGACGATAAAGACAGCTTAAGTAAAGGAGAAATCTTACTGAATTTATGCCTGAGCAACAGTAGAGAAAGATTCCTTTTTTAAAACTTTATTTTTTAATAAATTTTATTTTTACTTTTATTTTCAATTTTTTTTGTCGAGACAAAATATACATATAAAATTTGCAGGCCATGGTCCATGTGTTCCAAAGTGGTGTCTTGGACGTTTATCAGAAACGACGCAGTGCAAAACTTGGTCACATCTTGAGGTCCACTCACCGTGGTGACCTAAGAAGGATTGGTCGATTGAGTCATTCTTTCCACGGGTACTTATTGACTCCCTACCATGTGCACTGTGAGGAATGCAAAAATGATTCGAACAGGGGCTCCATCCACAGGGGTTTATAGTCTGATGGGAGAATAAGGTATGATGAAGCTGCGTGGATGTGGAAATAAAACCACCAGAAAGTTCTTCTGAGACTGGAGTCCGGGAGTGGGGTCATGTGACTCCACATGGTAAAGATCAGAGAAGGGTTGATGGAGGAGGTAGGGTTTCATCTGAGCCTTTAAGGTGCATGGGCTTTGTACATGGAGAAACAAGGGCCCGTTCTCAGGTGGATGGAGCAGCCTGAAGCCGAGTACCATGGGATGCAGGTCAGTGGGCAGTTCTTGCTGAGCAGAGACATAGAGTGTGCTGAGGGGAAGTTGTCAGAAGTGAGTTTGGAAAGGAGGACCAAGCCACACTGCACAGAGCTTTGGGTGTCTAAAATGCTAAGGCTTATTCTCTGTTGAGCCTTTGAAAGTCTTCAAGCGGGAGCTTAACATAAGAACAAGTGGTTAGGAGGCTGATTTGGTGAATTTGGTTCTGTAAATGGAACAGGCAGGAGATAATGAGGCCTTGAGCAGGGAGAAACGGCAGTAGGGGAGAACTCTATGAGAAGCGGTAAATGGAGAACCACCAGGACTTAGTCTCTGATTAGATGTGTGTCCAGGAAGGAGGCGCTGATGATCAGGCAACTGACTGAGGTTGAGGAAACCCAGGCAGAAAGTAGATGAAGGCAAGACTGACAATGTTAGTGTGTTAGCGCTCTCCAGAGAAACAGAACAAATAGGATACATACAGATAGACAAGAGGGGGTTTATTATGGGAATTGGCCTCACGCAGTTACGGAGGCCGAGAAGTCCCCCAGTCTGCCACAGCAAGCTGTGTCCCGGGAAAGCCAGTGGTGTGATTCAGCCTGAGTCCCAAGGCTGAGAACCAGGGGAGCTGAAGGTGTAACTCTCAGTCTGAGGCCAAAAGCCGGAGAACCTGGAGCTCTGATGGGCAGGAGAAGATGAGTGTCCCAGCTCCAGAACAGGTGGATTCGGTCTTCCTCCACCTGTTTGCTCTATCCAGGCCCTCCGTGGATTGGATGGTGCCCACTCACACTGGGTGAGAGCGGATCTTCTTTACTCAGCTCACTGATTCAAATGCCAGTCCATTCTGGAAACCCCCTCATAGATTTACCCGGAAATAAAGTTGTACAAGCTGTCTAGGTGTCCTTGAACCCAGTCAAGTTGGCATATAAAATTAACCATCGCAGTTACTTTTGTGAAACACTGAGTTTGAG
Organism: Homo sapiens; assembly: GCF_000001405.40. Classification (NCBI taxonomy): domain Eukaryota; kingdom Metazoa; phylum Chordata; class Mammalia; order Primates; family Hominidae; genus Homo; species Homo sapiens. The sequence continues at coordinate 4,679,773 of NC_000003.12, forward strand.
GCCCTGGGAAGATAGCAAATAGGATGTCCAACAGTCTGTAGGACACATACACTGAGAGCATGGAGGCAGGCCAGAGACCTATCTCCCTCTGGAAGAGGTGATGGCCACTGGACTGGGAAAGGTTGCTGGGAGGCTAAGCAGAGACAAGGGGAGAACGGAAGGAAGAACGTGAGTGAGATCCCTACATGATGTCAGCTGCTCAATCTTTCTTTTTGGTTCTAGCAGCAATCCTGGGAAAAGTGACCCTGTGTTGGAATAAAGGGTGAGGGAATACAGGAGGCAAAAGAAGAGGGTGTCCAAGGGTTTGTACCCAAACCAGGGGAAACAACCAGAAACAGGAAATAGGAACCAAGCTAATTTTCCATAGTAAAAAACAAATTTTTTTTTGTTAATTCTCTTAAATCCAAAGCAGGCAACTTCACTCTTTTCAGTGTTAGGCCCAGAGTTGACATTCAATACTTACTGAAATGGAGTCTTGTTTTATAGACTCCATTTATGGAGCCAGGAGTGAGTGATTTAGTGTTCCAATTGTTAAATTAATTGCCAGGATGCTGAAGCTTACACTAGAGGCTAAGGTGCTATGGGCAGACTTCATATGCCCCATGGAAGTCTGCTGTTGTTAAAATGACTGTTGAAATCTAAGCCAAATACTTGGCTCACTTAGTGCTTAAGGTAATTGATGCAGCTGATACCAGGCCCCGCCAGTGTGTGGTGGCTTGGCAGAGTCAAGATGGTATGTTAATGTAACCAATCTGTTTCCATTTCCACTTGAATCTTTAGTTTATTTTGAATGTGAGGTTGGATTATAGGATCTCCTGCCTCCTGTGTATATTTAAGCGAGAGTTTGATGAAAGCAATTCCCAGACTTCAGAAACATCCTCCGGAAACAGCAGCCAAGAAGGGCCAAGTAATGTACCAGGTTAGTGATTCAGAATGGAATTTCAGCCATAGAATGGGACCTGGCTCTAAGGAAAATGGGGAGAGCAAACAGTATCTTCTAGAAAAAGGGTGAAAATGGTTTTGAGGATTATTGCACCAGGGCATCATCCTGGCAGTTACTCTTTTTGAGCAAGTGAATAATTGATAGAGCCCAGATTCCTTCTGGGTTGGATCTTGTTTCCTTCCATCTGGGAGTGTCTTAGTGATGAGACAGTTGAGGTTTCCAGCATTGTGGCTACCCACCTCCCCCGCAAAAATACCAAAATAAAAACAGTAACAAAAAACTCTCCAGGAGACTTCTTGACCACTAGCAGCTTTTACTCACTTTGGAAGTTTTTCCCTGCCCAGGAACTAGTGGTGACGGGAGATGGTAGGAGTAGAAATAATCCCATCTACCAAGCCCAAGCTTCCATGAGTGAGATCATTGCTGTCCTTTACCAGGGGACCATGCAGTGAGGGAGGAAGGGGCAGGAATGTGGAATATGTGGTTAATGTCATCTGGGTTAGTCACTCTGCATAGCTTTGCAATATAATGTTCTGGGAGATTTGGGGTTAACTCAACAGCTTTACCCTGCAAAACTTATGGATGAGTTCACCAGCAGCATGTTTGCAGACCTTCCTGCATCTGAAGTGGTATGTTCTAACTTTTCAGGTGCTCTTGACTTTGAACACATTGAAGAACAAGCAGAAGGCATCTTTGGAGGAAGGAAAGTATATTTTCAGTTACTGTTTTGTAGGGAAGGCTGCTCTTCCAGAGCTCTCAGAGGCCTTCCCTTTATTATGTTAGTAAATATTTAGTCTCTGGGCTTAGGTTGTTTTGGTGCTATCTTTGGAACTGTTAGTACTCAAGTCAGAGTTAACTTGGTTGGCTTGATTGGGAGGAGAGAGAGAGTGAGAGAGAGAGAGAGAGAAAGTGTGTGTGTGTGTGTGTGTGTGTGTGTGTGTGTCCCACCTAGGACAGAAAGGATTTAAGGAGATTTCTCAAAATACCTACATTACAAGATTATTTTTACATAGTGAGGAAATGCAATCAAAAGAAGAATAGAAAGAGAGAGGGGCTCAAAACAGAGTGAAGTTAGTAAGATCATGTCCTGCTGCTGCTGCTGGGCTACAATTTTATCCCTGAGCTCCTTACAGGCTATGCAACAAAGAAAGCAAAATCTGGTCTTTCATTGTTCCTAATATTAATGTATGAACCCCTTTAAAAAAAAACCGCACTGGTCAATTTTGACTTAAGACATTATTATAATTATGGAACTCTTATACCTCCAAGTATAAAATTTGGTATAAACACCATATGCACATAGTTCTTATAATTAGCACACTTGGTTTGATTATTGCTTTATAACATATTACTCCAAAAAACTTAAGGATTCAAACCACCACCATTTTATTAATACTTCTTACAGTCCTGTGGCTTGATTAAGCTGGATGGTTCTTCTGCTGGTGGTCACTGTTGGGTCTGTCATACTGTAGTGAGGTGGTAACTGGGGCTGGCACCTCCAAGTTGGATTATTCACATTTCTGGCACTATAGCAGAGATGCCTGCAAGGCCAGAACTTCTTTCTCTCTCTGTCCATGTGGATAGCTTGGGCTTCTTTACAGCACGGTGGCTGACTCAAAAAGCAAATGTTCTAAGAGGACAAGCCAACAGTATGCAAGTGCTAATTGGGCCTCTGCTTGCATTGCATCTCCTAATATCTTATTGTTCAAGCAAATCCCATGGCCAAGCTCATTGTCAGTGTGGGAGGGGACTACATAAGGGTTTGAACACTCTGTTGGGGCCCACCAGTGTTAATAGTCTACCTCAATGCTTAATATAAAACCTGTGAAATTTGAATTAGCAACATTATGTACTATGATGGAAGATGTTTTTCTGAAACTTAAACATGGTATTGTGAGTTTAGCATAATACAGGTTCCATGTGCTGTGTGATCACTCAGCTCTCCCGCCATTTTCCTCATAGTGAACAGCATTGAAACCTTCACACCTTTTTGGAATACATAGCATGAATACAGTATTTATAAGTCTTCTCTGTGCTTTTCTTATTAGCCAGCAACCAGGAAGTTTCCACCATTTGTCATTCATTTGACTCTAAACCCAATATAGGTGCAGACCCAATAATTGACTAGCAGTGCTCAGTTATGGAGTAGTCTGCCATTTGATCTAGGATATGCTTATTAATATTTAAATATAGTCAGGCATGGTAGTGCATTCCTATAGTCCCAGCTACTCAGTATGCTAAGGCAGGAGGATCATTTGAGCATAGGAGTTTGAATTCAGCCTGGGCAACATAGCAAGACCTCATCTCTAAAAACTAAATACATAAACTAATAACTTAGGAGAAACACATCCTCTTGCAGTTCTCAGACCACAGACGAAGCCCAGCAGAAGAACACCCTATGTAGATGTTGAGAATCTAATGCTAGTCTTGTCACTTTGGCTTAAAATTTGACTTATCTTTTAATATGACATCTTCCTTGTCCCCTCACCTCATAATATAGTTGAAGATGAAGCAAGGCTGTATTGTTAAAGGAGCTAATGAAAAGTGAAATTGCATGTCTGGAGATCACAGTGCTAGAAATGCAACTAGGTTAGGTGCATCTGGGCCCAAGGGGCGTGAGAGGAGGCATTTGTCATTCATTTGGCCTTTCCCCACCTTGTGCTCCTTTAGTGAGGAGAACACCCCACTGGACTTGGATGACCACGGCGGCAGAACCTTTCTCCGTGTCCTGCTCCACTTGACGATGCATGACTACCCACCCCTGGTGTCAGGGGCCCTGCAGCTCCTCTTCCGGCACTTCAGCCAGAGGCAGGAGGTGCTCCAGGCCTTCAAACAGGTAGCTCAGGTCACCCACGTGTGTGTTGTCTGTCCAAGAAGCTGTTGTGTGCACCTAACGGATTGCGTTCATTAAGGTTCAACTGCTGGTTACCAGCCAAGATGTGGACAACTACAAACAGATCAAACAAGACTTGGATCAACTGAGGTCCATCGTGGAAAAGTCAGAGCTTTGGGTGTACAAAGGGCAGGGCCCCGATGAGACTATGGATGGTGCATCTGGAGAAAATGAACATAAGAAAACGGAGGTGAGTGAAACACAAGTTATGCTGCCAAAGTGGATGGATGGGCTTCTCGAAACTAGGGAGCATCCTCTTCTGGTTTTAGGTATAAATGTGATAGGATTTATTTTCAAGAGATCTGCTTGTTAAGTCACCAAGATCACAAGCTGTTTGCCTAGGAAATAAGCTACGAATCAAAGTTTAGCTATGTCTCCTGTGCAGCCTTGGACCATGTAGAAGAGACTGCGATATTGAGTGAATTAGCACCAGGTTTCCCTTACAGACCCACTTGGGAATTGACCTGTTCTCTAGGCATGGCCCAGCCCACTACTATCCCTTCCCAAGGAAACCCATAGCAAGTAGGTAGATGACTGGGGCATAAGCCCAGCATGACTATTGTAAAACAGTATAGAACTCCCTTTCTTTCCTAAAGGTCGATGCTAACTGTAAAAAACTGACAGTAGCCCAAGAGTTGTACAGATCACACTTGTGTTCACTTTGGTTTCTAGGAGGGAAATAACAAGCCACAAAAGCATGAAAGCACCAGCAGCTACAACTACAGAGTGGTCAAAGAGGTAAGCTCCTCCCCCACCACCATTTTTCCTTTCTTTATGAATTCTCTAAGGAGCTTTAGTTTGTGATAGTCAAGTTGAAGGTACACACATTTGAGCTTTTTTCTTCATGTGGTTTAACAGGGAGAAAGTAGAGCTCAGAGGTTAAGCTCATGGGTTTTGGCATCAGATCTGGGCTCCACACCCAGCTCTTCTACTTATTATTTTTGTCCTCAGCTTCCTCACCTTTTGTAGGTGCAACCTTTCGTAGGCACCGCATATTTCTGAAGCTTTACAATTGAAGGAAGGACTAATTGAGAATACTGTCAGGGAGTCATCTAAGTGCCTGGTACACAGTGTCCCCACTGAGAGCTGTAGTTTTTTAGAAACCTTTGCGTACGCTGGTTCAAAGTTGGGAGGCTGGGAGCTTTGTGTGTTTTACCCCAGAGCAAACTCTTCCCAGGGTCTCGGCAATGATGCCAGGTCATTCCATTTTAAGCGATATCTCTGAAACTGTCCCACTTGTTGTTGAAGCCATAATCCCCTGCTTATTCTGGAAGACGTGACCTTAGTCTTATGGATTTGGCTTGATGGAGTCAACAGAAATGCCACATACTGAAGGAATTTTGTTTTACGTTTTTAATGCATTATAATCCCCTTTGCCTCCCTGCCCGCCACCACCCTCTGCAATCTTTTTCCAGCTATAGTTCCTAGTTTTCTGAGACTGATTTCTTTCATTCTACTAGATTTTGATTCGGCTTAGCAAACTCTGTGTTCAAGAGAGTGCCTCAGTGAGAAAGAGCAGGAAGCAGCAACAGCGTCTGCTCCGGAACATGGGCGCGCACGCCGTGGTGCTGGAGCTGCTGCAGATTCCCTATGAGAAGGTGAGCGGTGCCTCATGCACAGCAGCTGCTCTCAGGATGGGGCGGATCCCTGGGTTTCCCCAAACTCTTCACATCTGGATATTGTTAGTGAAGAAATGCATCCAGTGTGACTATTGTGACTACAAAGCAATTTCAGGTATTGATATGAAACAGAGCATCTGAAAAATAAAGTAAAATCACCCGTGAATAATCCTCATCCCCAGTTTTAAGATTCTGTAAAGAAAGAGAGTCCATTTATTCTCCATACTCCCAAGACATATTGGATAGAGACAACTTGGTCTGTGTCAGAGCTTAGAGCTATATCTACCCATGAGTTGGTGTGTTTCAATTTCATTTGCAATGTGACTCAACCAATTTAAGTATCACCAGCTATTAAGTGCATGTAGGAACATGGGATGTGCCCACTTTTGAAGTCCTCAGTAAGACGCTGACATCTGCTTAAGTATTTGGATTTATCAGGTGATGCTTTGATCTAGGTCTTCTTTTCTGTTGCTGGAAGTTGTACTTTGCCTCTAATTTTTCACATTAGCGTTTGTCATTGATACGTATTTGATTTGGGGAGGCAGGAGCAGGCTGACAGTGCTTTGCATGCATGTAGGCTGACAAGACACTTATGAAATCATTCATTCAAGCCTACAAGACCCACTCGGGTATTTGTGTTGTGCCCACTTGACAGATGAGGAGACTGAGGCTTGGGGAGGTTTAGAGGTGAAAAGCTCAGACTCAGGTCTCTTGAGTTGACTATTAACTGCTAGAGAGACTGATTTGCTAGAGAAGACTCACCTGATGAAGGCTCATTTCTAGGTGCTTGCAGGGTGCCAGGCGCCATGCTGAGGCCTTTATACACATTATTAGCTCATGCCATCCTCAAGACACGTGGATGAGATGGGTGGTGCTATCTTTAGCCCCATTTTAGATGAGAGAGCTGCAGCGGGAGAGGTTCAGTAACTTGCGTGGATGGCACAGCTGTGTAGAGTGAAACTGGCTCCACTTCACTGTGGATCTGGGGCCTGCTGCCTTCCCTATGCCTGTCGCCTTCTACTCCAGGAAATTTCCTATGAAAGGATCCTCCTCCTCAGTCATGGGGACCATATGAATCGGGCAGGTCAGGCCTTTCGGTAGCTATAAATAAAGTCCAAGCTTAATCCCTGTCGTAGGTATAATACCTAGCTAACTTGTAGTTGATACAGGTGTGCATTATCATCCAAACTTTGCCTGTCATTTAGACTAGAACCAACAAGCTGATCTACTTCCTTGTGTGTAAGGAACGCGAGGGGGTCATTTGCTAACCATAGTGTTGTCTCATAATATCATCAGTTTCCCTAATGAGAGTTATGCCTTCATAGAGCAGGCTTAATCTACAGGTAACCAGATGTGGTTGGAATTGGTGACTCAAAGGAAGAATATCATGTGTGTGTATATCTGTGTGTGTACATGTGCACGCTTTTGTTTGCTTTTGGATGGGCACAGACTTCCAAAGAACGGTGGAGGAATCCCCCACAGGTAATCTCTTGTGACTTGATGTCTTTGGGGCTTGCTTTCCTTGGAAAAATCCGCTTCACACCACAAGGGTTCTTCACTTAGCTTGTGCACCAGCAGATTCCTTTTATACGGAAGGACTGGAGGTGTGTGGAACTGTTTAAGGTTACAGCTGTCAACCAGCAGTGGCTGTCTGTCCCAAGCCCTCTGATTTCTTAGAGCTAGAAGGTTCACCACCCCTCCTGTTAATAAGGGACAAATGTAATCCCCATTATGTTGTCCTGGGACTTGCTATTAATGTCCTTGTAAATTCTCCTCTGTTTTGGTTTGATTGTCAAAGCTGGGAGCTCACCTTCCTCCCACAACTCTGTTTTGTCACAGAGTTATTTTTCTAGACCAGGGGTTAGCAAACTACAGGCATGGGCCGAATCTAATCCACCACCTGTTTTGAACAGCATATCAGCTAGGAATGGTTATTACATTTTAAAATAGTCACATAAGTACCTACATAATGTCCTTGATACTCCCTCTCTACCCACAAAGCCCAAAGTATGTGCTGCCTTGCCCTTTAAGAAAAAGCTTGCTGACCTCAGTCTAGCCCGGAACCAAAAGCTAACATTTACAGAGTAATCACTGTCTAAGCACTTCATGTGACTTTTCTCACTTAATCTTCATAACAATCACATGAAGTGTGCACTTTTGTTATCTCCTTTTCACGGATGAGTAAACAGCGACACTGAGAGGCTAAGAAATGTGCTCCAGGTCACACAGCCAGGAAGTTGGAGATCTGGGATAAGAGTAGCGCAGTCAGGTTTGGTGACCTGCATTCCTACCTGCTATCCTCTCTTGCCTCTGAAATGAGGTGATGGCTGTGAAGACTTAGGAAGACTATTGTGGGCTGTAAGAATATGAAGGATGATTTCCAGTTTAGAAATTCTTGTTCTGTTTTTACTCTCTTAAATGTTTGCTTGTTTAGAATTGGACAAAATGGCCATGGGTTTTATAGAATTGGCTTATTACGGAATATTTAACTCTAAAATACTGAGTTTATGCTATTAATGTATGAATCACATAATCCAACCACGTGAAATGCCAGGGAGGGTATTATCCCCATTTTGCTGATGGGAAAACTAAGTCTGAGGTTAAAAATTGTACTTGGGATGATAGAGGAGTTACGGCAGGCACAGTTGCTCTAATGTGTGATCTCAGGAGATTTCCACTTTGCCATGGGAGCTGATGGCAAAAGTTAATGTCTAATAGGTCGGACAACTTAAAAAGGTGAACCCAAGAGGGAAAATGACTACTCAGCGTCAGTGAGGAAGTCAGCCCCAGTTCTGTTGTCAGTCCCTGTTTTTGTTTACTTTTAAAATTTTTATTATTTTTATCTTTTGTTAGAGATGGGTGTCTCACTATGTTGGCCAGGCTGTTCTCAAACTCCTGCCCTCAAGTGATCCACCCAAAGGGGTGGGATTACAGGTATGAGCCACTGTGCCCAGCCCGTCCCTGTCTTTAGAAGTAGGGGGTTCAGAAGTTTCAGTCCTTGCTGGATAATGGACTCATGGATGCCTTCTATTAGCCTTACTCTGCAGTGCTCCCTCCCACCCAAATAAGATCTTCACTTTCATCCAATGAGCATAGACAAGTTACTGGCTTCTTTTCAGCGTCAGCAGTGCAGCCCCTCAATATTTACCCACAACAGGTCCCCAGCAAACACCTTCTGACTCCCACGTTAGCAGGAGGTGTTGGGTATAGGAGAAGCTGGTCTCCTGGCCCAGCAATCAGTGCTTTCATCTGTCTCCTCCCACACAGGCCGAAGATACCAAGATGCAAGAGATAATGAGGTTGGCTCATGAATTTTTGCAGAATTTCTGCGCAGGCAACCAGCAGAATCAAGCTTTGCTACATAAACACATAAACCTGTTTCTCAACCCAGGGGTAAGACTTGAGGCCAATCTGCAAATCTATAGAGGGAGGAGGGCAGGGAAGAGGGAGGAGGAACAGCTTGTTCTTTGGCTGTTGTGGCTTCTGGGGCTTGTTATAATGCAACATTCATTCCAAAGGGGAACATTTTCATCACTTATCACGAGGACATAAATACTCATCTTTTGGGGATGAGATGGCAGGAGTTGGGGAGGGGAAAAGGAGGAAAGTGAGATGGATAAAGTAAGATACGTGTCTATATTTTCCTAGTCAAGTCCTTCATTGTATCAAACTTCAGCAATATAGAAGTGCTAAATGTCTCTCCTGCCACCTGCTACTGAAGTCATGCATAAAGTTTTCTGTGGCTATGTATACATATATAATATTTCCATATCAAACATATCTGTAATACATCTTAGTTTGTTAAATATATTTCTAGAAGTATATTAAATGTATTGTAGGTTTTGTAAAGAAAAATGATGCCACACTCTATGCATTGTCTTGTGTTCTGCTTTTTTCACTTAACACATTATGGATGCCTTTGCAAATCAGAGAGATATAAATTTTTCTCATTCTTCTGATGGCCAAATGACATTCCATAGAATGGCTGTAACTTTTAAAAAAACATTCTCATATTAATGGACAGTTAGGCAATGTCTGATTTTTAACTTTGTAAACAATACTGCAAAGGACATCTTTGTGCATGCACACACTCACTCACTCAGTAGTACTGCTAACACTTTCCAGAAAAAGGATTGCTGGATTGTAGGATAATATAGGTTGAGCATCCCAGATCTGAAAATCTGAAATCTGAAAGACTCCAAAATTCAAAACTTTTGAGTGCCAGTGTGATGCTCAAAGCAAACACTCATTGGAGCATTTCATATTTTAGATGTTTGGATTTAGGATGCTCAACCAGCAGACTATAATGCAAATATTCCCAAATCCAAAATGTGAAACCCTTGTGCTCCCAAGCATTTTGGATGAGGGATACTCAACCTGTGTTCCCTCAGTGTCATGTTAAGAGAAAGAAAAGTCAAAAGATAAAAAGATTAAAGCCACCACCTCACCCCAAATATAAAACTCAATAACTGTGGGTAAAAAGTGAAAAATAAGCCTTCTAGAAGGTAACATGAGAATCTTCATGGCTGTGTGGTAAGCAAAATTTTCTTACAAGGCATGCAAAGAACACTATTTTTGAAAATTGATAAATGGGCCTTCTTTTAAGAACTTCTGTTTGTCCGCTGACACCATTAAGAGCATCCAAAGGGGAGGCAGAGAGTAAAAGACATTTGCGATGCACGTTCTCAACAAAGAATTCATATCCAGAATGTACATAACACACTCAAAAAAGTCACTAAGGAAAAAGTTGACCTTCTTTTAAAAATAGGCCAGGCATGGTGGCTCACGCCTGTAATCCCAGCACTTTGGGAGGCCAAGGCAGGCGGATCACTTGAGATCAGGAGTTTGAGACCAGCCTGGCCAACATGGTGAAACCTTATCTCTATTAAAAATACAAATATTAGTTGGGTATGATGGTGAGCACCTGTAATTCAGCTACTTGGAGGCTGAGGCAGGAGAATAGCTTGAACTCAGGAGGTGGAGGTTGCAGTGAGCCAAGATTGCACCACTGCATTCCAGCCTGGGTGACAAAGCAAGACTGTATCTCAAATAAATAAATAAGTAAATAAGAACGTAAAGGCAAAAAACTTGAACAGACACCCTGTTGGAGAGGATATCCAAATGGCCAGTAAATGTGACAAAGTGTTCAACATGATTAGACATCAGAGAAATGCAAATTAAGTTATGTTTAGCCACAATAAGATGTGGCTAAAATTTAAAAGACTGACAATACTAAGTGTTGACAAGGATAGGAACAGCTGGAATGTAGAATGCAACTTGTTAACATCTTTTGAAAGCTGTCAGTATCTTCTAAAGCCAAACATACTCATACTTTGTGACCCAACAATTCTGTTCTTAGACCCAAAAGAAGTATGGGTTTAAGTTCACCAGAAGACATGTGTAAGAATGTTCACAGCAACTCTAGTATTTATAATACTAGGAATGTTACTATCTATTAAAACTGGATCCTACTCCAAATGCCCTTCCACCATAGAATAAAGATACTGTCATATATTCATGCAATGGAACTTACATATCAGTGAAAAAGAGTGCAAGAGGTTTAAGAACAGGCAAAACTAATCTGGTTATATAAGTCAAAATAGTAGTTAAATTGTGAGATAAGGCATAAAGGAGACCTGTTTTGTTTCTTGATCTGGGTGTTCAAGGTCCCTTTATAATCTATTCAGCTGAATGCTAATGAGTTGTTTACTTTTCTGTATGTTTATTTATATGTCAATGAAAAAAGCTTACTAAAAAAGAAGGTAGTACAGAAGCAAGAATGAGAGAAACATATCTTCATGGGTTTAAATGCTTCCCTTGTGTGTGTTTCAGTGGACTCTTCTTTTTCTCACTTTTTAATCTGTTCTGTCAGCTTTTTGACTTGTCCCTGTGCTCTTTTCCTCACTCTTGTGCCAGATCCTGGAGGCAGTAACCATGCAGCACATCTTCATGAACAATTTCCAGCTTTGCAGTGAGATCAACGAGAGAGTTGTTCAGCACTTCGTTCACTGCATAGAGACTCACGGTCGGAATGTCCAGTATATAAAGTTCTTACAGACAATTGTCAAGGCAGAAGGGAAATTTATTAAAAAATGCCAAGACATGGTTATGGCCGAGGTGATTGTTATATATTTCTGTATACCTCCATCTGGTGTTCTGTAGAAATTTTAAAATTATTTAATCTTATCTGTATGAACTTGCACCCTCTTCAGGAGCCATACAGAAGGACAGAAAGTAATTGTGTGTGCATATGTCTGTGTCATCTCTTGTGTGAGCTTAAGTTGTAGATATAGGCAAGAATCTGATCTGATATTTCATAGCAACCAATTTAAGGAAGGATGGCTTGGATTTTTCTGACAGGGGACAGAAAGAGGAATAAGGAACTGAATTATAGGGAATGGAGATAAAATGTAGTCAGGACCCAGTGAGCCAGAACGCTTCCATTCTTGTGGATTATGAATTTTAAAAATTATTCACCTAATTAATTAGATGGAAAAAATTTTGCCTGATGCTTTTTGAGGAGCAGTTGGTCTGTGGAATCAAGGAAAAGCCTTACTTGGTTTATTATGAATTCACTTTGATTTACAATCTTGTCTACGTATATGGTTCCATTGGCAGGGAGGGTAGTGTGATTAAGAGTTGAGGCCAACGTGGTGGCTCATGCCTGTAATCCCAGCTCTTTGGGAGGCTGAGGCAGGAGCATCACTTGAGGCCAGGAGTACAGGACCAGCCTGGGCAACATAGTAAGACCCTTGTTTCTACAAAAAATTTTAAAAATTAGCTGGGTGTAGTGGCATGTGCCCATAATCCCAGTTACAGAGGAAGATCCCTTGAGCCCAGGATTTTGACCTTGCAGTGAGCTATGATGGCACCCACTGCACTCCAGCCTGGGCAACAGAGTGAGACGTTGTCTCTTAGAAAAAAAATAAAAAAAAGAGAGAGTCGGCTCAACCTGGGATACAAATGTCACCTGAACCCCTTCACTGAAGGGTGCCATGAGATACATTACTTGACCTTTCAACTCCTCAGTGAGCTTTTCTATAACATGAAGATACGCAGATTTCACTTTAAAGAGTTGATATGTGGGGTAAATGAGATAATGGTGACATTAATGCCTAACACTTTTTGGAAGCCGGTCATACTCTAGGCACAGTCCTAAGCAGTTTGTCTATAATAAATTATTTAATCTACATAGCACTGTGAGTTAGCTATTGTATTTGTCCTGGTTTCACAGATGAAGAAACTGAGATACAATGAGGTTAGGAAGTTTGTCTAAAGAGTTTATCTTGGTATCTGGCATCTAATCATTAGAGCTCATAAAGGTTAGTCATTAGTAAGTATTGACCATGTTTATTTTGACTTCTGTGCCAGCCCTTTCTGGGTTTTTTGTACTTCATGTACTGCTGATGAAATCGATTTATTCTTAAATAAATTTGCAAGAAGCCTCATCTTAGGGGACAAGTTATAAACAGGAATGCCTCAACTTTTTGAAGAGTAAGTATGGAGAGGAAGGCATATCTTAATTAAAAGTAATTTGTTGATTGAAGAGATAAGATGGTAGATGAAAGAATTGTAAAGGGGATACATTGTAAAGCATAAAAATAAGATGGAGGCAGGGCACATTGGCTCACACCTATAATCCCAGCACTTTGGGAGGCCGAGTTGGGTGGATCATCTGAGGTTGAGAGTTCGAGACCAGCCTAGCCAACATGGGGAAACCCCGTCTCTACTAAAAATACAAAATTAGCCAGGCATGGTGGTGCATCCCTGTAATCCCAGCTACTCAGGAGGCTGAGGCAGGAGAATCGCTTGAACCAACCTGGGAGGCGGAGGTTGTGGTGAGCCGAGATCACGGCATTGCACTCCAGCCTGGGCAACAAGAGTGAAATTCCATCTCAAAAAAAATAAATAAGATGGAAACATTTAAAAAGAAATATCATAGCCTAATTGGTAGGTATGGAAATACCAGTGCAAGCTTGCAATCTCTGTTTCCACTTGATGCATTAATGCTGGTATGCAGGCTTTCTCTTCCCCTAATAGCTTTCTAGGGCCAGTGTGGTATTTCTGTATCTGTGGACTAAAATTATGATGCTGAAGATTTCTAGTTGTTCAGTTATATAAATGAATGAAGTCAAAATAGGTAAGACTGATTTGGGAAGATAAATGCTAACAGAACCTCTCTCTTCCTCTGTGAATAGATTTTTTTCATGCTGCCCCACCCCTGCAAGCTTGTAATCTAAACCCACCCTGTTCTTTATGTAGCTGGTCAATTCGGGAGAGGATGTCCTCGTGTTCTACAACGACAGAGCCTCTTTCCAGACTCTGATCCAGATGATGCGGTCAGAACGGGATCGGATGGATGAGAACAGCCCTCTCATGTACCACATCCACTTGGTCGAGCTCCTGGCTGTGTGCACGGAGGGTAAGAATGTCTACACAGAGATCAAGTGCAACTCCCTGCTCCCGCTGGATGACATCGTTCGCGTGGTGACCCACGAGGACTGCATCCCTGAGGTGAGCGAGCCCAGCCTGGCTGTGCCCTTCTCGTTGCTATGTGGTGTGTGCTGTCGTGGCTCACTGGGAGACATGGTGGTGGCTGGCCTGGGGGAGCCCTCATGGCTCTGAAAGCTGCAGCTCATTTTGTAGTGGGATTTCAGTTCCCTAAAACATTTTCTCGAGCATTGATTTTGCATGAAAGGAACACGGAAGAAGTTAGTCGTTCTTTCTGTATCTTTAAGAACAGTGAGGAAAAAAGCTTCAGCTCTGTGGACTAATTTAGCCTGTTGAGCAAAGGGGATATGACCTGAATGAACTTTTCAGAAATGTGACGAAGAGTAGGTTGAGATCTAGTCCATATGAATGTAAGACTTAGTAAGTTAATTCTTTAAAACAAAAACCCTTATTACAGAAATAATGGCCATTATAAAAAATTTAGGAACTACAGACAATCAATTAAAAAAAAAAATAATGAATACCTAAGTTTTGAAGTTAATCCTTCCAGGCTTCCTTTTTTCCTACTCATAGATTATATTGATTAGTAATGAAAAACTGGATTATAAAGTATATATTTATGATATATAAAGTATATTATAAAGTATATATTTATGATATATAAAGTATATTATAAAGTATGTATTGTAGGTTTTACAATGTGTAATATTAGTTTGTAGTACACATTTATATTACATTAAAATATATGACATATATCATATAATGTTTTTAGGTTATTTTGAAAAGCTAAAAACAGTCATGTGTCGCTTAGTGGTGGGGATATCTTTTGAGAAATGCGTTCTTCGGTGATTTCCTCATTGTGCAAACATCATACAGCGCACTTACACAAACCTAGATGGCACAGCTTGCTACACACCTCGGCTATATGGTACAGCCTCTTGCTTCCAGGCTACAAACATGCACAACATGTGACTGTCTCAGTACCGAAGGCAATTATAACACAATTGTATTTGTGTATGTAAACATGGAAAAGGTCCAGTAAAAATTGGGTATTATAATCTTATGGGTCACTGTTGTGTATGAGACCCATCATTGACCAAAATGTCATTAGTCAGTACCTGACCATACTCTTTGAAAAGTTCAAATATCAAAGACTGTAACGGGGTAAACCATGAAAAGTCTTATAATCTGTTTTCCCACCACCCTACAGAAAATAATTTATTATGTTCTTGTGTATTTTTCTAGAATTTTGCACATAAACGCATACAGTATATATACTTTACTTCCCCACCCCCTTTTTGTAAATGCAGAAGATGATACTCTAGGTATACTATTCTGTACCTTAACACTGTAACTTCTTTTCATATCAATTCATAAAAAGATGCCAGATGTTTTTTTACAGTTGCATAAAATGCCATTGTATAGATGTACTGTCACGGCCCTTTGTAAGTGTGGAACTAATTTATGATGTAATGAGATAATAATGAATAATTAATTGCTGTAATAAGAAAGCAATGAGATTGCATTCTTTTCACAGTCTTGGCCACAGTATGTTATCACACTTTTGGGTTCTCATATATCTGGCAGGTGAAAATGGTCATTTCAACATAGTTTTAATTTACAGTTCACTTGTTATGGATAAAGAAGGTAGAGTTATAACTAGTATTAGGGATGAGAGAAGCGTCGTGTTATAACAAGCATTAGTTTGTTTTTTACTCTTTTTTATTTGAAATACAACGGAAGTGCAAAAAAGTACATAAACTCAGTTGTATACTGCAAGAACGATAGAACGATTATAAAGAGAACAGCTTTGTAACTGCCACCCAGGTCAAGAAATATGCAAAAACCTCCCCCCATTCCCCTTTCCTGTCCTCACCTCCCCCAAGGGCTGTCTCCTGAGGGTAACCACAAGCTGATTTTTATGTAATCCTGCAGTTGCTTTTCTGTATACATCCCTCAACAATATAGTTTAGTTTTGTGAGGTTTTGGACTTCTTCTGTGTATCATTCCATGCCTTTTTAAGTTCAGTTCTGTGTTGTTAAGGTTGATCCACCCTGATATGTAGCTGCGTTCATTTCCTTTGCTTTGGAGCATTCCTTTCTATTGTGGCACCATGATAGGTTTTTCATTCTTCTACTGATGCTCATTTTAGTTGTTTCCAGCTTTTGGCTGTTAGGATTGTGCATACATCCTGGCCCACATGTGTACACTTCCGTCCAGGGTGTGTGGATAGTCAGAAGTGGAAGTGCTGGATCACAGGAGGTGCATTTCTTCAATTTGATGTGATACAGTCCAGTTGTTTTTAGCATGGTTGCTCCAGTTACCATTCCTCCTCCCAACCCTGCTAACATTTGCTATCATCAGATCCTTTATTATTTTTTTCAATTTGATGGTTGTATGATAGTATCGCATACCAGCTTAATTTTTAGAAGCTTCATGGAGATGTTTACAGATATGATTCACTTGTTTAAAGTGTACAATTGAGTGGTTTTTAATATATTTGCAGAGTTGTGCAATCACCATCACAATTTAGTTACTGAATATTTTCATCACCCCAAAAAGAAACCCCATGCCCATTAGCAGTCACTTCCCATTTCCTGCCAACCCCCCTAATCCTAGGCAACTGATTGTCTTTCTGAATATATGGATTTGCCTATTTGAGACATTTCATGGAATCATACACATGTGGTCTTTTATGACTGGATTTTGTCACCTACATGATTTTTCTCAAGGCTCACACAAGTTGTAGCATGTATCAGCACTTCGTTCCTTTATGTTGCTGAGTAATTTTCTATTCTATACATACACCACGTTTTGTGTGTCCATCAGTCAGTTGATGGTGATTTGGATTGTTTCCGCTTTTTGACTATTGTGAATAATGCTACTGTGCACACTTGTATACAGGATTTTGTATAGACACATGTTTTCATTAACCATAGTGGTTTTAATTTCTACGTCCTTGCTTCCTAATTGAAGTTGAGCCCCTTGCCGTGTGTTTTTTTTTTTTTTTTTTTGACATTTGATATTCCTTTAAGAAATATCTGATCCGGTTTTTTGCTTACCTTTTCTCTGGGGGTATCTATCATATAAGCACAGATCTAGGGGCATTCTTCATTGTTACACGCCTTGCAGATATCTTGTCCCAACTTGGGCCCATTTACCTCTTGAATGGTGCCTTTTTATGAACAGAAATTCTTAATTTCAAATAGTCAAACTTGTCCCTGTTCTGTGGTCAGAGGTTTTGCCTCATTCTTTACCTTGAGATCATGAAAATATTCTCTTCCAAAAGCTTTATGGTTTTGGATTTCATAATTGTGAATTTCAAATATCAGAAAATCATAGAAGTAAGACTTGGCAGTGGGGAATGGGATGACCATTTTCATCGGTCCTTGCTGTGAAGTTGAGGCAGCTAATGAGTTCCATACACACCAAGATGGTTTTTCAGAAAAGCTTCTTTCTATCTTGCAGGTTAAAATTGCATACATTAACTTCCTGAATCACTGCTATGTGGATACAGAGGTGGAAATGAAGGAGATTTATACCAGCAATCACATGTGGAAATTGTTTGAGAATTTCCTTGTAGACATCTGCAGGGTAAGGCTTTTGGAACTGAGGAGGCAGAGTTGGAGAGTGAGAGGTGTGTGTGTGTGTGTGTGTGTGTGTGTGTGTGTGTGTAGCATCTTTGTGCACACATGAAGAAAACAGCTGCATCATTTCTACTCTAATCCGTGGCATGAGGAGGCACTTGTGACTTTCTTCTCATGTATCCTTTCTTCCTTTTTTTTTTTTTTGAGCTGGAGTCTTGCTCTGTTACCTAGGCTGGAGTGCAGTGGCACAATCTCAGTTCACTGCAACCTCTACCTCCTGGGCTCAAGCAATTATCCTGCCTCAGCCTCCTGAGTAGCTGGGATTACAGGCACCTGCCACCATGCCTGGCTAATTTTTGTATTTTTAGTAGAAACAGGGTTTCATCATGTTGGCCAGGCTGGTCTTGAACTCCTGACCTCAAATGATCTGCCCACCTCAGCCTCCCAAAGTGCTAGGATTAGAAGCGTGAGCCACCACACCTGGCCATTCTTCCTACCTTTTGCTCTTAGCCGAGAATGGATGTTATTTATCAATCTGCAGGGAAGAGAGGTTATTTCTGGTTTTCATGTCACCCCTGTGGATTGGTTGGTGAATGATAACCTGGGCATATTAAAATTCAATTTATAAGGATTTATTTTCCTTGGTAATATGTCTGTGCTTGAAGGGCACTTCCCTGAGCTTGAGCATTTGTCTCCTGCAATCTGAACTTGAGGATTCTGCAAAACTCTTCACTTCCATTTACTGCTTTCCTGGCTCAGCCTCAAGAGTGGCCTTAAGATACTTCATTTGGTTTTGCATTGGGCCTAATATTCATGCTAAAGCCACAAGACTGCCACATAACAAGCATACCACAGATTTAAAATGAGTTTTGTGATGGTGGAATTTGGCAAGCAGATAGATTAAAAGATTCTTTAGAAGATAATTGTCAGATACATACCAGTTTCAGAAACATTGTGGTGTGAAAAAGGTGCACTGTAGAATCCTAGAATGTGGTATTTTCTGCTTGACTGTATGATTACTAGTGTGAGACAGAAGCCTATAAGAACTTATTTTCCTTCTGAGTGAGAACCGTATTTAGTAATATTTGGTCAGGTGTTGGTTTCACAGACATATTTTTTTAAAAATCTCAAACTCCTCCTAGTTTTTTAATCCCATTAGCCTAGGGATTTTGGCTTGGAATGGCAGGCCTGCTTTATTTGTTTAAATCAGTGCTCTGTGAAATTTTCTGTAAAGGACCAGATCGTAAATATGTTCAGCTTTGTGGGCTGTTCATCTCTTTCATGACTACTCAGTTCTGCCCTTCTAGCATGAAAGTAGCCATGGCAAGCAGATTTGGCTGTGTTCCAATAAAACTTTATTTATAAAGATAATTACTGGCCCTGATTTTGCCGATCCTTGCATTAAATTACTTAGAAATGCTGTAAAATCAGTTATTAATATCATTCTTGGAATATGTTCTCAGACTGTCTAGTTTTAAGGTGAGAACATGAGAGTCTCTTAGAACACTTGATTTTTATGTCATTCATTCTTTTCAGCATAAGCAATTTTATCTCTTAAATTATAGAACTAATGAATTCAGTAATAAAACTTGATTTTTTAAAAAATGTGCTAACCCTCTCAATGGCAAATCTTATTCTAGGCAGCAGAATTAAGCAGAGTACGGGTGAAATCGTAGGTGTCTCCTCACCCCAAAACGTGTATAGTCAGTTATTCTGAAATATGGCTTGCTATTTTGAACAATGTTGTGTATTGGTCAGATTTTAATTGAATGGAAGATTGTTGTAGGATTGGAGATGGTCAGGCCAGGTGTGGTGGCTCACACCTGTAATCCCAGTACTTTGGGAGGCCTAGGTGGGCAGATCCATTGAGTCCAGGAGTTCGAGACCAGCCTGGCCAATGTGGCGAAACCCCATCTCTACTAAAAAAAAAAAAATACAAAAATTAGCTGGGCATGGTGGTGGGCACCTGTAATCCCAGCTACTTGGGAGGCTGAGGCACGAGAATCACTTGAACCTGGAAAATGAAGGCCACAGTGGGCCAAGATCATGCCACAGCACTCCATCCTGGGTGACAGCGTGAGACTCTATCTCAAAACAAAAAAAGGATTGGAGACGGTCAGGTCCACAGGACCTCAGTAACATTTGACTATTTGGATGAGGAAACCATGGTCTAGAACCGAGGAATGGATTACTCAGGAGAGCAGTTTTCTTTTAGGGGAAATTTAAGACACCTGTAGTCACTGTGCTTCTTACTGCCGTTTGGGGTTTTGGATTTTCCAGACACACGTAGGAAGCTGCAAGCGGTGGCCTTGTTGGTCTCATACCCATTTTAATGTTTGTGATTTTGCATCATGATATCCAAGCTGATCTGCTTCTCTTTTTTTCATGATTTATATTTTATTATTATGATTCCTTAAGGGGAGAAATATTGGCCAGCAGGCCTTTACCTTTCATTTGTTAAAAGTAACCCACAGGAGGGAGTCGCAGATTTCTTAATGTTTGGTGTAGGTTTTGGTGTAATGCTTAACATACCCACTTGTCTTCCAGGCCTGTAACAACACTAGTGACAGGAAACATGCAGACTCGATTTTGGAGAAGTATGTCACCGAAATCGTCATGAGTATTGTTACTACTTTCTTCAGCTCTCCCTTCTCAGACCAGAGTACGACTTTGCAGGTAAGAAATAACCAACGTCAAGCAGAATGTTCACGATACACCTTCTGCAGTTGGGCTTGATGTGAATTTGGGAGTAAGCAATTGTAAATGAACTGGTCTGCAAGGCATTAATACAAGATATATTTCTCTTGGTGGAAGATAGCTTTGATGGGATTTCTTGGGTAAAGAAGTACCTGGGGATATTTTCTTATACTGAATGGTTCTGTTAACTGTTGATTTTCTCCTTGAGATCTTTTCTGCTTTTTTTGTCCTCCAGTCCTCTGCTTCCCTGCCCTCCAATCCTAGAGATAACATTTATAAAACATCTAGCACAGTGCCTGACACAGAGTAGGTGCTTTAATAAATGGTAGCCTGTGCTATTTCTGTCAGACTATAAGCTACATGAAGACAAAGTTATGCCTTACATGCATGGTCATCTCATATACTACTCTATCCCTTGTACCTGGCATTGTGACTGGCACTGAGTTGCTAATTTGTTGAACAAATGAATAAATGAGACTCAGGAGAGCGGTAGAGACCAGAGATAAACATGTACTGGTTGAAGCCTTAGCCAGGAAAATGAAGCGGTGAACGAAAAGGGACCTGGAGAGAACACAAATAATGGAGGATGGGATGTAAAAGAGGCAGAACAAGATCAGGAGTTTTCATGCAGGCAGGATGCGATTTGGGACCTCAGGAATGAAGAAAGGGGAGGATTTTAGGAAAAAAGCAGATGGTGAGCCATCGTGTCCTTTTGCTCTTCCAGGAGGTTGAGTGAGCTGATGTCACCTGTATTAGTGCATTTTCACGCTGCTGATAAAGACATACCCGATACTGGGCAATTTACAGAAGAAAAAGGTTTAGTGGACTCACAGTTCCATGTGGCTGGGGAGGCCTCACAGTCATGGTGGAGGGTGAAAGGCACGTCCCACATGGCAGCAGACAAGAGAAGAGAACTTGTGCAGGGAAACTCCCCTTTATAAAACCATCAGATCATGCGAGACTCATTCACTATCATGAGAACAGCATGGGAAAGACCCACCCCACGATTCAGTTACCTCCCACCAGGTGTCTCCCACAACATGTGGGAATTGTGGGAGCTACAATTCAAGATGAAGTTTGGATAGGGACACAGTCAAATCATATCCCACCAGATTGCCTGTTGCGTTTGGATGGTTAGCAGGTGGCTACTCTTATCCATTTAATCATCTTTTGTACACTGAGGTGTCAAATAGGAGCAGATCAGGTGTTCCAGGAATAGGGTTCAGTGGAATTCATCTAGTCAAGAGACACTGCTTTCTTTGAGCTGGGCTGTTGGGTTCTCATCCCAAATCCAGCACTTACTGGCTAATAGGGCAGGCGATAATGCACTGCTTCCTTCACAGGGTGATGGTGAAGGCTAAATATGTATAAAGTGCTTAGCACAGAGCCTGGCATGTAGGAAGTGCTGGGGGTAAATGACCGTTCTCATTGGGCCCTTTGAGTTAGCTCCAGAGCTAACAAGCAGCCACAAAACTCAGGGACTAAATCCTAGGTTTCCCCTGCCAGTTTCCCGGGCTGCCTCTGCTCCTGTCCTCTATTAGGAACACAGCTTACTATCTTGGGTGGCTGCAGGCAATAGGACAGAAAGTACTTCCTGAAGAAGGCAATGAGATTCTGGCTGCCAGGTGAACTTCATGGAAAGAGCATGGAGGTTTGCCATCAGAGACTCTTGCAGTTGACCTCCTGCTTTGCCGTCACTTCTCTTTTCTTTTGGATAATTTCTTTTATCCTTGCTGGGCCTTTGTTTTTCATGCGTGACGGGAAGGTAATTCCAAGTCACAGAATTGTTCACTGAGGCCTGAATGAGATCATATGTGAAATGTCTCACACATAGCATGCCCTTAATAAATGGAGATTATCTGAACCATGTTTATCAGGGAGGTTCTGAATTTTTAATTAATCTTTTTTATTTTCTTAAAATAGACTTCCTTTCTCCCCTGACGCTTTCCTTTTTCTTTCATCTCAGAGACCTCTTTCGGGGTTTTCAATACTTTTTTCTTTACTATATTAACTTCCGCTGTTTTTAGAGGGGCTATGCAAGTTGTCCCCTCTGAAACGAAAAGACCAGTTGAATAGCGCAGCACACACAGCTATCTATCTTTGCCTTGCTGGTCCAAAGCTACCCTTTGAATGGAGACCAAAACTATAATTTTTTAATGTACTCAGAAAGTCAGTGTCAAATTGATTCAGTGGATGTTTGAGTACTCTTACTTTAAAATGAGTATAAATTTATACCTTTGTAGAAAGGAATAAATCTTCTCATGTAACTTCGAAGTACTCATCATAATAAATGAATATTTATAAAGAGTAACTATCCGAATTCTCTTTATGTCATTGAAGACCTTGCCAGAAATAAAGAAGTAGCAGTCGAGGTGAGATCCACGTATCAGTTTGTTTTTGCTGATTAAAGACATGGGTTCTACTCAGTGGATATAATGTCTGGAAGGAACTTTGGGGTCAGTCTGCCTCAATCCACTTATTTTATACATTGGATGAAACTGAAGCTCAGAGAGGTGAAGTAATTTGCCTAAAGTCATGCAGCTGCTTGGTAACTGGATAAGAATACCAGTCTTTGAACTGTGGATCCATTGCTCCTTCTTGTGCTCAAACTTAGTTAAAATAGCATCAAGTTAATGCATTGCCCTAAAATGCTTCTGAGTTGCTCTCCCTTGGCTAGGTAACTTATGGAATTTAGCTCTTATCCAGGCATCCCCTCTCACCCTTGCCTCAGGGTCCATTAACAAGGCAGTGTCTGTCTCTGATCTGGGGTCCAGTGGTTCAAGACAATGTCTCTGTCTCTGATCGGATCATCAGTAGTCTACAAATAAAAATCTGTTTTTCACGTTGCCTCTTTTGGCTTCTTGCAGACTCGCCAGCCTGTCTTTGTGCAACTGCTGCAAGGCGTGTTCAGGGTTTACCACTGCAACTGGTTAATGCCAAGCCAAAAAGCCTCCGTGGAGAGCTGTATTCGGGTGCTGTCTGATGTAGGTAAGATACCAAGTCAGTTTGGATATACGTGATGAAAATGAATTGTCTGACAGTAGTAAGGCTGCCATTTATTGAGCACTCATTACAACTCTTCTAAAGTTACACAGACAGGAAGTTTCAGAGCCAGACCCGGAACCAAGGTCTTCTTGATTGCTGGGCTTCTTTTTTTATCTACCAAGCCAGCATTTCCCAAGGGAAGAGCCAGTGAGTCCTAAGTCAGATAGGCCTAGATAAACAAGCTTCCATGGTTGTTAGGCAATTCTTTGGCAAGTAACGATACACACAGCTTATTCAAGGCCCTGGGAAGTCCCTCATTCAAGAAACTAATTTGTTTAATCCAGCAAATGTACTTGACCATGTGGTAACTTTTTCCTGGAAAGCACCTGTCACATCCTAAGGAACACCCTTTCTCAGAAATGGTGCACTGCTCCCTTCTTCCCCTTGAGTAGAAATGATTCTCCATTTCCTCTGTGACTCCCCTCCTGTCCCGCCTCTCATAGGCAGCCTTTGAAAGGAAGTTAGGAAAATTTCTTTTTCCTTCATCCTGACTTTATCAGACTCCATGACTTGACCCATTCCCCACCCCCTATTAATGTTGTGCAAAGAGGTAAGCTTCCTGCCTGAAGTTGAGAAGAGAGTTACCTGCCTGGAGTGGCCTCTTAGATCCTTGCAGACAGTAACAAGAAGAGCAAGACAGGTGTAGTTCTCAGCATTATTTAGTGGCTGTCCAGCAACTGTCAATTGTGTAGGTAAGATATCAAGTCAGTTTGGATATACCTTGGGAGATACGTATAATCTATTAGGACTGTTGCCTGATTTCGGTAGTCTCTCGCCCAGTTCCTTTACTCTCCTATGGTAGGTGTTGATGTCTTTTTATTATTGGTGTGGCCGTATTTCACAGTAAGAAATTAGGTTTTGGAAAATATATACACGACAGGTTCATTGTGTTATATCTTAGAAACAGGGCCCTGCAATGAAATTCCCAGATAACCCTATACTTTTTCCATACAGGATTATCTATCAAAAAGAATGTGCCTGGTGAACTAATGTGGAAGTAGAAAGCCAAATACCACACGTTCTCACTTAAAGTGGGAGCTAAATATTGGGTCCACGTGGATGTAAAGATGGGGGACTACTAGAGGGGTAAAGGGGGAAAAGCGTTGAAAAACTACCTGTTGGAGGCCGGGCGCAGTGGCTCATGCCTGTAATCCCAGCACTTTGGGAGGCTGAGACGGGCAGATCACCTGAGGTTGGGAGTTCAAGACCAGCCTGACCAACATGGAGAAACCCCATCTCTACTAAAAATACAAAATTAGCCTGGCATGGCGGCGCATGCCTGTAATCCCAGCTACTCAGGAGGCTGAGGCAGGAGAATCGCTTGAACCTGGGAGGCGGAGGTTGCGGTGAGCCGAGATCACGCCGCTGCACTCCAGCCTGGGCGACAGGAGCGCAACTCTGTCTCAAAAAAACAAAAAAATCCCTACCTGTTGGGTACTCTGTTCTCTATCTGGGTGATGGGTTCGATCATACCCTAAACCTCAGCATTAAGCAATACACTTCTGCAGCAAACCTGCACGGGTACCCCCTGATTCTAAGATAAAAGTTGGAAAAAAGAAAAAAAAAAGTTGTGCTTGTTGAGGCCAAAGGAAACGTAGGAGGAAGCCCTTGCCACAGAGGTTAGTTTTTGTTTAATATTTTAGCAAGTGGTTGACTTGACTAGTAGCTCAGTGCTCATTAGAGAGGGGAAGTCTTTCCATTTGTCTTGGTGGTGATAAGACAAAAGACAAGGAGAGTTGATGTCTGTGGAACGGTAAGACATGAAAACAGCACTACCCAGAGTCCCCTCTGTGCCTCTTGGGGGTCGCTTCCTCATGACTAATACCACACCCAGAACCCACTGTGTTAGTTGTTTAGCTTATGAATATCCAAGGCATAGAGTTTCTAGCTGTGACGGGTGTACCCTGTGCATCCTGCTTTTCAATTGTTAATTATTTGTATTTTTCCAAATTTCCCACTTTCTATATTAGACTGTTAGAAAGTTGTTGGCTGGCTTATAGTTTTTTTTCCGCTAAATTGTGTGTGTGTGTATGTTTTTAAATGGGATTTAAATAATTGCTTCTCAGATTCCTCTTTCAGGATGTTGGAGTTGTTTTTACAATTAGATAGTTGAGTACTTTCTTTGCTTCTAGTGTTTTGAAGCATTGAAGACAGGAAATCATTGTTTTTTGGACATTTTCCCATATGGAAAAGAGTGATTATTAGTCTTAATTATCTTCCTTTTCAAAATCTTTTATTTTGGAATAATTTCAGGTTTATGGGACTGTAGCAAGGGTAATACAGAGAGTTCCCACAAATCCCTCACCCATTGTCACCCGTTGTCAGCATCTTACATTAGCAGGGCACCTTTGTCAAGGCTAGGAAACTGACACTGGTACAGTGCTATTACCTCAACTCCAGGCTCGATTCGAATTTCACCACTTTTCCCACTGCTGTCCCTTGTCATGCCCTTTTTCTGTTCCAGGATTTGGTCCAGGTACCACCTTGCATTTGGTTGTCATGTCTCTCCAGTCTCTTCTGGTCTGTGACCATTTCTCAGCCTTTCCTTGTTTCTTATGACCTTGACAGTCTTGACAAGTACTAGTCAGGAGTCCTGTAGAGTGTCTCCCATTATGGGTTTGACTGATGTTTGTCTCATGCTTAGACTGGAGTTCTCCTTTTTTAAGACGAAGAAAGAAGCACCTATCCAGAAAGAGGAGTTTATGCCATTGTGAATGCTACCTTTAGGATTATGTTTGGGATAACCCAGCATTTTTGTAGATTGTTGAACAAACCTGAAAAATAACTAGCAAATGATTCATTGGCCAAACGAGTTCCCTGTCTTGATTATTCTTAAAATACACACACACCTCAGTGACCCTAAGAAGCCATTCATTGAGGAAACCCATTGAACTTTAACTCTGACATGCCCTGGCCTTATGACCTGAGAGCATTTTAACATTCCTAAGAACTGCTTCCCCCCAGAATTCACACTGGGAAACCCTGACCTAAAAGATGGTAAAGTTGACTTGAGCTTCTCAGTCTTTAAGCTCAATACCAGGCAAGCTGGCCCATTCTGGGTGTGAAAAACCTGCTGGATGGGGACTAGGGCATTACGTCCATCTGTAGGGTGTCCCCCATAAAAGTTGTAGGCTCACGACTCATCTTTCTCCTGTGCAGCCAAGAGCCGGGCCATTGCCATTCCCGTGGACCTGGACAGCCAAGTCAACAACCTCTTTCTCAAGTCCCACAGCATTGTGCAGAAAACAGCCATGAACTGGCGGCTCTCAGCCCGCAATGCCGCACGCAGGGACTCTGTTCTGGCAGCTTCCAGAGACTACCGGAATATCATTGAGAGATTGCAGGTAATGCCTGGTGTTGAGAGAAGTGATGCTTAGCCTGGCCTCACGTGATTGCCACACACAGCAGTGCATCCTTGAGCCACAGAGCATCTAAGCTGGGCCGTGGGAAGATGTCGGTGTGCTGAACGAATAGTCAAATGTTATATATGTAGGGCCAGGAGTGGGAAGTTACTTAGGAATAGAAAAGTTCCTGAAAAGTGATGGTCTTTAAAGGTTACTCCTAGATTTGCAGATTTCTTGGTGAAAAATTGGGACTCTGCTCTTATTAGAAGGAAGTATTGAAGTATTACAGAGGATGTTTAGAGTAAGAGCATAAATGTTCCATTTTCCCCATCACTCTGGGGTTATTTAGCCTCTTGAATCAGCAGGTGAACAAGGGTGGTGATACCTGAGAGAAGAATTTTACATCAGAATGAGCCAGATGGAAACAAAAGTATTCCTTCCAGCTAGATTATTTACCTTTTTTCGTAGAATCTACCAAGACATCTGCTCTCCTTTTGTTAAAGGGGAGAGTAGTGAGTATTAGATGTTAAGCACTTAAACATGCATCTTAACATTAACGTATTTTTTATACAAGCACCTCAGTTGATGCTCTCACAGGTAGTACATAGGTCACAGTTTGAGAATCGCAGATCCTTTGAATGAGCCCACAAGCAGTGTTTAAGAGTGTAGTCTCAGGCCAGTGCCTGGGTTAAATTTAAATCCTGGCTCTGCCGCTTAGAAATGGTGTAATCTTGGGAAAGTTACTTGACTTCTCGGTCCTTCAGATTCCTAGTCTGTAAAACAGTAGCACCTACCTCGTGGGGTTGATGTGAGGATTAAGAGAGTTGATAATATGTCCCAGTTACCTGTATTTCGTGCAGTAAATCACAACAATTACCTTATTCTCTTTTGCTCTTCTGGAGGTTGACTGGGCTCCGCTAGCTATTTCTTGCTTAGAGTCTTTCATGGCGTTGCAGTCAGATAGTGACTGCGGTTGGACTCATCTTGACACCTTGCTCACTCGCATATTTGGCAGTTGATGCTGGTTGTCAGGTGGGACCTCAGCTGGAGTTGTCGACTGAAACATCTCCATATAGCCTGGGCTTCCTCACATCATGGCGGCTGTGTCCCAAGATGAGTGTGTGTAGAGAGAGACAAGTGAAAACTTTATTGTTGTTATGACCTAGTTTCAGAAGTCACATAGCGTCACTTTTACTGTACTCTTTTGGTCAAGGCAGTCTCAAAGGTTCACTCCAGTTCAGGGGGAGGGAATCTAGACCATCATTCAGTGAAAGGGATGTCAGTGTCACATTGTAAGAAGAATGTGAAAGACAGGATGTATTGTGGTATAGCCATCTTAGGAAAATAGAGTGCACATAAAACACATAGAGCAGTGCCTGGCATGTAGTGAGCACTCAGTTGAGGGCTGCTATTATTATTATTACTATTATTACTGTTGTTTACTGCTATGATTGTAATAGTTACTGAGTCTCTGTACAGTTACACAACCTACTTGAAGACAGATGAATTCGTTAAATCATTCATCAGCTCCATGCTAGGCTCTGGGGATACAGTGGTCAGCAAAACCAGAAATGATGATCTTTGTCTCATAGTATCTCAAGTATCAGAAGGGAGAAAGAGACATTAATTTTAAATATAAAATGGTGAGAGGGACAAGTGAGAAGTGCAGAGAAGTGAGGAGCGCTTGAAAGATTCTGATGAGGAAACTAATTTTGTCTGAGGTTAGGGATGAGGGTCAAGGAAGACCTTGCTGAGGAAAGTAACATTTTGAACCAAGATGAGAAGGAACAGCAGGACTTAAAGAATAAAAGGGAGGGAAACAGCATGTGTAAAGACCGTTATACCGAAAAGAAGATGAAAATAAAAGTATTACTCAATTCCAGCTAGATTATTCCTTTTTTTTCTTAGCGTCTACCAAGAGATCTGCTCTCCCTTTGTTAAAAGGGAGAGTCGTATTAGATGGGTGTTAAACACTTAAACGTGCATCTTAACTTGACCTATGAAACCCTGCTCTTATGAGCAAAGGAAGTTGAGTGTGGCTGGAGCCAGGAAGCTGGGGAGGCTGGCGGGATTTCTCGGGTCAAGTTAAGAATTTCAGCCTTTATCATAACACAACCAGTTCTTAAATAACAAAGAGAACCAGTTCTTGATTCCTGATGGAGTGCTTCCTGATCCCACTATGCTTTTAGAAAGGCGGGAGGGATGTTGTAGACTCCTCACTCCATGAGCATACAGTATTTTCTCGCCTGCTCAAATGAAACAAACTATCTGCAATCAAACATGCTGGTTTCTTGTGCTCTTCTTAGATTTATTATGCATATTCTTGGGAAGTTAAATGAAACGCGTAGGTGGGCAGTACTGTTCTAAGGACTTGGCCAGTGACGTAAAGGATTTGCATTATCCAGTTATTTACTGTCTGAGTTTTTGTGGTTGATGAGATTGCCTAGTGCAGCAAAAGTTGTAATATAAGAAATTCACTCGCAAACAGACCACTTCTATAATTAATCCCCATCTAGACATCCTTCTCACTTAATGCTAGCATCTTTCCCCGCCCATTGCTTTGCCATCTTTGTTGATGTCTCCTTGATTGCTGAATGCTATACATTTGACAGTACAATGCAAATCAATTGCAATGTAAAGTTCAAACTGTGCAAAAGATGCAGGATTTCATGAAATACATGAACATGATAAGAACAACTTTAATCCTGTGTAAATACCGTAGACAAAGATTTGCCAGAGTCAGGATCAATAACTATTGAAGAGAATATTGACTGGGTGCTTCCAAAAGGGATGCTATGGGGGGAACTGATAAGAGCCTCAGAATTTTGCAGAAATGACCCTTTTTTGACTGTGCTGTGAAAGTCAGTATGAACTAAGGGATGTTGCAAAGTACCGTCTTACAGTCTTGTTGGGAAAATTGCCCCACTCAAAATTATTTGATTGATTCATGTATCTTTATGCATCTTAAACCTTACTGAGTGATTACATTCATCACCCAAATTGTGTTAAATCTAAGATTAAATTATCTTCATGTCATTAGTTTCTGGATGAAAGATTAGTTAATTCTTTGTCAATCCCAACTGGGTCCCAATTTAAGCAGCTTTTCCCATGCAAATGTCCTTGGGTAACCAGGCCTTCCTGTATTATCCAACGTGCTGTGTTTGGCCCCTGTCTTAGCCAACATGCCTGTAGGCAGGTTCTGAGTCACCAAACCATGGAGCAGGCTTTAGCATCTTTTGAAGATAATTTCTCATCTGTTTTCTATCATTTGCCTTCAAATGGTGTTTGTTGTGTTGGTTTTGCTGCTCTTTCAACTTCTCTCTGTTTTCCTTTCCTACAGCTATGTGTTTTGCATTTGAAGACCATCATGCTATCAGGGTACATGTATTTAGCATGTTGATACAGCATGTTCATTCATTGGTGTCCTCATGTTTGTATGACTTTATTATGTGAATAATTCATGCTCATTGAAAATAAACAACACTGACAAGTATTTCTATATAGAAGAAAATCAGAATCACCTGTAATCCCACCACCCAGAGAAAACCAGTAGTAATGTTTTAATATTTGATGTTTATCCTTTAGCTAGATATTGATGATGTTTATAAAAATAGGATTATTATTGTTTGACCTTTGTTATGCCCATGTCATAGACATCTTTCCATGTTGTTAAATTGATTTTTTGCGTCATATTTTAAGCTACATGCAGTGGTACCTTGAGTAGCATAAGGGCCACCTTGAAAGAAGGGGTGGTGGGAAAGTTGACTTGTTTTCACTTTGTTTTCTGCATCAGAGGCTAATGTTTCAGGTAACCATTGGGCAATGTCTAATAATTTGAGATGCCAGACGGTACTAAAGTTACTCTAACCTAGCCTACCCGTGCATCAGTGTTTTAGGGCAGAAATCAATGTCCTCACCCTCCTGTGGTCAGCGTCTGCCTGAGCCGTTGACTGAGGCTGTGTTTCCGTTTTAGGACATCGTCTCCGCGCTGGAGGACCGTCTCAGGCCCCTGGTGCAGGCAGAGTTATCTGTGCTCGTGGATGTTCTCCACAGACCCGAGCTGCTTTTCCCAGAGAACACAGACGCCAGAAGGAAATGTGAAAGTGGCGGTTTCATTTGCAAGTAAGCGGCCTCTCTCTCTGGGGTGTTCATTTGCCAGAACCTTGATGACCTCACAAAGCTTTTGTTCCCGAAGAAGGAGACGTTGTCCTGTTTTTTAACTTTGATGAATGCAAGGTCATGTGCTAAAGTCCTGTTCTGACCTCCCCAAAGTAAGTTTGTCTATTAAATCCTGCTTACTGACACTTTTTTGTTTTGTTTTGTTTTGCTTTGTTTTTTGGTGAGAAGTTCTTATTTTCACTGCATGCCCATTCATTCATTCATTACAGTGCACCCACCGTGTGCTGTGGTACAGACATAAAAAAGCCATGATCCCTCAGCCCTCAGAAATCTCAGATCTATCGTGACCTCACCATCTTTTCCTAATAATTTTGTAATTTCTTAGTTTATGCCTTGTGCGTAATCTGTAAGCAACAAGCAGACCCATGGTTAGAAATCTCCATTAGATTTTTGCCCCAAGGCCGGACACGGTGGCTCATGCCTGTAATCCCAGCACTTTGGGAGGCCGGGGCTGGTGAATCACCTGAGGTCAGGGGTTCAAGACCAGCCTGGCCAACATGGTGAAACCCTATCTTGACTAAAAATACAAAAATTAGCTGGGCATGGTGGCGGGCTCCTGTAATCCCAGCTACTCTGTGGCTGAGGCAGGGGAATCACTTGAACCCAGGAAGCAGAGGCTACAGTGAGCCAAGATCGCGCTACTGCACTCCAGCCTGGGTGGCAGAACGAGACCTTGTCTCAAAAAAAAAAAAAAAAAAAAAAAAAGAGATTTTTACCCTAAGATTAGTTGTTTGTTTAGCTTGGGGCTGGACTCTGCATGTGAGTTTCTTACTTTTCTGGGCCCCTCTAAGGACAAGCTTGTGCATAAGGGAACTGTGTGTATTGGCCTCAACCATCATCCTCATGAGTTGTTTTTGTTTTACAGTGTTGGCATATTTGACCCATTTTACTGGCAATTCTCAGTGGATAAATAGCCACGCTTTATAAACGAGCAGGTCTGAGTGGACCTCTGTCTCGGTTCTCCTCTCCATATAATCTCTCCATTGTATGTGGCTGACTCCTGCCCAGTGAGCCTGTTTGCTGTGATTTACCAGCAGGTGTCACTATTGAGACACAGTTGCTAACTGGCTGTTCTCAGTGCAGGGAATGCCCTGAAGTATCTTTAACCTGAGAGCTCTTAATAAATATTTGTTCATTAACGGACTAGTTAAAATAAATTGCTTGTGAAGTCTTTTTAATTTAAAATTAGCTTCAAGGAAGTAATCCGTGGTTTTCCCCCCATTCAGGTTAATAAAGCATACAAAACAGCTGCTAGAAGAAAATGAAGAGAAGCTCTGCATTAAGGTCCTACAGACCCTGAGG
This sequence comes from Homo sapiens, assembly GCF_000001405.40. Classification (NCBI taxonomy): domain Eukaryota; kingdom Metazoa; phylum Chordata; class Mammalia; order Primates; family Hominidae; genus Homo; species Homo sapiens. Next base: position 4,711,833 of record NC_000003.12, read on the forward strand.
GAAATGATGACCAAAGATAGAGGCTATGGAGAAAAGGTACTGCATTTTATTTTCATGGTCAAACCAGGTTTTACTATGAAACTGAAGGGAGGGACCTTTCAAAACCCACCTTAGCTCAGGCATTACTGACTGAGGGGCTAGCTTTTTTTAAAAGAAAGAAAGAAAGAAAGAAAAAGCTGTTTATCCTGCCGTTAAAGGGAGCTAAATCATATGACTGTCTTTTTTAAAAGTCAAATATACTTAGTCGTCTCTTATAGGCTGATTGCCACATAATCTAATGTCAGAGAAGTGGTAATAACAAGATTTTCCATCTATTTAAATTCCCAGTGAGGAGCAAATGCCTCTTTTGTATCAAAGTATGCGTTTCTGATTTTTAGGTTTCAGCCAAGCATACCTGTGGGTTTACTTGCCTCGTTCAGATGAGCTGTTGCGCAATCCTTTCAGTGCATCAAGAAACGCCCTCCACTTCTAACTGCAATTAAGGCAGGCATACACGTCACCACTTCTGAGGGAGATTGGGAAATGGACAGTCCCGTGACCTGATTGTTCTTAGTATATGCAGTGAACAAGGATATACCAGATCCATTCCTTACACCTCTGATGTTGGGTAGAGCAGGACAGAAACAATGTCATTCCCTTTCCTTTCAGCCCCCAGCAACAAATGATGGGCGTGAATTGAAATCTCACTCATTTTCATTTGAAGGTAATAATGTTCAGTAACGGTCAGCTAGCTACATTTAGCAACAATTTCTGAGTAGGTGAATATGCTGATATCACTGACTTATCAAAATACCCAGTAAGTCATTTTTCAGCTCTAGGAAGAAGCCTTGATAATTAAATCAGCCTGCCTTGTCAAAATCGATGGTGGCAACCAGATTGTCACAAGTATAAATGTCTGCAGGAATGTTGCTTTCTAACCTATCTGTCATTAATATTAGAGCAATGTTACTAGTGAGACTCCTTGGATAAGAAAACAGAAAACGGATTTTGCAGTTTCTTAGTTTATACCACGGGGCATAATCTGTAAGCAACAAGAGTTCCATGACTAGAAATGTCCATTACATTTTTTAGAAACTAATTAGAACATAGGTTTCTGTAACTCAGTAGGAATTTTGCAGAGAAAACCTGCCAGACAAGAGTTTATAAATATAAATGATGGAAGTGAAGACCCCTGGCAAGGTGAGAAGTGCTGGGATGGCCTGTTCATACCTGTATAGGCACCTAGTAGATCTCTTAAAAACAAGAAAAGAAAAAAGGTGGGGGGTACGGGGGAAGGCTGATGGCAGAGAATACACTTACCAGACAAATAAATATTAACCATTTATTTCACAAGATCTTCATTTCTCTTAAAGTGAGTTTTCAGAAACATTTATAAAATATGAATCTAGTTACAGAAACTTGCTCTCCATAAAAAAGGTTAAATCCACCAAAGCTGAGTGAATATTTTTGCATCCATGGGCATAAAACCTGATTTTTCAAATCTGGAGACCACAATTTTCTCTTATTTGGAATATCTATTTCTTTCCATAACCGAGGTATTTAAAGTAAACTTCGGTGCCTCTATTCTAGTGACTTACAAGTTGTGATTATACATGCAGTTCCCTGCAGTTGTCTTTTTATAACCTGGAACGTAGAAGCATTGTCCTGGAGTTTCCTGAGTCTCTATTGCCTGGCGGACAAGTATGTCAGGGTCTTTGAGGCTATGTGGAAGGTGTGCTGCCCTGCTCCCTGCCCCTACCCATTAGTGCCAACTGGGAGAGCATCCCAGACCCCAGGGGATGCCGCATGAGAAATGTCGTAATGCATGTTATAAAGCTCATGGAGAAAGAAAGGGCATAGGGTTGAGAGGACCCTCAAAGGAGATCACTTGGAAAGAGTAAATTATATCACAGTTTTGTAGAGGTTCCTGGGGTCTAGCTTAAATCCTTTTCAGCTGGTGAAGAAATCAGTCACACCTAAGCAGAGAGGCTTGGAGAAGAGATGGCCTTTCTTTCCAGTCTGGTTAGGGCTGTCATTCCCATCCATGAATGTGAACAAACTATAGGCCAGCAAGGAAAATGCCATGAAAGCAAGGAAGATGCTCTAGAAACCCATGTTAGCCACTCCAAACCTGCAAGACTTGTCGTGCTTCTGGCCCAATGCTTGACTGCCAGGAAATGCTACTTAGCCATTCCTATTAATTGAGCTTCAAAAGAGAGAGAAGGAGAACAAGGGACACTAAAGTATTTCTGTCTCCTGACCTGGTAGCTGGTATTCACTTTGTCTGTCTCACTAAGGCTTTTTGAAGATGCTTTTTGATGGTTTACTGGCTGCCCCGTTTGACTAAAGAAGCATGACGCACAGGGCAGGCCGACTTTTTCAAGGGCAGAAATAACCCGGAGCCAAAGAACTAAGCTTTCTCAAGCAAACCAGTTGGCTTGAGTCAATATAATAAATGAGGTGTTCTTTGGCCTGGGTGCTGAGGACGACACCACGGTGAGTGTGGAGGCCGTTTCCCTCCTCCCATCCCTGTTTTCTGATGAGTGGCCTCTTATGGAGCTTGTCCCATGACTGACACTTCCCTGGTGATGTCCAGAATTGTTCTGCTTCTCTGCCCTCTCCTGAGCCTTCACCGCCAAAGAATCGGATCTGGAGGGGCCCTGGCATGGCTTCTTCCAACTCTCCCTGTGCCTACGAGGAGGCTGGGGCTAAGAGCTGAGAGACTGCCCGAGGTCACGTGTGAAGTCTAGATGAGATCAAGACTACCGTCTGGGTTTCCCAAATCCCTGTGAGGTGTCCTCTCCAGCCTCTCCTGAGGTGGTGTCCACCATGTGTGGGCTGGGTTTTCTTGCCTTTTTTCTAAGCGATAATCCTTAAAGATGACGAGACGTAGGTACCTTTACCCATCTTTACTTTTTCATTCAACTTTAGTACTTAGTCAAGGTCACAGATGAAAAAGAAAGTTGACATCATTCTTTATTATCCTGTTCAAAAACTTTGGCGTGCCTGTTTGGGTCTCCCTGCCTTGGGGAAGAAAGGCCATGAAGAACTGTCACCCATATTACCAAATAGACTAAAACATGATAGAATCACTGTAAGACTGACCTACACTTTTTAAAAGTCATGGATATTCACTAGTTTCCTAGATTATAAGTTACAATGATAACATTGATCGACCTCTTGTCATGTGCTAGCCACTATACTAAACACATCTGCCTTATCTCAGTTCAGCCTCAGAGATAGATACCACTATTGTCATTAACTATTTTATACGCAAGGAAGAGAAAACATAGGCTCTGAGAGCTACAGAATTTGCCCGGGGTTACATAGTTAATTACAAGGCAACCTGGCTTTCAAACCCAGACAGTCCGATCCTAGAGTCCTAGCTCTTCACCACTGCATTATCAGTGAACAGATGGACACCATTTGAGTGTTTTGAGGTCCACCTACAGGTTGAACCTGTAAGTTTCCTTTATGTTACACGATTATGTAAACAATAGTGGGCATTAGCCCTGAGAGCACTAAATGTATCAAAACTTAAACATCTAGTCTTCAGCTCATTGCTGATTTTTCACACAGTTGAGAACACTCTCCAATAGACGCCAAGTGCATTTACAAAGTGTGATTGTCCCAAGGTCATCCAAAACCTGTAGTTTTGGTCAGTTCCCACACAGAGGAATCAGACTAGTGAGTAGCAAGTGGTTGGTTCACTTGTCTGGGTCCAGTGCCCCCAAGAAGTGCCTGTTCAAGAACTATCATGGCCGGATATGGTGGCTCATGCCTGTAATCCCAGCACTTTGGGAGGCCGAGGCGGGTGGATCACCTGAGGTCAGGAGTTCGAGACCAGCCTGGCCAACATGGAGAAACCCCGTCTCTACTAAAAATACAAAAATTAGCCTGACGTGGTGCCACACTCCTATAATCCCAGCTATTTGGGAGGCTGAGGCAGGAGAATTACTTGAACCCAGGAGGTGGAGGTTGTAGTGAGCCAAGATTGCACCACTGCACTCCAGCCTGGGTGACAGAGCAAGACTCCATCTCAAAACAACAACGACAACAAATTATCACATATGATGAAAGGTAGGGGCTGACTGAAGAAGATGGCCAGAGATTTTAATCATGACCACTTAGGAATAAAAAAAATCTTTAATTCTTATGTCTCTAAAATGCAAAGGACCACCAATGCATATACTTCTCAGATCGTTAAATATAAAATAAATATTAAAATTATCACCAAAATAATGATGAAATACATTTTTGCATGATGCTTATAGTGTCTTTTGGTCCTGTGTATTCAAAGTTAATAAACTTTAAAATTATATCAGGACTTTATAAACACTCTGTGTGCAATGCCTACTAATCTCTGCTTTTAATCTACAGTTTAAACCATGTCTGTGTTGAAAAGAAAATAACCTCCCACAGCTAAATAGCTCTAAAATTTAATCTGAATCACTCTCTAACTCAGAAAATCTTCAAGCCCCTAGACCCTGCTTGAGAAGGAAACATAATTATTTTATGTATTATTAATAACTGGTTTTGTTTACTGTGGGTTTTTATTATTAAACTGCTGTTGACTTAAGTTATTACTCAAAGAGCTTTGGAAAGAAATTCAGAGGCCAGGAATTAATGTAAAAGGATATCTTAGAATGTATTTAAAATCCATTTCCCTTCTGAATAGTAGTAGCTGTTTTAGTACTAGAAAGTATATGACCTCAGGTAATGCCTGGGTTTTCATTTCATACAAATTGTCAGTCTCCTATTAATTACCAAAGCGTCTTTGCTCCAGCTGAGTAAAGTATTAACATTTCCAGCTACTAGTGTTTCTGACAGCAACTTAAATTTGCAAAACATACTAAATGTTAACAAAGCCTAATAAAAAATCAGTTGAGGATCATCCAACTATCCTTAAACAAGCGTAATTGTGATACTTCTCTTGTGCTTTTGTTTTTCTTGGACACGATGCTGATAAATCCCATGTCACTAATATCACTTGAGTTGGCACTAATCATCCTAGAGGGAATATAGTTTCCTTTAATCATCCACAGGACCAGGCTGGGGATATGCTGGTCTTATTAGCTGCTGAAGTTACAGCTGGTACCGTTTGAGCTTCTGACCCCCGACTGAGTCATAAAATGAAGCTAAGGAAAGAATTTTCTTCTAAACTGGGCTAATTCTACTCTAGTCTTTCACTCTACTCTTTCCCACCCTCTTCGGAAAAAAACATTGGGGAATTTGCCCTTGCTCCCAGCTCGGTTCATGTTTTCATGTCCACAAGCAAGCACACGGCTGTCTGCACATGTGGTTAAGTGACCTGCGAGGTCTGATGCCTGATATGTGAATAAAGCGTGGCAGCATCGTGTCCGTTTTGGTCCTGAGCAGATGTCACTGTGAGCTCTGGCCGTGTCCTAAGCGCCCAAGCCTCTTAGGATGGTTACCCATCTAGCAAGGCTTTAAGGAGAAACGTCAGCAATAAGAGTAAAGTCTATAAACTTGGCTGGCTTGTATTTCCTTTCCTAACATTTCCTTCTCTCTCTCTCCCCTTTTTTCTTTTCCAGCTAATTTCCATTGATGAATTGGATAATGCTGAGGTCCTAATTTTGTTGTTTTTTGTTTTTCATGTCTCATGGTGGTGTTTCCGTGACACCTTCCCAGTTAGCCCTGTGATCCTTCCTCTAGTCTCACAGCGTCGAGTATCTGGCTTTGTGTGGTGTGCCCTCTGGGAGTGAGTGGAGTCTGTCGTGTCTGTGTTAGCATTTCCCATGAGTTTGTTTGCCATTAGTCCTTGGAGATCTCATCTGAGTCTAGATGAAGACTTTCTAAACTGCAGTAAGATTTTAATTGTTCACTGTCTAAAATCTCAGCTGAATTTGTGGTTGACGCTGGCCATTAACCTATCTCTGAAAGTCAGTTTTGAAATTGGCCTAAAGAACTTCTCTATCTGTGAGTAAAGCATCTGATACAAAACGATACAACAGCATTGGTATAATTTGAAAGTAGTAAAAAAGGAAAACTCATTACCCTCTTGGTCTACGTATTGAAAAGTATTGAGTGTGAGAGTTCATATAAAACTTTTTTTAAGCGCAGTGTGAATTCCTACGTGCTAGTTGAGACTTTCCATCCGCAGGCTCACCGGCAAGGTTAGAAATGTCCTGTATCCATGGCTTCTCTTCTAGGAAAACTATGTATAGATCCAGAAATTGAATATCATCCAGTGGCTTCTGTACTTATATATCAAGCTAGTTTCCCGTACCCAGAATTACCATGGAGACTGACTAGTGGTCATTTTGTTTGGGATCTGGGGGCCTCTTGAATGTTTTCTGTTTTGTGCATTTCTTCAGTATTCCTTGCTGTATTTTTAGGTTGTGACACATGCTAGGTAAATGCTACCAGAAAATTTTAATTTGAGGAATTCATGTACATAATTGAGAGGGTTTCATTGGTTGGCAAATCAAGCAAACTGGACAAAAACTTAATTTGTCTTTTAAAAGTCACTTCTCTGATCTACTTCAGATCTCTGTTTCTTCTTTTAGTAGACCAACTAATGCCTTTAGATGAGATAGAGCTACCAAATAGAACATGCTGTCTACTCTAGTATCTACTCTAATTAATACACCGTAATTTCAGGAATACTAAGAAATGGTTCAGATATCCCTAAGGAGGGTTTGAATTACCAGCTTGAAACAGAAAGCAGCATGAGTGCTTATGTTGAATTTGGCACAGTTGCCTCCGGAATGGAGCTCAGAGAGGCTAAGTGACTGGTCCTAGCTCACACAGCTAGACAGTGACTAAATCAGGACAAACACGTGGCTGGCTTTCCTGATGTGCTTACTGTTCTACCACAGTCAATTCCATAAGCACAGATTTTTCCTTATATTAATTAGACGGGAGCAGGTGAGAGGGCCATGCCTTCTGGGAAGACTAGAAGGTGAGAAAAACAAAAGGGAGTGCACCAACTTAATTAACTGCCGTTAACTGCAGGGAATTTTGCCGTTTCCTGTTTAGCATTCCTTCTTCCGGGTTATTTATATGCCAGAAAAATCACTTCTATGCTGAATTTGATGTTGGCACCCTTTAAGACTCTTGTTTCTACGTAGAGTTGTAAATGCCTCACTGATTTAAATTTTTCCTCTGAAATATTGAGGTTGAGTTTCTATTTGCTTAAGTACAAATGAAGTCGGGAAAGGAAAACCTTCCCTAATCAGAGTCTGTGGTGTTATTAATACACTGTTTTGCCCCATAGTAATCAGTTGATGTGTTTGCTTGCTCAAGATAGAACTTGGGTCTCCTGGCTGGGAGTTTATTGCTCACTTATGGAAAGATTCCACAGTTGGAGCAGGTGTGTTTGTAATTATACTCTAGGAAATAGAATACTGTCTGTTTATAAAAGAGGAATGTTCTGGCAGCCACTCAGATTCTTTGAAAATTCCCTGAAGAAGCAACTGTGGATCCCCTTCTGCGTTGTTCCCCTGGCAACTGCCAGCGCTGGGACACCGATGCCCTGTCCCCAGCCCCTCAGGCTGGTGGATCTGGCCCTCTCAGCGGAGATGCCTCCTTGGCCTTTATAATTGATGCCGTTCTGGAAGCTACCACAGCTCCTGTGGTTTCTCCCCCACCAAGTCGTTTGCCGGTGTGTACTCCTGGAAACCTGCAGCCCACAGCTGGAGTTCTGCAGAAGCTTAATGAGAATTCGTGCTGGCCCGGGATTAAGGCAGGGCCTCACATCTGAACTGCGTACCCATGTTCCAAAGTCTAAATGTGGTGGGGAAGAGCCCCAAGGCTGTGTAGGGCCTGCCCAGTGGCCCACTGAGGAAGGGACGCCATGCTTTGATCATAAAGGCCACTTGATGTGCAATTAATGACTTGATAAAAAGTACAATGCCTACTGAGGCCCTGTCAGTGCTCTGAGAAAACAGGGTGAAATGAGGACACAGGTGTAGATTTCCTGCAAGAAAAGCGCATGGTATGGGGTCTTCCCCGCTGCATTCTAGAATAAAATTTTGTTTGAAACCAGGAAGAGGAGGGGTTGTTTGTTTTTTGGCAAGCAAAGAGGCAGGGTCTCCATCCTTACCCCCTGATTTTTCTTAATCCCCTGGGGCTGGGGCAGGGGGACAGATGGGGTGGAGGAGAGAGAGAAACTCCTCATGTTGTTGTACCTTCCGCTCAGAGCTGGGTGAATTGTTACACATGTGTACACCTGTGTAGCCGCCACCTAAATCAAGACACAGAATGTTTCCATCATCCCAGAAAGTTCCCTCCTCTAGCCATTCTTGGCTTGAAAGAGTTAACAGCTGGTGCTAAAGACATTCATTTATATGACTAATATTTGAGTGCCTGTTACGTCCAGGGGGATTTGGATACAGTGGTGCCCCAAATGGGCACAGTGTCTGCCATTCTGGAGATTACAGTTTTGTGGGGGGCAAAGGGACAATAATACAGATTCATGCAAGATGACAGCTCTCAGCTGTGAGACACATTAGAAAGGAGAAGCTCATGGAATCCGGGGACTTCTACCTAAGCAGGGAGGCCAGGTAGCGGCTTAGGAGATCAGGTGATGACAGGTGAGTGGCCCCAACAGGTAATCATGTGAATTGCTTTCCTATGCTTTAAAGTGCTGCACTAATCAAACGGATAGTTCCAGCGAAGTACTCCCGAGGTGGTGAGCAGAACAGTAGTCCACCTAGTTTTCATAGATGTGTCTGTAGAAGGGATTGGTGTGTTTAGAAAGCAGGTACTGTGGTTCAGTGGACGTGTCTGTTTCTACGTATTTGAGATGTGATTCCCACTGAATCACTGCCTCCTTGGAACTGTGGAATCTCTGGAGCCATTGGTGCCAGCTAGCAACTTTGCCCTCCTGCATTGCAACAAAAAAGCTAAATTCACATTCCAGCTACTCAGGGCGGCTGCAGCCTGCATATGTTAACTCCTCGACTTCTCCTACTTGAGCTGCTTCTGCCGGCAAAAGATGCCATTGTAAAATTCGAGGTAGAGGGGGAAACAGGAGAAACAAAGAGTGATTAAATTTCACCTTCAGGGGGCGTTCTCATGACGCCCAACCCAGGGTGGAGATGTCCTACTTTTTACATTGCTGTGAACTGCTGGGTTGGGTACCTGCCAGTGTTCAGGCAGCAGTTACATAAGAGCTGCTTTTTTTCCTGGAATTTAGGCTCACTGCTGATGTGTGACCTTCAGCAGTAATTGCCAATAAATGCAGTGGGGCTGTTTACTGTTAGACACTGGCAACCACAGAGCAAACTCAACTCAGAACATACAGAACCTATTGCAAAGTCAGTGGAGGGATATATATATATATATATTTATATATATTTATATATGTCTGTGTGTAGATACGTGTGTGTGCGTGTATATATATATATATATATATATATATATATGCATATCACTGAGATTATTCCGTAATGACTGAAGTTGTATAATTTGGTCATGTCAGAATGTGTTTTTAAAAAATGAACTTTGCTATTGGGTTCTGATGAGCTTGTCCTATAAACTGTAGGTGAAACCACATTGTTGGAGCTAAATAATTTTTGCTTAGTTCTGTTTCTAAAAACAAATAGAGTTAGTAAAGATAGTTGTCTCAGCAGATAGGAAGATTTAAAGTTGTTCTACTGAAATGCTAGATAACTTCTATTTTAGCTCAATTTTCTTTAAAGCTTTCTGTTTTCTTAGTGTGGGTTTTCAGAGGCTGATGCAGGATCGGGCCCAGCAAACATATTTGCAAGCCTGTTCACTGTTGGTCTCCTCTGAGGTTATGAGTGAGTGGAAAGGAACTCTGAAGACTGATTCGAGCGGCTGGAGATACAAATTGTCTTTGATTTGCTGATAACTAGATCTACGGTACAGTTACATTTTTTGAATTGCATTCGGTTTCTATCAGGTTAGTCATAGAAAGAGACATCCCATTTCAAAGGAAAATTCTAGAAGCCCCAGGGTAGGAAGGGGATTACTGCTGAGGGCAGTAGAAAACAAAGGGTATTTGCAGGCCGCGATCTGTGCTGGTCTGTGATAGGCACACATGAAGCGGATGGATGGATGTGCGTGGGTGCTGTTGTGCAGACACCAGAAATAGTCACCTTAGGAAGTCTGTGTGCTCCTTTTCATTTAAGAATGATAAAGTATAATTTCTTTCATTTGTAGTAGAAATTTGTCCCTTGATAAAATGCTGGGTACATTATGTGTTGCAAGTGAGTAGATCAGTGTCGCATATGCATATATTCAGTTACTACCCAAGGTACCATAATGAGGGCCTGATTCGTGGCCTCATCCAGGAAGGACACTTAAGATTCAGTGACTTGAGGTGCAGTTTGAATTTCTATTTCAAAGCCATTCATTGGGAGTCATTTTTCTATTAAGTTAGGTTTTGCTCACCTCGCCTAAAAACACTGGGAAGACAAGATTGCAGAGTAAATATGAAGAGGCAGTAGAGGGCACTAGTTGGTTTCTCAGTTCAAAACCAGAGCACATCAGATCACTATGAATCGCCTGCTGATGTGTGAGATTGGCCTTGACTGGAGGTGCCAGCGCCTGAACGCAGTGACTGGTCCTGGGACTAAGCAGGAATACAGAACATGGGAATTTCAGAGAGCCCGTGCCCTCAAAATGTTCCCCCTAAACACATGTTCAATGAGGGCTTCACCTTTCATGTAAAAAACGTGACAATAAAAATATAATTCCATTTATTCATTTACTAAACATTATCTTTTCCTTGGGGTATTATACATTGTATTTATACAGATCTTATTTGAACATATATATCCTATTAATATGCTTATATTTATTGAAATTACAGCTTATTGCCATAAAATAACCTTATCCTCAAGGAAACATAGCCAACATCCGCATTAGAAGGAAGTGCTAGTATAGGCTATGGGTGGTTTTACCGACTTAGATACCATGTATGGCCTGGCCCCTTCCATGCCTGGCCCATGGGTTGGATTATTTAGGGAACTTGCCAGCTAGATATTGTGAAATGAAATTTACTGAAAATAAACCAAGGATTAATTAGTATTTTAGTTAGAAGGAATCCTAAAGAATATTTGCAGCCATGTGTGGTGACTCACACCTGTAATCCCAGCACTTTGGGAGCCCGAGGCAGGCGGATCACTTGAGGTCAGGAGTTCGAGATCAGCCAGGCCCACATGGTGAAACCATGTCTCTACTAAAAATACAAAATTAGCTGGGTGTGGTGGTGCATGCCTGTAGTCCCAGCTACTCAGGAGGCTGAGGCAGGAGAATCGCTTGAACCCTGGAGGCGGAGGTTGCAGTGAGCCGAGATCATGCCACTGCACTTCAGCCTGGGAGACAGAGCAAGACTCCATCACAAAAACAGACAGACACACAAAAAAAGAATATTTGCTTTGTCCTCCTTGAGTAGGTCAGGAAGTGGATGCCCAGAGAGGTTCAGTGACTGGCTCAGGGCCACACAGAGAGCCAGAGCTAAACCCTGGATGAGCCATAGTCACAGGATGCTCATGCAGTGCTCTGGGGTTTTCCAGTCTATTCCACGAAGGGATCACATTGAAAAGTGTTTTTCTGGTTAGACACGATTCTTGAAGATGCAAAGCATCCTCTGTTTTCTCAAACGGCTTCGTAAAATTTTCAAGGGAAAAGACAGTTATTAATTTAAATTTAATTTTTGTTTTAAGAATTAATTAAACTAATTTTAGAACAAGCATGACAGCAGTTTAACAGAGGAAATAGTGTGTCAGTACAATCATAAAACATAATCCCTGCCGGGTGATTAAGAAATAGATATATACTACCTATTTCTATTCTGAAAGAATTCAAGATGCTTCTCTGGACAAAGAGAGCACAGGCAAGAGAATTCAAACAGACGACATACTAGTTCCATCTTTATTTTCTTTTGCTTTTGTTTTGATTGGCAAAGGGGTAAGAGGGTAGCTCCGTGCATTCCTATGGTGAATCCATGCCTATAATTCTTTTGTTCTGATCATATTGGATCAGTATAAAGGATGCTGTAGTGGGAGGGTTTCCCATGCAAATAGTAGAATATAATACTTCTGTCTATATCTCTGTCTGCTCTAAAATGCATGGGAAATTGCTTTAATTCTGCTTTTTCTCATATGTTCTTTTTGCACTAAGGGAAGATAGCAAAAATGTTTACACAGTTTTAATTCTTTAGCATACAGAATGTAAGGGTAGAGTTAAAAATGCATTCTTGGATTGTGATCTTTCTATCATTTTGAAAATACCTTTACCTGTGCTCTGCTTTTACTTTCCTTCCCCACTCATGTCCTTCCTACCACCAGCACTGTCCCTCCCCACCCCGAGCAGGAGGCTGCATGCTTCAGAGGGAAGTTTTCTCCCTGAGATTAGTGGAGTTGGACTCATGCAGGAAAGGTCGTCTGTCCAGAATTGAGTGAGCAACCCTTGTTGTCTTTGCCGAAGTAGTTTAATGCCCTGGATCTTTCTTTCATTTTCTCTGTTGGGAAATAGACAAAAGACAGAAATCATTAGATTACATAATATAGCAGCCCTATATTAAGAGGCTTTCTTCCCTCTTGGGGATCAAACTATCAAAAGGGTAATGTTGAGCTGGACGAAGACACCACCAGATTTCGTAGTGTCACTCATCTCATGCTTTCAACACCAGCCCTGGCCTGCCACCTGACAGCCACCTTCTGGCCCTGAGGTGAGTGTGCTGGAGCCCTGTTAGAGGCCAAGGTCACATAGTTGCAGCGTGAGCCTCGGGTTTGTCTCGTGGCCTCAGACTACACCTCACACTAGTCACACCGCTGGTGTGTGACTTTGGTCCCGAGATGCCCAGGTGGGGTCTGGCAGTTCCATCTGACATCTCTTCTCTGCTCCAGGCACATGTCCTTTTGGAGGGCAGATTCACGGCACTGTCTGCAGATGGAGCGGTGGACTTTTCTCCAGGCACACCTTTGTGTAGCCCCTGCATGCCCTCTCACCCCTTCCCCCTCACCTGCATGTCCTTTCGAGGCATCCTTTTGTTGCTCATCCATGGGCTGGAAATTATTAAATCAAGGGGGAGGGTGGTATCTGTGTGGCATGGCTGGGATGGGGCCAGGAAACCCAGACCATGAAGCCCTCAAGGGAAACGCATGGGGTGGGAAACTCATCTCCAAAGTAACCCTGAGTGCAGGAAACCTTGTTTCTCCCAGAGACACTGGAGCAGGGAGACTGCATCCCCTAAGCCCAAGCTGGAGCCTAGGTCTTCTTCTCTGCTGTAGGACAGGATGTGGAGAATGGAGAGACATGGGAGAAAGCCTAAACCCACAGGAGACATGTGGCACGTGGAACTTTCCCAAGCCTTGGGCCCCTGCTTTCATCACTACCCCTGCTCCCCTGAGAGCCTCCGTGGACACGCATACTATTGCTTTCCTTGTCTCGGTGGACTGAGACAAGGATGTGCTGTGGTTTTTCCTGTCACTTGCTTTGTTTTAAAGCATCATTCCTCCTTGGTTAGTGGTAGACTTTTTTTGTTTCTTTCTTATCTTAAATGTGTTCCCCCATCGCAGGTCGATTGTCTCCTCCAGCACAACCACATTCAGTTTGATTTGAAGGTATCTGGTCACCTTGATTGCTGAAGCCCACTTCGGCAGGTGATCCAGCAGGGTTGCCTCATCTCTGATCCTTCCTCCTGTGTTTTGTCCTTGAGTGTTGGTCTCTGGACTTCTCTGTGGCCCACGAGATGCAAGTGCCATGACTAACGTACTTCGTTTTACTCCCAATTAGCTTCCTCCAGCTCCGGATTCTGAGAACGCCACTGAGGTGTGTTGCCCGCCTATATTTGTAGCGCCAGCGCCAGCAAATATGGATGCCTCTCAGTTGTCCTGGTTGGGTGTCTGAATTGTTGTAACAAAAAGTCTCTCCCGGTGGTAGATGTAGGAGGGAGGTCTCTAGGCTGGCTGGGAACAGATCATTGCTGACGTGGATGTGGCTCTCAGTGTAGAAAGTTCTGAGGAGCTGGATCCAAACTGAGCATCCTCCAGGTGCCAGGACATGGTTCTTTGAAAGTTCTCACTCAGAACCATCTTAATCCTGAGACATTTAGCTGAGACATGTGAGGATGTTAAGACCTTTCTGCTGTTATACAAAATTGACTTTGGGTCCTGTGCAGAGATGATGCACTTTTGAAGTTATTATAAATCAATAATAAAGAATATTTATAATTGTAGAAAAAGCTACTAATAAACTTGTAATTTTGCAATGCACTTTTAAAAATATTTTTATTTTTTTGAGACAAAGTCTTGTTGTCACCCAGGCTGGAGTGCAGTGGCACAACCTTGGCTCACTGCAACCTCTGCCTCCTGGGTTCAAGTGATTCTCCTGCCTCAGCCTCCCGGGTAGCTGGGATTACAGGCATGTGCAACAACGCTCAGCGAATTTTTGTATTTTTAGTAGAGATGGGGTTTTGCCGTGTTGGCCAGCCTGGTCTCAAACTCCTGACCTCAGGTGATCCACCCGCCTCAGCCTCTGAAAGTGCTGGGATTACAGGCATGAGGCTCTGCGCCCAGCCTATGATGCAGTTAAAAAAAAAAAAAAAATCTATCCTCCTTGCTGCTAACTAAACTCACTAAATGAAGGACTAACGTTTACTAAGGTCTGTAAGATCATAGAGAAGCTTTTTGGGGAGACATATTTCCAAGTATCAAAATTTAATTTCAGAAACTATTCCAAAATCACAGTAGTTCAAGCTAGAATGAAGTGTACTTTATTTGAAAGAAGACTTAAAAATGAAACATGAACAAATGATTGAATAGCTAAGTTGCAGTGTCTATGTTTTCTAATGATCAGTGTTTAATATCCTAATCAGAGCTCCTCATTCTGTTAACGGTTTTGTTACAAGACTTGTGTACTTGTGGGGTGGGGAAAGCCGTGGTCCCATATCTGTGTCTGCTCAGAGGCGTGTGTCTTGATGTCCTTATGCATGTGCTGTGCAATGATGCATGTATGAATCATAAGGACCTGCCCGATTGAGTCTTGCATTACAACCCCTTTTGGGTTAATGTCACAGCATATAATATAGAACTTCTTTTTCATGATCTTTGCAATAAATTATGTTGGCCAAAAAGTCATATGTCTGCCCATTTTGAACAGTGCACTAGGGTTGGGGGTATGGGACAGTCGTTAAGCAGCATCTAAAGTAATCAAGCATGGATATACGGGGGAAAAACAAAAATCCAGACCTATTCTCCTTTTGTGTAACTCTTGTCTATATATGAACTCTCAATGTATTTTATATGTGACTGATGCTGCAGATGGTAGTGTCTCCTTAGTGTTGTATTAAAATGGAATTTCTGCATGCCTAGCAGGAGCTTGAACCAAGTCCACCCCTGCGGCAGCTGGAAGACCATAAAAGGGTACGTAGTCTTGAGTCTTGGGTATCGGGAGCTAATGATCAATGACCGTAACACCTCCATCAGCCACACACTGTGATTGAGAGACAGCTTTTGTTGTTGATATTGTTAAAGCATTAATTGACTCAAGAGCAATCACAGCCATGTATATAAATGAAACTAAATAGTGGTTCTGCCCATTGTCTACCTGATCAGAGCACTGTAACCAGCTGGCCTCCAAATAATGACCAAGTAAACTTTTCATGTCCTTTTTTCTTTTCTGTGGTGGCTTTCTATTTAGGTGAAATATAAAAGAAAAAGAAAAACTGTAATGGCTGATGACCATTATAATTTATAATTTTAAAAAAATGGAAAAACGTTCATAATTACATTACCTAGCCACAAGAGCCACTGTTTTTGTTTGTTATTTGGGGTGGTTTTTTAGAGACAGATATTACTCTGTTGCTCAGGCTGGAATGTAGTGGTGCAATCTCAGCTCACTGCAGCCTCAACCTCCTGGGCTCAAGAGATCCTCCTGCCTCAGCTTCCCGAGTAGCTGGGACCATAGGCACCACACCCGGCTAGTTTTCTTTTATTTTTTATTTTTGTAGAGACAGAGTCTTGCTATGTTTCCCAGGCGGGTCTCAGACTCCTGGGCTCAAGCAATCCTCTTGCCTTGGCCTCCCAAAGTGCTGGGATTACAGGTGTGTGCCACCATGCCCAGCCCCACTAATGTTTTAATATTTCCTTCTACCTATTTTTTATACACATGAGCACATGTGCCAACAGACACAGGCACATTTGCATTGTCATTGGGATTATTCTAGGTATACAACTTTTGTACCCTGTTTTGTCATTTAGTACTGGATCTGAGCATTTGTTTTGAAAATCTTTGAAAGTTAACAGCTGCCTGAAGTTCCTCAAATTAACAGGTGGTTCATCACTGTTTTCCTTTGATGAAGAAATGAATGAATGTGTGCATCTTTGAATAAATTCCTAGAAGAGGAATTCCTTGGCCAAGGGGTAGATCTGTTTTTAAGGTGCTGACTGTGCCTTGCCAAACCATTTCTAGAAGATTGTGTATATCCATGAGCATGCTGACAGCACTGATTTTCATGTTGCCCATTTTTGGGAAGATAACCAGATGTCCTGGTGACACAGGCTTCATCCGCATTTCACAAGTAGGACCTTGAGACTCTGGGATGTTCAACATCTTGTCTAAGGTCATGGAGTTCAAAAATGACCTGTCATTATGAAGACTGTCTTGGAACTATGGTCGTCGGTGTCTAGGAGAATTTTTCTTTTATTTTTGTGGGTACATAGTAGGTGTATGTATTTATAGGGTACATGAGATGTTTTGACACAGGCACACAATGTGAAATACACACATCATGGAGAATGGGGTATCCATCCCCTCAAGCATTTATCCTTTGAGTTGCAAACAATCCAATTACACTCTTTAAGTTACTTTAAAATGTACAATTATGTTATTGTTGACTGTAGTCACCCTATTGTGCTATGAAATAGCAGGTCTTGTTCATTTTTTGTAACTATTTTTTTGGTACCCATTAACCATCCCCACCTGTCCCCTGTCTTGGAGAATTGATGCCTGAGATAAATGGGTAGCCAGATGCACCTGTACTCTGCTCACACACCCAGGCCCCTGCCCAGTCCCACTACATCCCAAATCCCTTTTGTTTTCTTGCTCTGATAGAGACATCAACTTTGTGATTTCTCAGACTAGGACCAGAGAATAGCTCCAGGAAGTTGGCATTTCATCCGAATTCGGGACATGAGGCTATAGCCCTTCTTCTCCAGCTTCCTGTATCTCCTGCACTTCATGGCCCGAGGCACCTTGCATTCTTATATTTTCCATCCTTGCCTGCCCTTTAGAATTGTCCTAGGTCCTAGGAGTAGCTGATAAAGGCACATAGCTGTCCCTCATGTCCTGAGCTCTCAGAGGACTTGGTATGGAATGCTGCCTATGCCTGTGAACTTTGTAATTAGAAACAGGTTCAAGTTTTGGGGTTTTCTTTTTGCCAGATACTAGCTGTGTGATTTTGAGCAAGTTAACCTCCCTGTGCCTCAGTTTCTTCTGCTGTAAAATGGGGGTGACAATGGTCCCTATACCTTAGGACAGTGAGCTGTGCACATGAAGCCCTTAACACAGTGGCTGGAATGTGATAAGGGATATTAACTTGTAGATACCTTGTGGAGTGAAACATTGAGGTGATTTTGTAGACAACAAGAGGAGAAGGAAGGTATTTTAAAATCCAGGCGCTACCCTCATGCCGACTAAGGTGTGAGAGGCTCACAGCTCACATGAGAGGGTGATCTTGCCTGAAGCACATGATTTTTAAGTGGCTGGAACCTGGGAAACCGAAAGGTCAGTTCTCTCTCTCCTTTGTGTGTGGCAATGTTAACTCCTTAGTGCCTTGTTCAACACTGGCTCTCTTCCCACGCAGTTCATTCGCTTATTTAGTTCAGTTCATATCAGTGGAACTCATATTGGTAGAGTGACCAGGTAGGAGCTTGGTTTAATTACTCCACATCACTAATCTACCAATTTTCATTGTTTTAATGTGACACTTATTACAAATGACTTTTTCTTTTCTCAGTCTTAGGTAATAATGTGTGGGAATTTCTGACTGAGACAAACATCTGATATTTGTTTGCATACTGTAGGTGTAAACTGCTGGAAAAAAACTGGTATTATTTTTAAAAAGGGTTGCACAGCCAAATGTTAAAGCTGAAGAAGTGACGTTATTTTAGAAGTCTTTTTTTTTTTTTTTCCTTCTCTGCAATCAGATTTCTCAGCCTGGTACATTATGAACAGCTTAGTGCTGTTGAGTAATTTATATCAGGATGATTAGGAAAGCTTTTCTCTGCAGATTTTAATTTTTCTTAAATTAAACCACTGGCTCAAACAGAATTTTCCTTGAACCCAAGTTTTCACATTAGAGATTTGCATAACTTTTAATAATTCTTATCCATTTTCCTTTTCTATCCCCTCTTACCTATAATTCTCAGTCTTTATTCTTTCAAAAAAGGAATGAATCTCATCTTTAAAAAAAAAAAAAACAAAAAAAAACCTTGCTCTCTGGTTTTTCTTCCTTGCAGTTTAATTGTGTGTGTGTGTGTATGTGTGTATAGAGAAGGTGAGATGAATATGTGCCAAAAACCTTATAATTAAAAGCAAAAAAAAAAGTTTGTTGGGTGGAATGTGTGTGTGTGTGTGTGTGTGTGTGTGTGTGTGTGTGTGTGTGTGTGTTTCCCCCAGAATGAGCACATTTCATGATATTCTCTTATGGGGGAAAATGTACCATTTGATGCATCAGTTGCTATGGTAACTGCTAGGGTTTTTCTGTTGAAGGAGAGACAAAATGGTAATGTGAGATCCCTTTGTAACTTGAGTTTGGCATCCAGTCTGCATAAATGTGGAGTTCCTGTTCCTGGCGTCCACGTGCTCCTTTCATTACCTCCTGCTTGCTTGATTGCAGACTGACCAGGGTCTTGCTGTTCACCCTCAAAAACACGAAGGGGGGAAGAAAAAAGCCACCACTAGAAACTGAAAATCTAAGCAAGTCACTCTAGCTCCAAGTGGAATCGTGGTACACAGGCTCCAGTTGAGACCCCCTTAAGAGATGTGTGTTTGTTGACTGGTCACAACCATACTGCCTTTCACTTGACCACTCAACCCTATGCTCTTTCAGATTCCCGTTGCGATGGCTACGTTGGCTGTCTTCCCTGGCTGCGGCTTACGGGTCTCAGCCCAGCCATCTAGCGCTCAAACAATGTTCTCACAGTGCCAAAGGGGATCCAGTCAGAGACTCAGGATGGTCAGCTGCCAATCACTCCTGTTGCTGGAACTCAAAGTCTGTGTCATACTGAAAGAAAATCAAATAGATGCATTATGATATTTAAAAAGGGAAATCATATTTAATCTATCATATTCAACATGGAGACAACCTTTTCTTTCTCTCAATTCTTTCTTCATAGGCTTTCTTGAATGTAGCTTTCAAACTTGTACTTCTCTTATGAAGTCAGCCTTTTAAATCACTGCGTTCCCAGTGACTTCTTCAGAGAGTGCTGATGTGTTTATACTGGTGCCTGAGACTGGAATACCAGTAAAGTTGTATCTTGTTTCCAGAATGGGGTATTCCAAGTCATTAAAGCATCTTGCACCGAAACTTTCTTCCCCACCTGTGAGCAGTTTATTTAAAAAGTACTTAAAATATCACCAGTAACTTACCCATTTGAAGCACTCTTGGAATTTTGAATTTACAGTCAGTCCAGTGGGAAATGAGTTTCATGAGCTGATAGAAGTTACCCTCCTTTGCTGAACTATGAAGAGAGGCATATTTGTGGGTGGAATGGAGAGAGGAAATTTGGGATTTTTTTGTTTTCTGCACATTCATTTAAAAATCAGTCCCCTCCCGTCTCCCCTGTTTATCCCATCCCAATCTGTCCCTGGAATCTTTAATTAGCAGCATGAATTAACAGAGTAGATAAACCCTTTCTGGGACTTTCCATGGTTTTGATGATTGACAGGAGCCAAGAGTTTCCTGCCTATCTCCTTTCCTCCTTGGTCCCCCACTTCTCCCAGGGTGCCTCACGTTTCCCAGGGTCCCTGCTTCAGTCTGCTCCCTCCCATCTTGTTTTGCAAATGCCTCACTTGAAATCTCCAGACCTATTCTCAGAGCTTATTAACAAATCATTTTAAATTCTTCTGACTCATGGTTCAGTTGCAGGTCTCTTCAAAAGAACTCTGGAGTCTCTGTTTTAGAGACCTGCTAGATTTCAACACCTTTCCTCTCGGCCAGACTTCTTCTCCCTCACCTCTCTTCATGACGTACCAGAGGAACTCCGTGACTTGCTACTTTGATTCCGGAAAGGAGTCCAGGGAAAATTTATACAGCCTTTGACTTTTAGAACCTTCAGATTAGGAGGTGGTCTTGGGGCCCCTTAGGAGTGCGGGTGAAAGTGTAGAGCTGAGAATGCAGAACGCATGCTGCCTCTGGTTACTGGCTTGCCAGTATCCCCCAGTATTACTGAACAATGGAGGTTTTTTTGGTTAGAGTAATAACAAAGAGTTACTATATCCCTGTTCAGGACTCTTTGATATTTATATTTTTAAAAAATTTTATTACAGAAAGGTTGAAATGTATATAAAAGGAGTCAGAAAGGTTTTGAAACCCCTCATTCATAACTCTGCTTCAACAGCAACTGTCAGCTCATGCCCACTCTTGTCTCACTTATATCCCTCGCTGCTTCCCCTTCTCTCCTGTATTGTTTTAAAGAAGATTCCAGACAAAATGCCATTTTACCTATGTTGGGTTTTTTTTTATATATTTGATATCTGCCACTCATGCCACTAATTTATTTCCTATAGCATTATGAGGTTTTTGTTGTTGTTTTGGTTTGTCTTTTGTTTTTTTAACCATTTGGCCCATCGACTATTTTTGTAAGAAAGGCTTACTCTTGGCTTATTGTATCATCTTATTCTATTACCCTGATATCTTAATATTTTTTCGGACCTTGGGAATAAACCTTGTGGTTGAAATAACATTTTTATATTGCTATGTGGAAGCTGACCTGTAAGCCTTTTCAATTTGTCTTAATTTTATCAACTTACCCCAAAGAGATTTTTGTTTGTTATTGTTAGTTGTCCTTCAAAATTACTGTTCTGTCTTATCATTGTGTGAGAGGGAACTTCAGTCAATATTTTAGATTGCTACCGTTTTTTAAAAAACATCTGGTTTTCTGAGAAAATATTGAAGTTAACTTCAGAGTTTCTAAATGCTTCCATGAATAATTTATTCTTTCGCCAAGTGAAACTGGGCCAATTATAACTGAGTACCCCTGTGTGTTTTGAATATTCGTCCCTCGGTGATGCATTAAATGCAGAAGCTGATTTTATTATCCTGTTTGAATTAAGGGTGAGGCGCTCAGGCAAGTTCTGGTCAACCGTTACTATGGAAACGTCAGACCTTCGGGACGAAGAGAGAGCCTTACCAGCTTTGGCAATGGCCCACTGTCAGCAGGAGGACCCGGCAAGCCCGGGGGAGGAGGTACGCTTTGTGGTGTAATTACCTTCGTGTGTGAATCAAGTGTGTTCTGTGATAGCTGCATGTTTCCTCCTAACAGGTTGAAATGCTCACAACAGATGAATTTGTGTTGCAGGTGTATTTTTTAGCAACTTGTTTTGTCTTTGGTCTACCATCAAATTGATGCCTAAACATATTTTCCTGCAAACTAGCATTTCCCTGCAACTAGATGGTGGCTAAGCCTTTTGCTCCTCCTTCCCATGCAGTGACCATCTTGGTGATGGTTGAATGATTTGAGGGATTTGATTTTATTGCACTTCGTCCCGTGGTTGTTAGGACTCTTGTCTTTCCGTAAAATAATGAGGATATTGGCACCCAGGATAGTGAAAGCTGCCATTTATTATACATTTACTGAATGCCAGGGGCTTTCCTAAGTGCATTGCATTCTTTGTCTCATTTTCTCCTCCCAGCTACTCATTATATGATAGGTACAGTCTATCCCAGTTCCACAGAGGAAATGGAAGCTTGTTAGTGGCTGGTCTGTAATTTCAGCCTGGTATATCTAATTCTAATGCCCATGCTGTGTACATCCACAAACTCCTATGGGAGTTTACAAAAAAACATCCCTGTACAGAAGTGCTTACTTTAAATCAGTTTAAGCACAATTACAGGTAAAAGATACAAAAACATGGAACTCAAAGGTGGGTCTTACCTAGTTTGTGTTTTTAGGCAGTGCTCAAAGCACAGATGTGAGTTGCCTGATTTCCTGTCTTATGGTGATGACTGTGGGGCAGCTTCAGATCCTTGGTGGGTTCCATGTATAGCACAGAAATACTCAGTGTACGCTTAATTTGTCCTAGCACATGCTAAGGAGGAAGCCTGGACTTCTCACTAAATGAAAACTGGAAGCATAGCTGCCCAGTTCATGGAGCTATGCTGGCTTCAGTGAAGATGCAGTTCTCAAGGCATCCTAGAGATGAGAACTTGGCCTTTCAAATCCAAAAATCAATGCAGAGGTTCTTCACATAATCTCTCAAAACCATTCTCTTTACTTTCTGTAGTGAGGTCATTTAACAATTATGTGAAGCCCTTGGGGAGGCATCATGACAGGGATTTGGAAATGCAAGACAGACTCTGCTCTGAGAAGCTGTAGCAGAGAGAATGTGCAACCCAATTTCTACCTTGTGCTATAGATATAAGGACAAGTCAAGGACAAGCAGCATAAAGGAGGTGACATTGGAATTGAGTTCTGCACGAAAGGACAGATAGACAATTTTCTGCCTTTTGAAGCTGATCAGCCCATTTCTCCATGTGCGTTCATGGTTTAGTTATTGCCAATAGTAATACAAGGCAAGTCCTTAAATATGTACCTCCCAAACACAGTCAGAATCCATTCTAAATGGCATAGGTCCTCTCTTCTTAAGTATATTCATCTCCCCCATCCCCAGCTCTTGGCTCCACGCCAAGCAGTGAGCAAACATTTGTTGAATGAATAAACAGATAAATTATGTAAAAGAGTAAGTTGGGGGTTAGAGTAGGCTTGTTAAAAGGAGAGCTAAAGTGATCATTATAGGCTGAGCTTCCTTGAGAGTGTTCTAAGAAGTGTTTGACTTTGGTTTGTTTCTGAAACCAGTTCTGAACTCTGCCACAAGTAATTGTGTTTTAATGTAAGGGAGAGTCTTTGCTGGCTGGCTTTAGGTCCCTTGCTGGAAATGTATCATTCTTTTTTCATCTTACCTGTCTGAATTCAAACACCATCTCTGCTGCTGACAAGCTGGGTGTCCTTAGGGAAAGCACCTTCATCGCTCTGTGTTAATAATCAGTATTTTCCTTGTGGGATTAAAAGGGTTAAAAGAGATGAACATGGGTAAAGCATTTAGTGCATAAAGTGTTGGTGCGTAGTAAGTATGCAGCAAACATTAGCTGTTCTGATTGTGCTTAGTAAAAACAATATTCCATCTTCTTAGGGGGAGGTTCCGGATCCAGCTCTATGAGCAGGGGTGAGATGAGTCTGGCCGAGGTTCAGTGTCACCTTGACAAGGAGGGGGCTTCCAATCTAGTTATCGACCTCATCATGAACGCATCCAGTGACCGAGTGTTCCATGAAAGCATTCTCCTGGCCATTGCCCTTCTGGAAGGAGGCAACACCACCATCCAGGTAGGAAGGCAGCTTGGCTACTGGTATGGCATCCCTGCTGAGCAGGAGGAGAGTCTGTTCTGGGAGCCAGATGTCTGGGTGGTACCAAGCCTTGTTTGAGAGA
The DNA here is from genome assembly GCF_000001405.40 of Homo sapiens. Lineage (NCBI taxonomy): Eukaryota > Metazoa > Chordata > Mammalia > Primates > Hominidae > Homo > Homo sapiens. The sequence continues at coordinate 4,735,458 of NC_000003.12, forward strand.
CAGCTCATTCTGAGGGCACAAAATTCTGTTTTGAAAAATGAGTTCTGCTAGTATCCTGCTGTGATCATTTGGTCATAAATCAGACTTGGTTCCAGAACATGAGTTACATTTGAAAACTGATAAAACACTGAGAATACGCAAAGGAAACTGGCCTAAGATCTGGCACATAGTGGGCACTCCATAAATGTTTGTTGAATAAGTAAATGATTGCATGAAGTTTATTTACAGTTTTTATCCAAGATTGTAGGGGATCTCATCACAAGATGACCAAAGAGTTTGAACTGTGTGTGCTATTTAGAAGATTTAACTTTTATGTATCTATAGATACCACAGCTGTTGCTTCTGATAAATTTACCTACCTTTTAACTGAAAGTTTAATAAAGCCAAATCAATTTGAAATACTAGAGATACCAGGCTATGTTAGTCAGAAATGAATAGATGACTTTTTGAAAGGTAGGTATGATATATATTTAAAACTAATAATAAAAACTCAAATTCTATTTCTAGTTCACTTTTTATAGATGTCCTTAAAAAACAATTTTCATGATTTTTTCTTCCACAACAGTCATCTTAGAACATGAATTTTAATAATACATAAATAACATAACTTTTATATATGATCCCTTTAAATATTTTTAATACCTCCTTTATGCACTCTTCCTTCTTTGTTAGCTCTCTGAATAAGAGTTTTTTTTTTGGACGTGTATCTATGTACAGACTCGTGTACACATACACACACACATATGTTTTGATAAAAGCTTTATTGAGATATAATCCACATACTGTAAAATTCACCCTGATGTATATATTTGACCTGACATATTCTTGGCCTTGAACTGAAATTCGGAGTCTCGGTTAATGAAGTCTTGGTTCTTTGTGCAACTTTGTAAAGGGCGTTTCTTCCTGTGAGTCAGTGTGCCCCCGGCCAGGGTGCCTGGCTTGGCAGGTGCAGCACAGGTGAGATTTCAGTCCCTGCCTGCTCCTCCAGCCAGCACCCTTGTGCCTTGGCACAACCTGTGCAGCCAACTGCGGTGGCCCTTTTCTTTCGCCTTCCAATCCCCGCTTCCCCCAACGTACACTTTTGAAGTTCATTGTCACGTGTTGCACCAGGTTGGGATTTGGGACAATGAGTGAGGCACCTGGGCCAGTGGCAAGGCCCACTGCTTGTCTAAGTTGTCACGTGGGCACGAGTCGTACACGTTGGGATTGCTTTTTATTTTGTCATGTGTGTGTGGGTGGGTCCTGCAGTCCTTCTCATCAATGGAATGTTGCCCAGCCACTGCTGTGTTCTGGGCTCCTGTGTTGGGAGGAAGCAGAGCTGAAATGCTCCTTGTCTTAGAACCACATGATTTCCTGTGATTAGAGCAGTTGAACTGAATAGTCATTGAGCCCTTTCTGCGTATGTGCTGCTATACCAGGGGCGATGATGGGGCAGTGGTTTCCAGACATGGGAGCCAGTTCGTCTGTGAGGATTTTCTCCAGGCATAGTCAAGTGTGGAAAATGAGGACAATGTGGTGAACTTTTCATAAACCAATGGATTCAGGTTGAAGACCTGGCCATTTTTTTCTGAGATTATATCTCTCCAATCTTTATCCTTAGCCACAGTGTCTTCTTTAATGAAATGGTGTTGATTATGGATGATAGATTTTTTTTTTCTGTTGGCCAAATTAGAAGTTGGAAACCCTAGGTTGTTATTCCTTCCCTTCCCCAAATTTCAAAGCTTTACCAGTTTGAGAAATCCCAGAATCTCAGTCCTCAAGAAATTGAACCTCTAACAAGGATACGTGGATGTGCACATACGATGCTATGTCTCAAGGATGACATTTAGTGCCCTCCAAGAAGTAGAAGTGATGCCGGGGAACCACCAAGGAAGAAGGACCAGCATCTCTCTGGGGAGCCTGCAGACGGTCTGTGGATGAAATGGGCTTTCAAGGATGGACATGGGACTGAAAGGGGGAAATTGGGCATGGACCTGGGGCATAAGGAATCTTTGTCATATTCCATGGTAGAGAGGGCCCAGAGGTGTGAGAGCAGCAGTTGGGTTTCCAGAACAGCGGTTGGGTCTTTCAGACCGAGGAGTGCTATGTAGAAGTGAAGGGCCTTGGATGGGGGTTGGGGTTCATATATAGGAGCAGTGCAGCCCTCCAAGGGGCTTTGGAGCTGTAACGGAGGACTATACACCTGGCAGTAGAGGACAGGTAAACTGAGGAAAGCAGGGTCCCAAGGAGGCAGTCTAAGAATTAAAAAGTTAATGGGCAGTAATTTGTGGAAGAGCTGATGAGAACCTGAACTTAAATCTCTGATAAAAGAGTTCATATCTTGGGAGAGGATATTTTCTCATAATGGCACAAGAGAGCTCTCTGGGTGCTGGAAACATATTCGACCTCTTTGTTTGGGTGGTGGTTACATGACTGTGCACATGTTTAAAACTCCGTGATCGTATCCTTTGCTGGGACACGGATGGAGCTGGAGACCATTATCCTTAGCAAAATAACACAGGAACAGAAAATCAAATACCGCATGTTCTCAGTTATAAGTGGGAGCTAAGTGACAGGAACACATGGACACTTATAGGGGGAACGACGCCCACTGGGGCTTTTCGGAAGGTGGAGGTCGGAAGGAGGGAGAGGATGGAAAAATAACTAATGGGTACTAGGTTTAATACCAGAGTGGTGAAGCAATCTATGTGATAAACCCCAGTGACACAAGCTTACCTATGTAACCTGCAATTGCAACCCTGAATTTAAAATAAAAGTTTAAAAAAGAAAAAAAACAACAACTCAGTAAGCCATATGCTTAAAATTAGTGTGCTTTACTGTACCTATGTTATATGTCAATCAACAAATAAAAGAAATGAGGGCAGGGAATGAGACTCTGAACCTTGCTGGGACTAAAGGGGTGGGGGTGAGGGACAGGATGTCACAAACAGAGACCCTGTCACTCCTTGCACCAGGCCCAGGCCTGGACCTGCTGATACTTGGTAAATGTTGGCTGAAATGGCGTCTGATTAGACGTGGAAGAGAAGTCAGAGGCCCCATTCGGTTCTGGGCTTGGCATCGGGATGACCAGGTGCACAAAGGCACCATTAATTAAGGACTAACAATGAAGTATAGTGGCTGGTGGGGCTGAGGGCCGCCAGCACTGAGGCTCCTGGGGAGACGATGTCTGTGGCTCTGGTGAGATGCCATGTTTTTCACGGAGCACCCTGATGGTGACGGCCAGGCACACAGAAGCTGTTTTTCCTTCAAGTTCTTTATCTTGTAAGGTCATTATGAATATTAGTTTCATGGTTTCACACATTTATTACTCATACACCCAGGCTGTAGATGAAATGCCATGATGGAGTTACCGCAGTTCAGCCACGTGTGGAGCAGGGATGTTTTCTCTTGGGGGAACGCAGGGGTGGTGTGGGGGCCTGTGGATCCATGCCAGGATGGAAGGGTGCGGGTGTGGCCGCACGCACATGCTGTTTTCTCCTCCCCGCTTCTGTGACCCCTGGGGGGCCCAGTCTAACCCAGTGTCTCACAGGAGGCCGATGGTTCCAGGAAAATGCCTTCTAGCCTAGACTTGACTTGTCAGAGCCCCTTGGCCCCAAGCTTCTCTTTCTCTGGAGAAAATGATGTGGAACTAGGGTTGTGTCTGGGGCCAGTTAAGGACAGGAACCTTGAAGCCCCAGGGGGAGTGATTCAGAGTTTCGTCTTGCTGTTGAGAAGTTGGTTCAGAGTAGTAAGTGGCCAGCTGGGAAGTGAGCCTGACTTGGGCTAAGACCACAGTGTGGCAATTAATGATTGCTGAGATGCTTTGCTCCACTGAAGACATGGTGGGTTCTTGCCGGAGCTGGTGGAGCACGGTCACTTCCTGTTCGGTGCACCATGGAGGGTCTCAGGAAGGGAAATGGGTCTGTGGTCAGCTGGCCTTCTTGAGATCCATGTTTCCTGATGACAGGTGGTAGAAAGGGGAGTTGCAGGGAAGCAGGCAGGCCTACACAGTTCCAGAAATGTATACAGTCTGCCCTCTGTGTTTGTCGGTTCTGCATCTGTGGATTCAACCAACTGCAGATTTAAAATATTTAGGGAACGCTGGGCACAGTGGCTCAAGGAAACAGAAACTCAAGGAGGTTATGACTTACTCAGAGTTCCAGAGCTGGACAAAACCCATGATAAAATATCCTGTACCTCTTGTCCGTCCCACCTCCACCTGTAGTTATCTGTCACTGAATAACCACCTAAAAATTTAATAGCCTAAAGCAATGGCCATTTTGGTGCCTAGCATGATTCTGTGAGCTTGGGCTCAGCTGGGTGGTTCTTTTGCTCTGTGTGATCTTGGCTGGGTCTGCAACCATCAGGGGGTTGACTGGTCTTAGAACAGCTTACGTGGTCACTCATATGACTGTGGCCATTGGTGCTGGTCCTTTGCTGAGAGCTCAGCTGGGGGTACTGCCTGGAGTGCCTTGGTTCTCTGTGTGGTTTGGGCTTCTTAGAACATGGTGACTGGGTTCTGAGAAACAGTGTTTCAAGAAGCAGGAAGTGGAAGCTACTAGCCTTTTCAAAGCCTGGGTTTAGAATTCCTAGAATATCACTTCTATCACATTCTATTGGTCAAAGCCAGACATGAGGCCAGCCCCATTTCAAAGGCGGGGAGAAAAACTCCACCTCTTATTGTGAGGAGGGTACATGTATAAAAAGAGAGAATTGTTGGGGACCACCTTTGGGGACTGGCTTCCTCACCACCACCCCCATTATAATCGATTGAGCACCTACCATGGGTCAGCCAGGCCCCCAAGCTGGATGCTACAGCTGCAGGAAAGGGAGACACCATTGTCTCTGCAGTTGAGGAGTTTGGATCTCCCTGGATACTAAATCCCTTCTTTGCAAAAGTGTTGACTCTTGTCTTTCTCCTTTTGGATGTTGTAAGAAAATTCAGTCCTGCCTTAGGATAAGCTCACTGGGAATCACAGCACTCCAGAAATTCTAGATTTCATTGTCCAGACCCTAGAGGATTCAATTTATGGGAATCCACAAATAATGACATACAGTGCTTGCTAGGCACTCTCATGGAGGGTTTGCTCCCTTATTATGAAACCCTGTCATCCATCACATCATCACCTAAAGCCCTGAAATGCCTGGAAGCCAAATACAGGTTACTTCCCAGTCTGGCATAATGGACTCCCAGGGGTGGTGTCCCCAGGTCTCCCAGCATCTTTTCTTCCTGCCCCGGCTCCTGCAATGGTGATAACATCTGAGGGTAGATCGTGACTCCCAGACTTCTCCTACCTGGCTGCCATCAGAGCAGGCTTCACATTGAACCCTCCGCTTATGGGAACAAGGAGACAGTACCACAGCCCGTGGATTTTCCAGAAACGGGTGACACGTTGTCAGGTGATAGGATCACGCTTGTCTTGAAGAGAACTTCCGGCTTTCTTTCTCCCCACTCTGGTGCCACCCGCTTCCTGTCAGCCCCCAGAAGAAATATTTCCTTGTGGCTTGATGTTTTGTAGCAAGTGGGAAACTATAAAATAAGCATTTGCTTATGAATTAATTTTTGGCACACATGGGGCTCAGCAGGGCTCACGGCACTTTCATATCCGTCCTTCGAGTCCTTGCCAATTTCTATGTTCCTTCCTCCTAAGATGTTCCCACCAGCGCCTGGGGGAAGTTCCCTTCGCTTCCTCTTCCTTACAGAAGGACAGGGGCTGTCCTTACCTGGAATGAAGAGGAGGACAGGCTATCTTTGGACATACCTCGTTTTTTATTTTTGTTTTTTTTAAGCCAATACAGATGTTTTGGGATATATATGCTGACATGACCATAGAGAACCTCCTAGCACATTATGGGGATAGATAGTTAAACATTTTTTTGGACTAATTGCTTCTGGTTTCAGAAGCACTGGGAATTTCATGTATCAAATGGCTGCCCACGTCTATTCCTATGCCAAAGTCTAGTCTACAGACACACCCGAAAAGGGTTTTCTTTTCTGCACGTAAGCAGCTAGAGATGGAAAATGTGAGAAGTGCTCCGTCAGGAAACTGGCCTGCAAATTCAGCAGAGAGAGTGATCCCTGGTTCATGAGGCCTTTCCTACACCACACTCTTTTTTTTTTTTTGAGGTTGGCTTAAGAAATCAGCCCAAGAACAAGTGTTAGATAGGAAATCTCACATCCCTTCCGGAAGTCACCAACACAGTGTGGGAGGGACACGTTGGTTGGGCTATCTCTGACCCCAGTTAGCAAAGAGATGAGGGCGGAAAGGGCAATTTGATTTGCCTCTGCTGGAAATGGAAGGCCAGTTTGTGAGGAAGATCAGCCTTGGTTTGACAGGGCAGTCACCCTGAGGAGGAGGAAAAGATTGGTGTGTGAGCAAGTTACGTAAATGGGTGTTGTTTTTGGCAGGGAAGTCAGGAATGAGTCACTTCTGAGCGGTGTTTTCTAACCTCAGGTTTTATCCATGTGGGAAAGGAGTGAAGCCAGCAGTGGAGTCAGGGCAGCTCTCCTCCTGCACGTGGGGGTTCGAGAGCTGTTGGCATTAAAGAAAGAGGGAGGCAGTGACTTGTCCCCAGCAGGCGTCCCCAGAGACACTGCCCTTCTGCGGAAGCTGTGAGGGGTCAGCAAAGCCACCCCAGGTTGGCTCAAGGACCAGCTTGGCTCCTTTGAGAAATGGTGGCGTAAAGGTTAGGGACTCAGGGAGGACCCCCTGGAAGGAGAGAGCCTATCAACTGCGGGCCTCCAGACCACAATATTTGTGCTGGAATTCCAGCTCTGCCCCTGCCAGCCTTCAGTGACCTTGGGGTTTGTCAGGGCCACTTTGAAACTCAGTTTCCTCATCTGCAAAATGAGGGTTGGAAAAGCCTAGTCCCTTCCTTATGGAGTTACGAAGAACATGAGGGTAAAGTGTGTGGTCCGGTAGACAAGTGGAGCTGCTGCCAGGGCTGCTGATTCTGTGGTGTGGGTACAGCCTGGGCTCAAGCCCTGCCTCCTATATGCCCACCTCAGGACTCCTGGCGAAGTCCACCTCACTCATCCCACTGGTTCCTGACTTGGAGAATAGGATGGTGACGGTTCCCACCTCAGAGAACTCCTGAGATGTTTTCACAGACTATTTATAGAAAGCACCTCACGTGGCATCTGGCCAATACAAAGATCTCAAGATGATGTGGTTCTTATTTTTATTTGTTCATATATATTTTTAAGAGATAGGGTCTTGCTATGTTGCTGAGGCTAGACTTGAACTCCTGGGCTCAAGCATTCCTCCTCCCTCAGCCTCCTGAGTAGCTGGGACTATAGGTGCGGACCACCATGCTCGGTTCTAATTAATAATATTTTTATTTATTTTAAATACATGCTGTATTTTGTGAAATGTGTTTTCTGTCTAAAATCCTACTTCTGATATTTTCTATTTTTGCATAGTGGTTTATCATCCAGCAGGCCTGGGGGACGCTCTGTCTTATGTTATTTTCACACTCAATTGACCCAAGTCCTTCTGACTGTATATTAAAAATGATTTTAGAACTCCAGGACATTGGGAAATTTCATTGCCTTGAGTACAGGTTATTTAGGTTGGTGCAAAAGTAATTGCGGTTTTTGCCACTAATAGTAATGAGAGACATTCTGGGATGAAGCAGAAAGAAAAACAGCAATCTAGTCACTTCTTTGTGGTTTGAAGTGCTCCCTGGCCCAGGCCATTGTCTTGTCTGTCCTTTTTTCCTTTCCTTTCTTTCCCTCCTTCTCTTCCTTTCCTCCTACTTTATCTGCCTTTGACCTGAACACCTCACACCCTTCTTCACCATTCCCAGGAAACTGGACTGTTATTGAACAGGAGTCCTTGAGGATTATTGGTCTAAATCCAGGTCTTAAGGAGGAAGCTCAAAATTCAAAAGTCGTTACATTCTTAGGCATATCAGACTTGAGTGAGCCCTCCTGCAGAAGAAGATGGCAGTTCCCACAACTCTGCCCTGGTCATCCTTAGCGCAGCTCTCTGAGTGACGGCAGACAGTAGGTAATGCATGCACCTACTGGCATTCAGTTTCCCAGTTCGGGGCAAGAAATTACTGCAAGACTTGTCAGCATCATTCATCTGTGAGTCCCTCCAGGTTGGTGATAAGAGGCACAATCCCTTTGAGGTGGTCCCAGGGGAGAATGTGCATCCTGGTTCATGCTTCCAGAGGAGCTGGAGACCCAGCGTGATTTTTCTTATTTCCTGAGTAGCAGAGCCAACAATATGGGCAGAAGTGGACAGTTACATACATCTGCTTGTCTGGCCTTCCATGAGAGGACTACAGTTGTTGAGGGGGAAGGGGGAGGGGAAGAACTTTGGAAGCAGAATGTTAATCTCCTTCCTTTCTGCGAAACCTAGAAGCAGGAATTTGTTTCTTGTTCGTTTGTCTGTTTGTTTGTTTGTTTGAGACGGAGTCTCACTATGTCACCCAAGCTGGAGTGCAGTGGCGCGATCTCAGCTCACTGCAACCTCCGCCTCATGGGTTCAAGCAATTCTCCTGTCTCAGCCTCCTGAGTAGCTGGGACTACAGGTGCCCACCCCCACGCCCAGCTAATTTTTTGTATTTTTAGTAGAGACGGGGTTTCTACATGTTGGCCAGGCTGGTCTTGAGCTCCAGACGTCAAGTGATCCGCCCGCCTCAGCCTCCCAAAGTGCTGGGATTACAGGCGTGAGCCACCACGCTGGCTAGGAATTTGTTTCTAAGAGGAGATGTCTTCAGAGAGAACCTCAGGTTTTCCACAGTCTCCAAAATTTTACTAAAAGTGCAGAGAAAAATGACAGAGAAGACCTGGAAATTTTTGTAAAGTGAGGCATCAATTCATTTTATCCCACTGAATCCTCAACAGGTCCAGATATTCCTTATTTCTTTCTCTTCCTTCTGGTCTAGCAAGAGGTCTGTGCTCTTCCTAACTTTCTTTAGTGACTTCCGAGTGTGAGATGCCTCTTGGGAACTGCCAGGCAGAGGATTGGTCAGTCTTCCTCTGGAGGTTCAGGGATTAGTAAATGGTAGCCCACGGGAAAAATCCAGACAGCTGCCTGTGTTTGTAGATAAAGTTTTATTGGTGCATAGCTGCAGTTTTTCCTTTGGGATTGTCCTAACTGCTTTCCTGCTTCAGGGGCAGAGTTGAGTAGTTGTGACAGATAGCTGCAATGACCCTCAGCGTGTGAAATGTTTACCATTTGGCCCTTTGGAAAAATGTTTGCTGACCCTAGGGTTTGTTTAATCTTTACTATGTAGATGTTAAACTGCCTAAGGGAAAGAACCACAGTATTTCCCCTTTGTTCTGTGCTCCTCATCCCCTGGTATGGCAATTTTTAAGTAAATATTCACCAGATGAGCAATATCCTAAGTCCCAAGATATGTTGGCCACTTACTCAGCTAATAAATGGGAATTCAGGGAAACAGGCTGGGGCCTCCCTCCCTCCCTTCCTCCCTCTCTGTCTCCCTCCCTCCTTCCTTCCTTCCTTCCTTCCTTCCTTCCTTCCTTCCTTCCTTCCTTCCCTCCCTCCCTCCTTCCTTCCTTCGTTCCCCTCTTTCCCTCCTTCTCTCCTTCTCTTTCCTTCCTTCCTCCTTCCCTTTCTTTTCTTCTTTATCTCTTTCTTTTCCTTTCTCTTTCTGTGTTTTCTTTCTTTCTCTCTCTTTCTCACTGTCTTTTTTTTTTCTTTCCCTCCTTCCCTCCCTCCCTCTCTTCCTCCCTCCCTTCTTTCCTTCCCTTCCTTTCCCCTTTTCCTTCATTTTTTTCTTTCTTTTCTTTCTTCCTTTTGGTGGGAGCAGACAGGGTTGTTTTTTAAAAGACGTTTTCTTCCCTAGAGTCATCTCTGCTCTCCCCACATAGCCTCTGCCAGGATGTACTCCATCACCCCAGTTTACTATCTTTCAACACAGATTCGGGACGCAGACAAAGCAGGACATTCCTTAGGAAATTGTATATGTAGCCTGAGAGTCCAGACACCTGCGATTACAGACTTTGGATCTGTGAGCCCCCTCTGACCGTCCTACCCCAAAGCATCATGGTTTCAGGTTAGTCACTCCCTTATGGCTTAATGCTGTGCTATTTCTGTGCCTCCTACAAACGTTTTCCTAGTGGTAAACACAGGGACTTCTCAGGGCATATACGGTTGACCTTAAAACATCTGAAATGTTTTGAGGCCCCATCTCCAGCCTGTTTGCCTTCTTTTTCTACCGATCCCCTTGGGTAATCTCATCTACTGCCCAGGCCTCCAGCAGCCATTTATGCCAACACCTCCCAAAGATACAGCTCTCGGTCCCACCTCTCTGCCGATTTCTAGATTTCTGCTCAAATCCCTGATGGGCATCTCCACTTGTGTTAGCTATAAGTTAGCAGGACCCCATGACACTGTCATCTCCCTTCCTCCATTCTATTTGCCCTCTCGTGTTCCATAGCTTTCTCAGTGGACTCACCACCAGCCAAGGATACCCAAGCTAGAAGCTTTGCAGTCATCAGACTTCTTTTTCTCTTGCTTTTCTCCAGGAACTAATCTGTGCCCACTCTACCTCCTGGGAGTTTAACCATTGTTAGGACTTATAATGAGCCAGATAGTTGGCACTGTGAATTCAGAGTGGCCCAGCTGGGAATGGAGGAGCAGCGGTTTGAAACTAGGCACTGTTACTTCAGGATTCATATTCTTGACCACCAGGCTCGACCGCCTGCCAGCATAGGGCTGCTGAGATCTGCACCTGTCAGCCTTTTTGCCTGGATAACTGAGATAGCCTTTTAGTGGCCTCCTGCCTCTGGGCATTTCTCTCTTCCACGCGGTTGTCAGTGATGCCCCCCAAATGGAACCCTCACTACCTGCTTCCCCATCTGAACAGCCTTCTGTGGAGTATGGAGCCCATGGCCACCCTGATGGAACCCATCAGTGCCTCACGTGGTCTGGCCCCACCTGGGTTTCTCCACTCACTCCCCTACGCTTATTGTCCTGCAGCTGCAACTCATGCCTGCCAATCCCCAGCGGGGCCATGAACTCAGATGCCTTTGCTTCATGTGGGACGTGCCCTCATTCCCTTTGGCAGGCTCCCCAAGCCCTGATTGAAATGTCTCCTACTCTAGAAACTTCCTCTTGATCCCCTGAGGCAGAGATAATGGGTTGTGCTTCATTTACTGTAGTAATGACCACACTTCAACTGGAGCTTGACTGTAAGACCCGAGGGGGCAGAGACCAAGTCTGTCTTCACTCCGAGTCCCCTCGAGGAGCCTCCACACGTGCTGGATGAAAGGTCCTCAGTGTGTACATGATGAATCAGTGTGGATACTCCTACTGTATAAACTATTCTGGGAATTCACTGAGATAATATGTGGAAGGCACTCAGCTCAGCATGGAGCTTTTAACACATCGTAACAGCTCATCCAAAGCAACTCTGCTTACTTTTTGGTTGTTTATCTTCCCTCACCCACTAACTCGCCCAAGGGTGCACTTTCTTCCGGGGTCAAGTCTCCATCTGACTCCCCAGCACTCAGACTGTAAATGTAGAGATAGAAGTTCTGACCCAGTGTGGCCACCGTGTTACTTTAGCCTTCTTACCATTTTTGAATAGAAACATGAGGATGTGAAATGTGAACTTGTGTTGTTGATGATTATTGCCATTTTAAAGGGGACCTTCTTTAGGTGTGGGAGGGAATTGATCTGAGCCCATGGGAAATACATGTCAACTTGGAGAAATAGCCTTATGATGGCAGCAGTCCTCTTTTCTTCTTCTTTGTAATAATGATGGACAGTAGTGGTAACAAGTGCTCATGTACCACGGGCTAGCCAGGCGCCCTCACTGCATGGTCTCATCCATCTTCCTGGGGCGCCTATGTAGTAGGTACTGTTTTGATCCCTTTCTGCTAATGAGGAAATAGAGGATCCGAGAGGTCAGGTTATATGCTCAGAGTCACAGAGCCAGCTGGTAGTTGTTCCAGGGTTTGTTTTCTGCCAGAACGTGAGTTTGTAACCTCTCTACCATGCCGCCTCCTTACTCCACCAATTTTCCAGGCACAGACATGGCCGCTTCAAGGACTTTGCGTCTGTTTGCCAGGCAGATTGGAAGTTGTGCCTCCACATTTTGTTTTCTTTGGTAGTGGAGTCTTTGTGGGAGACACTGTGCCCTCCTGATAATCAGAAGGCAGCTCGAGTGGTCAGTGTATTTGCTTTGTTTATAAGGTCTGCCCATGAATTCTGGAGGAGGAAATCATGAAAGACTTTTCCTTTCAGACTGGGCATCTCATTTGCCAAATGACAATTATGTGTGCTACATACATGTACTTCCAGCAAGTTCCAGGTTCCCAGGTCTTAGGAAAGTTAATGACAGGAAGACTGTCCTACAGAACTTCCTCACTGTGGAAGAGATTGACAGCAGCTCATCTAATTAGGGCCGTTATGAAAAGTTGGATTAATAGCGATTTTTGTTTTTCGCTTGCGTCTAAAGAAGCATATGTTCTTTGGCATCATGTGATGGTTATTAGATCTCAGCTTTTGCCCGTTTTGCTCAGAGAAGCTAAATGCACCAGATACTCCCCACATCTGAGTCTTTACTGGTTGAAGAATATTCATGTTTGGGCGAAGGGAAAGGGAGGAAGGTCTTCTCATTTTATAAAGTGCCCAGCACTGTGCGTGGAGCCAGTAGGTACTCTATCTGGGCTACATGGAATAGTCCCAATTGCAGATGAGGAAACTGAGTCTGAAAAAAGCCATGTGTCTTACCCAAAGTCACCCAGTTGGCAGAGCTGGGATTTGAACACAAGGCCCTCAGAAGTCTCTCAGCTTTCTCCCATGCTAGCCAGCCTTTAAGTTACATGAGTACAATGTGAGGGAGCTATTCAGTGCCCTGTACCCACTTTGGAGCTCTGCCTACTAGAGAGCAGTGTCTATCTTGTTTTCGTTTGGGGTGGGAACAGGCTGCACTGGTTATTTGATCTGAGAAGCAAGTAGTCACTGCTTGGTTAGCCAATGAGTTTTAAAGGTAGACCTTTAAAATGGAGTGGAATGGAAGCACATTTTTTTTTAATAACAATGCATGAGCTTTTCCTTAATTTCTGCTGGTGTCTTTCTTGTGGGTAGCTTCCTCACAATTGTTAGAGGAGAGCTTGTCCCCGACAGAAGAAAGGCTCTTCCTCAGTTATCGTTTCTGTAGGTTTTCTGGAATTCATCTTGAGGGTAAGAGTGAAGGCTGGGATGCACTGCAGATAGCTATTGCAAACCCCTCTACTATTTCCGATTAGTGGATACGTGTGTGAGTTGTATGCCTGTCTTATATTTACAAGAGGAAGTATCCCGTTTAATTTTACTTTCACACCAAAAACCCAAGTGTTAAGAGAACGCGGTGTTTTAACACTCCCTCGGTTATCAGCTGCAGAGCGGAGGTTGTATATTGTCACATACAGTTTTTGGAGTATGTTTCTACATTTGTTACCTGGCAACATTGCTGCACTGGGACGCGAAGTTGTATTGGTTCCCAGCAGACCCTCGCTGTTCGTACTGTAGAAGGCAGAAGTTGTTTTCCTCCGCGGGGATTTAGAAGAGAAGGCACAAGGCTAGTGGGGTTTGGCTGACAGATGGGCTGATGCGCTTCGGTGACATGACCCAGAACCAGGCACTGGGCAGGGGATGTGGACTCTTGTCCTGTCCCAACAACAGCTCCCTGTAATGCAAGGTCACGTGGTAGACAAGGGTTAGTATTAGGTAACCTTGAATACTAATTCGTGATTCTTTATCTTCTCAAAGTAAAAACAAAAGAACAAACTTTTGTTCTGGTCATTTTATGAGTCATCTGAGCACTTGCAGAACCATAATGGCAAATAGCTAATACATGGCACCTTTTCAGTTGCTCACATTGGATACCCAATTCCCTGCCTTCATTTATGCATTATTGTGGTTTTGACCACCTACTGGTTCTGATGAGAGAGGAAATCCCGTAGTAGGAGTGATAGCCAGAGCATCTCTTGCTGAGGTGACCCCCTGAGCTGATTATAGCCCTATGGGGTATTTTGTTTTGCTGATACATAATACATTGAAAACACTGTATATAGAATTTTTTGAATGCTTAAGTGGGGCCTCCATATACACTGAGATCATTTTATCCCCCTACCTTCCACTGCACTTCACTGACACTTAACCCCGAAGACATTTGCATTGGAAACTTCGCATTATCTGTTTGAAAGTCCTCTCAGTTCAAGCCACACATTCTAAGACTCAGCAAAAGCTTATTGACACCAAGGGCATTGAATTCACCAGCACCTGTAACGTTTCTTGAAGAATGCTTGCTAGGGAAAAGTTCCCATGGTAACTGTTTTTAAAAGAGTTTTGTAGCATCAACAGGTTAGACAGGAAGTCAAAATCATGGAGCTCAGCAGCATCCCCTATAAGCACGTGCTCCTTTTTAACCACCCCTAACAAAGACACTGAAGCACCCTGTTCATAAGCCCTGATGGGCACTGGAGGGTCTGGCCAGGTTGGGCTGGATTTCAGGGGACCTGATTTGTGTTTCCCTGTGCAGTGCTCGTTTCCATCACCATCTTTAAGGAGGAGGCCTTTTCCATCCACTGGACTCTTACCATCGTGCCTGTTAAGGAACAAAAAGACAACTGCTTAGGCCTGGAGGGTATGTGGAAACCACCAGTTACCTTTGAATATACCTGTGGTGCTCGAACCTCCTTTAGAAAACCCAAGATGCCATTTTAATGATGCTTTGCTCTTGGGTATCAAATTTACTCCTTAATTTACCTCAGGAGATGTTCTAAGAGGAAGCCACAAGATTCCATACCTGCTGTTGTTGTTTTAGAGCTGGTGGATTTTTTTTTTTTTAATCCGCGGAGGAGGACTTGACCCTGTGGGTTCCTAACTTGGATGGCCATGCAGAGCACCCTTAACTTGGAAATCTATATCCTGCTGTTTAAACTTCAAGATGATTCCTATCTGGATTAAAGTCCTCAACCAGCAGGCCGAGGCAAACTCTAAAGAAAAACAAGGTCATGCTGCATTTTTTTTTGGTAAGCACAGGAATCAACAAAGAGATGTTATATAACTTCTATTTATATCCTCCTTGCTCACTATCTGCAGGCAGACAAGAGTCGCTGAGAAGGGATTTAATGAGCTCTCTGGGTTTGCTCACCTTCCTGAGCTGGTAGGAACCAGCTTGTTCTCAAATGCGTCAGTAAAGAATCTGGCTGTGGGTGGGCGGCCAGGGTAGGTGGACTGCGTTGTTGCTATGGTGTTTTTTAATTCCCCTGTCTCTCAAAGATCTCACTCCCCCCTTCCCTGACTCCTTCCTTTTGCCCCCTTCCTTTCTTTCTTTCTTTTTTTTTTTAAATCTGTAAGCTTCCTTGTTTCTCACACCTACTCATGATTCTTGGAGCTGTCTCCGGAAACAGAATATTTTCCCTCTCCTTCCTAAGTGCTCAGCTCCCCCATTGTGTAGCCCCGGGACATCAGAAGTTGTTTTCTAAGGTGTGTTTTTTCCACCCTCCCTTATTTCTTTTCCCATGATTTTTTTATTACCAATCCCTCCATGAGAGAGACCTATCCTAGGAGTCTTCCATCTTGCCTGATAGAAGTTTTCTCTGGCATATTCCAAATTCAGATTGCTCCAAAACCAGGTGAAGTCTGTTGCTAGTTGGACAGTCGGTATGGCCTGGAGGAGAAGGGCTGTTTGTATTTCCATGCATCCTCCTTTGTCCTCTTGCCCTGGGTGAAGCAATGACGTCTCTGTCTCCTCTAGTGCGTTATAAAATAGAACCGCAAGAAAACAAGAGAATGGGTTTACCCCACAATCATAATTCCTGGAGCTTGGGTAACTCCTGTTACCTGAAGGTTGCAGGTTGAAATGACTCAGCTTGCATTTAATTAAAAAAAAAAATGCTGCCCCATCAGATTCTCAGCAGGGACGACGAATGCACCTTGCTGAGAACCCTATGGCTGCCCAGGGAGTGGCCCCCTGCACCCTGGCCGGCCTGGTGGTGGCCACAGAGGCTTCTGAGATGGCTCTGTGTTGTCCATCACATTCCCACCAGAGCAGAGACACTTAGAAGATGTGAGTAGGGAGGTTAGGATGAAAAGTTCTTAGAAAAGAATATGTAGTTCCATGAGGACAGGCTGAAAAAATTTTTAAAAAGCCAAACCCACCTCTGCCTTGCCCAGAAGTTGTGCAATCCTTAATAGCAGTAGCCTGTTTGAATAATCAGAGGCAAGCTGACTTCCCTTTATTAACTTCTGTTAGAGACATCTGCATAAAATATCCCCGGATTCCAGACCAAGTAGGTAATTTTTTTTTCCCCTCTGAGTAACGGGAGGGACTTTCCCTTTGGAAATCTTCCAGCAGAGTTAACTTCATGGTTGAGACTGTTTTCTCATTATAAGGTGCCAACAGCTAGATTCCTGATGCAGGGACAGTGAAGGCGCCTCATGTACACACTTGGATCCCCTGCTTCCCTGAGAACTGACTTGATGTTCACAGTTGCCTCTGGTTCTTCTGCCTTGACCCTCCTTTTCACGGAGAAATCTATGCCCGCTCACATTTCCTGAGGTCCTCTGAGTTCCTCTTTGAAACTGTCAGAGGCTCTCTCAAAGTTTCTACCAATTTCCTATTCCTGGGTTTTAGACTTTTGATCAAGATGGCTCTGACACTGAAGGGGATAGTCCTGTAAACCCTCTGAAGTCTTCAAGCCTCGTTTTTCCCCTGGAATTCAGGACTTTAAAAATATATATATTTTATTGCTCTTCGAGGAGGATGTGTTGCAGTTGCCCTCACCATATGGTATTTGAGAAATATGTTTTTATTAGCCTCCTTGCAACACAAACCCACAAACTGTTGAGCCCAGAGCTTGTAGCTATCAAGTCTGGGGAGGGAGCCAGGTTTGGAGACGGAAGGTGCACAAATGATCATCCCTCCCGGGCTGTAGTTAATCATGCAAGCTGCTGTGTCACTGGGGCCGGGGTAGTTAACAGTTAACTCGATGGATTAAGGATCCTCAGCCAGGCTGAGCCCATCACAGAGTTACGTGCAAAAACCGGATAAGCCCGTAGAGGTGACAACACCACATCAGCTGCCTTTGGCTGGTCTGCGGTGTGCTGCATATTCCCACTTAGCAGGACTTTGAGCTTTCACATGCAGGCTTCTTCTGGCCATAAAGTTATACTTCAGCTGCCATGGATGCAAAGCTTGGCTTGAGTGTTTCGGAATTGCACCTCCTTCAGGATTATTGTTCATTCATTAATATAGTAAATTTTTTAAAAAGAGAGAAGAGGCCTTACTGTGTTGACCAAGCTGGCCTTGAACTCCTGGGCTGAAGAGATCTTTCTGTCTCAGCCTCCGGAGTAGCTAGAACTACTGGCTTGTGTCACCACAGCCGGCTTAATATAGCAGATGTTTACTTACTGAGCACTCCCTGGGTGTCAGGTGCTATACACATTGGCGTCAATACAGTCAGGGATGAGACCAACATAGCCCCTGCCCTCCAGGAGCTTACAGTCTTGTGGGAGACAGAGCTAGGAAATCAGCTCATCATCAGCTAAATCAGAGCTTCAGAGAAGTGTGATGGGGAAGCAAACAGGCGCCACGAAGCGTGGCCAGGGAGGGCTTCTCTGGGGAGATACCGTTCAAGCTGAGACCCAACAGATGCGAAGAGAAGGAGCTGTGTGAAGAGTAGCAGAGGGCAAGAGTATTTCAGAAGAGGGTTGGCTTGTGCTTGGGATGTTGGAGGAGCTGAGTGAAGGAAGCTAACGCGGTCTACCCCATGGTGGTCGGTCAGGGGCAGAGCTGCGGAAAGTATCTGCTCCACCAGGGTGATGGGCTTGTCATCAAGTCGGGGCTGGATGAGGTGATCTCTGTGGTTCCCGCCGATCCCTAGTCGGTGCTTCTAAAGGGCACCAAGTTGGCTTGGGCCTGTCCCCTGCTTGGATATGCGCTGCCGCCGCCAAAGCCCTAATATACAAAGCAGCTTTACCCAGATGAGTGCTGTGTGATTTCACCCTGCCCTGCTCTAACCGCTTGGCCATCTGTACATCTTACTGTCAGCTGCCAGGGATGCTCTCTGTGGCCGTGTGGAAGTTACCTGGTGGGCCAGCACACAGCAAGATGGGGATGCAGGGTGGGGAGACATGAAGAGTCCCAGAGCATTCTGCTGGGGACCAGACTCGGCTGTACCCGAGAGTCAGTTGAGTTGGGAAGGACTAGGGTTGACTGGGGGTGACTGCAGTCTTCATCAAGGAGGCACTTGCTTTGCTTGATGCTTTGCCACCTA
Organism: Homo sapiens; assembly: GCF_000001405.40. Taxonomy (NCBI): domain Eukaryota; kingdom Metazoa; phylum Chordata; class Mammalia; order Primates; family Hominidae; genus Homo; species Homo sapiens. The sequence continues at coordinate 4,753,687 of NC_000003.12, forward strand.
AGCCAGTGTCCTTGCCTCCATCCGGCCTGAGTGGATTTATTTTTTTCGGCTTCTATGGCCAAGTGTCCTTGTCACAGTTTGTGTGGAGAGCAGCGAAGGGAACGTGGCTGGTGTAGACACCCTGCCGGTACTGTGCGGGCTCTCACCTGTTTTCTCTCCTGCACTCCTTGCAATAGAATCTCAAGTGGTTCTCCTCCTCTTTCTCCATTGCAGATGAGGGAACTGAGGATGGAAGTTAATAAATGAGCTGTCCAAACCCACCCAGTTCCTAAGTCACCCCTATGCGTATGTTTCTACCTTGCTAAAGATGCAGGATAGAGATCGCTTTCACTGAGCCGTGTGACTGCACAAACACAGAAAATGGGGGGGGGGTGGCAAGGATTATTCTTGGCATCTGTATAAATTTCAAGTTGAATTCCCTGGGAACCTCGGAGCATTGAGGACAGGAAATGTTGGTTGGTGTTGATTCATTGTCCCTCAGGTACACAGAATGGAAATAAGACCTGGGGAGTTGTTTCCAGAGATCGACTCCCCTGACCCTGCAACTCCTGCTTCAGCCCTCGCTCTCCACGATGCAGATTGCCACCCCCATGGAGGAACAGCACCCAAGTCACTGCCAGGTCCTCAGCACTGGACCCTCCTCCCGGGAAGAGGACTTGATGATAGAATTTTCCAAGCACCTCTTGCATCTGTCTTTTCAGGGTTCATGAGACAAGGTGGAGGTCTGATGAGAAAGTCTTCATGTCCTCCTGGCCACAGTTCCCACAGTGATCATGTGGGTGAGCTGAGACAGGACCTGAGAGTTTCACAAGAGCCACCAGAGGATACTTGTCATTGAATCATAGAACCAGCCCTGGAAGCCACCCTCAGAGGCTAGCATGTGTCTCCTGCAGCCCAGACATGCAGTTCACATTGTTCATTCCTTCTTTATGGACTGAGATTTTAAAGCCCTCTGATTCCTTGGACAAAAGTCCTTCCTGAGATCTAACCAAACTCTCCTTTGCTTTAGAGTACCTTTTTAATAAGCCTCATATTGGCTTGAAGAGCCACCAGAACACCTTCTTGCCCTCTTGGAGGATTACCAAGGAGCTTCCTACCACAGTCCCCTTCCACTTCAGGCAAATTTTGATGTTGCATCTATTTTACATCTGTTTTCAAGGGTATCGTTGATTTGACACTCCACTGGTCATCTTTGTTTTGTCTGGAGGCTTTCCAATCTTCATGACTTGGCTGGAAGAGACAGACGGCTGTGCCGTGTATCCCCACAAAAGATACTGGCCTTTGGCATCTGTTTGACTATTGAACCCAGAGAAAATTTGGAGTCTCCTTAACTTCTTGTTCCTGGGTCAGAGCCACAGGGTCCTCCAGGGTGGTGGCTGACCTGCTTCTCTGAAATCTGGTTTTACTGTTGAAAATTGCTGGAAACAGTGGTTGCCAGTAGCCTGCCTACACCATCAGGGGCTTCCTACGATAATACCTTTAATTTTTTTTTTTTTTTTTTTTTAGGAATTACTGTTTGTTGGTTGAGTTGTTGTTGAATATGTGTGAAACTGTTAGCGTTCTGATCCACACAGGGTGGAGGGGGACCACGCTGCTTACCAGATAGGGCAGAGCTTTCCCAGTAAGTCCCAGTTCCCGTGGGCACTGGGAGACAGGAAAGGAGAGCTGTTGAGCTTTCTGTCTCAGAAGAAAGGTGTTTTTTCCCCCAATTAAAAACATTTTTTTTTTTTTTTTTAGACATGGGGTCTTGCTATGTTGCCCAGGCTGGTCTTGAAATCCTGGGCTCAAGCAGTCCTTCCACCTTGGCCTCCGGAAGTGCTGTGATTACAGCTGTAAGCCACCATACTGGACCCTGAAAAGTGTTTTTAATAGAACAGGTTGGACTTTGCTGCTTGAAGAAGACTGAATTCACCTTGAAAATCATCATGAAGATCCCCTGCCTTGGCCTTGACCCTGGAGCTTAGGCCGTTCCCCAGAGCCCAGTGACCAGATTAATAAGAGTGAAGGAAGGGTTCTTTGTCCTCCACCTTTTCTCTCAGGTGTCAGGCATAGCGAAGGGCGTCTGCCCCACCCTTGCCTGGCAGGGTAGTTGAAACTGGTTTGTCTCTCACTTGTTAAAAGGTGACTGTACAGTGTGGATGAGGGAGGACCTTATTTCAGACAAATGAAATTGAAATGTTGACACCTCTCCAATACAGACTTGCTTCACTTCATCGCTTCCTTTCTACTTGGAAGTCTATGTTATTTCTGAACTCATTAAAGCTGGAAACATCCTGAGAGAGGCTGGTAAACTGAGAGCTGCAGATGTTGGCTGGTTGAAAGCCATCAGACCTTGCAAAAAAGTTTCTTGTTAGGGTGAGTGATAATTTATGCCAAGGGAGGGTCCAATTCTGAATGCCCATTGTACTCACTATTAGGCCCTTTTCATAGGTCAGACTTTTGCTGAAGTCGAGACTGGTTTAAAATGTTGGGAAATGCTTTATGTGGAAAGGCTGGGGATTACTTGAGAGGAGGGTCTGACACAAGCTTGTATTCTGCCTTTGGGTGTATTAAACTTTGACAAGCGGAAGCAACGATGTTTATCTCTGCACGTGCAGAAATTTGAATGGCTTTTATAGCTAGTGAAATTTCAGCCAAATTTTTTTTTAACTTTTACTTTAGGTTTGAGGGTACATGTGAAGGTGTGTTATACAGGTAAACTCATGTCACTGGGGTTTGTTGTACAGATTATTTCATCACCCAGGTACTAAGCCCAGTACCCAATAGTTATTTTTTCTGCTCCTCTCCCTCCTCCCACCCTCCACCCTCAAGTAGACCTCAGTGTCTATTGTTTCCTTCTTTGTGTTCATGAGTTCTCATCATCTAGCTCCCACTTATACGCCAGAACGTGCAGTATTTGGTTTCCTGTTCCTGCATTCGTTTGCTGAGGATAATAGCCTCCAGCTCCATCCACGTTCCCACAAAAGATATGATCTCGTTCTTTTTCATGCCGTCCAAACTTAAAAAAAAAAATTCTACATTGTGACACTTAATGGGAATTGCCATTCATTGTGTTTTTGCTGTCAATTTAGAGGCCATTCAACCTACCAGAACCAACTAGAATTATCACTGGATGCAAGTTGGACACTAGTCTTTGGCCATTTATGTAACACCCAGCTCTTTTCTGGATCCACCTATCTTACACCTTCCCTGGAAAGGGGTATTATTGTTAGACAACTGTAGCACCTTCCATCTGAGTAGTTCTTGGTAGTAATCAAAGTGTTTTTCACACCTACTGTTTCATAACAACCTTGCTGGGTGGGCCCCAGCTTCCATGTGATGCTGACATGGCAGGTGGTAAGACCCTCATTTTTTAGCTAAAGAACCCAGGGCACAAATGAAGTTAAGTAAATTGCCCACAATCACATGGCTGGATAGCAAGGAGCCAAGGCCAAAATGTAGGTTTCCCGAGTTCCAGTTCTCCAGGCACTCTCTGCCTACCCAGGTGTGTTTTATTACCTAGTTCATGGTTCCTGGTCTTTGAGTTTTGATTGTAATCATTGGTTTCTAAAAAAGGACTCCAGACCCACAGCAGTCATTGTGTGACAATGGTTTTGTTAATAATTTATTACCCCAGCCCTGGCAGCCCTTCAGCTTGCAGAAGGGGATTGTTTGGGAACCCATATTAACAAATGTATTAAACGTCATGGGAAAGTTGAGGCATTCGAATGCATGTGTACCTTCTGCCACTATTCTTTACTGTGAGAGGAGCCTGTTTATGCCTCTGAAAGACCTGGTGGGTAGGGGTAGGGGTGGGGTGGATTATAAAATGCCAAAAGGTGTTCAGAACAGGACAGACTCTTGCTCAGGGGAGAGGTGTTTAACAGAGCATGTGGTTGGGAACAGGGCTGAGGCGTCGGACAGGTGGGGCTTGGGTGCCAGGGCACTTATTAGGTGGATGACTCAGCGGGTTACTTCTTGGGGCCTCAGTTTCTTCATCTGTAAACTGGGGATGATAATGGCACCTACCCCATGGGGTGCTTCTGAGGATGAAATGAGATAATGCATATAAAGCGCTTAGCGCCCGGCAAATCGGAAACGTTCAGTTGCCGTTCACTATAATAAAACTTGCAGAGAGAGGGTCCCCAGGGAGTGGGGAGTTCTCAGTTCACCACAGGTGTAGGAAGACAGCCAAGGTAAGCCCCACCTCTTGGTAGCCACTGGCGTTGCTCTGTCACCCACAGAGTATCTGTTCAAGCTGGGCAGGAGTGGGTTAGTCTGGTGGGAGATGTCCTCTGAAGTCCCTGAGACTCCCAGAGTTGATGTGAAAAGAGAAAAATCAAAGATGCCCACAGAGAATTTTCCTCAGCCTGTGGAAACTCAAGCTTTGGCTCACTGTTTGGCAGCCACATTTTTCAAATTCTTGGCCTTAACCTGAGAACTTAAATCATTCTGCAGCAGGTAAGTGAGCAGCCGTGGTGAGTGTCATGGGCTAGATGGGTCAGGGCCATGTCTTATGAGGCAGTGAGGTGGAAAATCCCATTCTCTGGATTCTCTCAAGGCCCAGAGCGAGGGCTTCTGAAAGGTGGACCAACTTTTAGAAGCTGATGGAAATGCTTTTCTTTGAGGAAGGATCTGAGTCCTGCAGCCGTCACTCTGTGCTGGACTGCTCCCCCGCAAGCCATGCCCGCTCCCACCAGGCTCCACCCTGGGACACATACATCTATGCTCCCCGCCACTGCCCTGTCTTGCAGCTAAGATGCCACAAAGGGGCTCCTCCCCTAGAATGGTCTGGTGGCCCAGAAACGGACAGGTAGGCTGGCTCACATTCCAGGGAGCACCATGATCCTTGGACTGCAAGGCCTGTCTTTTCCCCTGAACTTCCTGAATTCTGGGAAAGATGGCTTCATGGGTATATGTCTAGGTCATGGAGAAGATTTGTCTCTCCTATTCTCCTCCCCAGGACCACTTGTTTACACAGTTTGATTAGGACTGTGACCTCTTGCACCTAAAGAAAGGAGTGTCCCCCTTTGAACTAGGTAATAAAACACACCTGGCTAGGCAGAGCGTGCCTGGAGAACTGGAAGTCGGGAAACCTAAATTATGGCCTTGGCTCCTTGCTATCCAGCCATGTGATCGTGGGCAATTTACTTAACCTCATTTGTGCCCTGGGTTCGTTAGCTGAAAAATGAGGGTCTTACCATCTGCCATGTCAGCATCACATGGAAGCTGGGGTCCAGCAAGGTTGTTATGAAACGTTAGGTGTCAAAAACACTTTGATTACTACCAAGAGCTACTCAGATGCAAAGTGCTACAGTTGTCTAACAATAATACCCCTTTCCAGGGAAGGGTAAGATAGGTGGATCCAGAAAGGAGGTGGGTGTTATGTAAATGGCCAAAGACTGGTGTCCAACTTGCATCCAGTGATAATTCCAGGCCCTCTGTCTCCCTGCTGTCACCGAGGTGGCCGTCACTGTCCACTAGCCCCTAACCTCGGGGTGGCTCTTGTTCCTGAAGCAAGGCAGGCTCGTCATAACCACGCTCCATGGCTTTGCAAGGACTTGCAGGGCTGGGGGAGGATGGGGGAGCCAGGCTAATTAAGCAATATTATATTATTTTCAAGGCTGATCTGAAAAGGTAGTTTTGTTATTCTTTTAATCTAAGACCCGGATTCATTGGCCCCTCTACAGCTCAGTCAACCCAAGGAGGGAAAACTGTCTACTTGACAATTATCAGAAGGTAAGAATGTAAACTCGGGTTGTAGTTTCAACCAGCCACACCCCAGTGTGGTCAAAAGTAACTGTCTTGGGCAGTCAGGGGAGGGAGGTTCTGTGTGGCCCTGGCAAGTCTCTTTCCCTTTCTGGGCTTCAGTTTCCTCATCTGTGAAATGTGGAAGGATGGACGACATGGGTGGTTTTCAAGTGCTGCTCTCCTGAAGTTCCAAGGAGTTTCAATGGCAAGAGGGAGGGGACCCTCTTTGCTCTGCTTCATATGGAGCTGTTTTGCCTTTTGTCTTTTATCTAGCGGCGTCTTTATCCTAAGATGGTGTTTTGGGACCGGAGAGGAGCACGTTACCCTGCTGAAAAAGGCATTTGGAAACTGCTGGATTCCAGTGCTTCCAGCTGCAGAGTTCTGTGATCTGTGTTCTCTTGCTCTTTTGTTGTGGTTGAAGGTTGGCTGACAGCAGCCATGCCCACTTCCCTTTCCCCCTGTCCAGTGGATTCAGGATGGAAACAGCCACTGCCGGGGTCACTGCCTCACCCTGCCCCTGCCCCTGCCCTGGCCTTTTCCTTAAAGCGTATCTGATCAGATCTGTCATCAGGGATGTCTGGGACTGGTGCTGAGGATCTGCCCGCAGACCAGCTTTGTGTCTTCTGCTTTCCCAGCCTTTGACTCCGGCCTCACTGCTGGGGCTGGTTGTCTGTGTCGGTTCAACGTGCAGATGGGAGGAGAGTTGGTTGTGGCTCTGCCACAAGTCACTGACCTCTCCTAACCCCAGCTCTCTCATCTATAATGTGACAGATTTATGAATGATGATATCTGCCTTGGCAATCTCCTAAGACTCTGGTGAGACAGCTTATATGGAAAGGGCTCTGGAATCAAATGTGATTTGGAGACGACTGGAGGGTGAGGAGAGGTCGGCCTGGCGGGGGCAGATGCCGTTCCCTCTGGTGGAGAGGCAGCCTCAGAAGGTGGCCCCTCTACAGAGTTCCCCAGCTTTCTGGGAACAAAGCAGACTTTCTGTTATCTTTTTTTAATTATTATTATTGTGATATAATTGACATATAATCATAGGCACAGATTTTAAATGTAGACTTTGATTCGATATGACAAATGTTTCTATACCCATTGTACCAGTTTTCTGTGGCTGCTGTAACAAATTCCTACAAACTGAGTGGCTTAAAGGAACCAAATGTATTGTTTTATAAGTTCAACATGAGTCTTACTAGACTAGACTAAAGCAAGTGTTGGCAGGCCAGCGCTCCTTTCTGGAGGCTCTAGGGGAGAAGGCTTCCTTGCCTTTTCCAGTTTCCAGAGGCCACCCACATCCCTTGGCTTGTGGCTCCTTCCTCCATCTTCAGGTTTAGCAATGGTGAATGGAGTCCTTCTCACATTGCCTCTCGCCACCCTCCTCTCCTGCCTCCTGCCTCCACAGCGAAGGCTCCTTGTAATTATGTTGGGCCCACCCGGGTAATCCAAGCTCATCTGTCTACTTTAAGGTCGGTGATTAGCAGCTTTTGTTCCATCTGCACCTTTAATTCCCCTTCGCCACATAAGACAGCATTTTCACAGGTTCCAGGAACTAGAACATGGACATGTCTGCGGGGACCATTCTGTCTACCACACCTGTGAAACTGCCAACCTAATCAAGACATTTATTTTCTTCTAGAAAGTTGTCTCATTCCCATTTATAGTCCTTTTCTACTCACAACCCCCCACCCTCCAGAGGCAACCACCATTTTGGTGTTTTTTTCAACTTTTATTTTAGATTCAGGAGGTAAATGTGCAGGTTTGTTACCTGGGTATATTGTGCGATGCTGAGGTTTGGGGGGGTTCACCCAGGTGGTGAACATTGTACCCAAGAGTTTTGCAGCCCTTGCCCCCGCCCAGGCACTCCCCACTGTCTGTTGTTCCCCTCTTTATGTCCATGAGTACCCAATGTTTATCTCTCACTGACAAGTGAGAAAATGTAGTATTTGGTTTTCTGCTCCTGCATCAATTTGCTTAGGAAAATGACCCCCAGCTGCATCCATTTTGCTGCAGAGGACCTGATCTCAGTCTCTTTTATGGCTGTGTAGTATTCCATGTTTTATATGTACCACGTTTTCTTTACGCAGCCCACTGTTGATGGGTACCTAGCAACCACCATTTTGATTTCTCTCACCATCACCTGATGTTTCCCAGTCTGGGCCAGGTTTATGTTGAAGGGCTACCTCACACCTGCCAGGTGGGGTGGAGTGAAAAGTTTGGAAAAGTAAAATCTCTGATGATTTGCTCTTGGTCTGGGTGAAGAGTGATGAATTGAAAGAGGTTCCGGGAGGGAGAGAGGGAGGCAGTGTAGCGGGTAGAGGGGCCGTGCTTCAGGAGCCTGGGGCGGGGAGGCTGTGCACCCACCTTCTCTGCTCTCAGCTCCCACCAGCCATAGGGAGACAGTCCTGAGGAGAACATTCCATTCCCCACCCAAGCCCTGCAAACGCATCATTACAGAAAGAGGCTTAATGAACAGGTCTGTGACTGTGTGGAGGGCTCTTGTCTCTCTAAGTCTAGGTCACACCAGGTAGCAGAGGGGGCAGGTGAATGCCTCCAGCAGCCACAGCCAGCAATTCCAGAAGGCCCTCCCTGAGGGCCCTCTGCCTCCCTTCGCTCCAAGGGCACGCCCCTTCTAAGAAGAAGTATGTTAGTTCTTTACCCACACTACCATCATGTTTCACTTCTACTCTTGCAATAGATACCACTGCTTCTGTTCTAGAAACCCCACTTCTTTCTTCGGGGGTACCTTTTTAATTTTTTTTATTTCATTGAGACAGAAGTCTCACTATGTTGCCCAGGTAGGCCTTGTAACTAGCTCCATGGGTTTTTGGGTGAGATAACATGTGAAGGTTTGCCTGAGCTCCTGGTAGCTTGAAAGCAGTCAGTGAGTGTTAGCTATCGTGTTACTGTAGTGATCTCATTGAACCTTCACAACCATCCATGAAGTACGATTATTGCCCATTTTGCAGATGAGAAGATTCGAGTTTCAGAGACATTGTCACTTTCTAAGGTGACACTCGCTAGTAAGCGGTGGAGCTGAGATCCAGGCCTTTCTGACTCTGGAAACAGAGCTCTCACTTTGCTCTCCTGTCCTAGCTGCTCACAGGATCACCTTCACCTTGGAGTTTTCACATTCTACTAATGTAATGGTAGTAGAAAAACAAAATTAACACCATCAGTTTGCACTGTACTAAGCACTTGGCATGCATCATGGCAGCCCTTCTATGTGGATTCAGAGAGGCTGGGCAGTGTGCCCAAGTCCACAGAGCCAGTGGGTCAAGGACCTGGGACTCACACCCAGGCAGTCTGACTGCAAAACCTGCCCTGCTAATTCCTCTGTTAAGAAACACCTTCCCAGTGTGGCAATTCCTCAAAGATTTAGAACCAGAAATACCATTTGACCCAGCAATCCCATTGCTGGGTACATACCCAAAGGAACATAAATCATTCTATTATAAAGTTACATGCATGCATATGTTTATTGCAGCACTCTTCATAATAGCAAAGACATGGAATCAACCCAAACGCCCATCAATGATAGACTGGATAAAGAAATTATAGTACATAAACTATGCAGCCATAAAATGTGGAATACTATGCAGCCATAAAAAGGAATGAGATCGTGTCCTTTGCAGGGACATGGATGAAGCCAGAAGCCATTATCCTCAGCAAACTAATGCAAGAATAGAAAACCAAACACCACATGTTCTCATTTACAAGTATGAGCTGAACAATGAGAACACATGGACACAGGGAGGGGAACAACACACACTGGGTCCTGTTGGGGGAGGCAGGAGTTGGGGGAGAGCATTAGGAAAAAGAGCTAATGCATGCTGGGCTTAATATGTATGTGATGGGTGGGTTGACAGGTGCAGCAAACCACCATATATTTACCTTTGTGACAAACCTGCACGTCCTGCATAGGTACCCCAGAACTTAACAAATTTAAAAAGTTTCTAAAAATTACTTGAACAGAATAAAAAAAAAAGAAATGTCTTCCTTCCGTTGAGGCACTGGTTGTATATCTCCTTTTGATACCAAGAGTAGTGTAACTGAGCACACCTCTCATTTCATCTTGACCTCAGAGCCCAGCCTGGGACTCCTCTGAATCCTCATTCCCCATTCTCCAGTTCCCAACCTATTCTCTTTTTGATTTTCTGTGCTTACTTGTGTCTTCTAGACCTTATTATCCATTTTATTATTTTATTGAGCACATTCTATCAATAAAGCTGCTTCGAACCCTTGAGCGACTGAGGACTGGAATCAGTAATGCGAAACAAACCTAGTGACCGTGGCGGAAACACACACAGCAATGTGGCGTTCTCAGCGCCTGGCCCTGTCTCATCTCATAAGAGCTTCCCTTACCCTGACCCTAGCGGTTGACAGCCATTGGGTCACCCGATTGGCCGTCAGACAGCGCGGTCCGTGGCAGGCTATCTGTGTGTGTCGCGTGGCGCTGCTGTCAGATAACAGATGGCGGGCTTTATTTATTCATTTACTTACTTACTTGAAGGGCTTTTGTTTCCTTGAATGACCAGATTGTCCCAAAATGCTTTTAAAGCTGCTTCCATGCCATGAGAACACAGCTGGGATAGCAGCTGAAGCGAATGGCCCTGCACGGCCACCTTCTGGTGCACCCCAGCTTTAGCGGGCAGTCCTCTGTAAGCCCGCATGGGTGAGATGTTGGATGGTCTGTCTTGGTGAGAAATTCAGTCACCATAATTAGGTGGCTTCAGGTTGCATTCTTTGCCCCCATGATTTTTTTGTCTCCTTTATTGACCTGAGGGTTCAAGAGCTCTCAAAGAAGTGAACAACTGAAAGTTGCTTTCTCATATTTGAGCAATTTTCTAGAATTCATTTATTTTGGAGATTTATTTCTGTCATGTCCACCAAATATAAAAAGGATCTGACCATGGGGAGGGGGGCATCCAGTTATGGGGAGCCATAAAGTGTTGGGTTATATTCATTCTTTTATCAAATAATCATGGAGTGCCTTCTATTTGCTGGGCCTCTTCTAGGTGCTCTGGGGGCAGCTGGAAACCACTCAGGCGAGGCATCTGCCTTCACAGAGCTTGCACTCTGCATAAGGCAGACAGTAAGGAGGTGAACGGTCAGTGCAACAGTGCAATTCAGAGGCCTTGATTGCTGTGAAGAAGATGAAACAAGGCATGGAGAATAAGCAATAGGCTTGGGAGCTGCTGTAGGGGCAGCCTCACTGAGCAGGTGGCATTGGTGGTGGGCCCAAAAGATGAGGGGCCCTAGCTGTGGGAAGAGCTAGGAATATAAGAATAGGGCAGTGGCATTGAGCGTCTGCCACAGCTTTGTTTACCAGCAGCCTCCTGGGTCACTTTTGTAGGGGTAAAAGGCTATTTAGTAAGTAGTCATTATGGTGATTGTTGAATTACTATGTGTTTTCCTCCTGAGGCTGTCAATTTCATGGGGGAAAGGTCTAGGCTCCTTTTTGTTCACTTCTCTTATAACTGACATAGTGCCCACCTTGTGACAAATGCAAAAATAAGTAGTGGGTGGCTGGATGGATGGATGGATGGATGGATGGATGGATGGATGGATGGGTGAATGGGTGGGTGGGTGGATGGATGAGTAGGTAGATGGATGAATGGATGGATGGATGAAATAGCAGGAAACCTAAAAGAAAAGAAAAGAAAAGAAACGAGGCAGTAAAAGGCAATGAAGGACACTACAGACTTACCTTGGTTCCAGAGTGGGAGTCGTGAAGGCCTCAATGACATGGAGGATGACAAGGCTAAGCATAGGGGAGGTGGTGACTTGTGTCCTGGCATTTGGCAGTGGCTGGAGGGAAAACGAACCAGGGAGCACAGGCAGGATGGATGGATCCTGAGCTGTAAAAAGCAACCAGAGGTAAAGAAGAACAGTTGGAAGGAAGAGAAAGGGCATGACCAAGAAGTGCATTGTGGGCAGACAGGACAGATGTTTGTCCACAAAGTGTGTGAGTCAATGGCTGGAGGAGTCAGAGTAGCTGAAGTTGCATGTCGACGATGGAAATCTGGTGGTTCCCTAGGGCTCTGCTGAATCAGGCATTGGGGTGTGTGTATGGGTGAGAGTTTTAAGAGTAAGGTGGCTTCAAGAAGGTGATAAGATTTAAGTTCTTTCTGGGATTGGAAGCCTAGGACTGCCTTCTGTAGGGAAGTGCCATCTTTCCAAATGGAAAGATTTGAAATTGGCAGAAGATACACTGGAAGAAGCAAATATATTGTTGGGAGCTTTGTTTTTTTTTTCTCTGGAAATGACCGTATTGTATTTTTATGTAAATAATTTACAACAGCGTGGTGTTTGCAAAGGGGTGAAAAGCGAATACTCATAAATGAAGTTGAGACACCATATTGTGTTTTTCCATCAACAGTGTATACTATTGCTTGCAGAGGGTCCAAAAACAAATGTGTATCCAAGAGGAGAGCTACCTGTTCATTCTGAGCTTCTTCATTTAACCACTCTTACCTGTCCTTTGAAGCCTGATTTGAAGATGACCTTTTTCTTGAAGATTTTGGAGTCACTATAGCATAGTGTCATCCTCACCAGCTCTGAGCATTTATAATATAATTGTGTAGCTACCTGAGTACTTTTTACTTAACATAATTTAGTCTGATTTATGGACATGTCATCCTAACCTGTTAATGAGCAAAGGCAGCATATCTTATTCATGTGTATATTTTTCATAGGGCTCTGCCCAGGGGAAGAGTGCATAGAAGCCCTTAAACAAATGATTGGCCCTGCAGTAATCCCCCCAGAAAAGCTCAGTTTTCATTATTAACAGTGTTGTTTTGCGTGTGTGCAAGGGTGGAAGGGAATTGTTCTTAGTTGGCAACAGTCTGCCCACCACACTCGAGCATGCTCCCAAAGCCTATGTGTCTGTTGCAGCCACAGCAATTTGTTTCAAAGGCTCTGTGTTGAAAACCCCAGGCCTTAGAACCCAGAGAACTACAGTGTGTGGAGTGGTCCTTAATGTTGATCTAAACTTAGATCATGCGTGAGGTTTTGCAACTGGCTCTGATCTTCATTAGGTTTTGGTGTCATGAGTGGGGTGCAGTTTCTGGTCAGTTACAGTGTTCACAATCTATGGATTTTCCTTTGCAGCACTCCTTTTTCTGTCGCTTGACAGAAGATAAGAAGTCAGAGAAATTCTTTAAGGTGTTTTATGACCGGATGAAGGTGGCCCAGCAAGAAATCAAAGCAACAGTGACAGTGAACACCAGTGACTTGGGAAATAAAAAGAAAGACGATGAGGTAGACAGGGATGCCCCATCACGGAAAAAAGGTAAATGTTCCTCAGTCTTCAGTCAGCTGGATCATGAACACCAGAAGAGTCCTTGTTATCCTTCATTGTTTTCATTACTTCTGTGCTCTAAAATGCATTATGATGGGAGCTTTCAGAAGAAATGCCAGCCTGGTTATGATGTAATTCTTCCTCAGTGACCTGAGCTGAAGCCCTGCTGCTCAGAAGGATCTTCCTGTTTAATAAAGAACATTCCTCTTGGTCGAGCTTAGGGTTTTATTGGCAAGGGATCCATGAATAATCTTTTCCTGTGATTCCTATTCAATGTTAGAGAAAGTTGAGGGAAATACGTATTTTAAAACTGGGTGTTAGTCCTTTGTCAGATAATGTTCTTTTGTTTTCCGAGGTATTGGAAAGCTTATAAAGCTTTTTATCCAGTATCTCACCAGAAGAGAAGTCGTACTGGGCAGTGGGTAGACCCACAAGTGTTGGAGTCAGATGGTCTTGAGAAAGTTAAGCATGCTGAGCCTCACGTTTCAAGTTTAGAACTGGGTTTCTCAACCACAGTACAAGTGACATTTGGAGAATTCTTTGTTACAGGACTGTCTGGCTGTCCTGTGCACTGTAAGATACTTAGCAGCATACACATTCTCTACCCAGTAGATGCCAGCAGCATACCCCTACTCCCAGAATATCTCCAGACATTGCCAGTTGTCCCCTGGGCGGGGTTGGGGGCAAAATCACCCCTGGCTGAGAACAGCTGGTCTAGACAGGAGCTAAAGAGAAGAAAAAGAAGAATGGCTACCATTTACTAAGTGCTTACTAGGAATCAGGCACTGTTCAACGTTCTTTTTTAAAAAACGAAATCTTGGCTCTGTCTCACTCTGTTGCCCAGGTTAGAGTGCAGTGGCACGATCATTGCTCACTGCAACGTCCAACTCCTGGGCCCAGATGATCCTCCCACCTCAGCCTCCTGAGTAGCTGGGACTGCAAGTATGCACCACTACATCTGGCTGATGTTTAAAACAATTTTTTGTTTTGTAGAGATGGAATCTCACTATGTTGCCCAAGTTGGTCTAAAACTTCTGGCCTCAAGTGATCCTCTTGAGTAGCTGGGATTATAGTCCAGCCACTGCGCTGGACTGTTCAAAGTTCTTTACAGTTCCCCTCATTTCAGACTCATGTCACCACCGCAAGATAGATACAATTGAGGTACCTCCATTTTACAGATGAGGGGACTGGGGCACAGAGATGGTAATTAAGTCATTACGGACATGCAGCTAGGAGGCAGTGGAGCCAGCATTCGAACCCAGCGTGTCTGGCCGCAGAGTCAGTACTGCTAACTGTAATGCCATAACTACCTCACAGGGTTATTCTGAGGATGAGATAAAATAACACACACAAAGTTCTTCATCACAGTGCTTTGATAGTTACAGAAGGGTCAGGCATTACGACAACAATAATTGTGATTAGCATTATGTTGAGCTTCTTAAGAACTTTCTTGAGATGTTATTCACGGATGCTCTCCCATTTTAAAGATCAGGAAGCTGAGGCCCAGAACCTTAGATGTGTGAGGCTGACAGAACCTGTGCTGAGGCTTTTCCTCTGAAACACACTGTACACGTAGGTGAAATGGTAGATCCACAAGTAAGGTGGCAGGGCCTGGCTCGGTTTTAATCCTGTCTGAGGACTGAGAGCAGATTGTGACTTCTTTGAGTGTTTTGCCAACTTTGAACGTCTCTAGGAGATAAAGGAATGTAGGTTTCTGAGTGTCACCTTTGGAGTGGTGAATAGGGCCCATGAGGACTCTGCAGCCTTTCATGCCTTATGCTTGCTTTCTAGCTAAAGAGCCCACAACACAGATAACAGAAGAGGTCCGGGATCAGCTCCTGGAGGCCTCCGCTGCCACCAGGAAAGCCTTCACCACTTTCAGGAGGGAGGCTGATCCCGACGACCACTACCAGCCTGGAGAGGGCACCCAGGCCACTGCCGACAAGGCCAAGGACGACCTGGAGATGAGCGCGGTCATCACCATCATGCAGCCCATCCTCCGCTTCCTTCAGCTCCTGTGTGAAAACCACAACCGAGACCTGCAGGTGAGGGCCTGGGGGTGGGGGCGTGGAGGGAGCTCGGGAAAGGCTGCCAAGGCCTGCCTTCCTCTGATGGTTCAGCACCTCTCACTTGGGCCAGATTGCTTGAGCCAAGGATCCAGCAAGGTTCTTTTTTTTCCTTTTTCTTTTTTCTTTTTTCTTTTTTTTTGAGATGGAGTCTCGCTCTGTCACCCAGGCTGGAGTACAGTGGCGTGATCTTGGCTTACTCCAACCTCCAGCTCTTGGGTTCAAGCGATTCTCCTTCCTCAGCTTCCCAAGTAGCTAGAATTAGAGGAGTGCCTGGCTAATTTTTGTATTTTTAGTAGAGATGGGTTTTCATCATGTTGGCCAGGCTGGTCTCGAACTCCTGACCTCAAGTGATCCCCCCACCTTGGCCTCCCAAAGTTCTAGGATTACAGGCATGAGCCACCGAGCCACCGAGCCTGGCCAGATCAGCAAAGTTCTGTGATGCAAAAGCCTGGGCAAGTAATGCCCTTGTCTGTCTTCCCTGCTGTCTCCAGAGACCACATCTTGTGCACCAACATAGGTGCCTGCCCCATATATATTTGTTAAGTGTCTGTATGTGCCTATTGATGTGTGTGTCTTGTAGCCTGTCACTGTTAGACATCTAGGCACTCAGGTAAAAATGGGATGGATGGATGGCTAGATAATTAAATATATTAGATTTCTAAAATTGGATACATAGAAAGTTCTGAATAAATATTTGTTGGTTGAATGAAGGAAATGGCTGCCTTTCAGTGATTTACAGAAAGAGGTGCTCAAAAATATTTGCTGAACTGATTATTCCAGAAATCCTTTGTTCATTTTGTTGTTTTTGTCTGATAACAATGGGCAAGGTTTGTTAGGCACTTATGATATCCTGGATCCTAAGTGTTGCTTATATGATTATATTATATAGATGAGGAAACTGAGGTGCAGAGGACACAGGGAGTGCAGAAGTAGGACTTGAACCCAGGTAGTCTTACACTAGAGCTCATGTTGTTAACCAAATGCTGAGAGACAGAGGGCACATGATGTCCCTTGCAAAGTTTCCCAGCAGCAGGAGCTGTTTAGGAAGGGCCGAGGATGGATCGTAGAGATCCGCTTCTTTCTTCCGAATGGGTCTGGATCTGCGGAGGGCCCTCACTGCCCAGGAGAAGTGTGCTGGAGCACTGGGTCCCTGGCTTTTGCCTGGGTTTGTTGCCAACTCCTGGACCTAGGGAAACCACCCCCTTTTTGCCTGAATGGTGTGAGGATGAACAAGGAAAGGGCATCTGAACCTCTATCTCCTTTGTGGTGGAATGTTTCCTCCTAAGACACTCCAGTCAGCCGTGGTAGTTCTGTGTACTTGGGTTATGAGGGTATGGAAAGGAAATAATGCTAGTCCAGATCTGGCCAGGGAAGGCACAGCCTTTAAATATTTACCTGGCTGACCTTATCCCCCAGGTGACTTGATGCCTGTCACACCTCGATTGTGGCTAGACAGTTGGTACTGCCGCAGTGAATTGCTCTCACTTAAAACTTGCCACAGAGTCTATGCCTGGATTAGCTAAGAAATTATATTGTTAATTAGTAAGGCAAACAGTGAAATGGAACTGAGAGAAGCCTGCAACGTTAATACCTTCTATAGTTGTTTGAATTTTCAATCAGATTGAAGAACCTCAACTTTGAAAAAGCATCTGAGATCTGAGGTCCTCACCTGGCCAGATCTGACTCATGTTGGAAAGTGAAGGAATTTCACACAAACCCCACTGTCGGCCAGGCTGGACCCACAGTACCATGTGGCTTGCATGCTAGTGGGGGCCCCTCCAGATGAGGTGGGTTCTTTCTTTTCTTTGGTGCCTGGCCCATTTCAGCCTGTGGTGCTCCCTGCTTGATCCCTGTCGCCATCTGAGTGTGGGATCTCAGCCATCGGTTTCCTTAGTTTTCTTGTCAGTTGCTCAGACTTTCCTCTTTGGGGCGTTAGAACACCTCAGCCCTAGATTTTCTTGCCAGGACTGTGTAGTCCAGTTGGGTGGAGCAAAGCACTTATGCCTCAAATGCTCAGGGCCTGGTTACCATCTCACTGGCTGATAACCTCTATCTGAAGGCCACTGTTTCCCTGACATTGTCCACCCTCCACCTTCCATAACCCTACCACTAGTCACGGGATTCAGGCAAAGGGGGAGTGAGTGACCCACAGAGGACTAGATGCTGAGCGGCTGAGCTTGGCATCTCTGTGGCTGGGAGTGGGGGAATCCTGATGCTGGGGACTGTTTCTGAGCAGAGCATGGTGATCAGTGCCCCTGTACTATTCCCCTATGCAGGTGTCACTGGTCTCTGCCAGCCTTGGAGTCCACAGGGGAAGTAGGTTGAGATGATGCCCAGGCATGTGTGTGTCATTTAATCAATATCAGTGAATCCCTGCTCTGTGCCCAGCACCCATGGTGACAGGACCTCACCCCTTCCTTCACAGAGCTGAGTCTAGGGTAGCAGCCACTTGAACTGAATGGAAGCAGCCACTCCTTAGAAGAGAGGAACCAACCCATTGCAGGTCCAGGAAGGCCTCTCAGAGGAGGTGGCATCTGCTGAGTTCTGAGCTTATGAAACTCAAGACTGCCTGGAGTAGAATCCCTCCATGAGTGTCAGAGGTGCAGTGCCAATGTGCTTGTTCCCGAGCTTAGCTCTGGTGGTATGGGCCTGCTCCGCCTTCCCTCTCTCCCTGACCTTCCCTCCCTCGCCCACACACCCACTTCCTTCCACTGTGAAAGCGGAGTAAGGCTTTAATTGCACAGGTTCATCATTTCTTGTTTGGAAGTCTTCAGATTTTTAGTTTTATACCTTAGCTTTCTGCAGAATTCTCCGTTGAATCAATGCCCTGGGAACCCCATGGACAGAAGCACCTTTTAATGAAGTCCTTCCAAAACTCGTTCCTCAGTGCATTGCTCTGTTGGAAACAGTGCTGTGGGGTGTTGGGGTGTATAGTATATTTTAACATATTTTAACTTAAAAAAAAAAGACCTAGCAACATAATGTTTGAAGGTATCATAAAGATTATCCAGTTCAGTGCTTTAAAACTTTTTGGCTTGGGGGAGCGCACGGGATCCTTTGTTGAAATATACTAAGTACAGCAGAGGAGAGCAAAGCTGCTCTGTTCGGAGTGGAAACTAGAGTGCTCCCTCACCTACGAGACCCCTGGGATGGTAGGGAGGAATTGTAGGGAGCCCCCAGGGTTCTGCAGGGCCCAGTTAGAAGCCCGTGATCTGGACCAGTGGTTCACAAGGATGGAGGTTGGAATCATCCTTAAAAACTCCTGCAAAATCAGATTCTCTCAGGTGGTGACTTGCCTCCAATAAAATTATGGTGTGTAGAAATCCACTTCTCCAAAGAATAGTTTTAAGCAGGACTCAGCCACTCTGAGTGCCATTCTGTGGCAATATCCCAGAACAGGGGGTGGGTCACTGGGTCAGGGATTCCTCTTGGATCGGAGGGAAGGAGAAGGCATTCTCATAAGGAGAGAGTGTTCAGCTTCCTGGTGTAAAGCAGCTCAGAGTCAGCACAGAGGGAGAAGGAATCTGGCCTTTTGCAGCAGCACCCTTTGGGCTCGTGCCCGGAGTTGCTTGTCATATTTATAACCTTAACTTTCCTGTTGGTAAATGTTCAGAAGAGATAAAGTCACCAAGTCTCACTTTGCCAAACAGGCAGTTGCTGCCTTAAGCAAGCCTTGTTTACAGTGGTCAGAAATGTGATGGGAAAAACCTCTCTTCAGCCAGTTGGCATGTGTTTGGGGACCCTCCCCTGAGAAGCTGGCTTTGCTTTTCCCCTGGGGTAATGAATGCAGGTCCTGATCTCTTTCCACCAAAGTCTGTCTAAGCACAGACTTGAAGTCTTCCATTTCCTTAACCCACCCATCTCAACTTGGTCCCAGGCTCTTCAAGGAAGACTGCAAAAAGGGCAGGATTTCTCTAGCTTGGACAAGGCAGGGTGGTACATGCTGAAGGGGAGTTCTCTTCTCTAAGAAGGAGTTCCCTGTGCCTCGTAGTGAGTGGTGTGCCTCTGTTTATGGAGAGGGCCAGAGGAAATGGATCTGAGTCTGGGACAGATTCTGTCCAGACACTCTGAAAGCCATGAGAGATGGGAGAGGCTTTCAGGAATGGGCAGCCATTGTCTTCATGGGGAGTTTGAAACACGTGGGCCCAGCTAGCCTTGAGGACTTCCCAGTCCTCTTCCCTCCATTCATTTCATTTAGTTCAGATTATTTCATCCAGTGTTTACAATGCAGCTGGTAGGTGCCAGTCCCTGTGCCAGCTGCTGGGCACCCAGCGCTGTCAACGTGGTCCTTGGTGAGTTGATCGGTCCCTCTGTACGCACATCACAGGAGTGAGGAAGGCTGGAAGAGGCGACTTGCGATGCTCCCATCTCACTGGAGTAGGGCTCAGGGGTCGGAGGAGCTTCCTAGAAGTGACTTTAGACCACATCCTGAAGGAAGAGGAGTCATTCAGGGTGGAGGCCTCGAGAGCAACAGGCAGAGGGCATTGCCTGGTGGGAGCCTGGAGGCCAGGCAGAGAATGAGGAGTGCTTGAAGTGTGTTGTAAACACTGGTTGAAATAATCTCAATTAAATGAAATGAATTCATTGGGAGTGGTAACAGAAGTTTGAGAGACAGGTGTTATAAGAGTTGCCTCTCAGATGTTATAAGAGTTGCCTCTCTTTCATCCATAGAGACTTGGTTGTTGGTTTAGACTGTATCTTCAAGTCCTTTT
Source organism: Homo sapiens (assembly GCF_000001405.40). Lineage (NCBI taxonomy): Eukaryota > Metazoa > Chordata > Mammalia > Primates > Hominidae > Homo > Homo sapiens. The sequence goes on from NC_000003.12 coordinate 4,773,501, forward strand.
TCTATATATTCGAATGGGAACATTTGTTACATATTAATCTATATGCCTTTTTAAATTCACTGGGAGCAGTAACAGAAGTTTGACAGACAGATGGGCCAGGAGAGCCTTGCTGTGAATTTCAGCCATGGACAGCCAGGACCTCTCCAGAGTTGTCCCAAACACTCCTCCAGCGCCCCTGCACAGAGCAGGGCTGAGCCAACCCCTCAAACAGGTAGTATCTTCCCTGAGGAGCTGGAGCAAGGCAGAAATGGCTGTGAAATCCTCCTCTGGTTTCCCTTAGAGAAACAATCGAGCCCACACAGTCCCAAATCATCTGTTCTCCCTCCACCTCCCACCTGGACCTGAACTTGTTATGGAGCAAAAGGGATTTGGGTTAAGTTGTAGTGGGGAGAAAGGAGGTGGTTAGTTTGGTGATGAGTCAAGCACTGAACTTGGTTACCAGCTCTTAACCTGTGCATTTACAAATGTTTTAATTATACAAGGAATGTGTGGATATGTTCTTTTTATAAAGACCAAATGAAAATAAGTATTTAGTTACAAGAGTTGCCTCTCTTTCATCCATAGAGAATTGGTTGTTGATTTACACTGTATCCTCAAGTCCTTTTTCTATATATTGGAACGGGAACATTTGTTACATATTAATCTATATGCCTTTTTGAAAAAACTTGACAGTGTGTCATAGAGATCTTTCCATATTGGCACATAGGGATCTACTCGGTGTTTCTAATTTATAATATTAAATGATGTAGATATACTGTAATTTATTTACTCCTCAATTGGTGCGCAATTAGGTTGTTTCCAGTTCTTCACTGTCACAAGCAGTACTATAGTGGACATCCAATACATACTTTGTGAGTAGAAGTGAATACTTCATAGAAGTGGAAATTACTGGGTCAAAGATCATGTCCATTTAATCTTTTCCTATTGCCCATTTTTTTTACAGTAAGCATGTCGCTTTGGTAACTGAGGAAAAGAACATACATAATTAATTTTTGCTTCTTTTTAAGAACAGATGACTGGAGCCTCTGACAAAAATCTCCTCATTAAAATACTCTATTTCTCAAGTTGGGTGAATGTGGCTTTTTAAATTTTGTTGAGGAAGTGTCTTGCTCCTATCTGTGCCTCTTGTTTACATTTAGAACTCACCTGGAGAACACCTGCTCAGGCACATGCACACAAGCACACACACATTTACTCACTGTCACTCCTTCCTTTAATCGTGGAAATGGCCAAACAAGTAATCCAGGCTCCTGCCACATGGCACTGGGAGTAAGCCAGCTGATCACACCCCCATTTTATGGTGAACTGTCCCTAGTGCTGGGCTCCGGGCATTCAGCACTCAGATCAAACCATCATCTTTAAACAAAACCACCGCCCTTGGAAATGTCAGATGCCTCTGAACTCAACACCTGATGGAAGCTGGGGTGGGCAGGAGAGAGGAAGGGTTAAGAAGTGAATGGAGAAATGAGGACTCAAAAAGATTATAGGAGTCAACTGCACTGCATTCCATATACTTACACCTTGGAGAGCAGGTTGCATTGTTGAGGGCCATTGCCATACACCAAGTCCATGGGTTTATCATCATGGTGGTGGGGGGCATACTGACTCTTCCATGCTCTCCCACGTGGCATCTCTCTGTATAATTACCAACCTATTAGAGGCTATCAGAATGGCAGGATGAATAACGTTTCCCTCTTCCCTCTGCCTTTGCTCACCGAACCTGGGGACTACCCAATTGCAGAACTTCCTCCGTTGCCAAAATAACAAGACCAACTACAATTTGGTATGTGAGACCCTGCAGTTTCTGGACTGTATTTGTGGAAGCACAACTGGAGGCCTTGGTCTTCTGGGCTTGTATATAAATGAAAAGAATGTAGCGCTTATCAACCAAACCCTGGAAAGTCTGACCGAATACTGTCAAGGACCTTGCCATGAGAACCAGGTAATTAAATTTCTGTTTTGGGATGGGGAAAAAAAGTGTCCCATTTTGGAAATGTTGATAGAGACTAGTTCAGAAATCACGAAGCCTGTGCCTGTTGGCCTAGGGAGTCAGTAGGACAGGAGGCTGTCTTCCAGCAGTTGAGAAATAGCCATGGTGTTTCATGATACTTCAGAACCTTCCTAATGAAGGACATTGGAGGGACAGTCCATGGTCTCTTTCCTTGGCTAGGTTTGGCTTCATTTGATTTGGTTTGAATGTCCAACTATTTAACTTGATTTCTAGGAGTAGGCAATAAGGCAGGAGTGAAATGAGAACCAAAAGACAGTGACCTATTTTAAATACTAGGGGATTTCAAAGAGTGACTACTGGAAGGGGGTTTAAGCCTAGCTAGAGAGAAGAAAATTACTACACGTGAGACAGCTTGAAAGTAATATAAGGACATTTTTATAGTTGAGATTTAAACATCATGGACATTCAGGGGAAAGAAAGATGAGATAGTCTTGACTTTGGTCTCTCAAAGAAGAATATTTTGGGAGTACAACCCAATAACTTCTTGTCTTGAGTAGAGTCATTGCTTATACATGGCATCTTAAGGATTTTGTGAGTTTTTGCATTGTGCTAGGTTGAGTATGATGTTTTGTTTGTTTGTTTTTGGAGACGGAGTCTCACTCTGTTGCCCAGGCTGGAGTGCAGTGGTGCAATCTCGGCTCACTGCCTCCTGGATTCAAGCGATTCTTCTGCCTCAGCCTCCCTAGTAGCTGGGACTACAGGTGCATGCCATCATGCCTGGCTAATTTTTGTATTTTTTTAGTAGAGATGGGGTTTCACCATATTGGCCAGGCTGGTCTTGAACTTCTGACCTCGTGATCCACCCACCTCGGCTTGCCAAAGTGCTGGGATTACAGGCTTGAGCCACCGCGCCCAGCCAAGTATGTTTTTTAATACCAAATTATAGCTTCATCCTAACTGGAGAGAGACGACCAAGGCTTCAAATGGTCAGTGCTAAACCCAGCAGCCAGGGAAGGTTACTTGTGTGACTTGGGGAGCCAGGCCCTTCATTCAGAGGAGAACGGTTTATGAGAGACAACTCATTGTCTATTAAAAACCTGGTCTCAGTTGTCTGTGAATGTGAGAATAGCATTTTGTGAGATGCACTTTCTTCTCCCGGTTCCCTCATGAAGCAGATGGTGTAGTCCTAGTTAAAATGAAAAGGAACAAAAAAAATACAACAGGCTTGGGGAAAGGCTTTATTTGACATCTAAGTGAATTTCCTTATTACCTCAAGTTTGCTTCTCTGCCAAATAGGGGCCTGTTGAAAGGAACAGATCAGAGTGGATTGTGCTGCAAACGGAGATGTTACCTGGGGGCAGATGATTAATTTTGATATTGTGTGCCTTAAACAGGAAACTTGCTTTCCAAGCTTAAGCCTTAAGCTAAAGTACAAAATACAAAAAGAGTGCTTTAGAGAGAATGGAACACACCTTGAAAGGGGAAAAAGGGTTCAGAACCCAGAATCAGTCATACACCATATTTTCCCTTAAGAACAAAAGCCAACTGTGCTGCATGATTTGGATTAGACACAACCAATTTATCAGTTACAGTGCATGGGGACTTTCCTACTGTTTACTGTTAATTCTGAAACTAGAGATTTTCATCTGTCTTTTATTCTTACCACTTTCTCACGGAAAATTTGCAGCTCTCCCCTAGAGACATTACTGGGAGTGGTAAGCATTGTGTTGAAATAGCAGTTCAGCCTGTTGGCCTTTGACGTCTGATTTATGACCAGCGTTTGTGTGAATGTCTGTGTGTGTCTTTGCTCAGAACTGCATAGCCACCCATGAATCCAATGGCATTGACATCATCACAGCCCTGATCCTCAATGATATCAATCCTTTGGGAAAGAAGAGGATGGACCTTGTGTTAGAACTGAAGGCAAGTAGGAATTAAAAGCAGAAGACAGTCATTTGGAAACAGTCACTTTTGTGTTTTGCCTTGGCACATGCACATGGGCAATTAGTCATGAGAGTAAATATTAAAGATAGTTCTTTAAATGAATGACCCAGGTTGCTAGTGCTGACTACGATGCAGAACTCCAACCTTTCTCTTCCACGTAAGGTATCTCATGAGGGGATAGGAGCTTCTGAACTGTTAGGTCACACAGAATGAAGATTCCTTGCTCCAAGCTAAGAAGTGAATCCCAACAGCATCGAGTACTAAATACCTTGGTTCTGAAAGTCACAAAGAGAGAAACAGTGGAAACGCCATTCCCTCTCTGGTTTCTGATTTTTCCCCATTTGAGGGAAAAGGGCCGGTTGAAGAATAGTACAACTAAGCCTATCTAGGACCAAAAAAAAAAAACCCAAAAAAACAAACATGTATTTTTACTTAATCAAGGAAATACCTTTTTCTCTTTTGTCACTGATTTAGCAGAAGGGTGGTTAATAATGTTGGTTTAAAATAAGGAAAATTACACAAACCAAAAATGTGCCTGCGGGCCTCTGCTGAGTTTCTCTGTATTGTGTACAAATGCGGGACTGCAGGTGACTGATGTGGAAGCCCCACTGACATTTGGACTCTCTATTACTCAAACAGCTTAACGGAATGAAAATCGTGACTTCTAGGTGCTAAACCTGCAGCATTTCCAAGCTGGCCTTTTTTGGATATTTGAGAAATTGATATACCATTCCTGATGTTGACTTCTAAAGTATACCCAGAAAACCCTCCCTTCTATGTAGGGGTTCCATAGGTTCTCTGAGAATCCCATGATTCAGTTTTAACAATTGAGCTTGCAGGCATCAGGTTTCTAAAGTATATTTCAAAACATGTTAGCCTTTCTGGACACATTTCCTTTTTAACTGTTCCCATGTCAGGGCATGTTGAGATTTGTCCTCTATCTGCCCATCCGCAGCAGCGAGCACTTCATCATTATCATGAAAGAGCCTAGAACTACAGGGTTTTGGCTGAAAGGTTGAGCTGTATTTATTGCATGAAGGATGTCATAGGAAAGGTCATTAGGAAAGATGGGAACACAGAAACCTGTGGGAATGGCAGTTATTTTTTCTTTACTATTTAGAACTGAGAGTCCACACTAACAGTCGATTTGGGTGTGTGGTTTAAATGGACTTTTTTTCTGCTATTTTTAATTCCTTTTGACAAATTGTGTTTTAGAGTGAATTTTAACAGATTCAACCTTGTGTACCTGGCCACCATTTATCAGAAAGTCCGAAATAAACAGAAGTTCATGTGCTCCTGGTCAGCATTTGAGTGACTTTTTCAACTAATCCAGTGATCTATGGATGATGATAGAAATTTGTGCCCTGCGATAGCATGATACCCTGACTCAACTGCTGTGACCTAAACTAGGGGAAGAAATAAGACCACTCTCACTGTCCAAAAAAAGAAAAAAAACCCAACAGCTTTCAAGTCCTGTACATAAAGAAGCATACAAAGTATCATAGACCCAGGGCCTAAAATGAAGTCAAGCCAGGAAGTACAGGATGTGGGGTGTGAACATGGGTGTTTTTAATGTAATGGGAAATTAGGGCTTGGCCTGCATACATTGTTCCTTTGGGTCACATTTGTTAACTAGTGTCAGATGTACTCATTATATTAGGGGTTATGAGAGCTAATAGAAATATTTTAAGACAGGGAAGAATTACCTTTATTACCTGTCTTCTCTGGCCTGCAAGGCCAAATAACAGTTTGTAACCACACCTGCCCGGAAGGCAGCACAGATCTGTGTAGTAGCAGCTTCTTCCCAACCACTGTCACCATGAGGGTGACAGTGTATCCGTAAGCACCCACGTGTAAATTCCCAATTTCTTCTAGGACTTGTACCAGCTAACATTAGGGCATAACACACATGCCCTGACAAATATGTGCCTCTTTGTCCGAAATCAGATTCTGCACACGTATCTGGGGTCTGAAGGGGGATGCTCTCTGCCTGGTGCAGATGGATTTTGATGTCCTTAACCCAGAGCTTCCTCATGGGGTGAAATGTTCGTCTGTTTAGCCGGGATGCCTCCCATGTGCCAGTTGGCACCTGCATTCAGGCCGGGCCCCCAAGCAGCCCCTCTACATTTCCTCTCCCTTTGTTTCTCCAACTAGAACAATGCCTCGAAGTTGCTCCTGGCCATCATGGAAAGCAGGCACGACAGTGAAAACGCAGAGAGGATACTTTATAACATGAGGCCCAAGGAACTGGTGAGTCGGGTGACGGATCTGATGGTAGCACCAAGGAGCATTGCGACGATATTTGGGACAGAGCAGAGGATCTGCTTCCTGGAGCTTTCTTGAAGGTTCCCAAAGTCAGAAGTATAAAGGGAACATTGAATTCAGGCCTCTGACTGAGTAGAGAAGTGAAATATTTTGGTTGGTGCAAAAGTAATCGCGGTTTTTGCTATTACTTTCAATGGCAAAACCACTATTACTTTTGCCGTTGAAAGTAATGGCAAAAACCGCGATTACTTTTGCACCAACCTATATGACATTGAATACGTGCTGTTTTACCCTCTCCCTTTGGCATAAACCACATGGAGAAGCCTCCGTCTCTGTTTTTCCCTCATGGGGGACAGTGTGGTTACGGAACCTAGCAGACCTGAGTTCAAGTCCATAGCTCTGCCTGTTTTGCTGTGTTACCTTAGACTTCTCTGAGCTGCACTTTCCTGATCCATAAAAGGACAATAATAATAATATTCCCTAGTCCAGAGGGTTGCTTTGAAGACTAGATGAGAAGATTCATGTCAAGCCCTAGCACCATGCTCAGCACCTGATACACCCTTAATGAACGGAAGTTCCTTTTCCTTTTTCTTTCCTCGTTTGCTGCTGGTATTTGAGCCATATCTTTGTCCAGTGCTGAAGAATTCATGTCTCTTCTTGGTGCCAAGAGTCTGAGCTACAGAAATGTTTTTTGGTTGCTGACGTTTGGATTTTTTGTTTGTTTCATTTAAAGAAAACACGATCTGGTTTATTTTTGAGGGGTGATAGTCACAATTGGCTGTGACTTGCAGGTTGGGAGAGTGTTGCAGGCTGTGAGACGAGCAGCTTTCAGAGACGGTGACATGAGTTGAGGGCAGAGCTCTCTATTTGGACTCTTTTTCCACGCTAATAAACTGTAACTGACAGACTTAAATGAGGGCACCAAAACATTTCTGCCTCCTGGTGACCTGAATGTGCACTTGGGGGCCAGGCAAAAGTCCCTTTATGTATGCTTTTAAATAAAGTTAAGAGCAGCCCAGTTCTTTGATCTCTGAGGTCAGGGAGTAAGTTCTCAGCCCGAGATGGAAGGCCTCTCTGAGTTTACATAACAAGCTTATGTAACTGGGGATCACTGGGGAGGCGAGGTTTGTCATTCTTGAGCAGGGATGGAATGACTATGCAGGGACCCCATTCGGCTTCCCAGGAATCAAGAACATGCCCCAGCTCTCTGACCTATCTCAGGTGGGGAAAATGTCAACACCCAGTGAGGTGGCTGGCACCGGCTCTTGGGCAGCCCCCCGGTGGTTGGAGAACATCATTCTGGCTCATAGGAGGAGTCAGGCTTCCTGGAACAAACACTGTTCTAAGAATCCAAATAGAACACGTGTGTACATGCATGTGTGCGTACATACGTGTGTATGCTCCTGGCCTCAAATCGCATGTAACATGTTGTCTGCTCGATTTAGTATTTGAGAGAATTGGCAGGGAAACAAGCTCAGACAGTGAGGCTCTCTTGTCTCCACCGTTACTTCCAGGGCCTGACTTGGTGTCAGTGCTGACATACGTGGCCTTTGGTATTAGATAATGACAAATAATTCATGGGAATGGCCTCGTGGCAATGGGGGAGGCAGAAATGCCCACTGAATCTTCAAAGAAGATTATAATTTTTAGTACAAATTAGAGGTTGAAGGTATTTTCTTCTTCTTGAAATGATTCAATCATGAATGATGTGTTCATTTGATAAGTGTTGGCCACACCCTACATTGTCCTGGGCATTGCGGAGGGTCTTAGGGGAAGGATTCAGATATGAGCAGACCCAGTCCCCGCTCTCAAGAAACTGAGACAGAAACTTGAGGGAACAATCAGACAGGCACAGAAATGCTCTGAGAAATGTGCTCAAACCATGAGACAAGCCAAGTGTGTGGTCCTCCGGGAGCCGAGTCGTGCGGCTGTGAAGGGTAATAGGGCCAAGTTCACATCCCAGCTCACCACCTGTGACTTTAGGAATGTTCTTTTATCTCCTTGACTCTACTTCCTCATCCACTAACAAAATAAATAAGGAAACAGGTGCAGTGGCTCACACCTGTAATTGCAGCACTTTGGGAGGCTGAGGTGGGAGGAACACTGGAGTCCAGGAGTTCAAGACCAGCCTGGGCAACATAGTGAGACCTTGTGTTTACAAAAAAATAAAGCATTAGCCAGGCATGGTGGTGGACACCTGTAGTTCCAGCTACTTGGGAGGATAAGGCAGGAGGATCACTTGAGCCTGGGAGGTCAGGGCTATAGTGAGCCATGATTGTACCACTGCACTCCAGCCTGGGTGACAGAGCAAGACCCTGTCTCAAAAAAAGGAGGGGAATCTCTGATACCTTATAAATGTTTGTGAGCATTAAATTTTTTTGAAAGAATGTTAAACACCTAGACACAGTCCTTGGCACATAGTAAGTACTCAGTAGGTAATACTAGTTCGTGCTGTTATTTTCATTTGGAGTAGGCTGTTGGGGACTGGGAAAATTTTAAAAATGAAGAAATAGTTTCACCAGCTATTCCTAAATGTGAATAGACTTCTTATCAGGTTTTCCTGAAATGGTAAAGGGCTGGGAGTGGGAAATGTTGGTGGGAGGAAATGTTGAGATAGGAAAAGTCTGGCTTCTAGCCTACATTCATATCATATTTATTGTTTCAAGGTGCTTGAAAGCCATTGCTGCCTTCTAAAGAAGGACATTAACCAGCCACAGCATGTCTCTTGGTCTAAGTAGAGTGAATGAGTTTCATTTCTCACGACAGGAGAGGTGGATTGGTATTGATGGCCTGTGCCAGTGTCATGAAGGATTCTGAGGCTGTGTCCAAGCCCGATAGGAGAGAGTGCGGAACAGCCTTTTCCCTGGGAGGGGAGACAGCCAGTGTGCATGCTGTCCATCCAGTCCTGTGTGGGTCTTCCTTGAAACAGGATTTTTGTTCCCTTGGCTCTTCTTGCAGGTGGAAGTGATCAAGAAAGCCTACATGCAAGGTGAAGTGGAATTTGAGGATGGAGAAAACGGTGAGGATGGGGCGGCGTCCCCCAGGAACGTGGGGCACAACATCTACATATTAGCCCATCAGGTATGATCTCTCCTGTGCCTCCTCTGGATGCTGCCTCCCTACAGGTCCAAAATTCCGAGCTGGAGGGTGCCCCCAGTCTTGCTTTTCCTTTATGACTTTAACCTAGGACTGTCTGTACTCATGAGCCTGCGGCTCACAGGTGCTCGTGGCAACCTGACCCAGTGTGCAGAGTTCCAGGACGTTTCCATTTTTCCACAGTGATAGGGTCATGTAGTTGGAAATCCCCGTGTTTCTTAAAAGCATTCACCCCCAAGCAGTGATACTTGGATGGTTTATGACTCTGTCTGGAGACAGTTGAAAGGAGTCTTAGGCTTTTATAAATATTGATGAGCCTCTCTTAACAATCCAAAGAAATAAACTTCAGCTTCCTTGCATATTGCACTTGGAAATCTGTGGGAACTTGTCCTTATGACTTCCTTTTGTTTCCCTTTTTGGGGATACGGCAATACTTTATGCCCTGGCACCAAAATGCCATGTTTCATAATTCTCCTTCCAAGCGGCTGGGTTTTTGAAGAGCCTTTCTCTTTTTGGATGCCGACGTGCCTTGAGCTTTCGGTGGGTAGGGGCAGGCTGTAACCCTGCTGGAGCCTTGTGTTTCCTGTCCCGTCCACCTCTTTTAAACTCAGGTACGGGAACCAGATACACAACAATGATGATATTGGGCCCGAGGTTGGTGGGCCCCTGTTACCACCCACTGGTTAAAGAATTTCAAACAGTCTCCTGCCTCTTTTCCCTTCCATGACCACATCTGCCACCGAGAAGGTTTCTGAACATTCCGAATGGAGGCTCCCTAGGCTACACAGAAAGCCCCATCTCCCTCCTGCCTGGCTAATGACATCGGGGGAAAGTGGAACCATGTGTGGGCACGAGCTTTCCATGCTTTTCTACCAAGCTCCCAAAATAGCGCCTGTGCACAGCACGCCGTGATGGGATGGAGCAAGCCTCGTGGCACCTTTGCCCTTTGGCTTGCTGCTGGTTATTATGCATTTTTAAATACCCAACATGAGAAAGGAGTTTCTGTGTTCCTGTTGTGAAGAGACACCAACCTCCTGTATCTCTGTCCCTGTATTCTAGTTGGCTCGGCATAACAAAGAACTTCAGAGCATGCTGAAACCTGGTGGCCAAGTGGACGGAGATGAAGCCCTGGAGTTTTATGCCAAGCACACGGCGCAGATAGAGGTAAAAGCTGAGTAAACTCAGGGCATGGGGTTGTGTTGAGGCCATTAGTGTGCAATGCCCTGCTCTGGGGCTGGCGTGCATTCATTCATCTGAGCAATGGAAATGTGAGTGTGTACTGTGTGCTAGGTCCTGGGCTGGGTGCTGGACATCCCATGGCCAAGACAGTCATTATTGCTGCTTGTGGTCCGGTGGGGAAGAGGACACTGAGCAACCTCTCATTCCTCACGAATTCACGAGGACAGGTGGGAGGCATCATAAGAAAGTCCAGCAGAGGGACCTGCTGTAGATCGTGGTGGTCACAGAGGCCTAGTCTGAAGAAATTTCATCTGAACCCAGACCGTAAAGAACAGAGGGATGAAACAGGTAGAGACTAGCAAGAGGAACTTTTCAGACATGGGGAATAACAGCAAGCGAAAGCCCAGACGTGGGAAGATTCTAGGTGATCCGGAGGGGCTAAGCAAGGCTTCAAGGCTCAGGGCATAGAGTTCAGTGCAGAGGGAGATCCGAAGGGAAAGGCAGGCAGCCCTGATCTCACAGGGTCCTATCAACCATCCTTATGAGAAGTCTGGGCTGCATCCCCAGAGCAATGGGGAACCACTGGAGAGTTTTCCCCAAGAGGGCATTACAATCAGATCTGTGTTTTTTGTTTTTTTTTTTTTTTTAAAAAAGGTGTCATGTGGCTGGGCACAGTGGCTCATGCCTGTAATCCCAACACTTTGGGAGGCCGAGGCAGGTAGATCACTTGAGGTCAGGAGTTCAAGACCAGCCTGGCCAACATGGTGAAACCCCTTCTCCACTAAAAATACAAAAAAAAAAAAAAAAAAAAATTAGCCAGGCGTGGTGGCACACGCCTGTAATTCCAGCTACTTGGGAGGCTGAGGCACAAGAATGGCTTGAGCCTAGGAGGCGGGGATTGCAGTGGGCCAAGATCGCACCACTGCACTTCAGCCAGGGCGACAGAGCAAGCTGTCTCAAAAAAAAAAGAAAAAGTGTCATGATGCATTGTGAGTGTGGAGATGGCCATAATGTGAAAGGGGAGACTCCACCTAATCTAGGGAATGCTCAAATTACAGAAGCAGGTGCTGGGCAGCCATAAGTTAAAAAGAAGACAAGCTGAAGCCACACATGTTGGTGTTATATTGAAAATGTGACTTAAATTCTTTCAATAAAGCTTTACAATCTTCTCTGGGGGAAAGAAACAAACAAAAAAACAAAGCCTCTGCAAAGTCATTGGTGTATCTCCATTTTGCAAATGGGGAGCTGTGAAATAAGGCTCAGAGAGACTGTGTCACTTTTCCAGCCACCAGTGGCAGAGCTGGAATTTTCATCCTGATCTGTCTGGTCCCTGAGCCTGTGGGTCCGTTTGTACCTGCACTGTCTTTCAGAATCCAAGAGAACACAGACTTCTCTCTACAGGCTTTGAGCAGTAAGGAATGATGTGTTTTGCTAATGAGGAAATGCACAAGTTCAATATCAGTGTTGAAACAAAGATTTTAAAGAATGGACAGACTCCTTTGGGCAATATGAAATGTTCATGATGGAGACTTTTCAAGAATGTGTTCTGACCTGATGTCTCAGGTCTCTGGGCTATCCTAATAAAACACATCATTTCACTGATTAGCCAACCATGCCAGTGTATGTGAGCAAATATCTGATTTATCATTAATGCCTAGGAGCTTGACTGAAGGGCCAGCTCTGTCCTCTAGAGCCCTTAAAAGGCGAGCTTTAGATGTCTGTGATACAGAATTTCAGAGGAGAAAAGGACCTTGGAGATTATCTCATTGAGCTCCTTGACTCACTGGGGAGAAGACTGAAACTTGATCAGGTTTAAGAGGTGTGAACAAGGTCACCTAGCTTTTTAGGGATGTTAGAAGGACTGAAATATGTTCTCCTGACTCCAGATTCTAAAACTACTGAGGAAGAGTTACAAATAGATCTTAAATGGTAAAGAGAAGTGACCAGGCATGACCTAGCTCTCAAATCCTGCCCTTGGCCAGCCACCCAGCTCTTCAGGTTTCCCTAGGGAGTGATCGATGCAAAGCCAGGGACACTTTGTTACTACCAAGGGCTTTCCATGCAGACCCAATGTCTTCACTCTGGTGAACTAGGCTGGGTAGCCCTGGAGTCTAGAACTCAGTTCTTGCCAGGAGGCCTCCTTGTCTACTCCTCCTTTCCCTCCTGGACCCAGATGCACACCTCAGATCATCTTCCTTCAGTGGGAAGAAGCACTTGTCCATAGTCCACTTGACTATATGAAGCAGGCAGGCTCTTGATAGCAGGAGACGGCAGAGGTGATCCCTGACCCTTGCATACACCAAGATCATGGGGGAACTGCTTGTGTGCAGGTTCTGGTCACTGACCCCACACCACAATTCCAGTTAAATGGGGTTGAGTTATGGACAAGAATCAGTATGGTAACTAACCTGATCTCCACATGGATTTGGGAACCACTGGTCTAAAGACCACACCCCCCAGAACTTATGGAGGCAGGGCTGTGGGAACCTGTCTCACCTCTAAGAGAGTTTCCCACTACAGCTTGACCTGAGTCACCTCTCTTGCTGTATCAGGGAACAAAGGTTTTGGGAGAGCTAGAACCAGCTCTTCTTGTAGAGCACGTTGCATCCTGGGCCTCACCTGACTTCTCCAACCTCTGAGGAGGAAGAAGAGAGACTTGTGCCTCTACTATACTGTAACCCATAGCCCTTTCGAAATCACTACCTCCCAGGACTATGACACAATCAAGTGCGCTAGAATTTGAACAATCCAGCCAGAGTACCTCCTCTCTGGGGACTGAGCCAGTCTAGGAAGTGCATGGAGGAAACTTGCAAGGTGTCCACCCCTGGGGCCCAAACATACCCAGCATAAAGAACAGTGAGTGCTGCCCCAGAGTTAAATAGGCATGTTGGTTCATGTATTGTATGTTTTAGATCCTTTGACAAGGTAGGAGGTCACTGCAACTGGATATAACCAAAGATCTCTTTTTAAAGTTCCCATCTAGGAAAAATAACCCAATGTTACTATCTGAGAAAGTGCCTTAAGTGAGATTTATACCACTGCCTAGCAGTGTACTCTCCAACATGATAGTCACTAGCTATGTATGGCTATTTAAATACAATTAAATAAAATTAAATATTCTGCCTCTCAGTTGCACTAGCCACAGGTGTTAGTGATTGGGGCCACACGTGACTAGCGGCTGTCCTCGTGGATAGGACAGACACAGAACCATTCCATCATTACAGAAAGTTCTAGGGATAGCACCAGCCTCATGTGAATATGCACACAAAACACAGAGTGAATTGATCCAGATAAAAGTTGGTCACCTTAGAAATTAATGGGTTCACAGGGAGGTGGAGGTTGCAGTGAGCTGAGATCGCACCACCATACTCCAGCCTGGACAACAAAACGAGACTCCATCTCAAAAAAAAAAAAAAAAAAAAAAAAAGAATTCATGGGTTCATCATTGTCTTGGATTATATAAAAAAATTAAAATTAGGTCAGGCACAGTGGCTCACGCCTGTAATCCCAGCATTTTGGGAGGCTGAGGTGGGCAGACCACCTGGGCTCAGGAGTTTGAGACCAGCCTGGCCAACATAGTAAAACCCTGTCAATACTGGAGGAAAAAAAAAAAAAAGCCAGGCGTGAAGGTGCGTGCCTGTAATCCCAGCTACTCTGGAGGCTGAGGCAGGAGAATCACTTAAACCCAGGAGGCAGAGGTTGCAGTGAGCCAAGATCGCACCACTGCACTCTGTCCTGGGTGACAGAGCAAGACTCCTGACTCTGTCTCAAAAAAATAAAAATTAAAAATAAATAAATAAAGTTAATGGATCTGAAGTTAGGAAAATACTCTTCCAGAGTTACCCAAGCTATTTTTTATATAAATCTGAGACACACAGCCCAGTTTGGGGTTATAAAATCAGAGATCATATTATACTCAATCTTGACCACCGAGTCTACCACCAGTAGCAAATAGTCTTAGTAAAAGGTTTCAAAGATGAATATTTAATCTCATCCACTTTTTCATCCTAGATTGTCAGATTAGACCGAACAATGGAACAGATAGTCTTTCCCGTGCCCAGCATATGTGAATTCCTAACCAAGGAGTCAAAACTACGAATTTACTATACTACAGAGAGAGACGAACAAGGCAGCAAAATCAATGATTTCTTTCTGCGGTCTGAAGACCTCTTCAATGAAATGAATTGGCAGAAGAAACTGAGAGGTGGGTTCCAACGCATCAGCAACAACACAGAGAGACACAGTTCTGGGATTTCACAAACTTGGGCTTGATGGTGCGTTCATTTCCAAGCAGGAGCAAAGCTAGTATCATTTATGATACTTTGCACCTCTGACCACCAGGAAGTCATAACCAGTTTTGCAGCTGATCAGTGGGCTCAAGCCAAAGTATGATAACTCCCCTGAAAAGGCTTCCTTCATCAGAATTTGACTTGATTTGATTGGAAAGCTCCATGGAAGACTTTTTGAATGCCTCTTTTGATATCTCTATCTAGAAAATAAAAAGAAAAGGGAAAAGCCCAGGCCCTTGAGCTCACAGGGTGGTTCACTTGAGCAGGAAATTCACACTGCTTGCTGGCTCATTTACTAGCACACCTGCTCCAGAGACTCTGGTATTTTCCCTTTTATGGGGTAGCTTGGATTTTAGACTAAATCGTTTTACAGGCAATGGAATCATTTGCCACATAAGGTGCATCATTGCTCACCAGCGAGTCCCATTGAGTATCCCAGCCAGTCAGGTGGAAATTACTTGTCTGAAACACATTCGTAGGGCTTCCCCAGGGGGCTTCTGTGTTCCTGGTTTTCACTGGGGTTTTAATGTGATCCTTCAGTACCAGCCTTGTGCTTGGCACTGGCTGTTGAGACCAACTTAAAAAGGATCGTGCTTGATTTCTATCTGTTCATCAGGAGCCAGACTTTTTTATTTGAAACACTGGATTCCAGCTATAGTTGTGACGTGTTGAGCTCTTTCTGAGGGGTAGACCTGGGGTGGAGAACAGCCGTGTTGGAGGTCAGTTTCCCAGAGCTTTCGTCTTCTCCGTGATGCTGCCAATCTGAGCAGGCACGGACCAGTGCTGTCTGTTTTTTCTTCCCTTTTCTCCCTACCTGCCTGCATCCCTAGATCAGGCTAATGGCAGATAAGGTGGTGCAAGAAGGTTCGCCCAAAGGTCCCATTCCCACCTCACTTCCAGCCCCGCTGTACTCTTGCTCGTCTCTAAGGGGCACCTCCCTGTGCAGCACCTTCAAACATTACAAAAAGTCTGGCCAGGCCAAATCCATCCCTCAGCCAGCTCCATGTCTAGTGTCTGACCGAGGGGCCAGGGGACCATTAGCAGACCAGCCTCTGTGGCCTCCACGGTATGGACCTCAGGAGACACAGGTGCAATTCTACCTGGTATCAGAGTGTCCTCATAGCCTACTGTAGATTCCTCAAAGACTCTTGCAGCTCCAGGATCCTCATGAACATGGAAACTTTTGCAGAGCACCATGCTTGGGCAATAAGAGGGAAAAAGATACCCTGTACTCCAAAAGGGAGACATAGACCCCACCCATTTCATCCTCATTTTTCTAGCTATTATGTTACATAGGAGAAAACTTATCTGTTGCTTTTGTCCTTCACTGGGATATTCCATCATTCCAGCTTTAGGGAATAATCCTGAGGTGTTTTGTTTTTGTTTTTGTTTTTGTTTTTGTTTTTGTTTTTTGAGACAGAGTCTTGGTCTGTCGCCCAGGCTGGAGTGCAGTGGCGCGATCTCGGGTCACTGCAACCTCCACCTCCCGGGTTCAAGCGATTCCCCTGCCTTAGCCTCCTGAGTAGCTGAGATTACAGGCACATGCCACCATGGCTGGCTAATTTTTGTATTTGTAATAGAGATGGGGCTTCACCATGTTGGCCAGGAGGGTCTCAAACTCCTGACCTTGTGATCCATCCGCCTCAGCTTCCCAAAGTGCTGGGATTACAGGCATGAGCCACTGCGCCCAGCCAATCCTGAGTTCTTGTATCCAAACCTCCATGATAGTTAATAGGCTGTAATTTTAGCCTTATCAGAATATGTGTCTATGAAATTGGTCAGACACATACACTGATACATTCATTCTCTATAAATTGTTTTATGAAATGTTTATGTATAATGTATGTATTTTATAGGTTCTCCAAAAGGCTTATTTTGGAGATGACAAAAAGGTTTTCACCTTTTCTGGTGAGATGAGATATCTCCTTATCCCTTTTTTTGAGATAATGTCTCCAGCCTGGAATAGTAGGAGGACCCTCAGGCCCAAAGAGTGAGGAATCAGTTCTAGTCCATTTCTGCCCCCAACAGGCTCCATGGCCCTGGGACAAATGGCTTAACTGCTCCCAGACCCTCACCTGTGAAGTGAGGGATTAAGATGACCTAATTGATGGACTGTAGCATGGTCATTATGCCAAGACTTATATTATATTGTAGCTAATACCTTCCTTATTTCAGTCATTCTTTTTTTGAAAAACAGTTTTCATTTCAGTGAAACTTAAGCACAACTGCAGTTGTCAGCTGAAAGATTTTAATTGGCTTCAAAACTATCTGCTGGTAAGAGAGAAATTGAAAATAATAACTGAATTAACCATGATTTGCACACTTGGGGAGGGAGAAATGTACTCATCGGAAATACAATTAAAATGAAATGCATTTTCCCCTCTAAGTAGCTTATATCTCTTCTAATAAGTCTGCAGAATCAATTTTTCAGGCTCATTCATTTCGCTGTTTTACCTTTTCCTGAATGTATTGCAGAGGATCATCTGTTCTTCAGTAAATCTGCAGCTAGGACTCAGACACGTAGTGAGATCCGTCTGAGACTGATGGGGCTTAGTATTTTCTTCTGCAAGATTAAAATATGCAATTGCTCTGAGCTTCATAAACTCTCTTCTCTGCTTTATTTACTCTAGAACACACACATAGTCTTCTGTGCACTCACATCCTCTCTCTCACCATCCCTCCCTGATATCCTTTCCTGAAGATCCTATCCCCAGTGAAGTGAAAACTCTGGGCTAGGAAAATGAGAAGAGAGAGAAAGAAAGAGGAAATCGAGGCAGAGTTGAATGTGCTGACACTTTCTTGCATGAGGTTTTCCCATGTGATTATCCCACTCGTAAGTGTATATGGAGTCCAAGCCTTCCAGTAAAGTCCCGTTCCTCTCAAACAAACACAAACAAAAAACTAGGAAAGAATGTTACCAAGAGATGCCCTAGGCTGTGGTTATTTAAATTGCCTTGCCAATCCAGGATCACAGCACTCCTTCTTTTTGCTATAATGTAGCAGGTATATTGATCCAACCAACTTTTAGCCCCTGATAAGTAGAAAACGTGCTGTAAGGCAGCGGTCCCCAACCTTTAGGGCAGCAGAGACTGGTTTCATGGAAGACAATTTTCCACAGATCGGAGGGATGATTTGGGGATGAAACTGTCCCACCTCAGATCATCAAGCATTAGATTTTCTTACGGAGTGTGCAGCCTCCTAGATCCCTCACATGCACAGTTCACAATAGGGTTCACACTCCTGTGAGCATCTGATGCCCTTGCTGATGTGACAGAGGCAGAGCTTAGGTGGTAATGCTCGCTTGCTGCTCACCTTCTGCTGTGCTGCCCAGTTCATAACAGGCTATGGGCCAGAACTGGTCTGCGGCCCCAGGGTTGGGGACCCCTGCTATAAGGTACAGTGAGGAATTCAACAGTGTGTAAGCTATGACTCCTCCTGTGGGCACTTACTATCTGAAGTGGGCAGACAACAACGGCATATTTTTAAGTGGCTGCAATACCAAGCTGTTTGTGACTAGAGCTGTAATCAAGCATTGACGCATGGAAGTACAAGAAAGGAAGGCTTCAGAGAAAAGGTAGGATTTGAGTAGCATCTAGAAAGGTCTGTAGGACTTGAATAGACACAGCCTGAGAGATTGGGGGATGGGGAGATGTATTTGTTGCCCATTGCTGCTATAACAAATTACCACAAAGCTTGAAGCTTACAACAACATACGTTGATTATCTTACAGTTCTGGAGGTCAGAAGTCTGAAAAGATTCTCGCTGGGCTAATACCAACGTGTTGATAGGGCTGTGTTCCTTCTGAAGGCCATATCCTTTTCCAGCTGCTAGAGGCTACCTGTGGCCCCCGGCCCCTCCCTCCACCTTCAAAGCAGCATTGTTCAGTAGAGCATTTCTCATGCTGTGCTACTGACCCTCCTGTTCCCTCTCTCACTCTCTCACCTACACGGATACTTGTGACCACATTGGACCTACCTAGATAATCCAAGACAACCTCCCCACCTCACATCCTTAACCTAATCATACCTGCAAAGCCCCTTTTGCTAGGTTAGGTAGCACATTCACAAGTTCTAATGATTCACATGTCAACATGTTGGAGGGGGGCACGTTATTTGGCTGCCACAGAAAGTAGGTTAGTTGCTTTTTATTGCTGTATAACAAATTGCCCCAACATGTCGTGACTTAAAACAATAAATGTTTATTTCCTCACAGTTTCTTGGGGTCAGGAACTTGGGAGTGGCTCCTCTGGATGGTTCTGGCTCAGGTCTCTCATGGGGTTGTAGCCAGGATGTCAGCCAGGGCTGCCATCATTTGAAGGCTTAAGTGGACCTACAGGGTCCGCTCCTTGGTGCTCTTACGTGGCTGTCGGCAGGAGGCCTCAGGTCCCCTCCACACGGACCTCTCCATAGGTCTGCTTCAGCATCCTCATGACATGGCAGATGATTTCCTCAGAGCAAATTATTGATGAGACAGAGGGAGAGGGAGAGAGAGGGGAGGAGAAGGAAGCCACAGTGTTTTTATTAATATCACCTAGTCTCAGAAGGCATGAACCAGCAGTTTCACTCTACTCTTATTTATTAGTAACAGGTTGTTAAGTCCAGCCCATACTCAAGTGGAAGGGAAATTAAGATGTACCACTTGAAGGGAGGAGGATCAAATAATTCATGAACATATTTTTAAATTGACACAAAGCGAGTGTGCAGAGGCTGGAGAGTGCGGGGTGTGTTCGGGAACCACCACTAGATTGGGATACAAAGGCAGAGTATATGGGGAAGGGGAGTGGGAGAAGTGTCTGGAAAGGTAGATAGGGACATAGTTCCATGTGCCACAGGAAATAAAAGACATTGCATGTCAAGATTGGTCTCTAAGTATCTTCTTGCACCTGGATAAATACCTAGTTGATTTGAAGGACTGAATGTTTGTCCAGATTGAAAACAACATTACAACTTAAGTAGAATGTTAGCCTTATAAAAATAAGATTCATTTCATGAACTATATGCCATAGTTGAAGACCATTTATTACAATCATATTAGCGTATCCTGCAGTACACGCACTCACATTTGATACGGAGCACTCCCTCTGAAACGAATGCTGGCTTACACAGACCATCACTGAGCTTTGCCAGATCCTTTTCTTCCCCCCAACTTTGTTTTATGAGCTTTTTATACACACACTAGTGTGGAGAGGATATTTCAGATTCCCACATATCCATCACTCAGCTTCAGCGGTTATCAACTCTTTGCCATTCATCTCTTCTGTCCTCTTCTGGAGTTTACATATCCAGATCGGAAATGGGCTTCAGTCCCAGAAGAAACACAATAGCTGTTGTTTCTAGAGCAGATAAATGTCTCAGCTTAAATTTGCTTCAGCAATCAACTTACCAAAGAAAGTACATTGCTACGTAGTGGTTGACTGGGTCCTGGCTGGCCCCCCATTCAATTGTCACATGGGTCATTTATTTTTATCCCTGCCGCTGACCCCAGAGGATCACTAACCTGGATAACAAGATCTCCACTGCTTCTGCCCTGTGCTGGGCCTCAGTTTCCCTCATTTATACAATGAGGGATTTTAAACTAGATGATTGCTCATGGCTCTAAAACTCTACAGTTTGGAAACATTGCCTGTTACCAAGTGCAAACATGATATGGGCGATTAATAAATTACCCAGGGCTCTATTTAATTGTACCATAATTTTATTTTGGTTGGAAGCTCCCAAAGGCTTGGCTGCTGCTACAAGCATTATTATAAGGCCGTTGGATTTGTCATTGGCTGCTGTCGCAAAGTTACATGATGACTTCATTGGGAAAAAGAAATATACGATCGAGATCCATTCTCACGTACTCCATGCTTTTCTCTGGAGGGGGATGATGTGGAATGAGACTGTCTTTTGGAAACTTTGCCTGTGACATGGACACTGAAATTATGCCTACCATGTCTATTTTGGAGCATCACCCTAAGTGTAAAGCACCACTGAAAAAGAGTTCAGGGAAAAAGGCACCCCTGTAACCAAGTGTTTGTTGTTCTAAGACTGAGAATGCCCGGCCAGCGTGGGATAACCTGTGGGCAGCGGTGGATTAAGGTGGCAGCAATGTCCAAAGCGTCTCTGTCTCTTGCCCCTTTGTGATGGCTTTGCTGCCACATCCTCTCTCTGCCACAGCCCTGGAGATGGGAACTCTGCTGCTGACCACGAGGTCAGCAACTTGTACCCCTCGCTTCCCTGTCCTCAAGAATGATCATCCAACTTCAGGGAAATGGCAGATGACTCAATGCCGGGAAAGGAATCATTGTCTTGCTTTTAGGCACTGGCGTGTTAGTGGAGCATGTTGAGCCAGAGAGGAATGTGGAAATGATACCAGCCCTAGTCTGGGGCCCAGCGGGGCTGACTCTGAATGCTGTATCTCCCCCACCCCTCCCCAGTGCCCCACACTTCTAAAAAGCTAATTGAATTTTTGGGTCTCTCCGGGCATCTCATCTGGTCCCAGAGCCCTAGGGGGAACCGAGGACTCAATGTGTGAACTCTGGATAACCCCCAGATTCCGCAACTGATGGCTGCGGCTGGGGTATGCAGGGTTTATAGATGCTCCAACTTTTCTCTTTTTGCTCTCTCCTTACTCCACCCCCAATACATCTTCTGTTCCAGTAAGTACTCCACACAGAAATAAACCAATCTGATGTCATTATGTACCAAGTTCCAAACAAATGATCATTTTTACTCTTGTGGTAAAAACCGGGAACAAAAGTGGACTTGTGGGGCAGAGCTGGCGGAAGGGCCACATTGCATTCCTGGCGTTCCGGCTTGGGGTCTCCAGCCTCACGCGGCTTTGCCTTTGTCTCTGCAGCCCAGCCCGTGTTGTACTGGTGTGCCCGCAACATGTCTTTCTGGAGCAGCATTTCGTTTAACCTGGCCGTCCTGATGAACCTGCTGGTGGCGTTTTTCTACCCGTTTAAGGGAGTCCGAGGAGGTACCCATATCTTTAACTTCAAAAATCCTATTAGAAGCAGCAGGAAGGCTAGGACTTGCATCTCAGTTGTGGTTCCTGGATGTATTGGTGCAGTACTGGGGATCCCAGTTATCCACATTCAGACAAGAGGAGATTGTAGCTGTTACCATAGATTTAGTTTTAAATCTAACTTAAAATAATTTAACTTTTTTATCCATTTTTTTTAACCAGGAAAGAAAGAGAAGCAGCTAGATACTATTAAACCTGTGAGAAAGTCTCTTAATCAGCCCCTTCTTTTATATATGAGGAAACTATGTCTCAGAGCAGTTAAGAAATCAGGCCAAAGTCACATAGCTAACTAATGGCAGAGCTAACCCTAAAACGTAGACGTCTTGATGCTCAGTCCAGTATATGTGTTTCCACACCGCACTTCTGGAATTGATTTCAGACTAAAGAATTTGTAAGAAATCTCTGGAATATTTTTTTTGCCAGGGGTCAGAGGGGAGGCAGGACTTGAATGACTGCAGACTGTACAATGTTTAGTCTATTAAGAGGTACCTGCCATTATTCACATAACAAAACATGATGATTATGGTCTTTCTGGGTTCCCCCCAGCCTACCTCCTTCCAGGCTACACATTTTGCTGAGAAAAGGCAGACAATTTGGAGGTGGGCATTTTGCTATTTGGGGCCCCTCGACAAGCATTCAAAGCTCCTCTTCTGTGATACATTCATGGCCCCTTTTCTGACATCCACAGCAGCCACCTGGGAGGTCCACCTCCCGGCTAAATTTTTCATCAGAGCTTTTTGGCAGATCACCTCACATACGCATAGAACAACCTGCCAGGAACCACCTTATGTGACAGAGAATGGGATAAAGAGCCCAAAAACCACACAGGAGTAAGTTTCAGGCTCCACTCTTTAGCTTAATCATGCAGACATCAACGGAAGCAGACATGTATGGGTAATGAGTCAGTTTAAGGACCAACTTGAAAGCGATGTTATGTAATGCTTATATGCCTAAGTTACCCTTTTGAGGAGTTAGCTTTTCTGTTTGACCTTAAGTTACGTGGAAGGCACCATCTGAATGCCCCCGCTCCGAAAAGTACAATCTAAACACAAGTCCAGGGGGGATTTTTTTTTTAATGTCATGTCAGGAAACATGAATGCCCGTGTCTATGTCTAAAAAGATTTGACTAGAACCCAGAGCTGCAAGGTTTTCTCTTTGGGGATGTCCACCTTAACCCTGCTGCCAGACAGCAGAGGAGTGCGTGGCAGAGGGCTAGTGAGGAGCTCAGCTGGCGGCGGCGGAGGAGGCCCAGGTCTCCTTTCGCCTCAGGGAAGTTGTCATGTTCCTCACGGCAGATTATTCAACCCTTACCTTGTCTGTGTTTTCATTTACTCTCCATTGCCTTAAAAATATTTCAAACAGATTTTATTATTCGCCACGTCTGTTTTCTTCACCGGTCATTTGTGGCAGCATTCAGGCCAGTTCTGGGGACAGGGAGTTAACAGCCCCCCACCCTTCATTGACAAGCCTCCTGCAGTGCCTTTCTTAGACTTAGGAAGTCCAGAGACTTAAGGTCTCTGCCTGGCTCCTGCCGCCCATTTGCCAAGCCACTCTGGGCAAGCCACTTCAGCAAGTCCTTGTCATCCTTTATGTGAAGAGATGTTTACATTAAGCCCATGGTTAGAAAACTTTGATATGGCTTCAGAAAATCCTGTAGAACCCGGGGAAGAACAGTTGGCAAACTAGTCAAGATCTCCAGAGCATGTGTTTCTTGCCCATCCAAGCTTGAGATCCCCTGGATGGTATGACTATCGAGGGTCCTTCCAACTCTAAAATGGTGCATTCTGAATGAGCCACCAACTCAGGCTGGTCTGCAGGAGGCAAGGATGCATGGTTTGGAATCATGGGCTTTAGAACTTCATGCTGAGGGACTAAACTGAGAGCATAATTCAGAGCTCCGAGGAGATTTGACCTGAGGCTGATATGACCCAAGGAAGCCTTTTCCATTATCTAGTAGCTGATACTGCCTTAAGTGCATCAGTTCACTCTCAGAGGGATTCTTTTTTCCTTTTGTAAGATGCATTGAGGGCATTTCCTATACTCACTGCTAACCATCCTCAGTAGAAGAGTTGTATTAACCCTGCCTAGAAACAAGATCTGGTTTGTTGACCTGAAAGTATTTCTTTGAGCTAATATGTGTTAGGATTTGTTGCATCCTAAAGGCAAGATTTCATAATGTCCCTCTTGAATGTGTATAATGGCCGTATTATGTGTGCTGATTTTGTGTGGTTCTGTGGCTTACAAGGTTTGCAACTGCCAAGAACCAGTGGCCTTAAAAGCTCCTTTTCAAAAGTATCACCGCCCCTCCACCTTTGTTTTAGAACTGACAAGTTACAGTCTTTCAAAAGCGTGCAACTCAGGCAGCTTCAGATTGCTTACTGAATTTGTGAGCATGCCGTGATGGCTAAAGCAAATGTAGTACTACTTTTTAAATGTTTTTATTATTGAAATTGTCAAATATACACACAAGTAGAAAGAACAGTATAATGAGCTACCATATATCTATCAGCCAGCTTTAACAATTTTGCCTATCTTGTTTCATCTATCCCCATACTATATTTTCTGAAACATTTTAAAGAAGTCTAGACATCTTGGATTTTTTGTCCATAAATATTTCAGTGTATAACTTATGAGGACATTTTAAAATATGTATAATCACCATGCCATTATCATATCTAACAAAACTAACAGCAAATCCTGTAATAGCCTGCCCAAATTCAGATTTCTCCAACTGTCTCAAAGATGTCTTTCTAGAGTTGATTTTTTGGAATCTAGCACTATGTTTTTTAACACTGCCGTTATAGTGAGGAGACAGCATTTTTACATTGGCCTCTTCAGGATTTGGGACATACATTGTACTGGTCACATTGATGATACTGAGATCATCTTAAGAGTCCATTTAAAATGGCATTAAGCATTTCAGAAAATGATAAGCCACAGACTGGGAGAAAATAGTTGCAAAATATATATCTGATAAAAAGCTTATGTCCAGAATATGTAAAGAACTCTTACAACTCAACAATAAAAAAACTATTCAATTAAAACAGTGGGCAAAGCATTTGATCAGACACTTCACAGAAGAAGATGTATGAATGGCCAGTAAGCACATGAAACGATGTTGAGCATCACTAGTTATCAGGGAAATGTAAATTAAAATCACCACACCATACCACTGCAAACCTACTAGAATGACTAAATGAAAAAGATGGGCACTGCCAAGTATTGGTGATGCTGTGGATCAGATGGAACTGTCATACACGGCTGGTGGGAAGGCAGTGTGATACATTCACCTTGGAAAACAGTTTGGTATTGTCTTTTAAAGTTAAACATATCTGTAGGATCCAACATTCTACTTCTCTATGTTTGTCCAAGTGAAATGAAAATATGTCCACTCCAAGAATTGAACATGAATGTTTCTAGTAGCATTATTTGTAATCACTCCAAACTGGAAACTCATTGATTGTTAACTGGACAAATAAATTGTAATATATCCATACTATAATATAGTCAGCAATAAAAAGTACAAAGTATCAATACATACATGGTAACCTGGATGCATCTTAAAAACTTGCTCAGTGAAAGAAGTCAAGCACAAAGGACTACCTGATAGGATTATTTTCCCATTTTTATGAAATTCTAGAAAGTGCAAAGCTATAGGGACTGACACTATTAGATCAGTGGTAGCTGGGGGTAGGGATGGGGCAAGGCATCACCTGCAAAGAGGCACAAGGAGACTTTTAGAGTGATAAAAATGTTCTGTATCTTGACTGTGGTGACAATTACATGCGGTGGTCACATGACTATATAAACTGCCAAGATTCACCAAATTTTACACTTAAAATGCATGGATTTTTTAAAATATTGATTAAGGACCATCGACTTCAGAGGCAAATGGTCTGCAGCCATTTGCTGCATCACTTTGGGCAAGAAATGTAACCTGAGACTCAGTTTCCTTTAGAGTAGACCGGGGACAGTAGGATGAATAAATGATCATCAACATCAAGGGCTTGACACGATGTCTAACAATTGTTAAATGCGTAGAAAGCGGCACATGTGCCTCAATGTGCACTTCTTGAATTTCTGAGAAACCTCTGCCTCTTTGTCCCCATTCCCAATCAGCTTTGCCTTTTGAAGGATTTCAAAAGGGAAGAGGTAAGTGGCTGGGCTGGGGGGAACAGTTGTTAAAGTGAGGCTGAATCTCCGCAGGCGTGGACTCAATGAACTAGGGCAGCCAGCAGCTGGTGGAAGAGCTGTGCCCTGCAAAGGTGTCTCCTCCCCAGTGGTGCCACAATCCAAGCATCTCTGAAGAAGTGAAGCTCCTTTATATAAGTGGCCTTAATCATGTAGTGCTGCTTGTTTACATCTGAAGGAGACTCAAAATGTGACAGCATTTGAAATAGGGGTGTTTTTTTTTTAATGAGTGTTTTACAGAACTATATTTTTAGCCGTGTTGGCTCATGTTATATAACCAAGCCGTCTCGTGGGACACTCTAAATAGAACTTGCAGTAGCAAGAGATGACAAAAATTGGTATAAGCTCTTTGACTGCAGGGATAATCTAATTGTAGCATGATGCTCATGACACGGAAGTTGCCTTTCTCCTTCCCTTGGAGAAATCTGATTCAGGCAGGGGACCTGCAGTTTTCCTTTGCATACTTTTAATAGAAATTAAGTTTAGGCTTCCACGTCGCCTTCTTTGAGTGAAGTGTGACACATGCATGAGTTTTATTTCTCGAACGAGCTTTTCGTGAGTACCTGCCAGGCACCAGGTACTTCCCCTGGGGAATGTGCAATCTGGTGAGAGAGAGACAAGTAAACTGACCATTAGGAAATAGTGTCCTGTAGGGATGACTGGAAGCAGGGAGTACGGAGGAGGAGGGAACTCCTGACATGTTTTTGTGGGGAGGAAGGGGATTGGGGGAGGCTTCCTGGAAGAAGTAATGTCAAAGCTAAGACCTGAGATGAATGAGAAGGGAAGAACTTCCCAGCAGAAGGAGCATGTGTGGAGGCTTGGAGGTCAAAAAATGCTGATGGGACTGGTTATGGATGGGGCAGAGAATTTGAGGTGAGAGTTGGGACTGGTAAGCCAAAAAAGTTATTGAGGAATCTGTAACAGTGCATGTTTTAGGTCTGTCCCCTGTACTCAGTGAAGGCACAGATTTGTGAGAGAACCCTGTTTTGTCCTTGCAGGAACCCTGGAGCCCCACTGGTCGGGACTCCTGTGGACAGCCATGCTCATCTCTCTGGCCATCGTCATTGCCCTCCCCAAGCCCCATGGCATCCGGGCCTTAATTGCCTCCACAATTCTACGACTGATATTTTCAGTCGGGTTACAACCCACGTTGTTTCTTCTGGGCGCTTTCAATGTAAGTGTGAATACCTTCCTTGCCACTGTTTTGTTTGCAGATTAATAGGAATGCCTTGCACTCTGGTTTCTAGAATCCTGGCCTGTGCTTTCAGTCCAGAAAATTATTGTTTGGGGCAACTGTTTAAATAGCCAGAAGCAGGGGATGGCTGCAGGTGGACGTCTCCCTCTTGACCTCCGCGTGGTGCAGTGAGCCTTGTAATGGATCCCTTGGGCATCAGCACTTTCACTTTTAGGGACTATCCCTGTCAGGAGATAGGCAGAAAAAGTGGTAGTGCTTTGAGATTTAAGTTAGTTTTGCCAATCTGGTCAAAGGTTTGTTGGGACAGAAGATTTTAGACAATAAGTGAAATGATCAAATATTAACACCGTACCCACTTCTGGAAAGGGCCACATAGAAAAGAGGGGATAGGTAAGAGGGCCTGGCCAAATACAGAGACAGGGCAGGTGGAGAGGGAAGAGGAGAAGCAGAGACAATTCTTTAAAAGTCAGTGGTGACATTTAGAAATGCTGTTTCACTACCATTGAAAGATAGAAGCCAATTTCATCTCTGGGAGAATTCTTAGGACAAACTGATATAAAACCATACATTGGAGAGGTTTCCTTGTGAAGGGAAGGAGAAAATTTGGACATGTGAGGCACTGGAGGATCTAAAAATGCCTTCCAGGGGTTTCTGCCCTGAGTATATAAGGAAGCTGAGGTCCCATGCAAAACTGGAAGTGATATCGCAAAATAATATAGTAATTCAGTGCAACAGCAAAAGCCCCAAAGGGAGTATTCAAATGGCACAGGCAGCAAGGACTTTAGAGAACAGGTCATGTCAAGCTGAAAAGCTTACAGCGGGGAGGAGGCAGGATGGAAGTTAGGGCTTAAGGAATGGAGGGCCAGGCTCGGTGGCTCACATCTATAATCCCAGCACTTTGGGAGGCCAGGGTGAGCAGATCACTTGAGATCAGGAATTTGAGACCAGCCTGGCTAACATGGCAGAACCCTATCTCTACTAAAAATACAAAAATTAGCTGGGTTTGGTAGCATGCGCCTATAATCCTAGCTACTCGGGAGACTGAGGCAGGAGAATCACTTGAACCTGAGAGGTGGAGGTTGTAGTGAGCTAAGATGGCACCACTGCACTCCAGCCTGGGTGACAAAGGGAGACTCCATCTCAAAAATAAATAAATGAACAAATAAATAAATAATTTTTAAAAAAAAGGGAATGGAGAGGATCTGGCCATGAAGCGGGGATTGAGAAGAGTTCTTTGGTTTCGTGGGCCCCATAGGCCAGAGCAGAACAGTGGGAAAGCTCGGGATGTTATCAACAGACAATAAATAAAGAGTTTCACCTCATTCGTGGTTCAGTAGTGATCAGTAGGAACTGATCCTGTGTAAGTCACTTGCAGCACTGAATTTTAGGATAAAGCAACTGGACTTCATCCCCCAGGTCAGCATTCCCAGAGCATATTCCACGTTGATAAATATGAGGTGAAAAAAGGGTTCCGTGATTGAATCCGCATGAAAAATGCTGAGGTAAACACAATGAAAGGTTTCATTACTGCAGGCTTCCTCACAGACTTTAATGTACTAATATGGATTAGGAACCTCCAAGGAAAACAGTGTCTTTCTGTTTCCCAAACTTATTTTCCTGCAGTTTTTTGTAAGTATCACTTGAGATTAGTGTTGTATAGAATGTATGTTGGAAACTCTGTTCCCAGTAGTGGAAAGTGCCTGTGGTGTTTTTGAGCCAAGAAATGGTCCATACAAAGAAGTATTCTTGAGAAAATGCATTCAGTATGGCTTGTTATGTGGATTCATCAGGAGGGACTAGAGGCAAGGAGGCTTTTTAGGGGCTGTAGCGACGCTTTGATTAGGTTTGAGAAGCCTGAGTCTTGGACATAGTGTAGAAGAAAGAAGGAAGGTATGGACGTCAGAAATGGGAAGGAAACAGGCTGGGCACCGTGGCTCAAGCCTGTAATCCCAGCACTTTGGGAGGCCAAGGCGGGAAAATTGCTTGAGGCCAGGAGTTCAAGACCAGCCTGGCCAGTATGCATGTGAAACCCCTCTCTACTAAAAAAAAATACAAAAATTAGCCTGGCATAGTAATGCATGCTTGTAATCCCAGCTACTTGGGAGGCTGAGGCACGAGAATCTCTTGAACCTGGGAGGCAGAGGTTGCAGTGGGCTGAGATGGTGCCACTTCACTCCAGCCTGGGTGACAGAATGAGACTGATTAAAAAAAAAAAGAAAGAAAGAAAGAGAAAGAAAGAAAGAGAGAAAGAGAGATGAGGAAATAGTAACACATGGTGGGCACAGAGTCAGAGCCTTACCCCACCCAGAAAGCAATGTGCTTCTATTAGTTCGTTCTCACATTGCTATAAAATGCCTGAGACTCGGTAATTTATAAGAAAAGAGGTTTAATTGGCTTGAGGTTTTGCAGCTGTACAGGAAGCATGGCAGCATCTGCTTCTGGGGAGGCCTCAGGGAGCTTTCACTCATGGCGGAGTAAAAGCAGCAAAGTTGGAGCTGGAACAGGAGGAAGCGGATGGGGAGGCGCTACACGCTTTTAAACAACCAGCTCTCTATCACTATACTGTATCCGGGACAGGTGGCGCTAAACTATTTATGATCCAGTCACCTCCCCCCAGGCCCCACCTCTGACACTGGAGATTACAAGTTAACAGATTTGGGGGGGACACAGAACCAAACCATACTGCCACTCTGGGTCCCTTTTTCAGACAAAGAGGGTATCACTGTCTTGATTGGGTAATGAAGGAGGCAAATATGACTCCAAATTTTCAGTCACAAATGATTGGGAGAAGAATAATGTGGCCATCTAAAATGAAGTCATGCAAAGATTTAGTTTTTCAGGGTGAAAATGCATTTACATCGTTGACCTACTGGGCTTCAGGTGGAAAGACACGCTGTTAACGTGAGCTGCGGCATTTGGAAATACATGACCAGAACTACAGAGAGAGATCAGTGTGGGGAGGGGAATGTAGGGATTGCCTGCAGTGAGAGGAAACCATTTAAGAAAGAAATACAAAAGAATTACATAAACAACTAGGTAGAAAAAATGTTCAGTATTTCAGAGGCTGTCTTCTATGGGCTGTCTAGTTCTTTTCTTCTCTGGCCTTCTCTGATAATCATTCCACAGTTATCACTTCTTTAACACAAATCAGTTGGGGGAAAGACTCAACTGAGATAATTAATTACCATTTACAACAACATAAGCTGGTAGGGGGCAAACAGCTATAATAAATAATTATTTAGAGTAAATTTTATTTTACATTTTTTTTGAGACAGAGTCTCGATCTGTCACCCAGGCTGGAGTACAGTGGTACAATCTCGGCTCACTGCAACCTCCGCCTCCTGGGTTCAAGCAATTCTCCTCCCTCAGCCTCCCAGGTAGCTGGGACTACAGGTGTGTGCCGCCATGCCTGGCTAATTTTTTGTATTTTAGTAGAGACGAGGTTTCACCGTGTTGCCCAGGCTGGTCGCGAACTCCTGAGCTCAGGCAATCCACCCGCCTCGGCCTCCCAAAGTGCTGGGATTATAGGCGTGAGCCACCATGCCCCGCCTAGAGTGAATTTTAAAAGAGAGAAACACCCACATGGAATGTATGGGAGAGGGAAAGTACCTGTGGACGGAGACAGAGAGAGAATATTGGAGTTCTGAGAGCTGGAGGAGGAGAAGGTGGGGTCCTAAAGCCCAGCTGGGAGAGTGGTGAGCAGGGTGCGCTGGGAGACTTGTCACGCCGCAGGGAGCTGGGAAAGATGCTAAGAGCAGACGGGAAGACTGCTGGGTGCGCAGAATCCTTGGAGACTTCACATGAGCTGTCTCTGTTGAGAGGTGGGGATGGAAGCCAGATCTAAGACTAACAAGCAGAGTCCAGCCGCAGGCTGAGACCACAAATAGCAGCTATTTCCTGGGGAAGCAATGGAGAAAACTAGGGCAGAAGTTAGAGGGGAGAATGGACTCAGGTGAAGTGGATCACCCTGTTGTTAAGTTGGCAGGATCTGGGGTGTGTTTGAGGTGCTGTAATGTGTGATGTCACCCAGGGCACCATCTGCCTCTCCCTGAAACCACATCATCATGGATCATCCAGAATCAGTGATACTTTCCCACCCTCTGAAATCCCCTCCACTAGCAAAGGTGAGAATTTTGGAAAAAATTGGCAGATTGAATGCTTAGCCTGTCTGAGAAAGCCAGCAGCGATCTGTGGGTGTCGGCTTCCTCGCTTATCTGATTGCCGAGAAGCTCACTTACACCGACCTACCAGATTAACTGGCAGTATTTCCCCCGCACCTGTGGCCAAGGGAGCTAGAGTAGCAGAAGATGGTTTTACCAAGTGCATCCAGAGAGGTCCCTCTCTGGCCTCCTCCTGAGCCAAGTTTTTCTGTCAACATATTGCTAGAGATGGACTTCCAGGCATTGGGGTTTCTATCAAAGGTGAGACTATATTGCACAGTAGTTCAGTTAGGACTCCTTCAGTTGCAGATGTCAGAAAACCTAATCCATGCTAGCCTCAGCAAAGGAGAATATGTATTGGTTCATTTTGACCAAGAAACCAACAGCCTCGCTTCAGGCACAGCTGATACAGGGGCTCACACAGTGTCCTCAGGGCCCAGTTCCTCCTTGCCATCTTTTGGCTCTGTGTCCCCAGTGCTGGTGGTGCCTTCAGTGTTGGTAATGTGGCAGCTCCAGAGTTCACAGCTGCTCAGGTTCAAGGTCAGTGGGAAAGAACAAAATTATCTTTGGCTGCAATCCCAAGAAAGAGCTCAGTGGACATCATTGGCTCCATTTGGTCCTGTGTCTATCTCTAAACCAGTCATTGTACCCAGGGGAATACAATATTGTGATGGCCAGGTTGGAGCCCCACCCAGACCTCAAAGACTGCTACTCAGAGAGGAATGGTCCCCAAAGGAAAATTAGAAGTTATTCCCAGAAGAGAGGGCAGGGGAATAGAACTCATCCTGAAGTCCCTTATATTTTTTTTCCCCCAAGAAAATTGTTGTTTTCCCTGTGAACTTAGGAGCATTGAAAGGCAAGAACTGATCACTGCTCATTAAATTGCCACCTTACAGTGCCTAGAATGTAACAAATTCAGAAAATGCTTTTGATCATGCTGATCACAGGGTTCGTGGATTGAGGTGACTTCTGTGTTTGACTAACTCATACAAGAATGTTAGAAATGATTCATATCTCATTTTGAAAATCATAATCTCAGTATGTGTTAATTTTGTTTTTGCCATAGAGAAATGCTACTTGATTACTGTTGCGCATGAAGTTATTTGACTACCATGTAATTTGTAATATGCCTGAAAAGCAAAGTAATGAAATGACTTAGATCTGCAAATGGGTCTTGGCGGGTTTGGTGGGCACCGGGTGGAAAAGGAAGCGTTTGTTTGGGCACGGTGACTGAAATACATTTGTGTGAGATGCTCTCGTTGCTCTCATGAAGAGTTTGGCACAGTCCGTGCCATCTGACTGTTCCTGTCATTGTTCTCAGGTATGCAATAAAATCATCTTTCTAATGAGCTTTGTGGGCAACTGTGGGACATTCACAAGAGGCTACCGAGCCATGGTTCTGGATGTTGAGTTCCTCTATCATTTGTTGTATCTGGTGATCTGTGCCATGGGGCTCTTTGTCCATGAATTCTTCTACAGTCTGCTGGTGAGTACCTGGTGTGGAAATATTTTATGTGTGGGGAAACTAGGAGAGTGTCCTATGTCCTCTCTCTCATCACAGACCCTTCCTTTTAATGGTGATTGGTGTGCCTGGTCCACCAAGATTGAAGCTCCACAGTTGGCAGCCTTTGGGGGATCTGAGAGGAAAGCTCCACAGGAATTGGGTCAGCCCAGGAATTCAAGAGTCACACAACCGCACTGTGTACTGGGCACTCCCGATCTGTTACTTCTCAGTAATGGAACATGCCTGTAGTAGGTTCAGGAGATGTTTCCTTTCCATGCACCTTTGTTTTTCTTTACTTCTTAGACTCAGCCGCACTTACACCAAGAGGAGTGTTTTTGAGGCTGTCATCCAACAGCTCTCAGGGAGTCCATTTCTTGTGAACACGTGTAGCGACCATAAGAGTAGGAGCTAGTTTTGAAGCCCCGGGATTCATGATCATGAGCTCAGTAGATTTATTGGTCTAGGAGACCCTTTCAGTAGCTCATTTTCCTCCGATATGAGCCAAGTGCTTAATGTCTTGACAGTCTGTAAGACAAGCTGGTTCCATCACCTTCCTCCTGAGCAGGTTTTTAAATGACAAATCAAGGAACTACTTACTTTCCTGTAGTTGGAGGGAATCTAGACCTGTGGCGTTGTAGATAAGAAACCATTTTCTTGTGCCTACATAAAATGACAGGAAGCATAAAACTGACCTATCTGCAAGCAACACCATAAACAGCCTAGGAATATTAAAATATTTGTGAGGACAAAAATGATCAAGGCCTAAGGGTTGGCTTACAAAGAGGGGGACTTACAAAGAGAGGGGGGCTTACAAAGAGAGGGGGGCTTACAAAGAGAGGGGGGCTTACAAAGAGAGGGGGGACTTACAAAGAGAGGGGGGCTTACAAAGAGAGGGGGGCTTACAAAAGGCAGAGCAAGGGAAGCTCTTCAGGGAGATGCTTAGAAAACCCCCCCGAAGCGCGTATGAGAGGCATCCAGCCACGATCTAGTTTGATCCTATTGCGTTTTCTTAAAGTGAACTGAGGAGCAGTTCAGCATCAGAAGCTGGGAGTTACTCTTATCTTTCTGCAATAGGTTAGAGATTTGAAAGTACAAAATGCAACTGTGTGAGATGCTCCCTTCGCTTAACGTACTTGACTGCCTTGTGCCACAGTTTCCTCATCTACAAAATGAGAACAGTGTATCTCCCTCACAGGGCCGTCACAGGGATTACATGCAGCTGTTCAGGTCAGGGTCTTAGAATAGCACTGCCGAATGATTGCCAGCTATTTTATTGTCTTTGTCATTCTATATTCCTTCCCCCGTCCAAAACACCATAAGGAATTCACCGTTCAGATCACTAGGATTAGCTCATACCATTAGGGGTGGATTTTGGCAGGCTAAAGGGAATGGATTCTTTTCCCTCATCTTAAAATAGGTCTGGCTATATTTTGAGGTTTTAGGCAAAGAGGTCTCAGGATATCCTTGTGATTCCCATTATGTCGCCTATTTTGGTCACTTTGTATCAGAAACCTTTAGAGACTTACGTCTGTTTCTGGAACTTTTTGTCTCATGCCATCATGTCCCTGGACAACAAATTCCTGTCCTCCCTTGGGAGGGCGGCAGAGTTCAGTTGGTGGTCTCTCTCATCCCTGCCAAGGGCTCTCTCCCAAGAGACAGGAGATGCCCCTTTGGTCAACGCCACCTTGCCCCAGTAGACACTTCGACCTTTCCTCCAATCTGCCTCCAGTTGGCTTGGCTTCTTTTCTGTTCATTTGAGTCCTCTTCTCTTCATCACTTGCAATGCAGGCCAGTGCCAGTGCCTGACGCAGGGCACATAATGGTGAGAGGAACACAGTCCCTACCCTCATAGGCCTCACAGTCAGGAGCACATTACAGGGACAGCCGTTTTGTGAGTGGTCACCCTGCACTCTTCTCTACACACTCTCACTACCACCTTTGAGGTAGATGGTATCTTCCAATTACACCTGAGGAAACTGAGGCTTGGTGAGGTTAGGTAACTTGCTCAGAGTCACACTGTCAGTAACTGGTGGAGGCAGGAGAGCCTCACAACTCTGTTGATTCCCAAGTTGACACTGCCTTTTATTCAAGCATGTGAAAAAGTCCTTGCATCAGTGAAACTGGCATTTCACGTTCCAGTTTGCATCTGTGCTTTCAAGTCTCCAACCTATCACAGAAAGATAAGAGTAACTCTCAGCTTCTGATCATGCTACCTCAGTTCACTTTTAGGAAACGCAATAGGATCAAACCAGATTATGGTTGGCTGCCTCTCCTGTGCTTTGCGGGGGGATTTTCTAAGCTGTGTGGACCTTGACTTGTTTGTGTCTTCAAGTGATGTGCTCCTTTTGGTATCAAAGCAGTACTCAATGTGTCTGGTAAGAACCAGAAAACACTGACACTTCAAATTATTCTACTAATAAGGAAAGCCTGCAACCAAAAGAAATCGGGCTGCCTGTAAAAGGAGAGAGACCTGAGCAGGGAACACCCATGTGTTCCAGAGTTGGGAGAGCTCCCTCCATGCCAGCAGGCCGGAAGGTAGGGAGGGTGATCTGGTGGCCTAATTAAACTGCTGCCCCCCCTCCCCCACAAAGACTGGCCGGACCTGGTCGTGAGCCTGCATTAAAGCTGTGTCCTTAGAAAAATATTAACACCTGGAGATGAAAATGTGCAAAGTTCATAAGCAGGCAGTTAACAAAAGCAGAAATCCAGATGGTCAGTAAACATGGAAAAATGTTCATCCTTGGTGCTAAACAAAGACATGCTAATTAAAACAGCGCAATCCTGTGTTTTACCTGTGACATTAGTAAAGGTTAAAAAGCCTGATGGTGCCCAGTACTAGTGAGAGTGGGGTAAAATGGGCATGATTCTTTACTAGTGGTGAATGTAAACTGATCCTGCCTTTCTGAAAGCAGCAGGCAAAATGTTTCTCTTATACCATTTGACTCAAATACTCCATTTCCAAAAATTCGCCGAAAAGGAATAACTAGACGAGCACGTATGGAGGCATGTATAGAAGTGTTCCTCACAGCATTATTTGTTATGACATATAATTGGAAACATCTTGACTGTTTTTAAAAAACATATTGGTTATGTTAATCATGTTTTTCCCATATAGTGAAATACCAGGTGATCATTTTTGACAGGAAAATGTTCCTGATGGCTTGGTGAAAGGCTGGTTATGTGCCAGTATTATGGTCTAATATTTTTGTAAACAATATATATCTATAAATTGCATTTTTTAAGGCCAGAAGGAATTAAGCTATTGAGCGAATGTCTCTAGATGGTGAATTATTAGTGACTTTTTTTCCTTTGTGCTTTTTTTTGTTTTCCAAGTTTTCTCCATTGAACATGTATAATTTTCCAATTAGAAGAAAGCTTTTCTTTTATATAAATAATACTTATTGATTGTTTTAAAATCAGAAACTATAGATGAGTGAAAAGGAAAAAATCGCTTGTCATTTCTATGATTTGGAGCCTGTGTAATCTCTGCGGTCCTTAACCACAGAAAACAAGTGCCATTTGTTTGTTGTCTGAAGTTGCGCTTACTTGCCACTTTATATTGAGCTGCTGGAAAACATTTAACCAACATTAACAGCAACACTTTGCCTTCTGTCATATTGTATTGACTAAAATCCCTCTTCCTTGCTTCCCTTTAAGTATCCTACTCTACCCAATGCCCTTCACAGAACTAGTCTCAGAACACAGATTGGTGTCAAGGAGGCAGAAAAGCCAATCGACCGGAAAATGACCTCAGATGAAAAATTCTAAATTGGAAGGGACTCAGAGATCAGCTGTCTCAGTCCACTTATTTTACAGATGAGGAAACAGATCCAGAGAGCTTAGATGGCTTGGCCGACATCTTGCAACAAATTAAAAGCAGTCAGGATTCAACCCTGTCCCCTGACTCACTTCATGGTGCAGTCACACCCCAAAGCCACAGTGGAGACCAAACCTTCTGTACAGGATTAGACAGCAGCCAGAGGCCATGCTAAAAACTAGCCTCAGGTCTAAGAGTAACTTCAGAGAGCTCTCTCCCCACACTCCCCACCATTCTCCCAGTCAAGTATCTGTGACTGTAGCTCTTGGAAAACTAGCCATCATCCTCCCATACCTATATGTACCTACAAGGATCCTCCATTCCTCAGGAAGCCAACTTCTTGCAAAGAGCAGGTTCCTTAGCAGAGGGCAAGCCTGGATTGTGAAGGCACTGTGACCTGCAGGGGTCTTACCCTCGCAATGTTAACGTCACTAATGTCCCTGCGATACACCAGCTATGTGACCCTGCCCCAGTCTCTTGATCAGGAAATTGATGATAATTACTATTTACTGTACTTACTGAGCATATGGATGCCAGTGTGCTAAGCACTGTGCGTACGTGGTTTACTTATTCTTCATAACAACTCTACATCCTCCAGTCTGCAAATGAGGAAATGGAGACTCAGAGGGGATGAGGAAAGTGCCTAGCCCGAGATCATACGGTGGACAGTAGCTGAGCTGAGATTTGAATTTACATCTAAGTCCAGAGTTCTTGCCACTGACGCTGGCTTGTAGTACGTCTGCCTTCCCACCAGACACTGGGCTGCAGGAGGGCAGGGACCAGGGTGGCTGGCTCTTCATAAACTCAATTCAGTACCTTCTAAATGAATGGATGCCAAGACCCTCATCACTTTCCTCTCCCTTTGTCTCTGAAACTCATTGGCACAAGCATGTATTTTCTCTATTTCCAGTCCCTCTAAATGGCTCTGGATACTACTTGAAGTTGCTATTGTTTCCTGCTTCCTCTTCTGTGTTTATTTTTCCTCATTTTTACCATCTCCGTTTCACTGTGAAGCCAGGGAAGATGTTCAGTGTTAAGATCATATGTAGTGCTTTTGAGTGTCTAAGAGGGCAAACTCTCTATAAACCAAGTTTGCATTATGGGATAGTGATGTACATCTAACATCAAGGCTTCTTAAAATTCTTTTTGTTTGTTTTCAAAGCTTTTTGATTTAGTGTACAGAGAAGAGACTTTGCTTAATGTCATTAAAAGTGTCACTCGCAATGGACGGTCCATCATCCTGACAGCAGTTCTGGCTCTGATCCTCGTTTACCTGTTCTCAATAGTGGGCTATCTTTTCTTCAAGGATGACTTTATCTTGGAAGTAGATAGGCTGCCCAATGAAACAGCTGTTCCAGGTGGGTTTGGGATCTTCTGATCTTTTTAATGCTAAAAGATTATTTCCTGATTATAACTGAACTAAAGAAAATAACGACTTTAGTAATGCAGATATCTCCCCATTGTATCTCCCTAACACGCAGAGTGTGAATTTCAAATACAGGTCTTCATTCTCACAATGAATGTGGCAATGTGGCATATCAAATGCTAAGAGTGGGTGACCAGATCTGACATTTATTTATTCACTAACATCATCTTTTAAACTAGTGCAACTTTTTTGTAAAGCAGTGACCATACATATTGAGAGCGTTGGAGTATGCATCCCTTTAACTGAGTAAATCTACTTCTAGGATCAATACTTAAAGAAAAAAAGGCTGCCGACTGTGCACGTAGAAACAGACATATATGGGAGAACGTTCGCTGCAGTGTACAGTTGGAAGCAGTGTAAATGTTCGGGGGTGTTTCATCAGATCATGGTACATCCATGAGGTGGGGTGCCTTGCACATAGGTACATCTTTAGAAACCTCCATGGAAAAATACCCACAAGATGTAGTTGGAAATGGCAGAAGGATAACTATAGTAGGATCACATGTATGTCTTTTTTTTTTTTTTTTTCGAGACAGGATCTCACTCTGTCTCCCAGGCTGATGTGCAGTGGTATGATTTCACCTCACTGCAACCTCCAACCTCCCGAGCTCAAGCAATCCTCCCACCTCAGCCTCCCCAGTAGCTGAAACTGCAGGCGCCTGCCACTGCATGTGGCTAATTGTATTTTTTGTAGAGATAGGTTCTTGCCATGTTGCCCAGGCTGGTCTCGAACTCCTGGGCTCAGGCGATCCCCCAGCTTTAGCTTCCCAAAGTGCTGGGATTACAGGTGTGGGCCACTATGCCTGGTCTTATGTTTTCTTAAAAATTAAAAAGCCCATATACATATATTAAAACATGGATGACTGTACCTCCAGACTGCTAGCAGTAGCTCTCTCTGGGGCTTTTTTACTATATGCAGGTTTTACAGTGAGCTCATGTTATTTTTACACATAGCAAGAACAGAAGAGATTTCCAATTCTGAGAGTGAAAAAAAATGACCATAATACTTGAATGGTACCCAAGTGCCCTCTTCTCTCAGTTACAATAGTTGGCCCGACTTAGTGAAATACTACTGGTTTTTCATCCCGAGTCTAAGAAACAGACTAGAATCGTTGTGGCTGACTGAGCCAGCCAGCCTTTGTGCTCTCCCTCCCAAATGCTGTGTTCTTGGCATGTATCTCCAGCCTCCCAAGTTGACACTAAGTGACATTTACTGCCAGCCATCTTAGAGTTGTGGACTAAACTGGCCTGGACCTTGGATTTCTATTAATGCCTGCTAATGCTTCTCGTGCAGACTTGGTATAAATCTTGCCAGAGTCTGTACGTTCAGTAGTATCTGTCTAAGAGTTTCAGCTGTTTGTCTTTAAAGTTGGAGAGGTGCTATTTAAGTGCGATATTTCTAGTAAGCCTACAGGAATTGACATTTTTGGCTTTTTTCCCATCCAGATCACCAAATGAAAGTGTAAATTGCATTTCTGCTTTGAATTTATATGCAAGATTCTAGGGTGTTATTTATGTAAAGAATTGTTTAATCAGCCGTGAATTGGGGACTTCAAACATTTTAACCATATGCTGCCAGATTGTTCATCATAAAATTTCCTTCTCTCTCCCAGAAACCGGCGAGAGTTTGGCAAGCGAGTTCCTGTTCTCCGATGTGTGTAGGGTGGAGAGTGGGGAGAACTGCTCCTCTCCTGCACCCAGAGAAGGTAGGACCTCCTAACTGTAAGCCCCATGTTAATATCGGACTCCTCCAGAGGCTTAGCTGATGCAGGTGATGTTGGAAGAAGATTAAATTTACTGCTCAGGAGTAAGGCTATAGCAAAGGGGAAAGGCTGAGAAAGAGGAGGGAGATGAAGGGAAAAGAAGGTTACACCTGAAGAAAAGATCTGATGTGATTCAGCCGATTTATACTGAGTGCCCGCCATTTGCCAGGGACTGTGGTGTACTCTAAGAGACAGTAATGTAGTGGAGGGTGCGGGCAGGCCAAATGGTGATTGCTAGAGAGTTGCCCAATGCTGGGAATAAGGATGGAATACAGAAGTTAGGCACCCGGCCTACTACTGGGCTAAGCGTATCATCAAGAAAGTGATATCCAAACTATAAAAGGAGACTCTTGATATTCCAAGGAGAGGGAATAGTACATCTAAAGGCTTTAAAGGTAAAAAGAAAAAAACAGCAAGTTTGGGGAGATAATGATTATAAGGAAGGAGAGTGGCAAGAAATGAAGCCACAGATACAAACAAAGGGCTAGATCATGAAGGATCTTCTATGTCAGGCGTAGGAGGTTAAACTTCGTCCAGAGGATGGTCAGGGGTTGTTGGAAGATGAGTGATGAAATCTGTGTTTTAGCAAGACCCTCTGCAGCTGGAGAAAGGAATGAGGCACACAGCAAGGCATGGCTCTTACTGCATAAACCAGTGAGAATGAACAGCCTCCAATGTAAAGCAGTTGATCCAGAGGCCCTGCCGTGAAATATCCCTGGATATAGTCCTCACACCATTCCCAGTGAGGAACCTGTGTCCTGTGGCATAACCCTCATCTGAGAGACAAGAGGCCTGTGACTCAGAGTTGCGAAGCAACTCATCTGACATGAAAAGACTGTTTGCGGCTGGGTCTGGGGTTTAAAACCTGAAAAGGACAGGGCATGTTTTAGATCCCACAGAGGGAGAGCAATACTACCATAGCTGGAGAAATTAGCGGGGGTTAGCGATGAAAACAGTTGCCCCAGACGACTTTAGCTTTTGAAAGAAAATAAGAAAATTCTTGGCTCTTGATTCCTTAATTTTATTCTTTCGTGTGCCTGGTGAGATGGCATTCAGGAAACAGGATTTCAAAATCCCGGTCTCTCTTTTCTCCTCACGTTTTCTCTCTGTTGTTACTTGCCGTGTTCACAGAGCTGGTCCCTGCAGAAGAGACGGAACAGGATAAAGAGCACACATGTGAGACGCTGCTGATGTGCATTGTCACTGTGCTGAGTCACGGGCTGCGGAGCGGGGGTGGAGTAGGAGATGTACTCAGGAAGCCGTCCAAAGAGGTAAATTAATCCCGAGGGGAAGGAAGGGCAAAGGGGGCGGGTGGGGTGGTTGGTGGGAGCACCATGCAGCGGTGTTGAGTGTAAACTGAAGACGCAGAGGAAGAGCTGGGAGTAGGGCTGAGTAGCTGCGGAACTAGCTCATCAGGCTCCTTTCCTCTCTATCACGTGAGGTGGTGCCGCAAAGTCAGCTGCGTGGAAAGGGTTGGCTTTGGCTCTCTGTTCAGTAGACTTAGGGACTGTTTCCATCAGGGTTAGGCCTGATCCACCTGAACGCACAGTGAATATCCCTCCTGGCTGTGTCACACCACACTTGGAGAAGTCGCAATTGAGACAGGGGACATGAAAAGAGATGCAGTTTTCAGTTTAAAAGTTGAATGCCCAATTTAATTTCTACCCAAGTAGATGAGGTCTCACTTGAGCTGTGCCCCAGGCTCCGCAGACCAAAGGGTCGCAAGGGACCCAGACTGATCCAGACACCTCTCTTTTCCAGGAACCCCTGTTTGCTGCTAGAGTTATTTATGACCTCTTGTTCTTCTTCATGGTCATCATCATTGTTCTTAACCTGATTTTTGGGGTTATCATTGACACTTTTGCTGACCTGAGGAGTGAGAAGCAGAAGAAGGAAGAGATCTTGAAGACCACGTGCTTTATCTGTGGTGAGTGTCGCTGGCCAGCTCCAGCAAGGGCGTGAAGGCCCAGCGTGGCAGAGGCATGTGGATACTGCGAGGGTGTGATGGGCGGGGTGCCTGCCCAGTTATGCGGGAGGGGGCACCGGCTGCTGCTTCGTCTTGACTCTTCTACCCTCTGCCGTGAGTGAGGCTCTCCTTGGCCTTTATTCTGCTGGGAAGTATTTACAGACCTGGGTTCTGACTGAGCTTCTACCACTTAACTAACTGTGTAACATCATTTAGTCATTTAACATCTTTAATCCTTCTTTCTTCATCTGTAAAATGGGTACAATAACATGTCCTTCTCTGCATTATTGTGAGAATTATGAGAGACAGCGTATGTAACACTCCTAGCTAGAACCTGGCACACTATAGGCACGGGAGGAGAAGTAGTGAACGGCTACGTAAAAGAGGTGCATGGACACCAAACAAATCATTTTCAGTATAACTACAGGAAAATATTTGTAAATGTAAACTAATCATGGAGGAATCTGGGGAGCTGAGTAATCATTTCAGGATTATTCATAATATAGCTACTAAATATATAAATTTCCTAGTGGTATGTATGCTAAAAAAAAAGATCAGTTTCCAATTAAAGACTTAAATTCTTTGCTTTTTGCCCCCTTAAAACCTTTTTAAGCTTTTTGCTTTGGCATAATTTCAGAGTTATAGAAAAGACATGACTATCCAAAGAATTTCTATATATTCTTCACCCAGAATCCCCAAATATTAATATTTTATCTCATTTGCTTTATACACACACACACACACACACACACACACACATTTTCTAATGTGAGTGGCTGACAGTGATGCTTTCTTATCCCTAAATATTTTAGTACACATTTCCTAAAAACAAGAACATTCTCTTGTGTATCTACAGTATAATTATCAAAATTGGGAAATTAAAACAGATCCAATACTGTTATCTCATCTACAGACCTTATTCAAATTTCACCCTTCATTCCAATAATGTCCTTTGCAAATCCCACCTCCTGCGGGGCTTCAGTCACCATGCCTCGTGAGCCTCCGCTGACACTGTTGA
This sequence comes from Homo sapiens, assembly GCF_000001405.40. Classification (NCBI taxonomy): domain Eukaryota; kingdom Metazoa; phylum Chordata; class Mammalia; order Primates; family Hominidae; genus Homo; species Homo sapiens. Next base: position 4,816,276 of record NC_000003.12, read on the forward strand.
AGAATGTAGGTCAATTATTTTGTAGAATGTCCCTTGATTTGAGTTTGTCTGATGTTTGCTCATGGTAAGATTGAGGGTATGTATTTTCCACAGGAATATCAAAGACATGCTGTTGTGTTCTTCTCATTGCATCGTATCAGGAGGCATGTAATGCCAGTTCATCTTGTAACTAGTATCTCGGCTCACTGTAACCTCCACCTCCCAGGGTTCAAGCAATTCTCGTGCTTCAGCCACCTGAGTAGCTAGGATTACAGGTGCCTCTCACCACAACTGGCTGATTTTTTGTATTTGAGTAGAGATGGGATTTCACTATGTTGCTGAGAGGCTGGTCTTGAACTACTGAGCTCAGGCAATCTGCCCGTTTTAGCTTCCCAAAGTGTTAGGATTACAGGCATGAGCCACTGCGCCCAGCCGTGATACTAACGTTGATCATTTGGTTAAGGTGCTAATTGCCAGGTTTTTCCAGTAACTCCATAAAGTTACTTTTTTGGAGAGACACTCTGTAAATATCGTGCTATTCCTTAAACTTTCACCCCTCAGCTTTAGCATTCATTGATGATGCTTGGCTAACTCTATTATGATGATGGTTGCCCAATGATGATTTTTATGTTATTATTATTTCTACATTTCTTTATTGGCTTTTTATTGTAAGAAAGAATTTTTTCTTCTCCCCACATATGTGTTTATATTTCTGTGTTTGTATTTGTAACTACATGGACTTGTGGATTTTTATTTTATTCAATGGGCTATTTATTTTGATGTTCAAATTGCTTCAGATGTGGCCAGTGAGAGCCCTTTCCAGCTGACTCCTGGGTTTAGTCATGTCATCATCGTTTTCTATGTACTTTCTTACTTTTTTGGCATCATAATATATTCCAGGCTTAGGCTCACCTTGTACATTTCCTGAGCCATCCCTGGAATCAGCCATTTCTCCAAAGAGCCCCGGTTCTTTTTACTGGAGAAAGGTATTTAGAAGCCAAGATCTGGGGACTGAGTGTGCTCATTCCTGTTGGTGTGCTGCTGCTCTCAGGGCTTATTAGGGTGCAGATCTAGAGGAGAGGTGTATGCATCTGCATATGTGTGTATGTGTACACAGCACATGTATCTGCACACATCTGTGTATATATGTATGAAAAAGGATGAATTCATACTGATACCTTTAATTCCGTTTCAGCATTACAGGGTTTATTCTTTCTCCCTTTCTCTATTTGTGTTCTTTTCTCAGGCAGTGAGGAATCCAGCTCCCATTATCCGTGATATATTTATTTGATCAATCCTAGAATACGTACAGACTAGAATTGCTCACCCCGGCCTCTTCAAATTATAAACCTACCAGCTAGAGTTCAAAATTTGTTTAAAGTTCTTGTTGTCCTTACTTATTCTGTCTCCTCAAAAAACCTTAACATGTCTGCATTTTGGCATTTACCTGGGCGAAGGGACTTCACATTCCCTGGTTGCATGCAATATGTGAGAGTGTCACACACATTCTCATTTTACCCCTAAACACTCCTGGAACCTAGACGGCGGTCTCCCCATTCACTAACAAGGCCACTAAGGCATGTGGAGATGAAGCAGCAACTGCCAAGTGGCAGAGGTGGGATTCAAACCCAAGTCTGTCTGACTCACAGCCTGTGTTTTCCTGCCATAATGTAAACATGAATGTACTTATAAGGCCGACAGAATCCAACTCTTTATAAAGACAGGAGTGAAACCACAGCCCCCTTTCTACTGACAGTTCTGTTATTGATTTTTTTTCTTTACCAAGGCTGCTCAGCTGGGGCTGGGGGCTTTTTGTCTCATTTTTAGGCTTGGAAAGAGACAAGTTTGACAACAAGACTGTCACCTTTGAAGAGCACATCAAGGAAGAACACAACATGTGGCACTATCTGTGCTTCATCGTCCTGGTGAAAGTAAAGGACTCCACCGAATATACTGGGCCTGAGAGTTACGTGGCAGAAATGATCAAGGTGAGTGGAAAGGCCTCCTGGGAGCAAGGTGGACTTGGGGCCTACTCAGCTCTGAGCAAGGCCCCAGCAGCCCATCGGGGAGCTGCACAACAGAAGAATAACATCCGATGTTGCCTGAGCCCTTCTCACGGATGGGGCGCTGTGCTCTGTGAACTTCGTGTGTTCTCTGGAGTGATCCTCAGAACCACTAGATAGGTGGTATTGGCCTGTGTTAGTGGGGGAAATGTTGAGCCTCGGTGAGATTAGCACGTGACCACGGAACTGGGGCTGGGATTTTAATCTGGATCAAACTCCATAGCCCGATTTCCTGTCGCTATGTGAATCTGCCTCTTTTCTTGATAGTGCTTTTTTCCCCTTTCTTTTTAATTAACACCTACTCTCTAAGAGGTGTCTTAGAGGCAAAGTGACTGCTCACTGCAGTCCAGCATGGTTTGTGTTTGCCCTCAGCCTCGCCTTTCTGGGAGACACTCTACTAATCGTTAAGAAGTGATCATATGATGGAGGAATTTGAGTTCCAAATTAATCTTTTCGCTGATGGGAAGTGTGGATACTGTGTCCCAGGAAGCGGGGAAGCTGCTTCAGGCTGTTAGAGAACACTTCTCGGGCAGAGTTTGCTGAGACACCAAACGTGCGCTGTGGGTGTCCCGGGCCAGCTGTCCTTTCAGACCTGTGCTTTCCGAACATCATTAAAATGTTCAGGGGTGGATAGTGGCGTGAGGAGCATGAACTGTGAAATCGAGGGAGTCTCTGTGATTCACGCTGGCTGCCTCTGAGGAGAAGGGGCCAACTCTCCTTCCAGTTACCAAGGACTTGAGTGCTCGGCCTGATAATGACTTACCCTAAAGGAGCCTGCTTTTTACCTAGATGTAATTTTCAGGCTTTTTATGTAAAGATACTGGAAGTCAGGTCTGTTCAGATAAGTATCATCATTGACAGGCCTAGAGGCAGCCAGGCTTTCAGTTTTATTGCCAGCAGGGCAGCGATTACGTGGTTGTGTTTGCTGAATACCCCGATTACAGAGGCACAGAGGCCTCTCCTAGGTTCTGGAGGGCTTTCTGGAGATTCTGTGCCGTCTGTACCCTTGAGGTCCTTAGAGTTGAATTCCATGCTTCTCAAATTTTATTGTACATATGAATCACCTGTGGAGCATGTTAAAATTCACATTTTGACTCAGCAGTCACTTCCAGGACTTGAGATATTCTGCATTTCCAACAACCTTCCAGGAGATGCCGAAGCTGCTGGCCCGGGAATCACCCTTTAAGTAGTAAGAGCCTCACAGAGGAGACAAAGCAGATGCTTACTTAAGATTACTCTCAGAGGGGTTGTGCGAATGATGAGGAGAAATATTCCTAATCCTTTACATACATTTGGCCCTCTTCGGTTTGTAAAATCCTCTCACCTCTAGTATTGTATTTGGTTGTTAAAGTTACGCTCCATGGGGAACCCGGAGGAAGGGACTTCTGGGATGGGGAGAGATGGATGGAGGTTCACGGCAGAGGTAACTTTTGAAAAAGGTTTTGAAAGAGAGGATGAAGTCACTAGGGTCATAGATTAGCAGAAAGAAAGGAGAAAAAAAAATCAGCACAGACTGGGGAGAAAAAGACACAAGTTGCAGAATGCTGATGATGGCTTATCCCTTTTACAGATAAAAGCCAGGCTGGGGGTTAAGTGACTTCCTAGGAACAGTTCAGAAGGAGCTGAGCCAGAATTCAAACCAGGCTTGGCTGACTGTAGAAATCGCACTCCATAATCATGTCGTTGATAGGAAACCGGGAGGGTGCTGGTGATTCTGGGAGCAGACTCCTATTTTTAAGCAGCTTAGGGATTCTGATGGGTGCCAGTGTGGATTTCCACAGGTGAGGTTTCCAGGGTCAGGACACATTAACTGAAAAGTCCTCAGTTCCCTTCTTTTCCTCCAATTGTTGAAACTGGCAAATTAAACCCTACTCGATCAGCATTTATACTGACACAGACCTGTCCACATGCACAGATAATGACCTTCATTTGCATTCGATGTCTTAATGTCTAGAGGAGGCCTGTACTGTTCACCCTTGACTTATGTTCCTTCTCACCCCTGACTTTGTTCTCTTGTCTCTGAAGTGTTTGAGTGGGTCCTATCTTTACATCTTCCAGGGGCCAGTTTTGAAGTTTTCTCTTAATCACCTTACTTTCCGGTCACAGAAAACTCTGGCACACTTTTGGGTTTCTGTCTCAATCGTGGAGACTTAAAGGCGTCTTGTGAGCAGTCACTTGATAAGGATTAAGAGCCAGAGTGACCTGTAGCCCGCCACCCACCCAACCCGGTCAGAGCCTGCTGCGTGGCAACACTCTGAGGGCCTGGGTGTTTGGTGTGCTTTCTCCATCCACATCATTCTTTGATTATATGAGACATCTTGTCAGAAAACCTAAAAATCTTACAGCATCAAGGAATTCTTCTCTGAATGTTAAAGTTGTTGCAGAACCAGATGTTCTGTGCGCTAAGTGGTGGCTCAGAGAAGCGTCAGATCTACCGCTAAACGGTGGTGCCTTCTCGCCTGCGCTGTCTGCTGTTGTGTTTAGGCTTGAAACCACATGAATCCCTGCTGCGGACTCCTAAGGGAGCATTAGCCCCATCAGGGTAGCGGCTGGGGTGCCCAGCTGAGTCATTTGGTGGGGGTGGGGGCTGGGGCCCCATGGGACCTCAGAGCTGCGGTGCAGAGGCTACAAGACCACCTGTGGGCCCCACTTAGTCACACCCTGTGGAGGCAGCCACAGTTGGGATGAGGCCCCCACCAGCCTCCCCACTGAGCGGGGGCATCCTACCCACTGCTGCTGGGAGGGAAAATCAGGTGATCTCTTGAATGAGCCAACCCCAGGAGGCTGTAGCTACTCCAGCGTGGAGGACAGAGAAGGGACAGCTGATGGGCAGTGGCAGAGATGGAAGGAAAAGCAGGCTGGAGGGCTCACTGCCCTCTTGCCTTTGATACAGGCTCTTTTAGGGTATGTGGTCCTCAGGAAAAATACCTCTTGCCTAACTGCAGAAGGCTGGGGATGTTGGATTACTCTGCAGCTCTCCTTTAGCCCATGGTTGAAGATCCCAGAGACTCCTGGAGACTTGTGGAATGACAGCTGCCAAAAGGCAACCCAAGAGAACCAATGGAAAAGCCCTCAGATGCCACTCGGGCAGGGAGGAGCCCAGCTGCCCTGAGAGCAGCTCCTTGCAGACAGCAGCATCAGGGATGGCAAATGGGTTTTCATCTCACCCCACACTGGGTCATAGAATTTATCTGGGGCACTGTATTGAGAAGGGTTCTTGGAAACCCAGGCTGACTTGGAAAGAATGACATTTGACGAGTCATGAATGAAAGAGGTGTCTGTGTGCAGAGCCATGGCCCTCCCTGCCTAGTCCCATGTCCCAAGGGCACATTCCCTGCATTGGTGGCTGCTCAGCCATGTAAAAACACAACAGCCTGTCTAGATCAGATACTTCACCTTTCCTAATTCCTGCTGGAACTGCCTACAGACAAGGTGACAGGACCTCTTCTCCCTGTAGATAGAAACAGTGTGTTTCTTGTCATCTCTGGAGGGAGGGAAAGAGGGACCACGTAAAGAAGCTCTGTCTTAAGTTGAGAACTCTGCAACTAGCTGTTCACCCACAAGTTAATCTTGTTTAAACATAATAGATCATATATTTCCCTCTCCCCTTTTGGTCTTCCCCTTTCTCCTTTCACTGGAGATGGGAGTATCCCCCTCAAAGCTGGGGCCAGGCTGATGCCTACTATGAAGTCCTCACTACCCAAGAAGTGGAGGTAGAAGATCCAAGGTGAGAGTTTCCGCTCTGTGCCTTCCCTCGCCGTGTGACCCTGGGCAAGTCACGGGACTTTGCTGACCTGGGTTTCCTGTCTGTACATCGCGGTTCCTACCGCCTCACACATCCGTTGGGTGGTAGACATGAGCTAAATGAGACCTGGCAGGTGGGAGGCATGCACAGAGGGAGGGAGCAGGCGAAAGAGCAACAGGCCCAGAGCACAGCCAGCCAGGAAGCAGGGGCTGCGGGGCTGACAGCAGAGCTGACAGAAGCATCATTTCCTATGGTTCCAAAACTCTGCAAGACACCTTGGCTGTGGGCACGTTGTCACTAAGAAAAGTCAGAGTGGGCATCTTGACTCTAAGAGCCTCCTCCTCTGGAAAATCCCTGTGTCTTTCTCTCTCTTGAACTTTAAATCTTTAAGTGTCCTTCAAAGTTGAGGCAGGGCATGGTTGACGTTAGCGTTCTTTTCTCTGTTGAATTGGTCACAGATACTTGTGAGTTCTATCCATGTCTTTAGTGGTTTCCTCCACTTGCTTTTACTGCCCAGAAGTAGAGCTTTCATTGATTTGGGGAGTGGACCCTGAGTTCTGTGTATTCAAGGCAAACCTCAGATTAATCATGAAATCATTCATGGTTCACTGGTAGATTTGTCCTTCAACTCAAGCACCTGATGGAAGGCGATGCTGTCGAGTACTCAAATGACCAGGGGAAGTGAGCCCTCCTCCACTGTAACTCACAGCGCCGCTCATTCCCCGAGATGCAATCTCATATTCACTGACTTGGGCCCTGGACAAGCCTGGGCTTTCAGAGAAATGTGACTGTGGGGTGACCTGACATAGCCCTTGGCAGATCAAGGGAAGAGGGAAAAAAAATTTCCTTTCCCTGCGGGAACTTGAATTTTGGTGCCATCCTAGTTTTGGTGATAGCCTTTTTTAATAAGCAAATTTTTATTAACCTTGATCTACATTTAAGTTTTCACAGTAATTTATATGCTGCATACCCTTTTTTGAATAATTTTAGCACTGTTTGCCTTTGCTCTAGTGCCAACTAAACTGAGAATCTGTGTTAGTCTATAGATGATGATTTGAAAGGCCATGCTATTGGAGCTATTTAATCTGAATAAGTGGTGAATTCATTATGAGCACTTTGCCTGAGAGAATCTAGATGCTGCACCCTGGGCATGTTGCAGTTAAAAGACCAAATATTTGATTCCCAGCAAAGAAACAGCAGCCCATTTTTCTAGTATAGTCAAATGCAGGAGACTAAATTCTTCTTGAAAATTAGAAATTTGAGCAGCATTAAGAAGGAAGGTTGGTAAAGAAGACCAAACAGTAACTTAAGTACACAACAGTAACAATATGAAACTAACATAAGTGCCCATCAACAAATGAATGGATAAAGAAAATGTGGTATATAGACACAGTGGAATACTATTTGGCCATAAAAAAGGAATGAAATCCTGTCATTTGCAGCAACATGGATGGATCTGGAGGCCATTATCTGAAGTGAAATAAGCCAAGCACAAAAAGACAAATATTGCATGTTCTCATTTATATGTGGGGGCTAAAAAAAACAAAAAACAAAATTGATCACGTGGCAAGTGGAAAGATAGATAACAGAGACTGGGAAGAGTGAGTTAGGGGAAAAAGGAAAGGAGGAAGAGAAATGGGTTCAAGGGCACAAACATCCAGTTAGGTAGAAGGAATATGTTTGATAGCAGAGTAGAATGACTATAATTAACAAAAATGTGTGGTGCTTGGGTGATGGACGCCCTAGATACCTTGACTGGATCACTAGGCACTATATACATGTAACACAATTTCATATATACCCCATACATTTGTACAAATGAAAAAAATATAAGACATGTCTTCTGCTAATTATAGATTTCACTTCTATATGTTGGAATTCTGCCCGGTTAACATAACTCTTATATTTTCGGAGGTGTGTTTTTGAGTGAATTGCATATAAAGACGGCCTGATCAGATAGAACACTGTCCATCTACATTTCAGAAGGTCCCGATACCTTGGTCTACTCTGGCTACTTCTGTAGGACAGCATATTCGTCGACTAACGTGGACAGTGAAATATCGGGGGAGAACCTGCCCCCCCATGGTAGCTAGAGTGTTCTGGAATGCACCAGCGCTGCCGTTTCTGGAGGAGCAGTCTGTGCTGGGCTCTGCTTTACCTCGGGAAGGGCAGATTGGATAGTAAGGAATAGCTCGTGTGTAATCAGTGTGCGGAAAATAAACACTGTATGTGCATGATCTCACTCAATCCTCATCACAGCATGGTAGGTGGTACTATTAACACTTTATAGATGGGAACCTAAAGCTCAGGAAGGTCGAGCAACTTTTGCAGGGTCGCGGCGCTGGGAAGTGCTAGAGCCAAGACTGAAATCCAGAGCTGCTGAACCAGAACCCACCCTCAGGTTGTCCTGACCCACATATCCGCATGTGGTTACCTGTGTGCACATGCACACAGCCCTCCTGTCAGTCTGCAGCCATTGGCTGGCTGGCGGCATCTGGTTTGGACTGGCGCATCTTAGACTTGGACTGGCTCATCTCCCAGCCCCGACCCCGAGTGATACTGAATTAGCCTCCTTTAAAAGAGGCAAGATGCAGGAAAGGCCCCTCTGCGGGTAGAGAGGAGAGTGGGAAAGAGGATCTCCCGGGGATACTGACCGGCTCATGCATAAATCAGTAAGACAGGAGTTAGATGGGGTGTGACTTTCCGAGCTGCTGCCGCCAGCAACCACTGCTCAGACAACCACTTCACAACCCTAGGGGTTGTTGAGACGGTAGGAGTTCAGGAAGGGGTATCAAGTGCAGCCCTTGCAAAGGATGTATCTGAAATATATGTTAATTTTGACCTGCTGAAATATGAGAAACTTCACTACCCTCACCTTAGCTTGAAACAGGGAATGACATGTCCTTTGGTGGCCAGATTTGAGAGGTGTCAAAGTAAAAGGAGAAGGACGATTCACTACAACCACAGCCAGACTGGAGCTTCCACACCCAGGTGACTCATCTGAACGACTTTAACTCCCTAATAATTACACATGAGAATGTCTGCTCCATCATCCTTTAAGCCTGGTGCTGAGTTTTTCTCACAGTGGGGGTAGACACCTCCCTACTTTCTCTCTTTGCCTCTCCTGCTCCCTCTTCCTTGCCCTCAACATTCCATTGGAGATTTTCCAGTTTGTTCCATTACGGGTTAGTTCACTTGACCTCTTCAGAAACTAGCTATACAGGATCCAGAAGCAAAGGAGCAATTTTCCAGATCAAAAGTAGGCTCAATGTGGCAGCAAGTGGGATGCTCTCAGGAGGTGGTGGGGTGCTTTTGCTTAGGAGGGGAGAGCCCAGGAGCCCGCATTCCTGAAAAATGCTTTCCTGAGAGCTGCGGGTAATTTGCTTCAAAAAAAGTAACATGCAAAAGAGCCTTTTTGCCTGACAAGCACCTCCTGGGTAACATTTCCAAGCAAATAAGTTCTATTAGCTAATTCAGTGCTACTAAACATCTATGAGGAAACATTATGAGAAGATTCAAAAGCAGTAGGACATCTGGCCCTTGTGCTTATCTGTATTTGATAAGATGACACAGGAAGCAAATACAGAAAGCAACGTGTTAACAAGGGCAAAAGATCAAAATGGAAACTTAATACCTGCGTGTCACTACCTTCTGTTTAAAAGGGGAACTGGCTGAAGTCTTACCTTGACCCAAGAGAGAGCCTGTGAAATCTGCAGACACTTTCTGAAGTTGGGGACAACAGCTTCCAGCCAGAGGCAACGCAAGGAACCAAGTGCAGGGGCTGGTGGGAGGAGAGTTTCCTGCAGATCATGATTAGATAAGAGTAAGGACCTAGGTTTGGGGGAAAAGATGGTGGCAGCAGTGACCGGAGCCACGAAATGAGCCTGAAAATTCACACAGCCATCATGGGGCGTCTCACTTTAAGGAACTCAGAAGTTGGAGTCCCTGCCAGACAGCACTTAGGTGCAGGAGAGAGGAAGGGCGAGTCCAACAGGGCGTGCACTTAACCCTGGTCTGACCTTTCTGCCCGCCTGTGCACCTCCTCTGTGCATGAAGCAGGCAGCTCCTGGCTGTTGATAAAGTGCCGTGGACACCTTCTGCTTCGTGCAGATGCACGATGATGGGTTTGGGCTTTTATTCTGAATTCCAGTGAGGATGCTGGCAGGAAGGGAGTGCCTAGGTATGTTCCTAGAATATTGATATTTCAACATTGGTAGTGCTGAGCAGCAGCTTTCCTTGTGGCCTAACCTGGGAGGCCACGAGCATTGGTTAAAATGTCACCTGGGCTCTGACAAGCCCTTAACCATGGGTGAGGATACAGCCTGTGCTGCCTGCCAAATACGATTCCCAGAATGCCCCCTGAAGTTAGCTGGCACCACGGCAGAGTCAAGAATATCGGAGCAGGGAGGAGTGAAGAGGGATTTGGCACTGGCTTCCCGGTGGCTGGAAACAGTGTGTCAGCGTCACTGGACTCGCCGCCCAGCCAGCCAGCCAGGCCTCTCTCACCCCACCCTGTGCACTTGGGCTTGGGTTCGTGTCAGTGGCAGCTGCACAAAGCAGTTGCTGAGCTTAAGTTTCCCCACCCAGCCTTAGAACACATTCTGCCCTTTAGTCTAGGGAGGATGAAATCACCCCTTGTTCCGTGCAGCACTTCACTGGCACTTTCCTTTCATTGTGAGGCACTTGGCGTTTGGGCCCCGGTTCTGCACTGACCTCCCAGTGCTCTCCTCCGAATTTCCTACATTCTGACCTTCGTGGAGGGTGTGCCAGGTGCCGTTTGTAACAATGAGTTGAGCAGAGCCATGATCCTCCCTGAAGGAGCTTGTGTGCTAAGGGAGAGCATGGGGCGTGAGTCAGGTATACCCAGGAGTCTAGTCTGTGAGACTGTGCAGGACATGAGGGTTATGCACAGACATTGTTCCGTCAGCCACTGAAGACTCGCTTCACTGTGCATGAAACCACTTCTCCCCATTGGCTACTTCGTCCAACGATGTATGAGTTTGTACATGCTTATTATACACATGAAATACCTGCATACATGCACGTTTTCCTCAACTTGGCAGATCTGATAAGCTCCAAAAGTACATTTTCTCCCCACCGCCCATACCCTGACCCACCCTCCTGCTCCTGCCCCGACAGCACCACCACCGTGCTGCCCGGCTTGCCCTTTACTTCCAGACGTCCTAACTACATTTGTAACTCCCCTGCTTCAACTCCTTCATTTCCTGTGTATTCTAAATATTGACTGTGTCTGGTAGAGCTGGACTATAGTATATGATACTGAGAAGTGTGTCACCATAAAAATGCACTTATAAAACTGCTCTCACCTGGAAAATGTTCTGAATATGACTGTCTACATCAGGTATATATATTCAGAGTTCTTTAAAACCTGCGTCTTTACAATGAAGCCTACTGTCATGTCTCTAGGGAATGTGAGAATGAGGAAAAGAGGTTAGTATTTAGGGATAGTCATTTGTATGAGAAAGCTATACAAGGTGAACTAGACTGAGTTTCCACCTTTTACAAATCCTCTCTCTTCAGGGCCTCAGTTTTACCACCTATAAAATGAGGAAGTTGAATCAAAGGGTCTCTTGTGCCCTTTGTAGGGTCTAAGATTCCAATAAGCAACATTCAGAGTGCGGATAGGAGTTCGTGAAATATGAAACAGGAAGGTGTGATCCTTAGGGTCTGAGTCAGGGATCAGAGTACAAGGGGCTGGTTAGAAAAGGGGAGGGTTTGGAAAGGGTTAAGGAATTTGGAGACCATCCACATGGCCGATGATCTCTTTCCCCCTAAAGAGATCTAGCTGTGTGGAACCTTTCTTCCAAACCACTCTTAAGTCAATAACAGTGCTGGTACCCTTCTCAGTTCTTCATGAAGTCCTGTAGATGGCGAGACGGATAACATCTTCCATCACTTCTTTCTCGGTGTGTCTAGGCGGGACTGACCTTGAGTAAAACCATTTCAGCTCAGAGCTTTCCAGTATAAAAGCCCATCAGATGATAAAGCTGAGATGGAACGTGGTTGCGTTGAAGCAGCTTATTGGTGAGGATGTGTGTGTGTGTTTTCAAAGATAAATGTATCTTTCCCCGAAACAACAGCATAGAACTTTGGAAAGATGTTTCCCTAGGCTTAAAACAAACACAATGCATTGTTGTATAAAAGTAGTAATGGATCAAAGTTGAATACTACTGGAATCCAGAAAAGAATAGAAGAAAACCACGAAAATTGCTAAAATCCTCATACATAGCCACTGGGAATGTTCTGGCATATTTCTTAGCTAATTGAAAGTGCAGGGGAAGTTGCCTAAGCGAGATGTCATAAGCCAGCTTGGATGCTGATGTGGGGAGAAGGGTGAGTGAGCCTGATTGTTCTCTATTCAGAGTCTCAAATGGGCTCGCCCTGCCCTTGTCCAGCACGGGTGGCCGGCCCCACCTTTTTCTCCTCCTGTCCTCTGGTTTCCTCAGCCTGGCAGCCTAGGTGCCCAGGACCCAGCAAGTGTGCACCCTGTGTACCATGGTCCCTGTGCACCATGGCACCCTGTGGGTGCCCAGGAAATCCTCCACCGGTGGCCCCAGAATGACTTGAAAGGATTATTCTGAGGCTGGCTCTTCCTAGGGATTTCATCAGAAACGGGTGTGGTTCTCTCTGCTGGGATGAGCCCATCTTTGTTGCGCTGTATCATCCAAGAACAACTATGGAGTCTGGGAAGGGTGATTGGTCATTCCAGTCCAGCTGAAGATTATATAATGTGGCCTGTTTTGGTAATGTCATTCAGAGCTCAAAAACAGAACCAGACTGACACCTTGATTTATGCCGTTTGGATACCCTTCATGTGGCTTAGCTGGTAAAAAGAGAAATCAGTATCCCTAAAATTTTTATCCCAAAGAAAGAAAGGAACTATCTTTACCCAGGAGCTGAGCACTGAAATTAGAGTCAATACGTGGATTGCAGTGCTGACTCTATCCCAGCTCTAGGCAGATGACATACTGATTTATAATACTTTTGCATAATGCTTTCCAGTTTGTGGGACATTTTTATAGCCATCTGATCCTTACAGTAACCCAGTGAGGTAGCTGGTGAGGTGATCTCTTTCAAAAAAGAAAGAAAGAAAATAGACCAGGTTGGTGAGCTAGCTGACTTATACACTCATTCACCGTCCTGTATACACACAACTGAAACTCTTCTTATTACAGGCCATTGCTTTTTCTACTGACACACTAATGTCACAAGGCTGTGGCAGAAATGTACAGAACCTGTGAAATACAGGGATATTAATATGCATGTGGTCTGAAGTCACTGTACTTTTGGGACAAAGAGAACTGAATTCCTTGAATTTGGGGCTGGCCAACAAATTCCGGGTATGGAATCCCATTTTTAAAAAATTAATAGACTCACAGGATAGAAGAAGAAAAAAAATTAAAAAGAATAAAAGGATGATAATTTTTTAATAAGAAAAAATTACTAGACTTTATTTTTTAGAGCAGTTTGAAGTTTACAGAAAAATGGGGCAGAAAGTACAGAGTTCTCATACATGCCCTTCTCCTCCTGACTTCCTGCCAGTTTCCTCTGTTAGTAACGTTTTGTATTATTGTGGCCTGTTTGTTTGTTAAGATTTGATATGCCAATATTGGATACATTGATATTAATGTCCCTCCATCATTTGCTGCTTACTTTTCATGTTGTGCATTCTGTGGGTTTTCACCAATTCAAATGACACGTATCCACCTTTAGAATATCACACAGAATAGTTTCTGCTCTAAAAATCCTCTGCACACCTCCTATTTATCACTCCCTCCCTCCCTCCCCCTGAGCCTCAGGCTGTCTCTGATCTTACTGTGTCCAAAGATGGGATCCATTTTTTAGGGTTTTTTTTAAAACATGTATAACAGTTTTTTTTTTTTTTTTTTTTTTTTTGTGTGTGTGTGTGAAACGGAGTCCTGCTCTGTTGCCCAGGCTGGAGTGCATTGGCACCATCTCGGCTCACTGCAACCTCTGCCTCCTGGGTTCAAGCGATTCTCCTGCCTCAGCCTCCTGGGTAGCTGGGATTACAGGCACATGCCACCATGCCCAGCTAATTTTTTTGTATTTTTAGTAGAGACAGGGTTTCACTATGTTGGCCGGGTTGGTCTCGAACTCCTGACCTCAGGTGATCCGTCCACCTCAGCCTCCCAAAGCGCTGGGATTACAGGCGTGAGCCACCATGCCTGGCCTATAATAGATATTATTAAGTGGCATTTCAGAGCTACTGAACATAAAGATGACTATTTTTTCACCAAAACCAACAGATTCTGTGTTTTTGTTTTTGGAGGGTTTAGGTTTCATTTTGTTTTGCTGTGATCTTAGAAAAATTAGCTCTAAAGACTAATTTTTTTTTCTTCCTCTTCAATGAAAATAATCACCCTAGCTCATAAAAGGGACAAATGATTTAAAGTCCGTTAAGTGTCCCATATTCCTGCTTTTGAAGACATAAATATTATCTTCAAGCCTCCTCCTCCTGACATTTTCTGAGGGTTTAAATACATGGGGAGGCCAAATCTCTGTTTCCAGGCCTACCCCGTACCCCCTTCTAGTCGTTTCCATCACCTGAGCATCCCTAGGCATTCTGAGAACATCCAGTTTGTCTTCCTGCCTAGTGAGAGCAGTAGACATGAAGCTGCCATTTGAGTTGGAAAGACCATCTTCGCCTCCTTGCGTCTTCCCAGAGGGGATTCTCAAGGGCAGAGAAAGCAACAAGACCATTTTTCTAGGACCCATCTTCTCCCCCATGACCCTTTCTTTTGCCCTCAAGCCCCCCTCACCCTCAACGCCTCATTCTCTGATTTGGCTATAAAAGATTCCACAAAAATGTTCCATCGTTTAGGTGGTAAACGTAAAACTCTACCTGAGCAGACTTTCTCTGAGGAGGTGATTGATTACTCGGTAGTCTTTCTTAGAACAGCCTCTTCTTTTGAACCTGGGAAGAAAAAAAAATACCCCACTTCTCAGAATGATTCGCATTTGCATCATACAATCCAACTTCCTCCTCCGTCTGTCTGTCTTTGTCTCTCTCTCTCTCTCTCTCTCTCTCACACACACACACACACACACACTCACTCCCTCTCTCTGTCTCTCTCCCTCTTTCCAGTCAAGGACATTTCAAGAGGTTGGTCAGTACCACCCCCATATCTAAAACTTCAGTGTTTGCCTTCGCAGGGACTTTTCCAACTTTACCTAGAAAAGAACTAACCAGAACCTTAGCACTTGTGGTCAGCCTGCTTCCGGCTGTGGCTTCAGTTAGTTTGTCTGCTCCGAGAGAGGAAGCACTTGCTGTGACGGGAACTGTACTGGCTGGATTGTAGGAGGACCGGGGCAGACAGTGCCTAATGACATCGGTATGTGAGATGCCAGCAGCAAGGAGTGAGTGAAGCAAAGCAGACTGAAGCCAGAGTCAGACCCAGTGGCAGATGCGGCCGACAGATGCTCAGTGACCCCGTAATCCTCTCCCCACCTTCCCCTCCCAACCGCATATACACACACACACCCCAAGATAATTCACAACAGACAAAGCGTCTTAGCTGAAGATGACTTTTCCAAAAATCCATTAGAAGCCAAGACACTGAGACACGTTTTTGATCTTGAATAGATGATACAGGCAAGATTCTGCAAACATTTCTAGGCCTTCAGACGCTGGCTGGCTGGAGAGGCGTGGGTGACAGGCTTCACTGGAGTCATTCAGCACTCAAACAAGCTCAGAGTTTTGTATGAAAGTCTTAGCTAGAGAGAAAGTAATTGGATTCAGGTGTTCTCTCTGTGCCTATTCCAGTAACTGGGTTATAGTCTAAACATTTGCACTTTGAGATTTAGATTCTCTGTGCAGAGGGGGACCCTGTTGGTGGGGAACCTTATACCACACTAGAGCCTGTCCTACTGCACAGGATGCAAAGCCAACGGGAAATTGAGAGAACAGCTTGGCTAAAATTGCTAATTAATTTTAACTACCAGGTACTTCTTGGTAATTTGAGATTTAATTTCACAGCCCAGGATGATTATTTAATTAAAACACTGGTAACACCTAAATTTGGGGCTCTCCCCCACTTCAGTGCAGAAAAGATAAGAATGCTTGCCAGTGGGATCCCTCGTAGCCCAGCTTTTCATTATTAGATATTAAGGGAGGCACTGGGGGAGACTCTGTGTGGTGGTGATTGATAAATTTCTGGACCAGAAAATCCTTTTGCTATCTTTGCATTGAAGGCCTCCTGTGAAATGGAGAATGAGGCTTTATCCCTAGGATGGGAGCACATGGCCCATGTGGCCTGCACAAAGTATGACCTTCTTTGAAACGCCGTGTTTTAACATTTGATTGAGCACTTTGGGAGGTGGTGGTTGGATCACCTGAGGTCAGGAGTTCAAGACCAGTCTCTACTAAAAATACAAAAATTAGCCAGGCATTGTGGTGCATGCGTGTAGTCCCAGCTACTTAGGAAGCTGAGGCATGAGAATAGCTTGAACCCGGTAGATAGGCAGAGGTTGCAATGAGCTGAGATGGCGCCACTGCACTCCAGCCTGGGTGACACACCAAGACTCCGTCTCAAAAAAATAAATTGACCTTTCTATCTGGTCTACGTAACTTTTTGAATTTAATATAAAAATATTTCAATCATTTACCATTGATTAAAATGGATATTGTACATTCTAAAAAGATGCATTATTTCTTTTTATGGCTTTATGTACCCCTTGGGTGGGGCCATCAAGTCCCAGGATTACAGGTACGCCATGTAGCAGCACAAGACGCAGGGCATCAGTGCCTCTCCACCACCACTGAGGCGAGGGGCAGAGATGCCAGGAGCGGCCCTTGGCATGCTGATGGGCCCCATTCGTGTCTTCAGCACACACTCTTTAGACACTCACCCTTGGAGGTAGGGCCTCCGTGCAGCTCCACAGAGGCGAAGAACTATGCATTGAGACCTGGCCGGTGACCACAGTTCTTGGACTAAAGCAGCTTGAGAATAGAGACCTTGTCTTTCTCATCTTTAGATCCTCAGCGCTCAACCCCATGCAGGACACAGATATTGTAAAAGTTCAGTAAAAAGCTGTTGAATGGAGAAAGTCTGTGCATTTTGCATTTATTTGTTCAAAGACCCTTCTGAAATCATTGCCTAGAGGGCCAGGAGGTACATATGGCATGAAAGAAGGTGAGGAAAATTCTCATTTTAATCTGTAGTCATTTGGTCACTTGCTATTAGGAATGAGGGAGAGAAACTGTTCCTTAAACTTTCGGCTATGTGCAGACTCTTGCATTGGTTTTCTGGAGTCTTTCGAAGGCCTCATTAATGTGGACTCTGTTTGGAAATGTGTGTTTTCTATTTTTATAGAAGGTTTGCTAAGCAAATGAACATATGAAGGATTTGAAAGCCAGATTTTAGATGGATTCGCTAACATTTTAGGCAGTTTAGATTCATTTGCATGTCAGTAATAAGTGAGCTACAGGTGAGTTCCGACTGCTAGCAGTGAGGACTGTGAATGTCCATCCTCTCTCCTCTCCCCTGGTCTGGTAAGGCACGGCGGCCTTTCACAGAGTTCCTGCTTCCTTCTGTTTCCCTCTAGTCTTCAACAGTCCAAGCTGCTCCTGCCTGTCTGCCCTCATCCCCAGCTCCAGCCACACTGGAGCCTCACTGTGCCAGTGGCCTCTGTGAAATGCCCTCATGCTTGCCCAAGGGCTAACCTTCTTTAGGGCCAAGCCTTGCTTGAAGAGGATTTTAGCCAATCAATCAGTCACTGGTTGTTGGGTCTTACTTGGACACTACTCTCTCTACCGCTCCTAGATACAACATAGCCTGCATTATTCCTTAGTTAGTTTTTTATTTGTTTTCAGAGAGTCTTTCTGTCACCCAGGCTGTAGTGCGGTGGCACAATTATGACTCACTGCAGCTTCGACCTCCTGGGCTCAAACGATCCTCCTGCCCCAGCTTCCCGAGTGGCTAGGACTACAGGTGCCCACCACCACACCGAGCTAATTATTTTTATTTTTTATAGAGATGGAGTCTCACTCTATTGCCCAGGCCAGTCTCAAACTTCTGGCCTCATGCTATCCACCCACCTCGGCCTCCCAAAGCACTGGGATTACAGGCACCAGCCACCAGGACTGGCCTGTTAAAAAGAAAATCTAGATGGTCACTCTCCTTGACTAAATTGTAAGCACTTTGATGGCAGGAATTCTATCACATACTTAGGTATCAAAACTGTTTCTCCTTTGAGGGGGTCCAGGATGCAGTGACCATGTCTCTGTTGCTCACTGTAGTATCCTCAACATTGTTGTATCCAAAGTGGGACTTTGTATCTTTTTTCTTCAATTTGTTTTCCTCAATTGAGGTCAGTCTGCAAAAATAGGTAGCAGCCACCGTGAGTATCCAGGGCCTCGTGCTAAGTGATCTCTCTGCAGCTGTGCTTTGGTTTGTGGCTTCAGCAGCCCAGCCCACGTCATCCCTCCTCCCCTCGCCCTAGTGGGAGTGAGTGATCACCAGTGACCTGTCGCCTATGTGTGCCCTCTTCTGAAAAATGAGGTTTCCTCCTCAGAGTTGCATAGTCCTTGAACATGGGCTACTTCCTTGGTGGGAAGATGTGGCTGTGTCTGAAGGATTGACACAGGAGAGATGAGTACAGTCAACGATAGGCCACTGCAGCTGCACGGGAGAAAACTGGTTACAGGTGGGGAAGCACTTTGGGTTTCTCAGCTAGTCATCTCTGAAATGGAATATTTTTTAACGATCTTTTGCCCATTGCTCTGTGGTGGGAAATTGATGAATATAAGCTAATGTTAAGACACATGAATGAAGTGTTTATTCAGGGTATAGGAAGGTAGAGATTGCCATTTTTCTCCTCCAGCAGTCACGATAAGCAGCTCAGGCTTACTACTTAAGCATTTGTTATTAGGGTGCATGCAGAAGAAGAGTTGCATATCATTCTGTCCTTCCACAAGCTTTTATTAATATTGAATGTCTACTATGCTCTAGTCAGTATACTAAGGTGGTTCCTGCCTTCATAAAGCTCACAAACTAGTGACTGTGACCCTGCCCGCCCACCCACCAGTATCTTAAGCAAACACTCTATGACACCTTGTTGTCCATGTGGTATGACTGCTTGTGATATTTTTCATCTAGCTCTCTTATAGGGCTTCTATATTGCTAGATGGCCCTAGGTCAAGATACAGCTCAATGATCTCACTTGAGTTGTAATATTTAGACATGTCTCATGGAGTTTCATTATTTTAAATATATTGATGCCTTCTATTGTATACAGCAGAGGTGAGCAAACCCAGCCTGCTGCCCGCATTTGTAAATAAAGTTTTATTGGAACATGGACATACCCATTTATTTATTTACTGGTTGTTTGGGGGGTATAACGGAGTAGCTGAGTAGTTGTGACAGAGACCAGGTGGCCCACAAAGCTGAAAATATTGACACACAAAATGTCGCCGACCCCCACGGTGTACACAAAGCAACAATTATCCAGCATTCCGAGTGAGTGTGTGTGTGTGTGGGAGGGGGCTTGATTTGTTTTAGAAAGACCATTAAATGTATCCTTACAAGATAAAACTGGTCCAGGTGAGAATGACACCAGACATGTGGAATGAGTCAGTTTTCTTCCCCCTGTCTCATGCTAAGCTTTTCTTACTGTTCATTCCTGCCTCTCTGTACAGAACTTATGTATGCGGCATGCTCTTTGGGAGAAAGGCATATGTGGGCAGAAGGAAGTGAGGTGGGAGGAGGAGTTGTCCCATTCTGTTAACCAGTAGTGAGAAATACTGTTTACAGGCATAAGCTATAGACATCAAAAGGATGGGGATGGACGGGGGAGGAAACTGAATGGGCCTTTCTTAGGCTAGTTGCCAGCACCCATCAACCACTTCAGGCTGGAAGGAAAAGGAAACAAGAGGAGTGGTTTCTATAAGCTCATAAACGGGGACATTGACAGAAGAGCCTATTCCCCATTTTCAGCCTCTTAATGATCTCCTCACCCACGCAAACGCATACATGCACACGTATCTGTTAAGTGACAGAACACCTGGGACCTTAAAATTCACTTCACTTCAAGTGTTTGCAAAAGGTTTTCCCAGTATAATGCATTTTAAAATACACAGCATAATATGAGGCCCCTGGAGCAGTCAAATTCATGGAGACAGAAAATAGAATGGTGGTTGCCCGGGGCCGGCGGGAATGGGGTTAGTGTTTGATGGGGATGGAATTTCACTTGGGGAAGATAAAAAAATAGTTCTGGAAACAGATGATGGGGATGGTTGCACAGCAGTGTGAATGTACTTAATGCCACTAAACTGTATGCTTAAAATGGTTACAATGGTAAATTTTATGTTATGCATATTTTACCACAATTTTTTAAAAAAACCAAACTCATCAGCCATGTAATTTGCAAAGATCAGAGCAGCAGTGGCAGTATTCAGATTTGGAGATTAGGACTCTTGTTTAGAACCTATATTTCCCCTATATTTAAATTTAAAGTGGCTTCCTCTAAGAATTCAGAGTTCCATTGTATGCAATTAAAAAGATAGCTACTGAGCAATTAAAAAAATACACAGCACATAAGTTCTGCCATAGAAGGAGATAACCTAATGAGAGTTAGGAAACATGGCACGGTAAGCTGGCCTTTCTTGTTTTTACCTCTAGAAGTGACTCAGTCTTTTTTTTTTTTTTTTTTTTTTTTAATGTGGATTCTAGGAAAGAAACCTTGACTGGTTCCCCAGGATGAGAGCCATGTCATTGGTCAGCAGTGATTCTGAAGGAGAACAGAATGAGCTGAGAAACCTGCAGGAGAAGCTGGAGTCCACCATGAAACTTGTCACGAACCTTTCTGGCCAGCTGTCGGAATTAAAGGATCAGGTAAAGAAAGAAAATCCCAGCGCCTACCCTCCCATCACTATCCCCACCCACACCCACTATCACCACACCAAATCTGATGAGGAAAATCAGTAGTGCTTCATCTAGATGGAAAAGGGAGCCAGGCAACAGGGGACAAACCCACTCACTCCTCCAGTCTCCTCACCCCAATCCCCTTCACTGCCCTTTTCCAGGATAAAGCCATGGTGCTACTTTCAGTGCTGCTCAGGACATGGTTTTAATATGAAAAACAAAACCAAAAAAAAGGAGGGAAATGCAGACTACTTCAGTGAAGTACTGTCCAAAAACCACTATGCATAAAGCCATACCCTTTTTACTTTATGTACTGTGGAAGATTAAAAGCTGTTTCTTGTTTTGCTTCCTAGCCCTCAGACTTGTCAAATCCTCACCCCATATATTTAAATTCAGCATCCTAGGCTAAACCATAGTCATGGAAAAGCCCTTTTGGTTTCATTCTTTTCTCAGTGGCTTACTGAGTGGCTATCATAGTACAGGAATTATGCCAGGTGTTGGGGATAAAACAGTGAACAATATAGACATACTCCCTGATCTCACAGGCCTCAACCATCCACAGAAATACTGCCTGCACCCTGCTTCCTATCCGTAAGATAAATGCTTCGCCCTTATCTTATGGATAGGAAGCAGGATGCGGGCAGTACTGTGGGCAGAATTTAAATTGGAAACAGGCAGTTTCCAATTTAAAGTAAGTTGTAGGGGACATGTTTATACAAAACCGTGCGTACTCTGTTTCTGCCCTTTTGACTCCATTAAAATGAACATGCCACAGTCACCAGGTGGTTATCTAGTGATAGGATGCAGCTGTGTATTAAGGACTTGTACCCTGGGTGGTGAGAAGACCCTGATTGGTTTTATTAGTGCATTTCTGTAAGTGACTGGGATAATCATGTTCAGTTCAGCATTTTATGTGAGTTTCTGAAAGCTCTTTAATCAACTCCATAGACAAGATTATAGTGTTGCACAGCAATAGGCATGGGCCATGTCTGCACTGGAGGTAAGTTGCAAGGTACACCCACGGGTGATTTATCACTCTTACAAAGATGATAACTAATGAAGACCGCATCTAGAATGCTCTTACTGGAGATGGTTTACAGAGCATTTTTAATCATCATACTTAGATTTATATTAATATTTCTTTTCAAACTAAATTATTCCAAACTGTGCCCTGAGATACCATTTGGCCTCAAGTTCTTTTCTTTCGTCTGTATTAAGGTGCAAATAAAAAAGACTAGTAGGAAAAGAAGGCCTTATTTATGAAGGTTGTCTATAGCTCTGAGCTTGGTAGCTACATAAAATGAGTAATAACCTAAATAAGTAAAACTAATGAAGATCTAACTAGATTACTTTGCTTAATATTAACATTTTACCCGCCCCCCGCCGTGAAACATTTGGCAGATGTTCTGCAGGACTCATGAGGACATTGGTGGCTACAGCTGCTTCTGGCACTGCCCCCCCAACCCCCCAGTGAGGTGAACTTCTTTACACATCCAGCAAGCTTTAGTTATCTTCTTCTCCCATTTGAGATAACTGTGGCTACAAGAATCTCAGTTAAATCAGATGTTTAAATTAGGTGCCAAAAAATCTTACAGACACTGAACTAATACTTAAATAAAGGAACACTTCAGTTCTCCATAAAATCTGGTGTCATTTTCCAAAGAAACAGAGGATCTTTGTTTCACACCCGTGGTACTGGAATTGCAACAGTGAGGCATTCTAGCTCTCACATGCCAATGCGAGTGGCATTCATTCTTGCTCACTCATTTCTGCTTCTCATTGTCACACTTGGAGGCTCTTTGGGGGTATGTTTCAGTTGATCTGAGAAACTGGGTGTTACCAATTTACTAGAGAGTTTCTTAAAATGTATCTGAAACAAACTATTAATGGGCATTCTGTGGTGGTAAAACCAGGCAACGCCTCCCTACACTATCTGTCCTTTCAGAGCTAAGAATCTGTTATTTTGAATTGTTCACGAAGAGTGATTCTGACTCTGCTTCAGTGCACACTTTACAAACCATTGAGCCTCATCAAAGGAGTGAGTTGAGCTGAGGAATTAGAGTAAAGAATACAGGTATAGTGCCGGGCGTGGTGGCTCACGCCTGTAATCCCAACATTTTGGGAGGACAAGGAGGGTGGATCACCTGAGGTCAGGAGTTCGAGACCAGCCTGACCAACATGGAGAAACCCTGTCTTTACTAAAAATACAAAATTAGCTGGACGTGGTGGCACATGCCTGTGATCACAGCTACTCAGGAGGCTGAGGCAGGAGAATCGCTTGAACCCAGGAGGCGGAGGTTGTGGTGAGCCGAGATCACGTCACTGCACTCCAGCCTGGGCAACAAGAGTGAAATTCCATCTCAAAAAAAAAAAAAGAATAGAGGTATAGGACAGTATCCGAGACTTCAGATGCCATCTCACCTCATTCCCTTATTTTCTTGATGAGGATACCAAAGGAGCCCAGAAGGTTCTTAGGCATTGCCAGGGCAGGAGCTCCTGATCATCCAGTCAGGGGTGTGTGTGTGTGTTTTTATTTGCTTTGTTATGTCACTGTACTGTTTGCCTTTCATGGTTGACTGTTTAAGTTCTTACTCTTTTTTTAAAAAAAAGCTTGAAGTTTCAGAAGTCAAGTCGCATCATATACTTAAATGGTATGGAGGATACATTCATTGTCATTTTATACAAGTGAGCATAGTAGAGACTTGGCATTTCTAAAATCCAAGATAAGATTATTCTGGATAAGCCAAAGTTTTAGTTTAAACAAAATATGTAAAATTTGATTACATATGGACTAAGGTTCATTAAGTGACATTAAAACCAGTATGGTTTAAACTGCTTGATTCCAGCCTTTTATGCATTTTTTATTTTGAAGTTGGCAGTTGGAACCACTCTTCAGAAAGCCCTTCCCCTGTGAATGAATTTGAACTGTTTTTTTTCTTGGAAGATATTATAAGTTAAAAAGAAGCATGAGAATCCAGTAGTACATTCTCAAGTGCTTTTACCAGGATTGATCTACTTAAGTTTTAAGGTACTCAGAATTACAGGAAAAATTCAGCATAGCTGCTTTTTTTTTTTTTTTTTTTTTTTTTTTTTGAGGGGGCAGGGGGATTTGCATCTTTTAAAAGGAAGTAGTCAGTGTTTTCTTTTGATTATGTAACGTCCTACAAACCTTTAATGCATTTGAGAATCAACTTGTTGAATAGATTTGAATTTCATTAAGTTTGGTTATAGCAATCATAAAGGTTTAAAAACCCTTTATGTGCAAAAGATATTAAAAAATGCAGATATGTTACAGAGCTGCTCTTTCTTAAATAGTAATTGTGAGAATTCTTGCCCTTTGTGGGAAAAAATTTTGAATTAAAAAATAAAAGCTCCATGAATGATTAATGACCAAGAAATCTTGTGATATTTTTTAAAACAGCTATGAAAGAATACCATTCACTAGTAAAAGTGCTAGAAAACACAAAAATTGCTCCATTACTTAGAGGTTTTTTTTGTTTTGTTGTTGTTGTTGTTTGTTTTAGATTTTCTGATTCAAAAACCAGCAGACTCGAGCAACGATAGCTTAAATGTGGATGACTTTGGTCTAAATCTTTACTGTTATTTACCTCTTTGATTGTTTCGTTATGTATCAATCTGAGGGAAAAAAGTTCTTGTTAGGATATTAGTAAAATTATGGTTAGTGGTGTCACTTTTTCTATTATTGCCAAGAATGGTTGGTTAGGATTGCTATTCTAAGTATTATTTAACGATGCCTCTCATCTTGAAGTTTCCCCTCCCAAGAGATTCTGAACACTAAATGTGATTCTCTTACATTCTTATTCCAAGGAGGAGAACTAATGTAAGAACTTAAAAATCTTTTGCATGTTTTCTTCATAATGCAAAAGAGCAAATACTAAGAAGGGCTAACTTTCTTGAAAATATGACTGGCTTCCTATAGGACAGCGACCATTATTTGCTGTTGCTAGGAATACAAGAAGTGCTTGAAAATTCAGATCACATTAGCATGTTACAGCATTTGGCATTTTTCATACAAGAGGGTTATCTTGCTAACATTAACTGCTTAAGGACAGAAGGCATAACACAAGATTAGAATAACTGCCCAAAGTTGGAAAATGGAATATTAAACGACCCGTACTGCATCTATGTTCCTTATACTGTGCTGGGACCACAAAAGAAGACTAAGTCAACATCTGCCCTCTAGATCCAGGATCTAGCAAGAAAGACAAAGAAGTAGACCTCTAGCAATCTGATACAGTATGAATGACTTGAGGCATGAATAGTTTCATGGAGCACAAAGAAGTAGGTAGGTAGTGGTCCTGTGTGAAGTTTGCAGTGCAGAAGGAGTTTAGCTTTTATAATCTTACAAGCAGGTGACTTCTGAGCTGGCAGAGAAATGCAGTAGGGGGCTTCCCAGGAAAGGAATCAGCATGAGCAACGGCATGAAAATGCATGGCATGCTCAAGGAATGGCAGTATGGTCTGGTTAATTCCGTTCCTTCTTTCAGCCAACACATATGAAACACCTGTTTGCCAGGTGCGGCATTAGGTACTGGGGCTACAAAGATGAATAGATCCTCTTCTCTGCCTTCAAGAACTAAAAGTCTAGAGTGGGAAACAAGTAAACAGATCAATTATAATTAAACTTGGTGAGTGTGTAACCGAGCTGTGAACACATTGCTCTGGGAATGGAGAAAAGGGAGTGATTTGTTCAATCTGATCTTCGGGAGAGGATTAGAGTAATTACCACAGAAGTCTTCTCAGAGGTGGTAATTCAGGAGCTTGGTTTCAAAGCCTGAGTAAGAGTTGGCCAGGTGAAATAGAGAGAAACAGAGCATTTGAGATCAACTCTAAGAATCTGAATTGTATCTATACATTGATAGTAAATCAACATATTTGTATTCAAGGGATGGTTTGGTTTCATTTCTCAGTATTTGAGGCTCATCATTCTGAACATGACTGATTTTATAGGGCTGTAGAAAATAACTGTGATTACTAGAATTTGCTAGCTGTTTAGAATCTGAGTAACCAAGACCTTCCTGTAACATGAAAGCAGCTTTTCAAAGACTATTAAGATGTGTTATAAACCAGAAATGTGGCATTTGTGTGCTGTCAATGAACTTTCCTTCCAGTGCCAGCCTTTAATCATTTAGAGGCAATACTGGTAGATTAAAATTTGCCCATTTCTACTGTATGCCTCGTGTTTTCATGAACAGTCTTTCAGATGTCTGGCTGTATCTGACTTGTAAAGCTACACTATTCTTTGCTTCTTGTTTAGATGAGTCAAAAGGAGGAATGCTGAAATTCAAGCTAGTTTCTACATTTGTATAGATGTGAAGAACAGCATTACTACAACTGTTTATCCTTAGCTACATGGGAATTTTGAGGTTTGGTTTGGGTTTTTTGCTTTGTTTTGTTTTTGAGACGGAGTCTCCCTGTGTTGCCCAGGCTGGAGTGCAGTGGCACGATCTCAGCTCACTGCAGCCTCCACCTCCCAGGTTTAAGTGATTCTCCTGCTTCAGGCCCCCAAGTAGCTAGGATTACAGGCATGTACCACCATGCCTGGCTAATTTTTGTATTTTTAGTAGAGATGGGGTTTTACCATGTTGGCCAGGCCGGTCTCGAACTCCTGGCCTCAAGTGATCTGCCTCCCAAAGTGCTGGTATTACGGAGTGAGCCACCATGCCCAGCCGTTTTGAGGATTTTTAAATGTACTATAAATGAGACATCTCACACTACTCAAAATAGATGTTTCAATATTAGAATTTTGAATACAGTTACCATAGATTTTTTTTACTCAAGAGTCAATTTTGTTTCAGATGTCCAGAGAGACTATTATCTGACAAAAATGCTAAGGATAGACTTTGGTCATTATATTTGTTTTGATGTAGGTAAGAGTAACAGACAATAATGATGCCTTATAACAAGATATATAGATAGTACGTGTGAATGTATGTAGGTGGGGTAGGTAAGTAGATAAGAAGAATTGAACTAATAAAACCAGAAATTATGTGAGAATATGCACTAAGAGGCTGGAGAAACCTAAGCGTCCAGAATTGTTGGCCTCAGTTTCTTATAGGTCAGATTTAGTCCTTCAGGGTTTTGAGGGGTTTTTTTTTTTTTTTTTTTTTGGTTCTCTTGTAATTGGATGATGACTGCTACTAAAAGGCCAAACACTTTAGCAGTTGCCCAATTCCTTCTCCTTTAGCAGTCACTTAAATGGCAGTGATGTTGACTTAAATGACAGCCATTCTGTCTAAAAGGCCATGGTTAATCAAAAGAGTATCAGTCAAATGTGTGTGCCTACTATATGCTCAGTTGCAGACAATCTTCTCCAAGAGCTTCCCTCATTTGAGAAAAATAATATATGTACACAAATTACTTTTTTTAAAAAAAGTGTTCAAGTATATACTCAAAATGATCTTGTCCGATTTTGGAGATTATCAGTGAAAAACCTCTTCTAGAGCAGTGGTTCTCAAAGTGTAGTCCCCAGACCGGCAACGTCTACATCATCTGGGAAATCGTTAGAAAAGCAGATTCATGGGACCTACCCCAGACCTACTGAGTCAGAAACTCTGTTTCTGATCTGTGTTTTAACAAATGTTCTGGGTGATTCTGGCGCATGCTGAAGTTTGAGAACCATTCTTCTAGAGAAACAGAAAAGAACATTAGATGTGTAGTTGGTACTTAAAATTATCAGGAATATGACTACCTGAGCAAAGAATTGGCCAATAACCCACATCAGTGGGGAGCCTTAAGGATAGGGACGGAGGGAGGGTGGGCGATGGGATCACTTATGAAGACAGATGAATAGGGCTGCTAACTGAGGAGGCATCAGGCCGCGGCTGTGGAAGTGAAAAGGAAGCCAGGCCACCAACTGAAGACTCCTTTGTTGTAAAGTTTCAGAGGTTTCTTCAAGTTGAAGAGAAAGACTAACTGACAAATTGAAAAGTCAAGGAGAGCTGATGTAACAAACAGGGATGAAAATACGCATACTAAAAGGTCATCTCAAATACAAGTAGTTATTTAAAGCAAAATTACAGGGGAAAAAAGTCTTAATGGCCAACTTTGACATTCAACTTTGAGTTGAAAGATTTCAGCAGCTTTAAATATAAGCTTTGAGTAAAGTATCCTTCAATAAGGGTTGAGCAGACCAAGATTTTTTTTTTTTTTTTTCCAAGACAAGATCTCAGTTGCCCAGGCTGGAGTGCAGTGGCATCATCACTGTTCACTGCAACCTCCACCTGCCAGGATCAAGTGATCCTCCCACTCTTAGCTTCTCAAGTAGCTGGGACTACAGGTGCACGCTACCATGCCTAGCTAATTTTTTTTCCCCTTTGGTAGAGATGGGGTTTTGCTACGTTGCCCAGGCTGGTCTCGAACTCCTGGGCTCAAGCAGTCTGCCCACCTCAGCCTCCCCAAGTGGTGGGATTACAGGCGTGAGCCCGCTGCACCTGGCTGAGCACACCAAGATTTCTAAATCAATTTGAACACTTGAGATTATCCAAATTTAGCTAAGTTGTATTGGATTCCCTCTCAAGGTTACCTGCCAAGGGAAGGGTTGTGGGAGAAAAATCTGAGCTAAACATCTGAACTATCAGGTAGTAAGATGAATGAATTACTGGCATTTTAACCTAATTGTGAATTTATTTCATGTGTCATATTAGGTTCTCCTTCCTGAGCCGAATCTGTGGATACAGTGTAGTGTGTAACACTTCCTTTAAAGATGTCACTCACCTAAGGAAACTTCAGGGGCTAGCTGGAATTTCCTAATCCAATTCTTAATTAAAAGCTTTATTAAAAGCTACCTTTTGGAAATACTAAGTCCTTGTAAGTCTTCTCATCTAAATTATAACAGAGAAAGCATCTCCACAGGAGCCTAAAAATAGTATTTTGATTTGAGAGGATAATGCTAGTTTTGAAGAAGAAAAAATAACCACATTGAAATTGAACCTAGGTAAATTAGTCTTGTTTTATGTTCTCTCCAGATATTTTGTACCAAAAATGAGTTCATGTGAAAAGTGAGATTAAGTGTCACATCTACTATGTGACAGATGCTATGCTAATAAATTTGCGTATAACCTCGCAATTCTCCACCAATCAGCTAGGAATTATCATCCTGATTGTATGGATGAGAAAACAGACTTTGATAAGTTAAATGACAAAACCATAAGAAACTAGATCTGATTCCAAAGCCTTTATTCTTTTTACCCTAATTCCTCTACAATTTTAGGAAGCTAAAAACATAGGAGTAGGACCTTAACCCACTTGCAGACAACAATTTTCTTGAATATATATTCCGTATAGCCTTTTTATCTCAGTTGACTTGAATGCTCACCCTAAAATCCAAAACTAAGACTAACTGGGTTAAGGAAAATCTTAATACAGAGACAGAAGTAAGTATGCCCTAAAATACCTAGAACAGGTCTAGAGACCCATCAACATGAGAATATATTTAGTTCAGCAACCAAATGAATAGAATCGGCTTCTTGTTTGGGATTTTGAAAGTACTTTTTCATTTGAACTAGTCTTAGGCAATGGTCTCGCCTGACCTTCAGCGAGCCTCAGTGTCTACTGGGTGGCAAGAAATAGATACCGTGAATGGTCACAGCATTATTTACAGCATTTAATCATTCTGGACCTCAAAGAGATTTGAGAACATTTCTCATTTTCCTAGTTATGGTAGGTAATTTTTTTTTTCTCTAACCAACTACTCAAGAGTCATTGAAGAGAAAAATCAGGACCCACTGAAAGTGTGGACACGAACCCTCCCTCTCAAACCTAGGATTCTAAACACTGCTTTTCTTGTTAGTATGGCGTGTTGTTACTATCGTACAAAGCCACCATTTTCCAATGAGTCTTCAAATCATTTGGAAGTGCATTTGGGAAACAAGAAAGAATCCTGTGCTTTTATTGTTTTTTGTTTCTTTATGAAACAAGTGGCAAGCAATACTTCTGAATGTTACATTGCATGACTAGGTCACAGAATTTCCCATTCTGCCTAAGAAGATGCCTTTTTTGAAGTGCTGTGTGTTTGATATAGCGATGGTACACTATTTGTAGAAAGTGGGTTTCAGTATAAACCATAACCACAGAGGTAAATCTATGGTTCAGTATGCGATTTGACGTACAGGAAGTATCTGGGTCTAATGATGAAACTTTTTAACTTTCCAGATGACAGAACAAAGGAAGCAGAAACAAAGAATTGGTCTTCTAGGACATCCTCCTCACATGAATGTCAACCCACAACAACCAGCATAAGCAAATGAAAGAAAGGAATTGTATTTACCTTTTATAATTATTATTAGTGTGGGTATGGCTAATGAGTTCTGATTCACCCACGAAGGTTACATTTATGCTGAATACATTTGTAAATACTCAGTTTTATACTGTATGTATATGATTGCTACTCTAAAGGTTTGGATATATGTATTGTAATTAGAATTGTTGGCATGATGACATTTCATTTGTGCCAAAAATATTAAAAATGCCTTTTTTGGAAGGACTAACAGAAAGCACCTGATTTGCACTTGAACCAGATTATAGATTTAAAAGTATATGACATGTATTTTGTATTTAAAACTAGAATAGCCAGTATTTATGTTTTTTATAAAACTGTGCAATACGAATTATGCAATCACAATACATTTGTAGCTCCCGAGTGTCCTAAAGGGAGTGCACTTCTTTGAAGCTGGTGTGTTAATACTATGTAATAAATGGTTAACTTTCAAATGATGCTGCTGCCAAAATTATATTAATAGTGAGTTTCAGGCCCCTGGGCATTTTGTACCATGTAATTATCCTCTGGTGATGCTGTTTCTCGTTAGTGGCAGTAGTGCCTCCGTCTCCTAGTGATAATGCTCCAAGTCTATGAACTGTTAAATCAGCATTCATTTTAAGAAAAGCAACTTTAGTTTCAAAGATACTTTTAAGCTTCTAAATTGATCATTTAAACTATTTCTTTAAATAAGAGAGCCAAATTAGAGGCTCATACTTTAGCTTGTGAAGAAGATAATGAATTTTTTAAAGGGAACTTTCTATGCAATGTTCAGGATAAATGCATACTGCTGGCCAATCAGTGTCATCTCCTGGGTAAATTTTGATGTCGCATTATAAAGACATGCATAATTGATGGTTTCTAGATTATCTAGTCCAAACAATAGAGTTTATTTTTTCTTCATCTGAACCAACATGCTACAGTAGCTAAGAAGTATTAAAACTATATACATCCATATAAAGATGAAATATGAACTATCTCATTAGAAGTCATAGTTGACCACAGACATGTTATTCTTCTGAAAGAGCCACATTTTGGTTTTATTTCTTGTCACATGATTTCTTTTCTTGATGGATGAAAAATATGAAAGGAAACTTTTATATCTGTTGCCTAGTTTTGTACATGGATCTCATTTTACAAGAGAATCTCTCTGCAAAAAAAAAAAAAACAGTTTAAAAATGCATTGAAAGCAGAGTTCTGAAATGAGTAAAGTTTGTAAATGCATATATAAAAATATTTAATAAATGATGCAGAATATACAGTGACTGGTTGGTGGCTTTCATTTGGCATTTGTGACTTAACTGCTATTCCATTTATGTACTTTCTTTAGGATCAGTTTGAAGTACAGTCGGTTTGATTACCAGGTTAATTCAGAAAATGTTTACCTGATTATTTAAAAAAACACTTGCTGTTGTTATGACAGCTCTGAGGAGAATTATTAGAACAAACATTGGGGAGTATTTAGTACAACATTCATTCATTCTTCTGGATTAGTGACTGCCAGCCAGGCTGTCGGGAGCGCCCTACTAAATCTCCTGTCTCTTCTGCTTTTACTGGGGGATCTTTAATTTGCTGTGTGCCATGTGGAAGTATCGGGAACAGCTGAAATTTGTTTTAGTTCATGCCCAGTGGTCAGGGTCCTTCAGCAAAGTGTAAAATGTTTTTACAGAGCCACCTTGCCTGTCCAAACGTAGTAAAACCTGTTCCCTCCTCAAATCAGTGCTTGCCCTGGCTGCTTTTTTTGACACTAATTTTCTCTATGCTTTGGTAAATAATACCACCCAATGTTGGGAACTAGGTCAAGATTAAATTCCAGTTAAATGGCTAGTTTTGTAACTAATGCTTCTACTTTATAAATTTGATAACTTAAAAACAAATTAATTTTTTCCAGTCAGTGCAGCCTGTCTCCACAAAATTTTTCCATCGTAAGGCAAGCCTAAGACAGATACCTACTTTTATCTGTAAGCAAAATGGCAATCTATGCTAACCCCCACAATGCACACATTAGCTAGCAAGGACTTGCTTTTCCCCTGGGCTTTCTCTTTGATCTCTCACACTGCCCAACGAGATGTGGCAGTGTGTGTGGTTTGTCTCCCAAGTCCCATCCAGTTCATTGGAAAGTTCTGCATTGACATGCCAAGTTGCAGCTTTTACAGGTTTGTCATGTTCCATTTGAATCCTGTCACTTAAGATATAAATCTTCATTCAGTGTGCCAGCTTCAGCAGAAAATAAACGAAATTGGAATGCCACTCCTCCCTCCATGCAGTAGATCCTACCCTTGCCGTTTGGGTGTGAACACTAAAGCTAGTAGAATTGAAACATACAATTTGAAGTGAAAACTCCGGGGGCCTTTGATGTGTAATTGTAATTCTGCCTGCTTCCTTCACATTGTGCCTTTCCAACACCTCTATTTTAAGATCAAGGTCCAAGTCACCTTCAAAGTTACCTACCCGGATGAAGAATTAGTGTTATCAGGGTGAAAGTATGGTAGTACTCGCTAACATGAGAGAAAGCCAATGTTACTTAATTAAGCCATTTTATTTAATATTAACAGTTTGCTACAGCACCAATTCAAGTTTCAAGCATCTGCAAATTTCCCTAACTAATCCATCTGTTAAAGGGTCTGGGAAATTCCATTCCACTTCTCTAACATTTGTGGGATCTTACCCTTTCCATGCCCCTAAAATTGTGTAGTGATTACCCTGTTTCTCTCTACAAGTAAAGCTTCCACTCTGTTTGCTGTCGTCCTGAAGGTCTAAATGATATTCCATCCACCCTGTTCAGTTTTCTCCTAGTGCTGTATTTATCTGTATTTACCCTGCCCCCAACATACAAAATATGACTTTAATGTCATTCTTTAAAGATTTGATACTATTCACTTAGTTTGCTTTCAAGTTCATGTTCCTTATTCATTGTTCTTCATTCAGCCAATTTTTTTTTATTTGGTTGCCCTTTCTGGAAATCAATTGCTTGATTTTGCTCCTGTAAAATGTGCTCTTTCACTGCGTTTCACTGAGCACTTCCTAATATAAATTCTAAAGCAAGCATCCTTTGTCTATGGACGCTAGTCAACAACTCAGCCTTTGCAGCAGCAAACTATACAGAGCTGTTTGTCTCCCAAGTCCCATACAGTTCACTGCAAAGTTCTGCATTGACATGCCATGTGCTAGTGGGAAATTACTAAGATCTCTAGAGTAAATTAAGAAAATAACCTGTTAAAAACTCAATTGTAGATCTCTGTATACTCCTACTATAGACGGCTTGGATAAAGCCTTAATGGGCAAAGGCCTGAAAGTTTCTGATAGTTATTTTAAGGCTAATAATGAGACCCTTAGCCTGACTTTTGAGCGGCAGGGAGGGAAATTTACTCCTTCCAAACTGTTACAATCATAACTACATACTTATAGAAGCAGAGTTGGGTTTTTGCCAAAACTTTTTCGCCAAAACTTTTTTTTTTTTTTTACAGATTTTGATAACATACGTGCTTGTTAGAAGACAAATTATATGACAGTAAAAGTCACCTTTACATAAGACAGAATAACAAAGGACTGTTATTGAAGGCTCTTGAGACACTGTACAGCAGAAGTGAAACTTATTTTAAATAAGATAAGAAATTGAGCCCTAAAGAAGTAAAGTAACTTGTCCAAGGACTCAGCTCCAGAATAAATAAAGATCTCCTGACTAAGCAAAATACAGAGAGCTCTTCCCACTTGCTATCTCCCTTCCAGAGTGGGGATATCAGTAATCAGTTTCCCTTAACTGTTCTCCCTTTACACAAAGCATTCATGCAGAACTTTATTTTGTCCTACATGTGGAACAATACAGATTGATTTGTTTTTTCTTTTCAAATCTCTTTCATGAGATGATGGATCTACACATTAGAAAGTATTGACTCTGAATATTTTGTCAAGACCGAAAACTTTGTGGCAAAGATAAGGAGTGAGTGAGCTCCTGAAGTCTTTATCTTTCACAACTACAAATCTCTTGTATATAGCTCTTATATAACTGCATTTTTCAAAGGGAGAATCCGTCCTCGGCCCAATCAAGGTGGCTTCTTCCTAGGGAGCATGTGCAGGTGCACACTGGTGTCCTCTCCTACCACAGATGTCAGTGTTCATTGGCAAACTCTGCCTTGGTCTTGTTCCTTACACTAATAATTTAACAATCAACTAGAATGTTGGAAAATCCCCATAAAGATTTCAATTTTACAGAAAGTACCCAAAATTCCACTAGTTTTGCATCACAAAGTAGTGGTTGAAGTAAAGTTTTGAGTAAAACGCCGTGTGTGTGGTTTTTGTGGGTGGTTGCAGCTCAGAACAACGTTTAGGCCTCATCAATCATCTGACAGGAGAGAGTATGATGGCAATTTATAATAAGATGATTATAATTATCATACACATTTTTCCATCTTTGGTATCATATGCCACATTAAGCAACTCTTACAACCTAGAGGCCAATTCAGAAGCATAACAAGCCTTCAGGTCTGGAACCAAAAAAGTCTACCAAAATCAAGAAAATAAAAAGGTAGATCACTGGTGGGTGTTTACATTTGGTCAACTCAGACAATGCTATGGAGTCTCCAGCTGCTGGTATTTTAAACTCATTTGGTAAAACAAATCTCTAGCTTACTAGGGCAAGACATTAAAAAAAAAATTACCAAAGGAACATCTTAAAATACTTTAAGGTCATGACAAACCAGTGTGAAAGAGAATCCTAACACCTAGAAGCGAAACTGCATCATCCACCCAGCTTGGAGAGAAAAAAGAAAGCCAAAAACCACTATAGAATAAGAATGCAGAGTTTGAGAAAACCCCTAAGGTGAATTCTGAACAACAACACAAAGAGTCCAACAACATAAGAAGTGCACACTGTACGCAAGAACCACTAACGGAAAGAGTTTGCCAGCACATTTATAATGACCTCACAATACATGGTTGGTCCCAGGTAAATGGAACTTCAGACAATCCAGGAATTTCACCTATTTACTCCTGAGCATAAGTCACATACTTATCACCTATGGTATCTCATAAAGTCTTGTAAGAAGCTTTTTGTAAAAGTTCTCTGCAGAAAAACAATTAAGGTTTGGTATAAAACTGGGACAAGGAGACCTGAACCACACAAGGCTTAGGTGCTAGGTCTATGTCAGAGTCCACATGGCAACATGGTGGAATGGAAAGAACATGGGCCTTAAAGTGGATAAGAATTCTAATACCATTTCTGTCACTGAAATGTTATAACTTGGAGCAAGTTACTAATGATTTTAATGTGCAGTTCCCCCCTTCTCAAGAGTAGAGATGCTACCACGTACTTCTTTGGGCAGTAATGGGCATCAAGAAAGATAATCTATACCAAGAGTCTGGCATATACCTGATACGTTACTTCCCATTCCTTTGCAACATGACCATTTCCTTTTTTTCATACCTATCCACAATCTCAGCTAACTATTGCATGACCAAAAGCTTCTTTCTGTTCCCACTAAATGGGTCTGATGTTATTACTGCGGGATCCTAAATCTACATGTCTTAACATGACATATTTGGGCCACATCCAGTCATTTTAAAAACTTTTATCTTTCTATCCAAAGTACGTTTTAACTATCAGTTTGAACTGAATAAATTCATAAAGAAACCTCTCATACAGCTTATGACTTCCAGATAACTATCCTCATATTTTTTAGCAGTGCTGGATTCAAATCTGACTTCTTTTCTTAAAATAAATCTTGGGCCAGGCACAATGGCTCACGCCTGTAATCTCAACACTTTGGGAGGCCAAAGTGGATGGATCACCTGAGATCAGGAGTTCGAGACCAGCCTGGCTAACATGACGAAACTCTGTCTCTACTAAAAATACAAAAATTAGCCAGGTGTGGTGGCGCATGCCTTTAGTCCCAGCTACTCAGGAGGCTGAGACAGGAGAATCACTTGAACTCGGGAGGCGGAGATTGCAGTGAGCCAAGATTGTGCCCCTGTGCTCCTGCCTAGGCAACAGAGTGAGATTCCATCTCTAAATAAATAAATAAAATAAATCTCTACAGAAAAAATGTTTTATCTTGGGAATGACAATATATTTCCTTAGTTTCTGAAATGCCTTCACTTACATTCTCATTTAAACCTCCCAGTCTTGTCAAGTAGATATTATCTCTGAAGTCTGAATGGTCCCAAGTTGTACTATCTTTAATTTAACATTCAAATACAAATTCTACATCTCACTACCTATAGAAGACCCAGAGCCTCTTTAATAATTTCTTTCTGAGAAGGATCCTGAGAAGGAGCAGAGACCCCACCTTGGGGGCCCGTGAGCCCCTCTGCAACCCGAGCATGAAAATAAAGGAAAATCTTGCATTCCTTCAAGGGCAATTCCAGGCACCTAGCTAGCCCTGAGAAGTGAATAAGCAACTTGTTGAGCAATAAAGTAATATAATAGCAGCCTCAGCGCAGTGGCTCATGATTTGGGAGGCTGAGGCAGGTAGACTGCTTGAGCCCAGGAGTTCAAGACCAGCCTGGGCAACATGGCAAAACCCCATCTCTACAAAAAATACAAAAATTAGCCAGGCGTGGTGGCACACACCCATAGTCCCAGCTATTCAGGAGGCTGAAGTAGGAGGATCTCCTGATCCCAGGGAGGTCAAGGCTGCAGTGAGCCAAGATCACACCACTGCACTCCAACCTGGGCAATAGAGTGAGACACTGTCTCTAAAATAAAATAACATAAAATAAAATAAATAAAATAAAATAAAATAAAATAATAAAATAAAATAAAATAAAATAAGGTAATAGTAGCCTAAAACAATAGCCAAGGAAGTCATGAGATGTTTGGTTCCCTAAAGAAACTATAGATAGTATCTTAACGTATGTCCTTGAGTTGTTTTTTAAAAACCCAGACCACTACCAAAGGAAAAATGCTGTCAGCTGGCAGGCAAATCTCAGATAAGGGGGAACGGAGGATGGAACTCTGACCACTGTTCTTTGTTCTAAATTTCTTCTTGAAGGGCCTGGAGGAAGTTATTGCCCACAGGCCAGAGCTAACATTCTTTTCTGCTGACCTCAAATTTTTCTACAAAGCTTCACCTCCTTAAACAATTGCACATTAGAAAATATCTCTGAATCCACCTATGATCTATGGGCTGTACCCTTCCACTCCTACTCCACTTTGAGATATCCCACCTTTTTAGGTTAAACCAATATGTAGCCTCATGTATTGATTTATGACTTTGCCTGTAACCTCTGCCACGCTGCCTTTAAAAAGCCTTACCTGTGTAAGCCATCTGGGAGTTCAGGTCTTAAGCATGACCTCCCTGATCCTCCTTGCCTGGTGCCCTGCAACAAATGCCCCACTTTCTCTCCCTGCAATCCCGATGTCAGTGTGTGGCTTTGCTGCTCTGGGTGGGCAGACCCAAGTTCAGCAAGTAACCATTCTAAGGAGGGTGTTTACACCTTCTTCATGATCCCTTGTCACTGTTTCATCCCAAATCCTGATTCCAACCCAATTATCTGTTCCTTCTCATCATCTCCCCTCTCTTTATTTCACTGGTGTGGACACAGCTCTCTCTCCTACCTGTCCCCAAAGCACCACTATCATCTGGGCTTTGTGAAGAGCAGATCTTTAGTGGAAGAAGATTACAATAAGGAATAGGAAACAATTAAAAATTGAGAATCAGTCATCAAAGCTCCCTCCCCCTTCCTTTTCACTCATGGGAGGAGCAACTTCTCTTCTCAGCCTGTTGGCAGGCAGGCATCTACTTTTTCTTTCCCACTTGCCTAAACAAACAAAAGCAAAACAAACCAACAACAACAAAAAAAACCTTCCTTCCAGCCTCAAGTGAAAACCAAAAATTCTTGTTTCTTTACTATGCAGAGCAATTGTAGCCCTCAGTTCCCAGTCATTCCTCTCTAGATTAGGCCTTTACCTTGGCCAAAAAAAAAAGGCTATAATTCTGTCATCCTTAGCTTCCACTTGCAGGGCAAACTGGCTGCTAAAATAGCATTTTTTTCTGATACATCCCTATTTTACGGAACAAGAAATGTCTTTAGAAAGTTGAAGTGATTTGGGCTGGGCGCAATGGCTTACGCCTATAATCCCAGCACTTTGGGAGGCCGAGGTGGGTGGATCACCTGAGGTTAGGAGTTCGAGACCAGCCTGACCAACATGGAGAAACCCTGTCTCTACTAAAAATACAAAATTAGCCAGGATTACAGGATTATGTGCCTGTAATTCCAGCTACTCGTGAGGCTGAGGCAGGAGAATCGCTTGAACCCAGGGGACGGAGGTTACGGTGAGCCAAGATCATGCCATTGCACTCCAGCCTAGGCAACAAGAGCAAAACTCCATCTCAAAAAAAAAAAAAAAAAAAAAAAAAGAAAGTTGAAGTGATTTGACCAAACCAGAACATCAGACCTGGGATTCAAAAGCCAGATCATCTGACCTCATGTATATTCCTCAGTATCCCAGTGCTTCACTATGTGAGGTGCCATCCAGCTATGTTCCTGTGTCTGCACCTCTACCTGCCCACCTTGCCTGGGGGAGATGTGTAAGGTATCAGAGTTCTAAGAGATGCAAAGAAAAGTCAGAGTTCTTAAAGGCAAAAGCTGCAACTAGTTCATTTCTGTTTTGTTAGTACCTAGCACAATTCCTCCCAAACAAAGAGGGTCAATGCCTTTGAGGGGTAAAAAAAAGATTATTTTTGAAACTTCACTTAATCTGCTTGTTTTGGAGCCAAGGGCAAGGAGGAGTCTTTCATTAAGGAACGAATATCTAGCAGTGGCCCAAAAAGAAGGTGCATATAGAACTGAACATCAGGCAGTCACTACTCTTTTTGTTGCTAACTGACCATTCAATCCTATAAACTAACCATTAATCATAATGCCTCTGGCTCCGGTAACCCTGCTTCACAACATTCTCCAATTTGCTCCCTCTAACCAGGGGATCCCAATCTCTCTCTTCCTCCCTCTTTCAACTCTTATAACAAAGCTGTGATTTAGCATGGTCTCTACGAACGTGCAAATTCAGACCCACATATACTTTCATACTCCTCTCTCCACCCAACTCCCTTATCTAACAATGCTAAAAGATAATCCCTCAACAATTCAGGTAGTATTATGGCAGTTCTCATTACACCTGAAGAGACAGAGCACATTTAAGTAGCCTAAAGAAATTATGGCCATTTTGAATAACAAATTATGGTTCATCTATACATAAACCATATGTAAATCACTTGAGTTAGAGTCTCCCAACCAGATTTAACAAATTTTAGTATTTCTGCTAATACTAGAAATTTCACAATGGGCCAAAGGACTTAGGGGTGGATGGAAGTCTTTCATAGCTCTTTTTGTACCATTCCATAGGATTTTAAACCGAAACTCTGACATGCTTTGGATCTGTGTCCCCACCTAAATCTCATGTAGAACTGTAATCCCTGTTGTTGAAGGTGGGACCTGGTGGGAGGTGACTGGATCCTGGGGGCAGAGTTCTCATGAACGGTTTAGCACCATCTCTCCTTGATACTGTATAGTGAGTGAGTTCTCATGAGATCTGGTTGTTTAAAAGTGTGTAGCACCTCCTGCACCCTCTCTTCCTTCTACTCCAGCCATTTGAAGTGCTGGCCCGCTGTTTTCCTTCCGCCATGACTAAGTTTCCTGAGGCTTCGAGGCCCAGAAGCAGAGCAGATGACACCATGCTTCCTGTACAGACTGCAGAACCGTGAGCCAATTAAACCTTTTTTTCTATAAAGTACCCAGTCTCAGGCATTTTTTTATGGTAGTGTGAGAATGGACTAATATAAATTCTCATACTTATGGGTAGAGTACAGTACAACCAATTTGAAAAACAACTGAAGTTAAAAAAAAATAAACACACCTACTAAAAAATCCAGAAATCCTACTACCACGTATTAATCCAAAAGAAATGAAAATATATGTCTATACAAAAACCTGTATGCAAATTATAAACACCTTTATTGATATCACCTCAAACTGGAAACAAACCAAATGTCCATCAGCTAGTAAATGAATAAACAAATGGTGGTGCAAACATACAATGGCGATGGTGTGCAGGTGGCCCACAGCCCACACACCCAGGACTGCTAATGTTTGGGTTGACTCACGGTACTTTTACCCTTTTTAGCACATTCAGTGTGCACACTTTTTCAACTAAGTATTTCACAGAGTTGGGCAGGAGGGCAAGGGTCAAAAACCTGCTCACTAGAGAGCAAGGTAGCACTGGCAGTGAAACTTAAAATGATTTGTGCTCCTGATTTAAATAAAAATAATCAGTTGCCTGTGTTTTAGAACTTACAAATGGAACAGTCCTGTAGGTATGCTGCACTAGTTTCCCACTGTTGCTGTAACAAATTACCAAAAACTTAAAGGCGTAAAACAACACAAATTTATTATCTTACAGTTCTGCTTGTCCACGTTCCTTCTGAAGGCACTAGGGGAGAATCCATTTTCTTGCCTTTTTCAGGTTCAAGAGGCTGCCTCCGTTCCTTGGCTTGTGGCCTGACCCCATCTTCAAAGAGAGGAATGGCCAGTTGAGCCGTTTACACATTGCATCATTCTGACTCTGACTCTCCTGCCTTCCTCCTTCATTTATTAGGACACTTGTGATTCCATTGGTCCAACCTGCATAATCCAGGAAATCTCCCCATCTCAAAATCAGTAATCACATCTGCAATCTCCCTTTTGCCATGTAAGGC
This sequence comes from Homo sapiens, assembly GCF_000001405.40. NCBI lineage: Eukaryota > Metazoa > Chordata > Mammalia > Primates > Hominidae > Homo > Homo sapiens. The sequence goes on from NC_000003.12 coordinate 4,856,933, forward strand.
AACATATTCACAGGGTTTGGGGATTAGGACATGAACATCTTTAAGGGGGCCGCTATTCTGCCTACCACATTTGCTTAGGCAAAATCTAGACAGGTTAAAGACGAGAAAAACAAATCACATATTTCTTTTCAACTCTGACGGATTTGAATACAATTAGGAAGGTCACATTTTCTCATGGTCCAAACAGGCTGAACAAATCAGTTCATTAACATGATCGTATACACTGATAAAGCTATAAATGATTGCCCAAGAGACTGTTGCTTCCTTTTACATTCACTATTGCTATTCTTGGACAACCAGAAACAACTATAAAAAGATGTTTGCTTTTTTAGACACACACACACACACACACACACACGCACCCCCGATTAGAGACTTTCTTCCTCAGGTTTCATTTGCTAGGATTTGCACTTTAAAAGATCCAGTGAGGAACAAAGAAAATAAAAGTAGATCATAAACTTCTCAACCAGATAACCTTTACTGATTTTTAAAAAATGGATGCATACCTGTATAAGGTTAGAAAAGTTGTAAGTTACTAACGTAATAGAGCCAAAAAAAGAAAAAAGATTAGAAAAATTAAATAATATGCCATCCATATTTCTTTGATGAAGTGTCTATACAAATTTTTTTGCCCACTTTTTACTTTCTTTTGTTATTAAAATGTTTAGGACTTCTCAGACTATGATTATGTTATTAAATTTTAAATTTTGAAACTTATGCTTTTTATATTCTGGTTGCCAGTTCTGTACTAAATATATGTTTTGCAATTTTTTTTCCTCGTCTGTGGCTTGTCATTTTCTTAGCAAAGGTTGTTTTTGTTTGTTCGTTTGTTTTTGTTTTTTGTTTTGTTTTTAGATGAGTCTCCCTGTGTTGCCCAGACTGATCTCAAACTCTTGGGCTCAAACAATCCTCCCAACTTGGCCTCCCAAAGTGCTGGGATTACAGGTATGAGCCACCACACCTGGCCAGCAGAGCTTTTTGAAGACCGAAGGATTTAATTTTGATGAAACCCAATTTATCAATTATTTTGCTCCTGTGGTTCATATTGCCTCCTAAGAAATCTTTGCCTAAGATTCCAAAGATTTTCTCCTGTTTTCTTCTAGAACAGCATTGTACAATATAACTTTCTGTTATGGCAGAAATGTTCTATAATCTGTGCTCACCAATACACTGGGTATAGCTAGCCAGATGTGACTTCTGAGAACTTGATATGTTGCTGCAACAACTGAGGAGCTGAATTTTTTAATTTTATTTTGTTTTAATTAGTTTAAATTTAAATAGCCACATGTGGCCAGCACAACGGGCCAGGAAGTTCTAGCAGTGTTATAGTTTTAGGTTTTACATTTTGGTCTATGATACATTTTTACTTAATTTTTATAGAGGTACAAGGTATGTGTCAAGATTATTTTTTTTTAAAATATGGACACCTAATTCCTCCAGCACCATTCTGTGTGAAGACTATCCTGTCTCCAATGAGTTAATTGACACCTTAGTCAAAAATATCAATTGACCATGTTTGTGTGGGTCTACTTCTGGAGTCTGTGCTGTTCCATGGACCTATATGTCTATCCCTTCATCAACTGAACATATAGTCAACTGATATTTAAAAAGAGTGACAAGAATAAACAATGGGGAAAGGATAGTCTCTTTAACAAATGGTATTGGGAAAAGTGGATAGTCACATGCAGAAGAATAAAACTGGACGCTTATCTTGTACTACATACAAAAATCAACTCACCAGCTTGGGCAATATAGCAAGACTCCATCTCTACAAAAAAAAAATAAATATGAGCAAGGGAGTTTGAGGTTGCCGTGGGCTATGACTGCACCACTGTATTCTAGCCTGGATGACAGAGTGAGACCCTGTCTCAAAAAAAAGAAAAAAGAAAAAAAGAAAAGAAAAAACCAACTCAAAATGGATTAAAGACCTAAATGTAATACCTGAAACTATAAAACTTCTAGAATACAGGAAACCTTCATGGCATCGGTCACGGCAATGACTTATTGAACATGACACCAAAAAACACAGGCAATGAATGCAAAAGTAGACAAGTGGTACTGCATCAAACTAAAAAGCCTCTGTACACCAAGGAAAATAATCAACACAGTGAAAAGGCAACCTACAGAATGGGAGAAAATATTTGTAAACCAAAAAATCTGATAAGAGGTTAATATTCAAAATATATAAGGAGCTCCTATAATTCAACAGCAAAAGAACCAACCAAACAAAAATAACATAATTTTAAAATGAGCAAAAGCAGGTGCAGTGGTTCATGCCGACAATCCCAGCATTCTGGGAGGCCAAAGCGGGAGGATTACTTGAGTCCAGGAGTTCCAGACTAGCCTGGGCAACATAGCAAAACTCAGTCTCTACAAAAAAAATACAAAAATTAGTCAGGTGCAGGAGCACGCACCTGTAGTCCCAGCTACTTGGGAGGCTGACATGGGAGGATCACTTGAGCCCAGGAGGTCAAGGCTGCAGTGAGCTGTGACTGTACCACTGCACAACAGACTGGGTGACAGAACAAGACCCTGTCTCAAAAAATAAAAACTTAAAAAAAAATTTTAACGGGCAAAAGGCTTGAATAGACATTTTTCCAAAGAATTCATACAAGTGGCCAACAGGTATATGAAAAGATGCTCAACATTGCTAATCATCATGGAAATACAAATCAAAACCACGAGATATCACCTCACACCTGTTAGGATGGCTATTATTTGAAAGCAACAACAACAACAACAAAACCCAGGATATAACAAGTGTTCGTGGGGATGTAGAGAAATGAAAGCGCTTGTGCCCTGTTGGCGGAAATGTAAAATCATACAACTGCTATGGAGCATAGCATAATTTTCCTAAAAAATTAAAAGTAGAGCTACTATATGATCTAGCAATCTCATTTCTGGGTATTTATCTAAAAGAATTAAAATAAGATATCTGCATTCCCATGTTAACTGCAGCATTGTTCCCAACAGCCAGGAGGTAGAAACAACCTTAATGTCCACTGGTGGATGAATAAAGAAAAGGTGATGTGTGTATATAATGGAATATTACTCAGCCTTAAAAAGGAAGAAAATCCTGTCACATGCTACAACATGGATGAACCTTGAGGACATTATGCTAAGTGAAATAAGCTAGTCACAGAAGGACAAATATTGTACGATTCTTCTTACATGAATTACATAAAATAGTCAAACTCATGGAAGCAGAAAGTAGAATAGTGGTTGCCAAGAGCTGCAGGTAGGGGAGAAAGGGGAGTTGCTACTCAGTGGGTGTATAGTTTCAGTCACACAAGATGAAAAAATTGTAGAGATCTGCTGTACAACTTTGTGCTCATAGTTAACAATACTATACACTTAAAAATTGATTAAGAGGCTAGAGCTCATTTTTAACCATAAAATTTTAAAAATCATTTTGTCTTGATTTTTGTAACTTTATAGCAAGTCTTGAAATCAGGTAGTGTGGATGATCCAACATTTTCTTTTCCAAAATTGTTTTGGCTATTCTAGGTTCTTTACTTCTCTATATAAATTTTAGAAATAGCCTGTCAATTTCCACAAAGACGACTGCTGAGATTGTGACTGCAATTGCATTATATCTGTCGATTTGGGAAGACTGACATTTTGACAGTACTGAAAATCCTAATCCATGAATTCAGTACATTTTACCACTAGTTTAGGTCTTGATTTCTCTCATCAATGTATGTCAGTTTTTGGCATGCAAATCTTATACATGTTCTGTTAGATTTATTCCTAGGTATTTGTAAATTGGATGCTGTTGTAAATATACTCTAAAAAGTTTTCACGTTCAAAACGTTTGCTGTTAGTATAAAAAAGTATGGTTCATTTTCATATATTGACCTTGTATCCTGTGGGTTTGCTAAACTCACCTACTAGATCCAGTAGACTGTCTCAAAAAAAAAAAAAAAAGGTCTCGCTCTGTCCCCCAGGCTGGAGTGCAGTGGCGCAATCTCGGCTCACTACAAGCTCCGCCTCCCGGGTTCACACCATTCTCCTGCCTCAGCCTCCGGAGTAGCTGGGACTACAGGCACCCACCACCAAGCCCAGCTAATTTTTTGTATTTTTATTAGAGACAGGGTTTCACCATGTTAGCCAGGATGGTCTTGATCTGCTGACCTCGTGATCTGCCCGCCTTGGACTCCCAAAGTGCTGGGATTACAGGCGTGAGCCACCACACCCAGCTAGATCCAGTAGCTTTTTGTAAGTTATTTGGATTTTCTTCATAGACAATCATGGTATCTACAAATGAAGGCATTTTCATTTCTTCCTTTCCAATCTGTGTGCCTATTTCTTTTTCTTGCCTTATTACACTAGCTAGGACCTCCTGGACAATATTGAATAGGAGTGGGGAATGCCAACATTCCTGCTTTGTTCTGATCTTAGGGGGAAAGCATTTCATCTTTCTTTATGAAGTATGATGTTAGGTGTTTTCATAAATCCCCTTTACCAGGTGGAGGAAATTTCCTTCTATTCCTTGTTTTCTGAAAGTTTTATCAGGAACGAATGATAGATTTTTGTAAAATGCTTTTTCTGTATCTATTGAGATAATCATATGCCTTTTTTCTTCTTTAGTCCGTTGATATGGTAAATTGCATTGATTGACTTATGTATATTGAACCAACTTTGCATTCTTGCAGTAAGGCTCATTTGGTCATGGTGTATTTTCTACTCTTTTTATATACTAGATTTTATTTGCTAATATTTTGTTTAACATTTTTATGTCTATATTCATGAGGGATACTGGCTTGTAGTTTTCTTATAAATTCTTTGCCTGGTTTTGATATCAGGTAATGCAGGCCACATAAAATTGAAAAGTTTTCTCTCCTTTTCCTTTTGTTTTTCCAGGATAGGGTCTCACTCTGCCACCCAGGCCAGAGTGCAGTGTACAATCATAGCTTGCTGCAGCCTCTATCTCCTGGGCTCAAGTGATCTTCCTGCCTCAGCCTGCTGAGTAGCTGGGACTACAAGCATGCACCACCACACCTGGCTATTTTTTCTTTTATTTTTAGTAGAGATGAAGTCTCTACTAAAGTCTCTACATTGCCCAGGCTGGTCTCAAACTCCAGAGCTCAAGTGATCCTCCTGCCTTGGGCTCTCAAAAGGCTGGAATTACAGGCTTGAGCCACCATGCCCAGCTTTCCTCCTTTTTTCTATGTCTGAAAAAGTCTGTATAAAAATGGTATTACTTCTTTCTTAAATGTTGTAGGATTTGCAAATGAAGCCATCAGATTTTTCCTGTGGGAAAGTTTTTACATTGCCTAGTACCTCTTAGGTAAGCTTTGAGTGTCTGTCAAGAAATGTGTCCATTTGATTTATCAAATTTATTGACATAAAATTGTTTATGATATTCTCTTATCATTTTAATGTCTGTAGGATCTATAGTGATAGCACCTTTTTCATTCTTGAATTAAAACTTATGTCTTCTCCACTTTTCCTTCTTTTAAGTCTAGCTAGAGGTTTATTAATTTTGTCTTTCAAATACCAGCTTTTGGTTTTAGAATCTTTTTTAAAATTTCATTTCTGCTCTTTATTATTTTCTAGTTTCTGCTTGTTTGGGATTTAATTTGCTTTTCTATTTTTAAACTTTTTAAGGTGGAGACTTACATCATTGATTGGAGGCCTTTTTTTGTTTTATAATATAAGCATGTAACGCTATATATTACCTTTTAAGCACTGCTTTAGCTTCGTTTCATACATTTTGATGTGTTATACTTTTATCGCCAGTCCATTCAAAATAGTTTTTAATTTCCTTATGCCTTCCTCTTTGACTTACAAGTTATTTAAAAGTATGTTGTCTAATTTCCAAATACTTGAGAATTATGCAGATATTATCAATTTCTAGTTTAATTCTGTTGTGATTAGAGAACATATTTTATATTATTTCAATTCTTTACATTTGTTAAGGTTTTATGTCTCAGAATATCATCTAACTTGGTGAATTTCCCACATACATTTGAAAGGATGGTATTCTGCTGTTGTTGGCATGTTCTCTAAAACTTAATTGAAACAAATTGGTTGATAGGGCTGTTCAGGTTTTCTATATCCCTACTGATTTTCTGATTACTAGTTCTATGGATTACTGAAGCAGGAGCACTGACATCTCCAACTAAAATTGTTTGTCTACTTCACCTTTGGTTCTTTCAATTTTTTGTGTTAGGTCCATTCATATCTATGCTTGTTGTGCATTCTTCATGAATTTCTCCCTTATTCATTACGTAATATCCTTCTTTTTTCCTAGTAACATTCTTTATTCTAAAGTCTACTTTGTCTAATATAGCCACTTCATCTTTCTTTTGATTAGTGCTTTGCATGACATATCTTTCTCCGTCCTTTTACTTTTAATATATCTATGTCTTTATATTTGAGGTGGGTTTCTTGCAGATAGCATATAGAGTTGGGTCTTGATTTTTTAACCCAATCTGACAATTCTTGCCATATTTAAAAAAATAAGTTAAAATTTCCCTCTACCTACTCCACCTTTTAAAAATTTGGATGTCTTTACATATTAGGCAACCCTTCAAGCCACTAGCCACTTCTATGTGCAATAATGTTTCCCTGTCCTAGAGATTTCTTACAGATTTGTCATGCAAATTAAACATAATACCTTTATTCAAAAATAACTTAAAAGTATACTTGATATTTCTATTCTCCCATTCCTAATGAGACAGAATCAAGTATTATACACCCAATGACTCCCAATATCTGTCTACAACTAAAATCTCCCAAGTCACTGTCAAACCCACTAAGCCAAAAGCCTACTTAATATCTTTGATGTTTCACAGGTACCTCTTACTCAACATGTCTAAAACTCAATTTGTTACCATCCCCTGTACATTCTTCCTTTCAAATTTGTACCCTGTTTTATGTCTCTCCTCTCAGTGAATAGTAGTATCATCCTGCCAATTGCCAAGTCAGAAATTCAGGAACCACCTTCTCTTCTCTCCCTCCATCCAACTAATCATCAAACCCCCATTAATTCTACTCCTATATATTTTTTCGAATATCTTACCTTTTCATTTCCCATCTCATGTGCAATGTTACTAGCCTTTTCGGCAACCATCATTTCTTACCTGGATTTCTGCAAAAGTCTTTTAATGGTTGTTCCTCCTACTTGCAGTTTTGAAGCTCCCAGCATTCTTGTACCCTACTCCCCAAAACTTCTACTCACAAAGTCCTTTGGCTCCCTCTTCTTATCTATCCTCTCTCATCACTCCCTCCTTCACTGAAGACACTGCCCCAACACACACACGTAAATCTATAATAATTAACACTGTACTTCCCAAGTCCTGGAACAACAGATGCTGTCTTTTGCATCATGTCTTTTCACTTACTATTCCTTTATGTAGAACATCCACCTCCTCCTGCATTCACTTAACTAACTTTTACTTATCCTCCAGGTTTTAGTTAAGGTATCCTTTCTCATGGGAAGCTTTACATAATACCCTAATCTAGATGATGTGCTCTTTATCTTTTAGCACTTAACACACTGAAATTATTTTTCTCTCTGTATCTCTTTCTAGATTGCAACCTCCATGAGAGCTGGGGCTGCTTTACTTGTTCATTTCATTCATCACTCTGTTCCCACTATTGTTAAATTCAGTAATCCTTATTACTTAGAAACAGGCACAAACCAGAACAAAGCAGTCAATGGCATAGTGTAATTTGGGTGTATTGACTCAGAGCACCACATTGACTATGGTCTCAGTCAAAAATATTCATCGCCCAACATGTTGACATTCTTATTATTGTGTAAGGCATTATAGGACTTGGACTCAGATGCCTTGGGCAATTCCTTTCAGCCTCTCTGAAGGTTTTTCTTCATTTCTTAAAGGGATTAAGCAATACCTGTACCAAAGTGATATAGGAGAAACAGATTATAGGAGATGAAGCAAAAGCATTTTGTAAATCAAACAATGATACTCAACATATACATATATGTATCCTTGACTAATCCACGGTGGCCAAAGTATAATGGCTTACTTTTATCCATCAGCGTTTTCCACTACTACTAATTTCCTACATTTTCAAATTTATTTTAATAAAGGACAGGATAAATACCAATTACCTTTCTTTTTCTTAAGTCTAAAACCCTTGTTTTAAAATCCTCATCATCCAATATCAATTTTACTTAAAGATTCTCAAATAGTTGCTGTGCACTAAAATAAAATTATTGATCCCTTTATTATACAAACGATCTGTTTTAAGTCCACACTAACATTGTCAGGTTTAGTTATTTCACCTGAAACAAACAAAAAACAACAAAAATATTAGAGGAAACAAAAATTTCTCAATGAAATCTTATAAATAGCCAGGATGTATACCACAATTAAAAGGCATAACTTTTCAGGAAGATTCTTTTTTCTTAAAAAAAAAAAAAAAAGTAAAAACAATGCTATAAATTTCCAGAGGCGGAAGAGCACATAATAAACATTGTTTTATTCCCCATTATCCAAAATAGTACAGTTGGCCTTTGAACGATGCAGGGGTTAGGGGTGCCAGCCCACTGTGCAGTCGAAAATCCAAGTTGAACGTTTGACTCTGCCAAAACTTAACTACTAATAGCCTACTGTTGATTGGAAGCCTTACCAATAACATGAACAGGTGATTAACATATTTTGTATGTTATATGTATTACACACAGTATTCTTACAATAAAGTGAGAGAAAAAATGTGATTAAGAAAAATCATAAGGAAAATACATTTATCGGTATGTATCAACCCCACAAGTTTACAAGATGAATTGTGTCTGAAATGGCGGGCAGCTGCAGCTGCAGACCTCCATACATATCAAGCAATTCAACTTTTTCTTCTAATGTCATGACTTTTCTCTGCTTCTTGGGAGCACTTCCAGCATTGCATGGGTCCCATGGTGTGACGCAAGGTATTGCACTGAACACAATGGAAGTATTGCACTAAACACAATGAAAAATACATGAGAACCTCAAAAGATCACTTTTTACTGTGATACACAATTTTCTGGAGAGATTGACTGCTCCTGCAGAGATGATTAGCATCACATGACATTTTAAGTGGCTATGCACAACACTTGAGCTCATGGCAATAGCAGCAGGAGGTGGCTACAAAATTACTACAATACAGTATGTACTACAGTTAGTTTTATGCAGTTACGATTTAATACTGCATCTTTGTTGTTTATATTTCTCTCAACTACAAACGGTGCCATGTAGTCTATGTTTGTATGTATGTTTTAATAAATTTTACATTTTTATAATAGACTTGTGTATATTTTACAGTAAATGATAAAACAGCCTAGTATCTACATATATGTTCTGCATTCATGATATACCTAAGTTTTTCTTAAATTTTTCAGTATTTCTAGGCTACTTGGGTCATCTGTTTTTTCAAATTGTCACAGATGTCCAAAAATTTTTCTAACACATTGAAAAAATTATTTCAATTATTAGAAATAATTTTTTGAATTTTTTTTTCAAATTATTGAAAATAATCCACCTATAAGTGGACCCGCGTAGTTCAAACCCATGTTGTTCAAGGGTCAACTGTAAAATAAAATCATGAATATACATGGTATATTGAAATAGTAAATATAAATGGTACAATCTCAATAAATGTTTATTATGATTGCTGTAGTTATTTATACTACATTAAATAATGTATGTTGAACTGAAATAGTAAGACCAAGGACAACTAACTCGTTTATGCCTATCTCAAAAATCTGGACCATTAGTAGCTAAACTCTGCAACTGTTTAAAATATTAAAATGAAAAACTGGTTAAATGGAAAAGTCAAACCCTGGATTCCCTCATATGTGTATTTTTCCCCCTGTGGATCTCATCTGACTGGACCTCATATGCTTTCAATAATTTATTTGTAAATTATAATTCATACATAACATCAATCAAATGGCTGCTTTTCCAACAAGGAGCTATGTGTGGGCAAATCACTGACTTTAGCAAACATCTGACAGTTAATCAAGGGGGTCAGGATCGGCTATTTGTACATATTTTAGATGTACGGCATCACATACTGCGTGCGGTCATGAAAGGCTCACAAAAAGCTAGTCACATCCTGGCAAAAGATGTTGTGTGATAAACAGACCATAAACAGAAACTATCACTGGCACTTAGGGGCAAACTCCAGCTGGGTTTCTTTATCCCTAATCCCAGTTTCAGCTGCAGGTTTTTTCCAGAAAGAACAGTAGTTTGATTTACTCAACACTCTGTAGAAGTCAGGGCGTGGTTATCCTCTAAATAATATTACAAACGGATTTTCTCTGAACTCCTGTAGCAACAGGATCTGACAGTGGTTACTGGTAGGAAAAGGTGAAATTAAGATCAAAATAAAAGCCTACAAAAAATAACAGCTTTTAACGACCACCTAGAGACAATGGAGGTAGGGGTATTTTTGAGACCAAAAAAAGAGTGTAACACAGCACAGAACATGAATACTTTTCAAGCTTTCAACACAGTTAACAGTTGAAGAGTATCTGGTTTTGCCAGCTCTCCTATTACTGTTTTATCCCATGTTATTCCAATACACTAATAACCTCCACAAATACAGATTAATCACGTTTCCTTCTTGATCATTAGAGAAGGACTAATTGTAAGAGTAAATTTAGAAAAAATAATCAATGAAATGCTTCCTTTATCTTTTCTAAAACACTAAACTAGAAAGATGTGCAAAGTAAGACTGAGCAGCTTTTTCTACGGCAGGGATCAATGGGAGTGTACGTAATAAATGAATAATTGCATTCCTTCTCCCTGGCCAGCCGACAGAGTGGAAATCGACCTCTGTTCGGCGGGCATGCACAACCGGCTGGCATGGTGTCTGCGTTCCCCTCCTATGAAAGGATCAGCTCTAGTTACATGCCCTGTGCGCGGCCTGAAGCCTGTAACCGGGATTACGAGCCCACTATGAGCCAGGGACTAAAGGTGACACAGATTTCACCTCTTTTCATTACCTTTGAAGGAAGTTCTGTGCCCTGACGAGGAAACTGGGGCCAAGCTCGCATAGGCAGTGCGGCCGAGTCAGCCCTGTGGCCCCCAAGCTGGGGCACGAACCCACCGCAGTGCTTGCACCAGGCACTGGCTCCGAGAGCAAAGGCATGACTGGGCACCTAAATACCCACTAGGCAGGCAGTGACTGCGACAGTAACTCTCTTCTTTTTGGCCACTCTCAGGCCGCAAGTCCTCCAGAAAACGGAAAACTGAGGCGCGAGCCAAGTCACTTTCCAAAGGTCACAGCTGGTAGCAGGCCGAGGAGGGCCTCCAGGCCTGGTGCTTGCGACCCTCAACGACCATCTGTAATAATGCCCAGAGCCTCTGCCAGGATTCCCCAGCCCTATGTTCCCGCGGCCTTTGAGGGGAAAGGGCCAGGGCCTAGACGTTCCCCTCCCGCGTGGTTTTCCCGTCAGCAGCTTTCGTCTGCAAGGGAAAGCGGCGGCCCCACCCGCAGACAGCTGCGAGGCACCGCGCCAAGCGTATGCGCCTGTTCCCAGGCACTCCCTCCTCCGCCTTCACCCTTTTGCCACCTCCGCCCTCCACCCAGCCCCGCCGTGCGCCTGCGCGCCCCGGCCCGTGGGCCAGCGGGCAGTCTACTCACGTGGGCCTCCGCATGGCCCAGCGCCGCCAAGGGCAAGGCGGAGCCTCGCGATCGCCCCGCCCCCTCCGTGCCCCGCCTCCTGTAGGGAGCGCGGGACCCTCGGCTGGCGCGGGCACTTCCCAGCCCAGCCCGGGGCGCCGGCTTCGCCGCGTGCGCGTGCGCATGGTGGGGTTTGGCTGGCTGCGGGATGCGGTCGAGGCCGCCGAGGCCGCAAACTCCAGTGGGAAGGCGGCGTGCCGCGGCCGGCTTCGGTGGAGGAGGGGGCGTTTCCCCGGAAAAGGAAGGAAGTGGGTGTCACGGGCCTCAATACGGCCCCTTTGACGTCTTGAGTGGGAAATCACAAGATACTGCTCCAGATTTTCCCATTTTATGGCTAAATCCAAATGACTCGGACCCCCTGCCCCATCACATCAGGAACTTCAGCAGTTCCTTCCACCAAAGCTCAACTATTGCTGCAAGCGCTTTGGTAATCACGAGCATTATCTATGAAGCTACTGCTGTGGTCAGGGCCCCAGTCGTCCTGCTGAGTAGCAGACTTTGAAAGACGGTGTCCAAGGCCACCCTGCTGGTCAGTGACCTGCTCTAGAGGCTAAGCCAGGGCATGCTTAGAACTTTGATATTTAGACTTCTTACATTAACTTAACCCAGTTAACAGGTTTGTGGGGGCATTTTTTGTTTGTTTTTTTGAGACCGAGTCTCGCTGTGTCACCCAGGCTGGAGTGCAGTGGCACAATCTCTGCTCACTGCAGCTTCTGCCTCCCGGATTCAAGCAATTCTCTCACCTCAGCCTCCAGAGTAGCTGGGATTAGACGTGTGCCACCACACCCAGCTAATTTTTGTATTTTTAGTAGAGACAGGATTTCACCATGTTGTCCAGGCTGGTCTCGAACTCCTGGCCTCAAGTGATATACCCGCCCGGCCTCGCAAAGTGCTGGGATTACAGGCGTTAGCCACCGCACCTGGCCTTGTGGGTTTTTTTTTCTTTCTTTCTTTCTTTTTTTTTTTTTTTTTTTTTTTTTAAGAGACAGGATATTGCTGTATTGCCCAGGCTGGAGTGCAGTGGCATGATCATAGCTCACTGCAGCCTCGGACTCCTGGTCTCAAGCGATCCTCCTGAATCAGCCTCCTGAGTAACTGGGACTACAGGCGCGTGCACCATGCCCGGCTCATTTTAAAACATCTTTTTATAGAGAGGAGGTCTCGTTGCGTTGCCTAGATAGGCCTCATACTCCTGGCTTCAAGCTGCCCTCCCACCTCGACTTCTCAAAGCACTGGGATTACAGGCTCACAAGAGCCACCGCACCCAGCCACTTACTGATATTCTTGTGTAGCTTTCTGGTGGGTAGTTTTATTAAGAAAAGTCTATATCCAGACCATGTCACTATATTCAAAATAAAAAATCCCTGCCTTAGGTGAGTTGTGTGTGTTCTCATACCATGGGTCCCTTGAGAACACGAAGTTTTTTGTGATTGTTGTTCTTAAGGTTACTTTGAAGCTGTCCTGATGGAGTGTGGTAAGATGGGGCATTCCTGGGACAGGACTTAAGGAACATATGTCCCACATTTATCACATTTGGCAGCATTTAGTTTTGCTTGATTATGAGTTCCTGTGGATTTTTTTTAGGTTGATTCCTGGGTGCAAATACCATAAGGAAGTAGCTCTAGATCTGCTGTTCAACCCCCAAATTTCACTTTCTCGTTAATATGGAATTACTGCTACTCCTGTTTTTCCCATCTTCTCTTATGGTGGGTAGTTTTACTGAAGATTATCATCAGAAGGTGGTTAAGAGAATGGGATGATTAAGGAACAATGAGAATTGAACAAATAACAAAACCTTTACTGATTTGAGATCTTCAAGTTCTGCTCCCTCCTTGCCGCCCCCTCACCCAAAAGTCTTAGAACTCAGTGACCGTTCACAGATGGACTCAAATCTTTGCTCATAACATTTGAAAGAATATTCTTCCTGTATTTGGATTTGAATTGCCTCAATTGAAATTTTGGCAGAATGGATGCATTGGAAATTGGGGAGGAGGCAGTGTCAAGGTATTAGGGAAAGGAGGGGATAATCTTGGCTAGGAGAGAGAACAATGAGAGTTTAGAGAAGGAATTTTTTAAAATGAGTGAGTGGCAGATCTAACAATATTCTATGATTTATTTATTTATTTAGAGACAGAGTCTCACTCTTTCACCCAGGCTGGAGTGCAGTGGTACAACGTCGGCTCACTGCAACCTCTGCCTCCCAAGCTCAAGCGATTCTCCTGCCTCAGCCTCCTGAGTAGCTGGAATTACAAGAGCACTCCACCATGCCCGGCTAATTTTTGTGGTTTTATTAGAGATGAGGTTTCACCATGTTGGCCAGGCTAGTCTCGAACTCCTGACCTCAAGTGATCTGCCCACTTGGCCTCCCAAAGTGCTGGGATTATAGGCATGAGCGACCGTGCCTGCCCTCTATGGTTTAATAGTAATGGTAAGCTAATTCTTGAGTGTAAGGATTTCTATATTATTTATGGTGACCAAAAACATTACTGTGTCCTCATTTGGGGAATCTTTTTAGTTAAACTAGGCCTGAAAATTCTTGACAACAGAGTAGGAAGGGCATAGGGAGGGGTTGAGAGCTTAATGACAAAGATAATCTAGGATTGGGTAGATCTCAGTTCCAGTTCTTTTAGTGTCTCTGCAGCACACAAGTAACTAGCTAGCACCAGGTATACAGAGGCCTGAACCTGGAGGGTTGTTGCTGAAATTCCTCGAATGGATGCAGCCAATAAGGGCTCAAATGCTATGTCTAACTTAGTCCCCCAAATTAGAAAGCACCAGATTAATTTACTGAATTATGAGCTCAAGATAGAGACCCTGTGCACCTAGCATAGATATTACAAATTGAATCTCATCAATTACTGATCAAAGACTTAGCTCAGGGGGCCCCTGTGGCAACTTGTGGTCCAATTACAATGAATTTTGGGGAATACTTGCCGAAAGAATTGTATATTTCAAAGTAATAAAGCCCATGGTTGAAGAGTTTTTAAAATACCGCCCCCCGCCTCACCCCGCCATCTGTTTCAGTTTACTTCAGAGGTCTCATTTTGCAATATTGGATTCAGATTGTTGGACACAACATTTATAAGAGATGTTCTACGTTATTTTCTCAAAGCTTCATTTCCAGGATCTTTCTCCCAACTTGTTTTGTAACCTAAAGCTTCCTACTCCCTGTAAAAGACAATACCTTAGCTGAAAAAAATAGTATTTTGATTTCCCACCTTGTGAGGCTGAAGTAGAATAAGTTGTAACAGAAACAAAGTCCTAAAGATAGAAGAATAGGCCTCAAAAGCTGAGGTTGTATAATGGTCGATGAGGGAGATGTCACACCAGTCCACAGTGAAAGGTTAAACAGCAGCCCAGAAGAGCACAAGTGGATATAATTCACTCATTGTGTTTTCTATTGACATCCCTTCCTCTCCCACCTTTTAGGCTAATGTAGATTCTGCCTTGATTAGATGCAAATTTTTAGAACTAGACAGGGGCTTGGAGCTTATGGCTCATTCTGCTCACCTGTACTTTGAGCAAACCGGTTAAGCATTTTCAGGTGACATGGCCAACACCACAAAGCTAGTTATTAGCAGAACCAGAATTAGAACCACTCCCTCCCTGCTCAGACGCAATTGCTCTTCCCTTTTCTCTCCAAAATGGCCACCATCAATTTCTTCCCATCTTGTATGCACATAATGTCACACAATTCAAGAGGTGGAGTCTCTTCCCTCCGCTTGACTTGGTTTGTGATTTCATTTGGCAGCGGAAAGATACAATGAAAGTGATGTTCTGAGACTTCCAAGCTCAGGCCATAGAGGTCTGGCAGCTTCTGCTTCCTCCCTCTGGGGGCCAGCCTCCATGCTTTAAAGAAGCCTGGGGAGGCCAGGCGTGGTGGCTTACGCCTGTAATCCCAGCACTTTGGGAGGCTGAGGCGGGAAGATCACCTGAGGTCGGGAGTTCGAGACCAGCCTGACCAACATGGAGAAACCCTGTATCTACTAAAAAATACAAACTTAGCTAGGCGTGGTGGCGCATGCCTGTAATCCCAGCTACTTGTCTGAAACAAACAAACAAACAAACAAAAGCTTGGGCTAGACTACTGAGTGATGAGACCAGAGACCAGCACACAGACGCAGAGAGGCCACGTGGAGGAGCAGCCAGGTGAGTTCAAGCCTTCTTTTTATGTTGTTTTTGTATGTTTGTTTTTGAGACAGAGTCTTCTTCTGTCACTCAGGCTGGAGTGCAGTGGTGCAATCTCGGCTTACTGCAACCTCCGCCTCCCAGGTTCAAGATATTCTTCTGCCTCAGCCTCCTGAGTAGCTTGGATTACAGGCACGCACCACCACTCCCAGCTAATTTTTGTATTTTTAGTAGAGACGGGGTTTCACCACGTTGGCCAGGCTGGTCTCGAACTCCTGACTTCAGGTGATCCGCCCACCTTGGCCTACCAAAATGCTGGGATTACAGGCATGAGCCACCATGCCTGGCCAAGCCATCCTGAACTACCCAGTGGAGCTCTACCCCAATTCCTGACCCAGAGAATCATGAGAAGCAGGCAACGGAAAGGCTGCTACACCCTCTGACTTTTTATTAACTTGATGGTCATAGTTAAGAAATCAAGACATGAGACTATGGTTAAGTTTCAGTAGTCTCATTAAGACACCCAGTCAGCTAACACTTCCATGTATGTCAGCAGCTCTTCTCCAACAATAAAGGTGTAATTTAAATTACAGTTTATTAATTTGCTGATCAATCGACCCTATGGGTATATTCACTTATACTTAGCATTTAACTGTAACAAAGTTTTTTTTTCTTTTCAAATTCTAATATTCTGGTTATCTACTGCTATACAGCAGACCACCGGAGAACTTGGTGACTTAGAATGACACTACTTATTTATTTATTTTGTAGAGACAGGTTCCCGCCATGTTGCCCAGGCTGGTCTCGAACTCCTAGGCTCAAGTGATCCCAGCCTCCCAAAGTGCTGGGATTACAGGTGAGTGACCGTGCGCAGCCAACACTACTTATTTTGCTCACCACTTTGTAATTTGAGCAGGGCTTCATGAGGATGGCTGGTCTCTGCTGCCCTCAGCATCAGCTAGGGCTGGCTTGAAGTCTGGGGGTGAAGTAATTTGAAGGCTGGCTCTCTCTTGTCTGGAGGTTGGTGGTGGAAGACTTCAATAGCTGGAGGCTAGAACAGTGGGGTTCCTCAGGTATCTCTATCTCTATCATCTCTATGGAGCTTTTACACACAGTCTCTTCAGCATGGTGGCTTCAGGCTGGCTAGTCATCTTACATGTTGGCCAGGGCTCCCAAGATTCACACTCCCAAGAAAGTGATCCCGGAAGAAGCTGTATCGCACTGTATGACTTATGCTCTGGAAGTCATATAGCAACCCTTGTGCCCTGCCATTTGTCCACCCATATTCCATAAAATGGTCTATCGGCCCCACTTCTTGATGAAGGAATGCCCATATCACACTGTTAAAAGGGCAGGTGGCTGCTGCCGTATTTGGAAAATACAATCCTGCCTTGCCCAAGTTCGAAACTCTGCATCTGAATTTCATGCTAGGGATAAAACTTGATAGAAAAACTAATTCCAGGAGCTTTGATTGCTTTTAAAAAATGCCAATTGCAACACTTAACATTAATTTAGTTTCCTGGTACATGTCTTGATTTGGGAGTGCAGTTCATCTTACCCTCCCCAGGGATTTGGATTCAAACTGGGGAGGGTAGAATGTGAATAATCTATCATTTTTGCTGTTTTTGTAAACGTTTTTTTAAAAAAATAGATTTTATAGCCTGCAGTTGACACACACACAATTTTCATCAAGGTTGAGACATTATGAATTTAATCTGACAGCCACCTATTTTAAAGAAAATTAGTTGTATATGCTCTGTAACAAGTTTTGGGTAAATAATAACATATATTTCTACCTGCATGTGTATGCACACATACCTACTCATGTTGTATCTCATTCCTGAAGGATTTCCAGCTTCTCTGCCCAGTTTGCCTGGCATTGTTTTTCTTAAACCTGGCAATGCCACACCAAAGGGATGTGATGCCTTTTTAACTGCTGTCAGCAACACTCAAATGGTCAGGGCAGGAAGTAATGTGTGCAGTATCTTTCTTTAATTCCAGTAGAATCATATTAAGGCTAAGATTTAATTAGCTAAATTGGAGTTTGTATGTGAATAGAAAAACTAACATTTCTATTATTGTAAAAACATGCCCAAGGACATATAGCAATTGGATAAAAGCTGCTATGCTTGTGTGGCATTTTGTAGTTATGAGATAGCTTCTTAGAATTATTACAAATAAAAATAAATATCCAATACATTTATCTATTTCTTGAAGATTATTGTGCCTATGTGAAGTACTTCTCTGTCTGTGGTCTGGCTTTTAAACCTTGCTTTTCCAGCTTACTGTCTTCTAGAATTAAGTTCGCTAAACTATGTTTTCATCACTATCCGAAGACATGATTTTATGAGTCTTTTAACAATGACTTTCCAGACTATCTCTGTAGATTCCACTTTGAGGTTGCCAAATAGCTATATCACTGAAAACTTTGGTATGTATCAAATGTTTCCATTTTAAATTATCTCCTCAACCATGTGATTTCAGAGATTTTGGTAGTCAACTGACTCCTAACATTTTGTGTCTGAAAATTAAGTGTATTGCTAACAGAACCCATCAGTGAATAAAGAATTTGTATTTGTTTCTTTTTATTACACATGCCAGCGCAAAGAAAAGCATTCTTTTATAAAGTGAACTCTCCCCCTTTGTTTATTGGGAATTTTTCATTTTCATAGTTTCTCTCAAAGCGAAGAAATCCAAGAATATTTTTGCAACAAACAATAGAATGAGGACTGAAGGTGTTCCTAGGAAACATTTTAACATTTCAGTTCATTTTAAAGGGATTGAGTTTGTTTTTAAAATTGTTTGTTAGGAATAAGAAAATTGGATTAAATGCCAAAGAATGGTAAAAGAATGCTGTGAGGTGACATTAATTTAGAACAGAAAATGTAATTGCCAGGAAGAAATGGCAGAGTGCATCTTTGTCACAAGCTGATGGGGGCATTACTTTTGAAGTAGCTCTAAAAGACGAGCCTCATATAAAGTCACTGGATCAACATATCTCCCAGCTAAATAAGGCTAGGGCCAGCCGGCACCGTATGATGTGAAGGCCTGTATGCCCCTTTAGCAAAGCTACATTAACCAAGGAAGCTGAGCCTTGAAAGTAGCTTTCACAGGCTACCTACTCACAGAAATTCTCAGAGAAGTAATTTTCATTTAGAAATGAGAAAGTTACTGGAGTTATTACAAATGCTCATCATCACCTCCCCACTCCAAGCCCCCCAAAAAGTGAAAAATGATTTGAATCTACCCTGTTAACATTCAGCTCAAGTTGAACTTGAAGCCATTAGCTATGTGACTATATAGAATATCTGACGGTATCAGATCTTTGGAGGTTCTCCTAACCCCACAAGAGTGTGGCTCAACGGGTGTTTCACATTCCCTGTGTGTTAGTCCACACTAAGGAAACGGCCCAGGGAACTCACCGGATTCTCTTTTCCAGTCTTGCCATTAAGACTGCAATGGAAACTCAGTTTAAAATGATAGAATTACTTGTCATTCACCTAATCTCTCTGAACGTTATTTTCTTCTTTGGTAAAGTGAAGATAAACCCACATACCCTACTTTTTCATAAGAGTGTTGCGGTTTAAAAGAAAAAGGCAAGTAATGTGAAGTGAACATTTGGCATAATCTGGCCCCTATAAGCACATTCTATGAATTGTCCCACCAAATCCTCATAATGACCTTAGGAAACAGGTACAGAGATAAAACTGAGGCTTAGAGAAGGTCAATACCTGGCCCAAACCATATCTGTTAAGTGGCAGAGCCAAGATTTGAGCTGTCTGACTTCAGACTACTAAACTATTCTACCTCTAATATAACATATATGAAAACAACTATCAAATGGTAAAGTCCTAGGCAAACATCAGATCTCACTATCATTAAAACTTTTCTCTGAATCTTTACTTAAAAATTACATTATGTGACCGGGCACGTAATCCCAGCACTTTGGGAGGCCGAGGTGGGTGGATCATGAGGTCAAGAAATCGAGACCATCCTGGCCAACATGATGAAACCCTGTCTCTACTAAAAATACAAAAATTAGCTGGGTGTGGTGGCACACACCTGTAGTCCCAGCTACTTGGGAGGCTGAGACAGGAGAATCGCTTGAACCTGGGAGGCGGAGGTTGCAGTGAGCCAAGATTGCACCACAGCACTCCAGCCTGGTGACAGAGCAAGACTCTGTCTCAAAAAAAAAAAAAAAAAATTATATATGTGTGTGTTCATATATCAGTTTTAAAGTTTCCATTTTTGTTGATTTTGGTGAGGGCAAGATGTTTTTATGCAGATTTTTTTATGATAGTAATATATGCCAGTAATATATGGTCAGTGAAGAAAATACAGAAAAGTCTAGATTAAAAGAAGAAAACGTGATAGCTAAGTCAAACCTAAAAGCATGTTGAATAAGCAGCAACCCACATTTCTCCCCCAAAAAGTAAGGTCATTATAACAATTCTCAGAGGAAGAATAAAATATATTAGCACCATGCACACATCGTTCACACTGTGATATTTATTAAAGGAGGGTCAGGCGACATATTGACTATAGCAAGTTGTCATAGCTTGTCAGCTATAATTAGAAAAAAAAAGAATTGTAAGAAAAATTAAATGAATAGATTAGCCACAAAATGCTTGGCAGAGGTAAGATTTGGCAGATACCTCAAGACTCTAAATTTGCTGACATTACTAAAGATTCATTTCTAGAAAATCCAGATGTAGAAGAAAGATTCCCATAGTGCAACAGTTTGCACAGTTTGCATAGGGTGCTTTAGAATATATTTATTTATTGAGACTGATTTGAGTATTGATTCTGGCAAATGTTCATTTTGGAACTACAGCAAAGGGTCAGAGAATTCCTAAAATTCAGAGTTGTACCTTGGACTTTAGAGGGACATTTGAGGCAGAAATGTGAGTAGAATGCAGGAGACTGGACTCTGAACATGAGAGGCTCTCATTTAAAAGATTATTACTAGAAATGAGCAGTCAGGTGGGACTGTAAACTAGTTCAACCCTTGTGGAAGTCAGTGTGGCGATTCCTCAGGGATCTAGAACTAGAAACACCATTTGACCCAGCCATCCCATTACTGGGTATATACCCAAACGACTATAAATCATGCTGCTATAAAGACACATGCACACGTATGTTTATTGTGGCACTATTCACAATAGCAAAGACTTGGAACCAACCCAAATGTCCAACAATGATAGACTGGATTAAGAAAATGTGGTACATATACACCATGGAATACTATGCGGCCATAAAAAATGATGAGTTCATGTCCTCTGTAGGGACATGGATGAAACTGGAAATCATCATTCTCAGTAAACTATCGCAAGAACAAAAAACCGAACACCGCATATTCTCACTCATAGGTGGGAATTGAACAATGAGAACACATGGACACAGGAAGGCGAACATCACACTCTGGGGACTGTTGTGGGGTGAGGGGAGGGGGGAGGGATAGCTTTAGGAGATATACCTAATGCTAAATAACGAGTTAATGGGTGCAGCACACCAGCATGGCACATGTGTACATATGTAACTAACCTGCACATTGTGCACATGTACCCTAAAACTTAAAGTATAATAATAATAAAATAAAATAATAAAAAAAAAAGAAATGAGCAGTCAGGAATGTCTGTTTCTGTGCTTTTAGTAATTGTTGGAAAGAAGAAATCTAAGACGTAAGCCATGAGATTCCAAAGAGCAGAAAAAGAATCCAGGGAGCCCATTAGGTAAGATATTCAGAGATGAAAAAATCTCACCATGACTTCAAATATATGTGCCCCTCACCCCATTCCTCCTGAAAACCAAGGTGTTTTGTCATTTCTGTGCTGTATTGATTTCCCTTCTAATTTCAACTGCCCTCACACCTGAGGGGAGCAACATTTTTTTTTCTTTTTAGGTTAGATGGATAATGTGCCGATGTGGGAACAAGGTTCAGAGGGTGGCACATCTCACACATGTCATGAACACCCAATCATCATGCTCATGAACTATAGAAGAATCAGAGAAATGGCATTTTCCAATTGCTTCCCTAGACAGGCTGTTACCTGTAAGACCCGTCCCCAGATCCAGAGGCTGCAATGAACCCTCTGAAACCACTGCTTTGTCATTCAGTTATCCTAGCCTTTCTCTGTATCACCTCTGCTTCCCTCTATGGCATCTTCAGCCACTAACTCAGGAAAGAAAAGTTCCAGAAAAAAAAAAAAAGATTGGTGTGAAACACACACACAAACACCCCACACCTTCAAAGTGTCCCCAGTGACAAGTTAAGCAGTCGTCCGAGATTATGTAAAAAATTCCTGAATCCTTTAAGTCCTGTCCTTTATTCCTTTCTAAGCATGAATAATCCAGTTCTCTGATTCCTGGAAAATTATAGGCAATATGTAGAAGGAGAGAAAAAAACTGACTAGTCTCTTTCAGGAAAACTTTCCTGGCCAGGCATGGTGGCTCACACCTGTAATCCCAGCACTTTGGGAGTTCAAGGCAGGTGGATCACCTGAGGTCAGGAGTTTCAGACCAACCTGGCCAACATGGTGAAACCTTGTCTCTACTAAAAATATAAAAATTAGCCGGACGTGGTGGTGGGCACCTGTAATTCCAGCTACTCGGGAGGCTGAGGCAGGAGAATTGCTTGAACCTGGGAGGCAGAGGTTGCAGTGAACTGAGATCATGCCATTGCACTCCACCCTGGGCCACAGAGTGAGATTCCATCTCAAAAGCAAACAAACTTTCCTGAGCTGACAGTTCCTGTTGTCTTTGTTTCTGAAATTTTGTGACCTGAGTCATATTAGACATTTAATATGCACTTAAATATTACATGCAAGGGAACGTACATTTTGTCACCCACACAAAATAATTTGCTGAAAAAATAGAGACAAAGTCATTCCCTCAAGCATAGAAGGTGCTTAATAAATTCGTTAATTACAAAAAAAAAAAAAAAAAAAAAAAATCCACAAACCGTAGAATGAAATAATTAGGAAAGGATTAATGTATTTTATTATACATGAGCCGGAGTAATTTGATTTTATACCAGTTTTATTTTCCTTTTTAAAAAATGCATTTTCAATTTTCATTTCTCACATGTAGGCTTCATGAAGAACCACTAAAAAGGAATCAGAGAGATTCATGCTTCCCAGGCAACAAAATCAGCAAACAGTGAAAGGCAAACTAGGTGTTGATGGTTATAAACAGAAATAAATTATAATCCCTGCTTTTGTTGCTTTGCCACAGAATCATCACCTGCTGCCCACCATTACATTAATTCTCGTCCCTCATACCAGCAACTTCACAGCTGCCCTGTCTCCTTCCACCTTAGTCCAATGATTTTTTTGGGGGGGCGGGGGGAGAGATGGGGTCTCGCTATATTGCCCAGGCTGGTCTCGAACTCCTGGGCTCCAGTCATCTCACCTCAGCCTCCCAAAGTGTTGGGATTATTGTTAAGTTACCTCAAGTAGGCTGTTTCATTATTGTGCAAGCAAGCCCAAAAATGTACTATTTTGAGAGAATAGAACATTTAAATAAGCATAGCCTTTAAATCATCCAACCTTCTAGTCCCAATTTTAATTCACCCATTTCCTTATTCTTAGAAAAAATTCACATATGGGTCAATCATGTCATACAAGAAAGTAACTCAATGCTCACATTTCATAAACTTTAAAAAAAAATGGAGATTTTCTCAGTAATGCTTTTTTTCCTTCTTTTAGATTATTAATAAAAACCTCTACATTTACTGAGGAAGTATTTAAAATTAATTTTGACTTCATGTATTTGCATTTATACGTGTTGCTATTTATGGGCAAAAACTATTCAATGTACAATTAGTGATATTTTTCCCCAAGGGATGAGTTCATGTTTCCACTGAAGAAATTAAACACACACTTTTGATGTATTCACTCTAATTTCAGGATCGATATTCTGAAGAATAAAAATACCCTGTCCAAAACTTGGAGAGTTACTTTGATTTCTTTTTTAATTTCAATTTCATATGTCAGCTCCACCCAAGACTAAGTTCTGCTCCAGGTTCTGATAGTACTGAAATTGCTTTCTCTTTTTCCTAGAGTACGACATAATTCTTACCTAAATGTCAGATAGTCATGGTATTCTTATAAATACCCTTGTTTACAGTAAACTTAATGTATGTTTGGAAAATAATTCATTAAACACTGTAAAATGCTAGTGTTGACGACTTCCTTGTCAACACTAGAAGAGTGAAAGAGCTGATTTAGGATTTGGCCATTTGTAGTGACGACCTAGCAAAATAATTAAGAAAAAACTATTCAACGTTCCCGTTCCATTGATTTCATTTACAGAATGCCAGCTGGTTCCAGTGCTTCTCTGTTTAAATGAATACTAATTTCAAGCTTTTCGAACAGACCTTGCTTAAGGAAAGTCAGGAATACAACATCAGCAAGTTATCCAGCATCAAGTGCAGGCTGCGTGCCTGATGTTTGCAACTGACTCATGAGATTCTGGTGTCTCAAGGATATCTATTTGATATCTTATTCTCAGCTATATAATCTTCCAGATTAAATTGCACCAGAAATAATCTGTGTACACCCCACAGAGAGTAAATAATTAGACATATCTCTGCTCTTCCCTTTTTCCACTCTTGCACATGACTTTGCATGTAATTATGTAAAACCTGCAGGCCTGATATTTTCATTATAATCCTGCAATTACAATTATATAACCAGCTTGCTGTTTCCAATTAAAAATATTTTTTTAAGCGACAAAACTGCCCTACAATGAATGCAACTTATGGTGAAGTTTCCCAGCGATCACACTGGGGAATTCAGAAGCAGAGCTAAAACACTTTCTTCCAACTCTCTGCCCAGTTGATCCATTTATCCCTTTAAAATACATTATGTAGAATCAAAAAATATTTCTGGTCTGAGTATATGGAGGTTCCCTGGGATTTAGGGGATTTCGCTTGAAATAGATTTTTTTTTTCCACAAGATTTCAGCTTTTGCAGAATTAGCTCTGATATGAATAATATTTTCACATCATTTCAAACGCATTTAAATTTCTGAAGGTGTTGCTTAAGGAAGCAACCAATGCAAACTTTGTTAACAGGAAAAACCATGTTTAAAATAAAAAATTAAGCACGGCAGGTACCTAAAAGCCTAAAAACAGAAACAGCATGGAACATTTCTAAGAGTTGGAACGTGTAAAAATATGTATGTTAAAAAAAAAAAGTTCAGAAATAGATCCAAATATATGTGGGATAAAAATTGCATTATAAATCAGAGTGGAATGAAAATAGGGATAGTTCAATATTTGATACTGAGCTACCTGGGCAGCATTCTAGGGGAAAGCCTGTCTTACACCAGGCCAAATTTCAAATGAATAAAAAATGTAAAGGTCAACACCAAAAGCTACCCAAGATCTAGGAGAAAAACAGGATACTTTCTTAATGACCTTGAATATGGTAGACCTTTTCAACTATGAGTCAAATCCAAAAGCCGTAAGAGAAAATACTGGTAAATTCAGGTACATAAAAATAAAATTTATTTTACATTTTATTTTTAAAAATAAAATTTATTTTACATTTTATTTTTAAAAATAAAATTTTACATTTTATATAAGATGAGATAAAAATATTTGTAATTCATACTAATAAAGGTCTTATCTTCCTACTACAGAGGAGCTTAAGTTGAGAAGAAAAACACAAACAGCCCAAAAGAAAATCATACAAGAGGAAAACAATGGGAAAAATTAGATACCATTTTTCTTCATTTGTTCACACACACAAAAAAAGTTTGATGACACCAAGTGGAAAATATTGTTATGTATTACTGTTAAATGCATTAAGTTACTATAAACTTTATGTGTAGGGCATTTTGGCAGTATCTACAAAATTACTAATTATTCCTTTGGCTAGCAATTCTACCTCCACGGATATATTTGTGAAATGACCCTACATAAGATTATTCACTACAGAAATGTTTGTTGGAAACAACACAAATATTCGTCAACTGGAGACTAGTTAAATAAATTATGGTAGCTCCATATAGTGGAATACTATACAGCTATAAATAAGGAGAAAGGGAAAGGGTCCATGTACTGACTTAGAAAGATCTCCAAGAAATAAATAAAATTAAGTGGGTGGTGGGGAAGCAACGGCACAACAGTGTCTGCAGTATGCTACCTTTTGCGTAAAAAGAGACAAGAAAAACTACACTGATTTGTATCAACCCAATACTACCTAGGAAAAAAGATTTGTTGGTATGTGCTAAACAAACTATGTTTACATATACACATAATAACATCAGGACCAGGTGTGGTGGCTCATACCTATAATCCCAGCACTTTGAGAGGCCAACCGGGGGAGGATGGTTTGAGCCCAGGAATTTGAGACCAGCCTAGGCAACACAATAACACCCCATCCCTTAAAAAATTAAAATAAAAATTAGCTGGGCATGGTGGTGTGCACCTGTAGTTCCAACTACTCAGTAGGCTGAGGTGGAAGGATCACTTGAGCCTGGGAGGTTGAGGCTGCAGTGAGCCGTGATGGTGCTGCTGCACTCCAGCCTGGGCAATGGAGTGAGACCCTACCTCAAGAACAGAAAAAGAAAAAAGAAAAGAACGTCAGGTGTGCAGCTGTCTGTGTGTGTCTAGGGTGGTTGGGAACTAGGTAGATGGGGTCAGGGTTGTGAAACAATTTTTAAATTTTCAATAATATGCATATTACCTGTTCAAAAATTAAATCAAAACCAATATTTTTCCCTAATCTAAGCCTAGATGATATTTACTTTACTTCTGATTATGTATCTCTTTAATGACACATTCTTTAAAATTATATGTTGTGCTAGAAATGTAAGATTAATTAGGTTTGGTTGAAATTCATTATTGAAAGAGTAGGTTACAAAAATTAATCATATTCTTGACACTTCTTACTCAATTTTGGCTTTCTTTGTATAATTCTTCTTTATACTTCTACTTCAAATATAACCCTTCTATGTTGCTTAGAAATCTGTGAGAACATTCACTGATCAAGGACCCTAACCTTGTCACTGAAGAATTTTAATCAATTTGAAGTTTTTATGAGCATATAAACGTGTTAAAGTTTTTTTTGTTAAAGTTTCATTCTTTATCACGTACATGAAGTTCTACTAAAGAAGTTAATTGGCCATCTGCATTTCTTATCTATTTTTCCTCTTAAAGTGGAATATAAAATCCTACTTTTATCCTAGGATGAAAAATCATTCCTTCAAGTGGTAAGATGTCTTCAGTGCATGCAAGGATATTTTCCTGACTGTATAAGATTCTCACCAAACACCACCATATTTCTTTTAGAGATCTTTTACTTTGTATTTAACAAGAACTCTTTTTTTCTTTGACACGATTAAGGTTTTATTCCAGTTAATCGCAAACACAATTTAACCTTCAGGAGTTCCCTTTTAAAAAGTTTGCTCTTTCACTTCACTCATTATACATCCTCAGCCCACCCTGTAGATGTATTTTGGAACACTTCACATAATTATTAAGTAATTGTATCATTTGTTCTTTCATGTTTGTCTTCTGGTAGCTTCAAGGATAGGAACCAAATCTCTCCTATTCACCGTAGTTACAGTCCCCATGCCCCAAGAAGTCTAATGAATTGTCTTGTACATAGTAAATTCTCAGTATGCAGTATATTTGTTGAACAAATGAATTGCCTTTGTCTTAACATCTTAACGTCTATTAAAATTACAAGCTCCTTGAGATTAGAGACTGTTTCAAAGGAGTTGGTTTGGTATACAGCTAAAACAGTATAGAACCAAATTACATACTTAATTCATTTATCATGAATGAAGCAATCACACATCACTGGCAACAGTAATATTGACAGACCCATAATCAACATCCTTGAAGTAACAGAACATTGCTGGCTTGACTAAAAATAATACAAATTTCAAATTATATTTTGTGTCAAATAATTCTGACAATTTTTTATGCTTCACTGAGAATATTAACCTTTGCAATGAGGTGTTATCCACTTCCAAGATAGGTTCTACATGACCTATATGAAATAGAGTTTACCTCCAGTAGGCAGTCTTTTCATAAAGCCCAGCAAAATAGTGTGAGGGTTGGATACTAAAAGCATTTACAGTATGTACAAGTGGAAAAAGTGTATCATCCATTCAAAACTGTTTAATTTTCCTTGGGTTGTTATAATGACAACTTCCTTAACCTGATAACAGATTTTTAAAAATGTAATCATGTATTTATTTTATGGTTTGCACAAGATGTACCTTTAGTACATCCAGATTTTCATAACCCGTCAAACAGTTTTTCAGTATGTGTTATGGCAGGATATTCTAGAACTGCCAAGAAAAGTAAATTCACAGAGCTGCCTGCAATTCACTAACTATAACAAATTAGCATAAGCAGCTCCATTTTAGAAGGCACGGCTTTTACAAGTTACACAGAAAAATAATGTTGGGTTTGCATTTCTATCATTAAAAACTGCCCTTGCCATGAATGGTTACACTGTGAATATTAAACACAGCCCAGATAATTCAGTGTAGCTCGTCTGTTTGAGGTGGAGCTCCTTAATGAAACATTTGGTTATGATCTGAAGACTAACTAGGAAAACTAGCTAACAAGCACCTATTTTTACGGAATTTTTTCTACTTTAAAAAAAAAAAACGCATATCAAATAAAACCTCTCAACACTTGTCAGCTCTCCTGTGAACATACCATATAAATGGACTGGCACCGGCTGCCAGAGAAAACGAAAGGCCAAATTACTCTCTCCCACCCATGCTGTGAAGTTCAGAGAGAAATCTGTCCTAGACCCAAACCACACAGATAGCATACAATGCACCATTTAGCAAGAATGAAAGAATGGATAAAATTCTTCAGATTTCTCTGCACAATAGCAAAGATCTTATTTTGTTAGTCACCATCACAATTTAAAAGGCCTCTGGTGGTTGCTCACAGAACAAAACAAAGGTATTTTCAAATATCTAATTTGCTTAAGCTCTGTTCATTCTGGCCAAAACTCCAAAAGGCATAAAAACTGTGGCTGCAGGCTTACCTTATTCCAAACATATCCGCAGTGCCGTCAGTTGCCAGTGTCATACTAAAGAGGTCTCATCAGTACCTAGAATAAATCAATCAAGGAAGTGAATTTAGAGTCTGGGTTTTGATTCTGGGAAACATGAAACTGTTTATAACCATCCTGGGAATACTATTTTCGAGCAACCTGGGCAATATAGTGAGACCCTGCCTCAGAAAAAAAAAAACATATCTTTTTACAGAACGGAATACACTATTGGCCAGCTTCGGAATTTTGTGAATGCAGCTGCTTGGAGGGCAGGACCTTCGTTCACCCCTTCCACTCCAACCCGTGGAGAAGGTTGAAGGGACTGTCAGTGCCAGCCTGCTTTATGGTGGGCGAGAGAGTGTGGGGATGGGGGCAGAGATGCAAACTAAATAAGGTTTAAAGAGAAATTAGAAGATGCCTGTCCTGCCATGGACCGTCACAAACAGGCTCTTATTTTTCTGTTGGACTCTAAACTTTAATTTACCCACGTATTCTCTCTTCCTCAAACTCAGAATGTTAGACTTACCCTTCACCCTCCCTCGTGCCTCCTCCCCAAGCACTTTCCCACAGGTATTCCCTATTGAAACACAGGTGGTTGCCCATGCTGGAAATTTGGAAATGTCCCAGTTACAGCCCTTTTCAATCAATCACCAAGTCCAGGTGAATCTACCTCTTTAATAACGTCAGTGTTTCCAGTTTTGTGCATCCCTACAATGGCCACCTAATGCAGCCCATTCTGGTCTCTTTCTTGGATTTTGATAACAACTTCCTAAATTATCTTCCCACCTCCAAGTTGTTACCACTCCTTTCTGGTCTTTTTTATTTTTTTTTTTTTGAGACACGGTCCCACTCTGTCGCCTAGCCTGGAGTGCAGTGCAGCAAACACTGGTCACTTCAGCCTCAGCCTCCAGGGCTCCAGCGATCCTCCCGCCTCCTGAGTAGCTGGAACTACATGCGTGCGCCACAATGCCTGGCTAATTTTTGTATTTTTAGTAGAGACGAGGTCTTGCCATGTTGCCCAGGCTGGTTTTGAACTCCTGAGCTCAAGTGATCCTCCCACCTTGGCCTTCCAGAGTTCTGGAACTACAGGCATGAGCCACCATGCCCAGCCCCCTTCTAGTCCATTTTTTTTACACCCACATCGATTCTTCCCCCGTGCTGATCGTATCATTCCCAAACTTAATATCTGACATTCAGAGTCATCGTGTTTTTTCCCCATCTTATTTTGACCTCAGTTTACCTCTCTCGTTTTATCTTGAGCCTCTTCTGCGCACAAACACCAAAACGCTCTACTTTTTGGTTGCCTGAGAGCAGCGTACCAGATCAAAACCTGGGAACTTCGTATTTGTCCTTTTCTCTCTGCCAGGAATATCGTCCTCTCCATTTGCCCAATGAGCCCCACCTCCTCATCATTTTTACCTCTGTGGAAATCCCTTCCTTCCAGAAGCCTCCACTCACTTCTGATGCCAAGGAGCTTCTGCGGCGCCCTGCACGCACCTTTACAGATGCAGGTGGCTGTTTCCTGTGTTAGACTGCAAGCTCCCGTGAGCTGGGTCCATTGCTCATCGTTGACTTGGCCTGGCAAATAATGACTTGGCCTGGTAAATAATCATTATTTGGTAAATAATGATTACACGAACAAATGTAACTAAGACATCCAGATACAATCTAATGCATTTCATGCAACTCGTGTAACCAAGTGAGGTTTTCCAGCTGTTTCAGCTTCTATTATAACTTACATTACAGAACTGGGGTGTCCCAAGCACCAGATTATAAGAATCACCTGAGTCACTTGACAAACTAACAGCATCCTGTCTCTTAAAGAGACACACGGGAAACTGGTAAAAGTGAATCTGAAGGAAAAAACTGGTGATCAGAACCAGGAATACACTTGTTTTTCACTGCATACCCTTTAGATTTGCCTTGAGTTAAAAAAAAAAAAAAAAGAAAAATACACACACAAACACACTCTCTCTCTCATTTAAAATAAATATATTTACTTTATATATCTTATATATTCATATATTGCTGGAAGAATACACAAGAAACCAACAACATTGAGCACCTCCAGGTAGGTGAATTGGGATACTGAGAGAACAAAGTTGGGATAGAGACTTTATAATGACACTCTTTTATACCTTTTGGAATTTCCCATCATTTTAAATGTATGACCTGGTCAAAAAATTTAAAAATTAAACAAAATCACAGGCTGGGCACAGTGGTTCATGCCTGTAATCCCAGTGCTTTGGGAGGCCAAAGTGGGAGGATCACTTGAGCCCAAGAATTCAAGACCAGCTTGAGCAACATAGCAAGATTCCATCTCAACAACAACAAAATTTTAAAAATTAGCCAGGTGTGGTGACACATGCCTGTAATCCCAGTTATTTAGGAAGACAGGATGGGAGGATCGCCTGGGCCCAGGAATTCAAGGCTGCAGTGAGGTATGATGGTGCCACTGTACTCCAGCCTGGCAAGACTCTGTCTCTTAAGTAAATAAATAAATAAATACACAGATTTTCAGACCCATCCCTGGATGTTCTGATTCATGAAGCTGGAAGTGGGGCCTAAAAAAATCTGTATTTTTAATAAATTCCCTGGGTAATACCTATGATCAGGTAAGTTTGAGGAACACTGTTAAGGTTGGACTTGATCTTAGAGATCATCTAATCCAGTAGTTCCCAAACCTGGGCATCATCCTTGACTTAATCAGAATGTCCAGGGAAGGGTCCAGGGAAACCAGTGCTTTAAAAAGTGCTCCCAGATGATTCCAATGCAGGCACTGGCTTGCAGCTTGCATTGGGACCCATGACAAGAGTGCCATCCATCACCCAACCAATACACGAATTGCTTCTCAGTATCGTATGCACAGAAATGTCTCCATCATTATTGCAGCTGGCCTTCAAAAGAGCCCTTGGCGACTCTCCCTTCCTGGTATTCATGCCTTTATGTAGTTTCCTCCCACACTGAGTAGGGCTCACCTGTAGAACCCATAGGATATTGTGGGAATGATGGAGCGTGGCTTCCAACACTAGGCTGTCAAAGATATTGTGGCTTCTGCCTTGTTCTCTCTTGGCTTGTCTGCTCTGGGGAAGCCAGCTGCCATGTTACGAGGATGCTCGGGGGCCACATGGTGAGCAACTGAGTCCTCCTGCCAATCACCAGCACTGACTTGCCAGTTACGTGAGTAAACCCTGTTGAAAGTGGCTCCTCCAGTCCCAGGCAAGCCTTCAGTTGACTGCAGCCAGGGCTGACATCTGGACTGCAATCTCATAAGAGATCCTGAGACAGAACCACCAAGCTGCATCACTCCTCCATTTCTGGCCCATTGAAACTGAGTGAAGTAGTAAATGCTTAATATTGTTTTAAACTGATAACAGGGTTTTTTGGGGGGAGGTGGGGTGCAGGAGATTGTCACACAGCCGTAGATAACTCATACAATCATATTTTCCCACAAGTGCATTTCTTACCAGTGGCCCCATTTCCGTTTCATCTCCCGTCTGGAAAAATATTCTCTTCCCCAAGCCTGCAAGTAAGGTATTATAACATATTTGCTTTCACAGGTTGAGTGTTAGTTTAGAGTGCCATCATGGGGCTTTCTAACTTGGGCAGCACAACTTCTCAAATACTGTCAGTTAGCAGTGGGGAAACTCGTCAGTCTTACTTCCTGTGGTTCTCTGTGGCTTGGCTTGAGTGGATGGGGAAAAACCAAATGATCTTTTTTTGTGGTGATGAAGTGCTGAGCCCTTGTCCACTGTAGGCCCAGTTCTGGCATTCTCCATGCCCACTGAGGCCTCTCTCTGACCTTTCCCTACACATAGAAGGCAGGACAACTGTAAATGCTCTTTAGCTTGTGATGTGATGTCTGTGCATTACATCTGCCAGATTCTGGATCTTGACCTGAAAATATTGGTTTCTGTTTTGACAGAGGAGATGGGCACCTGATTTTCATCTGGAAAATGATATGTGTGCAACATTGCCAGTATCAGAAAGAGTATTTCATATGCAATTACCCTCCAAGCCCTAGGAGGACTTTAAGTCCTTGGAAGGAAGCCAACCTACTCACTGTCCTTGATGTCATCTACAAAGTCAGAATGGTAGAAATCACATTAGACTTCACTAACGAATCATCAGCCAAAGTCTTAAAACAAATATGTGCATTTGCTTCATGCCAGCTCTTCCTTTTTTCTGCCAGTTTCTGACAATTATGGTCACTTAGCTTTGATCTCACCGGACACCTGATTATTTAAAAAGCCAAAATCCTAAACCCACTGGTGTTATTCTGCTTGCAGATAAAAGCAAAGGTCCATTTGTGAAACATCAAAAGGAATTAGGAAAATGTGGGATGTGTGTTGCTTGGTGTTGCCTAGCAATATGGTTAGGGCACAGGAATCACAGAGAGGATGAAATTCACAGCCACAAGGAAATCATATTATTCATAATAAACACACACACGCACACACACATCCTGACATCTCTGCAAGAATGTTATAAACTGAGTACAGAATTATAGTCACAAGTAGAATAATCTTCGGAGCACTGAAGAATAAACATTCTAGTTGATTGGTTGCTTATACTTCAATGTCTATATGAGTACATCACTCACTTAAATGCAAAAGCATTAAATGCCTGTGAATGGAGTTTACAATATGTCTCATAGACATGAGCTCTGTCAGTATAAGTAAAACATACATTTTAAACCAAATATATTAATATGTAAAACGATAGGACAGAGTATTTAATATATAAAAACAACTTTAAGCTCTTTCCTCACCCTTATTTCAAAATATCTACGTTTACCATGAATGTTCATAAGGGCGGTGGTAAAAAGCATGACCATCAAAGTCAGGTGCTTGTTTTCAAATCCGGACTCTGCCTTTTGCCATGTGACCATGAATGGGTTATTTAATTTCCCTAAACCTGCGTTTCCTCATCTATCAATTTGAAATGATTGTACTACTAAATTTATAGGGCTGCTGTGAGGATTAAAATAAAGGAATCTGGCCGGGTGTGGTGGCCCACGCCTGTAATTCCAGCACTTTGGGAGGCCAAGGCGGGCAGATCATTTGAGGTCAGGAGTTTGAGACCAGCCTAGCCAATATGGAGAAACTCCGTCTCTACTAAAAATACAAAAATTAGCTGGGTGTGGTGGTGGGCGCCTGTAATCCCAGCTAATCAGGAAGCTGAGGCAGGAGAATCACTTGAACCCGGGAGGTGCAGGCTGCAGTGAGCCAAGGTCGTACCACTGCACTCCAGCCTGGGCGGCCTGAGACTGTCTCAAGAAAAAAATAAAAATAAAAAATTAAAAATATAAGGGAATCTATGTAAAGGATGAGTACAGGGCTTGGTTCTACAAATATATTGGCCTTTCTACTTTTTATTATTAATAGTACTGTATTGTTATGCAGAAGGCCTCTTGATTGCTCTTCAATAAATATAGATACTACCAATTAAGCCAAGAAAATGTTACAGGTAGAATTTTTGCCTGTAAGGGGGCTTTGGGGTGTTAGGAAAAGGAGATTATAGCCTCTAGTCCCTCCCCGCCCTATCAATTGTTCTTCCAAAGTCAGAGCCAAGCAACTTGAGTCCAAGAATGAGACGCAAGCCTCCAACATGGCCACTCACTGACGGAAAACTCCCATTCCATGAGGCTGTTCCATCGTAGGGCTACACAGACCAGTATTCTCCCAGCTCCAGGCTCCCCTCCCAGAACAACTCACTCCTGTATCCTGCATCCTCCCAGGTTACAAATCTGGGAGTCTTCTAAAAGGGCTTCCACCTTTCTTCTTTGTAGCTGACCTTGGAAATGTTCTCAGTTCTGGGTAGAGCTTTAATTTCCTCCGTAAGTACTGCTTTCCCAGGCTATGACTGCTTTGCCAGGTTATGATGATGGGAACCTGCAAGTGTGGAAGAAAGGGAGGCATCAGCTGCCTCTTCTGCTTGATCTAGGAGCTCTACTTCCTAGAAACATTTGTGTCCTAAGATATTGGTGAGACAGAATCAGACCAGCTGAGCTACCAGCCTTCCCCTAGGGAGAGGTTAACAGTTAATAGAACACCCTGAGAAATAATATGTGTACCCAAAATAGGCAAAATGTGAAGAGTGAGTGACTTGTAAGAATGAGAAAATTACATGGATCCCATTTTAAGATTCAAAAGTCAGTCAAAAACCAATTGTAAGGCCAGGTGCAGTGGCTCACACCTGTAGCCCCAGCACGTTGGGAGGATGAGGTGGGGAAATTGCTTGAGGACAGGTGTTTGAGAGCAGCCTGGGCAACATGACCAGACCCTGTCTCTACCAAAAAAAAAAAAAAAAAAAAAAAAAGGTCTTAAGAAGAGACATTTTAATGTATTCTTAATATCATTTTACTTGCATGAATTTGGGAAAGGTTTTTGTTTGTTTTCTTCCAACCAGTGAACTATTTAGGACAGAACTAACTTACAAGTCCTATTGCTACTTATATGTTTACGAAAGTTCATTTATTAAGATAGAATAAATGCTTTTTTTGGCTTTTAAGAATCGTTGAAACAACATGGGGTTAAAAATAGAAGGGCCCTATTTATAGTAGAACAAAAAGACTAAATTCCTAAGCTTAAGAAGTGAACAAGAGCTATATGAAAAGACTTTAAAATGCCACTGAGGATCACAGAAGAAAACTTGAACTAATGGAAGGATGTATGTATTTTTAGATAAAAAGACTTAACTATGTAAAGATGTCAATTATTCCCAATCTATAATGCAAAAGCTCAATTTTAAAAAAGGACTTTTAAAAACTATACAAGCTCATTATAATATGGAAAAATAAAGAAGCAAGAATATTCAGAAATCCTGAAAATAAAAAAACAAGGGTTTTTTAGTTGTATCAGATATTAAAATATAGTATAAAGCTCTAAAAGTAAAAGGGTATGGTATATGAATAGACAAGGCAACTCGATGAATTATAAATGCAAAGTCCAGAAATTGACTCAAATACAAAAAGAAATTTAGTATATGATAAAATGCCACCACTTACCAATGGAAAAGGATAGTCTGTTCAATAAACAATGTCAGAGCAACTGAGTAGCCCTCTGGGGAAAAAAATGAGAAAGTTGTATCCAAGCCTTACATGTTTCACCATGATAAATTCCAGATGAATTAACATTTTTAGAAAGAGCAAAAGGGAAATAAAATCATGAGAGCACTAGAATAAGCCATTAGATAATCTTTAAATATAATCTTGGAGTATGCTTTGAAGCATAGAGTAAAAGCCAGAATCCAGGCTGGGCGCAATGGCTCATGCCTGTAATCCCAGCACTTTGGGAGACCGAGGAGGGTGTATCGCCTGAGGTCAGGGGTTCAAGACCAGCCTGACCAACATGGTGAAACCCCATCTCTACTAAAAATAAAAAATTAGCCAGGCATCGTGGTGCGTGCCTGTGATACCAGCCACTCAGGAGGCTGAGGCAGGAGAATCCTTTGAACCCAGGAGGCAGTGAGCCGAGGCTGCGCCATTGCACTCCAGCCTGGGCAACAAGAGCAAAACTAAAAAATTGATTCTTCAGGACTTTCAGGTTAACTTTGTGTTTATGAGCCCCATTAAAAAGTGGGCAAAGAACATTAACAGACACTTTTCAAAAGAAGACATCCATGTGGCCAAAAAGCACATGAAAAAAGCTCAATATCACTGATCATTAGAGAAATGCAAATCAAAACTACAATGAGATACCATCTCACACCCAGTCAGAATGGCAATTATTAAAAAGTAAAAAAACAACAGTCTGGTGAGGTTGCAGAGGAAAGGGAATGCTTATACACTGTTCATGGGAGTGTAAATTAGTTCAACCATTGTGGAAAGCAGGATGGCGATTCCTCAAAAAGCTAAAAGCAGAACTGCCATTCAACCCAGCAATCCCATTACTGGGTATATACTCAGGGGAATAGAAATCATTCTACCACAAAGACACATGCACATGAATGTTCATTGCAGCACTCTTCACACTAACAAAAACATTTTTACATTCACAATAGCAAAGTCAACTTAAATGCCCATCAGTGACAGATTGGATAAAGAAATGTGGTACATACACACTATAGAATACGGCACAGCCATAAAAAAGAACGAGACCATGTCTTTTGGGGGAACATGGATGGAGGTGGAGGCTATTATCCTCAGCAAACTAATGCAGAAACAAAAAACCAAATACCACATGTTCTCATTTATAAGTGAGAGCTAAATGATGAGAACCTATGAACACAAAGAAGGACTGGGGTCTTCAGAACACAACAGACTCCGGGGTCTACTCGATGGTGGAGGGTGGAAGGAGGGACAGGATTAGAAAAGATGGCTATTGGGTACTGGGCTTAATTCCTGGGTGATGAAATAATCTGTACAACAAACCCCAGTGATATGAGTTTACCTATGTAACAAACCATCACATGTACCCCTAAAATAAAAGTTAAAACAAAAAAAAACTTTGTGTTTTAAGGAGCTGTGTTTTAAATGTCTATCCTCCAAGCAAAGAATATGCCAAATACAGCATATTTCCTCTTCTAAGTGTGTAGTGTTCTACTGTTATATTATCTGATTTAATTTTTCAGGTGAGAGCTATCATTAGGCAGAATTCTGGGATGGCCTCCAAGTTCACTTGAGTTTTATTAGGACACGGCCATGTTGCTGTGCACAGTGGCTCACGCCTGTAATCCCAACACTTTGGGAGGCTGAGGTGGGCAGATTCCTTGAGGACAGTAGTTCAAGACCAACCTGGCCAACACGGCAAAACCCTGTCTCCAGTAAAAATACAAAAATTAGCCAGGTGTAGTTGCCCGCACCTGTAGTCCCAGCTACTCAGGAGGCTGAGGCAGGAGAATCGCTTGAACCCAGAAGACAGAGGTTGCAGTGAGCTGAGATTGTGCCATTGCATTCCAACCTGGGCAACAGAGCAAGACTCCGTCTCAAAAAATAAAAATAATTTTAAAAAAGAACACAGACATGTCCATTTGCTTTTATGTATTATCTATGGCTGCTTTTGTGCTACAACACAGAGTAGTTGAGAGGAGAAGCTGGATGACCTGAAAGACCTGCAATCTGTACTATCTGTCCCTTTGTAGGAAGTTTGCAGCCTCTGGCTTAAACCATTTTGAGTTGGGTCTCTTGGGGGTGCTCCTGTGTGCTGTTT
Source organism: Homo sapiens (assembly GCF_000001405.40). Taxonomy (NCBI): domain Eukaryota; kingdom Metazoa; phylum Chordata; class Mammalia; order Primates; family Hominidae; genus Homo; species Homo sapiens. The sequence goes on from NC_000003.12 coordinate 4,894,884, forward strand.
AATCCCCCTCCCTCGACTGCAGTCAGGACCTGTGAATATAATCCATTTCACTCTTTTGATTAGATTACATTATATGAGACCCTCTTAGCAAATTGGATAGAGCCATTCTCCAGCTGAGCTTAAAGAAGTGAGGTGTCTCATGGCGAGGGGCATGTGGTGGGCACGGAACTGTGAGTGGCTTCTAGGAGCCAAGAGTGACCCCCAGCTGACAGCCAGCAGGAAAACAGGGACCTCCATCCCACAGCTGCAAGGAACTGGATTCTGCCAACAACTACATAGGCTTGAAAGAGGATTCCACGCCCCAGAAGAAAAGCCTCGTGACACCTTGATTGTGGCCTTGTGAGACCCTGCATGGAGGACCTCAAGCGTTGCTTGGATGAGCCACAGAAACTGGGAGGTAGTTTGTATGTTGTTTTAAGCTGCGAGCTATGTGGCAATTTGTTACATAGCAATAGGAAATGAATGCAGATCACGATGTGGGTTGCCTGCCTAAAAACAACCACTCACACACACACCTCACCTGCTTTCTCAGTCTTAGGAAGTGAATCAAATCTTTTAGGAGGCATCTAAAAAAGCTTTCCCTGCCAGACGCGGTGCCTCAGGCCTGTAACCCCAGCACTTTGGGAGGCTGCAGATGGGCCAATCACCTGAGGACAGGAGTTTGAGACCAGCCTGACCAACATGGTGAAACCCTGTCTCTACCAAAAATACAAAATTAACCGAGCATGGTGGCGGGTGCCTGTAATCCCAGCTACTTACTTGGAGGCTGAGGCAAGAGAATCGCTTGAACCCAGAAGGTGGAGGTTGTAGTGAGCCAAAATCACGCCACTGCACTCAAGCCTGGGTGACAGAACAAGACTGTCTCAAAAAAAAGAAAGAAAGAAAGAAAGAAAGAAAGAAAGAAAGAAAGAAAGAAAGAAAGAAAGAAAGAAAGAAAGAAAGAAAGCTTTCCATGCTCCTAGAAAGGGGACACAGGAAAGAGACATTTGTGGCCTTTAGACACTCTTATGTGAAGACATGATGTGTGGGGGGCTGTGGTCATCTCATGACCGGGAGAGACCAAGACTGGGAACACAGCCCGCACAAAGCTGAGCAAGCAGATGGAATGAATTGAGTTCCTGGATTGAGATGTGAAGCTGCTGAATCAACTAACCCTGAAGCTTACGTTGCCTGGAACTTCTTGTTACTAGTATGATGGTAAATTCAGTGATTGTTTAAACTAGAGGTCAGCAAACTACAAATCCTGCTCACCACTTGTTTTTGCAGGTAAAGTTTTATTGGAACCCTGGCATGTTCAGTTGTTTACCCATTGTTTATGGGTGTTTTCATGCAACAACACAGAGTAGTTAAGACAAGAGGCCACATGGCCTGCAGAAACTACAATCTTTACTATTTATTCCTTTAAAGGAAAAGTTTTCCAATCCCTTCGATCATTTTGAGTTGGGTCTCCTATCATTTGCACCTCAAAAGCATTCACACAATATTTGATCAGTTTCATTCTGATGAAAAGTGGTAACACTAAACTATACCTGATAATAATGACTCTCTTAGTCCATTTGGGCTGCTGTAGTAAAATACCATAAACTGTGTGGCTTATAAATAGAATTTAATTTTCTTACTCTGCTGGAGGCTGACCTGTCCAAGACCAAGGTGCTGGCAGATTCTGTCTCTGGTGAGAACCCATTTACTGGTTCATAGATGGCCATCTTTTCACTGTGTCCTCACGTGGCAGAAGGGGGTGAACCAGCTCCCTTGGCCTCTTTCATAAGGGCATGAATCTCATTCATGAGAGCCCCACCTTCATGATCTAATCATCACCAAATACCTCAACTCCTAATATCATCACCTTGGGGGTTAGGATTTCAACCTATGAATTTGGTGAACGGGGGCACACAAACATTCACACCATAGCAATGACTATGCGTGTTTTTAAGCAAAGCTTTATTGAAGCATTATCATACACATATAAAAGTTTGAAAAATCATTATTGCACAGCTCAATGAGTTTTCAGAGTGAATATGCTGGTGTACCATCACCAAACCCCAGAAACCCCTTATACCCACCTCAGTCACTATATCCCCCTCCCTAAAGACAACTACCCTTCAGACTTCTATGAGAATAATCTCCACTGACTAATTTTGTCTGTTTATGAACTTCATACAAATGGATTTATAAATGTGTATCCTTCTGTGTTTGGCTTCTGTTGCTCAGCATTCTGTTTGTGAAATTCATATCTGTTGTGTGTAGCAGTGGTTCATTTATTGTCACTGTTATGTTCCATGGTATGAATATATCATGATTTATTTATCCATTCTACAGTTGATGGATGTTTGAGTTGTTTCCAGTTTTTGACTATTATGAATAGCACCGGTGTGAACAATCTAATGTTTTTGTGCACATATACACACCTTCCTGTTGGAGTGAAATTGTGGGTCATTCATACATGATTTTTACTGGGGTTCTAAAAGTGATTCAGTGTCCAAAGGTATACAGTTTACCTGAATAGAAATTTCGACTTGTTCCCTCTTGACTTAAAAATCAAAGGTAGGGGCCGGGTGTGGTGGCTCACACCTGTAATCCCAGCATTTTGGGAGGCCGAGGCAGGTGAATCACCTGAGGTCAGGAGTTCAAGACCAGCCTGCCCAACATGGTGAAACCCTGTCTCTAGTAAACATATAAAAAATTAGCTAGGCGTGGTGGCCCACACCTGTAGTCCCAGCTACTTGGGAGGCTGAGGCAGGAGAATCTCTTGAACCCGGGAGATGGAGGTTGCAGTGAGCCAAGATCGAGCCACTACACTCCAGCCTGAGCAACAGAGTGAGACTCTGTCTCAAAAAAAAAAAATCAAGGTAAGGCCAGGCATGGTGGCTCATGCTTGTAATCCCAGCACTTTGAGAGGCCAAGGTTGAGGTCAGGAGTTCGAGACCAGCTTGGCCAAGAGGGTGAAACTCCATCTTTACTAAAAATACAAAAATTAGCCAGGCATGGTGGCTGGCGTGTGTAATCCCAGCTACACAGGAGGCTGAGGCAGGAGAATTGCTTGAACTTTGGAGGCGGAGTTTACAGTGAGCTGAGATTGTGCCACTGCATTCCAGCCTGGGCGACAGAGCAAGGCTCTGTCAAAAAGAAAGAAAGAAAGGAAGAAAGAGAGAAGGAGAGAGAGAGAAAGAGAGAAAGAAAGTCAAGGTTAATTTAGCAGAGTATTGGGCTCAAAAGATCATATATAATCAGGCGGCAAATGAATTGAATGAAAAATTAAAACAATTAAAAACAAACCAATTTCCCCTCCAAAGCCTAAACTATTGCTGTAAGGAAGTTTCAAGCTGTCTGCTTAGAGACTGGTTTTTTAAGCAGCTGAATTCAAATCAGTATTTCTTTTGGAACGCTGGGAAGGCTCAGATGGATTTGAAATGTTGCTGAGTCACAAAGGCACATTTTCTGGGACACACTTCTTACTTTGAGGAAAAAGTGATGAAAAGTTATAGATGGATAGGGTGGCAGGGAGCCTTGGTGAATTGGAGTTCCAAAAAACAAGAAAGGCAGAATTGATACAGTGAAGCTCCAATGGCTTTCCTACTTAGCCACCCAATTGCACAGAAAAGCCACAGAAAAATCAAGATTTCATTAGCAAGCACTTTCTCCTACTTCAGCCACCACTGACTGCTACTTCTGCCTCATTCCCTTCTTCACACAGACACCATACTCCAAGGGCCTGAAGACAGTTTATCCACTTTTTAATCAAGCAGTCGACAAGGATTGCATGGATAGCATATCTTCTTCAACATTCAGGGAAGTGTAGATGATCCAAGCACAAATCTGCAGAGGGGAATAAGGAGGCTGCTTATTAAGCATGCACATTTGATTGGCGTTCTTTTTCCACTCATCAGTTGTTATCAAACCGGTAGAGAAGATTCAATCTGATAATTTTCAAGATGAGTCACCAGTAGCCACAGAGTTCTAGGGTCAAACTCAGGGCTTTGTGGCTTAAGCTGTTGTCCTCCCAGTAAGACAGCATACTGAACTATTTTGGCCTGTCTTTCCTCTCTGGACAACTGTAAGGTAAAAATTTATTTAAGAAAGAAAAGGAGACAGAGAGAGAGAGAGAGAGAGAGAGAGAGAAGGTTAAAATGGCAAGTCTTCTCAGCAGGATCCTAATAAATATTTTACCACTCACACTTTCCAGAGCAGAGCAGAACTTGTCTTCTAGCCCAATTGTCTGCTCCAGGTGCAGTGTGGGTACATCTCAGGGTTGGGTCTTCAGCTTTCTCGAGAGACTTCAGTGTCTTTCTCGGCCACCAACGGCCAATGGCAGAGGTCATACAAAGATGGCTGGCTACAAGGCAGCCCTTCTGTCTGCAGACCCTGCCACAGTCCCTCTCTAGGACAGATTAGGAAAATCTACAGAGTAAAGAAAGTGCAGAAGGAGATGCATCCCTCTGCACCTTTATAACTGAGTAATACCCAGAGAATTGAGCAGAATATTCTAAGCTTCGAAAAAGCAAATAGAACAGATATGTGAGACCACATACCCTAAGGTGGTCCTGTCTGATTTTTAATATTCTCTTCCATCCTTAAACAACAACAAAGAAGATGTCCTGACGTTAATTTAGAAAATCCTGACAGAGATTTTAACTGGTAGACTATGGGTACCTTTAATCATCTGTCGGCTTTGCATCATTTATCCACAATCATTTCTGTTTCACAAAGTAGTCTCCTATTTTAATTTTGATAACCTCATTTTCCCGCCTAGACGATTGAAAAAGAACCCTCCCCACCTTGTCCGTTTCCAGGAGCACTTACCTTGAAAGGTTTTTGCAGACATTTATGACACTCCTATGAGGTGGCTAAGGTCTGTTATCCCCATTTTATGGCTGAGGAAACTGAGATAGTGAGACGTTGAGTGCTTGCCCAAGGTCAGGCACTGAGTCAGGAGCAAATTCAGAGGCAGAACTCGCTGTTCCTGGCAGCCTCACCAGGTTCAGCTGCCTCGCCTCTGTTTGAACTGCCTTAAAATAGGACTTTCAAGAATTCTGATGAATCGATTGAAACCCTGCAGTGCTTTATGTGTTAATGATGACTTGGTAACTGCATATATTAATGCTGTTCATTGACTTACAGCCAAGAGCCACTCATTTCCTAGGTGCTCAGCCTAAGAGAGACTATTTTCCTCATTTTTCACTGATTATCATAAAACACTTCCGTGTAACCATATGAGACTACGGTTCTTTCCGACACCAAAGTAAAAGTGCAAATTGTTGTCCTTTTGGCCTCTAAGTGCAGGAATCTCTCCTCTCTCCCTCTGTATACACTCCTCATCATGGTCTCCAGCCTACGACCTTCTCCTCTCTTTCTGGCCTTAGAATCTACCCTTTAGCCTCCCCGGGTGCTTCTGAAATGGAATCACTCACTGGTTCCAGGACACAGCGCTGACCCCCTCTGCATCTCACCCACCCTTATTCATCAAAATCTCTTTTTATCTTCAAGGTTCATCTAAAGAAAACCTGCTAAGAAGCCACCCCCTATTTCCCCACCAAACCTGGTCTCTCTTCCTTTGAAGCCCTTATCTGGCGCCATCTTATTTTGCCTTTTGCTTACTAGGCTCTTGCCCTGAGGATGCAGATTGTAAATTGATTAGGGGCAGGGATGGTTTTACTCACCTTTGCTAGTCTGAGATGGCACACTGACTGCGCACAGTAGGGGAGCTGCTGACTACAGGAGTGGGTGAACTTTTTTTGCAAAGGATCGGTTAGGAAATATTTTAAGCTTTGCTGGCCACAAATGCTCTCTGCTGATTCTTCTTCCTTTTCTGCAACCCTTTAAAAATGTAAAAAATCATTCTTAACTCCAAAAAATCAGCTGGGGCCTGGATTTCTCATATGGTGAAAGATCAATTGCAGCACATAGTCCAAATACATTTTGGGGCCCAAATACATTTTTGTACTTAAAAAAATCTCTAAAATTACACACTATGGTATCTGTATTTATTTTGTTTAAAACTCCAGTCAATTAAAACATGGATGAAACCCAGCATTTATAAAGGTGAAAGTAGGAACTTGCAAAATCCATGCATACGTCTTTGTGCATCATTAAAGGGCCAAATTCCTTCAGCTTTACATAGATTCTTCCATGGCTGATGAGGTCTCATGGCTTTTTAGGAAGTGGGATAATAAAACTAGCTCTGCCACACTGATGGGATTTTTTTAAGGTGTCCCAAAATGTTTCATTTGTCTCATCAATGACTGCTGTGAAACAGGATCTTGGACAAGTTAACACTTTATTTTATTTTATTATTTGAGACTGGGTCTTGCTCTGTCACCCAGGCTGATGTGCAGTGGCAGCAACATGGCTCACCGTAGCTCAACCTTCTAGGCTCAAGGGATCTTCCCACCTCTCAGCTGGGACTACAGGGGTGCATGCCACCACTCCTGGATAATTTTTGTATTTTTTGTAGAGACAGGGTTTCACCATGATGCCCAGGCTTTGTCTTGAACTCCCAGGCTCAAGTGATCCTCCTGCCTTGGCCTCCCAAAGTTCTGGTATTACAGGCATGAGCCACCATGCCCAGCCACAAGTTAACATTTTTAATGCCTGAAACTCCAGAAAGAAGGACAAAGTAATGGTCCCTTTAAAGTCTCACTGACCTGGGTTACCATCAGTGCCCACACAATGCCATTCACACCCCCTCCCTAAATCCAGGAATACTGCAAAGCAATATTTAGTCATTTCGTGGTGGCTCATGCCTATAATCCCAGCACTTTCTGAGGCGGGCAGATCACAAGGTCAGGAAATCAAGACCATCCTGGCCAACATGGTGAAACCCTGTCTCTACTAAAAATACAAAAATTAGCTGGGCGTGGTGGCGCGTCCCTGTAATCCCAGCTACTCGGGAGATTGAGGCAGAAGAATCACTTGAACCAGGGAGTTGGAGGTTGCAGTGAGCCAAGATGGCACCACTGCACTCCAGCCTGGTGACAGAGCGAGACTCGGTCTCAAAAAAAAAAAAAAGTTTAGTCATTTCCTGCATCATGACATCATAGCCTTCCCCTATTAAGTTATCTAACTGAGTTACAGTTCAAACCGCTGTTTCCATATCAGGAGCTGTTTGGTTTAACATCTCTTCAGCAAAGGTACCATGGGAGCTTTTCAGAAAACTTCAGCTTAATATTCCAACTTATTTTCCTGAGGAGATCCAGCTGTGAATAATAGTGTTGATTCGGTATCGCTGATCATTTGCCAGAATGTGCGATTTGTAAAACTTTGGCAGGGAAAATTGTATTACAGATGTTACATTGGAAAACCTCTGAACTGCCGTGAAATGTAATTGTGTGTTGGAGGGCACGTCATGTCGTTAGCAGGCTGAGTTTACTCTGTTTGGGTGAACAGTGCACATACACTACAATGGGTAGCTGCTCTGTTTATATGAAAGTCAGAGAGACAGAATAATAATCCAACCCTCGAAGACAGCTATAATTACAGCATGTTGACTCCGTCCCCTTGACAGGGAAGCTGCAATGTTTCAAATAGAAAGCTCCATTAGCTAGGTGACCAATTAAGGAAGCAGAAAACAGCGAGAAGGAGGTATAAAATTATCTTGTTAAAATTCTCTTCAAAAATAGAGATATTTAACACATAACAAGAATATACAGTCTAAGGCAGTAGAGAATTTTATTTAAAAATAACCTTGTCCTGTAAAAGTAAAGCTGATCTACGATAAACTGTTCAAATATCTGTATCCCATTTAGAGACAAAGGACCAGGCTGAGCAACATAGTGAGATCCTGTCTCTACAACAAATTAAAAAAGAAAAAATAGCCAGATGTGGTGGCACAGGCTTGTGGTCCCAGCTACCTGCAACTCTGAGGTGGGAGGATCTCTTGAGCCCAGGTGATTAAGGCTGCAGTGGGCTATGATCGGGCCACTGCACTCCAGCCTGGGTGACAGAGTGAGACCCTGTCTTAACAACAGAGAGAGAGAGAGAGAGAGAGAGAGAGAGAGAGAGAGAGAGAGAGAGAATGGGCTTTCATGCTAGAAATAGCTATAATTTTTTTTAAAAAATAATGTGATATTTACTTATATTTTATATTTAGAAAATGTCATTTCCTACATCTAAAATGGCTTTTGAAAATGGAAAAGCAACCAACTGAAATTGTATTGAATTAATTATATCAATACTTTCTAAACTTCCAACAGCTCTGGTGAATCACTATTTCCTATTCTATTGTTTTTTACTATATGGTTGTTTCACATTTTGGAAATAAGTGAGAAGAAACAGTAGAAAATAGACTGTTTGATTTGGTTTTGAATCCTTTGCCTGGATGTATCTGGATTCAAGGTCTATTAGGCTGAATCATATGAAATTGCTGCTTATTTAGTTAAAATGACATCAAATATTGGCAATTTCATAAGTGGTTGCTGGCTACCACTTCAGTGTTTCTTCTGTTATCTCTGTGATAAAGTCTTTGGTCCTTGTCAATTGGCCATGGGTAAATGGGACAATTACAGGATAAAAACTTTATTCTTGGATAATAGGGTAATAAACAATAATAATAACAGGTAGAAAATAGATAATAACAGATAATTGATATACAGATATTAGCTAGGTAATAGGTAGGTAGATAAAAATAATAGTATCGATAGAATTTCTGCTGCAAGGTTTGTATGTCTACAGAAGAGTCTTCTCTTCCTTCCAGTCTTTTGGAAAAAAAAGTAGACACTTTCTCACTATGTTGCCCAGGCTGGCCTCAAGTTTCTGGGCTCAAGCAATCCTCCTACCTTAGCCTCCTGAGTAGCTGGTACTATAAGCATTCATCCCCACACCCACCAGCTAGCAAGCATTCTTTTAACCTTCTGCAAGTAAGAGGTTTTGACGCCCTTCATTTCATTCTTTTATTTGCTGATCATTATGATAATAGTAGTTAACATTTCTAGTGATCTCTTAGCATCCATGGGGATTGGTTCCAGGACCCCCTCATGGATACCAAAATCCAAGATGCTAAAGTTTCTTTTATAAAATGGCATAGTGTTTGCATGTAACCTATGTACATCTTCCCGTATACTTTAAATCATCTCTAAATTATAAGTAATCTTATAATACCTAATACAATGTAAATAGGGTTATATTGCACTGTTTTTTATTTGTATTTTTTATCTGTATTTTTTTGAATATTTTCTACTCGAGGTTGGTTGAGTCCTTGGATGCAGACTTGGGGATATGGAGGGCTGACTGTCCAGTACTTACTAAGTTACTGGGCGTATAATAAAGTCTTTACATGTTATTATTTCCTCCTCAAAATGACTCTGTGAGATAAGCATTAGTATTATAATCTCTGTTTTACAGATGAAAGCTTTGGGAGAGCAAGACAGCTACAAAACCTATTTTTCATTCTACAGTGTATTTGATTAAATGGAGGGAAGACAGGAGAGATGGAGAAAAATTTTGGCCAGTCAAACTTCAGATCCTCAGGTCAAATGTAGCCTTGGTGTCAGAATCTGGAAATTCCTATTGAAGTGGTTTGGTGGCCAATTGTACTTCTGATCCTTGAATTTGAACTTTAAAATCCACCTTTGGGTGTGACAATATGATCCCAGGACTTAATTAACCTCTTAATATGTCATTATCTTTATCTGTAAAACAATACAAAATTATCTACCTCATAGAGTCATTGAGGTTTCCAATGATATTTTACATCCTTAGATGAAGACATACAAAATAATATAACCTATTCCAAAACTGGAAGGAAGCACTCTTTGGTTTTTGTGCTTTCATAATAATTGCTATTTCTCATTTGTAAGTTTGTGGCAACAGATGGACAAGAAAAAATTAGAACTCATAGAAAATATTTTGATAGATATCAGTTTTATAGATTTATAGTTTCTTTTCCTAAACTGTACTGTTCAACAAAAATTATACAAACCTTTTGACTAGGAGATGCATTTTTAAAGGCATATAGACTCTTAGTAATTTATATCCTCTGTACAGCTTATATTTTCTATATCACGAAGAATAGGAAAGAAAAACAGACAGAGTTATCATCATTCATTCTCCAAAAAAGAGCACATGCTTATGGGAACCTTGCTCTAAAACCTAAGCAGCCACATGAAAATGATTTAGCTTCCTGAAGATTGCGCAAGAGTCAACAGCACAGCTAGACAATATTGTTTTAATTCTTCATGTTGCAGAATTATCTAAAGAAAAGAAAGCTGATTTTTTAAATGATAGCTGAAGATATTTTGAAGACAGTTGAATCTGGGTTGGCAAGGCAAAAAGTCAAACAGCACATCAAAACAAGAGAAGGAAACTGTGACTAAAATAAAAGTGATGATATGTTCCTCTAATTTAAACATTCAAGTCTGTGTAAATGAATTAAAAAATTTTCTTTGAAAAGTTCTCACCAGTTGTGAGATAGACCAAATAATTTAACACAAGCAATCTCTAGAGGTTGAATTAAGGTCCTGTTTTAAAAACATTATTAGTAAGCAGATGGCGACTATAAAAATGATCACAAAGTAATGATTATACACACTGCCGAGTCAAGCTGCCCGACCGGTCCTGCCCATTCTTTAACTATTTCATGTATGTCAAGTTCACCACCCCCTGCACACCTATTGTCCTGGCATTTCACAGTTTCTTCTTTCAACAAGGGTAGAAGCGGTTTCTGTGACACAGCTGTCAAAGAAGAACACGTGAAGAGGGAAGAAAGTCTAGGTGAGGGCTGGGTATGTTGGCTCACACCTGTATTCCCGGCACTTTGGGAGGCTGAGGCAGGAGAACTGCTTTTGCCCAGGAGTTCAAGACCAGCCTGGGCAACATAGTGGGACCCTATCTCTACAAAAAATTAAAAAAATTAGCCTGGCGTGGTGGTGCACACCTGTAGTCCCAGCTACTCAGGACTCTGAGGTAGTAGGATAGCTTGAGCTTGGGAGGTATATGCTGCAGTAAGCAGAGATCTCGCCACAGCACTCCAGGCTGAGTGACAGAGCAAGACCTTGTTTCAAAAAAAAAAAAGGAAAAGAAAAAGAAAGAAAGAAAGAAAATGTCTAGGTGGGAACACAAGCTAAGGACCCAGTCTTCAAATTCCAGGACCTCTTGGATCATCCACATACACAACCTGACTCTCATTCACAGAAGCACTTTTCATGAAAACATTATATTACAATGATTTAAACACCCTTCTCCAAATTAGTTAACTTGCTTTACTTCAGATTAGCTAGTTTAAAGAGAACATAATTGATTAGTGAAAAAAACCAACTTGACTAATGAGTGAGCTCTGGGAATAGGTTTCTGGGTACCCAAGAAGCATTAACTCATACAAATAAGTCCAAACAATGACTCCAGCTGGGAAAAGAACAGAGTCAGAACAAGCAGTTGCCTAGGGCAATACATTACCAAGGCAGCGGACTCTGCAAGTGGTTTCTGTAGAACAAATGCAGGCTTTGAATTTAAATATTACCCACTTTGCTTGGGGTAGGTGAATCTGTAGATGAATTACTCACCCCAGAAGTTAAGCAGCCACTCTCCTGACCTCACTAGATGGATGACAGATGGATGTTTTAAAAGTGACTATTCAGAGTTCAGGGTGCAAATGAAGGCATTCACTATATGGCTGCATACACAGCACTGGCTATAAGCCAAGCTTGCTTTCCACCCCTTCTCTCTAGCCCAGCGTAGGCTGCTGACTATAAGCCAAACGCCAATCACCAGGTAGCAATGACTTGTCTTTGCACTGGCTGTGAGGAGGCTTAGTCTTTTTTAATCCTCTACTGCTTGCAAGTGAATTGGGCTATTGGGTATGTATGTATATGTATACACACACACACACACATATTCAAATATGCATATACATATATCTATCTAGCAAACCATCATATTTTCTTTTTTACTTATTTTTTGAGACAGGGTCTCACTCTGTCTCCCAGGCTGCAGTGCAGTGGGTGACTATAGCTCACTGCAGCCGTGGCCTCGTGGGCTCAAGCCATCCTCCCATTTCAGTCTCTTGAGTAGCTGGGACTACATGCACACGCTACCCTGCCCAGCTAATTTTAATTTTTTGTTTGTTCTAGAGACAAGGTCTCACTATGTTGTCCAGGCTGGTCTCAAACTCCTGGCCTCAAGTAATTCTCCCGCTTCAGCCTCCCAAATAGCTGGGATTACAGGCGTGATCCACTGTACCCAGCCTATATTTTCTTAGCCATATTTTTTTTCTTTCCTCAAACTCATTTCAGTTTATTTTATTCTTAAGCAGAGCCTATATTTGTATAAGCTGCTTCAATTCCCTCTATGGAAAGCCACAAACAGACAAATACATAAAGTGTAGAAAGAATGCTAATATGATAGACCGTGAGATCTCAGAGTCCTTTTTAGTGAAGCAGAGGTGTCACTTGTTTAAACTGTTAACCCTGGAGACTGTAAGTGTGAATCAATCCCTCAAGTATTCAAGTTGCAGGGCTCTCAAATTCAGGGTAAAAGAGAATTTATAAAAGCTCTAAAGAACAGGACAATTTATTGAATGGCTGTAATATGAATGCATGTTCACAAGGAATAATTCCATTTCCTTTGTTAAAATTCCCTTTTGTTCTTTGAGAATTCTTTTTTCACTAGCCAGAAAGCAAAATAGCACTGGAAACTGTTTTTGAAATGGACATCATTGGGCTAGATTGTTCGCAGCAATCTCTCTTGACATTGTGTATAATGTTTTATTACATCTGGAGCATCACTAAAAAAGAGGGAATAGAGTCCCACATTCACATATAGCTTCGTAAGGCAGCTATTGAATAGATCTAGCAAATCTTGTGGCTGTTTTGAATGTAATTATGAATCTCTGTCCTGGAGGTTGTCACTTCATTCTTAGGAAGGGGTAGTTCTACCTGTCACTAGGAGACTGGGCGGCCTAAGGAAACTCGTCAGTAGCTTGGGGCTCCCTTGTCTTTAAACTGAGGGGCCTGAAGTTAGATCACAGGGCTGTAGAATTCGCCTACTGCTTTCACAATCATTAGTTCTTTTGATCTTCACAGCAACCCTGAAGGGAGGCAGGGCATTTGTTATTTAATACACAAGGAAATGGAGGCTCAGAGATAAAACAATGTGTTTAAAGATCTTAGAGCAATTAAAATAGAACACCTGAGACAGAATCCAGTTCTTGGAGATCTGTTTTACTGCTGTTTTAGCACTGTGGTTCAGTTGGAATTTCCTACCTCACTTAATACGTAGAAGAAGAAAGTGAGAAAAACAGTGCCAGTGTTGGGGTGGACAGCAGGTGGAATACGCTATTGGTCTGACTCCTTATGGATTGACTTTTGATCTTGTAAAGAATGTACAGAGTCTAAATTTAGCAACAGCCAGCTAATGAACAGCTGGAGTCAGGTCACAAGTTTGGGGTGAGCATGGGTTGAACCAGCCCTGCCTTGCTTTTGGTGGGGCGCTTAGCAACAGTGCTACCCCAGGTGGTTCCATGCTGTAGCATATGCTCAACCTTTTAGTAAAGGCCACAGTCTTATTTAAAAACAAAACATCCAAAATTTCTATTATGAGCCTCCCAAATCCCCGTTAAATAAAAATGCAGTATTTTCCTCACTCTTCTTCCTATGCTGACATTTAGAAATACCATTTTCCTATTTCATTTTATATCTTCAGAGAGGAAACTATGTAATGCAGCAGAAAGAACCCCATTTGGAATTCAAGAAAGCCGGGTCCTCAGCCTCGCTTGACTTAGCTGTGTGATTTTCAACAAGTTACTTAACCTCTCAGAACCTATTTCTGTACAGGAAATCTAGGGGTTTTCCTATCTAAGCTTTGAGATCTTGTCTAACTCTCAAATTCTATGATTCATTTCCAACTTAGGTTTCTCTTATTTAATGTTTGCTATTTGTTTTGTTAGATATTAATTCATATTTGTGGGCCCAGTTTAACTTTCAAATAACAATATTTTTATTATTTGCATTCTATTACTCCTAGGTACGGGATCTCATCCCCGCTAGACCTTGCTTTGTTTTCCTGGGTAATCTTTCTATTATGTGTCATCCATCTCCTGACAAGCATTGCAGGTACCAGTGCGCTTATCACTTGCATCAGTTAGAATGAGAAAAGCCAATTCAAACCGCCTTAACGAGAAAAAAGATCTACTGACTCATGGAACTAAGAGTTAAGGAGTAGTGCAGGTTCAAGCAAAGTTGGATCAGAGTTCTTGATCTATTTCTCTGTGATTTTATTGACTCTACTGATTTGTGTTTACGATGTTTATCCTGAGACAAACAGCAAGAGGATGCAATGGTTCAGGGCCTCCTATCCCTGCCCAAAAGGGACTATAAGAAGAATACTCTACTGTCTATTCTCTATTTTTGTAGCCAGGAAACTTTCTCTGGAATCCTCAGAAAACTCCCTTTTATCTCCTTGGCCTAAACAGAGTCACACACCATTCCTGAACCAGCCACTGTTGCCTAAGGAGTGCCATGCCAGGCTTGAGCCTGGGTATCTGAACCAATTGCTGGCAGGGAGTAGGGCTACCTTGACAGGTTTACACCAGTCAGTGCTACCCATGGAACTGAAGTCCAACCCCATAACTACAGAGTGGCTACATCATGGTGGAGGAGAGGATGTCAGAGAGGCAACCTTATTCCATTGTATCTTGCCCATCCAGCTCTAAGAACATGGGGGCAAAAATTGCATTTTCAGATCTTCTGCGTGCCAGGCACCCAGCTAATGTTTGTTACATTGAATAGAATGGAATGGAATGGAATTTTAGGTAGTGGTGAAGACAAAAACCAAAACAGAAAAATAACACGCAGTTCTCTGTACCTCTTCCTCTCAATTCTATTCTTGCCATGGCTGCTGTTCATGCTCCCTAACTTTCCCCACTATTTATATGTTACCCCTCTTATTTTTAGCCATAAGTTTTACTTAGTCTGAAGATAACCAAATATTTCCTGAATAATAAGTCTCTGAATATGCATATTCTCTAAATATGAATATAAGCCTATTTGCAAATCTAGCACTTACATTTAGAATGTTGTTGGCAGGACTCTGAAAATCAACTTTTTTTTTTAATGGAAAAATATACTACAGCAGAAGGATTTGTTTTCCACAAAGCAGAACCAACTTTTTTGATTTCAATGATTTTTTGATACTTCCGTATATATTTATATGCTCATTAAATAAATAAATATTAAGTCAGACCTTCTTGATTAGAGAATCGTCTGTCACTAAAAATTGGACTTAGGACTTACAAGTCTCTCTCATTAAAGAGAAGGGGTTGTAAGAGGGCTGGGATGCCTGGATTTATTCAGCCCCTCTTTCTCCCATTCTAGCTCCCAACGTGGTCCCATTCTCTGAGAAAGTACACAAGGCCCCGGGGCCAGGCAGTAGGTGATATTCATAAGCAACAAGAAATAGGAAGCCCTCTATATGGGTTTAGTAGCGCCCTCTTCCAAAACAAGACCACAGCAACCGGCTGATCGGGGCCACCCCTCAGGAAATGCTGGACCCAGGGCCACCCAACTCAACAACACTTTCAATCCTTTAGTAGCTTTTACTGAGCACACCATCTGCGTAAACTTCAGTGTTCTATGATATAGTCCCTGCCCTTGAGAGAGGTAGACAAGGAAACAGGCAATTACAATCCAGCAGTGAAGTCCCTGGAAGAGGTAAACCCAGAGTGCTACCAAGGCAGAGGTAGCACTGTGAGAGGGCTGCTCCATGGCCTAACACCAGAGGGGTCAGGATTCACTTGAAACACAATGCCCTTCCATGGAATGTTCTTCCATTTGTTTGTGTCCTTTTTTATTTCGCTGAGCAGTGGTTTGTAGTTCTCCTTGAAGAGGTCCTTCATATCCCTTATAAGTTGGATTCTTAGGTATTTTATTCTCTTTGAAGCAATTGTGAATGGGAGTTCACTCATGATTTGGCTCTCTGTTTGTCTGTTATTGGTGTATAAGAATGCTTATGACTTTTGCACATTGATTTTGTATCCTGAGACTTTGCTGAATGATGTCCCCTGCAGCTGTGCAATGTGGCAGCCCTGACCCCCGCCCCATCTTAGCATGGTCAAAGAAGCCTTCCCAGAAGAAGTGATATCCAAGCTGAGGTTTGAAGTAAGGAAGGGGAGAGCATCCAGACACTCTATACCAGGTTTGGAAGGGGGAGTGCACATATACAGTGTAAACATGGCCCAGCACTTAAAGAGGAATACAGACTGCACATCCTCAGGTGAGTGCATGGTAAAGGAGCACTCCTTCTATTGCAGGGTGAGATGAGGGATGTGATTATGTTCAGATACATATGGGCCTTAGATCTTTTTGGATACTAGCTGATACTTTATCAACAGTTGTCTTCCTGAGTTCTTGCATATCTGCTAATATTGGAGAGTTTAAGGAGAGAGCAGAGTCCAAACTCAGGGTGTGTCTTGGGGTGTCTTAAGACAGATTATCACTGTGAACAAAACAGGAATAATTAACGACATTAAATAGTTCATCCTTCCCTGCCTTTATAAAGTCTCACCGAGCTTGCATTTGGCAGCCTGACCTACCAGTAAGATTATAAAACAAATGAATTAGTAAATATCGAAATAATTCTGTTTGCCACATGTGTGAATGTTAAAAAATTCACTGTCATAATTCAAGCCCAGGTTTTAATAGAAGCACGTGGATCTAAGCAAAATCAAATGAATGGACCAATGTTCAATATACAGTGATGGATGTCTTGAATAACCTGAGTTGACAGATATAAAATGAGATCATAAAAACGTTGGCTTTTTAAAAATGTGTTATTTACATCATTTCTTGAAGCCAAACACTGTAATGCCACTAACATTATTAGAAAATCTGGAATCAGATTAAACGTGATCACTGGTTATTATCATTTTTGTGACGTAAGTCACAGTTCTACTTACATGTCTCTGGGTTTTGAAAATGTGATTACCAGAGTTGGGCTCTTAGGACATACACTTGAAAAGATAAATTAGAAACTATGGAATCATTTTCTGAACTGTTTGTGAGATAACTGTTGATAGTTCCAGAAGCATCCCTAAAAAACGACTATTTTTATGGGATAAATTGTATCCCTGGATGAATGCCTCCTCTGGTGTTTATTAGAACTTCCATGGGACTGGGCGAAGTCAGTATTTTAGGATGATACTGTCAGAGCTATGTACTTTGAGCTCCTAGCAGTTCATTTTGATTTCATTTGTTTGTCTTTATAACACTGTGAATCTGAAGAAGAAAATCTGAAGTCTCCATTCTTCCTCTACCACCATAGAAGTTGAATGTTATGTATAATGACTTTTCACTCCAAATGGTGCACCTAAGGAAGCCACTGTAACTGCAATGACAAGTGTAAGAGTTTTGTCACTGGCCCTGTGGCATCTAATTATGAACCACACTTGTCTTTAGAATGAACACGAGCTCCTCATGTATCGCCAGTCACTTTACCTTTTGCAAAAAGGAACTGTTTTAAAACCTTAATCTTGGGCACGGTGGCTCATGTCTGTAATCCCAGCACTTTGGGAGGCCAAGGTGGGCAGATCACTTGAAGTCAGGAGTTTGAGACGAGCCCGGCCAACGTGGCAAAACCCCGCCTCTATTGAAAAAAAAAAATTAGCCGGGCGTCATGCTGCCCACTGTAATCCCAGCTACTCAGGAGGCTGAGGCAGGAGAATCGCTTGAACCTAGGAGCCAGAGGTTGCAGTGAGCCAAGATCGCACTACTGCACTCCCGCCTGGGGGACAGAGCACGACTCCATCTCAAAAGAAAAACAAAAACAAAAAACAAAACAAGCAAAAACCCTTAATCTTTGCAAGATGACCTTCTTTTCAAGCAGAAACATGCATTATGCTTACATTTTCATAGCAGACATCCAGATATACATAAATTTCTACTCATTAATAAGCATAAAAACTAGTTACTGTCCCCATTTTATTCAGATCTATTGATCTTCTCTTAATTTCTGTGTTTTTAATCACAGTATATAATCAGAGGCATGGAAAGTTAAATTTTTGATAATGAAAGCCAGACTTGTTCAATAGGTTTGCAAGATAATTTTGTTATTAGAAATCATTGATGAAGGCTGTATTAGTTCATTCTCCCACTGTTATAAAGACACACCTGGCCAGGTGCGGTGGCACACGCCTGTAATCCCAGCACTTTGGGAGGCCGAGGTGGGTGGATCACCTGAGGTCAAGAGTTTGAGATCAGCCTGGCCAACATGGTGAAACCCCATCTCTACTAAAAATACAAAAAATTAGCTGGTGTGGTGGCACATGCCTGTAATCCCAGTTCCTTGGGAGGCTGAGGCAGGAGAATAGCTTGGACCCAGGAGGCAGAAGTTGTAGTAAGCATAGATCGCACCACTGCACTCCAGCCTGGGTGAAAGAGCGAGACTCCATCTCAAAGAAAAAAAAAAAAAAAGACACACCTGAGACTGGGTAATTTATAAAGAAAAGGCTGGGCATGGTGGCTCACATCTGTAATCCCAGCACTTTGGGAGGCCAAGGCAGGTGGGTCACCCGAGATCAGGAGTTCAAGACCAGCCTGGCCAACATAGTGAAACCCCGTCTCCACTAAAAATACAAAAAATTAGCCAGGTGTGGTGGCATGTGCCTATAGTCCCATCTACTTGGGAAGCCAAGGCAGGAGAATTGCTTGAACCTGGGAGGTGGAGGTTGCAGTGAGCTGAGACTGTGCCACTGCACTCCAGCCTGGGCTATATAGTGAGACTCAGTCTCAAAAAAATAATATAAAGAGAGGAGGTATAATTGGCTCACCGTTCTGCAGGCTGTATAGGCTTCTGCTTCTGGGGAGGCCTCGGGAAACTTACAATCATGGCAGAAGGCAAAAAGGAAGCAGGCACATATTCATATGGCCAGCAGGAGAGGGAGAGCAATGGGGGAAGGTGCCACATGCTTTTAAACAACCAGATCCTGTGAGAACTCTATCATGAGACAGCACTAGGGAGATGGTGCTAAGACACTAGAAACCACCCCCGTGAGCCAGTCACATCCCACCAGGCCCGATCTCCAACATTGGGAATTAAAATTCGACGAGAGATTTGGGTGGGGACACAGAGCCATTCCAAAGGCTTATGTCAGAATGTCACCCTTGAAAAGGGTCATGTTTGAAGAATTCATGCTAGCACTATGACAATTGTGAGATAACTATCGATGATTCCAGAAGCATCCCTAAAGAAATGAGTAGATATGCCATGACTTAAATGAGACTGACAGCATTTTATAAATGGAAGGGACCACAGAAATCATCAGGGCACAGGTGAGGAAATTCATTCAAAGAACAAAACAGTACTGTTAAAATAAATGAAGCAGTTCTTATAAAACCGCTAGATTCATATAGTTTTCTGAAATCATGCATCTGAACCAAACAAATGTATTTTTGCATCTGTGTTTTTTTAAAAAATGATAGAAGTACAACATGATTAAGAGTTCCACATTCTAAGATTATAGCAAAAGCTAGAAATGAATGGAAATTTTTAGCAGATCAGTGTTCATCTTAGGCATCTATATTCCTCAGAAGCATTTTCTACTTAACTGGGTCCCTGTATAGCTTTCTATGATTGATATCTTTCTGATATCCGTATAGGAAGTGTGAGCAATTATTGAGATTTTTACTCAAAAGTCTGAATATAATTTTTGTGTATTGTAGATGTGACCATATGTATGCTGAAACAGCGAAGAGATTTAAATTCAGTTAGAGAATAGTGAGTTCTAGTCTGTCTTTTTGGTATCAAGAGTTGTAATCTATTGAAAGAATGAGTTAGAATTCACTTACACGTGCCTGTGAGTGCACACACGTGCCAATGTACATATGCACGAAAGACCTACCAGAGACACACTAGCAGCAAAGTATCCCCTGCATAGTTCAGAAAACGTGTCTGGCTTGATATAGAATTTTCAAGGAATAAAAAAATAGACCTTTTCAACTGGTCATTGTCCTTGTCCATTCCTTCTGCTATGACAAAATATCTTAAACTGGACAATATATAAGGAAACAGAAATTTATTTGTTACTGTCTGGAGACAGGAATTCTAAGATCAAGTCACCAGAAGATTCAATGTCTAGTGAAGGCTCACTCTCTGCTTCATAGGTGGCACCTTGCTGCTGTGTTGTCACTTGGTGGAAGGACAAAAAGGGGCTAAATAGCCTTCCTTAAGCCCTTTTTTTTTTTTTTTTGAGACATAGTCTTGCTCTGTCATCCAGGCTGGAGTGCAGTGGCATGATCTCTGCTCACTGCAACCTCCGCCTCCTAGATTCAAGGGATTCTCCTGCCTCAGCCTCCTGAGTAGCTGGGATTACAAGCGAGTGCCATCATGCCCAGCTAATTTTTGTATTTTTAGTAGAGACAAGGGTTCACCATTTTGACCAGGCTGGTCTAGAACTCTTGACCTCAAGTGATCTGCCAGACTCGGCCTCCCAAAGTCCTGGGATTACAGGTGTGAGCCACCATGCCTGGTCATTGGGGATTAAGTTTTAACATGAATTTTGGAGGGACACAAACATTCAAACCATAGCAGTCATGGTTCTGACATATACACAAGAGTAACCCTGTGATTTCTTTTCTTTGTATAGAATATTATAATTTTTTCTCTTTTTTATAGGATATTATAATTGCTCAAGGCATTGATTACCAGGTCAGGGTCACCAAGTGTATTAGTTTGCTAGAGCTGCTGTAACAAAGTACTGCAGACTGGGTGGCTTAAATATATTGCCTCAAAGTTCTGGAGGCTAAGTCCAAGGTCAAGATGTTGGCAAGGTTGGTTCCTTCTGAAAGCTGTGAGGTAGAATCTGTTCCAGGCCTCTCTGGAAGCTTCTGGTGGTTTAGCTGGCAATCTTTGCTGTTCCTTGGCTTGTAGACAACATAACATCCCAATTTCTGCCTTCATCTTCACATGGTATTCCTCCTATGTGTCTCTGTGTCTAAATTTATCTTTTTATTTTATTTTTTAAAGGGATGGAGTCTCTCACTCTGTCACCCAGGCTCCTAGGCTGGAGTGCAGTAGCAAAATCATAGCTCACTGCAGTCTTGAACTCCTGGGCTCAAGAGATCCTCCCGACCCAGCTTCCTAAGTAGCTGGGACTACAGGTGCACGCCACCGTGTCCAGCTGGGTTTTCAGAAAACTTTTTTAGAGACAGGGTCTCACTGTGTCGCCCAGGCTGGTTTCTGACCCCTGGCCTCAAGCGATCCTCCCACCTCAGCCTCCGTAGGAGCTAGGATTACAGGTGCGAGGCACCACACCCAGCCAAATTTCCCCTTTTTATAAGGATACCACTTACATTGGTTTAGGGCCCACCATAATGATCTCATTTTAACTTGATTAATTACATCTGCAACAACCAGTTTGTCAATCTGCAAATAAGGCCACAAGGCCATGTTCTGAATTACTGAGGGATAGGGGGTTAGGACTTCATCAATCTGGCAGGGGGACACAATTCAACCCTTTACAAAAAGAAAAAGTGACCTAGTTATCAAATAATTTCCCAGGGTCCTGTGGAATACAGGGATTGATTATGAACATAGCAAAATGCAATCATGAAAACCAGTGTCCTGGTTTACAAGAATACCTATTGAGCACCTACATGGAGTAGGCATTTCTTAATTATGGGATTAATTGAAATTCTCAAGTGTTGTGATTTTTAAATTAAAAAAAAAGCTCTCGGAGGAGGAGCCAAGATGGCCGAATAGGAACAGCTCCGGTCTACAGCTCCCAGCGTGAGCGACGCAGAAGACGGTTGATTTCTGCATTTCCATCTGAGGTACCGGGTTCATCTCACTAGGGAGCGCCAGACAGTGGGCGCAGGCCAGTGGGTGCGTGCACCGTGCGCGAGCGGAAGCAGGGCGAGGCATTGCCTCACCTGGGAAGCGCAAGGGGTCAGGGAGTTCCCTTTCCGAGTGAAAGAAAGGGGTGACGGACGCACCTGGAAAATCGGGTCACTCCCACCCGAATATTGCGCTTTTCAGACCGGCTTAAAAAACGGCGCACCACGAGACTATATCCCACACCTGGCTCAGAGGGTCCTACGCCCAAGGAATCTCGCTGATTGCTAGCACAGCAGTCTGAGATCAAACTGCAAGGCGGCAGCGAGGCTGGGGGAGGGGCGCCCGCCATTGGCCAGGCTTGATTAGGTAAACAAAGCAGCCAGGAAGCTCGAACTGGGTGGAACCCACCACAGCCCAAGGAGGCCTGCCTGCCTCTGTAGGCTCCACCTCTGGGGGGCAGGGCACAGACAAACAAAAAGACAGCAGTAACCTCTGCAGACTTAAATGTCCCTGTCTGACATCTTTGAAGAGAGCAGTGGTTCTCCCAGCACGCAGCTGGAGATCTGAGAACGGGCAGACTGCCTCCTCAAGTGGGTCCCTGACCCCTGACCCCCGAGCAGCCTAACTGGGAGGCACCTGCCAACAGGGGCACACTGACACCTCACACGGCAGGGTATTCCAACAGACCTGCAGATGAGGGTCCTGTCTGTTAGAAGGAAAACTAACAACCAGAAAGGACATCTACACCGAAAACCCATCTGTACATCACCATCATCAAAGACCAAAAGTAGATAAAACCACAAAGATGGGGAAAAAACAGAACAGAAAAACTGGAAACTCTAAAACGCAGAGCGCCTCTCCTCCTCCAAAGGAACGCAGTTCCTCACCAGCAACAGAACAAAGCTGGATGGAGAATGATTTTGACGAGCTGAGAGAAGAAGGCTTCAGACGATCAAGTTACTCTGAGCTACGGGAGGACATTCAAACCAAAGGCAAAGAAGTTGAAAACTTTGAAAAAAATTTAGAAGAATGTATAACTAGAATAACCAATACAGAGAAGTGCTTAAAGGAGCTGATGGAGCTGAAAACCAAGGCTCGAGAACTACGTGAAGAATGCAGAAGCCTCAGGAGCCAATGCGATCAACTGGAAGAAAGGGTATCAGTGATGGAAGATGAAATGAATGAAATGAAGTGAGAAGGGAAGTTTAGAGAAAAAAGAATAAAAAGAAATGAGCAAAGCCTCCAAGAAATATGGGACTATGTGAAAAGACCAAATCTACGTCTGATTGGTGTACCTGAAAGTGATGTGGAGAATGGAACCAAGTTGGAAAACACTCTGCAGGATATTATCCAGGAGAACTTCCCCAATCTAGCAAGGCAGGCCAACGTTCAGATTCAGGAAATACAGAGAACGCCACAAAGATACTCCTCGAGAAGAGCAACTCCAAGACACATAATTGTCAGATTCACCAAAGTTGAAATGAAGGAAAAAATGTTAAGGGCAGCCAGAGAGAAAGGTAGGGTTACCCTCAAAGGAAAGCCCATCAGACTAACAGCGGATCTCTCGGCAGAAACCCTACAAGCCAGAAGAGAGTGGGGGCCAATATTCAACATTCTTAAAGAAAAGAATTTTCAACCCAGAATTTCATATCCAGCCAAACTAAGCTTCATAAGTGAAGGAGAAATAAAATACTTTATAGACAAGCAAATGCTGAGAGATTTTGTCACCACCAGGCCTGCCCTAAAAGAGCTCCTGAAGGAAGCGCTAAACATGGAAAGGAACAACCGGTACCAGCCACTGCAAAATCATGCCAAAATGTAAAGACCATCGAGACTAGGAAGAAACTGCATCAACTAATGAGCAAAATCACCAGCTAACGTCATAATGACAGGATCAAATTCACACATAACAATATTAACTTTAAATATAAATGGACTAAATTCTGCAATTAAAAGACACAGACTGGCAAGTTGGATAAAGAGTCAAGACCCATCAGTGTGCTGTATTCAGGAAACCCATCTCATGTGCAGAGACACACATAGGCTCAAAATAAAAGGATGGAGGAAGATCTACCAAGCAAACGGAAAACAAAAAAAGGCAGGGGTTGCAATCCTAGTCTCTGATAAAACAGACTTTAAACCAACAAAAATCAAAAGAGACAAAGAAGGCCATTACATAATGGTAAAGGGATCAATTCAACAAGAGGAGCTAACTATCCTAAATATTTATGCACCCAATACAGGAGCACCCAGATTCATAAAGCAAGTCCTGAGTGACCTACAAAGATACTTAGACTCCCACACATTAATAATGGGAGACTTTAACACCCCACTGTCAACATTAGACAGATCAACGAGACAGAAAGTCAACAAGGATACCCAGGAATTGAAATCAGCTCTGCACCAAGCAGACCTAATAGACATCTACAGAACTCTCCACCCCAAATCAACAGAATATACATTTTTTTCAGCACCACACCACACCTATTCCAAAATTGACCACATAGTTGGAAGTAAAGCTCTCCTCAGCAAATGTAAAAGAACAGAAATTATAACAAACTATCTCTCAGACCACAGTGCAATCAAACTAGAACTCAGGATTAAGAATCTCACTCAAAGCCGCTCAACTACATGGAAACTGAACAACCTGCTCCTGAATGACTACTGGGTACATAACGAAATGAAGGCAGAAATAAAGATGTTCTTTGAAACCAACGAGAACAAAGACACCACATACCAGAATCGCTGGGACGCATTCAAAGCAGTGTGTAGAGGGAAATTTATAGCACTAAATGCCTACAAGAGAAAGCAGGAAAGATCCAAAATTGACACCCTAACATCACAATTAAAAGAACTAGAAAAGCAAGAGCAAACACATTCAAAAGCTAGCAGAAGGCAAGAAATAACTAAAATCAGAGCAGAACTGAAGGAAATAGAGACACAAAAAACCCTTCAAAAAATCAATGAATCCAGGAGCTGGTTTTTTGAAAGGATCAACAAAATTGATAGACCGCTAGCAAGACTAATAAAGAAAAAAAGAGAGAAGAATCAAATAGACACAATAAAAAATGATAAAGGGGATATCACCACCGATCCCACAGAAATACAAACTACCATCAGAGAATACTACAAACACCTCTACGCAAATAAACTAGAAAATCTAGAAGAAATGGATACATTCCTCGACACATACACTCTCCCAAGACTAAACCAGGAAGAAGTCGAATCTCTGAATAGACCAATAACAGGATCTGAAATTGTGGCAATAATCAATAGTTTACCAACCAAAAAGAGTCCAGGACTAGATGGATTCACAGCCGAATTCTACCAGAGGTACAAGGAGGAACTGGTACCATTCCTTCTGAAACTATTCCAATCAATAGAAAAAGAGGGAATCCTCCCTAACTCATTTTATGAGGCCAGCATCATTCTGATACCAAAGCTGGGCAGAGACACAACCAAAAAAGAGAATTTTAGACCAATATCCTTGATGAACATTGATGCAAAAATCCTCAATAAAATACTGGCAAACCGAATCCAGCAGCACATCAAAAAGCTTATCCACCATGATCAAGTGGGCTTCATCCCTGGGATGCAAGGCTGGTTCAATATACGCAAATCAATAAATGTAATCCAGCATATAAACAGAGCCAAAGACAAAAACCACATGATTATCTCAATAGATGCAGAAAAAGCCTTTGACAAAATTCAACAACCCTTCATGCTAAAAACTCTCAATAAATTAGGTATTGATGGGACGTATTTCAAAATAATAAGAGCTATCTATGACAAACCCACAGCCAATATCATACTGAATGGGCAAAAACTGGAAGCATTCCCTTTGAAAACTGGCACAAGACAGGGATGCCCTCTCTCACCGCTCCTATTCAACATAGTGTTGGAAGTTCTGGCCAGGGCAATCAGGCAGGAGAAGGAAATAAAGGGTATTCAATTAGGAAAAGAGGAAGTCAAATTGTCCCTGTTTGCAGACGACATGATTGTTTATCTAGAAAACCCCATCGTCTCAGCCCAAAATCTCCTTAAGCTGATAAGCAACTTCAGCAAAGTCTCAGGATACAAAATCAATGTACAAAAATCACAAGCATTCTTATACACCAACAACAGACAAACAGAGAGCCAAATCATGAGTGAACTCCCATTCACAATTGCTTCAAAGAGAATAAAATACCTAGGAATCCAACTTACAAGGGATGTGAAGGACCTCTTCAAGGAGAACTACAAACCACTGCTCAAGGAAATAAAAGAGGACACAAACAAATGGAAGAACATTCCATGCTCATGGGTAGGAAGAATCAATATCGTGAAAATGGCCATACTGCCCAAGGTAATTTACAGATTCAATGCCATCCCCATCAAGCTACCAATGACTTTCTTCACAGAATTGGAAAAAACTACTTTAAAGTTCATATGGAACCAAAAAAGAGCCCGCATCGCCAAGTCAATCCTAAGCCAAAAGAACAAAGCTGGAGGCATCACACTACCTGACTTCAAACTATACTACAAGGCTACAGTAACCAAAACAGCATGGTACTGGTACCAAAACAGAGATATAGATCAATGGAACAGAACAGAGCCCTCAGAAATAATGCCACATATCTACAACTATCTGATCTTTGACAAACCTGAGAAAAACAAGCAATGGGGAAAGGATTCCCTATTTAATAAATGGTGCTGGGAAAACTGGCTAGCCATATGTAGAAAGCTGAAACTGGATCCCTTCCTTACACCTTATACAAAAATCAATTCAAGATGGATTAAAGATTTAAACGTTAGACCTAAAACAATAAAAACCCTAGAAGAAAACCTAGGCATTACCATTCAGGACATAGGCGTGGGCAAGGACTTCATGTCCAAAACACCAAAAGCAATGGCAACAAAAGCCAAAATTGACAAATGGGATCTAATTAAACTAAAGAGCTTCTGCACAGCAAAAGAAACTACCATCAGAGTGAACAGGCAACCTACAACATGGGAGAAAATTTTCGCAACCTACTCATCTGACAAAGGGCTAATATCCAGAATCTACAATGAACTCAAACAAATTTACAAGAAAAAAACAAACAACCCCATCAAAAAGTGGGCGAAGGACATGAACAGACACTTCTCAAAAGAAGACATTTATGCAGCCAAAAGACCCATGAAAAAATTCTCATCATCACTGGCCATCAGAGAAATGCAAATCAAAACCACTATGAGATATCATCTCACACCAGTTAGAATGGCAATCATTAAAAAGTCAGGAAACAACAGGTGCTGGAGAGGATGTGGAGAAATAGGAACACTTTTACACTGTTGGTGGGACTGTAAACTAGTTCAACCATTGTGGAAGTCAGTGTGGCGATTCCTCAGGGATCTAGAACTAGATATACCATTTGACCCAGCCATCCCATTACTGGGTATATACCCAAAGGACTATAAATCATGCTGCTATAAAGACACATGCACACGTATGTTTATTGCGGCACTATTCACAATAGCAAAGACTTGGAACCAACCCAAATGTCCAACAATGATAGACTGGATTAAGAAAATGTGGCACATATACACCATGGAATACTATGCAGCCATAAAAAATGATGAGTTCATGTCCTTTGTAGGGACATGGATGAAACTGGAAACCATCATTCTCAGTAAACTATCGCAAGAACAAAAAACCAAACACCGCATATTCTCACTCATAGGTGGGAATTGAACAATGAGATCACATGGACACAGGAAGGGGAATATCACACTCTGGGGACTGTGGTGGGGTCGGGGGAGGGGGGAGGGATAGCATTGGGAGATATACCTAATGCTAGATGACACGTTAGTGGGTGCAGCGCACCAGCATGGCACATGTATACATATGTAACTAACCTGCACAATGTGCACATGTACCCTAAAACTTAGAGTATAATAAAAAATAAAAAATAAAAAAAAATAAATAAAAAAAAAGCTCTCACATTGTATGTCTAAGAAATGTGTTCTAATATCTTTCACTAAGTGAAATCATAAGATTATGAACTGTCAAAGCTGTAGGAATGATAATGACCATCTCAAGTCATGGAGAAAAACTGGAGACCAGAGAAGTTAAATGAGTTAAGGTCACATGGCTAGTTAGTGGCAGATTAGAGACTGAAACCTTGGTCTCAGATTTGGCTTTCTAATGCAATGACCTTTCCACGGACCCCTGAGTAATAAGCTGATCATGCCCTACTGCTCTGAGTTACAGAAGGCCATGTGATCTATCGCACTCTTGCATCTATTTTTTAAAATAGAGGTCTGCTTCTCAACACTTTTGCATCTAAGTTTCTATTTGTATTTAAAAGTTATCTAAATCACTAATTGGAGTTGAGATATATAAGGAAGAAAAGAAGCAAA
Source organism: Homo sapiens (assembly GCF_000001405.40). Classification (NCBI taxonomy): domain Eukaryota; kingdom Metazoa; phylum Chordata; class Mammalia; order Primates; family Hominidae; genus Homo; species Homo sapiens. Next base: position 4,923,018 of record NC_000003.12, read on the forward strand.
TAGATTCCACCCCATCCCTCCAATTCCAGGTCTTTGACATTCTCTCATCGTTAAAGCAGTGGCTATTTCAGAGCTTAAAAGAAAAAAATTTTCCTTTTTAATGAAGAGTTCTAGTGGAGACCACTTAAACTGAGAGATGAACTTAGTAGGGAATAAGTTGATGTCATATGCCTCCTGATAGGATGCTATAACTATATAGCTTCACTTACTACATATTCTTCCAAAAATATTTAACCTGGATTTAATCAAACCATTAGAGTTCACCTTCAAATTTACAGAAGATCCTGGGAATAAAAGAGCAAGATTAACCATACCATGAGTAAACAATCAGGCAAATCTAGAATGTGGGACATTCTAAAAGCTAACTAGTTTAATCTCTTCAAAATGTCAATATTATTTTTTTAAAAAAAGATATGGCAACTGTTGTAGGTAAAGAAATAAGAGAGGTAACAACAGAAATGCAGTGTGTGGACCTTGACTGAATTTTAGTTTAAAAAAAAAATAACTAAAAAAGACATTTTGGGGGACAAATAGAAAAATTTGAATATGGACCAGATGTTTGATAGTATTTTATAAGGAAATTGTTTAATGTCTGTGGGATAACGATATTGTCGTTAAGTAAGAGAATATCCTTATTCTTTGGGGTGAAATGTTGAGAAATCTATAATTTAAAACTTTCATATCACTAAAAGCCCAGACTTTACCACTATACAATATATGCATGTAAGAAACCTGCACTTATATCTCCTAAATATAAGCAAATTTTTAGGCCAGGCATGGTGGCTCACACCTGTAAGCCTAGCACCTTAGGAGGCCGAGGTGAGCAGATAGCTTGAGCTCAGGAGTTTGTGACCAGCCTGGGCAACATAGCAAAACCCTATCTCAAGAAAAAAAAATTTTTTTAACTGAAGAAAACCTTTCACATGGTTCAGCAAACAAAGCAAATAATGTATCATTATAGATAAAGATGGCAAAATTTTAAAAACTTTTGAATCTAAGTAATTGTTATTTGATTTTTCTTGTACAATTCTTTCAACTCTTCTGTTGAAATTTTCAAAGTTGGAAGAAATGGTATTAACAGCTTTTTTTTTGCTGCAGTATTCCCATAAATGAAAGTGGGAAAATGGAGTGAATAAAAGTTAGGCCCTATTTTCTTTCTTTCTTTCTTTCTTTCTTTCTTTTCTTTTTCTCTTTTTTTTTTTTTTTTTTTTTTTTTTTGAGATGAAGTCTCACTCTGTTGCCCAGGCTGGAGTGCAGTGGTGCGATCTTGGCTCACTGCAACCTCTGTCTCCTGGGTTCAAATGATTCTGCTGCCTAAGCCTCCCCAGTAGCTGGGATTACAGGCATGCACCACCATGCCCAGCTAATTTTTGTATTTTTAGTAGAGACGGGGTTTCACCATGTTGACCAGAATGGTCTTGATCTCCTGACCTCATGATCCACCCGCCTCGGCCTCCCAAAGTGCTGGGATTACAGGCGTGAGCCACCGCACCCAGCCACCCTATTTTCTTTAACAAGTTTTATTGTGCTCTATACAACAGTAGGGGTTAAATAAGTAGTAGAGATTAAATAAATATTTGCTGACTTTGAATTTATATGACCAATACTGCTGATAGTTAGACTATGCTTCAATGGAGAATTCATTCAATAAGTAATGGTATAGCCATAAAATGAAAAACTAAGCAACATTTTCTAAAAATAAAAAAGTTCTTTACTGACTTAGAAAGTCAGTAAAGATATATCTCCAAGATATATCGTTAGGTTAAAAAATGCAAGGTGCAGACCAGTATATACATAGGCTAGTATTTATGTTAAAATTTATTTTCTTATATATGAATAAACTACCTCTGGAAGAACACACAAAAACCTTCAGGCTGCGTGTATGAAAAAACCCACAGCTAACATCATACTTAACGGTGAAAGACAGAAAGCTTTCCTCCTAAGATCAGAAATAAAATGAGGATGTCTATCCTCACTACTTCTACTCAACATTGTACTGGAAGTTCTAACCAGGGAAATTAGGAAAGAAAAAGAAATGAAACAACCAGATTGAAAAGGAAGAAGTAAAACTACTTCTATCTGCTGATAACATGATATAATATATAGAACTCCTAAATAATCCTCACAGAAAACTATCAGAGCTAATAAGTTCAGCAAAGTTGCAGAATACAAGATTAATGTACAAAAACCAGTTATATTTCTATACACTAACAGTGAATAAATGAAATTAAGAAAACAACTTTATTTGCAATACCATTAAAAATAAAATATTTAGGAATATACTTAACCAAGGATGTGTAAGACTTGTACACCAAAAACTGCAACACATTGTTGAAAGAAATTAAAAGACCTAAATAAATAGAAAGACATCTCATGTTCATAGATTGAAAGACTTAGTCTTGTTTCTGTATTTTGTATTTTTTTGTAGAAATGGGATCTCTCTATGTTGCCCAGGCTGTTCTCAAACTCCTGCCCTCAAGTGATCCTCCTGCCTTGGCCTCCCAAAGTGGGATTACAGGTGTGAGTCACTGTGCCTGGCCTAGTATTGTTAAGATGGCAATATTCTCTAAATTGGTCTACAGATTCAATGCAATCCCTATCAGAATTCCAATTACCTTTTGCCTTTTTTCTAATTTGCTGAATGGACAAGCAGATATTAAAATTCATACAAAAATGCAAGGGATCCCAAATAGCCAAAAAAAAAAAAAAAAAAAGAAAAAGAAAAGAAAAGTAAAGTTGGAGTATGCACACTTACTGACTTCAGAACTTAATTTAAAACAATGATAATCAAGACAGTATTGTACTGGCATAAGGAGAAACATAATCCATACATCGATGGTCAATTGATTTTTGGGAAGAGCACCAAGCAAATTCAATAAGAGAAATAATAGCCTTTTCAACAAATGGTGTTGGGACAACGGGATATGCACACACAAAAGAATGAATATTGACCCCTATCTCACTCCATATATCAAAATCAACTCTAAGTGGATCAAAGACCCAAATTAAGAGCTATAACTATTATAAAATTACTATAGTTATAAACTATGTTTATAGTTAGAAGAGAGCTAGACATAAACCTTTGTGACTTTAGATTAGGTAATGATTTCTTAAATATGACATCCAAAACACAACAAAAGAAAAAGTAGTTACAACTGGACTCGACCAAAATTTAAAGGCTTTTGTGGATCAAAGGACACTATCATAAAAGTGAAAAGGCAACCTAAGGAATGGGAGAAAATATTTGCAAATCATGTTTGATAAGGGTCTCAGATAAGGGTCCAGGATATATAAGTAATTCTTATAACTCAACAATAAACAATCCAATTCAAAAAATGAGAAAAGAACTTGAATAGACTTTTCTCCAAAGAAGATATACAAATGACCGATAAGCACACGAAAATATGCTCAGCATTATTCGTCATTAGGTAAATGCAAATAAAAATTACAGTAAGATACGATTTCAGCTCACTAGGAAGGCTATAAAAACACAAAAACAAAATAACAAGTGTTGGTGAGGATGTGGAGAAATTGGAACCCTCCAACATTGCTGATGGGAACGTAAAATTGTTCAGCCAATTTGGAAAAACACTTTGGCAGTTTCTAAAAAAATTAGAGTTATCAAAGGATCCAGAAATTCTACTAAAAGTACACTCAAAAGAACTGAAAATGTATGTCCACACAAACTCTTGTACACAAATGCTCATAGCAACATTATTCATAACAGCCAAAAGGAGGAAATAATCCAAATGTCCATCAATGGTTGAACGGATAAACAAAATGTGGTATATCCATACAATCGAATATTATTATCAAATCATAAAAAGGAAATGATACTTGCTCCAGCATAGGTGAACCTTGAAAACATTATGGTAACTGAAAGAAGTCAGTCACAAAAGGGCACATGTTTTATGATTCCACTTCGATGAAATGGCAAAATGGGCAAACCCATACTGCTAGAAAGTAGGTTAGTGGTTGTTAAGGGGTAAGGGAAGGGGAATTGGGGTATAAGGGGTTTCATTTTGGGGTAATGGGAATATTTCAGAAATGGATAAGCATCATGGTTGCCAAACACTGTGGTTATACTAAAACCACTGAATTATAATACCTTAAAATAGTTAAAATGGTGAATTCTGTTATGTGAATTTTACCTCAATTAAAAAACTTTTTTTTTGGTAAACCTTGGGCCCAGAGAAGGGGACTAGATGGCTAGGGGACCAGGATAGGAGGGAAATAATCCACTGTATACACTCTTGTGTCTTTTGAATTTTGTACCATGTGAATTTCTAAAAACAAAACAAACAAACAAAAAAAAACCCCAAAAGATTTTTTAAAAAAATTACTGGGCTTTCATTTTTAATGACAAAAGGTGACAAATTCCAGATTTGGAAATTAATGAACCTGAAACCAAATTTTGAAACTGCCCACTTTGAGGACCTTTAAAAATAGTATATCTTATTTTTTCCTGTGGGTGCATATGAATATCCCCATGTATAATCAGATCATCTCTCAAATCTCCCTTTCCATCCTAGATCTTAGAAAGTCAGTACTTCCAGGATGCAATTCTGGTATAGACACCACACTCTGCCCCTTGTGGGAAGGTATAATTATTCCCTTCTTTCAATCAGTGACAAAAGATAGTCACGTGTTATAAAATTAGACCCATTCACCCCCACCATGTTACTACAGGAGGTGAACTTTGGGCTGTTTCCACTGCTGCCTACTCTATGTTCAATTGAGCTGGATTGTGTGTGTGTGTGTGTGTGTGTGTGTGTGTGTGTGTGTGAGAGAGAGAGAGGAAGAGAAAGAGAGAGAGATTTTCAGAATCACTAAGAAACCTGGTGAAAATACAGAGAACCAGGCCACACCCAAGCCTGCTGAATCAGAATCTCAGCATCCCTGTGGGCAGAGCCAAGAATGGGCTTTTAAAATAAGCCCTGAAGTCTCCACCCTCATTGGAAACCACTGTTCTCTAAAACAAAGTGCAGTATTAGAAGCAGGTAAAAGGAGTCTGAAGCTAGGAGGCACCTTCTTTCATTTCCATACACATAAAGGTCTACCTCTAAGTCAAAGATACAGCCATTTACAAGGAGGATGCTGCCCAGGACTTTGCCTGCCTTGGGGCCTAAATTTCCTCATTTAAGGGAGCTAGTCCTTTGGGTGAAAGCCATGTAAAACATTAAGCTAACATCAGTTACTAACACCTCAGTATGAACCAAAGTATGAGTCTGTTTTCAAACCCATTAATGGACTGCAAGGTTCTTGCAGGCCAGGCCAAAGTAGAGGGTGAGTTTTAATGTCGGGTAAGATGAAGACAGGAACAGCAAAGCGGTCAGTGATTGCCACTGGCAAGCCAGAGAGATGCTCAAGGGCGTGTGTGTGCGTGTGTGTTGTGGGGTGGTGGTAGTGGTGAGGTCGTGGGAAGTTTGGAGTCTCACTTATGTATTCTCTGTGTAACAAACCACCCTAAAATTTAGTGGCTTAAAACAATGATTTATTGTTTCCCACAATTCTGTGGATTGTGCTGGTCTCACCTACGCTCACTCATGCAGCTGCAGTCAGCTGGTGGGTTAGCTGGGCTGGACTACCCTGGGCTCTGCTGGGATAACCGGAATGTCTGGGCCTCTTTCTACTCCACTAGGACAGTGACAGCCAGCTAGAAGTCACTCTGTAATTTGACTCAAGGATGTACCACTGGTAAAAAGCAGCACAGGCCTGGGATCCAGGTCTTTCTTTCTTTCTTTTTTTTTTTTTGAGACAGTCTCACTTTGTTGCTGAGGCTGGAGTGCAGTGATGTGATCTCAGTTCACCACAACCTCCGCCTCCCTGGTTCAAGCAATTCTCCTGCCTCAGCCTCCTGAGTAGCTGGGGCTACAGGTGCATGCCACCAGGCCCGGCTAATTTTTTGTAGTTTTAGTAGAGATGGGGTTTCACCGTGTTAGCCAGGATGGTCTTGATCTCCTGACCTCGTGAACCGCCTGCCTCGGCCTCCCAAGGTGCTAGATTACAGGCGTGAGCCACCGCGCTCGGCCAGGATCCAGGTCTTTCTAACTTTCATTCTTGAGTTCTCCCTAAAGCTCCACTTTACAAAAAGACTTTTGTAAAATAACTTATTATTCTCCTAATCATAATCTGTAAACTAAAATTAATTTGAAGATAGCTTTAGAAACAGTCAAGCATAGGCCTTTAGCACACGCTGGCCAAGGGATCTTTGGAAGGCTTATTCCCTCTCCCCTCATATTTATCAGAACCTTTCAGCCATTTGAGGAACAAATGCTTCTCTGAAAGTTTAAAAACAAATTCATCAAATCCTTTTTACCACAGAAAGTGAAATCTTGAGTAGTAACCTCTGGGACAACCAATTTACTTAGGGATATAACAGTTCAGGGAACAGAAATTATTTTAGATCCTATATCTTAGTTGTGAAAACAAATGGAAATAAGAATGCACAATTAATGCAAAAAACATAAAGAATTATGCTTTCAAAATGGTTTTAGAAACCTTAATTCCTCTTAATATAGAGATATTGAGAGCCTTTCAAAATATAATTGTCACAGATAAATCCAGGCCTATCAGTAATTTTAGAATAAATTTCCCCTTCCATTCTGCCCAGCTGAAATGTTTCAACATTGGTCCAGCCAAACATGTCTTATCTTCCAGAGAACAGTAAATATTACACTTTATCCAGGTGCTGATCTGGATATTGACTATGTGACATATTACAGTTTTATTAAGATATATTTTACATAGGATAACATTCACCCATTTTTAGTGCACAATATAATTATTTTTAGTAACTTCACTGAGCCATACAACTATCATCATAAATCAGTTTAAAAACTGTTTCATCCCTGCAATAAGATCCCTCATACCCATTTATAGGTGATCTTTGTTCCCAGCCCTAATAACCCAGACAACTGCTAATCTACTTTCTGTCTTTATAAATCTGCTTTTTCTGGATATCTCATAGAAATGGGATCATACAATACATGCTTGCCTGTGTCTGACTTCTTTTACTTGTCATACTATTTTTTTTTTTTTGACAGGATTTCACTCTGTCACTCAGGCTAGAGTGCAGTGGTGCAATCACAGCTCACTGCAGCCTTGACCTCCTAGGCTCAAGCTATCCTCCTGCCTCAGCCTCCTGGGACTACAGGCATGTGCCACAACACCTGGCTAATTTCTTATTTTTTGTAGAGATGGGATCTTGCCATGTTGCCCAGGCTTGTCTCAAATTCCTGGGCTCAAGTGATCCTCCTGCCTCAACCTCCCAAAGTGCTGGGATTATAGGCATGAGCCACCTTGCCCAGCCAGCATAATATTATTGAGGTTCATCCACGATGTAGCATGTGTAAGTAATTTGTTCTTTTTTGGTGCTGAAAAGAATTCCATTCATGGATAAGCCGCATTATGTCTATCTATTCTTCAGTTGATGGACATTAGGTTGTTTTCAGTTTGGGCCTATTATGAATAAAGCATCTGTGAACATTCATGTGCAAGTCCTTATGTGGACACATTTTCATTTGTCATGGGTAGATACCTAGGAATAGCATTGCTGGTCATATGTTTTATGTTTAACTTTTGGAAAACTGCAAAACTCTTTCCCAAAGTGGAATCGTTGATTTTTGAGATGAGGAAGATCATTTCCTGGTAACTGGTTTAAAATCCAACCACTGCCTCCTACAGGTCCCCAACCAGAAGCATTAGCCTGCACTTCAGTGGCCTCCAGTCTAGATTACAGGTATGAAGATAAGGTTTAAGGATGGAACTACTAGAGTTGCCATTGTAGCTGTCCCTGGGCAGAAAGATATGTGCCTAGGGAGAATTTCTATGAAAAATTATAACATATTCATATTTTTAAGGAATAGAAAAATAAGGCAACCTTCTGTAATTGAGAAAACAAATAAAATGTTTGTTATCTCTGATGTTTTACTGGCAATTTGCATATCATGCCCCTAATGAGAACAGCTTCCATTTAAAAACATCAATGTCATATTTTCCCTATCACTTCTAGTGGTTTCTAATGCTGGTGTTTATCTGAAACATCATATTTAATTGGAACCATATCTTCCCCCTCCCCCAAGAACCACTAATCAATAATTTGGATTTCTGTCTTCAGAATAATAATCGTATGAGAGTGTGTGGTTATTTTTCTAAATGAAAGATGAAGTACTTCATCTTCTAAGGGTCTAAAGACAGCAGATATCAAATGCCCAGGTGTACTCAAAAGCATGATTACTGGAAAATTCTTCCATAGGTGAAATCTGCCATGATGAAATCTGCAGCTGAAGTAACCAGGAAAGAGAGACAAATGGGAGAAGGGTAACTTCAAGTATATAGCAGCAAGCAGAATAAAGAGACCATGCTAAGAGAAATTAGGAATTGGCCGTTGGTTTGTTCTTTTTAGGATGTTCTAAATCCTAAAGTCGTCCTGAGACGAAGTTAAAAATGGAGTGTGGCCATTGGAAAATCATCATTTTTTGCAATCGACAAAGTAAATATTGATACAGACAAGAATTGTTCATGGATGCTAAATCTAGGAGGGTGAGTTTGATGAAGAGCTGGGCATTTGCATGATCTTTAAATGTCTACCCACAGATTGTTAAGTGTAAAAGAAAAATAGTAAGTATTCAGTGGAAAAATCAGACAAAGCTTTGACCAGATTATCAAAATTAACAGCACCAGCATGGGGCAGATGTGTGGTATTATGGCTAGGTGTGGAGACCCTGAATCTAATAGCAAGGAAACATCAGACTAAACCAAAATGAGAAATACTCTAGTTTAAAAAGAGAAGGCCTGTATTTTTCAAAAATGTCACTGTCATAAAAGACAAAGGAAAGCTGAAAAATTGTTTCAGATTAAAGGAGTCTAAAGAGATGTAACAACTAAATACAATGCCAGATCCTAGACTAGATCCTGTATTGAAGAGGAAAACATGCTAAAAAAAAGAAAATTATTGAGTCAATTGACAAAACTGGAGCATGGGTGGTACACTAGATGAAAATATTATATTAACACCTCAGCCAGGTGTGGTGGCTCATGCCTGTAGTCCCAGTGCTTTAGGAGGCTGAGGTCAGAGGATCTCTTGAGGCCAGGAGTTTGAGATCAGCTTGGGGAACACAGTGAGACCTTATCTCTACCACAAACAAAAACAAACACACCTCAATACTTCAAATACTTCAGAAAAAAGTATGTGTGGCTGGAGGGAACGGAGGTGGAGACAGGGAGAGAGAGAAAAGGAGCAAATTATAAAGGAGAGAAAAATGTTAACAGCAGGTTTGAGAGCCTGGTCTTGGTGAGAAAAAAAAAAAAAAGAAAAAGAAAAAAAGAAAAGAAATGTTAACAACAGGTAAATCTGGGTAAAGGGAATAAGGATGCTCTTTGTACTGTTTTTGCAACCTTTCTTCAAGCTTCCAAATAAAAAGTTTGAAAACTCGTATTTTAGGCTGGGCATGGTGGGTCTCGCCTGTAATCACAGCACTTTGGGAGGCCAAGGTAGGAGGATCTCTTCAGCCCAGGAGTTCGAGACCAGCCTGGGCAACATGGCAAAACCCCGTCTCTATAAAAAAATACAAAAATCAGCCAGGGATGATAGTGATGTGTGGCTGTAGTCCCAGCTGCTCGGGGTGGCGGGGGTGCTGAGGTGGGAGGATCACTTGAGCCTGGAAGTCGAGGCTGCAGTGAGCCGAGGTAATGTCTAGATGACAGAGTGAGACTCTGTCTCTAAAACATAAATAAATAAATAAATAAATAAATACATACATACATACATACATACATGTATTTTATTGAACAGACAAAATTAACTTATAATAAGAAGAACCAGAAGAGTAGTTGCATTTTGGGGGGGAAATTGGTTGGGGATTTGAGGGAAACTTCTAGATGCAGGAAATTGCTTATATTTTGATCCAGTTGGCAACTATACAGGTGTATAATGTAAATGTAAAATGTAAAAATTCAGAGAAGCTTTACATTTAAGATTTTTGGACTTTACTATATGTAAACCATACGTTAATACAAAAGTAAAGAAAAAATGTATTTTATGCTTCTTAAGTGGGTGAAGAAAACATGAAAAAACTAGTATTTTTATTTATTTTTAACTAGAGGAAAGTGCATCTGATTGGACATACTCACTCTCATTTTTTCTGTTGTTATTTGTTTAAACCTCCACCCACTCCTGAAATTCCAGAAGTGACTTTAGTCCTTTTTAAGTTTAAATTTTTAACAAAAAAAGAAAAGAAAACCAACTGCAACTGCACACAAAAAAAGATTTCTTTAGCCAATAAGCACAACATGTACCTCTGAGTTCTATCATTTAATAGTGGATTTCAAATATAAGTAGATAGGACAGGGAAATCGCCTATGGGCCAATTGAAAAGTTAACAGCAAGGCAACTTAATTCCCACACACTGTCTCCTCTTAAAAGGATGATGTCGGCCGGGCGCGGTGACTCATGCCTGTAATCCCAGCACTTTGGGAGGCCGAGGCGGGCAGATCATGAAGTCAAGAGATCGAGACTGACCTGGCCGACATGGTGAAACCCTGTCTCTACTAAAAATACAAAAATTAACTGGGCGTGGTGGCACGCGGCTGTAGTCCCAGCTACTTGGGAGGCTGAGGCAGGATAATCGCTTGAACCCAGGAGGCAGAGGTTGCAGTGAGCTGAGATTGTGCCACTGCACTCCAGGCTGGCAACAAATTGAGACTCCGTATCAAAAAAAGAAAAAGAAAAAATGGTGTATTTTCCACGGAGCCATTGCTATAATTTTAAAATTCAACCATCACAAGCAGCCAAAATGCCAAGATACCAAGAACACTTCTGTTATTTCCGAGACAATCAGGAATTTCTTTCTTCCTTCTTTCCTTCCTTCTGAAGAGACCTCCCTATAATGCTGGATGTGGTAAGGTGCACGGCTATAAGTCTAGATTTCCAGCCTCCATTGCAGGTGAGGGCAGCCAATGAGCTTCTAGGAGAGTTCTTTAAAGAATATAACTCAGTGCCAGATGCAGTGGCACGTGATTCAGGAGGCTGAGGCAGGAGGATTGCTTGAGACCAGCAGTTTGAGTCCAGCCTGGCAGTATAGCAAGACCCCATCTCTAAAAACAAATTACACGAGCATACCACTCGGTTGTGGCACATTTTGTCTTTGGCCACCATTTTGTATTACCCTCTTTCATCTTCCTGCTGCCTGGAGGTCGTATGTGGTTGTGGGAGCTGTTGTAGTTATCATGTGACCATGAGATGACCTTGAATGGGAATCCCTTGTGCTAAAGATGATGGAGGAGAAAGCCAGAAGGGATTCTGGGTCCCTGACAACCTGACAAGTATGGAGCCATCATACTGGTCCTGGACCATCTACCTCTATGTGAGAGAAAAACAAACTGATACCTTGTTTACACAATTATCATTTTGAGTATAAATCCTATCAGACACAACTCCATTCAACAACTATTTTTCATATTGTTGTTTCTTCCCACAAAAAGCATTGAAATAATTAATCCTTCATTAAAAAGCAGAAGACAGTGTCCATCAACAGATGAATAAACAAAATGTAGTGTGTGTATACAATGAAATATTATTTATCCTTAAAAAGTAATGAAATTCTGACACATACTACAGCATGAGTGAACTTTGAAAACATGATGCTAAGTGAAATAAGCCAGGTAAAATTACAGATATTATATGATCCACTTATTGGAGGTACCCAGAATATGCAAATCAGAGACAGAAAGTAGAATTGTGATTAGATGGTGTGGGAGGGGAGGCAGAGAATGGGGAGTTAGTGTTTAAGAGGGACAGAATTTCCATTGGAAGATGAAACAAGTACTTGAGATGGACAGTGGTGACAGTTGCACAACGAGAATGTACAAAATACTGCTGAATTGTACACTTAAAAATGGTTAAAATGGTAAATTTTATGTTATGTGTATTTTCCCACAATTAAAACAAATAAAAATTAAAAATTAAAAAATAAAATAAATAAAAAACCGGAGAGCTGGGCATTGTGGCTCATGCCTATAATCTCAGCACTTTGGAAGGCCGAGGATGGTGGATCGCCTGAGGTCAGGAGTTTGAGACCAGGCTGGCCAACATGGTGAAACTCCGTCTCTACTAAATATACAAAAATTAGCCAGGCCTGGTGGTGCATACCTGTAATCCCAGCAGCTTGGGAGGCTGACGCAGGAGAATCTCCTGAAGCTGGGAGGCGGAGGTTGCAGTGAGTGGAGATCGCACCACTGCACTCCAGCCTAGGTGACAATGCAAGACTCCATCTCAAAACAAAAAAAAAAAAACAAAAAGGAGAGCATCAGGTCAAATCATTCCTTTTCATAAGCCCTTCATTGTCCTCTCATCACATTCAGAATGAAATCCAAATTCCTTCCCAAGGCTTACAGAGTCTTGCGTGATCTGGCTTCTGCCCCTCCCTCCAGCCTGTCTGGTGCCTCTCATTTTTGGTCACTTCACTGAAGCCACTTTGGCCTCCTTTCTGTTTCTGGAACATGAAGCCTTTCCTGCCTCTGGGCCTTTGCTCCTGCTGGTCCCTCTGCTGGGAGGCATTTCTCAGTTCTCATGGCTGACTCAACCTCACCTTTGTGGTTTCAGGTCTCAACTCACATTCATCTTCTCAGAAAGACCTTCTTTCAAGTAGCCTCTCCTTTCTCTCTCTCTCTCTCTCTCTCCATTTGGTTTATTTCCTTCCTAGCACTTTTTGCAAGCAGTAATTTATTTTTTAACTTATTTTTTGTCTACTTTTCCCTTTAGAATTAAGCTCCACAGTGCAGGGTCCTTGTCTTTGTTTATGCTCCACCCCAAGTGCAAGCATACTGCCTGGCACAGAGCAATCCTTTGATAAATATTTGTTGAATAAATGATAAATATATAAAAAGAGCTTTCAAGTGTCAATGAATCAGCCTTAATTGCATTTTTAACTATGTGAAGCTTGTATTTAAACATTCATTTTGAAGTTAATTTTCTAATAAAAAATAATAGCTCTCCTTGGCCTAGTTAGTTTCACATTAATGATTTTTATAAGACTTGTTCCCACATACAAGTATGATGTGGTAAAATATAATTTAGGAAAACTTATTTCCTTTGTATCTATTATTTAAAAAAAAAACTCTTGTAAGGGTTAGAAATAAAAGATTAAGATATTTATGTGTAAACTCCTTTACACACGAATTATGAAAAAACAAAGATCGTGGAAAAAGGAGTCACACAACCTTCAGACTAAATGTTTTCCAGAGTGAAAGTATTGCCTTTGCTACAAGTCAATAGGATGAATGCAAAATTCTAAAATTATTATGGCAAGTGGACAAAACAATTCCTAAGAGAGATGGAAGAAAATGGAATTCACATATTAAAATTCTATAACATATACAGAATTTTATTTGCACGACGGTTACGTGATAAGTGCACTATTTGTAACAAAACTGACAATTTCAGAATTATGTGTTCCAGTGACAGTTCCTGTATTGGGTAAAACTGTGAAATGAAAGGAATTCCCTCAGTAACTCCCATCTTCCATCCTCAGGGTGTTCAGCATCCCACCAATATGGTACACCCTGCCCTAAACTGACTTCTAAGGCAGGATTCCATCTTCCTATGCCAATTAAAACCTGCTGATCCTATATCCAATCCTTAAAGCCACCATCATAGGCAGAAAAGCTGATAAACTAAACCATAATGATGTGTTAGTGGAAACCAAAATGTCTGTGGACCAGCACAGATTCTCCACTAACATATGTTTTAACAGTGACCTTTTAAAGATAATGCCTTCATAGAAAGGTGTAGCTGCATGGCTTTAGTAGTGACATAGAGGGAGCATGGGAGGAGAAAAAGGCTTTAGAGGAAAGCGTAGAAACTGAAGTGCCTGTGGAACATGGAAAAAAAAGGGAAGACAAACAGGTATTTGGAATATGTGGGTCTGAAACTCAGGAGAGACATCTGGGCTAGAACATAGACCGGGGAGTATCAGCATGTGAATGGTAATAGGAACCATGGAAGCATGAGTCTGTACGACTGTCCAGAGATGGTCACTCCTCTTTGTTTCCACTGCTGCCCTTGGTCACTCCCAGAGCTTCTAGCAGGTCTCTCTATCGCCCTTCCTGCCACCTCTGTTCTCTTCTCAGTTCAGCAGCTACAGTGATTCTTTTGATGATCGGATGACTTCATGCTTCTCAAAATTCCCCTGTAACCCTTCATCTCACTCAGAAAACACAAATGCCTGACCATAATTTACAAGGTCCTACAGGACCCCGGGAGCCTGAGATTTCTTCAACTTCATCTCCTGATGTTCACTCGTTTCCACCACAGGGGACAACCTTCTTGTCTTCAAACCTTTCAGACATGCTCCTTGCTTTCAGGTCTCTGAAATACTACTCTCTCTGCCAGAAATGCTGACATAGGTACATGTCAGGTCTTTTGCCTTTTTTAAGGCTTTGCTCAAATATCATCATCTCAAAAAGGCCTATTCTGAGTACCCTTCTTTAAATTGCCCTCCCCTTCCCCTGCGTACTCCCTACTTCCCTTCCCCTTCCCTGTTGATTTTCTTTTCTAAAGCACTTATCAACTTCTAGCTTTTGCAAAAATTTATTTTATTATGTGTACATTTAAAAATTTATCCAAGGGCAGGAACGACTTTTGTTTGCCTGTTTTGTTTATTAAGGTATCCAATGTACCTAGAAAAATGCCTGGCATAAAGTACATTATGTTATAGTTTATATAATTTCTATGTAAAAATACAAATTATAATTTAAAATAATTTGTATTTCTACATAGAAATGATATAAAGTATAATCTATATGTAGATTATTCACTTATGAATTAAAAAATATATATCTTTTGAATATTGAATGAAATCTAAGACAGAATTCTGAGAAACTCTAACATTAAGTGTTGGGCAGAATTTCCAAAAGAAAATTGATAAGGAGCTTCCTGTAAAACCAAAGAAAGCTTGGAGATAATGCTGTAACTGAATAAAAGGGAAAAATATCTCAGGAACCAAGAAGTTCAACAGTGTCAAATGTTGGTCAAGAGTCAAATGAGGTGAAGACTGAAAAACCTCCATTGAATGTAACAACAAGGAGAAGGTTGCCTTGGTAAGAGAAGTTTCAATGACACATGGATAACACAACTTAGAAAATGTTAAATAAAGCTTACAAAGAGTTAAAACAAAAGAAAAGAGCATAAAAATTTAAACTATGAAATCATCAAGCTTATACAATTCAGATATTGGATTGTATAATTTGTCACTATTGTGGCTATATAACAGAGCATCCCAAAACTTAATGGTTTAAGACAGCAACCATTGTACTGTGGCTCATGAGTCTGTGGGTGGATTGGGCTCAGGTTGGCATTTCTTCATCACATGAAGCCAGCTGGTGCTGCAGCCATCTAGGGCAGGGCTCAGCAAACTTTCCCATAGAGGACCAAATAACAGATACATTAGGCCTTGTGGACCATATGGTCAACTGGCATGATGATTCAGCCATACCATTGTTGTGACAAAGTAGTCATAGATAATATATAAATCAAAGGGCGTAGCTGTGTTCCAATAAAACTTGATTTACAGAAATCAGATGGCGGACCAGATTTCACTGAAAGGCACTGTTTGACCACCCATGATTTAAGGGCTCAGTCTGGTGTGATACATTCAAGATGGCTCACTCTTGGAGTGCCTTGGCACTGCTCTGTGTGGTCTTCTGACACCCACCCTCCATGTGACTTGGGCTTCTTAGAGCATGGTGGCTGGTTCCAAGAGTGAAAAGCAGAAGTTGACAGGCTTAGGCCTGGAGCTTGCATTACTTCCATCACAGTCCATTGGTTAAAATGAGCCCCAGGGCCAGTCCAGATTCAAGGGAGCGGGTTATGAAAGGGTGTAAGTACCAGGAGGCATGGTTCACCAAATGTTACAGACCATCACACAATTCTAAGAGGTTTGCTTGTCAAAACTGTGTTTCATTCCACATTCTGTCTGGAGACCCTCACCTAAGGGAAATGTTTGGTGACTTGTGAAGCCATCCTTTGATCCTTTCAAGAATTATCTTCTTGACATCACTTTAAAGAATCCATGATTTGGCCAGGCATGGTGGCTCATGCCTGTAATCCCAGCAGTTTGGGAGGCCGAGGCAGGCAGATAACCTGGGGTCAGGAGTTTGAGACCAGTCTGGCCAAAATGGCGAAAGCCCATCTCTACTAAAAATACAAAAAATTAGCCGGGCATGGTGGCGGGCACCTGTAATCCCAGCTACTTGGGAGGCTGAGGCAGGAGAATTGCTTGAACCCGGGAGGTGGAGGTTGCAGTGAGCTGAAATCACGCCATTGCACTCCAGCCTGGGCAACAAGAGCAAAACTCCAACTCCGTCTAAAAAAAAAAAAAAAAAAAAAAAAAAAGAATCTATGATTCATTACTTAAAGACAACAGTTCCTTCCTCCCATTAGCTTGAGAAAACTCTAGGTCTTCTGACACCCACCCTTAAAAATGCTGTTTCCAATCCACTGCACTTAAGCTAAAAGGCACTACAACCCATTAAACTTAGATTACAAATATGATAGAAAATGGTTTTTAGTAGTAAGATTAAAGCAATCATACTTAACTACTTAAAGATCTATCAAAGTGCTGTTATTTTACAAAAGTAAACTATAATCTATATTAGAATATTCACTTATGAATTTCAAAAATATTCATTAAACATTCATAAATTGTTAGGTCTTATGCTAGGTTTTGGTAAATACAGCCATCATTTTGCTCTTAATGTAGAACTGTAGGCCATTAGTTGACCTTTAGTATACAGTAAAACAAAGACTGCATGAGATAAAATTTTCTCAGTGAAGTGGGAAAAAAAGGAAGCATTTAGGTTCTCATAAAATTATTGAACCACAAGAAAATTGAAGGCATATATATTTTTAGGTTGGTATTTTAGTGAACCATATGGTCTGATATAACCAGATCATTTTAATCAAACATTATCATTCTATTGATAAGAAGGTAATACTAGCTGGCTGGGCACAGTAGCTCATGCCTGTAATCTCAGCACTTTGGGAGGCCAAGGCAGGTGGATTACCTGAGGCCAGGAGTTTGAGACCAGCCTGGCAAACATAGCAAAACCCCATCTCTACTAAAAATACAAAAAAAATTAGTCAGGCTTGGTGGCATGCACTTGTAATCCCAGCTACTCGGGAGGCTGAGGCAGGAGAACTGCTTGAACCCAGGAGGTGGAGGCTGCAGTGAGCTGAGATTGTGCCATTGTACTCCAGCCTGGGCAACAAGAGCAAAACTCTGTCTCAAAAGAAAAAAAAAAAAGAAGAAGAAGAAGGAGGTAATACTAGCCAGGTGCGGTGGTGCACCTACAGTCGCAGCTACTCGGGAGCCTGAGGTGGGAGGTCGCTTCAGTCCAGGAGTTCAGAGCTGCAGTGTGCTGTGATAGTACCTGTGAATAGGCTCTGCCCTCCAGCCCGGGCAACATAACAAGACTCTGTCTCTTAAAAAAATACATATGTAATAAATGAAAACCATTTTTTAAAAGGTAATACTAGAACATTATGAGAAGAACTGATTTTACTCTTTAAAAAGTGTGACCCAAAAAATGCTGAACACGCTGTCAGAGATATGTGGTTGTAAGCCAGAGGATATGAGATGCCACCAGGTGAATATAGCACATCTTCCCGTGTCAATTGCACTTAAATGTTCTAGGAGGAAAACATTTTAACTGTTAAGTGCTTTAAAACATAATTCTAGCTGGGCATAGTGGTATGTGCTTATAGTCCCAGCTTCTTGGGAAGCTAAGGCTGGAGGATCACTTGAGCCCAGGAGTTTGAGGCCAGTCTGGGCAACATAGCAAGACCCCTGTCTCTAAAAATAAAAATAAAAATAAGGCATAATTCTTATCACAATACAATAAAGCTACAAAATATTTTAAAGGCCTTTACAGGTGAAAATTTAAATCTTGTCTATTAAACAACAATGAGGATTGGTCAGATATGAGCCTGTAAAAAAAAAAAAAAAACACTTAGGTGAAAGTGGGCATAAAAACTGCAATGGTGGCATTTCTAAAAAAGAATAGTAATGAGGCCAGGTGCAGTGACTCATGCCTGGAATCCCAGCACTTTGGAAGGCCAAGGCAGGTGGATTGTTTGAGGCCAGGAGTTCGAGATTTGCCTGGGCAACATTGCGAAACCCTGTCTCTACTGAAAATACAAAAATCAGCCGGGCATGGTGGCACGTACCTATAGTCCCAGCAACTCAGGGGGCTGAGGCAAGAGAATCACCTGAGCCTTGGCAGGTAGAGGCTGCAGTGAGCCATGATTGGTCCACTGCACTGCAGCCTGGGTGAAGAGTGAGACCCTGTCTGAAAAAAAAATAATAATAAATAATAATAATAATGAAATCACTGTATATGAGAATTTATGGGATACATTAGACTAGTGATCAGAGGGAAATTCATAGCCTTAAATGCTTACATTAATAAAAATAAAAAGAGGAAAACAAGTGAATTAAACTCCAACTCAAATAAGCTAGAAAAATAACAACAAAATCAACCAAAAGAAAACATAAGGAAAGGAATAATACATATTGAAGTAGAAATTAAAGGGCTTAAAAAAACAGGAAAATGATAAAACTACATAAATTAAAATGGTGGTTCCTTGGGCAGAGGGAAACAGTAGCCAACCTAATCAAGAAAACAAAGAAGAAAACATAAATCTATAAAAAAGAAAAGTGACAAATAACTTTTATCATGGAGGAATTTTTTTAAATCATGAGAGACTACATTGCATAATCATACATAAATAAATGTGAAAACTTTTGAAATGGATAACTTCCTAGGAATACAGTTTTACAAAATTGACCCCAGGAGAGAGAAAATGCTTAAGCAGACACATTTCCAAAGAATTGTTAAAGAAAGTTTCAAAGAACTACCCCATTAAAAGCCATCACACTCAGACAGTTTCACAAGAGAATTCCAGAAAACCTTCAAAATTCAAATAGTACCAATGCTACATGAATTATTCCAGAGCATAGAAAATAGAAAAAGGCTTCTAAATTTTTTATAAAGCAGGATTAACATTTATACTTAAACCTAACAAATACAGTGCATGCACACACAAATATAAATCATTCTAACCTACAAATATTGATGCAAAAAAACAAATGAAACATTCACAAACAGAATCTAATACCTCATTTAGAAATACATCATGATCAAGTAGAGTTTATTTCAGGAATGCAAGAATGGTTTGATATTAGCAAATTCATTAAAATAATTCATCATATTAATGTAAGAACAGTTATATAATAATTTCTATAAAAGTTGAAAAGGATTTTGATAAACATCAACACTCATTTCAAATAAAAAATTCTTAATAAAATAGGAGGATGGATATATGGTTAACATAATAAAAATACTTAAGTCAAAAGCCAACTTTTTATTTAATTGGAAAAAATTGGTGACATTCTCACTAAAGTCAGACATATGGCAAGGATGCCAAGTATATCTACTACTATTTAACACAGTATAGAAGGTATCAGCCAATGCAGTTAGGCAGAAGGAAGCAATTTGAAGCATAAGAATTGAAAGAGCAGAAGTAAAACTATGTACATTTCCAGATGATATGGTAGTATGCCTGTAAAACCCAAGAGGTTAAATGATAAAACTAACTCAAACAATAAAGTAATTCAATAATATAAAAGGGTATAAAATTAACCTTCAGAAACCAATAGCTTCATATACACAAACAATGACCGACTAGTTAGAAGGAATCATGAAAGCAAAAACCCCATTTACAATAGCAACAATAATAAAGATAAAAACTTAGGTATTAATAAGAAATGTGCAAAAGTTATAAGAGGAAATCTGTAAAACATTCTTAAAAGATATAAGTATACACTTGATGGAAAGACATCCTTTGTTTTCAGAAAGTATGACTATCATAAAAATGTTACTTATTCTTAAATTATAAATTTAATGCATTTCCAATGAAAAGTACCAATAAGTTTTTGTTTCAAAACTTCAAATATATATATATACATATTCACACACATATACATACACATATTTGTGTATATATACACATACATATACACACAAATAGGTTTATATATACACATATATATAAACATATACATATATACATACCTATTTGTGTGCTTTATTTTAAATAAGTATATATACTTATTTTTATATTTGTATATATGTATATATATTTTATTTGTATATGTGTATATATGTATACAAATAGGTATATATATGTATGTGTGTATATATACCTATTTGTATGGGGTGTGAGTGTATGTGTATATACACCTATACAAATATATACTTATTTAATGCCTATATCTATTTGTATGGGTATATACATACACACACATATATACAAATATATATAATACCTATTTGCGTGTGTACATATATATATATATACTTATTTATTTAAAATAAAGCACACAAGAATTGCTAGAAAAACTAAAAAAAGACAAAGAGGTAGAAGTAACCCTAATAGACATGAACACATACTATAAGACCTCTAGAAGTAAAATTGTGTGGTACTGGAGGATAAGTAGACTAGTAGAAAAGAATGAAAAGTGAAGAAATAGACCTGAGTATGTAGGGAAAATTAGCTTTAGATACATATTTAGGATAAATTTCCAAAAGCGAGATTGCTGGGGCAAAGGGTCAATATAGCTCTTTTTAGGTATTGCCAAATTCCCCTTCACTGGGGCTGTTCTTTTGCATTCCCACCAGCAGGTGAGAATGCCCATTTCCCTCCCAGCCTCACCAACAGTGTGTACTGTCAAGGTTTTGATTTTTGCCACTGATATAGATGAAAGTGGTGTCTCAGTGTTTTAATTTGCATTCTCTTATTATGAGTTAAGCTTAATAACTTTCCATTTAAGAGCAATTTATAGATTTTTATGTCTTTCTTTTTTATTAAGGCATAATTGACGTACAACAAGATGTACAGCTCTCAAGTGTGTGGTTCCATAAGTGTTGACAGTTGAATATATCTGTGTAGCCACCACTGAGCACAATCTGTAGAACACTGCCATCCCCCTAGAACTTCCCTCTGACTCCTTTCCTGTCAATCCTCCCACCCACTCCAGAAGCAACCACTTTCTGGTTTGTATTCTCATAAATTACCTTTGCTTGTATAAATGGAATGTAAACGGAATATGCAATAATGTATATCTGATTATTTCATGTATCTAATGTTTTTGCTCAACATAATTTTTCAGAATTCATCCATGTTGTGTGTTGAGCATTATTTCTTTTTATTACTGATCTTCTAGGGATATAATGTTTGCAGAATTAATTTTTCTCTCCTAATGGTTTCTCATTGTTGAAGAACTGAGTTGCAAATATGGAAAGTGAGAAAAATAGAATGAATTCTATAGTGTTGGATTGGAATTGGAGCTACCAGTATGAACTGAGTTTTTAATATGTATAGATACATATAGAAGTATTTGAAGATATGTGTGGCTATATCTCAGTACGTGCATGCATATATACAGACAAGTATTCCCTGGCTCTGTCTCCTTACAGAGCCTGGGAGTAGTGTCGTTCCAACAGTAATAAGCACACCTTCCACCTATACCTTGGTTTCTAAATATCATTTTCTATGATAAGGAATCAGGATTCTTTGGAGAAATGACTGTTTCCAGAGTTAGGGAGAAGAAAGTACAAGTGTGAGTCTGGAACATCTTCTCACAGACAGTAAGGACACGTTCAAAAGCTGATGTGGCTATCTCAAAAGGACAGGAGTGCCAGCCTGAAGGTATTTTGGCCACATTTCAGATAATATGAAACATCAAAATGAATAAAGACAGTAATAGATTTTTATGCATCATTATTACTAATTGTTACTAAAAATGTAAAAATTAATGTTAGGTGGAGGGAAATTTTTTAACAGAATAATACTAAGTAATAAATGTAGAAGAAAGGATAGAAACATCACCATTTCACAACTGCCATACTAATAATTGATTCAGACAAAAATCACCATTGGGTGGAAGGTTGTTGGAAAACAGGATATTCACATGATCTCGTGAATTACTTATTATACAGGGAAATTGGAGTGTTATAATGGTGGATTTGGCAGGCATGATTATAACCAAGTGATCAAAGTTAACATCACCAAGTAAGTTATATCATGTGCCCCTGAGGGGATGCACTAAGTATATAGTATTCCAGACAAAATTGTTGATTCCAACCATAAGGAAAAAACCATAGATTTCCAAATTAAGGGACGTTTGGCAAAACAACTGGAACTTGAGCTCCAAATATATCAATGGTGTGAGAGACAAAGAGAGGAGACTAAAGCAATACGACAACGATATGCAATGAAGCATCCTTGATTGGATACCAGAGCAGGAGGGAAACAAACCATAACACTTTAAAGACATCACTGAGGCTAGGCGCAGTGGCCCATGCCTGTAATCCTAGCACGTTGGGAGGCTGAGGCGGGTGGATCGCTTGAGGTCAGGAATTTGAGACCAGTCCCTGGGCAACATTGCGAAACCTTGTCTCTACAAAAAAATACCAAAAATTAGCTGGGCGTGGTGACACCCGCCTGTGGTCCTAGTTACTAGGAAGGCTGAGGCAGGAGCATTGCTTGAGCCTGGGAGGTCAAGGCTGCAGTGAGCCAAGATCATGTCACTGCACTCCAGCCTGGGTGACAGAGTGAGACCCTGTCAAAAAAAAAAAAAAAAGCGCATTATTGAGACATTTGGGAAAAATCTGAATATAGATTATGTTCCATAATGTTCCTATATGTTAGATAATAACATTGCATTAATGTTAAACATCTTGAGTTCAATAATTACATTGTAGTCATGTAGGAGAATGTCTTTGTTCTTAGAAAATATATGCTGGAGTATTGAAGGGTGAAGTGTCGTTTTACCCACAACTCTTTTTTTTTTTTTTTTTTTTTGAGACAGAGTCTCGCTCTGTCCCCCAGGCTGGAGTGCAGTGGTGCAATCTCGGCTCACTGCAAGCTCTGCCTCCTGGGTTCACGCCATTCTCCTGCCTCAGCCTCCTGAGTAGCTGGGACTACAGGTGCCTACCACCGCGTCCGGCTAATTTTTTGTATTTTTAGTAGAGACGGGGTTTCACCGTGGTCTCGATCTCCTGACCTCATGATCCACCCGCCTCGGCCTCCCCAAGAGCTGTGATTACAGGCCTGAGCCACCGCGCCCAGCCTACCCACAACTAACACTTAATTGGTTTAGAAAAAAAAGTAAATATACACGTGTTTTTGTTTGTGTCCCTTTCTCTTTATATATGTGTGTGAAGAGAGAAAGAAATAAAGTGAATGTAGTAAAATGTTAACAATTGTTGAAACTTAAGGATAATGTTGGTAGTGTTGGTACTATGTTTTCAACTTTTCTGTAGGTTTGAAATTTTTCATAATAAAAATTTGGGATTTTTTTCTTTTTTTTTTTTTTAGATAGGGTCTTGCTCTGTTTCCCAGACTGGAGTGCAGTGGTGCCCAGCCAGTCGTCCCACCTCAGCCTCCTGAGTAGCTTGGGACCACAAGTGTGCATCACCATTCTTGGCTAATTAAAAAAAAAAAAAAAGTTATAGAGACAGGATCTCCCTATGTTGCGTAGGCTGGTCTTGAACCCCTGGACTCAAGCGAACCTCCAGCCTTGGCCTCCTAAAGTTCTGGGATTACAGACATGAGCCACTGCGTCCGGCCAGAACATTATTTTTAATTAGAAATAAGAGACTTCCAAAAAATGTTAGGTCTGAATATGTCTGCTTTGAGCTTTTACCTTCAGGAAATAAAAACTCACTATCTTTGAAGTTACTTCAAGAAGGCTCCTTCAATGGGGATCCTTAAGAAGCTTTGCCTGGGGGATAGGACATCTCCCTTTGGGGCTAGCTGGTGTCTTCAGTTGTTTGGGCAAGTCAAGGTCATAGTCTGGAGTAGATACATTCCTCTGGCAGTAGCAACCACACCTTCAGGGAACTGCCTCTCCTCAGTCATGTGCTTCTCTTGTGGTTGCCAATCATGCGACCCTGTCCCCGGGCCAAAGGATGGGCAAGTAATCCAGGCCTGGCCAACAATGTACCCCAGCACCCTAGTCACAGTGATTAGCTCAGGGAAGGGTGTGGGACCTTAGCTGGGCCAATCAGGCTCCTATCCTGATATCTTATTTATGGGTGCCAGGAGACTTTTATTTATTTATTTATTTATTTATTTATTTATTTATTTATTTATTTCTGAATGCTGCTACTTTCCCCTGGGATCCTTTGGCTAGCGTGATATCAATCTGGAGCTCCTCCGAGAATCCAGATTATTATGATTAACAGCTGTGCCCTTCCACAGGGTGATGTGGAGGCAGAATGAGAAGCAGT
This sequence comes from Homo sapiens, assembly GCF_000001405.40. Taxonomy (NCBI): domain Eukaryota; kingdom Metazoa; phylum Chordata; class Mammalia; order Primates; family Hominidae; genus Homo; species Homo sapiens. Next base: position 4,947,372 of record NC_000003.12, read on the forward strand.
TGGCTTTGCTTCAGGGTCCCTGAAGGTGATCTTCCGGCTCCTGGGGCCTCTGTTTCTGAACTACAGGCAACATCTTATGCCACAGACCGAATTCTATTCTGTAGACCACATGGCACATATGCAAGTGTATGCGCCCCTCCACCAAATGTCTCCTTGTTTGCTCAAAGTCCTACCCTCTCATTGGTCATTCTTTCCATAGACATGGTAGGCCAACTGTGAGCAAAACCTTGAGCAAAGTGCTGTGGCCCGGTGCTTCCCAAACATCACATTGGCCACCTAAAATCCCCCAGAAGCCTTCCAAACACAGCTCTCTGGGTCCCATTCCCAGAAGTTTTGACAAGAGAATCTGTATGTTTAACAAGCCACCCAGGTAATTTGAAGGCCTGTTTGGGTTTGGAAAACACTGCAGGGGCAGAGAGGAATATCAAGGTAAATGTGGCTCAAAGTCATCTCTCAGGGAGCATTTAGATGAGGGAAAAGGATAAGGCAACTGAGCTAATTACACTATGAAGCAGGAATCAGTGCTGGGTACCAAGAGAACCCTTCCCAGCCTCGTGGAGGCGGGAAAGCTGACCAGTCCTAAGGTCATGCTGAGTCTTGCTGACGGGCACTCATGGGTTCTCCCTCCTCATTATCAAGCCTGCTTGGATCTCAAAACAGTGCCTTCCAAGGAAGGAGTCAACCTATATTTCAGCAAGTTCACACTGGAGAGTTGGGGAAATCAGACCATTTGGGGAATTCCTACTGATGCCTTTTTCTTTTGAGATAGGATCTCACTCTGTCACCCAGGCTGGAGTACAGTGGTGCCACCATGGCTCACTGCAGCTTCCGCATCCTGGGCTCAAGCAATTCTCCCACCTCAACCTCCTGAATAGTTGGGACCACAGAGGTGCACGACCATGCCCACTACTTTTTTGTTTTTTGTTTTGGTAGAGATGCGGTCTCCCTATGTTGCCCAGGCTTGTCTCAAACTCCTGGGCTCAAGTGATTCTCCTGCCTTGGCCTCCCAAAGTGCTGGGTTACAGGCATGAGCCACTTAGCCTGGCCTCCTGCTGATGCCTTTTAATGGAAAGAAAGGGAAGGTTGGAGGAGTGTGTGTGTGTGTGTGTGTGTGCACTGTGGTGTGCTGTGATGTGCTGTTTGTGTGTGTGTGTGTGTGTGTGTGTGTGTGTGTATGTATGTGGTGTGTAGTCTTAACTAGGGCTCTTGGCCAGCATGTGTTCACTACATTCTTGTCAAGCGAGAGAGTGTTTCATGGAGCCAAATAAAACTCCAAGTGACCTTTTCATCATATCAGAGTGTGTCATTGTGGATGAAAAGCACGGTGCATTGTAGTCATAATCACTGTTTTTTATTGGCCACCCATTAACATGCTGAGGAACATAATAGCCGCTTTACATACATTCTCATTTAATCCTCGCAGAACCCCATGAAATTAGGACTATTTTTTTGTTGTTGTTTAACAGATGGAGAAACTGAAACTTAGAGGGGTCAGTACAACCTTCTGTTTATGTTTTTTTAAAGTGTTTTTGTGAATGATCTTTAATAGATATTATAACCAAATGTACGTCAGTTAAGTTGCAAGCTTTCTTCTTCAAATATTTATTTGATGAATATTTATTGAGCCTCTATTATGTGCATAGTCCCTACTAGGTGTGATAGGAAAGACTGAAAAATATCACAAATAGCTCTTTTCCCTAAGGAGCAGTTAATTTGGTCTGGAGGTACAACAATCAAAGGATAGGCCAGGGGCAGAGGCTCATGCCTACAATTCCAGTTCTCTGGGAGGCCAAGGTGGGCAGATTGCTTGAGCTCAGGAGTTTGAGACCAGTTGCGCAACATAGTGAGACCCTGTTTCTTCAAAAAAATAAAAAAACACTGGGTGTGGTGGCACATGCCTGTAGTCCCAGCTACTCAGGAGGCTGAGGTGGGGAGAATTGCTTGAGCCCAGGGGGCAGAGGTTATAGTGAGCCAAGATCGCAACACCACACTCCAGCCTGGGCTACAGAGCCAGACTGACTCAAAAATAAAACAAAACAAAAAACATCGAAGGATTTTTTTTTTTGAGCTGCTTTCCCTGTTTGTGTTGTGCTTTTACAGCAATTATCAAATTGCATTTGGACTTAAGTTGTGCAAGTCTCTGCTCCTCCTTAGCCCCTTAGGGGTAAGGAACTCCATTTCACTCACCTTTGTATTCTCAGCACATAGTAAGTGCTTAATCAACGTTGATGAATCAATGAACTGATAAACTGGAATTTGGAGAGTGTGAATAAACATTCTAATCCTTTCTCAGATGCTGAAGAGCTTAATGAAACTTGCAAAGAAATCTAAATCCAGAATAGAAAATAGCTATTATTGAGCAAGGAAAACTTTTCAAACTAATGAGTACATTCCATACACAACCATTCAAAGTATTTCTTAACCAGCGTCCCTGGATGTCCCATGAGATGTTAATAAGTATTTCTTTAAAAAGAAGAAAAACTTCCACAGTCCAGTACATTTGGGAAATGCAGGGTTAGATAGGATTTCCTTACTGCAGGAGATCTCAGAGCCTTTAATAGACAGGCGTGCACTGTGTATAAACCAGAAGCTGTAAGTAGTTTGAAGAATATACTGTACATGGTAAGCAATATTTTCCAAATGTGTCTGACAGTGGACACTTCAGGGTAGCAGTGGAGGGAGTAAAGAAAAGAATTAATTGCAGGGTCAAGACTAGAATAAGGTAAAGGAGACAGCTAGGGCGCAAGATCTAAGAAAGTACCTACTTGCACGAAAACACTAGCACAACCCTGAGACTGAGGGTCTCCTTACATGCTGCACCCTGGTCACCTTGCTTCATCCCAGGCCCAGACCAGGGGTAATCATTTTGTTTCTGTTTGTTGTTGTTGTTTGTTTTTAAATCAGTACTCTACAAACAAGGAAGGGGTAATCATTTTGAAGATGACGACAAACATTTCTGAATCTTCTTTTCCCCTATTTTGTCATGATTCTGGCTCAATTTTAGAGTTGTGAGTTGTGGAGGCCTTTCCTGGCCCTGGCCCCAAGGCAGAGCCTTCTATGGAGTTCTGGCCAAGGACACGGGAACCCAGTTGGTGCATGGAGCAGGATCAGGCAGCCCCTTCAGACTGGTTCAGGAAAAGGAAATCCAAATGGAATGAGTCTGTTCTACACACCAGAAGAAGTTGCCAGTTGCTCAATTTCCTTTCTTTCTTCTCCTTTTTTTTTTGAGTTGGAGTCTTGCTCTGTCACCTAGGCTGGAGTGCAGTGGTGCAATCTCGGCTCGCTGCAGCAGCCTCCACCTCCTGGGTTGAAGCAACTCTCATGCTTCAGCCTCCCCAGTAGCTGGGATTATAGGCAGGTGCCACCATGTTTGGCTAATTTTTGTATTTTTAGTAGAGACGGAGTTTCACCATGTTGGTCAGGCTGGTCTTGAACTCCTGGCCTCAAGTGATCTGCCTACTTTAGCCTCCCAAAGTGCTGGGATTACAGGTGTGAGCCACTGAGCCTGGCCCCCTTCATTCTTGAAAACAACAGAGATTAAGAGAACGTCAATAAAGAATTCCCTAATGACTAGGATAATGACTGGCACTCAGTAAGTTGAATGAATGAGTGAATGAATAATGAAAAAATAAATAGAAGAGGAGCCATGAAAAGCATCACAGAATAAACAAATATGAATCAGAGAGGTCCCTGACATCTCTCTCTTTTTTAATTGTGTTCCTTTGCACTATGACGATAACTGCCCTCTCCGTGCAGTCTCTCCTCTGAACCGGATGTTCTGCTTAGATCTTTGGGTTTTTCCATTTGTACAGTCTCCTTATTAATGTCCCTCCCAACGTAAAGTCCTGTTTGATCTTAGAGCTAATGAGTAAAGCTGGGTGGGGCAAAAAGCCCGAGAAAAAACTGTTCAAGAAAGCGTGTACACTCTGCAAACTCTCTTTCTTTCCGTCATCCATTTTATTTCTTCCGGTTTCTTTTCTTTTCTTTTTTTTTTTTTTTTTTGAGATGGAGTCTCACTCTGTTCCCCAGGCTGGAGTACAGTGGCACAATCTCGGCTTACTGCAACCTCCACCTCCTGGGCTCAAGCAATTCTCCTGCCTCAGCCTCCCGAGTAGCTGGGATTACAGGTGTTTGCCACCCGCCTGGCTAATTTTTGTATTTTTAGTGGAGACGGGATTTCACCATGTTTGCCAGGCTGGTCTCGAACCCCTGACCTCAGGTGATCTGCCTGCTTCAGCCCCCCAAAGTGCTATCCCATTTCTTTAAATCCGTGAAAACAATCATCTTGAAGGGTTGCAAGCTTGTCCAGCCTGCCTTATTTTGTTGTTGTTGTTCTGTTTTGTTTGTTTTAGGTTTTGGCATTCTGAAGCCGTGGTTTTTAGTTTCTGTCTCTAGTGATAAGTGGAAAAGAGGGATGAGGAAGGGGCTTTACTGGCCCAACCAGAAAGAGAAACTAAGAACCCATGACTGTATTCTCTTCCTTGGACACCCCTATACTAGTGACAGATACTCAGCGGCACTTAATATACTCATGAGTTCAGTGTCTTTTTAGCTCTTAGGCACTCCGCTCCTTTTTTTTTCTTTTGAGATGGAGTCATGCTCTGTCGCCCAGGCTGGAGAGCAGTGGCGCAATCTCGGCTCACTGCAAGCTCTGCCTCCCGGATTCAAGCGATTCTCCTGCCTCAACCTCCCCAGTAGCTGGGATTACAGGCGCCCGCCACCACACCCGGCTAATTTTTGTGTTTTTAGTAGAGATGGGGTTTCACCATGTTGGCCAGGATGGTCTCAAACTCGTGACCTCAGGTGATCCGCCCAACTCAGCCTCCCAAAGTACTGGGATTATAGGCGTGAGCCACAGTGCCCGGCCACCCCACTTCCTCTTAAGTGAAAATACTTCAGGGTAAATTCAATCTAAATAAATGTAGTGAAATATATGGTTTTTAAATACTACGTTGGCATGATAACCATGCCCATTCAGAAAGCATGCTGAAATATTAGATAATGAGCAAAGCTTCACTTGTTTGGTCATTAATCTAATTAAACTATTATAAGCAACTGATATTAAAATACCATTTTTGTATATCATAGTCCAGTTAAATAATTAAAAAGCCAAAAGGGCATATTTCCAGAATTAAAATGGCTACCGTGTTTACCAAATATCTTTAAACTTCCAGGCCAATGATTTGGTTTCCTGAGAATTGCCATCAGAAATTTAACACTCCAGATCCAGAAATCTGAAAAAACATCTTTCTGTGTTTCTCAGGACCTCATCTGACATGCTGGTGTAAATGGAGACTATGCCTGCACTATCCCATTAAATTATCAATTTATCTTGCCTCTTAAACATTTTCAATATTCCATCTCTTTTGGTATTTGCATTTCATTAGACCAGACCATTTTAAGTAACAATACCTATTTTCCCTTGATGACAAAACATTTCGACCAGCGCATAAGATGTTTGTAATACATTTAATAATTTCTATAATCAAGTGGTTGAATCTATAAGGATCCATGCATCCTCATAGACGAATGCAGGTTGGAGGGTAAACCTTACCCTCCAAACTGCAGACACTAGAGATCAAAGGCTGCCAAGTTTCCACGCCGTTTCTGTGTTTATGTTTGCATGCTTTTTTGGAACCATTTCACTGTGACACACGAAAGCAGAGGAGACGACTTAAAGATCCTTTCTGGGTGAGGAGAACCTTGGATTCTACTCCTAAACACTCAGTGATATTGGGAGAAACTATTAATCTTACCAAAAGCTTCACGAAGCAGATATTTTATACCTTTCCAAGATGTTGTTGGCATAACATCAGGTCTGTATACAGAGGCCTCCTCGAGTTCTGCCAGGACAAAAGCTCTTTTGTACTGGATAAGGATGGGGAAAATGCCTGTTGGGTTTGGGTTGGCTTAAACAGCATGGGTTTTCACCACCAAGTGGGCTAATTTACTGCCTTAGTTCTAGTGAGTCACACTGCATCCTCTCTCTTGAGGGTCAAGTCTCCAGTCCAAAAGGGTGTTTTGAATTGGCCACACCATTGTGTATGGCTGGTCATCCCCAGCTGATTTCACTGTGGTGTCAGATGGTCTAAGAATTCATCATTAATACAATAATGAAAACCTGCTCCAGGTAATGAATCAACTTGGCTTAACTTCTCCCATGCTGGGGATGGTATCTGCCCCCTCTTGAGTCTTCCTGAATGACCATACGTGGTTAGGTGTCTTGGTTTCAAAGGATATTCCTATAGGTACAGTGAGTTGAGGAAGTGAGATGATCAACACACATTGTAGAGTATTGAAGGCAATTGAGTTTAACTTATAACAAGTGCCAATGTACCAAAAACACCCAGGTATTACTAACTATTAACAAAACTGCAGATAATCCAGCCCTTAGCTACCAGTACAATCTTGTCTGTGTCCCTTGCCGTACAATCAAGACCCTCAAATCACACTGGCCTTGTATCTGGTCTGAGAACATGCCAAGCCCCCTCCCACCTCAGCACCTTTGTCCTTGCTGTCCTTCCTCCCAGAATGCCCCTGTCCTGGCTTTTCTGGCTCGCTCCTTATCATTCCTTGGGTCTCAGCCTAAATGTTCCATCATCAGAAGGGCCTTGTGGCCTCCTCACCTCCTGCCCCATTATTTTCTATCTCACTACCTCGTTTATTTCCCTCATGACAGCCATCATGTTCAGAAATTAATTGATTTTATTTATTTGTTTATTCATGTGTTGTCTGTTTCTCCCCTCTAGAAGCATAGAGATTGGATTTATTTCTCCGGTTCACAATGCCAAGTGCAGGAAGGCATTTGCTATGGATTAAATTGTGTCCTCCCACAAATTCTAATGTTGAAGGCCCAACACCTGATGTGATGGTGTTTGGAGATGGGACGTTTGGGAGGTGATTAGGTTTAGGGGAAGTCGGGAGGGAGGGACCCTCATGATGGCATTAGTGTCTTTATAAGAAGAGACACCAGAGTGCTCTTCTGCTTGTGAGGACACAAGGAGAAGGCAGCTGACTGCAAGCCAGGAAGACAACCCACACCAGAACCCGACCATGCTGGTGCCCTGATCTCGACTTCCAGCCTCCAGTGAGAAAATAAATTCCTTTTGTTTAAGCCATGCTGTCTATGGCATTTTGCTATGGCACCTGGAGCTAACCAATACGGCACTTCAGTCTTTGTTGAATGAATGACTGAATGAATATACAATCTCCTGTAGTAATCAAGAGTTACATTTTGTAATCTGAGTGGTTCTGGATAATTTTTTTAAGTATCCATTCACCAGGAGTTCACACTATATTTGCGAAGCCATTGTGACATGGAGCTTTATTAAATGACATGGAGCTTTATTAAATACAACTTGTCTATTTTTCTTTGGTACTCTTATCACAAATCCTTATTATTCTAAACTGTACTGAAAGATACCTCCAGGCAAAGTTCATGTGCACAGCTGGCCATGAGTTCATAAGTCTTAACCAACCAGGCTTATCTATTAAATAGCTTAAAAAAAAAAAAAGTACTGGCCAGTTGTTTGAATTGTTCAAAAGTTTTAACACCATGTAGACAAATCCACAAAGTTCTGAACATCTCCAGAGGACATGTGCCCAAGGTGGTCAGGGCATAGCTGGTTTGTTTGTTTGTTTAAAAATTTTTTCTTTCCATAGGTTTTTGGGGAACAAGTGGTATTTGGTTACATGAGTAAGTTCTTTAGTGGTGATCTGTGAGATTTTGGTGCACCCCTCACCTGAGCAGTATACATTGAACCCAATTTATAGTCTTTTATCCCTCACCCTCTTCCCAGCTTTTCCCCCAGAGTCCTCAAAGTCCATTGTGTCATTCTTATGCCTTTGCATCCTCATAGCTTAGCTCCCACTTATGAGTGAGAACATACAATATTTGCTTTTCCATTCCTGAGTTACTTCACCTAGAATAATACTCTCCAATCCCATCCATTCATTCCTTTTTACGGTAAAAGCTAAAATTTAAATTTTCTTTGTTTGTTAAAAAAAAGATATTGGTTATTCTGAGCAACTTCATGTTAGGGAAGGTCAATTTTTGCCTTTTTCTGGATAAAAAGTTCAGGACTCCTGAGTCGTTTCTTTGCTGCTAGTGCCAAAGAACACTCAACAAGAACCATTCAGTCTTAGAACCTTAGTTCACCTTCAGCACATTCTACAGAGAAAATTCTGGTTGTGCTACTGGTAGCCAAATTACATCTATGTGACTATATACTCAGGTATGCTAAGCAATTACTGGCATTCTACCAATAAAAACAAATATTATTAACTAACCTTAATTAAGCCATCACCATATGCTATGCACTGTAATAAATAATTTAACCAAATAATTTAATCTGATACAATGATGCTAGGAGGTAGATACCATTGTTGCCCCATTTTACAGCTGAGCAAACTAAGGCTTTAAGTAAGAAAGGAGCGCTGCTCAAGAAAACTAATAGTGGCTGGGTGCAGTGGTTCACACCTGTAATCCCAGCACTTTGGGAGGCCGAGGTGGGCCAATCACTTGAGGTCAGGAGTTTGAGACCAGCATGGCCGACATGGTGAAACCCTGTCTCTACTAAAAATACAAAAATTAGCTGGGCGTGGTAGCATGCACCTGTAATCTGAGCTACTCTGGAGGCTGAGGCACAAGAATCACTTAAACCCAGGAGGCAGAGGTTGCAGTGAGCCGTGATCGCACCACTGCACTCCAGCCTGGGCAACAGAGTGAGACTCTGTCTCAAAAAAAAAAGAAAAGAAAAGAGAGAGAGAGAAAGAAAAGAAAACTAACAGTGCCGATAATGACTGAATAAACTTGGTCTAAGTACTTAAAAGAACACATTATTTTCCAGTTAAGATGTCCTTGTTTGTATGCAGAGAACATGATAATTTTGAAGAATTCCTGTCTAGTCATTAAACAGTTGCCCTACGGGAATAGCATACAATAATCTGTTAGCCTAGTTCAAGTTCCTCACATGCTTCAAAGTAATAACATTGCAAGCTCCATGAGAGAACAATCATGAAATTTTTTTTCATACAGCATGTGTTTGGTAGATAGAAACCCCTCAGTAAATGTTTTTGATTAAATAAATGAATTCAATCTTTTAAATTTTCTTTAATTAAATGTCACTAAAACTTTAGACTACTTCCCTCTGTGTTTCTTTGAGTGGTAAAGTTTTATTAAATTAAATCTTTACCTTTAGTGGATTTATAATCATTTCCCTTGCTTTCTTCCTAACAAGGTGGCCTGTGCCCTACTCACATCTGTTGGAAATTTGTACTGCCTTGCTAAGCCCAGAAAATGATGGGGAATTTATTTTCTCTTCTATGGGTGCATTAATTAGTTCTGTGATGAATGCAGGACCAATAGCTAATATCACAATTACAAAATTCCAATCACTAAGTCTCTTCTGGTGAAAAACAAACAAATTTGGCAGTTGAAAAAGAGGATAGTGGGATTCAAGTGCTAATTTACAACCACTCAATGAATGTTTTCTGCAATTGTTGGTGCTGTGAACACTGTCTTGAATAGCCAGATTCTTGGCATCTCCCTAATGTTACCCAACCTCTCTCCCCACAGCCTTTCCCCATCCTTCTTTCCCTACTGAACCGGTGCTTGATGCCCTCAGCAGATGTGAGACAGCAGAGCTGTCAAAGGCCTGGTTCTGAATGGCAATGAATACCCGTTTCAGCCCCAGCTCCCAGAATGGCAGCTACCCACTTCAAGAAAAACTAAACCACCCCCAGAGAAGCCAGCTTGATGAATTATAGGTCTGCCTCTCACTGGATTTCCTCAACACTGAAATGTCACTTTTCTCTGCACCTTGCATGACTATAAGCCACATTCTGGCTACTTCTTGGGAGTTTTCAGATTGTTGATTTTATTTAGTTAATTCAGTTTTTAAATATTTCCTGTTTCCTTTATACTGTAAACTCACCTTAGCACAAATGATTAAGTTTCATTGCTATGACCCACCTAAAAATAAAGGTGTATATACTCTAGGACCGTGCTGGTCATATACCATTAGGATTATCTAATTGTTAGAAATGTATATAGAATCTCGAGCCCAACCCCAGGCCTACTAAGAGAGAATTTGAATTTTAACAAGATGCCCAGGTGATTCAGATGCAGAGTAAAATGTGAGACTCACTACCCTAAGAGACAGAGTAGGAAGTAGGCAATCACCCAAATAAAACACAACACATTTTAGTGCACTATGCATTCTATCCAATCTCAGAAAATAAATGTCACTTGCAAGGTGCACAGATCATCTCTTCTTTGCCTTAGTCTTTGGGCGAGTGCGTGTGTGTGTGTGTGTGTGTGTGTGTGTGTGTGTGATTAGCACCTCGGCATTTGTTTGATAGACTACGATGCAAACCTTTACCAGCGTCTATTTTTTTTTAATCTCTGCACTGGCTTCGGCTTTAAAGTTTTCAATTCCTATGTGATTGATTGCTTTCTTCTGATTCCTACATACCTTTTCATTGCTAGTAAGAGGCAGTTATCTGGGGGATTTCTACCAGATGTACAGGGTTACGTGAGACTATTTGTACCTTATCAACCAAAACAAGACAGGTAAGCTCAAAATAATCTTTGATTTTTAAAACCCATCAGAGAACTGAGGGAGCAAAGAAACCTAAATGAACCAAACTCAAGCAAGTGACAAGCTCCACATATGAAAGGAGAGACTCATGGTCATTGTCACCTCTGGGGGAATGGCAGAAGGAAGACGAGTCTGTGAACAGCAGGGATGAGAACTCAGCTGCAATTTTAACAAGCTTGGAATGGCTGCCTGTGGGCGGAGGAGCCCCAGCCACAGAGGGAGTCTGCACCTGCCTGCCTCCTCTTTCCCGAGAGTCTTCACATCATGCTGGGAATAGTTCACCAAAGCTGGGGGAAGAAAAAAATGGCTAGGGGAAACTCCTTGAGGTGTTTTGGGCCTTCATAGAGTCTAGAAAGTTTCTAGAGCCAGTGAGGAGCCAAAGGGCTGAGAGACTTCTCCAGAGGTACAGAAAGCAGGGAAGCAAAGGGCAACGAGAAATCAAAAAGCTATCAGCTGGGCTGTAAAGCAGGCTGCGATCCCCCACAGTTCTGAAGTCTGTCAGCTCACTTTTGAAATAAAAGCCGATCTCAAGAATCTCACCAGTGCTCAGATACCCAGTTCTGCTGAAGACAAAGTCCTAATCCCACCCTCAAAACATTGAGAACAGTTGTGAACGGAATTAAACTAAAGCTACAACAATGCCCAGACCCAGATCAATTACAGATCAGATAGACTCAGCTCCTTGCAGAAGGGGCTTGCTCTTTTCTTTTTTTTGGAGGTAAATATTATTTATTTTGTATTCATTCTACTTTTATTTCAAAGTATTCAGTGTGCAATAAAAAATTTCAAGGTCTGTGAAAAAGCAAGAAAATAGGTCTCATGGTTAAGATAGAAAATAATCAATAGAATCAGATCCAGAGCTAGCTTAAAAGTTAAAATTATCAGACTGAGATATTAAAATAAAAAACATCTATAATATAAAAATGTTAAAGGACCTCATGGAAAAGAGGACAACATTCATGAAGAGATGGGGAATTTCAAAAAAGTGGTGGAAACTAGAAAAAAAGAACCATATGGAAATGCTAAAAATGAAAAACACAATATCAAAAATAAATTCATTAGTAGCAGCTTAGTAGCAGACTCAACAGCAGAGGAAACTGAGCATCTGACAGTATTTGGGTTAATTTCAAACAACCCAACATATGTGCAAATGGAATCCCAAAAATAAGAGAACAGGGACAGCATGGCAGAAGAAATCATTAAAGCTTTATTGGTCAAGACTTACCAAAATTGATTGAAGATCTCAACTCATAGAATCAAGAAGTTCCACATCCACGTTGTGTGTCAGGGGAGAGTTGGGGGTGGGAGGAGAACCAAGAACCTTAACGCACCCACAAGGAGAATAAATAAGGAAAAAGCAGCACCTAAACAAATCACAGCCAAACTGCTGAAAAGCAGCGGTAAGTGGTAAATCTGAAAAGCAATCAAAGGGGGGAAAAATACATAAATATAAGGGAATAATGATAGAAATAACAGATGACTTTTCACTAGAATCGATGGAGGCCAGAAGACAATAGAACATCTTTAAAGTGCTAAAAGAAAAACACTGTCAAACTAGAATTCTATAGCCAGTGAAAAGATACTTTAAAAATGAAGGTGAAGGCCAGGCACGGTGGCTCAAAGCTGTAATCCCAGCACTTTGGGAGGCCGAGGCAGGCGGATCACGAGGTCAGGAGTTTGAGACCAGCCTGGCCAACATGGTGAAACTCCGTCTCTACTACAAATACAAAAAATTAGCTGGGCATGATGGCAGGTGCCTGTAATCCCAGCTACTCAGGAGGCTGAGGCAGGAGAATCGCTTGAACCTGGTAGGTGGAGGTTGCAGTGAGCTGAGACTGCACCACTGCACTCCAGCCCGGGCAACAGAGCGAGACTCTGTCTCAAAAAAAAAAAAAAAAAAAAAAAGGTGAAATAAAGTCATTTTCAGACAGGTAAAAATTGGGAAGATTCATCTCCATTGGACCCATGCTACAAGAAAAGCTGGCATAAGTTTTTCTGACTGAACAGAAAAGATAGCAGAAGGAAACTCAGATCTGTAGGAAGAATTTAAGACTCCCAGAAAACGTTTTAAAAAATGGATACAGCCAGGTGTGGTGGCTCACGCCTGTAATCCCAGCATTTTGGGAGGCCAAGGCAGGTGGATCACTTGAGGTCAGGACTTAGAGACCAGCCTGGCCAACATGGTGAAACCTCATCTCTACTGAAAATATAAAAATTAGCTGGGCATCATGGTGTGCACATGTAATCCCAGCTACCCAGGAGGCTGAGGCATGAGAATGGCTTAAACCCAGGAGGCGGAGTTTGCAGTGAGCCGAGATCATGCCACTGCACTCCAGCCTGGGTGACAGACAGACTCCATCTCAAAGAGAAAAAAAAAAAAAAAAAAAGGCCAGGTGTGGTGGCTCACGCCTGTAATCCCAGCACTTTGGTAGGCTGAGGCAGGTGGATCACCTGAGGACGGGATTTCAAGACCAGCCTGACCAGCATGGAGAAACCCTGTCTCTACTAAAAATAGAAAAATTAGCCGGGTGTGGTGGTGCATGCCTGTAATCCCAGCTACTCAGGAGGCTGAGGCAAAAGAATTGCTTGAACCCGGGAGGCAGAGGTTGTGGTGAGCTGAGATCGCGCCAGTGCACTCCAGCCTGGGTGACAAGAGCTAAACTCTGTCTCAAAAAAAAAAAAAAAAACAAAAAAACAAAAAAACTATGTTAAAGGTCTTTTACAAAGAAATATTTATATATCTATTTGTGTATGTGTGTGTATATAATATTTGAAAAGATAATTGATTGTTTAAAGCAAAAAACCAATATATTGTGAGGTTTATTACATATTTGGGAATAAAGAGTAAAATGTCAGATAATAAGAGCACAAAATGTTGGTGGGGGAAGAAATAGAATTATACTGTTGTAAAGTTCTTGCACTATCTGTGAAGTTGTATAATAATTTTTTTTAGTATACTATTTGAAGGTAAATGCAGAGAATAATTTCTAGAATAGTGGTTCTCAAAATGTAGTTCCCAGACTTATACCACCAGCATCATCTGAAAACTTACTAGAAATGAATATTTTTGAGCAATATCACAGACCTACTAGATAAGGAGCTCTAGGAGTACGGCCCAGAAATCTATGTTTTAATAAAAGCACTAGGTGTTTCTAATGTATGTAAAGTTTAAGAACCACTGCTCTAGAACAGCCACTAAAAATACACCACGAGAAATACAGCTAAAAACAAGAGATAAAATGGAATGATTAAAAAATGCAAAAAGGGGCTAGGTGTTGTGGCTCATGCCTGTAATCCCAGCACTTTGGGAGGCTGAGGTGGGTGGATCACTTGAGGCCAGGAGTTTGAGACCAGCCTGGCCAACACAGTGAAACTCCAACTCTACCACAAATAGGAAAAATTAGCTGGGTGTGGTGGCACACACCTGTAATCCCAGCTACGGGGGAGGCTGAGGCATGTGAATTGCTTGAAACCATGACGCAGAGGTTGCATTGAGCAGAGACCGTGCCACTGCACTCCAGCCTAGGCAATAGAGTGAGACACCATCTCAAAACAAAAAATACATAAATAAAAATAAAAATGCAATATGGGCTGGGCACAGTGGCTCATGCCTGTAATCCCAAGACTTTGGGAGGCTGACATGGGAGTATCACTTGAGGCCAGGAGTTCAAGACCAGCCTGGGCAACATAGTACGACCCCATTTCAAAAAAAAAATTAATTAAAAAGAATGCAGTATACCAAAAATGAGGCAAGAAAGTAGAAGCAGAAACAAAGAATAAAAGGCATAAGTAGAAAATAATACCAATATGGGAGAATTAACTCAGATTAGTAATTATATCAAATATAAACATATTAAACACTTAAAAGGCAGAGATTGTCAGATTAATATAAAAGTAAGATCCAACAATATGATCTTGACAAATACAAAATTATAAGGACATAGTTTAAGGCTAGGTACAGTGGCTCACGCCTGTAATTCCAGCACTTTGAGGCCAAGGCAGGAGAACTGCTTGAGGCCAGGAGTTTGAGACCATCCTGGGCAACACAGCAAGACCCCATTTCAGGGCTGTGGTGAGACACGCCTGAAGTTCCAGCTACTTGTGAGGCTGAGGCAGGAGGATTGCTTGAACCCAGAAGTTCAAGGTTACAGTGAGCTGTGATCTCACCACTGCACTCCAGCCTGGGCAACAGAGTGAGACCCTGTCTCTAAAAAACAGAATAAAATAAATACAATATAAAAAGTCATAGTTTGAAAGCACAAGGGTAGAAAAAATATACCACACAAACATTAAGTATAAAAAAGCAGGTGTGGTTATATTAATATTAAGATAGGCTTCAGAATAATTATATTACTAGAGATAAAGAGGAAAAGTATTAATGATAAAAGAGAAACTCATCAAAAGGATCTATCAATACTAAGTGTGTATGCAATTACGAACGGACTTCCAGCCGGGTGCGGTGGCTCATGCCTGTAATCCCAGCACTTTAAGATGCTGAGGTGGGTGGATCACCTGAGGTCGGGAGTTCAAGACCGGCCTGAACAACATGGAGCAACCCTGTCTCTACTACAAATACAAAATTAGCCAGGTGTGGTGGCGCATGCCTGTAATCCCAGCTACTCAGGAGGCTGAGGCAGGAGAATCACTTGAACCTGGGAGGTGGAGGTTGCCGTGAGCCAAGATCATGCCATTGTACTCCAGCTGGGGCAACAAAACCAAAATTCCGTCTCAAAAAAAAAAAAAAAAAAAAAAAAAAAGAATGGAGTCCCAAAATGCAAAAGCAAAATTTGACAGAAACAGACAAATTGACTGGGTATGGTGGCTCACACTCTAATCCCAGTACCTTGGGAGGCTGAGGTGGGAGAATCCCACTTGAGGCTAGGAGTTCAAGACCAGCCTGTGCAAAACAGTGAGACTCTGTCTCTACAAAACATAAAAAAAAAAAAAAAAACAATTAGCTGTGAATAGTGGTACATGCCTGTAGTCCCAACTACCTGGGAGTCTGATGTGGGAGGATCGCTTGAGCCTACGAGTTTGAAGTTATGGTGAGCTATGATTGCACCACTGCACCCCAGGCTGGGTGACAGAGTGAGATCCCATCTTAAAAAAAAAAATAGAAAGAAAACAGAAAAGAAAAGAAAGAAATGGACAAATCTACAATCATAGTTGGAGTGATTTTTAAGACTCTTGTCTCAGTAATTGATAGGACAAATAGGCAAAAAACCAATAGAGATATATTATATTTGAGCAACACTGTCAACCAACTTGACTCAACTGATTTTATAAAATGTTACCACAAATGTAGAATACGCATTTGTTTGTATTTGAACCCACATAAAACATTCATTAAGATGGATTATATGCTGGGCAATGAAAGACGTTTTAATAACTGTTAAAAATTAAAATCTGGCTGGGCATGGTAGCTCACATCTGTAATCCCAGTACTTTAGGAGGCTGAAGTAGGAGGATTGCTTGAGTCCAGGAGTTCGAGACCAGCCTGAAGAATATAACAAGATCCCATCTCCACAAAAAATACCAAAATTATCTGGTCACAGTGGCACATGCCTGTAGTACCAGCTACTTGGAAGTCTGAGGCCATGATTGTACCATTGCACTCAGCCTGGGCAACAGAATGAGACCCTCTCTGAACAACAAAAACAAAAAATTAAAATCTAATACAGTGTATCTTCTGACCAAATAGTAATAAATTAGAAATCAATAATTAAAAGATACCTGGCACTACACACCTATTTAAACATCTAAAATTAAAAATAATGACAATACAAAATGCTAGTAGGGATGCAGAGAAACTAGATCTCTCATGCATTGCGATGGGAAATATAAAATGGGAGCCTACCAGCTGGTATAGAAGGGAATGGGTAGGAGGAACTGGGTGCTGACTCATTCAGCACTGTCCCTTTTCTATACTGCTGATACATCCCATGGTTCTGAGAAGCCTTATCTCAGTCTATTTGGAAGAGAGGGAGGAAGAGAAGGAAGTAACCCAAAGTACTACTCATTCATCCTTGTATATTGATTAGTTAAAGGGATAATTAATTTTCTGCTGAGGAGAATTTGACAGATTTTGAAAATGAGTAAAGGCAAAAAAAATTTTTTTAGCCTTTATTTTGCCTGTTGGAATTTTACAGAGTCAAAGTAGGCAGAATAAGAAAATAGCTCTTCAGGAGGGCTGACCCTTAAAGAACTGCAACATAGTTTTGGAATTGTGGGGAAGAGAAGAGTGACTGAGCTGAGGAGTAATAACAGGAGAATAAAGTCTTGAGTAACTTAAAAAAATAAAAGTTAATAAATAAGTAAATAAATAAATGGTACAGCTATGCTGGCAAATAGTTTATCAGTGTCTTAAAAAAATCTACATTACAAAATGACCTAGTAATTGCATTCCTGGGCATTTATCTCAGAGAAAAGAAAATTTATATGCACACAAAAATGTGCACATAAATTTTTATAGCAGATTTGTTTGTAGTAGCCCAAAATTGGAACAATTCAAATCTCTTCAGTGGGTGAATAAGTAAACAAATTATGGTACATCCATATCATGGAATACTACTCAATGATAAAAGAGAAACTTACTACTGATACACAAAACCACTTGGATAAATCTCAAGAGAACTATACTGAGTGAAACAAAGTCCATCTCAAAGGTTATATATGATGTGACTCTATTTATATAACATTCTTCTTAAATTTTTTAATATTTATTTTTAATTTTTTAATATACAGACAGGGTCTGTATGTTGCCCAGGCTGGTGTCAAACTCCTGGCTTCAGGTTATCCTCCTGCCTTGACCTCCCATAGTGCTGAGATTATAGGCATGAGCCACCATGCCTGGCCTATATAACATTCTTGAAATAATAAAATTACAGAGATGGAGAATAGATTGATTGCCAGGGCTGTGGGACAGGTGAGAAGAAGGGAATGGGTATGACTATGGAGGGGTAGCATGAGGGAATTTTACTGTGATAGAACAGTTTTGCATCTTGATTGTGGTGGTGATTACACTAATCTACACCTGTGATGAAATTGCATAGAACTATATATGCACCTACATACAAGTTGAATGCATGTAAAACTGGTGAAATATGAATATATACCTGTGGATTGCACCAATGTCAATGTCCTTGTTTTGACATTGTATTATAGTCATGTAAGATTTTTACCATTGGACGAAACTGAGTGAAGATACATGGAAATTCTGTGTATTATGTTTGTAATTTCTTGTGATATTATTATCATTATTATTTGAGACAGGGTCTAGCTCTGTCACCCAGGCTGGAGTGCAGCGGCATGATCTCGGCTCACTGCAACCTCTGCCTCCTGGGTTCAAGTAATCCTCTCATCTCAGCCTCCTGAGTAGCTGGGACTATAGGTGTGTGCTGCTATACCTGGCTAATTTTTTTTTTATTTTTTCAGAAACAATGTTTCACCATATTGCCCAGCTGGTCTCAAACTCCTGAGCTCAAGCAATCTGTCCGCTTTGACCTCCCAAAGTGCTGGGATTACAGGCATGAGCCACAGCACCCAGCCTATAATTATTTTAAAAGAAAAAGTTACCTGGAAAATTCATAAATATTTGGAAATTAAGCAACACTCTTGTAAATAAACTATAAATAAATGAAAAATTACAAAAAACATTAGAATACATTTTGACCTAAACAATTTAAAAAAACCAAACATACCAAACATTGTGGAATGCTATGAAAGCAGTGCTCAATGAAAAATTTTAGTTTTAAATGCCTTATTAAAAGTAAGTAACAGGGACTGGTTCCACAATGGCCAAATAGGAACAGCTCCAGTCGACAGCTACCAGTGTGAGTGACATAGAAGACGGGTGATTTCTGCATTTCCAACTGAGGTACCGGGTTCATCTCACTGGGACTTGTTGGACAGTGTGTGCAGCCCATGGAGTGTGAGCCGAAGCGGGGCAGGGCATCGCCTCACCTGGGAAGCTCAAGGGGTCAGGGAACTCCCTTTCCTAGCCAAGGGAAGCCATGACAGATGGTACCTGGAAAATCAGGACACTCCCACCCTAATACTGCGCTCTTCCAACGGTCTTAGCAAAGGCCACACCAGGAGATTATATTCCATGCCTGGTTTGGTGGGTCCCATGCCCACAGAGCCTTGCTCACTGCTGGCACAGCAGTCCAAGAATGGACTGTGAGGTGGCAGCAAGGCTGGGGGAGGGGTGTCTGCCATTGGTGAGGCTTTACTATGTAAACAAAGCTGCCAGGAAGCTCGAACTGGGTGGAGCCCACCACAGCTCAAGGAGGCCTGTGTGCCTCTGTAGACTCCACCTCTGGGGGCAGGGCATAGCTGAACAAAAGGCAGCAGAAACTTCTGCAGACTTAAACGTCCCTGTCTGACAGCTTTGAAGAGAGTAGTGGCTCTCCCAGAACGGAGTGTGAGATCTGAGAACGGACAGACTGCTTCCTTAAGTGGGCCCCTGCCCCCTGAGTATCCTAACTGGGAGACACCTCCCAGTAGGTGCAGACTGACACCTCATAAAGCCGGGTGACCCTCTGAGACGAAGCTTCCAGAGGAAGGATCAGGCAGCAACATTTGCTGTTCTGCAATATTTGCTGTTCTGCAGCCTCTGCTGCTGATACCCAGGCAAACAGGGTCGGGAGTGGACCTCCAGCAAAATCCAACAGACCTGCAGCTGAGGGACCTGACTGTTAGAAAGAAAACTAACAAACAGAAAGGAATAGCATCAACATCAACAAAAAGGACATCCACACCAAAACCCCATCTGTAGGACACCATCATCAAAGACCAAAGGTAGATAAAACCACAAAGGTGGGGAGAATCCAGAGCAGAAAAGCTGAAAATTCTAAAAATCAGAGCGCCTCTTCTCCTCCAAAGGATCACAGCTCCTCACCAGCAATGGAACAAACCTGGACGGAGAATGACTTTGACGAGTTGACAGAAGTAGGCTTCAGAAGATCGGTAATAACGAACTTCTCCGAGCTAAAGAAGGATGTTCGAACCCATTGCAAAGAAGCTAAAAACCTTGAAAAAAGATTACACGAATGGCTGACTAGAATAAAGAGCGTAGAGAAGACCTTAAAGGACCTGATGGAGCTGAAAACCATGGCACAAAAACTATGTGACGCATGCACAAGCTTCAGGAGCCAATCCGATCAAGTGGAAGAAAGGGTATCAGTGATTAAAGATCAAATGAATGAAATGAAGAAAAGGAGAAGTTTAGAGAAGAAAGAGTAAAAAGAAATGAACAAAGCCTCCAAGAAATATGAGACTATGTGAAAAGACCAAACCTACATTTGATTGGTGTACCTGAAAGTAATGAGGAGAATGGAACCAAGTTGGAAAACACTCTGCAGGATATTATCCAGGAGAACTTCCCCAGCCTAGCAAGGCAGGCCAACATTCAAATTCAGGAAATACAGAGAACGCCACAAAGACACTCCTTGAGAAGACCAACCCCAAGACACATAATTGTCAGATTCACCAAGGTTGAAATGAAGGAAAAAATGTTAAGGGCAGCCAGAAAGAAAGGTTGGGTTACCCACAAAGGAAAGCCCATCAGACTAACAGTGGATCTCTCAGCAGAAACTTTACAAGCCAGAAGAGAGTGGGGGCCAATATTCAACATTCTTAAAGAAAAGAATTTTCAACCCAGAATTTCATATCCAGTCAAACTAAGCTTCATAAGTGAAGGAGAAATAAAATCCTTTACAGACAAACAAATGCTGAGAGATTTTGTCACCACCAGGCCTGCCCTAAAAGAGCTCCTGAAGGAAGCGCTAAACAAGGAAAGGAACAACCAGTACCAGCCACTGCAAAAACATGCCAAATTGTAAAGACCATTGATGCTAGGAAGAAACTGCATCAACTAACGAGCAATGACATCATAATGACAGGATCAAATTCACACATAACAATATTAACCTTAAATGTAAATGGGCTAAACGCCCCTATTAAAAGACACAGACTGGCAAATTGGATAAACAGTCAAGACCCATCAGTGTGCTATATTCAGGAGACCCATCTCACATGCAGAACACACATAGGCTCAAAATAAAGGGATGGAAGAAGATCTACCAAGAAAATGGAAAACAAAAAAAAAGCAGGGGTTGCAATCCTAGTCTTGGATAAAACAGACTTTAAACCAACCAACAAAGATCAAAAGAGACAAAGAAGGCCATTACATAATGGTAATGGGATCAATACAACAAGAAGAGCTAACTATCCTAAATATACATGCACCCAATACAGGAGCACCCAGATTCATAAAGCAAGTCCTTAGAGACCTACAAAGAGACTTAGACTCCCACACAATAATAATGGGAGACTTTAACGCCCCACTGTCAACATTAGATAGATCAACGAGACAAAAAGTTAACAAGGATATCCAGGACTTAAACTCAGCTCTGCACCAAGTGGACCTAATAGACATCTACAGAACTCTCCACGCCAAATCAACAGAATATACATTCTTCTCAGCACCACATTGCACTTATTCCAAAATTGACCACATAGTTGGAAGTAAAGCACTCCTCAGCAAATGTAAAAGAACAGAAATTACAACAAACTGTCTCTCAGACCACAGTGCAATCAAATTAGAACTCAGGATTAAGAAACTCACTCAAAACCACGCAGCTACATGGAAACTGAACAACCTGCTCCTGAATGACTACTGGGTAAATAACGAAATGAAGGCACAAGTAAAGATGTTCTTTGAAACCAATGAGAACAAAGACACAATATACTAGAACCTCTGGGACACACTTAAAGCAGTGTGTAGAGAGAAATTTATAGCACTAAATGCCCACAAGAGAAAGCAGGAAAGATCTAAAATCGACACCCTAACATCACAATTAAAAGAACTAGAGAAGCAAGAGCAAACACATTCAAAAGCTAGCAGAAGGCAAGAAATAACTAAGATCAGAGCAGAACTGAAGGAGATAGAGACACAAAAAGCCCTTCAAAAAATCAATGAATCCAGGAGCTGGTTTTTTGAAAAGATCAACAAAATAGATAAACCGCTAGTAAGACTAATAAAGAAGAAAAGAGAGAAGAATCAAATACACGCAATAAAAAAATGATAAAGGGGATATCACCACCAATCCCACAGAAATACAAACTACCATCAGAGAATACCATAAACACCTCTACGCAAATAAACTAGAAAATCTAGAAGAAATGGATAAATTCCCCAACACATCCACCCTCCCAAGACTAAACCGGGAAGAAGTTGAATCCCTGAATAGATCAATAACGGGCTCTGAAATTGAGGCAATAATTAAGAGCCTACCAACCAAAAAAAGTCCAGGACCAGAAGGATTCACAGCCGAATTCTACCAGAGGTACAAAAAGGAGCTGGTACCATTCCTACTGAAACTATTCCAATCAATAGAAAAAGAGGAATCCTCCCTAACTCATTTTATGAGGCCAGCATCATCTTGATACCGAAGCCTGGCAGAGACACAACCAAAAAAGAGAATTTTAGACCAATATCCCTGACGAACATTGATGCAAAAATCCTCAATAAAATACTGGCAAACCAAATCCAGCAGCACATCAAAAAGCTTATCCACCATGATCAAGTTGGCTTCATCCCTGGGATGCAAGGCTGGCTCAACATACGCAAATCAATAAACGTAACCCGTCATATAAACAGAACCAAAGACAAAAACCACATGATTATCTCAATAGATGCAGAAAAGGCCTTTTGACAAAATTCAACAGCCCTTCAGGCTAAAAACTCTCAATAAACTAGGTATTGATTGGACATATCTCAAAATAATGAGAGCTAACTATGACAAACCCACAGCCAATATCATACTGAATGGGCAAAAACTGGAAGCATTCCCTTTGAAAACTGGCACAAGACAGGGATGCCCTCTCTCACCACTCCTATTCAACATGGTGTTGGAAGTTCTGGCCAGGGCAATTAGGCAGGAGAAGGAAATAAAGGGTATTCAATTAGGAAAAGAGGAAGTCAAATTGTCCCTGTTTGCAGATGACATGATTGTATTTTTAGAAAACCCCATCATCTCAGCCCAAAATCTCCTTAAGCTGATAAACAACTTCAGCAAAGTCTTAGGATACAAAATCAATGTGCAAAAATCACCAGCATTCTTATACACTAATAACAGACAAACAGAGAGCCAAATCATGAGTGAACTGCCATTCACAATTGCTTCAAAGAGAATAAAATACCTAGGAATCCAACTTACAAGGGATGTGAAGGACCTCTTCAAGGAGAACCACAAACCACTGCTCAGTGAAATAAAAGAGGATACAAACAAATGGAAGAACATTCCATGCTCATGGGAAGGAAGAATCAATATCGTGAAAATGGCCATACTGCCCAAGGTAATTTAGAGATTCAGTGCCATCCCTATAAAGCTACCAATGACTTTCTTCACAGAATTGGAAAAAACTACTTTAAAGTTCATATGGAACCAAAAAAGAGCCCGCATTGCCAAGACAATCCTAAGCAAAAAGGGCAAAGCTGGAGGCATCACGCTACCTGACTTCAAACTATACTACAAGGCTACAGTAACCAAAACAGCATGGTACTGGTACCAAAACAGAGATATAGACCAATGGAACAGAACAGAGCCCTCAGAAATAATGCCACATATCTACAACTATCTGATCTCTGACAAACCTGACAAAAACAAGCAATGGGGAAGGGATTCCTTATTTAATAAATGGTGCTGGGAAAACTGGCTAGCCATATGTAGAAAGCTGAAACTGGATCCTTTCCTTTCACTTTATACAAAAATTAATTCAAGATGGATTAAAGACTTACATGTTAGACCTAAAACCATAAAGACCGTCGAAGGAAACCTAGGCAATACCATTCAGGACATAGGCATGGGCAAGAACTTCATGTCTAAAACACCAAAAGCAATGGCAACAAAAGCCAAAATTGACAAATGGGATCTAATTAAACTAAAGAGCTTCTGCACAGCAAAAGAAACTACCATCAGAGTGAATAGGCAACCTACAGAAGGGGAGAAAATTTTTGCAATCTACTCATCTGACAAAGGGCTAATATCCAGAATCTACAATGAACTCAAACAAATTTACAAGAAAAAAACAAACAACCCCATCAAAAAGTGTGCGAAGGATAGAACAGACACTTCTCAAAAGAAGACATTCATGTAGCCAAAAGACCCATGAAAAAATTCTCATCATCACTGGCCATCAGAGAAATGCAAATCAAAACCACAATGAGATACCATCTCACACCAGTTAGAATGGCGATCATTAAAAAGTCAGGAAACAACAGGTGCTGGAGAGGATGTGAAGAAATAGGAACACTTTTACACTGTTGGTGGGACTGTAAACTAGTTCAACCATTGTGGAAGTCGGTGTGGCGATTCCTCAGGGATCTAGAACTAGAAATACCATTTGACCCAGCCATCCCATTACTGGGTATATACCCAAAGGATTATACATCATGCTGCTATAAAGACACATGCATGCATATGTCTACTGAGGCACTATTCACAATAGCAAAGACTTGGAACCAATCCAAATGTCCAGCAATGATAGACTGGATTAAGAAAATGTGGCACATATACATCATGGAATACTATGCAGCCATAAAAAATGATGAGTTCATGTCCTTTGTAGGGACATGGACGAAGCTGGAAACCATCATTCTCAGCAAACTATCGCAAGGACAAAAAACCAAACACCGCATGTTCTCACTCATAGGTGGGAATTGAATTAGAACACACGGACGCAGGGCAGGGAACATCACACACTGGGGCCTGTTGTGGGGTGGGGGGAGTGGGGAGGGATAGTATTAGGAGAAATACCTAATGTAAATGACGAGTTAATGGGTGCAGCACACCAACCTGGCGCATGTATATATATGTAACAAACCTGCACGTTGTGCACACGTACCCTAGAACTTAAAGTATAATAAAAAATAAAAAAGTAAGTAACAAGAAGAAAAGTTTAAAATCACATTACCTTGCATCACAAGAAACCAGAAAAAGTAGAGCAAATTAAATCCAAAATAAGTAAAAAAAAAAAAAAAAGAAAAAAAGAGAAAATTAATGAAATATAAGATGAACAAACAATAGAGAAAATCAATAATATCAAAATTTCGATCTTTGTAAAGTGTAATAAAATTGATAGGCCCCTTGGCAAGATAATCAAGAAAAATACATACATTAACAAAAACTTTTAAAAGGAGTGAGAAGGGGTTTATTACTACTGACTATAAACTTTGAAACTGATAAAACTTTATACCAATATATTGGCAAATTTAAGTGAAATAGACAAATTTCTTAAAAAACACAAATGAACAAAACTAATGAAAGAAGAAATTAAAAACTAAATAGCCTAATATCTGTTAATGGAATTATACTCATAGTAAAAATCTTTCCCCCAAAGAAAACTTCAGGCTCAGGTGGCTTCTCCATTTAAGGAAGAAATATTACCAATCCTACACAAGCTCCTTCAGAAAAGAAGTAATATTTCTCAACTTGTTTTATAAGACCAGCATTATCCTGATAAAGTATTAAGGCGAAAAAGAAATTTAAAAGATCAGAAAAGAAGTAAAGCTGTCATTGTTCACAAACAACATGTTTGCGTATGTGAAGAACCCTACCAAAAATACTACTCAAACTAATAAATGAATTTAGCAAGGTTATAGATACAAAAATTGACTGCATTTCTATATACACTCAATAAACAATTGGGAAATGTTTTAAAATTTACAGGCATATTTAAAAAAATCAAATAGCTAGGAACAGATCTAACAAAAGATGTGTAAGACCTCTCCATAGAAAACTACAAATATTGCTGAAAGAAATGAAGATGACATCATAAAAAAAAATGTAAAGCTATACCATATTCATAGATAAGAAGGCATAATATTGTTTAAATGTTCATTTTTCCTAAGCTGATCTATAGGTATGATGCAATTCCCATAGAAATTCTAGCAAGCTTCTTTGAAGAAAGAAAAAAGCTGAATCTAAAATTTATATGGTAATGCAAAGAACCCAAAATAGTCAAAACAATCTTTTTTTTTTAGATGATCTCACTCAGGCTGGAGTGCAGTGGTGTGATCTTGGCTGACTGCAGCCTCCGCCTCCTGGGTTCAAGCGATTCTCCTGCCTCAGCCTCCTGAGTAGCTGGGATTACAGGTGCCCACCACCATGACCGACTAATTTTTGTATTTTTAGCAGAGACGGGGTTTTACTATGTTGGCCAGGCTGGTCTCACACTCCTCACCTCATGTGATCTGCCCACCTCAGTCTCCCAAAGAGCTGGCATTACAGGCGTGCCAAAACAATCTTTAAAAAGAACGAAGTTAGAAGATTTACACCATCCAATTTTAAGATTTCTGTAAAGCTCCAGTAATCAAGATAGTGTGGTATTGGTGAAACCTAGACAAACAGACCAACGAAACAAAACAGAAAGTATATAAATAGAACCACACGGATATGGTTGATTGATTTTCAACAAAGTGGTGAAGTAAATCCGATTGGGAAGGGAAAGTCTTGTTAAGTATTGCTGGAACATAAAACTGAATCTTGACTCTTCTTTCACTCCATAAACAAAAAATTACTTTGAGACAGATCACAGACCTAAGTACAAAAATCTTATCTATAAAGTTTCTAGAGAAAAACATAGTATCTTTCTGACTTGAGTCATGCAAAATTTTTTGATAAAGACCCACGCACAAGCTGTAAAAGAAAATACTGATAGATTGGACTCTACCAAAACTAAAAATTCTACTCATAAAGGACATCATTAATAAAATCGTGTTTCTGACAAAGCACTTGTAATTAGAATATATAAGGAACTCCTAAAAGTCAACAATATAATGGCAAAGTTGCAGGATACGAGGTCAATATAGAAAATTGGATTGTATTTCCATATACAACAATTATAAAGGTAAGTAATCCAATTTAAAAACTAAGCAAAAGATGTGGACAAATACTTCAGAAAATAAGATATACCAATGGCCAATAAGCATATGAAAGAGTGCTCAACTTCATTATCAGGGTAATGCAAATTAAAATGACAATAAAATATTATTTCATACCCATTAGAATGGCTAAAATTTAAAAATCTGTCTACCCTAAACGTTAGTAAGGTTGTGGAGCAGCTGGAATTCTCATACATTGTTGGTGGTATTGTAAAATGGTAACACCTCTTTGGAGATCTGTTTGGCAATTTATAATAAAGTTCACATATATTTAATCTGTGACCCAAGAATTCCACTCCTAATATTTATCCAACATAAATGAGAACATACGTTCACAAAAGAACTTGAACATGAATGTTGATAGCAGCTTCATTCATAACAGCCCCAAACTGGAAACAACCTGAATATCCATTAACAGGGAACTAGATAAACTGTGCTATATGTGTATGATGAAATACACTCAGCAATAAAAAAGAACAAAATTCTAATACATGTGCTAATATGGTAGGATCTCAAAACTATATTGACAGAAACTTTGAAGAGTACATTCATTTATACGAATCTCAATAATGGACAAAGTTAATCTATAGTGATAGAAATCAGAAAGTAATTGTGGGGGTTGGGGGATTGATTGGAAAATGATATATAAAGAAACTTTCTGGGGTGATAAAAGTGTTCTGTATCTTGTGTGGGGCAGTGGCTACATAGGTGTACATTTACCAAAAATAATACACCAAACATTTAAGATCTGCATTTTATGTTTACCTCTCAATTAAAGAATTAAATGCCGTTATTTTTTAAAAGAGCAGAAAATGAGAAGGTTGATTATAAATAGGGAACAAAGGTAGGAATTAACAGATGTTTTCCTGAATGGAGACCTCTATACCATTGAGTCCAACCAGAATCAGCAATTTTATTTAACATTTTTATAAGTTATTTGGAAGATCTTCAAGTGTGCAGATGCCACTGATCTCTTTCTGGTGGGGCCAAGCCAAAAATACAACACTATCTCTAGAGTAAGGCAAGTTTTTATTTTTTATTTATTTTGAGACGGAGTCTCACCCTGTCGCCCAGGCTGGAGTACAGTGGCATGATCTCGGCTCAATGCAACCTCTGCCTCCTTGGTTCAAGCGATTCTCCTGCCTCAGCCTTCCAAGTAGCTGGGACTACAGGCGTGCACCACCATGCCCAGCTAATTTTTTAATTTTCTTAGTAGAGATGGGGTTTTACCATATTTGCTAGGCTGGTCTTGAACTCCTGACCTCATGATCCACCTGATTTGGCCTCCCAAAGTGCTAGGATTACAGGCGTGAGCCACTGTGCCCCACAGGCAAGTTTTTAAATTTCAGGTCATGATCCATTGGTGAGTGGTGAGATCAACTTAGTAAGTCATGACCTGAATACTTTTAATAAAACAGATGAGACTAAACTGGAAAGTATCAGAATGTATATAATAACAGTGAAATATTGTTCTGTGAAATTTTTGTCTGAAATGCATTGGATTGACTTTTTTTTTTTTTTTTTTTTTCCTGAGACGGAGTTTTGCTCTTGTTGCCCAAGGTGGAGTGCAATGGTGTGATCTCGGCTCACTCACTACAACCTCTGCCTCTTGGGTTCAAGCAGTTCTCCTATCTCAGCCTCCTAAGTAGCTGGGATAACAGGTGCCCGTCACTATGTCCGGCTGATTTTTGGTATTTTTAGTAAAGCTGGGGTTTTACCATGTTGGCCAGACTGGTCTCGAACTCCTGACCTCAGACGATCCGCCCGCCTTGGCCTCCCAAAGTGCTGGGATTACAGGCATGAGCCACCACACTCGGCCTGATTGACTTCTTTCTAAGTGGCTCAATTTTTTCTTTTTTCTTTTTTAAGAGAGCAATGGTTACTCAGGAGTATAGGAGAGAGGGTAGCGGTCACTTATTGCTATAGCCCAACCAAGCTTTGGCTGCCCTATGCTTAAATATACTTAAGATGTGTGTAAAGACATACGTGTGTGTATTGAGACATGATGTAAAATGTATTTCTTACCGTGAGCTGAGATAAAAATTTTTGAGGCTTCATAAGCAGGTAAAAAGTGATATCTGAGCAAGCAAGTTGTGGGGATGTATAGGGGAGCTTGGGGCTCTAAATTCTTGCACAGGAAGGGCCCGGGAGTTACTATAGATAGTAACAGTATAGACTCATTCAGCACACAGTGTAAGGCCACCAAGATGCTGAGTCCCAATAGGAAAGAAGAGAAAGATCCCATCTTTCTCTTGTACGAAATTATGTTCTCTCCCCACTTAGAAGAGACAAAACAGCAGGGACGGCTACAAAATGGCAGGATTACCCAGTGCAGCTGCTCAGTGCCACATTGCACAACTCCAGAGGGTGCTCTCACACAGACTGCAATGTGAATAGCTCCCCCTGGAGTTGAGCGGTGCACAACCCAAACAACCCTACCAGGCAACCGTAAGTATAGTGATTAAGAGCACAAGCTTTGGAGTCCAACAAACCTGGGGGCCTGTCTCAGACTGAATCCCAGACTATATAACCTGGGGCAGGTTATTTAGCCTCCTTGAGCCTCAATTTTCCAAACAGAATATGTTATACATCCCTAGGGCCTATTTCAGTGTCTGGCATTGAATAACAATAAACACGTGTCAAATGCATCGAGCTAATACTAGTACCTGCCTAAAAGGTGGTGGTGAGGAGCAAAGAAATTGACATACGAAAGGTTTTTAATATCTACAAAAGATGACAGACTGAAATAGTAACATTCTCCAGGATGGAAAGATCTATGCCACGTAGGAATTGTTTGTTCAAATTATTATTTTTTAAAAGCCATAAGCTATGGAGAGAATAACAGAGTTTTGTTTTGTTTTTTAATCCTGATACGGTGGAAGTCTGGTAGGATGGGAACCGTTCTTGAAGCTTGAGAATACATTCGGAACAAATAAAAAGTAGGAAATGCATACATTTTGTTATTTACAGTTGTAGGGCAGGTAAGGGCAAAACGTATTGATAAACTCAAAGAATTTTAAGAATGATATTGTCATGAGCCATGAGCCATGGAAGCTGCAAGGTTTGGGCTCCCTCCTGCCATCGGGTGGGGGGTGTCGGCGGAAGGGGGTACGTGTCCTGTCCTCTCCCAGTGCTTATTTCCTGCTGGAACCGTGGTTTTGACGCAGCCGTGACAGCCCTTCATCCTTATTAAAATCACACAATGAAGCAGGTCGCCCAAGATTGAAAGCGCGTTTCCAGGGCGGACCCCGGTCCCCGCCTTTGGCCAGCAAAAGTACATTCTGGCAGGGAGGGATCTCTGAGCCCCGAAGTGAGGTCATGCCAGTTAGCAGTTAGAAAAGGAGGCATTTCTCACACTTGCTAAAGAGTTTGACGCTTGTGAAATATAAACAGGAAGCGGGAGCTCTCCAAGGCGACCTGAAGGAAATACACTGCCAGTTTGGTCAACTTGTGAATGCCAGTTCTCTAGGTCGTCAAGGGCACTGCCAGTTAAGACTGATCCCCTAACTGCACCCGAGGCTACTACTCTTCGCCCAGTCTCGGCAGTGACCCCATTTTTTTTTCAATCCTTCCCACAGCCAGGTCACTCAGCAGTGGGGTGACTGACCCGAAGCGCAGTGGGAAGGGCTTACAGTCATCTCTCAACTCCCCGAACTTGCAGGGCAGGGGAGCGCAGAGGTCAGTGAAATCCCCAGCCAGGCCTTATTTTAGTCATGAGTTTCCACTGGCTCCCTCCTCTGACTGTATCAGCGCTGCTCACACCGCGGGATTGGAGTTTCAGCTGTTTTCCCTGCTCCCGGCTGAGTGAGAAGGTCACAGAGCCCGGACCTTTCCGGGGGAGGTGGGTGGGGCCCTCCGGCAGCCTAAGTGAGATTGCAGAGATCTGGGGCCGCTGGAGGAGGTCCTTCCGCCCCGGGCTTGGGGCTTTGGGTTAGCTTCTCCCCCGCTTCTCTACCTAGGCATCTCGGTTACAATGAAATTAAAAACAAAACACAAAGCAACACAAGTTCTCATTGTTTTTCCCCTCTGTCAGCCAGTGGCCTCGATACAATTTTCCCAGGGCTGCCTTTCCTTTATTGCTCAATTTAACCTCTTCCTAGAGGTTCTGCAAGTTCAAGGGCAGGATCCGTGTCGGATTCATCAACTAGTGCAGCGCCTAGTGCAGAGCAGGGGGCTCAAGAAATACGTGTCGACCGCATGATTGCTAAGATTTCCCTGTAACAGGCGGTTTTTTTTTCTTGTCTCTCTCATCCCTCCTGCCCTGGGTGCAGACCGCGAACAGCGCCGCCGAACTTCCCAACAGGCAGGGAGAGGGCCGATCCGGGCTGGCACGCCACGTCCCCGGGGTCTCAGTCCCTGGGTCAACGCAGAGAGGCTCGCGGTCCGCGGTGCTACGACCTGAGCCCGGCCACGTGAAGCGTCACGCCCTGCGCTGCTGCAGGGCAGGCGCCGCCGCCGCGGTTGTGTAACGCTGCAGCCGGAGGGGAGGCGACCGGGGCGCCTCTGCTCCGGAGGGGGCAGAGGAGGGAGGGAGCGCCGGGCACAGCGCCCGGTATCTTTCTGCGCTTGACTGGCCGGGAGGAAGGGGGTGACACTGGGGCACCCAGGGGGCTGCGCAACCGGGTGCCCGCCCGCCCGCAGGTTGTGCCCAGGAGCGGAGCTCCTGGGAGCGAGGGGCCCTCGGCTCACACCCTCCACGGTCAGGTGCGCGCGGCGTGCTCGGCGGCAGCCTCAGCTGCCCCTGCGCTTGGCCGTCGGCCCGCTTCCCATGGGGTGACATCCGCCCCGCCCCTCGGTCCCTCCCCAAGGCGGGCAATTCCTGGACGCGAGGGTGAGCAGTGGGGGCAGGGAAGCCAGGACGGAAAGAAACCCCAGCCTCTGGGGAAGGCTGGGGGGCCGGGCGACTCCCTCCGCAGCGCGCCGGTTCCTCCAAGCGGGCCGGGCGGGGGAGGAGGAAGAGGGCTGGGCTGGAGCTAGCAAGGGGATATTCCTCTCCCGGCTTGAGTCAGACGCGGGCGGATCCGTCCTCCCCCGTTCCCTCCCAGGAGACGGGAACTTACTTCATTTCCCTGGGGCAGGTTCGCCCACGTTACCAACTTCTCCCCCTCCCCCAGCACCCCCGTCCCTTCCAGCTTCCGCGCCCCCCACCCAACTGGGCAGGACCCAGGTCGTGCTGCCACCCCCTCTTCGGGGAAAGGCGGCCGCAGCCGCAGACACCTGGGGGCCGGGGCTGGGGGTGGGGGCTCCCTAGCAGCCGCCGGAGCGTTGTCCAACACGTGAGACTCATGTGATGAAGCCGGGGGAGGGCGGGCAGGTCGCTCCTTCCCTCCCCGGCAGTGGCCAGACGTGCCTGGAGTCACAGGGTAGAACACGTAGCTCCAACCCACCCACTCGCTCCCATTTAACCCAGCCCGCAGCCTCTCCATTACTCCTCGGCTTGCCCCCCCACCCCCCCACTCCGCCCTAACCGCCCCCCCCTCACCCGCTCCCTCCCGCCTCCCCGCCCGCCCCACTTCTCATTCACTTGGCTCGCACGGCGCAGACAGACCGCGCAGGGAGCACACACCGCCAGTCTGTGCGCTGAGTCGGAGCCAGAGGCCGCGGGGACACCGGGCCATGCACGCCCCCAACTGAAGCTGCATCTCAAAGCCGAAGATTCCAGCAGCCCAGGGGATTTCAAAGAGCTCAGACTCAGAGGAACATCTGCGGAGAGACCCCCGAAGCCCTCTCCAGGGCAGTCCTCATCCAGACGCTCCGCTAGTGCAGACAGGAGCGCGCAGTGGCCCCGGCTCGCCGCGCCATGGAGCGGATCCCCAGCGCGCAACCACCCCCCGCCTGCCTGCCCAAAGCACCGGGACTGGAGCACGGAGACCTACCAGGGTAAGTTGGCACTCCTTGGCCCTTCAAGCCTCAACTGCAGCCCCATGTTATGCGCCACTCTCAACTTGGAGCAGCTCCGGGCGCACCGGGAGGTTCTTGCCCGGCAGAACGCCTGCAGCCGTGCGCAAGCAGTCACGACCCTTCCTGGTCTCTCTTCCTGCAGGATGTACCCTGCCCACATGTACCAAGTGTACAAGTCAAGACGGGGAATAAAGCGGAGCGAGGACAGCAAGGTAAGCAAGTGCACCCCTAGGGACCCTGCGCTCAGCCCCTCGCGCGCGCTGAGTTTCCAAGAAAAGTTTTCTCGCTTTGAGGTTGGCGAGGGGATGCAGGGTGTGGGCTCGGTGCCTCTTCTGAGTGACTTGGAAAAGAAAGGGCAGACGATGGTTCTGGGTGCTACTCTGCTACTCTGCTCCTCTGCCGGACTGTTGCTGCGGGGCTGGGAGGATAGGCTTCTCATCTCCTTCCCCAAGCGCCCACCGCCTCCCCGTGCGTCTTGCAGGAGACCTACAAATTGCCGCACCGGCTCATCGAGAAAAAGAGACGTGACCGGATTAACGAGTGCATCGCCCAGCTGAAGGATCTCCTACCCGAACATCTCAAACTTACAGTAAGTGAGAAGCTGGCCCCTTTCCAACCCAGTCCTTTGCCCAGAGGGCGGGCGGGTCACTCGCCGCCTGCAGGTTCCGCGGGGAACTGCAGACCAGACTGGCGGATCAGAGCTGGCGGGTGGCTCTGCGGTGGGGTCCTCCTCCACAGTCCTGGCGTTTTCTGGCTGACTCATGCAAATGAGGCGAGAACCACTTGGACCTCTCCAAGTTGGCTCCAACACCAACTGGCCTTCCTTTTCAGGAGTTTAACTTCTGGTGATTTTCAGGATTCCCTAGTTTTTCTCACTTAAAGGAACACGCCAAGAAACACACACATTTTATTTACCCCTTCCCCTCTACCACTCCCCCCACCTTTTTTGTTGTTGTTGTCAAATAAGGGGACTTGCTTTGGTGTGTGATTTTTACGGCCTGTCCTTTCTTGACAGTAGCCCTCGGCTACTTCGCAGCCTTTGGTTGGGGAAATGGAAAAAAAAAAAATAGTATTTCGGGAGGAACAAAAAAGCCTGGATGAGCTGGAAGTTCTGAAAGGGTGTAAGGAAAGAAGTAGGGAAAGCCTCTTGGCTGCCAGACGTAATAGAGGTCCCTCTCTGAGTTGACACCACTGCAGGAAAATGTTATCTCTGGATTCCCCTGAGTTAAGGTCGGCAGAGGCTGCTGGAGAAATTTATCTGTCAAAGGATTTTCCTGAGGTAGTTGCAGCTTCCAAAATGCCTCCAAAGACAGGTGGCACCCGTTTTTTTAAATTATTTAATTATATATATATATTATATATATATACACACACACACACACACACACACACACACACATATATGAGTGTATCTGTCTATCTTTTTAAAAGCATGACCTACAGACTTAAAACAGCCAACCAGGAAACACTATTCCACTTTTTTTTTTCTTTTCTCATTTCTCATTGCTAATAAATGTCCCAAAGGTGGGACTTCTCTGACCTCACCGCTGACTAAGGCTCTTTTCCTTCCAGACTTTGGGTCACTTGGAAAAAGCAGTGGTTCTTGAACTTACCTTGAAGCATGTGAAAGCACTAACAAACCTAATTGATCAGCAGCAGCAGAAAATCATTGCCCTGCAGAGTGGTTTACAAGCTGGTGAGTGCTGATTCTGGCTATGCTCTCTTTAAGAGTTTGAGTGCAAATAGAGAGCCCGTGGGCTCAACATCTGATGTAATAAACATTACTGCAACAAATTGCTTATGCACGTTCATTGGGGGAGATGCAGTTTTATCTTTCCTAAAAGGTCAGACTTTTCATTTGAAATGCATTGTGCCACCTGGCATGAATACGTATTAGTGAAATGATAAGATATTCCTGTGGCATTTTAGCTTGAGAGTCTCTGGGTTCTGGGAGATTTCCCTACTCCCTTTTAAAATGCCAAGGCACCTATAATTTGCATTGTGGGTGTTTTACAGTTGGTCTTCTTAGCCCTCTTTCATTGGAGAAGAAATCATGGGTATGCCCCAGCGTTTTCCTGTTTCTTTGCTTCCTTGTCACTTGGTGTGTGGTGTGATCCTGGCAGGATACAGCAGGAGTTTTTCCTGCATTTCATGTGGTTCCCTGAATAGCCACTAGGTATCTTGGTGAATTGCACAATCTAGCGAAACCACTGAAGTTTCATCATTCGTTTCTACTGACTTCCAGATAATCGGAGTCAACCTTCTAACCTTCTAGTCTCACTTCTTCCAAATAATACTGTACAGACTGGGGAGAATTATTCTACCCACTCCCTCATTTCATGCTTGTCTGCCTTCCTCTCGAAGGCTCGTATGATGAAAATTGCAAAAACCCAGCTAGTGCTTCTGCCTGTTTCCTCATTCAAAATAGGAAGATGGTCATACCTAATGTCTTGAGGATCATGGATAGAATATGTGGAGAAGACATAGAAATAGCCTAATTAAAGGTCACAGCATGACTGCAACTTTTACAAATCATTGAAAATAAGTTTACTTTAGGTGATTGTTGTTTCTTCATTCTTTTCCTCATTTTATAACTATCCAGCCTCTGCCCATTTTGCCACGGTGCAATGTTGTATGCATTGACTCTTAGGTTTATAAATACATCAGAATGTTCTTTGCTGCCTCGCTTACATGGAAAACTCACAAACCACCTATACAATCCAAAAGAGGGGAAACAGCTCATCTCATATTAATTATGGTCCATTTCCATGATAGGATATTATGCAACCATTAAAAATCATATTTTATCTGAGTGTTAGTATATGGATTATTTTAATTATTTATACTTTTCAGTGTAATTCTTCTCTGAGCATACTACTTTTGGAGTTAGGAACACAAATCAGTAAATGCATTTTTTTTTTTAACAAAAACTAAAGCACCTGGTTTTTTGGAGTATAGTTTCCAGGTGCGCCACAGGCCTTCTGAAACGTTTTCCTTCGGATTTTTCTTTCCCCAGGTGAGCTGTCAGGGAGAAATGTCGAAACAGGTCAAGAGATGTTCTGCTCAGGTTTCCAGACATGTGCCCGGGAGGTGCTTCAGTATCTGGCCAAGCACGAGAACACTCGGGACCTGAAGTCTTCGCAGCTTGTCACCCACCTCCACCGGGTGGTCTCGGAGCTGCTGCAGGGTGGTACCTCCAGGAAGCCATCAGACCCAGCTCCCAAAGTGATGGACTTCAAGGAAAAACCCAGCTCTCCGGCCAAAGGTTCGGAAGGTCCTGGGAAAAACTGCGTGCCAGTCATCCAGCGGACTTTCGCTCACTCGAGTGGGGAGCAGAGCGGCAGCGACACGGACACAGACAGTGGCTATGGAGGAGAATCGGAGAAGGGCGACTTGCGCAGTGAGCAGCCGTGCTTCAAAAGTGACCACGGACGCAGGTTCACGATGGGAGAAAGGATCGGCGCAATTAAGCAAGAGTCCGAAGAACCCCCCACAAAAAAGAACCGGATGCAGCTTTCGGATGATGAAGGCCATTTCACTAGCAGTGACCTGATCAGCTCCCCGTTCCTGGGCCCACACCCACACCAGCCTCCTTTCTGCCTGCCCTTCTACCTGATCCCACCTTCAGCGACTGCCTACCTGCCCATGCTGGAGAAGTGCTGGTATCCCACCTCAGTGCCAGTGCTATACCCAGGCCTCAACGCCTCTGCCGCAGCCCTCTCTAGCTTCATGAACCCAGACAAGATCTCGGCTCCCTTGCTCATGCCCCAGAGACTCCCTTCTCCCTTGCCAGCTCATCCGTCCGTCGACTCTTCTGTCTTGCTCCAAGCTCTGAAGCCAATCCCCCCTTTAAACTTAGAAACCAAAGACTAAACTCTCTAGGGGATCCTGCTGCTTTGCTTTCCTTCCTCGCTACTTCCTAAAAAGCAACAAAAAAGTTTTTGTGAATGCTGCAAGATTGTTGCATTGTGTATACTGAGATAATCTGAGGCATGGAGAGCAGATTCAGGGTGTGTGTGTGTGTGTGTGTGTGTGTATGTGCGTGTGCGTGCACATGTGTGCCTGCGTGTTGGTATAGGACTTTAAAGCTCCTTTTGGCATAGGGAAGTCACGAAGGATTGCTTGACATCAGGAGACTTGGGGGGGATTGTAGCAGACGTCTGGGCTTTTCCCCACCCAGAGAATAGCCCCCTTCGATACACATCAGCTGGATTTTCAAAAGCTTCAAAGTCTTGGTCTGTGAGTCACTCTTCAGTTTGGGAGCTGGGTCTGTGGCTTTGATCAGAAGGTACTTTCAAAAGAGGGCTTTCCAGGGCTCAGCTCCCAACCAGCTGTTAGGACCCCACCCTTTTGCCTTTATTGTCGACGTGACTCACCAGACGTCGGGGAGAGAGAGCAGTCAGACCGAGCTTTCTGCTAACATGGGGAGGTAGCAGGCACTGGCATAGCACGGTAGTGGTTTGGGGAGGTTTCCGCAGGTCTGCTCCCCACCCCTGCCTCGGAAGAATAAAGAGAATGTAGTTCCCTACTCAGGCTTTCGTAGTGATTAGCTTACTAAGGAACTGAAAATGGGCCCCTTGTACAAGCTGAGCTGCCCCGGAGGGAGGGAGGAGTTCCCTGGGCTTCTGGCACCTGTTTCTAGGCCTAACCATTAGTACTTACTGTGCAGGGAACCAAACCAAGGTCTGAGAAATGCGGACACCCCGAGCGAGCACCCCAAAGTGCACAAAGCTGAGTAAAAAGCTGCCCCCTTCAAACAGAACTAGACTCAGTTTTCAATTCCATCCTAAAACTCCTTTTAACCAAGCTTAGCTTCTCAAAGGCCTAACCAAGCCTTGGCACCGCCAGATCCTTTCTGTAGGCTAATTCCTCTTGCCCAACGGCATATGGAGTGTCCTTATTGCTAAAAAGGATTCCGTCTCCTTCAAAGAAGTTTTATTTTTGGTCCAGAGTACTTGTTTTCCCGATGTGTCCAGCCAGCTCCGCAGCAGCTTTTCAAAATGCACTATGCCTGATTGCTGATCGTGTTTTAACTTTTTCTTTTCCTGTTTTTATTTTGGTATTAAGTCGTTGCCTTTATTTGTAAAGCTGTTATAAATATATATTATATAAATATATTAAAAAGGAAAATGTTTCAGATGTTTATTTGTATAATTACTTGATTCACACAGTGAGAAAAAATGAATGTATTCCTGTTTTTGAAGAGAAGAATAATTTTTTTTTTCTCTAGGGAGAGGTACAGTGTTTATATTTTGGAGCCTTCCTGAAGGTGTAAAATTGTAAATATTTTTATCTATGAGTAAATGTTAAGTAGTTGTTTTAAAATACTTAATAAAATAATTCTTTTCCTGTGGAAGAGAAAGATGGTCTCCTGAGTTTTTTAAAATAGCTCACTTGGTGTGATATGGCTGACTCCCATGTCCTTCTTTCTTGGCTGAAGCAAACCAGTTAATCTCAGTGTAATTTCATTCAGCTTTTCATGTGCTTTGTATTCAATCAGAATAAGCTTAGTCAACCTGGCAGGTAAATATTGGTTCAATTTTTGTTTAACCCTTGCCAGGGGTTCATGATCATCCTCTACCTCTTTCCAGAGTTAAGTAAAAAGCATATTTTCCCCTGCCTGCTTTCATCGTGGTCCTTGGAACTTGACAGAAAACCAAGGTATGACACCGTGGGCAGCAGTGTCTGGGGAGCCTGCTGGAGGGAGAGGCACATTGAGAAAAGATTTACTGGATTATTATGCAATACTAATTGATGCTAGGATAGCACCTCTTTGCCAAAGCAGTCTAGCTTTTTCAAATCTAGCAAGGTCTAATGGATTTGCCATATCCTGTCTTATTCCTGCTGGAGGCAACATTCCATAATTATTTTCTACATCCTTCCTGGACTTCCTCTCCGGTATGTTTGTGCGTGAATGCATATTGGGTGTTCCTTCGACAAGTGCTCTTATTTAAAAAAAAAAAAAAAAAATTCCATGGGAAAGGTGGGAAATGACCCTGTCGTGTATTTTTGCCTCTCTCCTTTGCCTTGATTTGCAACATTCCTGTGGGATACTCCCTGTCAGAGGTGTCCTGATGTTTCCTGATGGCCAGCGCCTGACTCAACACGCTCCGGCTCCCAAAGCATCCCAGTCTGCCAGGACTCCCTGGTTGTCTGGAGTACAGCAGGGAAGCTGCCCCTAGGGATTTCTTAGCCAGGCAGAGGCTCCACCTGACCATGAAGACTGTTTGCTTCACATGTCACCTTCCCTGTCTCCTGATGGGCCAGCAGGTGAAAGTGAGCATTGTCTGCTTGTGCTGGATGCATATGGAATGCACGTAACTGTCCCCAGGCCACAGGCTGTTGTGCAAGGAGCCGGGACCAGGAGGTGGAAGCCTGGCATCAATAGCTGGTGGTCTATCACCTCCCTCTCCACGCCTGCTTTTGACTAGATAAAATAAGAATTCCGAGCCCTTCTCACAAGTCCCAGAGCAGGCAGATGGCAAATTCTGTAAGCCACTCTTTCTCCCAGCCCAACGCCTGGGCTTCCAGGTCTCATGCCTGTGAAACACCTCAATTGCTCCATGAGTTGCCAGACCTCTCTAGCTAGACTTTTTTGGAAAAAACCCAACAAATCAAACTTACCCTGGTGATATAGCCGGGGGTTGAAAAATCAAGACCAAACTCTTTTTGCATAACCCTCTCTTTTTCCCAGGCCACTGCAGGAGGAGTAGCTTTGGGGAAAGGAGGAAGTGGTTGGAGCAACCTGAACTAAAAAAAAAGATTTGAGGGTTCCACACACAGTCAACCCAGAATCCCGCTATGGGAACCTGCCCCTGTCAAACAGCGCCTCAAGTTGCAGCTGTCCCTCCACTTCATTTTTTGCTTCCAGCTCGCCCTTAACCTCTCTTCTAGCCCAGTTCTAGCGGCATCCAAATGCGCTCAGAGGGAGGTGCGGGGGAGGGGCGCGCACCCCAGCCTAATGCCCACTGCGGACAAAGAGGACTTCTGTTTAAAAAGCGGGGTGTGTGAGTGTCAGGGGGCGAAGCGCTGGCTCCGGGGCCAAGGAGAGGTGGCAGGAGGCAGGGGAGCGGAGGCTGGGCATCTGGCCGCCTTCAGACAGGGCGTGATCCGCCGGGCCTGCCGGGATGGTCTCACCCAGCGCTGACCTGCCCCGCCTGTTGACACAACGTCACGTTTCCGACTGCAGCCCTTTCATGTGCGGCCCGCGGCTAAAAGCGGCTGCCGGTTCCTGGAAGCAGACGTGCCTGGCACCGCGTCAGCAGAAACCTGATCCCCGGGGAAGCTCGGCAAGGCCTTGGGATCGCTCGGCCCCCAGAACTAGGGCCTGGCAGCGGGCACGGGACGCCCCCCCTCCCTCGCGCCCAGCAGGAGGGAATTCGAGCGCTCCCCGTCGGCGGTGGGGAGGGAGGACTGGGTGGGGTAGGGAGCTGGATTTAGGCAGAGCACGGGGACCAGGGCTTAATTGACTAGAAGCTAGAAGCTTCCCACGGGTCATCGCTCACTAATGCACGTCAAACAACCTAGAAGTATCATTATGGGTACTATTACAATTCACATTTTGTAGATAAATAAAAGCAGGCTCAGAGAGGAGAGGTAACTAGCCCGAGGTCACACAGCTTCTGAGGGGGCTAAACCTTTTGTAGGATGGTGGATCTGTTGGTTTGTGGGTCCCTTAATTGGATCCAAGGAGAAGGCTTTCACAGAGCCGAGTTGTTAATGACTATAATAGTACAAATATGGATATTTATTACTAAGAATAATTACAGCAAATGTGTTTGTGGCATTTACTATTTGCCAGGCACTCTGCAAAGTGCTCTACATACAATAACTTCTTTATCACTGCAAGGCCATGAAGTAGGTAAATTAGTATACAGTTAATGAACTGTAGGCACAGAGAGGTTAAGTAATTTGCTCAAAGTCACACAGCTCCATTGATGACTTGTAAGTTAAACCTAGGAAATTTGGCTGCAAAGTTTATGTGCTTAACTATAAAACCACACTGCCCTTCTAGTTAAGTTAATAATAGTAAAAGTAGTAATAATTACAATTATTACTATCCTGTTTTGAGTACTTTCTTTGTGCCAGGTATCAACCACGTCATGTGAATCGCCTCTACTTATAGCAACTGTGAAGGGTAGATATTAATATGCCCCTTTTTTAAGTAAAAAAAATTTTAAACATGCTCATTTTACAAATGAGGAAACTGGAGTTCAAAGAGGGGAAATGCCTTATCTGAGGTGACACGACACCTAAGGGACAAAGCCATCCTTTTTTCTGGTATGGAACTGCTTCTACGCTGAGCTCCTGTCATGTTGGGCTTTGATACACATTATCTCATTTAATCCTCCAAATAGCCCTGCGGAATAGGTACTATGATGCTCAGCCTGTGGCTGAGATAACCAACCTCAGAATAAAGTTATTTGCCCAAGTCTTTATTTGTTCCTTACCGATGTCCCCACACACCATCTCACAGCGAAGAATGGGCCCATCCTCTGGTTAGAGAAACTAACCCAGCATGACTATCAAGGACTATGGGGGGGGCGGTGGGGGGGCACCCTATAGGTTGACTGTGCGAAGAACCAGAATCTGGGCTTGAAGCAACTATACCAAAGTATTGTGGGCCAGGCACGGTGGCTCATGCCTGTAATCCCAGCACTTTGGGAGGCCTAGGTGGGAGGATCACTTGAGGCTGGGAGTTTGAGACCAGCCTGGGCAACATGGCGAAATCCCATCTCTACAAAAAATACAAAAATTAGCCAGGCGTGGTGGTGCATGCCTGTGGTCCCAGCTACTTGGGAGGCTGAGGTGGGAGGATCACTTGAGCCCAGGAGGCAGAGTTGCAGTGAGCATGATTGCGCCACTGCACTCCAGCCAGGTGACAGAGAGAGACCCTGTTTAAAAAAAAAAAAAAAGTATTCTGCGGGGAAGGGGAGAGATTCCTTTTCTTATGTCTCTCCTAAGATTAGGAAAGGTGTAGGCCTAGGGGACTAGCGAGGTATGAACCCCCTGGGGCAGGGCAGTTCTGCTGGAGGGAGGGAGAGAAGGAGGGAGGCAGAGACTGAGTTCCAAGCTCTCTCTCTGGAAGGGAGCCTCTGCAGGCTCAGAGACCAGGCCACCGCAGCTCCTGTCCCTCTCAGATTTCTTCGGCCCACCCACACCCTAGCCTGTCTCTCCCCTTTGGCCACCACCCCAGTACTTGGTTTGTGAGGGGTATATAAGAGGCTGCCTCGCTTTGTGGAACAGGGCCAGGATCTCAGGTTAGAGAGGAGACAGCATGTGTTGAGTTCCCACATGGTTTCATATGAAGACTGTGTGTTAACGGGATCGGCATGTTCTCCTGAGACCCAGCATTCCCTGAGGTGTCTGCCACGTGGCGTGGAGGGAGGGAAGGCTCCAGGTTTCTCACCCTTCATCAGCAGGAACAGCTTCCTTTTCGTGTCTTACCACTGTAATCGTTTGTTTGAACAAGAGTTTTATTGCTGAAAAGACATCACAAACAAGTTTTGAAGGCCACCAATGACAGCCCCTTCCTCAAGCACTGCCTTCACCTCACTGGCCTCTTTCCCTAGGATCCAGAGGGAGGCTGAGGCCATTCAAAGCCACCCCAACACACACCCCACCCAGCACCACCCCCTGTTTATCCCCAGCCATCTGTTTGGCCCGACAACCACAGCAGAACATGAGCCGGGTGAAGCCTCTCCCATTGGC
This sequence comes from Homo sapiens, assembly GCF_000001405.40. Classification (NCBI taxonomy): domain Eukaryota; kingdom Metazoa; phylum Chordata; class Mammalia; order Primates; family Hominidae; genus Homo; species Homo sapiens. The sequence continues at coordinate 4,989,531 of NC_000003.12, forward strand.
CATGGAAGCCACTGACATGCTCGTCTCGCGGCTGGGCCATCCAGTCTTGTGATGTGGCTGGATTTGGGCCCAGAAGGTTTCTTCCACTATAGATGGGGCCCTCCCTTCCCTGGGGATTCTCAGCAAAGATGTGGAGGTGGGACATGAGGGTGTCACAAGGCTGCTGGGTAGGGGTGCCAGCCTCAGGCTGGGACCAAAGGAAGTAGGGCAACCAGCCTCTGCTCACCCTAAGTCCTGGCCCTGTTCTCCCACGCCCACACCCACCTTTGAGGAGGCAAAAGGGAATAAACTTGTGCTTATTTGTTGGAAGAGCAAATATGTTTTTTTGAAACCGAATTATGGATGGGGATGTGGGGGTGGGAACTAGGCAAGGGTCTCAGGGGAATCCAAGCAGGAGAAGAAGGAGGGAAAAACCACTCTCTTCTCAGATGGAAAAAAAAAAAACAAAACAAAACAACTGTTTCTTAAAGTTTTAAATAAAATATCTAATATTTTATATCTCTTTTACTGTGGAGAATTTAAAACATATTCAAAAGTAGAAACAACAATAGATGTTTCTCCAAAGAAGATATACAAATGGCCAACAAGTGCATAAAAATATGTTCAATGTCATTAGTCATCAGGGAAATGCAAATCAAAACCACAGTGAGATACCACTTCACACCCTCTAGGATGGGTATGATATTAATAATAATAACAACAAAACAATGGAAAATAACAAAGGTTGTCGAGGATGTGGAGAAGTCTGAAGCTTTTGTATATTGCCAGTGGGAATGTGAAATGATGAAACTACCATAGAAAAAAGTTCGGCATTTCCTCAAAAAGTTAAATATAGAATTACCATATTACCCAATGCCATTTCTAAGAGTTATATACCCAAAAGAATTGAAAACAGGAACGCAAACAAATATATGGACACATGTGTTCATAGCACTGTTCACAAGAGTCAAAAGGTGGAAACAACCTAAATGTCAATCAACAGATAAATGGATAAACAAATTGTGGTGTATACATACAATGAGGTATTATAGAGCCGCAAAAAATTAATAAAGTACTGGTATATGCTACAACACGGATGAATCTCAAAAACATTATGCTAAGTGAAAGAAGGCTGGCAAAAAGTCACGTTACACGGTTCCACTCATATGAAATATACAGAATAAATAAATCCATAGAGACACAATACAGACTGATGGTTGCCAAGGGATGAGGGAGGGAGACAATGGGAATAAAACGGGTACAGGGATTTCACTTTGGAGTGATAGAAATATTTTGGAACTAGGCATGGGGGGTTGCATAGCATTGTGAATGTAATACATGGCATAGACTTATTCACTTTAAAATGGTTAATTATATGTAGATTTCACCTCAATAAATTTTCTTTTAAGTAGATAGAATAGCATAATGAACCCTCCACTTATCAGTCTCCCAGCTTCATTAGTCATTAATTCATGCCCAAGTCAGTTTCATCTGTAATATATACCCATCCACTTCCCCTGCTCATGTATTATTTTGAAGCAAATCCAGATATCATATAATTTCATTTGTAAATATTTCTAAAATATTTAGTATATATCTCTAAAAGATAAGTGTTATAAAATTACTATAATATTATCATACCTAAAAATATTTAACAGTATAAAAAGGCAATTTTTTAGACTAGTTCTCTAAATAAGAATATAGATTGTTTTCAAAATTAAAAAATATAAAAAGTGATCAGAGGCCGGGTGCGGTGGCTCATGCCTGTGATCCCAGCACTTTGGGAGGCCAAGGAGGACAGATCACAAGGTCAGGAGTTTGAGACCAGCCTGGCCAATATGGTGAAACCCAGTCTCTACTAAAAATACAACAATTAGCCAGGCATGGTGGTGGGCGCCTGTAGTCCCAGCTACTCGGGAGGCTGAGGCAGGAGAATCAGTTGAACCCGAGAGGAGGAGGTTGCAGTGAGCCGAGATCGCGCCATTACACTCCAGCCTGGGTGAGAGCAAGACTCCGTCTCAAAAAAGAAAAAAAAAAAAAAGTGATCTGAAAAAAGAAATTGTTCCCTGTCCCTATCCATCATCCTGGTCTCTATGCCTTCACCAAACTCACCCACAAGCAGGCAAGTAGGCACTATTTTAACTACTTTAGAGTTTATTGGCCAGGCATGTTGGTTCATACCTGTATTCTCAGCACTTTGGAAGGCCAAGGTGGGAGGATCACTTGAGCCCAAGAGTTCAAGACCAGTCTGGGCAACATGGCAAGATCCCATCTCCACAAACGATTAAAAACTTACGAGGGTGTGGTGGTGCATGCCTGTAACCCCAGCTACTCAGGAGGCTGAGGTGGGAGGATAGTTTGAGCCTAGGTTGCAGTGAGCCATGATCGTTGCTACTGCACTCCAGCCTGGGTGACAGAGTGAGATCCTGTCTCAAAAAATAATAATAATGTTTTTTAAAATAGAGTTTATTTAGGCATGTGCATATAAATATGGATGTGGGCTGTCATTTGTCCCCTTTTTCCACACAAAAATAGCATGCTGTTCACACTCTTCTGCACTTAGTATGTCTTGAGGAGCTGTCCACGTGAATACATAGAAAGGCTTTTAATTCTTTTTCACAACTGTGCGTATCTCATTGTATAGATGTCCTATAATTTACTTGACTAGTTCCCTATTATGAACATCTGGATTATTTTTTATCTTTTGCTATCACCAGCAGGGTTGCAATGAGTAATTTTATACACAGGTCATTTTGCAAGCGTATAACAGTATTTATGGGGTAAACTCCCACATGGAATTGCTGGGTCAATGTCATGAGCATCTGTCATTCTGATGGGTATCATTCCGTGGGACACAGGTCATACTCCTTTAGAACCCAACGTTGTTGCCTGTCTTGGAGGCATTTGCAAGAGATGTCGGAAAGCTTAGAATATGTATATCTTGAGACCAAATGATTCCACTTCTAGGAGTTATCCTAAATACGATTTTTAAAATTAATTAATTTTTAAATAAAAAATAGAGACAGGGTTTTGCTATGTTGACCAGGCTGGTCTCCAGCTCCTGACCTCAAGCAATCCTCTTGTCTTGGCCTCCCAAAGTGCTGGGATTATAGGCCCGAGCCACCATGCACAGCCAAGAAGTTATTAAACAGGTTTTCAAAGACTAAGCTACAAGATTGGACGTCCTGTGCCATTCATAGGTAAAACAAACAAGGAGGAAAGAAGGGAGGGACAGAGGGAAGGAGAGAATAAGGAAATCAGAAAGATGGCTGAGAAGGAGACTGGTTGAGTAACTTACAGTATGTGCAAGTGCTGGAATGCTAAATAGTCATGAAAAATTATGTTAGGAAAGTAAATTGATTATTGTTTATTTGTTGTAAAGGGAGGAAAAGTAGGCCACAAAATAGTATGTTCAGACTTATCCCATTTTTGAAAAAGAATAATATGTGTGCTTCTAAATGTTCTCTCTGCCTCACTTTGAACAACTGTAAAATGAGGACAATAGTAATTGGCCTACTGAGTTGTGAGGATTAAATGAGTTTCAATGTCTAAGATGCTTAGAACAGTGTCTAGCACAGAGAAAGCTCCATGTCAGGGTTAGCTAAAATTAGTGTTATTGTTATTATTTTTTAGTAATTGTATTATAGTTACAGAGGAAAAAGGTCTGGCAGGCAATACAATAAAATTTTAACCACCTTAGCAGGATTTAGAATTATTGGTTATTGTTCCTTTAAGAATTTTTGCTTTTCTATATTTTCTTTTTTTTTTATTTTACAATGAACATGGTATTTCTGTAATATAGATCATGAAGTGCAACAGAATAAGTGGAGTGGGGGACAAGAATGGAGTTCAAGGTTGTCATGGACATCTGTATCCAGCAGTCCCAGGGGATGATGTGGAAAGGAGAGGCAGGATGCTTTTTTGGTTTTGCCAGCTCAGCCCTGGGCAGGGCCAGCCCTACACCCTGGGAAGAAGGCAACTCCCTTCAAAGGGTGAGTGGAAGATCTAGAGAAAGCTCTCCCTACCCACATGCACATAGGAGCTTTTAACAAGGACCTTAACAATTAGAGAGATGACAAAAGTTTCAAAACAGGTGCAAAGACACTCAATAGGCTGTGAGGGTCCTGGGATGGGGGCTCTAACTCATTCACTGCAGCGCTCCCAGTGCCTAGCTTGAAACAAAGCTGAAATTCAGTCAGTGTTTCCTGAATGAACAAGTGAATCTAGACTCTGCTGTGTGACCTTGGGAAAGTTCTTTCACCTTCCTGAATCTGTTTCCTTATCCATCAAATGGGGATATTAGTGATCTTGTAGAGATTGCCGTGAGGATGAAAAGAAATCCTTATGTAGAATATACAGCATCTAGCTACAGTCAGGTATGTGGTAGGTGCTCAAGCATTTGCTGATTAAATGAATGAAAGGAGCCTGGGCAACATAGCAAAAACTCTGTCTCTACAAATAAAAATTAAAACATTAGCCAGTCATGGTGATACGGACCTGTAGTCCCAGCTACTCAGGAGGCTAAGGTGGGAGGATCTTAGCCTGCAGTGAGCCATGACCACGCCACTGTACTCCAGCCAAGGTGACAGAGTGAGGCCCCATCTCAAAATAAAACTTTAATTTAATTTAAAAATAAAAGAAAATAAAAAAATAAATGAAAAGAAAGAATGACATTTATAGGAACATATTCACTCTAAAGTGTAAGTAACTGACATAACATTATTTCCTGAAAGATGCTTTGTAGAGGGAAAAGCTGAAAGAGATCTCATACACACACACACACACACACACATATATATACACACACACATATATATATGTCTGTGTGTATGAGATCTCTCTGATATATATATATATATCAGACTGTGTGCTAAGTACTGTACTAGGCACTATGCATACATTATCTGGTGCAATCTCCATTTTTACATTTACAGAAATTGAGACTCAGTGAGATTAAGTGACTCACCCAAGGTCACACAGCAAGCAGATGGCACAGACAGGATTTAACTCAACATATGACTCAAAAGTCCTTGCTGAAAGAGCCCAGGATGTCAAAATGGACAGAGGCATGAGGAGGGAAGAGGGTCAGAGATAAGCTTCCCACTCTGTGCACACTGCTGAATTACCCATTAGGTAGACCTAGTGTGTGCTGAAAACACTGGGAAAGCAGCCCCAGCTTCCTTCCATCTCCCCAAAATTGGAAAATAATTTCTTTTTGATATTTCAAAGAAAAACATGGAGATCATCTTATGATTAAAATCAAGGGCTTATTGGGGTTTCTCTAAATTTATTTTAAGCTTTGTGTTTTCAGTTTGCACTTCGTATGGGGAGGAAGGATCAAAATGCTCATGTCTCAGGACCTTAGGGCTTAATTGCCCTGGGGCTTAGAGCCTCTCTAGACCTTATCCAGCAAGGTGACGCTAGCTCTCCAGAGTCTGAGTGGGAGGCAGCATGGACACCCACCTGGCCCCTGCTTCCCCTGGGGCTCACGTGGCTGTGTGAGGGGTGTTTCTTAGGGCAGTGGCCTCAGCTCCCCTGACCCGTGGCTTCTCACAGTCTGCCTTTCAGACAAGGCGCTCACTGTCCCAGCATGTTCCAAGCCACCGGCTCAAGTCCCAGCCAGCCCAGGCCTGTTGCAATGAGTCAGCCTTTCACTGGGGAAAAACGTGGTGACTGGCCTCCAAGTCATTTTTTCCAGCTTGGCCCTTGTCCTGGGCTGGGTTTGGGGAGACCTTCATTTTTCCCTTTGGGATTCGGCTGCCTACGAGGTATTCCCAAGGGTCCCTAGGAAGCAAGGGGGCTGGAATTCCTTTGGGGCAGGTTGAGTTGCTGCAGTTCAGCCAAATGAGGGTCCCTCAAGGTGCCCACCTGGTCTCGCTCCACCTCCCCCTGCTCATATAAGCAAAAGTAGAGGCCACAGAGGGTAAGTTCTTATGGCCCTTACGGTTGTGCCCAGTCATGGGGAGGAGGATAAGAAGAGGAGTTATAAAATAAAGTCCACCTTTGGCATCTTTCACAGGCCATGCTAGCGCAGCAACCTCAGGTACCTGGAGCTTGAGGCACACTTGGCCTCTTATCAACTAGTGGTGCCTTCCTGAAAGATGATGCTCCCTTGGGCCCCTTGAATTTTAAAGCAAGCACCATTACCTTCGGTGAACCTTCCTGCCCCCAGCTCTATGCCAGGGTTCCGGTTTCAGAGCTATTCGCCTTACCATCCCTTCTGACTCACCTCTGGCTTCCCAGGGCTTCGTGAGGCCTCCCCTGCATGGCCAGGCTGATGTGGATTCTCCCTAGTGTGACTGGGTGGGAGGGAGGAAGAGGCAATGACCATTAGTCAAAGGGTGGTGAGGGTGCGTGAGGGCAGGGCTTTGGCCCTCACGGATCCCGCAGTAAATTCACTCTCTCCGGAGGAAACATTGACCTCACTGCTGCTGAAGCCCTTACTTAGAACTTCCTATTCATTTTTGCAATTAGCAAAGATTAACCTCTCAATAATTCATTCATTCAGGGCACAGATAGTTATTGGTACCTTTACATGCCAGGTACTGGGCTTTGGGGCTACAATAGTGCACAGAAGAGTCATGCTCCTGTTTCCTGAAGCCGATAGTCTGAGAGGGACACAGATAGCAACCTGATAATTACACAGATAGATACCAACAATCCAGTATCAATATGCAAGAAGAGCACAGAAGAGCAGACAACAGTGCCTGGAGTGGTCTGGGGTGTTCAGGGAAGGTTTGCCTGAAATAGACGGGTAAGTGGGAGTTGTCTGGTTGAGATGGGGGTCCTGACCCCAAGTACCTAGATAGTGACCTTATTTGGAAATAGGGTTTTTTACAGAGATAATCAAGTTAACATGAGGTCATTAGGGTAGGCCCTAATCTTGACTGGTATTCTTATCAAAAGGGGAAATTTGGACACAGAGACAGACATGCGCACAGGAAGAATGTCACGTGAAGATGAAAGCAGACATCAGGGGGATGCTGGCTGCTTACAAGCCATGGAATGCCGAAGATAGTGAGCCGACACCAGGAGCTAGGAGAGAAGCCTAGAACTGACGCTCCCTCACGGCCTCCAAGGAACCAAATCTGCTGACACCTTGATTTTGAATTTTTAGCTTCCAGAACTTGAGATCACACATTTCTGTTGTTTAACCCACCCCAGCTGTGGTCTTTTGTCAAGGTAGCCGTAGCAGACAAACTCAGTTTTCCAGCAGAGGAAACTGCACATGCAAAAGCCCTGGAAGTGAGGGCAGGGGAGGCGGGTTTGAGAAAAGAGGCCACCCTGGCTGAAATGCAGAGTCAAAAATTCCTTCATCCAGACTGACAGGGAAGCAGATCAGTGTGGGCACCTCAGGCGACTATTAAAATAGCAATAAAAATAACTACCTCGAAGGTGTGTAGAGTGTACCAGATAAGCCTGGGGAGGCAGGAAGTGACTAGAGCTATGCAGGGGCTTCCCTGTAGGGGTAGAAGTGGAGCCTTTAACCTTAAGACAGAGGAGAAGCTAGCAGGGTACGCAGGCGACCTAGAGCCTCGTTTGAGGTGTGTGACTTTGGGAAAATGGCCGTCTGTCTCTGTGCCTTAGTTCTTCGATCTCTTCCCTTATCTGGGACATTCTGTGACCATATGACTAGCAGTGTGCTCTGTGTTGCTGTCTCCTGTGTGGTGAGCCGGTGCGAAGGAAGAGAAAAGAATGAAAATAGCATTGGACACAGTTGTGGATCTTATGGAACTTATAGTCTAGTTGGGGAAATGACATTCATTCGGGCCAGTGCACAATGGAAGTGCTAAGTGTGTGAAGTGGACAATGTCAGACATTCTGAAGGGCTAAAGTGGTGGCTTCCCTCATGGGGGGTCTCGAAGTCTAGTGGGACCCCAGATACAATTTCTCGTTGTTTTTTTTTTTTTTTTTTTTTTGAGACAGAGTCTCACTCTGTCCCCCAGGCTGGAGGGCGGTGGCGCGATCTCGGCTCACTGCAAGCTCCGCCTCCCGGGTTCACGCCATTCTCCTGCCTCAGCCTCCCGAGTAGCTGGGACTACAGGCGCCCGCCACCACGCCAGGCTAATTTTTTTTTTTTTTTTTTAAGTAGAGACGGGGTTTCACAGTGTTAGCCAGGCTGGTCTCGATCTCCTGAACTCGTGATCCGCCTGCCCCGGCCTCCCAAAGTGCTGGGATTACAGGCTTGAGCCACTGCGCCCGGCCCCAGATACAATTTCGATGCTGTACATCTCCACCCGCCCCACCACTCCATAATTAATAGGTCTGGGGATGGGTGGGGGTTAACACGTGACCTAAGCTGGGCCAATCAGAATCTTTCCCTGGATTTTTTGGTCAGGAGCTAAGGAAGAAAATGCAGTTTCTCTCTTGGTGGCTATGTTTGCTGCTACATAGAGGGGGCTGACTTGAGGGAATGGAGCTGACAGGCTGCCCAGAGAAGACAAGAGGGAAGGAGAGAGAGAGAGAGAGGGAGGGAGGGAGGGAAGGAAGGTGGGAGGGGAGAGGGAGAGAGAGAGAGAGAGAGTGCGAGCGAGCCCCTTGGCTGCCCTGGCCCTGCTGCATCTCCGCGTTTCCCCTGGGCTTACTGGAGATACCCTACCCGCACATTCTTCACCCTGCATTTATCAGTTTCCCCTAGGCTAGTTGGAGAGGAGTTTCTGTCACCTAGAGTCCTAGGAGTTCTGATTCACACAGGGATCCCCCGTGTCAACCTCAGCCACTGTTTGTGAGTGAGGTGATGAGACCCTGCTCTTGGCCCTAGTGTGTGCTATTGTGTCAGGGACCAAGGAGCTGTCCCTGCCCTCTTAGGAAACCCTTCATGGAGCCGAAGGCCATCTTCACTCTTTATAGTACCGGAGGCGCCTGAGTCTTCACCATGCCTCTGTGAGCCTGGCGGCATTTGTTTCACTTTGCAAACCCTGCAAGTCAGGAATTAAATCTCCCCCACCCTAGTCTTACAGTTGAGGAAACTGAGGCTCAGAGGAGGAGAAATGCCTTTGTATCTAAGTGGCAGAGCCTTTTTTGGGTGTCACAGTCCTTAAGATGGTACACGTGAAACAGCAGCCCAAGCCCTGATCAGGGGAAAAAGTAATCATCCTTCATTCATGAATTCATCAGTGAACATTTCCCTACAAAAAAAGAAGAGAAATTATCAAAGGTTTGTGCAGAGCCTGAAGTGTGAATTCAGGAAGGCAAACACAACCTTTTATCTCTATAAGCCCAGAAATCACTATACACACAATGTCAGGCATAAGTTAGGTGCTTAAGATATGTTTGCTGAAAAAGAATAAGAACAATATCTTAGTTACTGAGTGGTCACTATGTGCCAGGCACTATTTTAAGTGATTCGTGGGTATTCACTGAGGTAACCCTCACCCAGCCTTGTAAGGTTGGCACTATTATGCCTGACTGATTGATTGATTGAGACAGGGTCTCACTCTGTCACCCAGGCTGGAGTGCAGTGGCATGATCATAGCTCACTGCAGCCTCAAATTCCTGGGCTCAAGCAATCCTCTCACCTCAGCCTCCCGAGTGGCTGGAACTGCCTGGCTAATTTTTTATTTTCTATTTTTTGTAGAGACAGGATTCAGTATGTTACCAGGACTGGTCTCAAACTCCTGGGCTCAAGTGATCATCTCATCTCGCCCTCCCAAAGTGCTGGGATTATAGGCATGAGCCACTGCCTCCAGCCTGTCATGCCCATTTTAGAGATGAGAGGGCTACAGCTGAGTAACTTCTCTGAGCTCACACAGCTAGTAAATGTCAGAGGGACCTCCAGCCTTCTGGCCTCAAGTGCGTTCCTGACCTTAGACTGTATTGCCTATCTTCAAATGATTGAATGAATGAATGAAAGCACATCTGCTAGCTACAGGACTACACATACACATATATTTCAGGAGAGCTTTCACCGGAGAGAGCTACAGGGTTGTGAAGCCTGGAGAAATTTAAGCTCCAGAAAATTCTCCAAGGAAGTAGGATGCCGTGAGCCTTAAATCTGTGTGGGACTTTTGAATGTGAAAAAAGATATGCACATTTAGTTCTGGAATATCCATATACTCAAATCAACATAATAATTGCTTTCGTGAACTGAGAGCTTTCTCTGTGCTCCACACCCTGCCTACTTATCTTTGAATCTTCCTGCCCTCTCTGTGTTAGGGTGTCAAAGGCCTGTCTAATCACTCTCCTAAACTGCTCTCCCCTCATCCCCTGCAGTCCACAGGAAGGTCAGCCTCGTGGGGTGTTCTTTGCAAAGCCACAGAATCTTCCCTTGATAATGACCAAGTTTCCAAGGCAAAAATTGACACGTGCTTATGGCATCCACAGGCCCAAAGAGTTGAGGCCAGAGGGACCAAAAGTCTGGGATCTGAGTTGGCCAAGATCCAGGCTTGGAACAGAGCCAAGGATGCAGGTGGACAGGCCTCGGGGCAGATGACAAAGCTAGGAGAATGCTCTTTACCTGCTTTTGCTGGAGGGCTAGATTTTACTATCTCCACTGAAGATCTTGAGAGCACCCATTTCACCCTGGGGCAGGGACGGGCTGCATGTTAGCTTTGAGGCCAGGCCAACCACAAGACAAGAAAAGACACATCCCAACTTGAAAGGGCTGCCGAAGACCAGGGCAGCTGAGCAGAGCTTCATGCCCCCCCAGTGAATCTGGCTGCATCAAGTTCAGGCAGGTGCAGGGTAGGATGGAGCACTGCCTGCAGGCTCAAGGGGGATCTTAGTTGCCAATGGGAGATTTGATTGGTATTTATTTTCCATACATCTTCATCTTTTAGGAGAACAAATTCTGGGATCTTTTGGGGAGTCCTAGGGATAAAAGTCCTTAAGGGAGAAAAATGCCCCATAAAAATGCATCCTCACTCCTAGACGTATTATTTTTTATATAAAAATTTCTTTCTTTATTAAAAAGAGATGAGGTCTCACTATATTGGCCAGGGTGATCTCAAATTCCTGGGCTCAAGCAATCCTCCTGCCTCAGCCTTCCAAAGTGTTGGGATCACAGGTGTGAGCTGCTGCACCCTGCCCCTAGACACATTAGAACTTTAATAAGTTTGGAGCATTTTATTTGCTGCTGGAATTATGCTAAGCACTTTATATACATGACCTTGTTTAATCCTCAGGATACCCTAGTATAGAGATGATGACTCTCCTTATTATATGCCCCAGGGAAACAGAGGCTCAGAGACCTTCTCAAGGTCACACAGCTAGTAAGTGTCAGAGCCAGGAGTCCAACCCAGGCCTGACTTCAAGTTCCTTGCCCTTAACCACAGTACTATGTTAGGTCCTTTTTAGACACACATGTTCACAAAAACCTAGATGTTTTGCTTGCATCTGTTTATCCAGCAAACATGTATTAAGTACCTACTATGTGACAGGCCCTGTTTTAGAAGCTGGGGATATAGGAAGGCATAAATAAAACAGACAAAAACCCCTGCCTTCAGTGAAATCAAAATAACATTAAAAGGCAAAGATTATTGTCTCCCATTTTATAGCTGAAGCAACTGAGGTAGGTATTCCTTTTCGTCAGCTTACCCCTCAGATTCATTTATTCATGTGTTTTGTTGTTATCGTTGCTCAGCAAATATTCCTTGATAACTTACTAGGGCTCAGGTACTGTTTTAGGTGCTGAGGTCCCAGTGGGGACCCAAATAGATGCAGTCCCTGCCCTCGTGGAATTCGCAGTCTCTTCAGATTGTGCCTGTGTGTCTTCCTAACCTGTAGCTGCTGCTCAGGGCACATGAACAAGCAGTACTGACTTGTGTCCCCAGGAAGCTGATGCTTTTCCTCAGACAGGCCCAAAGCAGAAGGGGCAAGTGCAGCGGTGTGCCAAACAACAAAGTCAGCACAAGTATTTGGAATCATAGGTGCCCTCTGCTCTCTCCATATGGTGATCCCTGCCCCAAGATGTGTTAGAACACACTCTAGGGTAAATGTCAGTAGGCTCTGTGGGGCGTGGTGCTTCACACCTGTAATCCCAGTACTTTGGGAGGCTGAGGTGGGAGGATCAAGTGAGCCCAGGATGTCAAGGCTGCAGTGAGCCATGATCATGCCACTGCACATGCAGCTTGGGTGACAAAGTGAGACCCCCTATCTCTAAAAAGGTCAGTGCCTCTGGGTGTTAATTAGCTGTGTGGCTTTGAGCCAGTGAAGCTCTCCAAGCTTCACTTTCCTCAGCCATAAAATGGAAATTGAAGCACTTTTCTTGCTTGACTATTTCCAAGAATGAGATGAATTCAAATGAAATAATGGCTATGTGAATATTTAATTTCCTAATCCGTAGATATTATTTCGGTGTCTTCCAGGTCCAGGTCTTCATTTCCTGTTACCTATTACCACAGTGCCTCAAAACGGCTGTTATAAACTCATTCACAAAAAGGTATAAGTAACAGATGATATTTCAAGTCTTGCCTCTCCCAGGCCTAAAGACTTTCTTATAAGAAAAAAAAACCTGTGGAAGGGAACTTTGGATTCTGGCCAAATAGAGTAACAGGTACCAGATTTACCCTCCCATCTGAAACAATTAAAAAGAACCTTAACTGTGTCCTAGACAAAGTTCAATGGCTTTTAGAAGAGTACAAACATATCCAATGCTCAGCAAGATAAAGTTCCCAATGTCTACCATGTAATCAAAAGAATTCCCAGTGGAAGTGCCTTGGACTGGAATATGAGCTCCCTGAGGCAAGAGATTTTTATCTGTTTCATTCTCTGCTATATCTTCAGTTCCTAGAAGAGTGTCTGACACATAGTAGGCACGCAATAACGATTCGTTGACTAATGAATGAATGAATAGGGGTGTCAGACATCAGTGAGGATAATGGGAGGTGCTATTCTGTCCAAGGGTCTCTCCCAGAGCCCCAGAAATCACCTGGCACTTAAGGCCTGCCTGACTGATAAATTCCCCAAGTCAGCCCAAGCATGGAGGATGAGACCCTCTAAAGAGTGACAGCCTTTAGGGGAGGGAGACATCTACAAGCCCTGTCACGAGCCCTGTCATCACCTCGGGAGGAAAAGGAAAGCTTGTTACTCATTGATAACAATCGCTGTGAACGACTCCTCCACACGGCACCCCTCCCCACCCCCTACCTTCCAGCCCTGGCCTGTTTACTGGAAGACGCGACCCTGTTTTCTACATCCTGAGCGATGACAGATTTCATCACTGGCTTAAGGCAAGACAGAGAAGCTGGGTGTCAGGCCCTGGTGATAAGTCATGTCAGATTTTGGGTGGTTGTGGTAGTGGTGGTGGGGGCAACTGTAGCCGTTACCACACAGGTTTATGCCTCAGTCTGCTCATTCATTTGTTAATCCTTTTATCGCGTACATATTAATTCGGGTCAGGCCTTGTGCGTGGGGGCTCCAGACACAAGACAAAAATGACAAAAATGAAAATGACGGGGATTAAAACGAATTGCAAAAGCCACCATTTTCTGAATGATTCCTTCAGAAGGCAACATGCTGGTGTGGCTAGGAACGTAGTTCTGAGCAAGACACCTGGGTTCCCAGTCTCCGCTCTGCTTCTTCACAGCAGTGTGACTCTGGGCAAGGTACCTAACCTCTCTGAGCCTCCATGTTCTCATCTCTAAAATGGGGCAGTTGTGATTAAATGAGTTAACCCATTTAAAGCATGTAGAACGCTATTTGCTATTTCTTTGCTTGAAGTCGTATTAAATACTTTACAGCCTCAGTCAGAAGAGGGGAATTGTATCATGGTTAAGAGCTCTGAGTTGGAACTTGGACACCCACTTACTGCGTGACTTTGAGCAGGTAACTTACCTTCTCTGAACCTTAGTTTCCTCATCTGGGAAGTAATGCAAAGTAAATTCCACAAGCGTAGGGAATTCTCTTTTGTTCACTCCTGTCTCTACAGTGCCTTAAACAGCACCTGGCCAAGAGTAGATGCTAATGCAGTAATCAGGACCAGTTATGTAATTTGTGGGACCCAGCGCAAATGAAAATGCAGGGCCCTTGTTTTAAAAATTAAGAATTTCGGGCTAGGCACGGTGGCTTACGCCTGTAATCCCAGCACTTTGGGAGGCCGAGGCGGGTGGATCACAAGGTCAGGAGTTTGAGACTAGCCTGGCCAACATGGTGAAACCCCGTCTCTACTAAAAATACAAAAATTAGCCGGGCATGGTGGCATGCACCTGTAGTCCCAGCTACTTGGGAGGCTAGGGCAGGAGAATCGCTTGAACCCGGGAGATGGAGGTTGCAGGAGCCAAGATAGTGCCACTTCATTCCAGCCTGGGCAACAGAGTGAGACTCCGTCTCAAAAAAAAAAAAAAAAAAAAAAGAAAATTATTAAGAATTTCGGCCGGGCTCAGTGGCTCACACCTGTAATCCCAGGACTTTGGGAGGCTGAGGCAGGTGGATTACCTGAGGTTGGGAGTTTGAGACCAGCCTGCCAACATGGAAAAAACCCATTTCTACTAAAAATACAAAATTAGCTGGGCATGGTGGCGCATGCCTGTAATCTCGGCTACTCGGGAGGCTGAGGTAGGAGAATCGCTTTGAACCCAGGAGGTGGAGGTTGTGGTGAGTTGAGATCATGCCATTGCACTCCAGCCTGGGCAACAAGAGCAAAACTCTATCTCAAAAAAAAAAAAAAAAAAGAATTTCAAGAGAGCAATGATGGAGAATTAAACCAAACGTGGGGCCCTTCTAAGTGTGGGGTGGCCCTCTGTGACTGCATAGGCCACATGCCCATGAAGCTGGCTCTGATCACAATACTCCCCCACATTGTTGTTATGAGGAGAAAGTGAGTTAAAGTGTGTAGGGCAAGTGGCACATACCTGGCCCAGAGTAGACTCTCAATGCTAACTGATATTATTCTTATCATATTTAATGTTCACTGACAGCCCTGTGAGAGCACATAGGTATTATCCCACCTCACAGGTGAAGGACTAAATGACTTGCTCAGGCTGGGCACAGTGACTCACGCCTGTAATCTCAGCACTTTGGGAGGCCGAGGTGGGAGGATTGCTTGACCCCAGGAGTTCGAGAGCAGCCTGGGCAACATAGCAAGACCCCATCTCTACCAAACCAAACCAAACAAAATAAAACCCAGTTTGCTCACTGCCCTACTGTTTATGGGAGGTACAGGCAGGATTTGAACCCAGGTCAGCTGACGTGTGAGAGAAGGGTGGGTGGAGGAAGGGAGAAGGCCCAGAAGCCTCGCAGGTAGCTGGTAGGGAGGTGTTTGGGGTTTGGACAGCTGCTCCCTCCTTTAGGGCTGACTGTCCCATCAGGAGGGGGTTGTTTCTGTTGCTCAGTGGGGAATCTGCAGGCCTCGACAGGCTCTGAGCTGGGAAACAGGAGTGGCCCTGCCTGTCCTATGACACACTGTGAGTGGAGGGGGCTGTGGCCGGCAGGGACGTAGGGGAGTCACACCTGCTGAAGCCCAGCTCAGAGTCAGGACTGGGACCAAAGGGGCAGAGCCCAGGCTGGCCATGGAGGTCCGAAGTGAGGGATTAAACTCCAGCGTGGCAGCCTCTGCCACTGACAGCCCCAGCTCTTCCCGTGGCCCCAAAGGCTGGTGTGTCCCTGTCCCACCGGTTGCCTCATCTCCCTCCCTCCCATGCTCCTGCCTGCTCACCTCACTCCCACTGGCCTCCCTGAACCTCCTGAAAACCAACCAAGTTCTCTCCCCACACAAGGCCTTTGCTGTTGGTGTTGCCCCTGCTGTAAACGACCTTTCCCCAGCTCCTTCACACTCATCAAATCCTAGCTTCAGTGTCACCTCCCTTAAAAAGCCTTCCCTTGGCTGGGCATGGTGGCTCATGACTATAATCTCAGCACTTTGGGAAGCCGAGGTAGGAGGATCACTTGAGCCCAGGAGTTTGAGACCAGCCTGGGAAACACAGAGAGATCCCATCTCTACAAAAAATAAAGATTTTTAAAAAGGCTTCCCTTCTCTTCCTTTCTAAAGCACTGTCATGTTCTCACTTCTTCCACATCTCCCTGCAATGCCTGTTTTCTATTCCAATCTGCAATTCCCTTCCTTATTGACTTGCTGTGTGTTCATCACCTGACTCCCTTCAGTAGAACACACACAGATGAACCCTGACGGCGGGGGCCACGTGCAGGGCTCCATTTCTGTCATCTACAGCAGTGGCTGCCACACAGCAAGGACTCCATGAATACTTATTGAATCAGTGAGCGAATGAATAGCCAGCTGTACCATGTTGGAAAAATGACTTGTGGTCTTTGAATCTGTTTCCCCATCTCTAAAATGGGATTGGGATTCATGCCTCTTCTTTTTTTTTTTTTTTTTTTTTGAGACAGAGTCTCACTCTGTCGCCCAGGCTGGCGTGCAATGGCATCATCTCGGCTCACTGCAACCTCCACTTCCCGGGCTCAAGAGATTCTTCTGCCTCAGCCTCCCAGGTAGCTGGGATTACAGGCACCCACCACCATGCCCAGTTAATTTTTGTATTTTTAGTGGAGACGGGGTTTCACCATGTTGGCCAGGTTGGTCTCGAATGCCTGACCTCAAGTGATCTGCCTGCCTCAGCCTCCCAAAGGGCTGGGATTACAGGCATGCCTGGCCCCATGCCACTTCCTAAGGTGGATTACAATCATACAATCACGTTACCATATATTGAGGACTTACTGTGTTCCAGGCACTGTACTAGGTACATAAAACCTGGCATCTAGAAAGTGATCAGTTAATTTCAATATTCCCTATGTTACTACGATTGCTACTGCTAAACTCTATAGGTTGGAGACCCTGATTGAGGAGCTGAACCCTTGATCCTAAAATGCTCCCCTGCTCCCCGCACACCCAGAGGCTACCCCAAGGAAGAGAGACAATCCCAGAGGCTTGAAGCAAAGGGAACACGCTGGGAAAGAAAACTACTCTGAGGCAGGGTGCAGTGGCTCATGCCTGTAATCCCAGCAACTTGGGAGGCTGAGGTGGGCAGATTACTTGAGGCCAGGAGTTCGAGACCAGCCTTGGCGACATGGTGAAACCCCGACTCCACAAAAAATACAAAAATTAGCCGGGTGCAGTGGTGTGCACCTGTAGTTCCAGCTACTCAGGAGGCTGAGGCAGGAGAATCGCTTGACCCCGGATAGCAGAGATTGCAGTGAACCAAGATCATGTCACTGCACTCCAGCCTGGGTGACAGAGTGAGACCCTGTCTCAAAAAAAAAAAAAAGGAAAAGAAAAGAAAACAAAAGAAAAGAAAACTACTCTGATATTCTCAAAGGGGTTCCTTCTTTTTGGATTTCTCTATCTCTCTTGAGGATCCCATCCCACCCCACCGCCATTCAACCCCGCCTTTCCCAACCACATACCAAGAATAAACCTCACACCCTGTGTGCCTCTAGTGTCATAGTTTCCTGCCTCTATGGTCACGGGCTGCTTGGGCTCGGAGGGATTTTCCAGCTTAGGGCAGTGCTGGTGGGACCCGAGGCAATGTGACATAGGAGGAGCTGTGAAGAAGACCTAGAAAGAGGAAAGCCCCGAGCAGATGCTGACAGAGAACTGGAGTGGGGCCTCACAGAGGTACCTGGAGTGCAGGCTCCCGGGAAGGGGAACCAAGCCTTGCCTCTGATTTCAGCAAGTGCTCACAGAGCAGGCCATCTGGCGGCTCGCTGCCAGCCAAATGCTACTGACCAAGGACTTCCAAACTGACCAGGCCCAGAACAAGAAATTCTGTTTAGCATCTGGAGATCTATGGCCAGGCTGGATCCAAATGGATTCCAGTTTAGAGGGCTGTCCACTCCTTGGCAAAGTCCTGTTTTCTTAACCCTCTCTTCCCTTTTGAACCAGTGATCTAAGGGACTCCTCCTCAAGTCTTCTCTAATCCCTCGTAGCCCCACTAACAGCCATCACAGTCAGACACCCTCCTCAGAGAGCCATTTCTCCTCCTTGGTCTTTCTCTTCTAATTTCCACTCCTGATATCTAGCTAGCTACTTCTTCTAAACATGTCAAGGGACCTAGTTTCCAGTTCTGCTCTGGCTCTTACTCAGTGGCTTCTAGTAATTTCCAGCCCTTCTCTGTGCCTCAGTTGCCCCATTTGTAAAATGGGGCCCCAAAAGGTTCCTTTCGGCTCTGACATTCTAGGATCCAAAGTACAGAGATTAAGCCACAAGAATCCCTACCAGAAGGTAGGGGATCCAGCCTGGACCACAACCCCAGGGCTTGACAGTTTCCTGCCCAGCACTGCCTGCCCGCCTTCCTAGCTGTGTGGCCATAGCCAAGTTTCTGTTGAATGGACAGAGGGTAAGATGTTAGGATTAAAAAGTCAAAGTGGGCCAGACGTGGTAGCTCACGCCTGTAATCCCAGCATTTTGTGAAGCCAAGGTGGGTGGATTGCTTGAGGCCAGGAGTTCAAGACCAGCCTGGGCAACATGGCAAAACACCATCTCTACTAAAAATATAAAAGTTAGCTGGGCTTGGTGGTGTATGCCTGTGGTCCCAGCTACTCAGGAGGCTGAGGCACAAGAATCACTTGAACCTGGGAGGCGGAGGCTGCAGTGAGCAGAGATCGCACCACTGCACTTCAAGCCTGGGTGACAGAGCGAGACCCTGTCTAAAAAAAAAAAAAGGCAAGCTAGCCAACACAGTGCTTTCTAACGCTAGCAGGAGTGCATTAAGAGGAAGCCGTTATGAATTTAGAAGGACAAGAAGACAGAAAGTCTGAAGAAAAAACAAGTAGCCAAAGAACAATCCATTCGACAAATATTAGGAGCATCTCCTATGTGTACTGAGGTTACAAACATGGATATGCAGCTCCAGAACTCAGAACTCAAGGTGCTTAAGATGGAGGAGACAGATTTGTCAACAAATGTCGCTACACCCTTCTGACTGTTCCCTGGCATCTGTGGCCATTGTATACAGTTGTGTAGGTTGTTCACTGCACGAGGGTGCTGGCTCGGGCATAGAGGGGGTGAAATTCAGGTCAGGTCCCTTTCCTAAGCATGGGCCTATGGGGCTGCATCTTCCCAGAGGGGCACCTTTTCCTAATTCTTACAAATGTGCTGTGTGGGCTGGCCTAGCCCCTGCAGCATTCACATTACCTTGTTCTGACCCAGTCAGCTCCCACCAACAAAAGCACTCATTTTAGGTATAAGTTACTCGCCCCTGCACACACACCTATTACCTCGTGAGCACTCCATCATCCTTAACTTGGCCTTCAAGCTCCTTTGCGAACTGCCCCCAGCTCCTTCTCTGCCATCTCTAGCATCTCCTTCCCTCTCATACTCCTCATACCACACAGTACACACGGTATAGCTTCACTTCCTTGAAGGAGCCATGGTCCATCTGATCTTTGCATATGCTGTTTCCTCTCTCTGGAATAACCCCCTTTTCTCCGATTGGCTGGCTAATGCCTCAAATGTTCAGATCTCAATTTAGATATTATTCTCTCCAAGAGGCCTTTGTTGATTTTGTTTTGTTTTGAGACAGAGTGTCACATTGTTGCCCAGGCTAGAGTGCAGTGGCGCGGTCACAGATCACTGCATCCTCAACCTTTGCCCAAGAGATCCTCCTATCTCAGCCTCTCAAGTAGCTAGGACGATAGAAACAGGGCACCATGCCTGGCTTTTTTTTTTTGGTAGAGTTGGGGTCTCACTGTGTTGCCAAGGCTCAAGAAGCCTTCTTTGAAGGCTCTCCACTCCCTTCCTTCTCACCCAATCAGATCACATTCCTGATGCCCCCATAGTGCCTGTACTTCTCTAAAGCATTTGTCAGAATTATAATGAAATGATTAATAGTATTAATTATTGATTATTGCCTTTCTCCTCTAGGAAATTAGAAGCTCCTGGAATATGGGGACTGTGTCTTTTATATGGTGTACATGTTATATAGGCCATCTGTCTGCTATATGCTAGAATCCTAGTGCATATAGTTGGTGCTCAATAAATTATTATTGAATAAATGAATGACTATAGCTCAATATAATACAGGCCATTAGACAGGTTATTCTACTTATTTGAGGACAGGGAAGGCTGTACATATAGCTGGTGCTCAATAAATAATAATTGAATAAATAATTATTGACTCAATGAATGACTATAGTTCAGTCTAATACAGGACAGTGGTCAGGTGATTCCACTCGTCTGAGGACAGGGAAGGCTGTACATGGCAAGGTCTCCTTGTTTCAGAGGGGTCTGGGAAGAGAAGTCAAACTCCCCAGGGACTCTGGGGACAGGCAGGAGCAGCGTGTGCTGGGCCTGAGGGAGGCCAGTGCAGAGGGGCCACTCCCAGGCGCTTGGCTGTCTTGTGGAAGCCAGAGGTCTCATCTTCCCCAGTTTTCTGGGTGTCCCAGGATGTGGGCAGCCACTGTGCCTTTGCTGAGAACATTTATAAGAGATTCCCCAAGTCTCCGGACTGAGTGAACGTGAACCACATATGGTTCCAAACTCTGTCATAAAACCACAACTTGGCTGTGGGATCCCTAACACGCAGTCGCGACTTGGCCAGCAATCTGGGGGAAGATTGTTCTCTTGGACGCAAAGAGAGCCACTGTGGTCCAGGGAGAGCAG